>NC_000006.12:106320790-107570790 GCF_000001405.40 Homo sapiens
TCATCCACCAGTCCTATAGTGCCTACCGGTTTTAGAATGGTAAAATAAAAACAATTATCTGGTAGCAGTGCACAGAAGGGAGAGCCTTGAGTCAGAGAGGCTAGCCAGGTAGTAATTTCAGCAACTAAGGCAAAAAGTAATGAGTGCCTGACCTAGAGAGGTAGTCATGGACTGGTGAGAAACAGATGAGTCTTTCCAAGGAAGAAAGAGAAGTTGATGAAAAATGAGGGATAAAGAACAAGGGCAGGGAAGATTTAGATGCTGACAGCATGCAAAATACAATAAAATAGTTAAGGGGCTTTGAAATCAGACTGACATGGGTTTAAACCCTGATTTCCACCTATTAGTTACGTGTCTTGAACAACAAACCCATCCTCTTTGACTCTCATATTTGTAAAATGAAGATAATTATAATTTTCACAGGGCTGTTAGGTGTTTAGTACATTTGGTAACCACTCAATAAACAATGTATGTTTTTAGTACACAGTTTCCTCATATTTCCATGGCCCCTCTGCTTGAACACTTTTTCCCTCCTCTTTTGGCCAACTCTTTTATCCTCTCTGGGTCAACTCTTTTTTTTTTTTTTGAGACGGAGTCTCGCTCTGTCGCTCAGGATGGAGTGCAGTGGCGCCATCTCGGCTCACTGCAAGCTCCGTCTCCCGGGTTCACGCCATTCTCCTGCCTCAGCCTCCCGAGTAGCTGGGACTACAGGCGCCCGCCACCGCGCCAAGCTAATTTTTTGTATTTTTAGTAGAGACGGGATTTCACCGTGTTAGCCAGGATGGTCTCGATCTCCTGACCTCATGATCCGCCTGCCTCGGCCTCCCAAAGTGCTGGGATTACAGGCGTGAGCCACCGCGCCTGGCCAACTCTTAATCCTCTTAAGTGTCGGCTTAATATCAGCTCCTTGGGAAGTTTTCCCCTATGCAGCCTCTAGTCTAATTACTTCTTTAATAGCATGCACTATCATGCAATGTAGTTATCTGTTTATCTTATCTGTCTCCTGCCCCTCCCCACATTGAACTGGGAGTTCTTTGACAGCAAAATTTAGTCATAAGTACCTTCTTATCACCAATATTAGTACAGTTAGCACATAGTAGGCTTTGAAATTTTTGTTAAATAATGGGGAAAAATATATAAATATATGAATCTAGCTACTTAAGAAATTTTCTCCCTAAACTCCTCTCCAAATCAGTATAGTCGCACTTTAAATTCGGCATATTTTGTTATTTTAGAAAGATTTTCCCTCTCCTACATACACTACACCATCCAATCACCATCCAATTTCAAGGAACTGTCTTGGAAATAAAGAAACTCCAACCTGTGACGCAATCTACTAGAAGTAAGTTTCTTGAGGGCAGGGGCTATTATTGACTTCTATTTTCTGCATCTAGTTCAGAGCCTGGGACAGAGTAGGTGCCCACCAACAACATCTGTTAACCAATCAGTCATTCAGAAAATGGCACGGTGTGACAACAATATAATGCATAATAGTTTCTTTCACACTACATACCAAGAAAAACTAACCTACTACCTGAAGTAATTTTCACTGACAAAACCCCCAACTACCTAGAAATATCAAATACTTACTAAACTAAGCGTGTAAACAGAAAAAAAATTATAATCTATGCTGGCTGGTCTTCCTTTAAATTCATAAACACTAGTTTCCTACTCTTCCCTAGTCCATTTATTCTCCCACTTTCCTACATCACTATTCTATACCTTCTCCTCCCTCAAATGTTCACTTCTTCCTCCTCCTCCTCCTCTCTCTCAGCTAATGACCTTGCTTTCTATTTCCTTCTATCCAGGTACTGTGAATCAGTGATTCTCAAGAGGAATTTTACTCAACAGTCCCACCCTGGGAGGGAGGAAATTTTGTAAATCTCTCCAAACTGTAAATGTTGAAATGCCCCAGGACTCAGTCCTTGAACCACTCCCTTGAAGATCTCTCACATGGTTTTAAATAACACTTATACATTTACACTCCCACAGTTTTATCTTCTGTCCAGACTTCTCTTTTGAACTGGCTGGCTTCACATATACCACCACATATGACATTTCCATTTAGAAATTTAACATATGCAAAACGGAAAACCATTTCAGATCTTCCTTCCTCCTCTCTCCTATCATTTATTTTATTTTATTTTGAGACGGGGTCTCGCTCTGTCGCCCAGGCTGGAGTGCAGTGGCGCAATCTCGGCTCTCTGCAAGCTCTGCCTCCCGGGTTCATGCCATTCTCCTGCTTCAGCCTCCCAGTGGCTGGGACTACAAGCGCTTGCCACCAGGCTCGGGTTTGTTTTTTTTGTTTGTTTGTTTTTTTGTATTTTTAGTAGAGACGGGGTTTCACCGTGTTAGCCAGGATGGTCTCGGTCTCCTGACCTCGTGATCCGCCCGCCTTGGCCTCCCAACAAAAAGTTCTCCTATCATTATCACTCTGTGGTCTTTTCCGTTTCGCTAAGTGGAAAAGTCCTTTTTTTTTTTTTTTTTTTTTTTTTTAAAGAGACAGGGTCTTGCTGTCACCCAGGATGGACTACAGTGAAGGATCATGGGTCACTGTAACCTTGAGCTCAAGGGGGTCAAGTGATCCTCCCCTCCCATCTCAGCTTCCCAAGTAGCCAGGACTACAGGCTCATGCCACTATGCCCAGCTAATTTTTTATTTTTTTGTAGAGACAGGGTCTCGTTATGTCGCCCAGGCTGGGGATTCTCTCAAAGATGGTATTACAAGCATGAGCCATCACGCCCGGCCAAGTTATATTCTTTAGTTGCTCAGTCCGTAACCCTTGGAGTCGTCCTTGACCCTTCTTCTACCTGACTGCTCTCAAAAGTCTAGAATCTGGTCATTTCGCACTACCGCCACTATTACTACCCTGATTCAAGTCACCTCGACCTTTAACCTGGATAAATGCAGTCAATGGCCTACTAACAACTCTTATTTCTGCACCTGCTGCATACAGTCAACATAGCAATCAGATCTTTTAAAACACAAGTTAGATCAACTCACTGCTTACTCAAAACCCAACTCATTCAAAGTACAAATTAAGGTTCTTATAAATTCCCACATGCTCCTAAATGACTTGGCCCCATTTCCACCTAAGTATCCACTACTTCTTTCCCTCTTGTTCATTATTTTCCAGTCAAACTAGCTAGTATGCGCCTGCTTCAGGGCTTCAGTGGCAGCTCCTTCCAAGTGGCACCCTTCTTTATCACCCGTAGGCCTCCAAGTTAATATCATCTTTTCTATGGCCACCACTCCCATCTCTTGGCATTCCCTATACCCCTGCACTGCTTTGGTTTTTTTCTCTAGCACTTTCCGCCACTTGACGTACACAGTTGGCCCTTCCTACCCATGGGTTCTTCGTCCTTGTATTCAACCAATCATGGATGAAAAAATATTCGGGGAAGGAAAAAAAAGTCAGTACTGAACATGTATAGACTCTTTTTTGTCATTATTCCCTAAACAATACACCATAACAACTATTTATACAGCATTTAAGTTGTATTGCGCATTATAAATAATGCAGAGTTGAACTAAAGATAGGAGGATGTGCATAGGTTATCTGCAAACACTACACCATTTTATATCAGGGACTTGAGCATTTGAGGACTTTGGTATCCAAGGGAGGTCCTGGAACCAATCTCCCACAGATGCCGAGGGACAGGAAAGACTGTACCTTAATTTTTGTATCAATGTCTTCTCACCCCATCCCCAAAGTGGAACTTCATGATGGCAGGGATTTTTATTCTTTTGTTTACTATTTTGTTTACTGTTTTGTCCAGTGCCTAACACATAGGAGGTACTCAGTTTGGGGGAAATTAATGAAATAAATACACACTTGAGGTGTGTGCACTATTCTAAAAATCCATATCCATACAGTTCCATTCTGTACACTTTCCCCCAATTTTAAGTAGCATATCTTTGAAGATAAAAGCACAGGCTTAAATCTGGTGTAAAATACCTCTCAATTACTACCCTGAGCACAACATCGTTATTTTCAAATTCAAAATTCAACCAGAAACTCCCTCTATGGAAATCACAAATAGTTCAGTTCAGAGCCAAGTATCCAGTTTCAAGGTCTCAGAAATTTAACAAGCCAATTCTGGAAGGCTTTGGAAGTTCAGCTACTGTCTGGTAAGTCTCCGGGTTCTGATTGCTCAAGACAGGCTGTACCTCCTCACCCCTCAGAAAAATCTAGAACCAATAGTTTCCTAGGTTCCTCAAGTTCAGGATAATTTTAAAATAATCCAAAGTACAAATGAAGTATGTAAAAGTGTCTTGCCAACAGAAAATGTCTTTGGTAGCACTAAATATTGTTATTGAGACAGGGAATATCGTAAATAGATAAATTGCTTGGAGGACATACCCACCGAGTTTGGACAGACTCACACTGCACTGTGCAATAAAGGTTTAAATAACTGTGTTCCACAAACAATTCAGGTCCTGAACTGAACTCTAGAGCCTGCGACTAGACTCTCGCTTTCCTACCTTAGTAAGCAACAGACATGTACCCCAAGAGGGACCCCGCAGGCCACACCCGCCAACCGGCCCCAGGGCTCCGGGCCGGCGTCTCGCCAACTCCACCTTGCCCGGAGGAACCACCTTCACCCGCCATCGCGGCCGGGCGGGCGCTCCTCCAGGCAACTACTCACCCCTCCTTCCTACCACACCTACCTGGCCCCTCCCCAGCCCTCCTCCTCTAGGAATTTCCTCACACAAGGTGGACACACACACGTACCCTACTCCAAGCTATGGCTCCTCCTTCCGGCTCCCCGCACTGGTGGGGACGCCCAGATTCCGCGCTCCGGTGGGGCGGCGGGGCAAGCTGCCCGCCTGACACACTGTCCTGCGGGGACGCGGTAGCAGGACTCCAGGAAGCCCGCGCAGCCGCAAAAAGCACCGGCGCGGAGGTCGGAGCTGAACCCTGCTGCACTTCCGCCCTCTGGTATCCAGCGAATACAACCGGCAACGCTGCGGAGCCCTGGCAGCGCACCACAAGTCCAGTCACCCTCGGCGCCCGGAGATGACGTCACGAGACCCCACGTGGTCCGAACTCCGCCCTCCGTGTTCTGCCTAACCCAGCAAGGAGGCCCGAGTCGCTCTTGAGCATGCGCCAACGGGGCAGTACGCTTGAACTCGCGACCAAACCTCTCCAAGTTCATAGCTTCTACCCTCTTCTGAGAATCTTGCGTCAAAGCGTAGTTATTGGGGCTTGGGGAGGTTAACTTAACAGTTCCACAAAAACAGTTTTTAAAATACTGAAACACTGCCTCCCTAGAGCTTGATCGCAACATCCCTTTCTTCCTGGCATCACACAACAGTATTAATAAAACATTAGTTTTCAAAGTACTTTCCCATCCATTTTCTTATTTGATCTTCTTCTCTACTTTGTTGGAACCACCGCAGGCATTAATAACCTAATTTAACAGAAGACTATATGAGCACTGAACCCTCCCACCCATCCAAGAGTACATATCTTTATCTTACTCTTTGTAAAAATAATTGGGGCCGGGCGCGGTGGCTCACGCCTGTAATCCCAGCACCTTGGGAGGCCGAGGCGGGCGGATCACGAGGTCAGGAGATCGAGACCATCATGGCTAACACGGTGAAACCCCGTCTCTACTAAAAATACAAAAAAAATTAGCCGGGCGCGGTGGCGGGCTTCTGTAGTCCCAGCTACTGGAGAGTCTGAGGCAGGAGAATGGCGTGAACCCGGGAGGTGGAGCTTGCAGTGAGCCAAGATAGGGCCACCGCAGTCCCGCCTGGGCGAAAGAGCGAGACTCCGTCTCAAAAAAAAAATAGTAATAATTGGTAAACTTACTAATAAAGAATCTTTGAATTGGCTCTATCCAGAAGTCTTAGCAGGCATTTAAGGTTTTTCTCTTAATTACACGTGCCTTAACGCCATGCATGTTAAGTAAGTACTGTGCTGAGACTCAAAACAGGTTCTTGATAATTGGGAACATAAGGAAAATTCTAGTAGTAGCCACAGGATTCTTTTAAAAAGAAAAATCTTCTTGGAGTTGGACTAAGTACAATGATTTTCAAATGGTAAATTACAGTACATTAGTGGGTATCTAAATCAAGTTAGGGAAGCATGCCCAGCATCTTTTTAAATGAAATAAAATAGAAAATATCAGCATGCTTCACACATGTAAAGGGTAAATATTGTGTCCCAAAATTTTTACTTCAGTATGTATGTGGTGTACACTGGATAGGAATGTGAAATACATTTCTTAGTAAGGGTAGCAGTCAGAAAAGTTTGAAAGCCACAGTTATGGTCCTCTTCACCTACTCAATGCAGAAATCCTCACTACAGTGTCCCCAGTAAACAGCTATTAGCCTCTGTAAGAAAGCTTGTGGGATTAAGGTGCATTGCCTTCCCAGTGTCAGACAAAAGTATATAAAATTTCCTTTAAAATGTATCTAAAAAATAAGATGGATTTAGGGGCGCATAGATGGATAAATATGTGATTAACCAAATATAGTAAAATATAATGGTAGAATATAATGGTAAAATATAATGGTAGAATCTAGATGGTAGAATCTAGGTTCATTGTAAATGGGTATTCACTGTAAAATTTGTTCAGCTTTGCTGTGTGTTCAAAATTATTTCCTAACAAAATGTTGGGACCAGGCACAGTGGCTCATGCCTGTAATCCCAGCACTTTGGGAGGCCCAGGTAAGAGGATAGCTTGAGCCCAGGAGTTCAAGACCAGCCTGCACAACATGGCAAGACCACATCTCTACAAAAAACACAAAAATTAGGAGGGCATGGTGGCATGCGCCTACAGTCCCAGCTACTCCAGTGGTTGAGGAAGGAGGATTACATGAGCCCAGGAGGTCAAGGTTGCAGTGAGCTATGATTGTATCACTGCAGTCTAGGTAACAGAGAGAGACCCTGTCTCAAAAAAAAAAAAAAATTGTTTTGGGGGAAACTATGTATGAAGAAACCCAATAGGTGAAAGGTGATTACTTGATTTGACTTAAAATTCAACTTCCTGTAATTTTTATAAATTGACCATTTTCTTTCTTTCTCCCCTTGTCCTTCTCTCTTCCTCACCCATCTACAACATACAACAGAAATAACTAACTCTTCTTCTAAAAGACAGCATTTCAATATGAAAAGGTAGCTCTTGTGCCCCGTAATGCACTCAGGGATAAACATTGTCATTTCTTTCAGCCATTCTTCACATGCCATATCTCTCCTCTGGATATGGTCCAGTTATCAGCATTCCTATTAAATAGTTGTTACACTTGTTTCTATATGATGATCATGCTCCTTGAGCAAAAATTTGGAAATAAAGGGAATTGTATGTTTCGTCTCTGTCATTTCCATTTGTGAACATTATGCCTTTTCTCCAAATCAGTGGCACTGCAAATTTTTAATTTTTTTTCTATGAAGATAACTTTTAAAGAGCTCTTTTTGTTGGCCTTACCATTTCCTCCAAGTTTTAGCTTATTGGGGGTGACTCTCTGTTGGGAACAAGACCCCCAAAATCTGGCCATAAACTGGCCCCAAAACTGGCCATCAACTAAATCTCTGCAGCACTGTGACGTGTTCACGATGGCCATAAAGCCCACGCTGGAAGGTTGTGGGCTTACCGGAATGAGGGCAAGGAACACCTGGCCCGCCCAGGGCGGAAAACTGCTTAAAGGCATTCTTAAGCCACAAACAATAGCATGAGAGATTTGTGCCTTAAGGACATGCTCCTGATGCAGTTAACTAGCCCAACCTATTCCTTTAATTCGGCCCATCCCTTCATTTCCCGTAAGGGATACTTTTAGTTAATTTAATAGCTATAGAAACAATGCTAATGACTGGCTTGCTGTTAATAAATACGTGGGTAAATCTCTGTTCGGGGCTCTCAGCTCATTTCTGTGTGTGTGTCTTTAATTCCTCTAGCGCCGCTGGGTTAGGGTCTGCCCGACCGAGCTGGTCTCGGCACTCTCAGGCAGCCTTTGACTCGTGCGAACTTGTTTATAAAGTCCTCTTTTCAACAAAAGTCAAGTACACAACTCCTCCCAAATTCTGGTTTCTAAGGAGAGACTCCAAAGAAGTCTTTGTTAATAAATTGCTCTCTTTTCTTTTCACTATAATAGTTTGTAGTTGTAAAGTCTGGCTTTTATTTTTGCACACCTCACAAAGTGCAAGACTCAAAACTGTGGGATCGTAACTTTATTCTAAACTTATTTAAATCTACTTTCCTAAAATGTAAGTTATCTTGACTGCCTCCATGAACCCTAACCATCACTTGTTATCATGCTATTACTTCCTGACCCAAGGTCCCATTCTGCTCTCTTTTATCTCTGTCCTGTTGGTTTCAGAGGAATGATTTAAGCCTAATTTAATTCTTCTATTAATACTTCAGCTCTAACACTTCTGACTGCTCCAACTAATTATCCCATCTCCCAGATTTCCCTTACTACTAGTTTCTTCCTTCATCCTATACATATGCTCAAATGTTCTCCCATCCTATTAAAATGCTTCCTTTAACCTTCATCACTTCTGAACTATTAGGATAGCTTCCCCCCATCTCCCTGCCTCCAGTCCTGCTCTACCTGTCCCAGCATCCAACCAGTGTATGTTATCTAAAATGCATTCTAACAATGTCACTCTTCTGTTTAACACCTTTTATTGATTCCTTCTAGGCAAATTCCAAATTTCTTAGCATGGTAAACAAGGTCTTTTATGGCTAATTTCTTCTTTCCTTCTAGCTTCCTTCCCCTGCTCTCCCTGCCTTGCGCTTCAAAAAATCCAACAGTATCCAATATTTTGTAAGACTTCTGAGCCCTAAGGCTATGCCATGCTTCTATGACTTTGTTGCTGTTGTCCCTGCTGCCCGGAACACTACCCCCACCAGCACCATCACCACATTCTTTCTTCTTCACTTGGCACACATCACTCATTTTTAAGACTCAATTCATGTTTTGGAAAGTATTTCCTGACCCACCCAATTTGGATTTGTTGGTCCTCATACTTTCCTCGGTAATTTTTTGATCACCAATGCCCAGCATAATGCCTGGCATTTATTAAATGTTTGTCAAAGTAACCTAAGCTGAACATGCGCTCTCTTCTAGGATTCCCATCAGTTTCACCTCATAATCTAAATTGTTCCATATAGCTTAGAGTTTAGGTAGAAAGTGGTCGTTTTCTTTGTTACTTCATCGATGTCTGAGGGAGAAAATCAGCAAGTCACGTTGAAAGTAATTGAGATGCACTGCCATTAGCAGAGTGGGTCTCCAGCAGTCACTAGCAGTTAAAGTTTTCCGCCATCACCGTATCCTGTCTCAGTGTCAGTTTTAGGATCTGTACGGGGAAAGGCATCACTTCTTCCATTTGGCTGCACACTCTGCAGTGCATTCCCAGAACACAACCACACTTCTGTTCCTCTATCCGTTTATCCTTACTCAAATGATACCTCTCCCCTGCTAGAATGGAGACTCCTACAAAGCTGGCATGAATTCCTATACAAAAAGGCTACAAACTGGAGTTCCACCTGCTGGAACTGGAGAACCTGTATGATTGCTGTAACATACATTAACCTACTTCAGCATACAAAATGTAATATTATGAATGTGGTAGTAGTACATAAGCTTCGATTCTACTCACACAAACTGAGAATTCTAGGCTTCCATGATGGTCAGGCAGCAACACATTAAAAAGACCACACTTCAGGAGCACATATCACAAGGACGCCTAGTATCACCATCTTGATCCACATCGCTTGGTTTGCTAATTAGCATAGTGAACACCAGAGATGGGTTTTTATTTTTGGCTTCCCCAAAAGTATGATAAATGTTAAAAATGGGATCTCATGTATGCAATTAGCAAAATCTAAAATATATGGGATTTGGGCTGGGCACGGTGGTTCATGTCTGTAATCCCAGCATCTTGGGAAGCCAAGGTGGGCAGATCACTTGAGGTTAGGAGTTTCAGACCAGCCTGGTCAGCATGGTGAAACCCCGTCTGTACTAAAAATACAAAAAAATTAGCGGGGTGTGGTGGTACACGCCTATAGTCCCAGCTACTTGGGAGACTGAAGCACGAGAATCACTTGAACCTGGGAGGTGGAGGTTGCAGTGAGCCGAGATCGTGCCACTGCACTCCAACCTGGGCAACAGAGTGAGACTCCGTCTCAAAAATAAATAAATAAATAAATTTAAATACACTTCAGCTGCTTCCGAAGTGTGGTCTTTCTAATGTGTTGCTGCCTGACCACCACTGAAGCATAACAGAGGCATAGCTCGTTATATAGTGCTTCACCTTATTGCTCTTCGCAGAGTCTGTTTTTTACAAATTGAAGGTTTATGGCAACCCTGCATCAGGCAAGTCTTTTGGCGCCATTTTTCCAACAGCATGTGCTTACTTCATGTCTCTGTCACATTTTGGCAATTCTCCCAATATTTCAAACATTTTCATTATTATTATATCTGTTATGGTGATCTGTGATCAGTGGTCTTTGATGTTACTACAGTAATTGTTTTGGGGCAGTATGAACCACATCCATATAAGATGGTGAACTTAACTGATAAACACGTGTGTTCTGACTGCTCAGCCCACTGGCCCTTCCCCGTCTCTTTCCCTCTCCTCTAGCCTCCCTATTCCCTGAGACACTACAATATTGAAATTAGGCCAATTAATAACCCTATAATGGCCTCTAAGTGTTCAGGTAAAAAGAAAAAAATGCACGTCTCTCACTTTAAGTCAAAAGCTAGTAATGACTAAACTTAGTGAGGAAAGCAAATCAAAAGCCAGGACAGGCCGAAAGCAGGTCTCTTGGACTAAACAGCCAAGTTATGAATGTGAAAGAAAAGCTCTTGATGGAAATTAAAAGTGCTACCTCAGTGAACTCACAAATGATAAGAAAGCAAAACAGCCTTATTGCTAATATGGAGAAAGTTTGAATGGTCTGGATAGAAGATTGAGCCAGCCATGATATCCCCTTAAGCCAAAGCCTAACCCAGAGCAAGGCCCTAACTCTCTTCAATTCTGTGAAAGCTGAGAGAGGTGTGGAAGCTGCAGAAGAAACACTGGAAGCTAGCAAAGGTTGGTTCATGAGGTTTAAGGAAAGAAGCCATCTCCATAACATGAAAGTGCAAGGTAATGCAGCAAGTGCTAATGTAGAAGCTGCAGCAAGTTACCCAGGAGACCTAGCTAAAATCATTGATGAAGGTGGCTACACTAAACAACAGATTTTCAATATAGACAAAACAGCCGTCTATTAGAAGAGGATGCCATCTAGGATGTCCATAGCTAGAGAGGAGAAGTCAATGCCTGGCTTCAAAGAACAGGCTGATGCTCTTGTTAGAGGCTAATGCTGCTGGTGACTTTAAGTTGAAGCCAATGTTTATTTGCCATTCTGAAAATCCTAGGGCCCTTACAAATTATGCTAAATCTATTCTGCTTATGCTCTAGAAATGGAACACAAATCCTGGATGACAGCACACCTGTTTATAGCACGGTTTACTGAATATTTTAACCCCACTATTGAGACCTACTGCTCAGGAAAAAAGAGTCCTTCAAAATATTATTGCTCATTGATAGTGTACTTGGTCACCCAAGAGCTCTGATGGAAATGTACAAGGAGATTAATGTTGTTTTCATGCCTGCTAATAAAACATTCATTCTTCAGCCTATGGATCAAGGAGTAATTTTGACTTTCAAGTCTTATTGTTTAAGAAATACATTTTCTAAGGCATTAGCTGCCATAGATAGTGATTCCTCTGATGGATCTGGCAAAATAAATTGAAAATATTCCGGAAAGGATTCGTTATTCTAGATTCCATTAAGAACATTTGTGGGCCAGGTGCAGTGGCTCACTCCTGTAATCCCAGCATTTGGGAGGCTGAGGCAGGAGTATCACTTGAGCCCAGGAGTTCGAGACCAGCCTGGGCAACATGATGAGACACTATCTCCATAAGTAATAAAAAAGTTAGCCAGGTGTGGTGGCATGCGCCTGTAGTCCCAGCTACTTGGGAGGCTAAGATGGGAGGATCACTTACGCCTGGGTGGTTGAGGCTGTAGTGAGCTGTGCTCTGCACTCCAGCAGCCTGGGTGACAGAGTGAGACCCTGTCTCAAAAAAAAAAAAAAAATGAACATTTGTGATTCATAGGAGGAAGTCAAAATGTTGCCAACCTTAACAGGAGTTTGGCAGAAATTGATTCCAATAATCAAGTATGACTTTGAGAGGTTCAAGACTTCAGTGGAGGAAGTCACTGCAGATGTGGTAGAAATAGCAATAACTGTAACTAGAAGTGAGCCTGAAGATGTGACTGAATTACTGCAATCTCATTGTAAAATTTTAACAGATGAGGAGCTACATCTTATGGGTGAACAAAGAAAATGGTTTCTTGAGATAGAATCTACTCCTGGTGAAGATACTGTGAACACCGTTGAAATGACAACCAAGGATGTAGAATATTCCATAAACTTAGCTGATAAAGCAGCAACAGAGTTTGAAAGGATTGACCCTAATTTTGAAAGAAGTTCTAGTGTGAGTAAAATGCTATCAAACAGCATCACATGCTACAGAGAAATCTTTTATGAAGAGCCAATTACTGTGGTAATCTTCATTGTCTTATTTTAAGAAATTGTTGCAGCCACCCCAACTTTCAGCAATCACCACCCAGATCAGTCAGCAACCATCAGCATTGAGGCAAGACCCTCTAACAGCAAAAAGATTACCACTTACTGAAGGCTCAGATGATGGTTAGCAATTTTTAGCAATAAAGTATATATATTTTTTGAGACAGGGTCTCACTCTGTCGCCTAGGCTGGAGTGCAGTGGCATAATCATGGCTCACTGTAGCCTTGATCTCCCAGGCTCAAGCGATCCTCCTGCCTTAGCCTTCCAAGTAGCTGGGACCACAAGGACATGCCACTATGCTTGGCTAACTTTTAATTTTTTTGTAGATATGGGGTCTTGCTATGTGGCTCAGGCTGGTCTTGAACTCCTGGATTCAAGCAATCCTCCCACCTCAGACTCCCAAAGTGTTGGGATTACAGGTGTGAGCCACCATCCCTGGCTAAACCATTTTTAAATTAAGGTATATACATTTGTTTTTTAGACAATACTATTGCACTCTAAATAGACTACCTTATAGTACCTATAATATAAACATTAATTTTTATACGCATTGGAAAACCAAAAGAATTGTGTTACTTTTTAGCACTCTTTATTTTATTGCAATGGTCTGAAACCAAACCCTCAATATCTTGAAGGTACGCCGGTATATATTTTAAAAATCACAATTTGGAGCAGCTTTTCTGTGACTACCGTGTGAACTCTACAACACCGTATGCAATTCTATCACCGTTACAGATAAAATGTAGGGTTCCATTGAAAAATAGCGTGTTATAAGACACTATATGTATAACTCCAGTTACTGAATCTTCTCTACCTGTCTACACAGATGGATTCCACAGGGTTAAATTAAAGAAATATGCCAAATATTATTTAGAGATACGTATACACTCAAAACTATTTTTTTTTTTTTTTTTTGAGACGGAGTCTCGCTCTGTCGCCCAGGCTGGAGTGCAGTGGCGCGATCTCGGCTCACTGCAAGCTCCGCCTTCCGGGTTCATGCCATTCTTCTGCCTCAGCCTCCGGAGTAGCTGGGACTACATGCGCCCGCCACCATACCCAGCTAATTTTTTGTATTTTTAGTAGAGACGGGGTTTCACCATGCTAGCCAGGATGGTCTCGATCTCCTGACCTGGTGATCCGCCCGCCTTGGCCTCCCAAAGGACTACGATTACAGGCGTGAGCCACCGTGCCTGGCCTACACTCATAACTATTATGGATTTGTGTTCTAATTTTTCATCCTATAAATTAATATTGTCTTAAAAAAATCTTTGTATCAGATTTTTTTACTGTTTCCATATGAATTTTTTTCTGTAAAAAGCTCCAGGCTCAGTATGGTGGCTCACGCTTGTAGTCCCAGTACTTTGAAAGGCCAAGGCAGAAGAATTGCTTGAGATCAGGAGTTTGATACCAGCCTTGTCAACACAATGAGATCCCATCACTACAAAACATTTTTAAAATTAGCTGGGCATGATGGTGCCTGCCTGTAATCCTAGATACTCAGGAGGCCGAAGTGGGAAGATTCCTTGAGCCCAGGAGTCTGTGGCTACAGTGAGCTATGATTGCACCACTGCACTCCACCCTGGGCAACAGAGTGGGACACTGTCTCTTAAAAAAAAAAACAAAAAAAACTCTTAATAAAGTCTAGGATGAATCAGCCAGGCAGTTTTTCAGTCTGTTTTTTTCAATGAACATCAGAAAGAAAAATAATCTGGGAAGTGTAAAACTGAAGGACAAGTCTTTAAAAAAAAAAAGTAAAAATAAAAATAGCCTGATTTCTAAAATAGTAAAATAGATTCTTGCAATAATGCGTTGTTGTCAACAGGTGTCACTGTCTACCAGAGGTAAAGCTCAGAGCTCCCCAGCCAGCAAGGCCAGCCAACAGCACCCTCAATGAGGTAAAGATAGGCCAGGTGCGGTGGCTCACGCATGTAATTCCAGCACTTTGGGAGGCCCAGGCAGGTGGATCACATGAGGTCAGGAGTTTGAGAGCAGCCTGGCCAACATGGCAAAACCCTGTCTCTACAAATAAACAAATTAGCTGGGCATTGTGGTGTGTGCCTGTAATCCCAGCTACTCAGGAGGCTGAGGTAGGAGAATTGCTTGAACCCTGGAGGCAGAGGTTGCAGTAAGCTGAGATCGCATCACTGGACTCCAGCCTGGGCAACAGAGCTAGACTCTGCTAAAAAAAAAAAAAAAAAAAAAAAAAAAAAAAAAAAAAAAAAAAAAAAAAAAAAGATGTAAAGATAGTGTTTCCCAGTAGGAAACATCTGGTTATTGTAAAAGATCTTGTGAAATCCTAAAAACGTTCTCACAACAAAATTATTTTAATTTCCAAAAAAAAAAGGCTTCTAAACCTTGTGAATATTAACTCACATTCTCTTTTTTTTTTTTTTTTTTTTTTTGAGACAGAGTCTCACTCTGTTGCCCAGGCTGGAGTGCAGTGGCGCGATCTTGGCTCACTGCAAGCTCCACCTCCCAGGTTCATGCCATTCTCCTGCCTCAGCCTCCCAAGTAGCTGGGACTACAGGCGCCCATCACCACGCCCGGCTAATTTTTTTTTGTATTTTTAGTAGAGACGGGGTTTCACTGTGTTAGCCAGGATGGTCTCAAACTCCTGACCTCGTGATCCGCCCTCCTCGGCCTCCCAAAGTGCTGGGATTACAGGCGTGAGCCATCGCGCCCAGCCTCATATTCTCTTTCAAATCCATCCCCTTTCCCTCACATTCTCTCATTGGTTTGATTTGGATCATCGGCTTGTGCAGCAGAGCAGAGTGGTTGAGATATGAACTCTTAAATTCTTGCTCTGACATCTATTACCTATATGGCCACAGACAAATGAGTTAACCAGGACTGGCTACATAATTTCTGATGCCCAGGGCAAAATGAAAACGAGGGCCCTTTGTTTAAAAATTAAGAATCTCAAGATGGAGACAGCAGAGCATGAAAGCCGGTGCCAGGCCTTGTGCAACTGAACAGGTCGCATGCACAAGAACTTAGCTCTTATGTAACTTTTCCAAGCCTCCACTTTTCCATTTTCCTCAAGCTAAAATAAGGAAAATGATAGCACCTGCCTCGTGGACTTGTGAGGATTAAGTGAAATGATGCACATAAAACGTTTATCGCAGTGCTTGGCACATAGTAAGCTCTCAATAAATAGGAGCTGCTGTTTTTATGTCCTTCACTAGACTGTATGCCTCTCCTCCCCTGTGCCAATCCATTTTACAACCTGCTGCCAGAGTAATCTTCTTTAGCACAGTTCTGATTATGCCCCTGCCCTATTTTTATAAAAACTAAATCTTCACTGCCTACAGAACAAAATCCAAATCTAACCCGAATCCACTTTTCCAGCTCCTCTCTCGTCAGCTGTCTGGCTCCCTGGTCTCTCTCTGAGCTCGGTCCTCACATCCCTGTGCCTTTGCTTACCATGTTCATTCTGCTAGAAATGTCCTTTCCCCAGGGCTGGGGGGAAATATACAGGGATCTAAGTCACAGATCTGCCTTGGAATTGCTTACAACCTAAACTGGGAAACAGAGCATTATACAAGAGATGTAGCAAAGCACAAGGCAGGAGTGGTCAAGGGAAAAAGTGTCATAAAAGCTCAGAAGGAGCAAAAGTCTTGACTAAAATGGCACTTTTAAAAAAGCATTTCTTTTCATAGTTTTTAAATGGTTACTATATTATATATAGGCTATATGTTGTATGTATCAAAACCCATCGCTCCATAGATTCTTTACAAAAATATGATTCACACTTTTAAGTTTTTACACAATAAACTTGAAAGAGGGGGCAACATGTTTTTTTTTTTATTAATAAACTTCATTTTTTTAAGGCAGTTTTAGGTCCACAGCAAAATAGAACAAAAAGTAGAGAGAGTTCCCATATATCCTCTATATCCCCCCACCCACACGCACACAACCACCCCCACAATTGACATTCTGCACCAGAATGGTACATTTACTACAATCAATGAAACTGCGTTTACACAAAATTATCACCTGAAGTCCACAGCTTACATTATGGTTCACACTTGGTGTTGTATGTTGCATAGGTTCTCACAAATGTATGACATGTATCCACAATTGTAGTATCATATGGAGGAGTTTCATTGCTTAAGAATCTTCTGTGCTCTGCCTATTTATACCTCTCTCTTTCCTAACTCCTGGCAATCAGTTATCATTTTACTGTCTCCACAGTTTTGTCTTTTCCAGAATGTCATACAGTTGGAATTAGGCATTATATAACCTTTTCAGATTGGTTTCTTTTACATAGTACTATGCATTTAAGTTTCCTCGTGTCTTTTCAGGGTGCAATGTGTTTTTTAAATAAAATATTCTAAAATCTAATTCACATTTAATTATAGAGTGGGACATTTAGATGATTTCTCTTTTTACTTTAAAACGTACTAATTAAAATTTAATAGACACTTTTATCAACAACTGTTACGCTGAGGATCTTTCTGTGGGATAATTTGCCTACATATATTAATTGTTAGAATTGGCAGAGATAAGTTTCTAAAGGCTGTCTTTGAATGTTAAGGACGAGCAGCATTTTTTTTATGTTTATTTTTTTTTCTTGAGACAGGGTATCACTCTGTCACCCAGGCTGCAGTGCAGTGGCGTAATTATGGCTTACTGCAGCTTCAACCTCCTGGACTCAAGCCATCCTCCTGTCTCAGCCTCCCAAAGTGCTGAGATTACAGGTGTGAGCCACCACACCCAGCCAAATCTACTCTTTTTTCAATGGGATTCTTTCATGCTCTACTTGTCACACACTTCTATCCACCATTTATGCACCCTTATTTTGTTTACTGCCTTATTCTAGGCAGTTTTCTTACATTCTTTTCATCCACTGACTATAACATGAAGTTTCTGTATTACTGAAAGAGAGATACAAGTAAAGTATCATTTTCTCCACACTCCAACCCCTACCCAGCAATTTAAAGTGATTAGTGTTCTCATGGAACAGTGTGTCCATTAATTCAATTGGCTTTTTGATGCAAGGCTGTGCAAAATACTCAGGATACTAAGGTACATCAGAAATAATTTCTGCCTTCAGGGAACTCACATTCCAGTGTGGGAGAGAACTGACAAGCAAACAAAGGACCGCAGCAGTCCCTCACAGGCTGTAATTAAACTACATACAACTGCCATCAGAATCTAGCTTCAAGAATAACTAGCAGCAACATGTAAGATAAACCTTAGAAGTTAAATGAATATAACAGGTAGACAAGGAAGGAAAGGGCTTTTAAGCCAGGGCTGTAACCAAGGGGTTCATGGTTCCAATTCAAGGATTTGAAGATTTGGTTGGGAAAATAGTTTCATCTTTATTTTCAGTAACCTCCAGTTCGAAATTTAGCATTTCCTTCCATTATAAATTCAGGCCACAAACTGGAGTAGTATTGGCAATATTTGTAACTTGTCACCAATAGAATCACAGATATATTCAACTCACATTGCAGTTGATTCAGATCCTTGAAATATTTACTATTCACTACTTTGAAATTACAGTAGTTACAAGGCTCACTGTAAGACCTTATTATTTATTGCATTAACAAGGAAACAATATAACACAACTTTGTGTTCCTAATATTTTGATAACTATATATTAACATATTGGGGTTTCTTTGTAGCAATGTGTATGTTGATGCCTTTAAATACATTATTCTTAGATTTCCCAGACAGTCTAAGATATGCATTGCAAAAGAAAAAAATGAATAATTAAATAAGGTCAAGAATCCTGCTCTAGGCAGAGGGAACAAAATACACAAAGACACGGAAGGTGTAAAATATGAGGATTTGTTCAAAATTAAATCCCCAGTGCTGTCTTTTCTTTATCCTGACTTTAAGTTCTGCCCGCTCCTGTCCTCTTACCCTCTTGCTGCCACTCTTCCAGTTTGGCACAGCTGTCAGTCTTGCCTTCTTCCACTCTATTTTCTTCACTGTCTTCAAAACGGGTCCATGTAAAATGCCACGATGCTTGTGCCGCTGCTACTTAGGTTGAAGGTGGTAAGGAAAGTCTGGCCTGCTTGGCCTTCATCTGATACTCTCCCTCTGTCCCCGAGGCCCCTCTGTGGAGTCTTGGACTCCCTGGGATGCAATCTGAAAGCCTGGAAGAGAAGTGTGGCCTTCAATATCCTCCAGGGGGCGTTCTTTACCTCTCCATCTGCATCTCCTACCCTATGCCTCCCGGAGCTCTGAGTCTCTCGCCACAATGAATCACTTTTTAGTCTTCAAAAAGCTCACCCTTCTGGTACAACCTTATGCCCTCTTTTGCCTCCAATAAACAGGCTACTTCTTCTGCCTGGGACAATACCTCTCACCACCCCTTTTTCCTGATTAATTCCTACTTAGCTGTTAGATGTCACTTTAGAGGTTTCTTCCGGGAAGCTCTCTCTACTTCCCCCAAGAATATCGCCTTATTATGTGCTGTCTTAACAGTATTTACCTTCATTTTATCATTGAATAGTAATAGACTTTTGCTGGTCTGTGTCCCACAGAATGCTGCACTGTCTTTTCTGGTTGGCACTGAGCCATTCATTACTCACTGTTTAATTCCCCACATTGTAACTGACATATAGCAGGCATTCAGTGGTTTTACCGGTGAGATGAATGAAGCTGGAATTATTGTCCAACCTTACATCAAGAGAAGGATCAGAAGCCAAGGAAAGGAATTTGGACTTCATCTTCCAGACCTCTAGGTTTTTCAAACTATTAGTTATAATCTGTTACTAGATTGTAAGATTAATTTAGTGGTTTGCAATAATTTCTTGTGTTAAATAAAATTTTGTAGAACAGAACAGAATAGAATAACATAGAAAATATCAAAGTGCATCACAAGTAGCAGGAGTAAGTTTGTTTCATAAAACTTTTACTTTAGTTATATATATTATGCATACACGTGCATATCTTGAATAAGAATGTGTTTATTGAGTCCTGATGTGGAATGTTTTTATTCCAGTGGGTCATGTTAAAAAGGTTCTAAAGACACTGTAACCAGAGGGGATCCACGGAAAGTCTCAATCAAAGGCATGATATGACCAGATGTGTGGTTTTGGAAGTTTTCTCAGACCGTAGTGAGTGTTTGTTTGTTTAATAGACAGGGTCTTGTTCTGTCACCCAGGCTGGAGTGCAGTGGTGCGATCATAGCTCACTGTAGCCTTGGACTCAAATGATCCTCCTGCCTCAGGCTCCTGAGGCAGCAAGCCTCCCTGAAAGCACCAAGGATTTTTAGGGCATAAAATGACTATGCATGATACTAGAATGGTAGATACATGTCATTAGAAATTTATCCAAACCCCTAGACTGTACGACACCAAGAATGAACCCTGTAGTAAGCTATGGACACTGCATGATAGATGTGTAAATGCAGGTTCATCGATTGTAACCTACAGGCCTTATTTATGTAGTTAGGACTGTCCCAGATAGCTGTGACTACAGGCCCAAACCAGCACACCCAGCTAACATAAAGTGTGTTTTGACTGGCGATGTCTCTGGAGGCAATGGGAGCAATTGAAAAACTACCACAGTCAACTGGGAAATGATGACAAAGGCAAGGCAGTGGGATGAAGAAGAGGGTGGAAAGAAGAAATGTTCAAGAGGAATAATCAAGGACTTTAGTGACTGATTGGGTGAGTTTGTGAGGGCGGCTGAGGTGTTAGTGTTCAGGCTGTTAACCAAGACCAATGCCAAAACGAGATTACCCACTAGCAACACCAAACGCCTGCAAGGATGTGAGCAACAGGAAGTCTCATTCATTGCTGGTGGGAATGCAAAATGGTACAGCCACTTTGGAACACAATTTGGTGGCTTCTTACAAAACTAAACACAATCTTCCCATCTGATCCTGCAATTGGGCTCCTTGGTATTTACACAAAGGAGTTGAAAACTTGTGTTCATACAAAAACTTCTATCCATATGGATGTTTGTAGAAGCTTTATTCACAAATACCAAAACTTGGAGGCAACCAAGATATCCTTCAGTGGGTGAACGGATAAACTATGGTACATACAGACAAATAGAATATTATTCATCACTAAAAAGAAATGTGCCATCAAGTCATGAAAAGACATTTAATGAAACTTAAATGTATGTTGCTAAGTGAAAAAAGCCAGCCCAAAAAGGCTACATACTGTATGGTCCCAACTACACAACATTCTGGAAATGGTAAAACTATAAAGACACTTAAAAGACAAGTGATTGCCCTGTGTGGTGGCTCACGCCTGTAATCCCAGTACTTTGGGAGGCTGAAGCTGTTGGATCTCCTGAGGTTGGGAGTTCAAGACCAGGCTGGCCAATGTGGCAAAACTCTGTCTCTACTAAAAATACTAAAATTATCTGGGTGTGGTGGTGGGCACCTGTAATCCCAGCTACATAGGAGGCTGAGGCCAGAGAATCACTTGAATCTGGGTGGCAGAGGTTGCAGTAAGCTGAGATCACATGGCTGCACTCCAGCCTGGGCAACACAGTGAGACTCCATCTCAAAAAAAAAAAAAAATCAGGGGTTGAAGGGAGGGAGGGATGAACAGGCAAAGCACCAGTGACTCTTAGGGCAGTGAAACTACTCTGCATGACACTAGAATGGTGGATATATGTCATTATAAGTTATCCAAACCCCTAGACTGTACAACATCAAGAGTGAACCCTATGGTAAGCTATGGGCACTGTGTGATAATGATGTGTAAATGTAGGTTCATCAGTTGTAAACTACAGGCCTTATTTATGTAGTGAGGACTGTCTAAAATTAGCCCATGAATCACTGTCTCTAAGCATTGTTGTTTGCTGAAGTATTAATATTAATGATACAAAGAAATTATAAAACTGATAAGAAGAAAATTTTTAGCATGTGTTCCCTAGAGCTCAAAGTTGGTTAATGTCACTCTGGTGGGCAATGTTGTTAGTGGGGGGCTATACCTGTGTGGGGGCAGAGGATATATGGGAAGTCTCTGTACCTTCTATTCAAATTTCTTATGACCCTAAGAATGCTCTAGAAAAACTAAGTCTAAAAAAAAAAAAAAAAGAAAAAAGAAAAACTAAGTCTATTAAAAAGGTGGGGGATTACCTGCAAAGTATCCTTATGGAATTTTATGGTAACATCTAAAGAGATCTAGAGTTTGAGGGAGCAGTCTAGACTGGAGGCATTTTCTTAAGAAGACATTTATCACTCATGTTAGTCTGGGTCCTCCCAGAAGCAGACTCCAGGACAGGATTAAATTTACAAATATTTCTCTAGGAGAAGTCTCTGTGATAGAAAATGTAGGGGGGTCAGGCATGGTGGCTCACGCCTGTAATCCTAGCACTTTGAGAGGCTGAGGCAGAAGGATCGCTTGAGCCCAGGAGTTTGAGACTGGCCCAGGGAACATGGGGACATCCCTGAAAAAAAAAAAAAAAAAAGAAGGCCAGGCTCTGTGGCTCAAGCCTGTAATCCCAGCACTTTGGGAGGTGGAGGCGGGCGGATCAACTGACGTCAGGAGTTCAAGACCAGCCTGACCAGTATGGTGAAAACCTGCCTCTACTAAAAATACAAAAATTAGCCGGGCATGGCGGCACATGCTGTAATCCCAGCTACTCAGGAGGCTGAGGCAGGAGAATCACTTGAACTCCGGGGGGCTGAGGTTGCAATGACCCAAGATCACACCATTGCACTCCAGCTTGGGCAACAGAGCAAGACTTGGTCTCAAAAAAAAAAAAGAAAAAGAAAAAGAAAAGGAAAATGTAGGGAGAGAGGAGGGGCTGGGAAAGCCAGCTGTCAGTGGAGCAAAGGAGCAGGTGGATAGAAGCCAGTTTAGCCTAAGGTAGGTGCAACAAGAAATTTTTAGATGTCTCAAGCCAAAGTCATCAGTCAGAGGAGTCCCATGGAATAGGACTGCCCTCTAATCTCCAGCATGCTCAGTCCCTGGGCCCTCAATCAATCACTCTCACTCAGTAAAGATCTGTGAAGTGTATTCTCCTGACCACCACCACACTTTAACAAATACGTCTTATTTTAATATATACACATCAGTGTAAACAAAAGTTCAACACAATAAACTGTTCTTTGCCATCATGAAGTTCTGAGGGGCAGTGCATAGCTTTGCGTCTCTTGGCCACGGTTTCAGACCTTTCCTCTTCCCCTCTAGATGTCTCTGTAGTTCCTGATACTCAAATACCAGCTATTTAGGGATTAACAGATAAACCTATTCTTCATGCATTGCTGCTACATTGCTTTTTTGCCTACATGTCTTAATCTGATACTTCATTTAAAAAGCAGGATGTTTTGACCAGGCGTGGCAGCTCATGCCTGTAATCCCAGTACTTTGGGAGGCCAAGGGAGGTGGAACACCTGAGGTCAGGAGTTCAAGACCACTCTGACCAACATGGCAAAACCCTGTCCCCACTAAAAATACAAAAATTTAGCCAGGTGTGGTGGCATGCGCCTGTAGCCACATTTATTTAACCTTCCTAAGCTTTATTCTTCTCACCTATGAAATGGGGTAACAATAGTTGCAACCCTATAGTATTGTTATAGTAATAAATTATACATATGTTATATATACATAACAAATAAACATCTGTTTATATATGTGCTGTATGTTATATGCATATTTATATTTATATATATATACAATATTACACAGTGCCTGGTGTATGGTAAGCACTCAAAAAATTAACCATAATAATAACTATTGGCTGGGTGTGGTGGCTCATGCCTGTAATCCCAACAGTTTGGGAGGCCAAGCATGGAGGATTGCTTGAGCCCAGGACTTCAAGACCAGCCTGGGCAGCACAGGAAGACTATGTCTCTATTAAAAAAAAATAATAATAAATATTAATAACATCATTGTTTTTACCTCCCTGCTATTAGACTTACTCCCCTTTTTCATGTTAATTAATTAATTAATTAAAGCTTTCCTAAAGTATTTCCTGATCTTTAGGAATCTCTCACATAATTGCTAACATTTTTTTGGCACCCACTTTGGGCACCTTTATAGTATTTGAAATTTGACAGCAGGTGGCAGAAAACTCAACCAAAATTAGATTTTTAGTTGTTGTTCACATTACAAGAAGTCTAGGGCTTGGGTAGTGGCCCCATGGTAGCGTCATTGTTCCAAATGCTTCTTTCTTCCTGCCCTGCAATCCTCTGGGCCATAAGATGGGTTTGGCTTCTTTGGCATAACATTCATGTCTCAGGAAGGAAGACGAAAAGAAGACAGAAAGGATGGAGGCCAAGGACTTCCTCCTCTCAAAGGTTTACCATTCCATTCAAGGAAGCAAATCCTCGCCACAGATGTTCAC
This sequence comes from Homo sapiens, assembly GCF_000001405.40. NCBI lineage: Eukaryota > Metazoa > Chordata > Mammalia > Primates > Hominidae > Homo > Homo sapiens. The sequence continues at coordinate 106,344,650 of NC_000006.12, forward strand.
CCACATCTAACTGGTCGTGATTGTGCCAAATGACTACCTCTATCTGGAAAACAAGCTGGGAAATCAAGTACTTTTAGTTAGAGAGTGTTCTCACCTCAAACAGAATCAGGGTAATGTTTTGAAGAAGGGAGAATGAGTATTGGCAACTAGCCATGTCTGGTACATGAGCTCATTTAATTCTATTTTAAAATGACAGTCTGTCCAAGATCCAGTACTATGGACTTGAATCTAGAATTCCATAATTGAGGTAATGGGTACATCAGAGCCAATGTCAATTAAGTAGGAGGAAATAAATTATACTAGTTTTTAAATTGAATTGATTGATTCATTTACGCAAAACCTCTGGATGCTAAATAAATGTAGCAACTGATGGGCTGCATTATCCCATGCATAAATTACCCATAACTAGCCAGTTAAGCAGTGTTTGAAACTGGCTGCTTATTAAGCCACTTTATTATGCCATTACTACAGTATATGAAATTATATTCTATGTTTCTGAGTAGGGAAAAGAACCCACACAGCTCGTTGCTTATGTGTTACCTATTTTCATTCAACAGTCTCAAATCCTTTTTCAGAACAAAGCAAATATGAATAAACAATCTGGTAACATGTAATTCATACAATTTAATAAGCATTGCAAATGAGAAAGGAGAGTGTTATTTTCATTTCTTCATATAATAATTACATCCTCTCTTGCAAAGCCCTCACTCATCTGGAAGAATTATATAATGTTCTCAATTTACCATAGGTAGTCAATGCTTAGCCTGTGTGGTATGTAGATGTATATCTTAGTTTCAGGACAGGACTGCATCCAAGCAATTTGAATGTGTCAGGTATGAGTGTCGTCCTATAGTTATTTAGGCCAAGCTAGGAAGAAGGCGGAGTAATAGTGGACTAAGGTATGGCCAAGACATAAGACAAAAATAAAATTTACTGTTAGTTTTTATGTATTAGATTAGTAAACTAATAACTAATGATAAAAATTTACAGCAGCAACTTCTTTACTTTATCCCTTAATTATTTGATGTTTCTTAGTCTTAGGTGTCGAACTAGATTTTAACCTCCTGAAGAATGTTTCTGGTCCCACATAAAGCACTTAACACTACCTTGGGCAATGCTTATTGATTAACTGAAAGATGTATTTATTAAAATTTTCAGTGTTAACTCCTAATTGCCAGTAAATTCTCTTTCCTTTTTCTCTTGAAAAAGTAGTAATCAGCCAAGTTCTTTTTTTTTTTCCTTTGAGACTGTGTCTTGCTCTGTTACCTAGGATGGAGTACACTGGCACACTCACGGCTCACTGCAGCCTCAACCTCCTGGGCTCGGGCGATGCTCCCACCTCAGCCTCCCGGGTAGCTGTGACTACAGGCACACACAACCATGCCTGGCTAATTTTTGTAGTTTTTGTAGAGATAGGGTTTCACCATGTTGCCCAGGCTGGTCTTGAACTCCTAACCTCAAGGGATCCACCCGCCTCAGCCTCCCAAAGTGCCGGGATTACACACCGAGCCCGGCTGTAAATTCTCTATAGCTCATGCGAATCCCTGAATTAAGGCCTTGAATGAACTTTAGGATATAAAGTTAGGATGATATCCTTTAAAGTTAGATGACTTTTTAATTTTTTGCGAGTACACGGTAGGTGTATATATTCATGAGTTATATGAGATATTTTGATAAAGGCATGCAATGCATAATAATCACCTCAAGGTAAATGTGGTATCTATCCCTTCAAGCATTTATCCTTTGTGTTATGAACAATCCAATTATACTTTTAGTTATTTTAAAAGGTACAATTAAATTATTATTTACTATAGTCACCCTGCTGTGCTAGCAAATACTAGGTCTTATTCATTCTTTCTAACTACTTTTGTACCCATTAACCATTCCCACTTCCGCCTCACCGCAACCCCACTACCTATCCCAGCCTTTGGTAACCATCCTTCTACTCTCTATCTCCATGGGTCCAGTTGTCTTTTTAGCTCCCACAAATCGGTGAGAACACGTGATGTTTGTCTTACTGTGGCTGGTTTATTTCACTCAACATAGTGACCTCTGTTTCCATCCATGTTGCAATTGACATGATCTCATTCTGTTTTATGACTGAATAGTACTCCATTATGTACATGTACCACATTTTCTTTATCCACTCATCTGTTGATGGATACTTAGGTTGCTTCTAAATCTTGGTTATTGTGAATAGTACTGCAATAAACATGGGAGTGCAGATATGTCTTTGATATACTGATTTCCTTTCTTTTGGATATATACCTAGGAGTGGGACCGCTGTATCCTATGGTAGCTTTATTTTTAGTTTTTTGAGGATAGGTGACTTATTTTTAAGCAAGCATAATTAAACATAAAATATGTTGTCCTTCAAAGTTGAAGCTCCAGGAGATCACATGCTTGTTGAACAATAATGTAATTACTCAAGGCATCGACAAAACTTTTTGCAATTGCTTTTAAAGCCAGTTAAAGAAATACACAAATGAAACTATTCACATTACTTTATAAATTCAGCTAATTATTCCCCCCACAGAAAAAAAATATGTATGGTGGATCATCTACTTTATTTACTGTATTTGTCTTTAGATCACTCTTGCTTTGCTAAAAAAAAAAAAATTGCTACTGAAGGAAAAATTTCCAACTATTAAATAAACTAAAATAAATATGATATAGGATTTTTCTAATACATTGGCTCCATCTTGAGAAATCCTAAACTATGTACACAGGCCTTATTTACATAGTGAGGACTGTCTATAATTAGCTCATAAATCACTCTCTCTAGGCAGTCTTGTTTGCTAAAGCATTAATATTAATAACACAAAGAAATGATAAGAATGATAAGAAGAAAAATTTTAGCATGTGTCTCCTGGGACTCAGAATTGGCTAATGGCAATGATGTTTGTAAAAATATCATCACCAGGGGCCATAGAGGTTTAACCGAATGTAGATAGGAGAATAACTAAATTATGTAGCTATAAGCAAACATCTAGGTAAAACGATGCGTATTGAACACACATGATTAGCTCAAAGCAATCTATTTGGCTTTAGATTGTGCAATGGAAATGTCTTTCCACTCAGTGTTAAAAACTTCTTTGATAAAATACATGTTTTTAGGGTTGTTAACATAGATTTCTAAAACAGACTAGGTTTTTGAAATTAACTAGAATAATTCGTTGTTTCCTACAGCTTGAACCAGCAGAGAAGCTCACTTTGTGCAAAGATAACATGACCTCTGTAAGGCTGCCTGTCTGGCTTCTGCTGCTTTTTCAGCAACAGTCGGTAGAGAGGTTTCTGGAAATCGGGAAGACCAAATCAGAACCAGGGGCCAACTAAGGCTACCATCATGGCAGAACTCTAAACAAAACAGTAACTACAAAAGACTTTGTTTTATCTGTGAAACTCAATGGTAAGCTACTTGAGGATGGTGACCACCTAGGTCTGACATGTCAGGCAGCTGCTAATTCCCACATCTTATCCTTGGACATTTCTACAGTCAAGCGACTAATGGGTTTCTTGGTTGTGAAGTAAAGTTAAAATTCTCGAGCTTTTGAAATATTCACTACCATATCAATCAACTAAAATTTTACTTGGCTTTAATGTTGTGTAACATAGAGAGGGTACACTTCTAATATGACATATAATCTATCTTGTAATTCATTTACCTTATTCTATTTTTGAAAAATTCATTTTAATTTTCTCCTGTTGTCACAACTCCCTAACCATCTCAATGTGTAACAAAATGGGAAATGCAATTCTGAACATATGAAATACAGTACTACAAAATACTATTGGCATGGTGAAGTACTTAGATCATAGGATTTGGAGTCCAAGCTCTGCCATTTACTATGCAACAACCCTCAATAGATCCCTGAACTGCTCTTAGCCTCAGTTTTTCCTCTCCAAAACATGGAAATAATAAATAGTAATGTCTACTAAGGTAATTAGGAGGACTAAATAGTGTATATAAAGGAGTATAGGCTGGATGCAGTGGCTCACACCTGTAATCCCAGCACTTTGGGAGACCAAGGTGGGTGGATCACGAGGTCAGAAGATTGAGACTATCCTGGCCAACGTGGTGAAACCCCGTCTCTACAAATAATACAAAAAAAATTAGCTGTGCGTGATGACACCTGCCTGTAATCCCAGCTACTCAGGAGGCTAAGGCAGGAGAATGGCTTGAACCAGGGAGTCAGAGGTTACAGTGAGCAGAGATCGCACGACTGCACTCCAGCCTGGTGACAGAGCAAGACTCTATCTCAAAAAAAAAAAAAAAAGAGCATAAGAGAATTTGCAGGGAGGGGTAATGGAAATGTTTTATATTGTGACGGTAGTTACGTGTACTTATTAAACTGCACAGAACTACATACTAAAAAGTATGAGTTTCACTGAAAGTCACATGTACCTCAATAAATCTGACTTTAAAAAATAAAATTTAAAAATGCATGTAAAGTACTTAGTACAGGTTTGACACTAAGTGCATAATGAATAATATGATAGTGATATGTGGCTGTATTAATATTATGAAAAACTAATTTCTCTATTGTCACAGTAATAGTTCCCCCTATAGTTACTAAATTTCTACAGTTCGATGCAGTGAATTGAAGATCAAATCCAGTATTCCCTATATTACTCTTCTGTTTCTAAAATGTAGAAGAAAAGTGCAAAAGGAACAGTCAAAGCGTAGTTCTAGCTATGGTGTGAAATATTCCTTTACTTAATAAGGATCTATTTTACTCCCATTGAAGGCCCAATTCTATGAGATGCAGAGATATATAAAGTAGATACAGGCATTTCCCCAACTTAAACACTTTATCCATTCATTAACTCCACGAACATTTATTAGACACCTATTATGTGCCAAGCACTTGTTAGGTTCTGAGAATACATTTGGGGTTAGGGAAAAACAATCTCTGCTCTTTTTTTAAAAACAAAACAAAACAAAACAAAAACGAGTTCTGAGGCATTTGCTTCTATTTATATATTTATTTACTTTAACTTTTATTTTAGGTTTGGGGATGCATATGAAGGTTTGTTACATAGGTAAACACATGTCACGGGGGTTTGTTGTACATACTATTTCATCACTCAGGTATTAAGCCCAGTACACAATAGTTGTCTTTTCTGCTCCTCCTCCTTCTCCCACCCTCCCACTTAAGTAGACCCCAGTGTCTGTCGTTTCCTTTGGTTTTCTTGAGACGGAGTCTCACTCTGTCACCCAGGCTGTAGCACAGTGGTGCGATCTCGGCTACTGCAAATTCTGCCACCTGGTTCAAGTGATTCTCCTGCCTCAGCCTTCCATATAGCTGGGATTACAGGCGTGTGCCACCATGCCTGGCTAATTTTTGTATTTTTAGTAGAGATGGGGTTTCACCATATTGGCCAAGCTGGTCTTGAACTCCTGACCTCAAGTGATCCGCCCACCTCAGACTCCCAAAGTGCTGGGATTACAGGTGTGAGTCACCCCGCCTGGCCTGTTTTCTTCTTTGTGTTCATAAGTTCTTAACATTTAGCTCCCCAAACTTATGAAGATGAGTTTTAATCCAAGAATTACATAAATAAATATTAAAAGTAACAAAAAATAAGTACAGATAGATTCCTGACTTGGAAACATTCACACAAAAGAATGGCTGACCTGAAATTCCAGAGAGATGAGAGTAAGCCAAGCATTTTCCTTTTGTTGTGCAGATAAGAAGGTAAAAAATATAGAGCTGGCCCTCCATATCCATGGGTGCCACATCTGTGGATTCAACCAGCCACAGATAAAAAAGTATTTGAAAAAAAAAATGAATGCACTTGTACTGAACATGTACAAACTTTTTATTGCCATTAGTTCCTAAATGATGCAGCATAACAACTATTTACATAACTTTTACATTGTATTAGGTAATATAAATAATCTAGAGATAATTTAAAGTATACAGGAGGATGTGCATAGGTTATATGCAAACACTACACCATTTTATAACAGAGGCTTGAGCATCTGTGGATTTCGGCATCTGAAGGGGTATCCCCACAAATACCAAAGGACAACTGTAATCTTAAAGATAGGGAGCTTCCTTCTGGGAGAGATTTTCAATTTTGAGTTCAAAGCATGTGATCTATGGGCAATTGGGAATATTTGAATATGGGCTTTATGTTAGATGATGGCACTGTATCAACACTGAGTTTTCTGAGTGTGGTAATTGTTTTATGTTTGCATAGGAGATTATTCTTGTACTTGAGTGGACCCATATTGAGATATTTATGAGTGAAGTGTCCTGATGTCAGCATATTACTTTCAGGTAATTCAGCAAAACTAATGCTGAGTTGGAGAGAGAGAGGATTTAACATTAAAGTGGCAAGATTTTAACAACTGATGAGTTGGAGTGACACATATCTGGGTGATCATTGTAGTAATTCTCTTTCTCTCGTTTTGTATCCTTCCATTTCCCACTTCCCTTCCTTTGCTAGTGTTGTTACTTATTTTACTTTTATACATAATTCTCTCAATGTGCTAAACAGTCAATTATCTTTTTAAAAAATTTGCAAATTAGAAAAAAGTCCTTTGTAGCCACCCATATACATCTGCTCCTCAACTTATCATGGAGTAATGTCCTGACAAACCCATCGTAAGTCAAAAAAGCATTTAAGGCACATTATCTACTGAACATCATAGCTTAGTTTAGCCTACCTTAAAAGTGCTCAGAACACTTACATTAGCCTACAGTTGGGCAAAAATCATCTAACAAAAAGCCTATTTTATAATAAAATGTTGAATATCTCATGTAATTTATTGAAAACTATACTGAAAGTGAAAAACAGAATGGTTTTATGGGTTCTTGAAGTGTGGTTTCTGCTGAATGCCTATCACTTTTGCACCATTGTAAAGCTAAAAACAGTAAATTGAATCATCATAAATCAGGGACCATCTGCTTTTGCCGTTTGCGGCACTTTTCATTTTTTCATGTAGGCCCAAGTTTTTGACATCACTTTCCTTTGCCAGAAGCACTTCCTTTAATAAAGTGCCAGGTAGGCTGGCGCGGTGGCTCACACCTGTAATCCCAGCATTTTGAGAGGCTGAGGCAGGTGGATCACGAGGTCAGGAGTTCAAGACCAGCCTAGCCAACATGGTGAAACCCTGTCTCTACTAAAAATACAAAAATTAGCTGGACATGGTAGAGAATTGCTTGAACCCAGGAGGCAGAGGTTGCAGTGAGCCAAGATCACGCCACTGCACTCCAGCCTGGGCAACAGAGCAAGACTCTGTCTCAAAAAAAAAAAAAAAGTGCTGGGTATCTTGTAGTGCAGGGAGAGATACTGGTGATGCATTCTGTTAGATTGTGTTTGATTAAATACATCCTTATTTTTGTCTTCATTTTCACAGAATATTTTCACTGGGTATAGGTTGTCTTTTTTTTTTTTTTCCTTTAAGCACTTTAAAGTTGTTCTATTATTTTCTAGCTTGCCTAGTTTCTGGCAAAAAAAAAATGTATTTATTCTTATCTTTTATCCTACACATACAATATCTTTATTTTCTGCCTTCTTTAAAATTTTTCTTTTCATCACTGGTTTTCAAAAAATTATTCTGAGGTGGTTTTCTTTGTGTTTATTCTATTTGTGATTCACTGTGCTTCCTGCATCTGTGGATTTATGCTGTGTATTAAATTTGTAAAAATTTTGCCATTGTTTCTTCAGATTTTTTCAATCTCTCTTGCTCACCTCCCTCCTTTCTCCCCCAACACCCTCTCTCTCATTCTCTCTCTTTTTCTTTCTTTTCAAAAATATTTTCTTTTACCCAGAAACTATCTGTAGAGTTTCTATTGCTATTTCTTCAGATTCGCTGATTATTTCTTCTGCAGTGAATAATCTATTGTTAATCCAATAGTGATTTTTTTATTACCAATATTATATTTTTCACCTTTAAAGTTTTTACTTGAATTATACTTATGTCTTTACTTTCTCTGCTCATTATGTTCATGCTTTCCTTTAAGTCCTTGAATATATTTATAATTGTTTTAAGTTCTTGTCTGCTAGTTCCATTATCTGTCATTTCCGGGTGAGTTTCTATTGACTGATTTTTCTTTTGCTTATGGGACACATTTTCCTCCCTTTTTATATGTTGGGTAATTTTTGATTGGATGCTGAACATTGTACATTGTATTTTGTTGAGGGCTGGATTTTGTTGTCTTCCTTTAAAGAGTTTTAGATTGTTTTTCTGAGATGCAGTTAAATTACTTTTAAACAATCTTCATGTAGAATGTTGAAGTTTGTTTTGTTAAACTACTTATGGATCAATGTGATGCTTTGGGGGCTTGTTTTTAAACTTCTTTTTTTTTAGAGCAAACCCTTTGCTCTGGGTTAGTTTAGCCGCTCTACTGTGTAACCCCTCTGTGGTCTCTGTTGAATTCCCCAGTGTTCAGTGTGGACTCATTACTCCTGTTGGTCAGAGTCTCCCAGAACATCTTCCAGTCTTTTTTTTTTTTTTTGAGACGGAGTCTTGCTCTGTTGCCCAGGCTGGAGTGCAGTGGCACGATCTCAGCTCACTGCAAGCTCCACCTCCCGGGTTCATGCCATTCTTCTGTCTCAGCCTCCGGAGTAGCTGGGACTACAGTCGCCCGTCACCACACCTGGCTAATTTTTTGGTATTTTTAGTAGAGACGGGGTTTCACTGTGTTAGCCAGGATGGTCTCAATCTCCTGACCTTGTGATCCGCCCGCCTTGGCCTCCCAAAGTGCTGGGATTACAGGCGTGAGCCACCGCACCCGGCCCATCTTCCAGTCTTGTGTGAGCTCTGGGAATTACTCAGCCAACTGGCTGCTATTTGCTTTTTGCCCTCCCTTGTGGAGTTTTACCTTACACAGACACAAGTTGGTATTCTGGAGCAGATGCAAGGCAACGTCTATGCATATTTCTTGATATTTTTCTCTGTATAGCAAATAAGGAATTTGGACTCACTATATGTTAAAATGACTCTATGGACTAGTCAATGAAGAGAGTCACTACATATATCTGTTTCTATGAGACAATGTATTTTACATTTCAAACAATTGACTTTAAAATATGGCTAATTTGTAATTTGGAGACTTCAAAAATATGACTTTGCTTTAATAATATAGTAAAAGAGAATAATCCTCTAGTATCTGTATCAGTTTTCTATTGTTATATAACAAATCACCTCAAAATTTAGTGGCTTAATTGAATAGTATCTTTCCAATAAAGTATAATAAGAGTACTATGAAATGTTTTTGACGTGAAGACCAGTTCAAGAATTCCCTGTTCTATCTATCAAAATGATTTAATAATTTTTAAATAGATTTTTAATTCACCTAATGCAGGTAAACACTTTGCACCTTTTTTTTCTACTTCATCTTAGAAGTGATTTTTGTGTTTTTTTTTTTCTATAATCTCATTAGAGATGTTACAGCTAATTTGGGCTAAGATGCATTTTCTTATTAAGTAGCTTGAACATAATTGAATCTTTATGTAGTAGTTCAGATTTTTCATTGCTTCCATTCATTGTATATCTCTGAGGTTAAGATACAAAAAGTGCTCAGAATTGGTTTGGTTGTTTGTTGACTTCATGCTAGGTCATTATTTTTTTTTCAACAAATATTTAAATTTTTATTTTATTTATTTTTTAATTATTTTTATCCTGGTTTCGTGGGTAACAATTTTTTTTTAGTCTCTTTTTTTTATTATTATTATACTTTAAGTTTTAGGGTACATGTGCACAATGTGCAGGTTTGTTACATATGTATACATGTGCCATGCTGGTGTGCTGCACCCATTAACTCGTCATTTAGCATTAGGTATATCTCCTAATGCTATCCCTCCCCCTTCCCCCCCACCACACAACAGTCCCCAGAGTGTGATGTTCCCGTGGGTAACAAATATTTTTAGACAAAAACAAAATCCTGGTGCCTTAAAACAACACTACTGCTATAGCTTATGATTCTGCTGGGAAGTCCTCATCTGGGACAGTCTCAGCTGATCTCTAATGGGCTCTTTCACGTGTCTGCAACCAGTTTGTGGCTTCATTGGCGGCTGGCTGGTCTCAGCTAGCCTCACCCTTATTTCTGATTGTTGGCTCTGTTGGCTGAGGATGATGGGGGGTGACTTGGCCACACAGATCTCCTCATTCAGCTGCCTACTCTAGGCACATTCACATGGCAGCAAGATTGCAAGGGAAGCAAAGAGGTAAGGCCTGGGGTACAAGCATTTCTCAAGTTCTGTTTGCATTACATTTGCTAATGCTTCACTTGCCAGAGTAAGTCTCATGGCCAGCCCTGAATTAACGAGTGAAAAAATAAACTTTGCTTCTTTATGGGAAAAATATTGTGGACATTTTAATAATCTACCACAATGTCAACTTAAATTCAGATAGAAACTATAATAGAAGGTTAGAGAAAGAAAAAAAAATCTGTGCAGGTTGGAGAAAGTTGGCCTCTTGGAAAAGCAAGGGAAATTTTGAAATGGATCTCGGATTGCTAGATAGAGGGAGAGGAGTAAAAGGAGATCGAGACCATCCTGGCTAACATGGTGAAACCCTGTCTCTACTAAAAATACAAAAAATTAGCCAAGCGTGGTAGCGGGCGCCTATAGTCCCAGCTACTCTGGAGGTTGAGGCAGGAGAATGACTTGAACCCGGGAGGTGGAGCTTGCAGTGAGCCGAGATCGCGCCACTGCACTCCAGCCTGGGAGACAGAGTGAGACTCTGTCTCAAAAAAAAAAAAAAAAAAAAAAAAAAGCATTATAAGATAGAGGTCTCGGCCAGAGCACAAAGCTTGAACATAGAAATCACATGACCTTGGCCAAAGGGCTAATACTCTGCCCAGATACCCTTCTACGTCTCCAGCTGCTGTACCTAGCCTCTGTTGTATGTAGGCTCTCCCTTACTTGCAAGACACCTAAATGTTCCTGTTGCCCAGGATTTTATCTTTGTTCCTTTTTTATTCTTATTCTGCACATTTGCCCTGGGGGATTTCATCCAATTTCATGGCATCAACTCCCACCTATCCAGTGATGATGTCCAAATCTACATATGTAGTCCTGAACTATGATCTCTAGAACCATATTTTTCAATGAGTTCTTAGACCTCTCTGCCTATATAGACGCCATATCTCAATGTGTTTAAAACTTAATTTATTTTCATGCCCAGAGAACCTGATCTTTCTTTCTCCTATATTTCTGTTTTTTAGTTAATGGCTTTTCTTCCATCCATTTAGCTAAGCTGGAAACCTAACCTCATAGTCATCTTTGATGGCTTCTTCTTCACTCACTACAAGTCCTGGTGATTCCATCTTCTACATGTGTCTTGTGTCCATCCCCTCCTCTCCATTCCTATCCCACTGCCTTGGTAGGGGATCCCATCACCTCTTACCTGACCTCTTGCACCAACCTCTTAGCTGGTCTCCCTCAAATAGTTTCACTCTCCTAGTTTCTTCCTAGTTCACTCCATCCAGGGTACTTTTTATAAAACCCAAGTTTGTTCGTGTCACTCCTCTACTTAATAATGTAAGCTGGGTCCCTGGTGCCTACAAAACTGAGTCCAAACTCCTTAAAAGCATGACTTACCAAGTGCTTAGCAATCCAGTAAATCTTTACTGACCACTCCCCTTCCTCGTTTCCAAACTACAGACTAAGTTAGTAATTTTTCTAAACCCCCATAAAGCCTTGTACATATCTCCACTGATTCTTTTAGTCTTTGATATATATCATCTATGCATGATTTATACCTGATTTTACCAGAATCACTTCCTGCCACTTTGCCCCACCCCATCCCTCTCTTCTCCAGCATCACTGAGCTTCTGATTATTCCTCACCAGCAATGCATGTCCTTTCACAAGCCTGGGCCTCAGCCCATGTTGTTTACTCTTCCTGGACTGTCCACCCTCTCTTCTTCATCTAGCAAATTCTTATGCATTAGTTAAGCTCATAAACCTGTCACCTCCCTGCTGATGACTTCCTTGAGCCAATCAGAAGAGTTAGTCATTTCTTCTGTGTTCCCGTAGCCCTTTGCCCATTCCTCCAGCAGTCACCACTGTTCACACTTTTGGCTGCCTTGCCTATTTTGAATACCTCCATTATGTTTGGCAAATTTTAGCCACATGAATTCCATTTCTCTGAGGTAGAAGCCCCAGATCCCAAATTTCCCTTGTAGCTAGGAAACAGTTAAATAACTTAGGCTCTTCTAATCAGATGTACCTGCAGGGAACTTTTTTGCTTGAAGTGAGCAATACATGCGCTGGTAATGGGTGTGAGGCAGGAAATTAATCTTCTGGTAAGATGGGTGTGAAGAGGCCTTTGATCCTTGGGGTGGCCAGTGGCAGAGTGGCTGTCATGTAGCCCATAGTGCTGAGAGATGGTAAGAGTGGTGTTTGTCAAAACAGCTACCTGGAGTGGTTGAGGATGCTTGGGCTTCAGTCTTGCTGTTTGGCTCTGTCGAATATTCTATGGGCCACCTAAAATCCCGTGGTAGGTTAATTTACTGCCTAAATAAGTCTGAGTGGATTCGTTCTTGCAGTGACTGAAAAACAACAACTGACCCACATTGGTTAGGACACTTACCAAGTTTCACTATTCATGTTTTCTTAAGTATCTGTCTCTCCCACTACATTACTCTCAGGTACTGTGTCTTATCCTTCTATGCAGAGTTCTACTTTCTTAACTCTTATAACAAATACATGTTGAGTGCCTACACTGCGCCATACGCTGTGCTAGTCATTGAGGACATAATTGAGAAAAAGAGACTTGTAAGATTTTTTCTTATGAAGTGTACAATTTAAAAAATCTGTCTGAGACCAGGCATGGTGGCTCATGCCTGTAATCCCAGCACTTTGGGAGGCTGAGGCAGGAGGATCACTTGAGCTCAGGAGTTCAAGATCAGCCTGGGCAACATAGAGAGACCCCATCTCTTAAAAAAAAAAAGAGAAAAAAAGACCTGTCTGAAACATCCTAGGTGTCCAACTGAGTGAGTACACCAATTCATTTGATTACTTACTTTACTTACTGGACATTTGCGTCTGGAAAATATAAGAATAAATGAGAAATGTTCTTAAGTTTCTCTGAGGCTAATAGGAGATATAGAAATGTAAACCAGTTTGATGCAACCTGAAAGGTGTGATAACAAAAATATGTTTCTGATTCACTGGTGGCACAAAGGAGGGGTGGAGTGAAAAATTCTGCTTGGAAAAGCCAGGAATGAAAGACTAAGTTACTGAACGTAGAAATATTTTTGAGTGTGCATAAAGATTTCTTCTTGTCCCTTTTCCCCCTTTTCTTCTCTTTTCCCTTCTTCCCTTTCCCTTTTCTTTGCCTTTTCTTACTGTTCCCTTTGCCCTTTAAGGTTCAATCCAAGGGCCATCTTCATAGTAAATCTTTACTGACCACTCCCCTTCCTCCCTTCCAAACTACCACGCTAAGTTAGTAACTTTTCTAAACTCCCCTAATACCTTGTACATACCACCACTGATTCTTTTAGCCTTTGATGTGTGTTTGTGTACATATATATGTATATCACATGATATATATATCAGATGATTTTATATATATATATATATATATATATATATATATATATATATATATATGATATAATCTATGCATCTGTCATTGCCTCCTCCCCCAAGTCAGGGCCTGGCACATAATTAGTACAGTACTCAATAAGTTCAATAACTGTTTCTTGAGGAAATATAAATTAAAACTGCAATGTGATACCACCACATCCCCATCAGAATGGCCACAATGAAAAGGATTGTTAATATCAAGTGTTGATGAAGATATTGAAAAACTGGAAATTTCAAACATGCTAGAAAGAATATAAATGGGAAACTTTTTTGGCAGAATTCACTAAAGCTGAACATATGCATATTGTATTACCCAACGATTGAACTTCCGGGTATAAGTATCCAACAGAAATGAATGTGTACATCTCAGAAGGTTCATATCAATTTTATTCATAATAGCCCCAAACTGGAAACAACCTAATGTCCATCCACAATAATGGATAAATGAATTGTGGCATATTCATATCATGGAACAGTATACAATAATTTTTTTAAATGAAAAACTGCTATGGGTCAGGTGCAGGGGCTCACCCCTGTAATCTCAACACTTTGGTGGGAGGCTGAGGCGGACAAGTCACTTGAGCTCAGGAGTTCGAGACCAGCCTAGGCAACATGGAAAAACCCAGTCTCTACAAATGTACCCCCTCCAAAAAAAAAAAAAAAGCCCGGTCCTGTGGTGTGTGCCTGTAGTCCTGGCTGCTCAGGAGGCTGAGGTGGGACGATCACTTGTGCTCAGGTGGTCAAGGCTGCAGTGAGTGCAGTGAGAGGTGATGGTAACAGTGTACTCCTACCTGAGTGACAGAGTGAGACCCTGTCTCAAACAAAACAAGACAAAAAACTGCTACAATATAAGCAACAATATAGATGATTTTCACCGACTAATATTGAGCAAAGCAAACCAGAAACAGAGTACATATTGTGATTTTCCACTAAAATGAAATTCCAGAAAAGGTCAAATTAATCTCCAGCAAAAGAGGATGAAATAATGGTTAACTTTTACAGGTGGGAGGGGTAATGTACTGGAAGAGGACAGTAGGGAGATTTTTAAAGTTTTGAAAGTATTCTATATTTTTATAATCATATATATTTACCTATTATTATTATTTGAGACATAGTCTCATCCTGTTGCTCAGGCTGGAGTGCAGTGGCGCCATCTCGGCTCACTGCAACCTCTGCCTCCTGGGTTCAAGCGATTCTCATGTCTCGGCCTCCCGAGTACCTGGGATTACAGGCGCACCTCCACCACCACGCCCAGCTAATTTTTTTTTTGTATTTTTAGTAGAGAAGGGGTTTCACCATGTTGGCCAGGCTGGTCTCAAACTCCTGACTTCAAGTGATCTGCCTGCCTCGGCTTCCCAAAGTGCTGGGATTACAGGCGTGAGCCACCGCTCCTGGCCTATAATCATACATTTAAAAGCCACATACGGAAGAATTTTCTAGGACAATGTCAACTCTCCATTAAAAAACTTTTCACACCCCAACCACATAAATATGTAAAAATTTGAGTTTTACCCTTATGATTTGTGCATTTTACTGTCTATAAATTACATCTTGATAAAAATGTAAATAAAAACAAATAAAAATGAATGTTCCTTGAATGAGTGAATAAACGAATGAATGAGTTGTGTTTTCAAAGAGGAAAATAAAGACATTACCGTGAAAGAGGATCTTGTACTGCATTGAATTTTTAAGTAGTGCTTAGTTCTTGCACTTTCTTTGCTCTAATGATGCCCAAAATAATTGTTCGTTTACTTACTTTGCTTAAGTATTAATTTCCTTTGCTATTTAGCCACGACTGTGAAGTTAAGACAAGAAAGTCATCAACAGTAATGCAGATGATGTAAATACCTTGTGGGACTGGCATTTAATTTACTGCGAGGGATCTATTAAGCTCTTGGGGAATTGGGGAATATGCCTAATTCCCTTCTGGCGTTTTTAATTTTTTTAATCCTTTTGTGTTTTATGAGATGTGAGTACAAATTAATTATTCAGACTCTTGAGAGAGGAGACGAGTTGGCGGAGTTGCCACCCGTGTTCACGAACAGGAACAGAAGCCACCAGCACATGACATTGCCCAAGCCACCCAGAGATCAGAGTGGAAGAGTCCTAATTGCTGGGCGGCCCAGCCCCGGGATGTGCCTCTCCCATCCTTCTCCAGGCGGGGCTCGTGGCTAAGCAGCGACTCACCCTGCCAGCCTGTCACAGGCCAAGAGCGGCCAACAACTCCGCAGGCGACAATGGCCGCTGCACCCCAGGCGCTGTGGAAGCCCGACCCGGCTCTGGGTCCCATCTTAGAGCCTGGGATGCAGTGTCGGGAGTCGCGGTGCCCAGAGCATCCAGTAGGTGTCGCTGTCCCACGGCCGCCGCGCGCCCCCGGGGTGGGGAGCCGGGGCGTGTCTGCCTCACCTGGGGCTCCCGGCGCGAGCGCCTCACCTGGGCTAGCGCCCCTTGCCGCCCGCGCCGCGCGGGGGCGCTCTTCCGCGGCTGGGTCCCCGCCTCCGCCCCAACAGCTCGGGCTGCAGTGCTGCTCGCGCTGCGCTGGGTGCTGGTTCTGCAACCCGCGGCCGTCCCCCCGCATCCGCGACGAGGGGGCGGGGTCCCACGGCGCGCTGAGAAAGGCGGGCGAGCTGGCGCTCAGGTGTGTTCTTCCATAGGGCCCGGGCGGCAGAGAGGACCGCGTCCCGGCAGTCGGAGCGGGAGGAGGACAAGACGATGCCGCTGTCCCCGCCAGCCCAGGGCGACCCCGGGGAGCCCAGCCCGTGCAGGCCCCCTAAGAAGCACACCACCTTCCACCTCTGGCGCTCCAAAAAGAAGCAGCAGCCGGCGCCGCCTGACTGTGGGGTGTTCGTTCCGCACCCGCTCCCGGCGCCTGCCGGAGAGGCCAGGTGAGCTCCTCGCCCGAGCCCTCCAGTCCCACCTCCTCCTCCTCCTCCTTCTCCTGCTGCGCTAGCCCTTGGACTCCTGACCCCACTTGGAGGAGGGGAAAGCCCCGGGGTCTGTTTCAGTCCGCAGGAGGGTACCCGGGTCCGGAGGGGAGCGATCGTAGCCGCTGGGGTTGACGAGGTTCCTCGCGGCTTTTGGTTCAGACCAAGCACCGGCGAGAGGAACTTGTGCCCACGCATGTGGCCTTTAGTATGACTGCAAAGTTTTCATGCAGGAGCCTCCCGCATCAGCCTGCTAACCAGAGCGGCGGGGAGTGAGGGTTGTTACCGTCCTAAATGATGGCGGGAACTCTGCTTTGGGGTTAGGCACTGCTTTTGAGCTAGTGTCTTTATTGTAAAGCTCTTTATTGTGAATATCTGTAAGATCTGTGCTCTTACAGATGTTATACCCCCATTCTCCTCGCAACATACGAAGGGAGGAGGAAGTGGCAGGAATGGTTACCCCCATTTCATGGGTGGAGGAACTGAGACCAAAGGATAAATGGCTTCTCCCCATTGGAGCCAGTGGCAGAGCTAGAGAGCACCTAGTTATCAAAACTGTAGTTACCATTGTGCTTTTTGATTTTTATCATGGTTTTGAAGTGGTTTTATTCTATATGTATAATTATTCAACTATAGCATCAGAGTTTATGCATTCGTTGAATAATAATCAATTTGAAGTAACAGCGTATTTACATGGCTCAGAGGTGTGAAATATTTATAGTGATGGACAATTGACAATGTCCAGTAAATCCTTCCAAATGTGTTTTTAAAATACACCCTATGAGGGCCAGAATAAAATTGTGCAAAATTTGCATTTTAGACATGGTTTTCCTTTTATTTCTTTCTTTCTTTTTTTTTTTTTTTTTCTGAGACGGAGTCTTGCTCTGTCACCCAGGCTGGAGTGCACTGGCCCAATCCCGGCTCACTGCAAGCTCCACCTCCCGGGTTCACGCCATTCTCCTGCCTCAGCCCCCGAGTAGCTGGGACCACAGGCGCCCGCCACCACGCCCGGCTAATTTTTTGTATTTTTAGTAGAAACGGGGTTTCACCGTGTTAGACAGGATGGTCTCGATCTCCTGACCTCATGATCCGCCCGCCTCGGCCTCCCAAAGTGCTGGGATTACAGGCATGAGCCACCGCGCCCGGCCTCTCCTTTTATTTGTAAAAAAAGTCAATTTTACGATCTATTTTCATTCACTTATTGTATTGAGTACCTTAGCTAAGTGCCATGTACTGCGATATAAAAAACAATGAGAGACAGGAATAATTGTGTCATCAAAGAATTGTTAGTCTCTTGTGGATACCAAAAAATGCAATGATAGATGCCAGCACACAGGAGGGGATCAGGGAGGCTTCCTGGAGGAGGATAGGTGAAGTGGCTTAGGCAGAAACAGGGAGGAGCAGCGAGTTCCAGGCAGGGGCTGCACTGTGCACATCACCAGCACTTAGAAGAGCGTGGCACTTCCTGAGAAGCGCAAGTGGTTGCAGCGGGGAGGTCTAGGTGTGAGTGGGTAAGGGTAGGAAACCTAAGAAAGAAGTCATTTTATTTTTCTCTCATATTTTATCATCCACATTGGTAATCAGTTGTAGTAGAAATATATTACCTATTCAAACGTTTACTGTGCCTAATTATAGATTATACTTTCTAACAAAATACAGTATTTAATGTACCCAACATTGAAGTTCTTTTCTATTACCTCAGTAAATATTTTAAACATTTCCATCGTGGTTTTCCTTTTAAGATCTAGTCTTATCATTTACTGTCTATCAAAACATAATAATACACAGCTATAGGTAATTTATTCAAATGTAAATACATTTTAGTATAAAATTTAAAATAGGAGGCCGGGCGCGGTGGCTCACGCCTGTAATCCCAGCACTTTGGGAGGCCGAGACGGGCGGATCACGAGGTCAGGAGATCGAGACCATCCTGGCTAACACGGTGAAACCCCGTCTCTACTAAAAATACAAAAATTAGCCGGGCATGGTGGCGCGCGCCTGTAGTCCCAGCTACACGGGAGGCTGAGGCAGGAGAATGGCGTGAACCCGGGAGGCGGAGCTTGCAGTGAGTCGAGATCGCGCCACTGCACTCCAGCCTGGGCGACAGAGCGAAACTCCGTCTCAAAAAAAAAAAAAAAAAAAAAAAATTAAAATAGGAGATTTGCTTCTCTCCTTGAGTTTTTTTATATTTTAGTGCAGTCTTGAAACACTTCATTTTTTCCTTCAGAACCGTGATGAACTTCGTATTAATAAATGTTCTGAAAAACTAAACGTACTAGTCTGTCTTTGGGATGTTTTTCTAGTTAGATCATCTTTATAAATATTTCATTTACTTCTAAGAGAGTGTACTTCTTTCTGGTTTAAAGAGAGTGGCAAAAGCACCCTTAGATTTCAAGCCAGTTTGCCCAGTGTGGCTCTCTTAAGCCTCCTGACCATATCCCTTCATTTCTGTCCAGGACTTGGAAGTGATGGAATTTGGCTGGAATGTGCAGCACTCACTGTGGTTTTTGTCTCTAAATAAGGAGGGGACAGTCAGGTAGCCACCCATATTTGCTTATTTGATTAATATTATGGGTGTTTAGGTCAGAAAAAAATGAATTTATCTACTAGCTTTGTGACCTTGGGCAAGTTATTTCACCTCTTAAAATCTCAATTTCCTCATCTGTAATATGGAGACAATAGGATGCTGACTCTGTAGGGTTGTCATGAATATTAAATGAAAGTTTATGTTATTAAGTGCAAAAACCTTAACACACTTCTGAGCACAAAGTAGAAACTCAGTAAATGCAAAAGCATCCTGGTCATCATCATCATCATCATCATCATCAAAGCAAAGGTCTAATGGAAGAAATGGAAAAGATAGGTTTGGATAGGGGAAAACCAACTCTAGGAAGATCTTTTCCTAGAAAAGTTTACCAGTCCAGCCGGGTGCGGTCACTCACGCCTCTAATCCCAGTACTTTGGGAGGCCAAAGCAGGTGGATCACCTGAGGTCAGGAGTTTGAGACCAGCTTGGCCAACATAGTGAAACCTCATCTTTACTAAAAGTACAAAAAAATTAGCTGGGCATGGTGGCTCACACCTGTAATCCCAGCTACTCAGGAGGCTGAGACAGGAGAATCCCTTGAACCCAGGAGATGAAGGTTGTGGTGAGCCAAGATCATGCCATCGCACTCTAGCCTGGGCAACAAGAGTGAAACTCCATCTCAAAAAATAAAAAAAAAAAGAAAGAAAAGCTTGCCAGTCCAAAGATGATTTAAAGTTTATTAAAGTCAGATTTTCGTATTCTGCAAATATTTGTGGCTTTTGGTATAGACATTCTAATCAATTATTTCTTTATATGAAATAATTTGAACTTGGCTACTTCTCTTTCCAAAATTTACTCTTAAAGTTTTTTTTCAGCTTGGTTTTGGTAAACATGGTCATATGATGTTATTTTTCACAAAGATAGAGTTGCTGCCCTCCTGAGTCAGCCCCATCCCCTGTCTAGTCCATAATTCTCTTGCCATTAGAGGGTCTAGTGGTGTGGTGGAATGAGCATGGCGAGCTGTGGCCAGGCCACTTAGCAGCCACTAGTGGCACTGTCATTTACCACATTTTAAATTATACTCTGTCTTGTGAATAATGTGCTCAGAATGTGGATTCTCTACTTGGATTTAAATTCTTGTTCTTCTGTTAATACTTACCATGACACTGAATCCTATCATCCTAGGAAAGTTATTAACATTTTTGTGCCACAATTTTCTCATTCACAAAATGGGAATCATAAGAGTTGTTATAAAAATAAACGAGTTAATGCATTTCAAGTGCTCAGAACAGTGGTTGGCACATAGTATGTGCTCAACCAATGGGAGTTGTTTCTCTTTTTCTTACTAGTTTCTTGCTTATGCCTCCTTTGGAGTAGGAATTTTGTGTGTTTTTCTGCTATATAATGAAAGTGGTACTTTCTTTTTATCTATTCAAGCCACTTTGTGTTATTTTGGTTTTTTTAAATATTAAAAATAGTAAAAATATTAAAACATAAAAAGGCTGCATGTGGTGGCCCACACCTGTAATCCCAGCACTTTAGGAGGTGGAGGCGGGTGGATCACCTGAGGTCAGGAGTTCAAGACCAGCCTGGCCAACATGGTGAAACCATGTATGTAAAAATACAAAAAATTAGCCAGGGGTGGTGGCGGACGCCTGTAATCATAGCTACTTGGGAGGCTGATGCAGGAAAATCACTTGAACCTGGGAGGTGGAGGTTGCAGTGATCTGAGATCGTGCCATTGCACCCCAGACTGGGTGACAGAGTGAGACTCTGTCTCAAAAAAAGCAAAACGAAACAAAACCAAAAAAAAAAAAACATAAATAGAGACAGGGTCTCACTATGTTGCCCAGGCTGGTCTCAAACTCCTAGGCTCAAGCAGTCCTCCCGCCTTGGCCTCCCAAGTGCTAGGATTACGGGTGTGAGCCACCACATGTGGCCATACTTTTTGTTATTTTGATTAGAAGTGGGTCCTTAGCTAAAGGTCAAAAGCAGTGAATTATTTCCATTGAGTTCTTTGTTTAAGAACCTGTATTTTTTTTTAAAAAAAGCAGTGAATTAAAAATTATCACCATTGAACTGAATTGAACTCCACATCTAGAAACAAGCATTAATGCTCCCTGCAGGAGAGCCAAATTCAAGCAGTAGATGGGTCTCATAATCCTGTGAAAATCAGCTCGCCTTGTTTCAGTTGGAGGAAAAGTGTAGCCAGTGTCAAGGGCAGAGCATCCTCATTGGGCAGGCAGAGATCTACCTCTGAGTGAAGGCCAGCAGGCTCAAGTTTCAGAACTATAGACAATCCCTTAGTTTTTCTGTACTCAGTGGACCTTTCCCTTCTATAAAGAGAAAACAACTAACTCCCTGTTTATATCACTAGAATGTTGTAAGGATAAACTATTGTTATCTGGAGCGTTTTTCTTTTTTCTTCAGAAAAAGAACAATCATTTAAAATGTTATTTGAAAGCATTCTGGAACTGTAGAGTGTTAGTCTTCGTAACTTAAAATTGATTCTAGTTTCCAGTCTTTTGTGGCTGGTTTGGTGCTTAGAACTCTAAACAGGTTTAATTATTTTCTAGCATAAAGAACATAGCCAGGTAAGTCTATTTTTGTTTTATGTAATGTTAGATTTAAACTGGTTAGTACTGAGTTTTCCCTCTTATTTTCCTTATACTAAAGGAAAGAGTTTTAATTTTTAGGTTTATTTTATTTCACCAGTGATAAACCAGTAATTTAAAAGTAAGTCTGCCACTAGCTGTGAGCTTCTTGGGAAGTTAGTTTACCCCGATAACTTCTGTTGTATGATCTGTGACCTATCTCTTAACATTGTTTTTGAGAGTTATAAATATATATTTTTTAAAAATGACTAGCCTAGTACCTGGCAGATAACAGAAACTCAGTAAATAGTACCTCTGAAAGCATGCCACAGTCAAAGGATAGTAGACTTTGGTGTTGGGCAGACTTAGTTTCAAATCTGCCTCTGCCATTGGGATAGATTTTTAACCTCTTTAAGTCTCAGTTTCTTCACCTGTAAAATGGAGGCAATTACACTTCTCTTATGGAGCTGTAGGAGGATTGGATGTTATCTATGTAAAGCACCCAGCACAGGGCTTGGCTCAAAGCAAGTGCTGGATAGAGGAAAGGTGGTGGTCAGTAGCAGGGGCAATACTGGCAGTGATAGTTGTAATTATTGTTGTCTTTATAGTAATGGTAGTAGTATTAATACATACATTGTTACTTTGTGAGTGGAGTAAAAACTTCAGAGGCCCAGAAGTCGTAACCAGGTCTGTTAAGCTTTGAAGTACCTTTGAGTATTTGGATGTTCATGTTGGTCTCTAAAAGGGAGACCCTTCATGCGCTCTCAGTGCCTTAAAAGTCTTAATATATCTCACTGAGGAAGCCAAGGCTAAACTTTCTACTTGACATTACAGGAGTTTTTCCCAAAGGGATTTTGGAGTCTGAGTTTAGCATACGATAATCATTTGCCACTTATCTCTGTCATTGAATTACTTTATCCCCCCTCTATTTCCACACTTTCCATCACAATCTACTCTCCATAATCAAGTGGCAGTGACATAAACCCTTTTGGGGACCTTTAGTAAGACCTTCGAAACTTGAGTTCACTTCTTTTTTCTTCTTTAGCTCTTTTTTAAAAAAATATTGGGCCAGGTGTGGTGGCTCACACCTGTAATCCCAGCACTTTGGGAGGCCAAAGTGGGCGGATCACAAGGTCAGGAGATCCAGACCATCCTGGTCAACATGGTGAAACCCCGTCTCTACTAAAAATACAAAGATTAGCTGGGCGTGGTGGCATACGCCTGTAATCCCGTCTACTTGGGAGGTTGAGGCAGGAGAATCACTTGAACCAGGGAGTCAGAGGTTGCAGTGAGCCAAGATTGTGCCACCGTACTCCAGCCTGGCAACAGAGCCAGACTCTGTCTAAAAAAAAAAAAAAAAAAAAATCAAATACATATATACTCCCTTTTTCATTAATAGTTTTGCCAGAATGTATGGCTTTTGATTATAAATCTTATTTTTAGGTCAGCATGGTGGCTCATGCCTGTAATCCCAGCACTTTGGGATGCTGAGACAGGAGGATTGCTTGAGCCTAGGAGTTCAAGACAGCCTAGGCAACAAACTCAGACCCTGCTTATCCAAAAAAAAAAAAAAAAAATTAGCCAGGTGTGGTGGCACACACCTGTGGTCTCAGCTACTGGGGAGGCTGAAGTGGGAGGATCATTTGAGCCCAGGAGTTATGATCATGCTACTGCACTCTAGCCTGGGTGACAGAGTGAGACCTTGTCTCTAAAATAATCGTAATAATAAATGAGTACATCTTTTTTGTAAGCTGAGATAGTGAGTTGCTGCTGTAGTATTTGTCCACAATTAAAACAATGTAGTAAACATATTAGATATTGAAATAGTTTCTAATTCCTAATAGTCATTCAAAATACATATCTTACTATGAACATTAAAAATACATATCTGAGCCAGGCATGGTGGCTCACACCTATAATCCCAGCACTTTGGGAGGTGGAGGCAGGTGGATCACTTACTTGAGGCCAGGAGTTTGAGAGCAACCTGGTCAACATAGCGAGATCCCATCTCTTAAAAAAGATACATACACACACATACACACACACACACACACATCTGTCTTAAAGTTTGAGTTCAGCTAAGGGGTCAGTTATGTTTCAGGAATGTCCATGCAGAAGAAAAGTGATTTATGTATTGAAAATCTGTGTCTGGTCAACATGAGAAGATCGTTTGAAGCTTGAATGGTGTGTTCTTCTGTCTACCTTGAAAAACTTGTCCCAAAGTGAGTTTTCAAGATACAGGATGTATGACTGTCTAATGCTTGTGAGGAGCTTAGCAAGAATGACCAGCGAATTGCTTATGAGTCTCATTAGCTCATTTACAGTTGCCTTAAAACATAGCTGCATTGGGCTAACCCAAATGCCTCATCAACATACCTGTACAGATTCAAATATATGAGAAGTCTTCCCTCTAGAGAGTGAGCCCTTGCTTAGTGCTGCCTTTACAGCACTGTGCATCTTCTGGATTGTTCCGTTCAGTGGAAGAGAAGCAATGACCCCTCATAACAGAGACCTAGATTGAGTTGCTAATTATTCAGCCAGTATACAGTATATACTATAGTGTGGTTACTGAGATACTGAATAGTTTAAGAGTTTCTGCCATAATTAGTACCTCACCTACTACTTAAAAAAAAATAAACAACCATAACTTAATTCATGTTTTCAAAAAAAATTTAAAGCTTGAAGGAACCATATTTGTAACAACAAAATGTCACTTAAAATGATGGAGCCTATCAATATATTGTTACCTATGCAAGAACTCCCTTTACAGAGCTTGAAGTAATGCTAGTAATGTGACACATAATATATTTTATTCATGATTTGTCATTTAAATGTGTTCAGAATACTGATGGATTCATAAATATCTCATGAAAGCATACATTTTGACAAAGTACCAGGAGGCCCAAGGACATACAAATGGGGCAGAGAATCAGAATCCATTTGCAGTGTCCCCGACCTCTCTCACTGGCATGTTATAGACAAGTAAAGGTTGCACCCATAGCTAACACACACAAAAAGAAACACAATTAACAAGTACCTTTTGTTTGTTACCTTCTCATAAATGGCAATTAAATGAGTAAAAGTAGGTTGGTGTTAAGCTTGGCAAAAGATACTGTGGGGAAGAAAGTTGGCTGCTGGTTGTGTTTATTGTTTGTGCCATTTCAAGCTAGCAACCCTAACTGAGTCTCAGTCATTAGAATTTAGGTTTATTCCAAAGGTAATATCGACAGCTCAAATATGAGATTTGGCCAACAGTTACATAAAGTCACCATGCAGAGTACACCTCTTAATTTTTTTCAAATTTGTTTATAAGTAGTAGCATAAGCTCATGATAGTCTTTGGATTCGTTTTTTAATCTTATGATTAGGATCAAGGGTCAAAATAATATATGCTGCATATAAGATAAGAAAATAGAGGAAGCATGTGCTTTATAATAACTTCAGACCATGTCTGTGAAAACATTGTTTCCCATCAATATTTGATTGAGAGATGCAGTTTATTCAATATGCACTATGTATCAGACACTGTTCTAAGTGCTTTACAAATATTAACCCACTACAGTTAATTTATAACTTTCCTCAGAGGTAGGCACTATTATTAGTCCCATATTGAGGAAAAATCAGGCACAGAGGGGTATGATTATTTGGTCAAAGTCACAGAGCTCATTAAGAGTGAGGCTGGGATTCCCCAGCCGGTGATCTTGAGTCCTTGTGGTTAATCACTGCAGGTAAATCCCTGCAAGTTAATCACTGTGGTTAATGGTGCTTTCTTTATATTCTTATATGAGTTCATTTAGCCTCTAGATCTCACAAGTAGAAATTAAAATACATATGATAAATTAAGTTTTGGTACTAGACAATTTCTACGTTAAATAGTGGAAAGAAATATGTTAATTAATAGAAATATAAGTTCATTAAAATCTTAGATGAAAAAAGATTTTAAAACAGAAATTCAAAAGTATATATTATAAATGAAAGTATCATGTGTAGATTCTGAGTTTGGGGCTTCTGCCCAAGCTGTGTCAGAAAAAAGCATTACCAAGAGGTGGACCTACTTCGTACCCCTTCTTCTGCCCTGACACAGGCAGGAGAATGCAAGGTCAGAGATAAGTGGTAGATGGGGGGCCCTCTAGTTGCTGCCCATGCTAAAGAGGCATGGCAGAATTTCTCAAGTAGTTGCTTTACCAGTTGCTGCAGAAAGCTGCTCCTGGCTGCTCTAACTTTAGGCCTCTAGAAGCCCTGCTGCTTGAATCCATTGGTTTTACCTCCTGACTTATTCTTGAGGATTCCCTGGCAATGAATACAGGTTCCACCTTACATTGACCTTACACTTCAAGGATTGTAAACCATTGCTGATACTTTATCCCACTTGAGGCTTATAAGGGTTCTGTGAAATAAGCCCATACCCTCATTCTGAGGATAAGGAAACTGAAGTTCATGGAAGGTAATGCAGGTGGAGGAAGCAGGACTAAAACTCAGATTTTCTGATTTTTTCTTAGCTGTTCTTTTGGGTTCTCTTGCATTGTGTACTATACCTTCACTCCTGGCCTGTACCCACCTTTGACAGGAGCCCAACTGACTCATCTGACTTCCTGATGACTATTCCCCTGGAAATCTTCCCTTAGTTTCATAAACTAACAACGATGAGACTGTCTGATCCCTAGATTGAGTGACTAGTTATTCAGCCAGCACCTATAGTCTGGTTATTGACATACTGGATAATTTCTGGGTTTCTACTATAATTAGTACCTCACCTACTACCTAAAAAAAGCCAACAAAAATAAAAATAACTCAATTCATGATTTTTTAAAAAGCTTGCACAAGCCATATTTTATAACAACAAAATGTCACTTAAAGTGATAGAGCCTATCAGTATGATATTGTACCTATGCAAGAACTCCCTTTACAAGGCTTGAAGTAATGCTGGTGCTGTGACACGTAATATAGTGTATTCATAATTTGTCACTTAAATGTTTTCATAATACTGATGGATTCATAAATATCTCATGAAAGCACAGCTTGAGTTTTTGCATCTGCTATTAGTAAAAGGTATGATAGTTGAAGCAACTGTTGACATTCACACTGAAATTCAATGTCTCCTTTATCATGCATGTCATTACAAACCTAAGAACTGGCCCTTTTCAAGCCTGGGCAGAGGAGGCTCACCCAGGCCTTGCCAGCCACTCTTGGCTCTACTGCCTTGCTTCTTTCCCCACTGTTGGCTTCCTTCCCCACCAT
This sequence comes from Homo sapiens, assembly GCF_000001405.40. Lineage (NCBI taxonomy): Eukaryota > Metazoa > Chordata > Mammalia > Primates > Hominidae > Homo > Homo sapiens. The sequence continues at coordinate 106,371,478 of NC_000006.12, forward strand.
TTAGCTCCCATGAACTAAGTGGTTGTTATTATCAGCAAAACAAGAAAATGTAGTTACTGCAAGGGTGGGATTACCGAACTATTCTCTTTTGTATTGGCTATCCAAAACAATTTTGTCTGGAGTGGACTCAATTATCAATCAGGAGTCCTTCATTGGAACATACGTAGGGTTTGAAACAAGAGCACTTGTATTCCTGTGTATCAGTATACATGTTTAAACAAGCTTGTCTAAAACTAGATTTTGGATTTCTTTCAAGATAAAAGCAAAGTAGGACTGAATGTCTGCATTTGCTCAAAAGTTTTGACCTTTACTAATTTGCATTTTGTGATTGTCGTAATGTTACCCTGTAAAAGGTTTCAAGTACTTTGGCCTAGAAGTCTTAGTAGCTAGGTGCATTGCTGGCACTTAATTGTATCCTTTCCTGTTGTTCCACTTTTATTAAAAGCTTTTTTGTATGCCCATGAGGAAACAACCAGTCACAATAGCTGATAACTGTTGACAATGTAGAGAGGCGATGTCTCCATCATCATGTAGTTTCTTCCTACAGAGACGCTCCTCAGGAATTTATGCATCTGCTTTCTCACTGCAGGATTTCTGGTTGCCTTTCTGTGTATAAGCATACATTGGCTACAATTCCACTAACTTACAAAGCCAGCAGAAGTTAAACAAAGAGGAGCACCATTTTATATCTTAATGCCACTCCATAACTGATCAACAAAGAACAAACGTATAAGTTGGTGCAAAAGTAATTGAGGTTTTTGTCATTACTTTGTTTTTGTCATTACTTTTTTTTTTTAGATAGGGTCTCCAGTTGCTCAGGCTGGAGTGCAGTGGCACAATCTCAACTCACTGTAGCCTTGACTCCCTGGGCTCAGGTGATCCTCCCACCTCAGCCTCCTGAGTAGCTGGGACTACAGGTACGTGCCATCACACCCAGCTAATTTTTGTATTTTCAGTAGAGACCAGATTTGGCCATGTTGGCCAGGCTGCTCTCAAACTCCTGACCTCAGGTGATCTGCCCACCTTGGCCTCCCAAAATGCTGGGATTACAGGCGTGAGCCACCGTGCCTGGCCTTTTGTCATTACTTTTAATGGCAAAAACTGCAATTACTTTTGCACCAACCTAATAAAAACAGTTGGGTTTGAGCACGTTCACTGAGAAAGATGGGTGTGGCATGCGGGAATGAAGGGAAAGGATTCTTTTTGGCCAGATAATTCTCAATCTCTCCTATAAACTAAATAAACATAAGGACATTTTGTCAATTGTGTATAAGACAAGGGACATGAACAATTCCTTATTATGTGACAGTTGCTTTCATATCAGTGTATCTCATTCAGTCTTCATAGTAGCTGTGCCAAATAGGTATTTCTACCTTCATATTTATAACTGAGAAGACAGAACCTGAAAGAAGTATTTTAGCTAATAAATGACAGAGCAGTATTTGAAATACTTCTTTCTGGCTCTAAACCTCAAAATATTTTCACCACAGCATGAAAAAACTAAAGCTCATTGAACGAGTAGTTGGTAGAGGCTGTGTGTGTGTGTACAGGGGAGGTAACTAGCTAATGAATAAAGCTTCCCGTAGAAATGTAGGTACCCATTTACTCTCAGAGCTGTCTCCCTGAGCAGGGAAGCATTTCCTCCTTTTGATTACATGCACCCTACTTGGTCCCATTGTACAGAAGGGTATCCAGGAACAAAGAATTCATATGCCTTATAAAGTTAATGGGGCATTCTTGTTTTCCTGGGAACCCCTGACTTGAAATGATTCTAAGAAGAATCTGTGACTCAGTTCCTGAAGTGTTAACTAAACCTGTTGCACCTGATTTCCAATCTAGCCACAAAGTCTTAGTACCTGCTACTGGGGTGATTCACTGAGTATGTAAAGGAATCTAAGGTGACAAATGTTGAGGATTTTTCACTCTGCATAAAGGTCACAGCCCCAAAAGAGGAAAGAAAATGCTGGTGACCCAAACTTCAAATTTGTAGGCGATACAGTTGGCGTGAAAGATGTAGATCTACAGAGTTTGATGCAAAAGGATTATGAAAACCTTGTAAATAATCTTTGTCTTTAGTACCCATTTCTCTCAAAACTGAGTTTTATTTTGATTTTCATGTATGTGAGTTTTAAAATTATGTTTAAGAATGTTCATTAGTTTCTATGAATATTATTATATACACAGAGCTAACTTCTATGTCAGTAGGTCACAGAAAAGAGTAACTTTCTGTTTCCATTTTACCAGACTGGAAATTTATATGCTCTGGTATTTAGATTACATGTTGTTGGCTTAAAGCCTAAATCATTATAGTCATTAATACTGTTCATTTTCCAAAGTACAACTGGAAATTTGCTACTTTGTCTTAAACCACTCTCTTTTATTATAGACTTTCTCTAATTTTAAAAACAATTACCCAGTGATAATGGTAATTGAAGCAGAAGGTTGGTTTACTTCTTTTATGTGTGACTGTAACTGAGCAGATGTTACTACTTCTCTCCAAAGTGGTCTTGATGTATGGTTTTCAGTGACTGTGTTTGTCACACTCAGAAAGGTAAGTAACTGTGATAGTGAAACTGCACTAGTATAATTCATTTATTAAACAAACATTTATAGACACCTGCTGTATGTGAGGCCCTGGAGTGTGGGCTGGCAAACCAGTTCAAGTTCTGTGGTTGGCAAATTGAGTCTCACTCCCCTATCTTCTAGAGAAGCTGCAATATTCACCATTAAAATGATAAAAAGTTGCTACACTTACCGCTATAATAAAAAAGAGATATTCAAATATGCATAAGACAGCCTGGCACGGTGGCTCATGCCTGTAATCCCAGCACAATGTGAGGCTAAGGTGGGAGGATTGCTTGAAGCCAGGAGTTGGAGACCAGTCTGACCAACATAGGAAGACTATGTCTCTACAAAATAAAAAAAATAAAAATAACTGGGCAGGGTGGCATGCACCTGTAGTCCCAGCTACTTGGGAGGCTGAGATGGGAGGGTTGCTTGAGGCCAAAAGTTCAAGGCTGCAGTGAGCTATGATTGTGCCACTGCACTCCAGCCTGGGCAACAGAGCAAGACGTCTCGCTGAAAACAAACAAATATGCTCAAGACAGAGGCTGAGAGATAAAAGAACTTAATCCTCACAGAGGATGAAGAATTTATAATTCTTGAGTGTAATTGTTACTGCTAAAGGAATTCCAGAGAACACTTGATGATGTTAGTGTATATAAATTCTCTAAATGGATGGTTCTATTTATATCTATAATGTAAAGATATGCATATTGATATATATGTTTGTATATATAGATAGACACATTCATACATATATACACATACATACATTCTAGCACTAAGTTCTTTACTGATATATATACTCAGTTCTAGATTACCTACTTAGTAAATTAAACATGTACTTACGACATCAGCAAAGCAGGAATGAGAGAGAGAAAAGCCAAAATACGCCTGAAAGTTCTGTGTTATTTTCAGATATTAAATTTTGTTGTAGGGTTTAGAATTGTTTTTATTTTGAATGACATATTGAGGTGGGGGGGGCATAACCTTTTTGATGGTTAAAGTTTCTAAAGATAATGATGCAGACCTCTGTATATACCTTGTTTAAAGAGCACTGTGGCCAGGCGTGGTGGCTTATGCCTATAATCGCAACACCTTGGGGAAGCTGAGGCAGGAGGATCACTTGAGGCCAAAATTTGAGACCAGCCTGGACAACATAGTGAGACCCTGTCTCCATAAAAAAAATTTTTGAAATTAGCCAGGCGTGGTGGCATGTGCCTGTAGTCCCAACTACTCGAAAGGCTGAGACAGGAGGATTGCTTGAGCCCAGGAGTTCAAAGCTGCAGTGAGCTGTGATTAAGCCACTGCCCTGCAGCCTGGGAGACAGAGTGAGGCCCTGTCTTTAAGTAAGTAAGTAAGTAAGTAAGTAAGTAAGTAAGTAAATAAATAAATAAATAAATAAATAAAAGAGAGCATTGGCAGGGGTTAGGGTGGAGGTGGGAGAAAAAGTATGATGTGAACTGTGGAAGGTAATAGAGAAATATGCCCCATTTATTCTTGTGTTCATCTCATGAGTCGGATTCCAGGCCCAAAGGTACCACTTTATCTTCCTTAAAGAGGCTCAGTTGGTTAGCATCACTTGTTAAATGTCCTGTCCAGTTGTGTGGAAACGGTCAGATCGGTGAACTTCTCAAGTAACTGTTCTTTTATGGTTTGAGACTCCAGTTTTATTTTTTGATACATTTACTTTTTGATACACTTGGCTTAGCTGTTTTGGAGGCTTCACCATATTGAGTAGTTCCCCTTCACCCCTGTGGGTGTACATACCAAGATCCCCTGTGAATTTCTGAAACTGCTGATAGCACTGAACCCTCTATATACTATGTTTTTTCCTATATACATGTACCTATGATAAAGCTAAATTTATGAATTAGGCACAGTAAGAGATTAACAATAGTAAATGATAAGAACAATTATAACAATATACTATAATAAAAATTACATGAATATGGTATTTCTCTCTCTCTCTGTCAAAATATCTTATTGCATGTAACATTTTTGGACCACGGTTGACTGAGTGACTGCAACCATGCATAAGGGAGGACTGCTATAGTTATAATAATTCACAACCTCACTATTTATGGATAACACTGTTAACATTGTGTTCCTTTTTGGTACACATTTTCATATAGCTTAGCAGTAAAGATGAAATTATAGAGGGAGTAATTTAGATGGCTTTTGTATCTCGTTTTGTTTTTCATTTCACATTTTATCATAAGCCTCTCCCTACTTCATTAAAACATGTAAAATAATTTCCTTACTCATTTCCCTCTGTGTAAAACCTTTATCCACATCTTGAACCTCAGTCTCTGGATATTCTCTATTTGTTTTTCCAGACCCACTCTCCACCCTCCTCTGTGCTCAGAGGCTGTATTTAATGACTACATGAACCTAGCTCTTTGTCCTCTGGCTTCTATAACAGTTAGGTTCTGCCAGTGGGAAGCTTTGGAGGAGAGGGCAGGAGTGGGAGGTCAGGCTGGAGTTAGGTAATGGTTTTGTTACTTCGCAGAAGGCCACAGGTTCTGATGGGTCAACCTCTTCTATAGCTCAGATCTTGGCAGTTCCAGTACTCACTCCCTCCCCTTGCCTTTATGCTTAGGGGGTAGTAGAGGCTTCCTGCCATTGGGAGCCCTGGTCTGCTTACCATTCCTTAGTGGTTTTCCCTTACCTGTCCACATCTTGTAACTAGTCAGTTATTTAAACACTTCTCAATTATCTCTTTGTGTGTACCATCGGTTCTCTGCTGAGAACCTGGCTGACATCTGAATCCAAGTGGTACGCTCTTTATATTTTAGGTTTAGGGCTTTGTACTGCAGAAGGATAAAAGACAGTTCAGGATTAGGTAAGGGAGTTAAATTAGTTCAGGTCTGAGCTGATGTTACTGAAAAATGGCATAGACTAAATTAAATGACACTTACAGAAATATAAGCAAATTGTTTCTGGAACAGAGAAAAAGGAGCAATCAATTCTTATAAACATTGTATTGAACACCTGTGCTTAAAAGGCAAGCAGGATACCTTCCCTGCCAAATGTTTCCAGTTCTCTTGTCTTATTTGGATAGTATTAGTTCAATTGTTTCATTTCCCTTTTCAACCTGGGCTTTCGTGACTATTTCCCTTCTGCTTTTCCTCCTCGTTTCTGGGCAGTTTGCCTATCCATACATACAGTCCTCTATCTCCACTTGGATAGTCCTTCTTCATTCTTGTGTTGCTCCCTTGTAGAAAGCACTCTCAGGGTTTTGTGAGCTGAATGGATACCACGTTTTTGGCATGCTCCCTTATATGAACAATAACCTTTTCTTACTTAAAGGAGACACAAAGCATGTAGCAAAAAGTTAACTTCATTCCGTTTTGCTTCAGCTCTAGATCTGAGTCATGACTTTTAAAAACAAATGCCAAAGCGGTCATCAGACTTACTAGGGGCTGTTAATACTTCACAGGCCTTTTAAATCCAATAAATGTAATGGAAGAATGTCAGTGTTTTCTGTGATTACCAGGTTATCACTGACAGAATCTCTGACTGAGAGAATATTAAGGCTTATTCTGTGGCTCACTGTGTAACTCATAAGTCCTAAGGTTTTATATATATATATATATATATATATATTTTCATTTGCAGTCTGTCAAAGATTTAAATAAATTTTGTCTATTTTTAACCTATTTTTAAATATGTCTTTGCTGATCAGATATTCACATTATATTTCATGCTCTTAGAAATGTGAATTACTCTTAGTGTATCCTACCACAGGTATAAATAAGTATAATTTACTTAAAATTCAGTATACAAAATTTCCATCATTTACCAATGACCATTGATGGCAGAAAAGACAAAAACAAAAATTTATTGGTATAGAAATGAGAGGACTTGGGTTTTAATTTTAGATTTCTCAGTTACAAATTAGGTGACTTTTAAGCAAATCACCTAAATTCTTTGTGCTTCAGGGTATTTTTCCATAAAATGGGGAGAATCCCAATCTCCCTGCTCCCTAACCAGCCTGTTGAGTGGCTCCCTTGAAGCCATGTATGAGAGCATGGTGAGGAGTGGGAGGCCTAAGGCTTAGGGGAGCCCTGTCACCCCCCGGTCATCCCTCACACAGCTCTCACCACTTCTTTTCTGGAAGCCTTGAGCATTCTTTTCCCTCTTCCTGTGGTCTTCCCACAGGTGAGTAGACAAAGGGCAGGATTCACTTTCCCCTACCTTGTGTCCATTCTAATCTTCTCTCTAGCTATTCCTCTCCAGCTTCTCAACTTATTTCTGAAACATCTCCAAAATTCTGTTCTGAAGCTGGTACGGGGCATTCCCATTCATTTCCCTGTGCAAAGTGGCAAGGTGGAAGTGTGGGGCCTGTAGATCCCATCACTGCCACTGCTCAGGGCTCGGTCCTCGGCACTGTTGCCCACTCACCTCGGTTTTGCACCACCCAAGTGCCTGTGGGGATTGCTGTGCCTAGACACACATACCCATATTTCTTCTTTAGCTGCTGCTACCAGGTTGCCCTCTCTTACAGACACTACGTATTTCAGAGGAAGCACATATGGGCTTCCCACATAATTTCCAGAGGTAGTTAGGTTTGGTTGTCTCCATTTCACAGATTAAACAATTGAGGCATGAAATTGTTTAATGAGAGTTGTAACTGTATCTTCAGAATTTTAGCTAATGCCTCTTCCACTGTAGCTCCACAAGTATTTCACTACAGTAGATAGAAAGAGAAAAATGTGTTTTGTAGTTTTACTGGTTTATTGCAATGTCTTTTCTTCCTCCTCCTCCTGTTGTTCTTCTTCTTCCCTTTTTTTAAAACTTAAAATTAATGGAATAAAATGATGCTGGCCAGGTGTGGTGGCTCATGCCTATAATCCTAGCACTTTGGGAGGCCAAGGTGGGTGGATCACCTGAGGTGATCGAAACCAACCTGGCCAAAAAACGGTGAAACCCCGTCTCTACTAAAAATACAAAAAATAGCCAGGCTTGGTGGCAGGCGCCTGTAGTCCCAGCTACTTTGCTGAGACTGAGGCATGCAAATTGCTTGACCCCGGGAGGCAGAGGTTGCAGTGAGTTGAGATCGCGCCACTGCATTTCAGCCTGGGCGATAGAGCCAGACTCTGGTCTCAAAAATAAATAAATAAGTACAAATAGAACAAAATGATGTTGAAGTAAGAGAGTAAATGAAAACACTTATTTGATTAGTAAAGTAAAATAATAACCTTTGTTTTCCTTTCTTTTCTTTTCTTTTTTTTTTCGAGACAGAGTCTCTCTCTGTTGCCCAGGCTGGAGTGCAGTGGCATGATCTTGGCTCACAGCAATCTCTGCCTCCCGGGTTCATGCCATTCTCCTGCCTCAGTCTCCCAAGTAGCTGGGACTACAGGCACCTGCCACCATGCCTGGCTAATTTTTTGTATTTTTAGTAGAGACGGGGTTTCACCGGGTTAGCCAGGATGGTCTCGATCTCCTGACCTTGTGATCCACCCGCCTCGGCCTCCCAAAGTGCTGGGATTACAGGCGTGAGCCACCGTGCCTGGCCTCTTTTCTTTTCTTTAAGAGATGAGGTCTTGCTCTGTCATCCCGGCTGAAGTGCAGTATACGATCACAGCTCACTGAAGCCTCTAATTCCTGGGCTCAAGCAATCCTCCCGCCTTAGCCTCCTGAGTAGCTGGGACTACAGGTGTGCACCACCATGCCTGGCTACTTTTAAAACAATTTTTGTAAAGATGGGGGTCTCACTGTGTTGCCCAGCTTGAGGATTGCTTGAGGCCTAGTCTCCAACTCCTGGCCTCAAAAAATCCTCCTGCCTTGGCCTCCCAACATGCTGGGATTACAGGCATGCCTACCATGCTCAGCCATGATTTTTACATTCTAATTACAGATCACACTAAGGTGAACATTACAATTTTAATATAATAAATTCTATATGTAGAAAATAATGGATTGTTGTTAGTAACAAATGGCTGGCCATTGAATCCTTAGTTTGACTCTCACTTACTTTGTGCTCTTTTGAAATACACCGTCTCTAGGGCATTTCCATGTTTAGAGTTTGATAACCAAAGACACTGCCCTGACTTGTGCAATTTCAAAAAAGAAAAACCCCAGAAGTTGTCACCCCACAAGACACCTTTCTGATCAGAGCTGTTCATATTCAGGTCCCAACATGCAGCTTCAGTTTTTTTCTTAAGTGGAAATTCAGTAGCATTGAACACAATGTATTTAGGAAATTTAAATATTGAGCAATTTCAAATATCTCTAGAGTAATTTCCTTTGGGAACTTGTGATTTGAAAAGGTTACTATTTGAATTCCCAAGAGATTCTGGAACCCAAAATTCAGGGCTTGGATGTGGGACAGGAACCCAGAGTAACTGAAATCCAGCTTCTCTGAGGCATCACAGCTTGGTGGTGGGTCAGAGGGCTGATGGACTAGCCACCTAAATGACTCTAATGGGTTGGCACAGAGAGGAGAGTGTGATTAGGTGATGTTACCCGTTTCTGTGACAACCTTTGGAAATTCTTCTGTGTTCTAATAATTTAGATGAATTCAGAAAGAAGATGAGTAATCATAACAATAAAGAACTAAACCAGAAATCCAAAGACTTGGATCTTTGCTAATATTAGCTATGTTTATTCAGTGATGTCACTTGACTTTCTTGAGGCTTAGATTCCTCATTTATAATAGGAAGGGTGAATTCAGTCTTTTATCATAGGGTTTGTTCTGGTCTTAAAGTCTCTGAATTACATAGGTTAGTTTATAATTTTTACAGGAAAGTTTGTCATGTAAGTACAATAAGCAGCAATGTGTAATGTGTAAGGAAATTGAATTCATTCCAGTGATAGTTATTTCCACCCTTTTCAGTGGGGGTGCCCTTGATGAAACGTAGAGTCATCAAAATCAAGATGTTTCAAACTCCTTCTGAGTAGAAATCTTAAACATCTTGGATGATTGCAAATGGGAAAGAGGAAAACTGCAAAAATTATGTGTTTATTTTAGACACATAACATGAAAGAGTGGATTACATAAATGCTATTTCAAGAAATCTCTTAAGATGTACATACATTTGTGTCTATATGTTTGATGATCACTTTACAAATTCAGCATAGGATCATAACATAGAAACTGAGGTATATCCAGACACTCCTATATACAGCATAGAAGAATTTAACTAATGACAAAAATTCAGGGGACAAAAAAGTTTACAAAATTTGTGTCTGGCTTCTTTGTAGTCATAATGTGTCTGTTGACTTAATAAAATAGCATATTGCTTTCTTTACAGGTTTGAATCATAGTGTCTTGTGGCCAAAATTCCTAAATTCTGCTCACGGTTCAGCCATTTCCTGGGTGTGTTACCTTAGGTAAAGCATTTTACCTCTTTGGAGCTCAGTTCTTTCAACCATGAATTCTAAGTGCTAAAAACCATATCCAGTGAAAGACAGTTTTACTGAGAGAAGGTTACCTAGGAGATTGGCATCTTAGGTGAGTTCAGCTAGAAGCAAACTCTATGACAAGGATGTAAGTATAGATGTAATTTAGGAAATACCTGTGGGAAGTGAGTAAGAAGCCAGCCAGTAAAGGGGAAATTATAATGCCAGTTTCCACTGTTGGTAAATAGAGGTTGATCCTCTTGGGAAATTCTGGATACCATTGCAGAACTCAGAACTATGCCGTCTTTGGGGAGAGGAGCTGGAGTATTAAAACACCAAGTTCTGCCAGTCATTGGTTAAGGGCCGATCCTGCAGGCACTGTTTCTCTGGTACTTTCTGCTTTGGGCAATGTGTGCTCCTGCTAGCCAGAAAGCCCCCAGGTGGTTGGAAGTCCAGTTGTCCCAGGCTATATTATCTTGAGGAGATATGGACAGGGCATGGACAATGTCTGACATAATCTAGTTACAGGGGTACAGCCAGAGTACATCTAAACTGCTAGACTATGGTGCACCAAGGGAAGATAGATATGCACTCACTTCTAGAAGGAAACACCTCTAAGAGACACTGAAGCAGTACACCAGGAAGCAATGAACAGTCCTCCTCAGCTGTGTCAGTTTCCTGTCTACCTCTAAACAAAGGCATGCAACAGCCAGGGAGGGGCAGGCTTCTGAGCTCTTAATAGCCTTAGATTTGGGAGGCCAGCCATGGGCATTGCAAAAAACATGTTGACAGTACACGTGTGGTCAGTAGTCAAAATTGCAGGGCCTAATTGCTGGCTACATCTAGGACATAGCACTTTAAGGGGAGTAGTATCCATGAGGACTTTGTTGATGCAAAGGGCAAAACTACACGGGGAATCTGATTTATTTTGTGGAAATTCTTCTTTTGATAGAGAAAGAAATTCTCTGGTATGTTGTAAAAGAATATTAGGAGATACAGAAATTTTTATTAGGTTTTATGGGAAATCAAACCAGTTATTAGCATCATTCCTGAAAGATTTTGAAACATCTGGACTTTGAAATTTTTGTTCCTTCAGTGTCACCAGTTTTGTGAAAACTCCCTATTGCTTTCTAGGTAAAGTTGGCTTCTAAAAATGAATTTTTTGGCCAAGCATGGTGGCTCATGCCTGTAATACCAGCACTTTGGAAGGCCAAGAATAAAATAAAAATAATAAAAATCAAATTTTCTACCAATTGCTCTTTATACAATGGAAAAGAATGTAATCTCTGTTAGAATTATAATTTTCTTTCATATTTTTGTAATAATTTTGATTTTATTTTTAATATTTATGCCAGAATCAAAAGCCAAGTGTTTGGAAATAGTTTCTGTGCTATTGGCATGCAAAAGCTAGCTTTGGATGATAATCCATACACTTGTGATTATTATAAAAAATTGTGATTAACTATAACATTACCTGATGAATCATTGTCCTTGAGTTAGACACATTGCAAAAGACAATTGTAATTAGAACATCATGACTTTATTATTATTAAGTAATCTGCTTACTACAAAATTATTGATATCTAAGTAGGGCTAATGGGAAATCCTGCAATTTTTTGTGTGTGTCTCTATATCCACAAAAGGCAAGTAAGTAATCAAGTGGGCAGAAAGACTCTTGAGGTAGCTTTTTCCAGAATGGAGGTAGTGAGTTCAACTTGAACTAGTCATGGAACCAGAATTTTAAAGATTTTTTTAAAAGTATATGAAGATATTACCTCATCTAGTATTTCTCAAAATGTGTTAAATATCCAAATCAAAATCACTCAGGTGTAAAAAGCAGATTTCTGTTCCTCTAGAAATTCAAATTTGACAGATCTGAGGTCTGCATCTTAACCTCCATAAGTAGTCGTTAAAGTTTGAGAACCAAGGATCTAGCCCAGTTGGGATTAGGAAACTGAAATCCCAAAAGGGACTTGCCAAGGGCACCAGGCTATTCAGTGGCAAAGCTGGGGCCAGAACCAAGCTTTCTCTAGTTTAATGTTCATAAATGCATGTCCCAAACTTATCCTTTGCTTAAGTGATGATAAGTAATCTTTTACTATAGAATCAAATACAGCAGATGTATTAAGTCTCAATCCTTTCATAAATGTAAATGTGTAAATGAAATTTACACAGACTAGAATAATAGAATAGTTTATAGTTTTGAAAGGCTGGACTTTAGTTCCTGAAAGACTGTGAAACAAAACAGACAAAAAGTGCTGGTATGAACAGATCGCTAACAAGGCTCCCATATGAATGTATCATATGATATGTCACACATGTTTTTCCTCTGATCAGTTCTTTATTTCCACATCTATTGCTCATATTTGGCAAGTTTGCAATAGATAACTTCCTCCTGCAGTTTTTCATATGCAATCTCCTAAGTGTTCCAATGTGAATACACTACTTAGAACCACATCGTTGATGACTATCTGGGCTGGTGAGTTTTTGAGATTAGTACATGGGGCTAGGGAAGTTATAATTGTGGTTCTCAACCCTGTGTGTGGCCAGTCAGCTTTGCACAGAGAGAAAAAAAGAAGCTTCCTTGTTCATAAACTGCATTTCTAACAAAGCAAGTCTTCCTGCAGATGTGTAGTGTTGGCCATGCAGGTACCAGGTGACAGCAGGTGTGAACTCAGCACAGCACATCACCTCTATTGAGGAGCAGCTTGCAGAGCACTTACTGCTGATGGTGTGAGGTCAGTGTCACCTTTGTTTAGGATGGAAAATAGCATGAGTTTAAACTGTGACCCAAAACAAGGCTACAGAGACTCCTCTTTGACCTACTGGCTTTCTGGGGACTTCCCATCGGTAACTGAGGCCCTGTTCTTTAGAGCAGTGGTCCCCAACCTTTTTGGCACCAGGGACCAGTTTCATGGAAGATGATTTTTCCATAGACCGGGGGAAGACGGGGACGGGGATGGTTTCAGGATGATTTAAGTGCATTACACTTATTGTGCACTTTGTCTCTCTTATTACTACATTGTAATATATAATGAAATAGTTATACAACTCACCATAATGTAGAATCAGTGGGAGCCCTAAGCATGTTTTCTTGCACCTAGATGGTCTCATCTGGGGGTGATGGGAGAGAGTGACACTCGAATTGCGTTGTTTATGTCCAGTCTACTCCGTAATCTCATTTTGCTTGCAGTCACTGAAGAAAACCCTGCTTCACAAAGATAGGATGTTGGAAATGGAAGCATGCTTCTCAGTGCTTTTGTGGCAATCTCAGAATATTCTGGCTTGATTCCATCCAGAATGTATGGAGATTTGAAGTTTTCTCATACTTTTAAGTATGTTAAGTATGTTTTAAAAGTAAAACATACTTTTAAGGCCACCCTAATTTGTGATCTCAAGCAGGTGATCCTCTTCTAACTCAGACAACATCAATTCACCTGGCTTATTCACAAATGGGTCACAGATACATTCTTCCCAGTTCAGGTGTCTTTTGTGTTTGGGGTGCAGTCTCTTTCAAAATCTCTGCTAATGTTTGAAACATGTCAGAAATCCCAATGTTCACTCATCACTCCCATAATTCCAGTTTGGCTTTGAATGCAGCCACTTTATCTGCCGACTTGAACATAGTTGTCATTCTCCCATGAAGTGACAGATTGAGTTCATTGAGCAGGTTGAATATGTCACACAAGTAAGCAAGTTTTGCCACTGATTCTGTGTCACTGAAATGTGCTGCCAGTGGTGACTATTTTTCTAAAAGAAATCCCTGAAACAGCTCTCATAACAAAAACTCTGGCCAGTGATCTACCTTTAGAAAACCATCTCACTTCTGTGTATAAGAGAAACGTGTGTGCTCTGCATCCATCTCCTCTCAGAGCTGCTCAAACAGACATGGGTTAAGGGCATGTACTTTAATGGTGGTTGATAATATTAATCACATCCTGCAAGACATTGTTAAGTTCAGGTGACAGTTTTTGGCTAGCCAGCATTTCTCTACTGGATAACACAGTGCATAGCCTCACATTCAGAAACAATCTCTTTGACCTGAGCAGTGAAGCCAGAAAGCCATCCAGTCATGGCAGCTACTCTGTCCATGCATATACTGACACAAAATGACCAATTCAGTTTTCCTGATACATAATCATTCAAAGACTTGAATAGTTCTGCAGATGTGATGTTGGTTGGTAATAACAGTGCACATAACATCTTCATGCACATCCTCCTGAAAACTATATCGCACAAAAACAAGAATTGTTGTTTCATTGTAAACGTCGGTAGACTCGTCAACCTGAATTGCATACCACGGTGACTCATTAATCCTCTCTAACAATTATGTTTCAATATCCTATTCATCAGTTCATCTAGTTATGGTGCTAGCCCAAAGAGGAACACATGCCACCTTTTGAACCACAGCCTCTCTTAAAAATTCATGACAAACGTTCTTAGCAGCAGGCAGGATCAACTGTTCACCAATAGTAAAGAGCTTCTTGGCTTTAGCAATGCAGTTAGCCACTAAGAATGATGCTCTCAGTGCAGGCCCATTTGATGATGTGATGGCCTTCAATAACTGCTTCTGTTCTTGGTGTTCACATTAAAACAAAACAAAACAACAACAACAACAAAAAACCTCCAAAGGCTCATCTTTTAATGCAGGGTACTTGGTCTCCACGTGGCGAAGCAGTTTTGAAGGTTTCATGGCTTCATTGGATAGCCAGTCACAACATATTATACAAAGTGGGCTTACAGAATGTGAATAACCTGTTGCAATGAACCTGTAACTTCAGTAGGACTCAGTATTTTCTTTTAAATGCAGCTTTCTTTTTGTTGGCAGTCTTATAGTCTTCTGCTGTCTAATCACTGGGTCTTTCCCCGTTTTTCAAAGAAGCTCTCCAGTGACATTTGTTTTTTACTAATTTTGGCTAAGGTTGGCTTGTGAGCTTACCAAAACTGTGACTGAGACAAGTGCGTAGTGCAGGAAAGAGGTGTGGACAGAAGTGGTAAATAAAATAATGGATAGGCTGTGTGTGGACTAAAATAAGTGTCAGATTCTGACTTAAAGCCTGCCACCAGTTGCAGCTTAATTGTCACTTGCCACTCACTGTTAGGGTTTTGATATGAGTCTGCAAGCAATTGATGTATTATGGTCTCTGTGCAGACCTCTCTGCTAATGTTAATCTGTATTTGCACCTGCTCCCCAGTGCGTGCATCACTGCCCCAGCTCCACCTCAGATCATCAGGCATTAGATTCTCATAAGGAGCATGCAGCCTAGATCCCTTGTATGTACAGTTCACAATAGGGGTCACACTCCTATGAGAATCGAATGCCACCGCTAGACATACCATCAAGAGGCAGAGCTCAGGTGGTAATGCAAGTGATGGAGATCGGCTGTAAATAACAGATGAAGCTTCGCTCACTTGCCTGTCATTCACTTCCTGCTATGTGGCCTGGTTCTTAATAGGCCCTGGACCACTATCCGTCCATGGCCCCAGGATTTGGGACCCCTGCTCTAGAGGAGACAGAGTTGAGACAGGGTTGATTTGGAAACAGGGTTGATTTTGACATTGCTTAAAGTAAAATTGAGACAATAGCTCGTATTTCATCTACTCTCTTTTCTTTTATTCTTGTAACTGTATCTTTAGTAAGGATTTCAAGGGATTTACCATGGAACATAAAATATAACAAAGTAGCATAATTTAAAAGTATAGTAAAACAAGGAAGAAAATATCCAGAGGTGGAACCCAAGTTAATAAGGAATAAGGCTAAGCCAATTGGTCATAATCTAGGATCTGATGTGCAAATTAATAAAATATCAGTATGAAGTTGTAAGGATTTATGGAACATATTGAATTATCAGAATTTCCATAGTAAGACTGTCACTGGAATTAGAAAATCTTTGAACTCTGAATGGAAAAAAATTTGTGATACAAATACTGGGAGAAGTGAGGAGGGAAAAGGAAGCTGAGGAAGGTAATCTTGTAACCTGCTTTCACACCCAGGAGAGATGGAAGAGACTCCGCTCCCCTCATGGGGTCTTAAGCATGAAAGGACTGTACGTCCCTCTATACTCACAGCCGATTCCTACAGGCACCATTGCTCCTCCCTCCTGCTGTCACCTCCCTGTCTCTTTTTTGCTCAACAGGTACTAATTACTTTTATTCTTGTCACACCTCCACCCTAGTAAGGGTTTTAGATACTCGACAGGACATTTGCTATCCATGCAAAGTTTTTTCTATTGCTGTGTACAATTCTGCTCAACCCCAGATGGATAGGTTTAACAACGGGTTAACTCAATTGGGTTGAGTGAGGGTAGGAAATTTTGTTGTGGGGAGGGGTGTCTCTAGCACTCTATGCTTGGTATAGTGCAAGAAAGGAGCTTTTTAGATTCTCATGGTAACAAAATTATGAAGACCCATAAAAATAACTCAAAATTATGAAGACC
This sequence comes from Homo sapiens, assembly GCF_000001405.40. Taxonomy (NCBI): domain Eukaryota; kingdom Metazoa; phylum Chordata; class Mammalia; order Primates; family Hominidae; genus Homo; species Homo sapiens. Next base: position 106,387,824 of record NC_000006.12, read on the forward strand.
CATAAAAATAACTCAAAAATAGCTTTTTCCTATGTATTATCATCCATGAACGTCACTCGTGAATTCTCAGGTGCTCTAAAGATTATCAGTGACCTTTTATTCTTCCATTGGAGCAATTATTTCAGGTCCTGTCTGCTACTCTTTAAAACATTTATTGAGCCATGAGTGTGCCAGGTTAGGGCATTGGTAGGAAGGCCATGTGTCCTGGTTTATGCCTGTTTTCCCTCCACAGTTATTACTGGCACTCCCTTTGACTCTGAGCAGATCCTTGTTTGGATGTCTAGTTATGCCACCTCACCATGAACCTGGCTTGTGCTACGAATCCTTTTCAAGCTCCTGCTGCCACAATAGTAGAGGGGTAAATCACGTGCACTTCTTTTCTATGTATGTTGAAAAACTTCCTCAGAAGTCTGAAAATCACTGTGTAGATAGGCTTGCCATGTTCATCTTGGCACCTCCCAAATTTTCTAGGTCCTGAACTATCCTGGGGCTAACATCAAGTGTTTTGGCCATGCACTTATTTCATAAATTTAAGGAAAGAAGGAAGGAGAGAGTTGATCCCCTTTTCCACCTGCCCCTCCCTCTACCCCCAGCCCAGAAACTGTCTTCTTTATAAATTTTTGGCAAATGTTTTGTTGAATTGCCCCTTCTAACTTTATTATTAGCAACTTAAGAGCAAAGGCTCTTATGGTTTAATAATATTTTGAATATGTAATTTTATGTGTGTTAAAAAGTTTCATTTTAAGCAGGAGCCTCTTAAAAAGGGGAACATACTTCAGTTCTAGAGTAGAATTATAATTTCTGGCATCACTCCTCATTGTGCAGAGAAAAATATCATCTGACATATGACCTTATGAATTATGCTTTTTACTTTATAGGTTCCAGTTGGCAAGTTTATTTCTCAAGTTGTTTCTTTTTATGTACTTTGCTGATGATTAGAATAAGATGCCACCATATAAGAAACAATATTTTGGTTATCGCCATCTTGTAAAATCACTAGGTTTATATCAGAGGGATGACTAGCTGAGAGAAAGATCAGTGCTTTTTACAATATTATTTACTTTAAAAGACAAACAGAATTCTTTATCATGATAGCTAGGACTATTTTGTACTTTTAAACCTAAAGAGACTGTGCCTAAGCAGAGAAATTGACACTGGCATAAAGTCAGTACCATTTTCACCAGTTTTTTAATTGCCAGAGTCTAGTTTATGTTTATTTTCACCTAGTTATCCTCAGCTCAGTACTGAAGTGACACTTGGGATTAAATTTTCTTTCCCAAATCTTCCTTTATAGTTTCCTCTGTGACTTTTTATCATTTTGTAAATCTTTTTTTTAGATTAAAAATTGCTTTTTGTTATATGATTTCTGTTTGTTTGATTACTAGGGAATTAGAAAATTGCCGTATATATTTATTGGCCACTTACTTGTATTTATTCTTTTGTGGAATGTTCTTTTCCCATTTTAATATTGGTGTGTTTGTGTTTTCTTAATTGATTTGTAAGAACTCAGTGGTAAAATTAAATTGGGCACCCTTGATTTGGCTCGAGTTGGACAACATTATGCTTTTTCTTAAGATTATGAGTGAAACTAGTTTTCTTTTACAGAATTCAATTCTACATGTCCAATTAAAAATTTTTAATCAACCATAGTAGTGTTCCAAAATTTGTCAAAATTGATGTATTCTTTCAAAAATATACTATGAAATAAACAGATCAGTTGCATTAAAAAGCAAGGTGTTGATCTCATTTGTTTAGTTTGTCTTTGCAAGTCACATTTTAGAAAAATAGCAATTTTTTACCTCTGTCTCACAGATGAAGTGTGAGCTTTCTTTCCTGAGCAGAAATATGAAGTAACTTATATATGTTAGCTGGGTACTTTTGTCTGTGGGAGAGATAGTTGAGTCTTTTTCGGTAGTTGCTTTTATGGATATACTTATATATAATATAAAAGCATATTTTTATCACTTTATATATTTTTGCATATGTTTTGGTTCAGTCGACTCCTATAGTGAGAGGCAGGTTTCTGTTGTATTGTGATGTTTTAACTTTTTTCAGCTGCTACAACTTAAGCCCTTAATATGAAATATTAACTTTATTTCATAATAGCTATGAAAATATTTCGTTGTTCACCCTTTTGGCAAAGGATACTTTTTGTGTAAACCTTTGGAAAAATTGTTGTTTTTGTATGCCTATGCTGATTTTAATTGGAAATAATCCCTAGGTCTAGGTAAACAGTTTAATTAATTTTTTTGAACATTATTTTTCCAGGTTCCAGGCTTACAGTTTAATTAATTTTATCCATGAAGCCTGTTATTGTTCAGGGACAAATAGCATTAAGATGAATCATTTATAAAATGGAGCTGTAAAGAAAACTATGTTCTGATCAGAAATACCAAAGAACAAATATCGTATTGTTTGGAAATACTACTTGGTTTTAGGGACTTAGTACCAAAGCAGGAAATAGGATTACAAAAGTTACCATTGGTTCTTTGGCACTTCCTTACTAAATCACATTGTCTAAAGCAGTGACATGTTATAATAAATCTGATCTCCTCTCCCCTCCCCTTCCCTCCTCTCTCTCCCTTTTCTTTCTTTTCTTCTCCCTTCTTTCCCTTCTAATTGTGGTATATCTTACATAGAGCAAAATATAAAAATATTAAGTGTAAAGATCAATTAATTTTTACATTTGTGTATATACATGTAACCACAATCCAGATAAAAATATGAAACATTACTGTTACTCCAGAAGGCTCTCTTGTGCACTCCCCCTACGCCCCGTCATGAAAATAACTACCATTCTGACTTCCATTCACCGTAGATTAATTTTGTTCTTTTTCTTTTCATCTCATTGGAATCATATGATATGTGTCTGGCATCTTTCACTCAATATTATGTCCATGAGAGTCATTCATATTTTGAATAGCAATAGTTATTGCTATGTAATATTTTATTTTATGACTGTGTTACAGTTTATTTTATACATGCTATTACCATTGGATATTTGGGTTATTTCTAGTTTTTTACTACAGCATTATGAGAAAAGGTCCTATGAACATTTTCATGTGTGTCTTTTGGTGAACATAAGTATGTACTCATTTCTGTTGGGTATATACTCAGAATTTGAATTGCTGGGACATGGGGCAAACATATGCTTCATTTAGTACATACTTTCAGACTGTTTTCCGAAGTGATTGTATCAGTGTACACTCCTACCAACAGTTAGTGAAGAGTTCCAGTTGCTTGTCAGTTCTTTCTTTTTTTTGAGATGGAGTCTCGCTCAGTCACCCAGGCTGGAGTGCACTGGCGTGATCTCGGCTCACTGGTTCAAGCCAGTGAGCTGCCTCTGCCTCCCAGGTTCAGTCAATTCTTGTGGCTCAGCCTCCCAAGTAGCTGAGATTACAGGCATGCACCACCACACCCAGCTAATTTTTGTATTTTAGTAGAGATGGGGTTTCACCATGTTGGCCAGGATGGTCTTGATCTCCTGACCTCAGGTGATCTGCCCACCTAGGCCTCCCAAAGTGCTGGGATTACAGGCGTGAGCCACCGTGTCCATCCAGTTCTTTTAATTTTAGCTATTTTGATGTACAGTGCTAGTTGATAATGTATCTCATTGTGGTTTTAATTTCTATTTTCCTAATGACTAATGATGTTGGACAACTTTTCACAAATCTATTGGCCATTTGATATCCTTTTGTTGTACCTGTTCAAATATTTTGCCCATTTTAGAAACCAGACCATCAGTCTTTTTTTTTTACATTATTGATTTATAGGCATTTTGTATATATATATGCAAATATTCCATTTTTGAATTACATGTCAGGATCTTCTTAAAGGACTGCCTTATTTGTCTAATGCTTTTTGGCCACATGAAGTGAGCGGAGAGTGAGGGAGCTTTGCTGGCCCTGGGCCTAGGGGAAAGAAATACACAATGACTTTGGTGCCTGATATAAACTATACTGAAGCCAAGGGGCAGAGCTCCCCTCAGCTCTGCCAGCACACCACACTTGCTTCGTTCTTGCGCTCCAAATTCTTGTCATTAGAGGTGCTCCCACTGGCTAGATCACAAAAGTGGAGTCGTTTCCAAAAGCCTGTTGTTTAAAACGTGTGTGTGTGTGTGTGTGTGTGTGTGTGTGTGTGTGTGTGTGCGTGCGCGTTTCCTGAAAAGGGGCAGAAAGCAAGAGAGTTAATCGTCCCTCAGGAAAACGTGAGCAGCTGTGAGGATTCAGATAAGTTCATCATATTAGCTGATTATCACCCCTTAGAAAATGCAAAGAAGGCTCTCAGTGCGATGAGGTTTAGTCCCCGCGAATCTGTGTGGCTGTGGGAGTTACAATGGGGGATGGGAGAGCTTGGGGAATAAGTTGGGTTTTTTACCCCAATCTTTTCTTTGGCTTGTTCAATATATAAATTGCCCTTTGCTCCCCAAGCCTGCTTCTCCCCTGCCACATACACAATAGTGAGAGAGGAAAGCTACCCCATCATCTTGAAAAAGGCAACCGAATGAAAATGGGAATCTCCCGCTCTCCTCATCTATTATCTCTTCAGTGTCTGATTTCTCATCCTCTTTCTTATGTCAGGACAGAAAAATAACAAGACAAATAAAGAATCAGAGTAAAGAGGCAGCAGACTAGAGGTAGGACTTAGGGAGGCCCAGTGAAGGCAAAAGAGAATCAGGAAGGGAAAAGGACAGTGCTAAGAGGGGAGTGGGGGACACAGGAAAGAGATGGTGGAGGGAGATCTGATAGGACTGATACCATCTTGAAATTTTGAAAATTAAATTAAACAATGTGTTTATCTAAGATTAAATTTTTCTCTGTAATATAAAATAGCAAGAAGGAAGTAAAGGGATTATGACAATGAGATCTTCCACGAATAAATTTTACCATTGTGCAAAGGACAGCCGTGCTAAGAACTGTTCGAATTTTTGGTTATTTAAAAGAGAAATAATTTTTTTTTTGAGACAGAGTTTTGCTGTATTGCACAGGCTGGAGTGGCTGGAGTGCAGTGGCACGATCTCAGCTCACTGCAACCTCCGCCTTCTGGGTTCAAGTGATTCTCCTGTCTCAGCCTCCCGAGTAGCTAGGGTTATAGGTGCGTGCCACCACACTTGGCTAATTTTTGTATTTTATGTAGGGATGGGATTTCACCATGTTGGCCAGGCAGGTCTCGAACTCCTGACCTCAAGTGATCCGCTCACCTTGGCCTCTCAAAGTGCTGGGATTACAGGCATGAGCCACTGCACCTGGTAATACAATTTTTAGATTTCAAAACAATAAAATCTCTGTACTAGAATTTTGTTTATCCATAAGTCTTGTTTTAGTCCTAGAACATGCTGTTGGTTTCTAAATTGTAAACATTGGGCTAGCTCATCAGAGTTCTGAGATGGAACATGGAGGAGCTGTGGTACCTTTCTCTAAAAAGAGAAGGCCCGGTAACATGAATCAATGATGCACAGGGGGTCCAGGGAGTATGGCTGTCGTGCTCTCTATAGCCCATATAATTAGGGCACCTAGCACTGACCAGTATGCACCCGTGCAGCCTCACCATCGTTAAAGGGTTGTAACGCTAACATAGTGGTGAGCAAATAAGTTCCCTGGGGCATTCCTCCTACAGCCGGCTTCCCAGACTCCTCTGAACTTCCTTGGGCTTGCACTGCAGGGGGCACTTCCAGGCAGTGTCTGAGCCCTGCATGGGCAGGGATTGGATGGTGCACAGTCCATACCTCTGTTAAATATTTTGACTATTACCACTGCTCTCAGTTTTAAAGATGTATGATTCTTTGTTGACGTCTTCCATTTGTGGATTCATAAGGCTGTGTAATAGCTCCTTACTCTGTTTCTTCGTTTCCTCTTCCTTTTTTTTTTTTTTTTTAGGAGTCTTGCTCTGTTGCCTAGGTTGGAATGCAGTGGCACGATCTTGGCTCACTGCAACCTCTGCCTCCCAGGTTCAAGGAATTCTCCTGCTTCAGCCTTCCAAGCTGGGACTACAGCCATGTGCCACCATGCTTGGCTAATTTATGTATTTTTAGTACAGATGGGGTTTTGCCATGTTAGCCAGGCTGGTCTCGAACTCCTGACCTCAGGTGATCCGCCCACCTTGGCTTCCCAAAGTGCTGGGATTACAGGTGTGAGCCACCACCCCTGGCCTCCTCTTCCTTTTTTGTCTTGTCCTACCTTTAGACTACTGAGCAATAGCACTTTTATCAGAAATTGAATGAAAGGGTATACGGCCAATACTGGATTTCAGTACAGCCTAGAATAGTCTGTCACTTCTAATCCATGCACTTAAAGTTTATCTAGGCTGCAAAGCTTTAGGTACACTTGATTCAGGTGCCCTGACATCATATTTCTTTGGAGTTTCTGAATGTAGCTTATTAATAAATGTCTCTACATCGTTTATCCTTGTCCTCTTTACCCTTATATTCTTAGGTTTTCCAAGGGTTCTGAAGGAACATATTTCATTTTTCTACCTTTCTTATGATACATATACAACAGTGTCTTACACTCGTGAGTGCTCCGTGACCCATTCAATGTCTAATTAATGTCTGTATTTTCTGCGTCATGTTCATTTCCGTTTATCACATATACTTGAGAATTTATTGTAAAAATGCTTTTTCTTGCACATCTCCAAGCTTCTCTAATGTTCTTGTGACATTATCTTAAAGTTGTTACTAAGGGATTGTTTTAGAGGCTGAATTCTAAGTAAACCGAACATGAGGGCACATTGACTTTTATTCCCAGCATTGTTAAGCAAGAAAGGAATAAAGTGATTCTAAAAGTTGTTTCTGAAATATAAGCTTGTTTTTGAAGGTAACACAGTTTTTAAACAAGTATGTTAAGTTTGTTTCATAATAGTGCATTGGAGTTAAATGAACCATGTAATTTCTGCTTGTGGATGTTAAGTTAGAACACAAACATTGAGGAAAGCTTGACAGGCTTAATCTTTCAAAGAAGAAAAGAAGAATATCCTTTAGTAGGTAGTGCAGTGCCTTAGAGAGGTTTTAACAATAGTGTGTTAAATGCACACAGCAGAATTTTTTTTTTTTTTTTGAGACAGTCTTGTTCTATCACCCAGGCTGGAGTACAGTGGTATAATCTCAGCTCACTACAACCTCTGCCTCCCGGGTTCAAGTGATTCTCCTGTCTCAGCCTCCCAAGTAGCTGGGATTACAGGCATAAGCCACCACACCTGGAAATGTATATATATATATTTTATAAAATTTCTACCGTCTTTCAATTTTCAAATGTATTAATGTAATATTTTTATTATTTAAAAAACTGCTTCTAGGCTGGGCACAGTGGCTCATGCCTGTAATCCCAGCACTTTGAGAGGCTGAGGTGGGCTGATCGCTTGAGCTCAGGAGTTTGAGATCAGTCTGGGCAACATGGTAAAACTCCTTCTCTATAAAAACAATTTTAAAAATATAAAAAAAATAAAAAACTGCTTCAGTTTTTATACTTAGGTTTCTCTATTCTTAATATTTTTCATTTACTTTTCCTCTCATTCTTTTTTATTTTATTAATTTCTGATCTTATCTTTATATTTGCTTCCTCCTCATTTGTTTGAATTTATGCCATTATTTTTGTAGCTTTTTGAGTGAATGCTTAGCTCATTAATTTTCAGTTTTTCCTTTTTTAACATATATTCGTTTTTCAAATAAATATGTATGTATATATTTTAATGCTATATCTTCTAGATATTGCTTTATCTGCTTACCTTTAATTTTGTTATATAGTATTATTATTTTTGTTTAATTCTGTTTTACAAATTTAATTATGATTTCTACTTGGACCATGAATAATTTAAAAGTGAGATTATGGATTTTCAGAAGTATAGGATTTTTTGGTTTGCTTCCTTAAGTGGTGATTTTGCCATCCCTGAAGGAGTCCCATCTATTTGAGATCAATTTTTATATTAATCCTCAGTTTGTGATTATTACATTACAAAGATACTATATATTCAGACCCCATATACATATATATATATAGATTTGGGGTCTAAATCACTCTTTGGCATTTTATTTTTTGTTGGAGAATTTCTTCTCTACCCTGAGCTCTAGGCAAATGACAAGCCCTAGGCAAATGATAACACTTAGCTGAGGCATTGGTCATGTTTCCGCTTCCATTTTCATGGAGGAGATAACCCATCCCTGGATCCAACCGTATGAAAGGGTCTTATTTCCAGCTCTCTGCCTTTCATGATCCCAGGGCTATGTCTCTGATCCCTTCATAGGCATTGAAGTCCTAGTCCCTAGATATAAGAGCTTATTTCTGGATCTGCTATTTTACTAGGATGCCTAAGTGCCAGCTTGTATACTCATTGCTTAGCTTTGAGTATTTTATTTCTTATGCCAGGGTAATTTTTTTTCCTTTGAACTCAGCTATGAATTTTAATTTATTATGTTTTATTTCACATTTCTTGTGTTTATAGTGAAACAGTATCAACCACTGATTAGTCTCCCAGCATCCTTTCCAAATAGAATTTTGACTACTGTTTCAGTGTAAACACTGAATGAACTTATAAATTCAGTGGAAAGCAAATTCTTTCATAAACATCATGAATTACAGTATTATCATCTATATGTATGACTTCACCAACCTCTAGCAAAGGAGAATTCTACAACTTTTGCTGGAATATGTAATTTCATTTCCAGCATTTCAAGGACTCATTTATTCTTTATGACAAACTTAGCACCAGAGATAGAAAAACCAGCACGTAAAATCTCTGGCATACCACTCTTAGCATGGAGTAAGAGGAGAGGTCAAGTTTAATGGTTTTGCTTCTTGACCACATGTACAGACTGTGGACTTTCTGAGGACCTGTTCTACCAGAAAAACAAGACCTCAGGGCAACACCTGCTATTGAAACATAGAAATTTGGAGTCTTGCACTGTTGCCCAGGCTGGGGTGCAGTGGCATGATCTCTGCTCACTGCAACCTCTGCCTCCCAGGTTCAAGCAATTCTCCTGCCTCAGCCTCCCAAATATCTGAGGTTATAGGTGCATACCATCACACCCAGCTAATTTTTGTATTTTTAGTAGAGCCGAGGTTTCACCATGTTGGCCAAGCTGATCTCGAACTCCTGACCTTGTGATCCACCCGCCTTGGCCTCCCAAATTGCTGGGATTACAGGCATGAGCCACCATGCCCAGCCAATACATGGATGTTTTTGATTGATTACGTCATGGTATGTAGAGACATCTAAACTAAAGTTGCTGTGACAATTACATGAAGTCATAATATTAAGAGCTATATTTTTCCAAGTGTCTTTTACCAATTCTTTTTTCTTTCCTCAAGCTTTACTAACGTGTAATTGGCAAATAAAAAGCATATATGCTTAAGATACACAACATGGTGTTTTGATACAAGTATATATTGTGAAATGATTACCGCAATCAAACATATTTATCACCTCACATAGTTATCTTTTTTGGTGTGTGGTAAGAACATCTAAGATCTGTCTTAGCAAACTTCAAGTATGCAGTATAGTATTGTTAATTATAGTCACCATGCTTATTATAATGAATTAGATCTCTAGAACTTATTCATCCTGCATAACTGAAACCATTTTATTTTTAATATGTGTGTGACTATAGACTCAAAGAGAACTTGGAATCATTGTTTTAGAAATTGCATCAAATAAGACAAACATGAAGTAAGAGGTTAGGAGCTTTATGGGTTGGGCACTTTTAAGGAGCTTGGTTCAGTTCAGTGCTTCAGCATAATCTTTCTATAATCCTCAGCTTTAGCTCCTCATCTCTGATAAAGGGCAGGGTGTGACCAAGGAACACAGAGTTCAGTAGTCAGCACATTATTCCCAGACTGAAATGGTTTAGGGTCAGTGGAAGGCTACTGCCTCTGTGAAACCAGCGGGGCATATCACCACTAACTCCATGACTACTGAGTGACAATCTCTGCATTTGGAATGTTTCTAACAAGGATTAACATAGAGATATGTTAGTTAGAGATAAACTATAATGGTCACCTATTCCCTGTACGCTTCCAGGAAATCCTATATTTTTACCTTTTGCTGGCATAAATGTGGGAATTTGAGCTGCAGTATCTCAGTGTCAATGGAAACTATGGATATTGACTATCTCTGTATCAAATTTATATGGCCCCACCTTCTTTAGCCCTCAGTGTCATCAAGGGAGGTACTCATCTTATAGTTTATCAATAAGTACCAAAATACATTAAGTACCAAAATATGACACAATAAGTACCTAAATCGCTCTCACTGAGCTATTACACACAATTGCTTTCATTTTTTTCTCCAGGAAGTTTTGAAGTGCAATATATAGATTGAATCCTTGCCCGTCTTCTCTGCTTTTAAAGGTTCTCAGATCTACCAGACATGGGCATACTAAATGGAGAGAACAAAATAACAATTTCAAAATCCAGCAAACCGGCCAGGTACGTTGGCTCACGCCTGTAATCCCAGCACATTAGGAGTCCAAGGTGGGAGGATGGCTTGAGCTCATGAGTTCAAGATCAACCTGGGCAACATGGCAAGGAGGCTGAGATGGGAAGATCGCTTCAGCCTGGGAGGCAGAGGTTGCAGTGGGCTGAGATCGTGCTACTGTACTCCAGCCTGGATGACAGAGCCAGACCTTGTCTCAAAAAATAAATAAATAAATAAATAAATAATAAAATCCAATAAACCAACAACCGGTGAACCAGAAGCCAATTCAGTAATTGGTAGCAAAAATCTATTCTATAAAATATACAGGAAGTACATTCTTTTGAACTAGAAGGTCCCCCAAGTATTCAAACACTTCTGTTAGGAGGCCTTTTTTCTGACCTCTACGCTGTCTTGAACTCTTATTCATTCATTTCCTTCTCCAGCTTCTCAGTGCTGGAATGTTATCTTTTCAATGTGATCTTTTCTATGAAATCTTTTTCGTTTGCTCCAATCAAAATCAACCCCCTTCTTCTCTTTTTCATATCTTCTTAGTCCCTCTGTCACAACTCCCACAATGCTTTCTTTCATGTTTGTTTATAGGCCTGTTTCTCTCCACCAAAGCCTAAGTTCCTTAAAGACAAGTGCCATCCTTTTATCCCTGATGCCTCACATGACATGTGACACATAGTATGTTTCCCATAAAGATTTGTCGAGTAAATAAATGAAGGCTGGGAAGTAGTCCTCTGGTGAAATATGCCTTAAGTGCTTTTTAACCAACATGCTATTAAGAACTACAGTTTACCTTTCCATTAAACCTTCTCAGTGAGGAAGTTTGCCCAGAGAGCCAGTTTATTTTGCATAGTAGAAGGTAACAAATATATACCAGTACTTGAAAATTCCAATTTAATTTCAGCCATTGAAGAAGCCTGATGAATCCCACTTCCTGTCAAAACTGCTTCACCTCAGAAAAACCTTTTGGTCAGCCCTTTGTTAATTTTGTATGCAGAAAATCCTGACATAAGCCACTAAATCCAACAGTATAGTCAGTTTTTTCAAATTGCATAAAATAAATTTCAACTTTCCACCCTTTAATCATATAAGTTATCATTTATCTCATGCTTTAGTTTGCCCTTCTAACTTTCTACAGCAAAAAGATAACTCACTACTTTATAACTTATTTGATGCCCTTGTTATATCCCAATCATTAAATGTCAATAACTTAGTTCACATCTCTGTTAGTGTTGAACTTGCCAAGAATATCCATTTGAACAACTTTCTGGATGCGTGACATAGGTATGTTAAAAACGTTAAAGGCCATATGGACCTAGTGAAGGAAACTTGCAGTATTCTCTTATGGCTTAGTAAGAACTTTTCTGTGTGATAACTTCAGTCTGGGTTTTCCGATCGGTCCTTTTTTTTAGTTTTTCTTTCTTTTTTTTTTTTTCTTGAGACAGGGTCTCACTCTGTTACCTAGCCTGGAGTGCAGTGGTGTGAACACAGCTTACTGTAGCCTCAAACTCCTGGGCTCAAGGCATCCTGCCACCTCAGCCTCCCGAGTAGATGGGACCGTAGGCATGCACCGCCATGCCCAGCTAATTCTTTTACCTTTTGTAGAGAAAATATCTCCGGCCGGGTGCGGTGGCTCACACCTGTAATCCCAGCACTTTGGGAAGCCAAGGCAGGCAGATCACCTGAGGTCAGGAGTTTGAGACCAGCCTGACCAACATGGTGAAACCCCGTCTATACTAAAAATATAAAAATTAGCCAGGCGTGGTGGCACATACCTGAAGCCCAGCTACTCGGGAGGCTGAGGTGGGAGAATCGCTTGAACCCAAGAGGCAGAGTTTGCAGTGAGCTGAGTTCGTGGCACTGCACTCCAGCCTGGGTGACAAGAGTGAGACTCCATCTCAAAAAAAAAAAAAAAAAAAAAGAGAGAGAGAAAAGGTCTCCCCATGTTGCTCAGGCTGGTCTCAAACTCCTGGGCTCGAGTAATGCTCCCACCTTGGCCTTCCAAAGTATTGAGAAGACAGGCATGAGCCACCATGCCCCACCCAGATCTGCCCTTTAAGATGCAATATTAATTAAATATGTTCACTTGCACATATAATGATAGACATTGTCAAATCTTACTTGAGACAATGCCCTTTTTTCTTTATCTTTAATATTAGTGTAATTGTGCTTATGTTTTCTTCATCTTTTCTTTTACTTTATTGGATCTTAGCAATGGATGAAGAAAATATTTCAGAAGGATAGGAATAGAAACAAACAACAGAAGCCTGGTCAGAGACTAGGCAGAAAATTTGTAAGTGTTATGGAAAGATTTGCCTTGGTGTTGGAGGAAACTGAATGACTTAACAGCCTTTTAAAGGGAGACTCTATAAATATTCAGTAAATCTTCATAGTATACAGAATAAACCCTAGTAAGTATCAGGCACTATACCAGAAGTAAGAAAAAATGAATATGATACAATTCCTGCCTACTTGGACCTCATAATATAGTGAGATAGACAGACACTATTTATAATGCCAGAAGAAAATTACAGCACCTACAGTGTCAATGGGGACAGAGAGGAGGGTGATCAGTTCTTTAAAGGAAAGTCAGAGGTTTCACAAAAGACACATGTGAACTAAGTCGCAAAGTAGGTGCAAGATCGTAGAGAAGGGTAAGAGGAAGAGCATTTCAAGCAAAGAAAGCAATGTGACCAGAGCAATGAAAGTGCACGGGCTTTGGGGAGCCGTCTTTCTTGCCAGCTAGTTGAGATACTGTCAGTGGCCTAGTGTGCTATGCTCTGATGAGACAGTGTCCAGCAGACACTATATTTCCTCCTGCAAGCTCCTACATCATCCAATGGCTTTTGGGTCATAATTGAATTTTCACATAAAAGGAAGTGCAAAAGGAAGATTGTCATTCTTCTTGATACTAAATCTAAAATTATGAAGATCCTCTTACCCGTTTTCAACCTACAGAGCAAATAATAGAGTTGGATTCATTTTTTAATGAGTGACTCTTAAGTAAGGACTGGTGAATGCTTTGGACTTTACTTATATTTTGTACGGATTATCTACTACAGAGAGGGTATAACCTTCATTCAGATTCTGAGAATTTCTCGTCATATTTTCTATTATTAGTGATATCTTTATTTTCTTGTTTGCTGAATGATTCTTTTTTTTTTTTTTAATTTTCTTTTTTTATTATACTCTAAGTTTTAGGGTACATGTGCACATTGTGCAGGTTAGTTACATATGTATACATGTGCCATGCTGGTGCGCTGCACCCACTAACGTGTCATCTAGCATTAGGTATATCTCCCAATGCTATCCCTCCCCCCTCCCCCGACCCCACCACAGTCCCCAGAGTGTGATATTCCCCTTCCTGTGTCCAAGTGATCTCATTGTTCAATTCCCACCTATGAGTGAGAATATGCGGTGTTTGGTTTTTTGTTCTTGCGATAGTTTACTGAGAATGATGGTTTCCAATTTCATCCATGTCCCTACAAAGGACATGAACTCATCATTTTTTATGGCTGCATAGTATTCCATGGTGTATATGTGCCACATTTTCTTAATCCAGTCTATCATTGTTGGACATTTGGGTTGGTTCCAAGTCTTTGCTATTGTGAATAGTGCCGCAATAAACATACGTGTGCATGTGTCTTTATAACAGCATGATTTATAGTCCTTTGGGTATATACCCAGTAATGGGATGGCTGGGTCAGCAAAGTCTCAGGATACAAAATCAATGTACAAAAATCACAAGCATTCTTATACACCAACAACAGACAAACAGAGAGCCAAATCATGAGTGAACTCCCATTCACAATTGCTTCAAAGAGAATAAAATACCTAGGAATCCAACTTACAAGGGATGTGAAGGACCTCTTCAAGGAGAACTACAAACCACTGCTCAAGGAAATAAAAGAGGACACAAACAAATGGAAGAACATTCCATGCTCATGGGTAGGAAGAATCAATATCGTGAAAATGGCCATACTGCCCAAGGTAATTTACGGATTCAATGCCATCCCCATCAAGCTACCAATGACTTTCTTCACAGAATTGGAAAAAACTACTTTAAAGTTCATATGGAACCAAAAAAGAGCCCGCATCACCAAGTCAATCCTAAGCCAAAAGAACAAAGCTGGAGGCATCACACTACCTGACTTCAAACTATACTACAAGGCTACAGTAACCAAAACAGCATGGTACTGGTACCAAAACAGAGATATAGATCAATGGAACAGAACAGAGCCCTCAGAAATAATGCCACATATCTACAACTATCTGATCTTTGACAAACCTGAGAAAAACAAGCAATGGGGAAAGGATTCCCTATTTAATAAATGGTGCTGGGAAAACTGGCTAGCCATATGTAGAAAGCTGAAACTGGATCCCTTCCTTACACCTTATACAAAAATCAATTCAAGATGGATTAAAGATTTAAACGTTAGACCTAAAACCATAAAAACCCTAGATGAATGATTCTTTAAGAGTCACTCCGGATCATTCAGAGAATGGTGGAGACATGTCAGGAAGGGTGACCCTGAGGAAATGACCACCGAGCCCTTGATCTATGGCCTGAAGGAATGATAATTAGCTCAACAGTGTGCAGGATGAGTGAGGGGAGGGTGGGGGAAGAATGCAGCCATGTGATGAGCACAACCTCCGATGGCATGGCACATGCTGGATTTAAGGACTGAAATGTAAGCTCTGTGAGGGCAGGAAACTGGTCTGTTTTGTTCTCAGGACCGTCTCATGTATCTAGAACATTAACGCACAGCAGCTTCTTAATGAAAAGATGTTTGTTGAGGAGGAATTTAAAAGGTTTTGGCTGGGTGCAGTGGCTCACACCTGTAATCACGCCTTGGGAGGCTAAGACGGGGGAGGATTGCTTGAGGCCAGAAGTTTGAGACTAGCCTGGGCAACAAAGCCAGACGCCTTCTCTTAAAAACAAACAAACAAACAAACTGGGCACAGCAGCATGTGCCTGTAGTCCCAGCTACTCAGGAGGCTGAGGTGGGAGGATTACTTGAGCCCAAGGCTACAGTGAGCTATGATGGTTCCACTGCACTCCAGTCTGGCTGACAGAGCAAGACCCAGTCTCAGTAAAAATAAATAAACAAATAAAAGGTTCACTTGTGACTGGAACACAGAGAGCAAGGGGCTGCGTGGAATAACATGATTCCGCGTTGTGGGATCATGGGTTGTGCAAGACCCTGTAGTTCACATTAAAGGTAGTGAGCTTTGTCCTCTCATTGGGTCACCATTAAAGGATTCTAAGCAAGGGAATGGCAATTGGATTTGTTCTACAGTGCGGAGCACCACTTTCTACCTTTTTAATTGTAACCAACAGTAAGAAACACATTTTATAGTGTAACCTAGTAAAACACACATATACACACACGCACTTGAAATACTTTTTTATGAACAATGGGTAGCCTTACTAAGCGTGATGTGCTCCATTATTTTCTGTCCTATTTGATATTTGTAAAAAGTAGTGGTCAAAATCAGTATGACTCATGAGTCATAAGTATGGTGTGAAAAACACTCCTATGAGGAATGGATACCCTAATGATGAAGGTTATGTGCCTAAAATAATTAAAAATAGCAACTTGAGGTGATCTAAGAAAGGTCAAAACATGGTAGCTTAAAAACAATGTGCAAAACAGAAATCTAGAGAGATGCTAGGAATTTGAGAAGGGGAACTCATGAGAGAATGTGAAGTGTAGAAAGGATGTTAGGCATTCTAGAATTCAGCTGAAAAGTATCAAAGTTAAGTAAACTTGCTCAGAGGACATGGGAGTCCTATCAGAAGAGGGCTCTGCCCAGATTTCTCACACATCTGTGATCTTTCCTAGGTTCCTTTCAGCCTCTGCTGTTGGTGCTTTTCACAGCAAGCTATGGAGCACACTGGCTTGGTGGTGTTATGACCATCTTATAAATCTGGAAAGTGAAGTTGGGAGGTGACTTGCTGCGAGGTTAGATGCCTAGGAAGAGGACAGACCAGGACTGGCTTCCAGGCTTCCTCATCACTGGTCTGGCAATCTTCCCATTGTACTACACTGTTTCATACATGTGCATGAAAAATTAATTAGGATTATAAAATGACAACACAGCATTTCAGCATGTAAACATTTCTGTGCTGGAATTCTAAGAGTTCTGCTGCTAATATCATTTAATTGATTTGGTATTAAAATTAAAATTGAGGTGTATGAATTTCTTCAGGAATCTAGTAACATAATATTTCATTTGTTTCATAAAAAGAAATATTCTATCTGAACATCCAAATCTCAGTCACATAATATCTTCACTGATATCTTGGCTGAAAGAGTGGGAGAGTAAGAATTAGAAATGTGGGGGGCTGGCAAGATGCCCAAATAGGAACAGCTCCGGTCTGCAGCTCTCAGTGAGATCAACACAGAAGGTGGGTGATTTCTGCATTTCCAACTGAGGTACCTGGCTTATCTCACTGGGACTGATTAGAGAGTGGGTGCGGCCCACCGAGGGTGAGCAGAAGCAGTGTGGGGCATCACCTCACCCAGGAAGCGCAAGGGGTTGGGGAACGCCCTCCCCAACCCAAGGGAAGCTGTGAGGGACTGTGCTGTGAGGAACGGTGCACTCTGGCCCAGGTACTACACTTTTTCCACAGTCTTCGCAACCCACAGACCAGGAGATTCCTTCGTGTGCCTACACCACCAGGACCTTGGGTTTCAAGCACAAAACTGGGCAGCTGTTTGGGCAGACACCAAGCTAGCCGCAGTTTTTTTTTTTTCATACCCCAGTGGTGTCTGGAACGCCAGTAAGACAGAACTGTTCACTCCCCTGGAAAGGGGACTGAAACCAGGGAGCCAAGTGGTCTAGCTCAGCAGATTCCACCCCCATGGAGCCCAGCAAGCTAAGAACCACTGGCTTGAAATTCTCGCTGCCAGCACAGCAGTCTGAAGTCAACCTGGGATGCTCAAGCTTGGTGGGGGTAGGGGCGTCCACCATTGCTGAGGCATGAGTAGGCAGTTTTCCCCTCACAGTGTAAACAAAGCTGCTGGGAAGTTCAAACTAGGCGGAGCCCACCGCAGCTCAGCAGAGCCACTGTAGCTGGACTGTCTCTCTAGATTCCTCCTCTCTGGGCAGGGCATCTCTGAAAGAAAGGCAGCAGCCCCAGTCAGGGGCTTATAGATAAAACTCCCATCTCCCTGGGACAGAGCACTTGGGGGAAGGGGCGGCTGTGGGCGCAGCTTCAGCAGACTTAAACGTTCCTGCCTGCTGGCTCTGAAGAGAGCAGCAGATCTCCTATCACAGTGCTCAAGCTCTGCTAAGGGACAGACTGTCTCCTCAAGTGGGTCCCTGACCCCCGTGCCTCCTGACAGGGAGACACCTTCCCGCAGGGGTCAGCAGACACCTCATACAGGAGAGCTCTGGCTGGCATCTGGCGGGTGCCCCTCTGGGACAAATCTTCCAGAAGAAGGAACAGGCAGCAATCTTTGCTGTTCTGCAGCCTCCACTGGTGATACCCAGGCAAACAGGGTCTGAAGTGGACCTCCAGCAAACGTGCAGCAGTAGGCCCTGACTGTTAGAAGGAAACTTAACAAACAGAAAGGAGTAGCATCAATGTCATCAAAAAGGATGTCCACACAAAAACCCCATCCAAAGGTCACCAACATCAAAGAGCAAAGGTAGGTAAATCCACAAAGATGAGGAAAAATCAGTGCAAAAAGGCTGAAAATTCCAAAAACCAGGACAGCTCTTCTCCTCCAAAGGATCACAACTCTTCGCCAGCAAGGGAACAAAACTGGATGGAGAATGAGTTTGACGAATTGACAGAAGTAGGCTTCAGAAGGCAGGTAATAACAAACTCCTCTGAGCTAAAGGAGCATGTTCTAACCCAATGCAAGGAAGCTAAGAACCTTGAAAAAAGGTTAGAGGAATTGTTAACTAGAATAACCAGTTAAGAGAAGAACATAAATAACCTGATGGAGCTGAAAAACACACGCGAGAACTTCGTGAAGCATACACAAGTATAAATAGCCGAATCGATCAAGTGGAAGAAAGGATATCAGAGATTGAAGATCGACTTAATGAAATAAAGTGTGAAGACAAGATTAGAGGGAAAAAAAATGAAAAGAAATGAACAAAGCCTACAAGAAGTATGGGCCTATGTGAAAAGACCATACGTACATTTGATTGGTATACCTGAAAGTGATGAGGAGAATGGAACCAAGTTGGAAAACACTAAAACACTCTTCAGGATATTATCCAGGAGAACTTCCCCAACCTAGCAAGGCAGGCCAACATTCAAATTCAGGAAATACAGAGAACACCACAAAGATACTCCTCAAGAACAGCAACCCCAAGACACATAATCATCAGATTCACCAAGGTTGAAATGAAGGAAAAAATGTTAAGGGCAGCCAGAGAGAAAGGTCGGGTTACCAACAAAGGGAAGCCCATCAGACTAACAGTGGATCTCTCTGCAGAAACCCTATAAGCCAGAGGACAGTGGAGGCCAATATTCAACATTCTTGAAGAAAAGAATTTTCAACCCAGAATTTCATATCCAGCCAAACTAAGCTTCATAAGTGAATGAGAAATAAAATCCTTTGCAGACAAGCAAATGCCGAGATATTTTATCACCACCAGGCCTGCCTTATAAGAGCTGAAGGAAGCACTAAATATGGAAAAGAACAACCAGTACCAGACACTGCAAAAACATACCAAATTGTAAAGACTATTGGCACTATGAAGAAACTGCATCAACTAACAGCAAAATAACCAGCTAGCATTGTAATGACAGGATCAAATTCACATATAACAATATTAACCTTAAATGTAAATGGCCTAAGTGCCCCCAGTTAAAAGACACAGACTGGCAAATTGAATAAAGAATCAAGACCCATCAGTGTGCTGTATTCAGGAGACCCATCTCACATGCAAAGACACACATAGCCTCAAAATAAAGGGATGGAGGAATATTTACCAAGAATATGGAAAGCAAAAAAAAAGCAGGGGTTGCAATCCTAGTCTCTGATAAAACAAACTTTAAGCCAACAAAGATCAAAAAAGACAAAAAAGAGCACTACATAATGGTAAAGAGATCAATGCAATAAGAGGATCTAACTATCCTAAATATATATGCACCCAATACAGGAGCACCCAGATTCATAAAGCAAGTTCTTAGACACCTACAAAGAGACTTTGACTCCCATACAATAATAGTGGGAGACTTTAAAACCCCACTGTCAATATTACACAGATCAACGAGACAGAAAATTAACAAGGATATTCAGGACTCGAACTCAGCTCTGGACCTAATAGACATCTACAGAACTCTCCACCCCAAATCAACAGAATATACATTCTTCTCAGCACCACATCACACTTATTCTAAAACTAACCACATAATTGGAAGTAAAACACTCCTCAGCAAATGCAAAAGAATGGAAATCATAACAAACAGTCTCTCAGACCACAGTGCAAGTTAGAACTCAGGATTAAGAAACTCACTCTAAAAAACACAACTACATGGAACCTGAACAACCTGCTCCTGAATGACTACTGGGTAAATAATGAAATTAAGGCAGAAATAAATAAGTTCTCTGAAACCAATGAAAACAAAGACACTATGTACCAGAATCTCTGGGACACAGCTAAAGCAGTGTCAAGAGGGAAATTTATAGCACTAAATGCCCACAAGAGAAAGCAAGAAAGATCTAAAATCAACACCCTAACATCACAATTAAAAGAACCAGAAAAGCAAGGGCAAATAAACTCAAAAGCTAGCAGAAGACAAGAAATAACTAAGATCAGAACAGAACTGAAGGAGATAGAGACAGGAAAAACCCTTCAGAAAATCAATGAATCCAGGAGCTGGTTTTTTGAAAAGATTAACAAAATAGATAGACTGCTAGCCAGACTAATAAAGAAGATAAAAGAGAAGAATCAAATAGACACAATAAAAAATGATGAAGGGGTATCATCACTGATCCCACAGAAATACAAACTACTGTCAGAGAATATTAGAAACACTGCTATGCAAATTAACTAGAAAATCTAGAAGAAATGGATAAATTCCTGGACACAAACACACTACCAAGACTAAACCAGGAAGAAGTCGAATCCCTGAATAGACCAATAACAAGTTCTGAAATTGAGGCAGCAATTAATAGCCTACCAACCAAAAAAGCCTAGGACTAGGCAGATTCACAGCCGAATTCTACCAGAGGTACAAAGAGGAGCTGGTACCATTCCTTCTGAAACTATTCCAATCAATAGAAAAAGAGGGACTCCTCCCTAACTCATTTTATGAGGTCAGCATCATCCTGATACCAAAAGCTGGCAGAGACACAAAAAAAGAAAATTTCAGGCCAATATCCCTGATGAACATTGATGTGAAAATCCTCAAGAAAATACTGGCAAACTGAATCCAGCAGCACATCAAAAAGCTTATCCACCACGATCAAGTTGGCTTCATCCCTGGGATGATGCAAGGCTGCTTCAGCATATGCAAACCAATAAACATAATCCATCACATAAACAGAACCAATGACAAAAACCACATGATTATCTCAATAGATGCAGAAAAGGCCTTAGATAAAATTCAACACCCTTTCATGCTAAAAACTCTCAATAAACTAGGTATTGATGGAACATATCTCAAAATAGTAAGAGCTATTTATGACAAACCCACAGCCAGTATCATACTGAATGGACAAAAGCTGGAAGCATTCCCTTTGAAAACTGGCACAAGACAGGGATGCCCTCTGCCACCACTCCTATTCAACATAGTGTTGGAAGTTCTGGCCAGGGTAATCAGGCAAGAGAAAGAAATAAAGTGTATTCAAATAGGAAGAGGGGAAGTCAAATCGTCTCTGTTTGCAAATGACATGATTGTATATTTAGAAAACCCCATTGTCTCAGCCCAAAAATCTTTTTAAGCTGATAAACAACTTCAGCAAAGTCTCAGGATACAAAATCAATGCAAAAATCACAAGCATTCCTATACACCAATAGTAGACAAACAGAGAGCCAGATCATGAGTGAACTCACATTCACAATTGCTACAAAGAGAATAAAATACCTATGAATACAACTTACAAGGGATGTGAAAGACCTCTTCAAGGAGAACTACAAACCACTGCTCAAGGAAATAAGAGAGGGCACAAACAAATGGAAAAACATTCCACGCTCATGGATAGGAAGAATCAATATTGTGAAAATGGCCATACTTCCCAAAGTAATTTATAGATTGAATGCTATTCCCATCAAGTTACCATTGACTTTCTTCACAGAATTAGAAAAAACTACTTTAAATTTCATACAAAACCAAAAAAAGAGCCCGTGTAGCCAAGACAATCCTAAGCAAAACAAACAAAGCTGGAGGCTTCATGCTACCTGACTTCAAACTATACTACAAGACTACAGTAACCAAAACACCATGGTACTGGTACCAAAACAGATATATAGACCAATGGAACAGAACAGAAGCCTCAGAAATAACACCTCACATCTATAACCATCTGATCTTTGACAAACCTGACAAAAACAAGCAATGGGGAAAGGATTCCCTATTTAATAAATGGTGCTGGGAAAACTGGCTAGCCATATGCAGAAAACTGAATCTGTACCCCTTCCTTACACCTTACACAAAAATTAACTCAAGATGGGTTAAAGACTTAAATGTAAGACCTAAAACCATAGATACCCCAGAAGAAAACCTAGGCAATACCATCGGGACATAGGCATGGGCAAAGACTTCATGACTAAAACACCAAAAGCAATAGCAACAAAAGCCAAAATTGACAAATGGGTTCTAATTAAACTGAAGAACTGCTGCACAGCAAAAGATACTACCATCAGAGTGAACAGGCAACCTACAGAATGGGAGAAAATTTTTGCCATCTATCCATCTGACAAAGGGCTAATATCCAGAATCTAAAAGGAACTTAAACAAATTCACAAGAAAAAAACAACCCCATCAAAAAGTGGGTGAAGGATATGAACAGACACTTCTCAAAATAAGAGATTTATGTGGCCAACAAACATGTGAAAGAAAAAAAGCTCATTATCACTGGTCATTAGAGAAATGCAAATCAAACCCACAATGAGATACCATCTCACGCCAGTTAGAATGGTGATCATTAAAGAGTCAGGAAACAACAGATGCTGGAGAGGATGTGGAGAAATAGGAACACTTTTACACAGTTGGTGGGAGTGTAAATTAGTTCAACCATTGTGGAAGACAGTATGGTGATTCCTCAAGGATCTTGAACCAGAAATACCATTTGACCCAGCAATCCCATTACTGGGTATATACCAAAAGGATTATAAATCATTTTACTATAAAGACACATGCACACATATGTTTATTGCAGCACTATTCACAATAGCAAAGACTTGGAACCAACCCAATGCCCATCAATGATAGACTGGATAAAGAAAACATGCCACATATACACCATGAATACTAAGCAGGATGGGTTCATGTTTTTTGCAGGGACATGGATGAAGCTGGAAACCATGATTCTCAGCAAACTGACACAGGAACAGAAAACCAAACACGCATATTCTCACTCGTAAGTGGGAGTTGAACAATGAGAACACATGGACCTGGAGGGAAACATCACACACTGGGGACTGTTGTGGGGTGGGGAGGCTAGGGGAGGGATAGCATTAGGAGAAATACCTAATGTAGATGACGGGTTGATGGGTGCAGCAAACCACCATGGCACATGTATAATGCCTATGTAACAAACCTGCACGTTCTGCACATGTATCCCAGAACCTAAAGTATAATAATTTAAAAAAAGAGTTTAAAATGTATTCATCATAAAAATGCTAAAGGTAGAAAACCCCTGGGAGATTGATTTTAATCTTAAGAACTGGGTTAAAAAAATGATAAAGTGTGGTTAATAAGTAATGTTTGTACATGATCAGAAAGCACCTGGTATGCTGAAGTAAGGTAATAAAATGCATTTGAAACATGCTTTCTACCACAAGCTGCTGGGTTTCTAGAGGAAATTGGCTTTCGGGGCCATAATAAAATGTTAGACTAATATTGACCTACTTTTGATTGGGAAAACTTGTCTGATTCGAGCTTATCTTTAGCAGGGGTTGATTTACATGGGAGTCCTATGTGCACCCTGTTCTGTAGGGGTTAACCTAGAGGCAGCTTAGCTTCTGCCTGCTGTTTTCTTCAGGACTCGGCAATTTTGATTAGTTTAGTTTCTTAGCTCAGAGTCACATATTTGTATCTACATAGACTTTGGGTCTTGAGTTTTAAATTATTGTTTTTGTCACTCTTCACACTTTGTCACCAGGCTAGCAGGTGAAATTCTTCTAGTCCTTTTTATTAGTCAGGATTTTCCAGAGGGACAGAACCAATAGGATATATGTATATATAAAAGTGAGTTTATTAGGGAGAACTGGCTCACTGGATTACACAGTGAAGTCCCACAATAGGCTGTCTACAAGCTGGGGAGAGAGAAGCTGGTAGTGGCTCCGTCCAATCTGAAACCCTCAAAACAAGGGAAGCCAAGAGTGCAGCCTTCAGTCTGTTGCCAAAGGCCTGAGAGCCCCTGGGAGGCCGCTGATTCAAGTCCCAGAGTACAAAGTCTGAAGAACCTGGAGTCAGATGTCCAAGGGCAGGAGGAGAGGAAGCAGGCATCTGGCACAAGAAGAAAGAGAGAGAGCAAGAGGTCCCAGCAAGCTGCTTCTCCCTCTTCTTTCACCTGCTTTGTTCTAGCCGGACTGGCAGCCAATTGGATGGTGTCCACCCGCATTGAGCGTGGGTCTTTTTCTCCCTGTTGGCTGACTGAAATGTCAGTCTCCTCTCACAGACACACCCAGAAACAGTGCTTCACCAGCCATCTAGGCCTCTCTCAATCCAGTCAAGTTGACACCTGGTATTAACCATCACATCGTTATTCACAGATAGGACAGCTTTTTCAGCACTGGCATTTGTGTAGGAAGCCCAGTTTCACCTTCCTCACTGTGGGGCACCACCCTGGTGCTGACATTAAAGACCCAGCTTGATTGAATGTATTTGTTCCCAATACTACATCAGGCAGCCTCACACTGCTTATGCTGATGGCTTGAGTTTCCTCTTCTTTTGCCACTTTAAAATTCTCTTTCTTGCTTTTGAGTGTAATTATGTATTTTAAATATTTTATTATAATTTATCCAGATTTTCTATGTATTTGGAGAGCAGAGAGACTTCTTGAATACTTCATTTTATCATCTCAACCAAAGTCCTTTCTATTTCTTTAAAAATCTGACTTTGTTAAGGAAAAACATATGTTATTACATTACTGTTTTACCCCACACATGTGTAAGGTGGCATGGATTGTTACTGAAGGGTGGTGTGCTTGTCATTGTTGCCAGGTTATGATGTCTAGAGTACTTTGTCACTGATAGGAATGAGAAAACACATGTCCTGCAATTACTATTAGGGACATCTGTCTTTGTTGACATTGTCCTAACGTAAGTTGGGAAACATTAAAACAAAGAAAATAAGACAAAGATTATTATCCTTTATTTCACTTTCAACTCTGAACCTGATGAGGCTCCAAATGTCAGTGCTTTCTTGTGTGGCGGATTTCTTACCAGCGGACACCTGAAGATGAAAAGGCTGCAGGAGAGCCTTCTATCTGTCCAGCAGAAAGTAAATTGAACATTGGACATGGTTACCCAGGCATCTGTCAGTACAGAAATCCAAGACAAATTCTTTAAAAAAAAAAAAAAAAAAAAGAGCTTTTGGATTACATATCTGAAAATTTCGAGGTGGTTCTGGCTGTAAGAAAGACTGGGTCCAGAGGTTCATTTTGTCATCTTCTGCTTTGTTTTCCTGTGAGAACAACATTCTCAGGTAACCCTGCTCCCAACCTCTGTCATGAAGTGGCCTCCTCAACTGTAGTCTTCCATCACCCCCATAGCCAGCAATTCCTGCAGAAAGAAAACTTCCTGGTTTGGGTTACATGTCTGTGCTTGTGAAATCAGTATATTTCATCTTCCTGGCCACAGTGATTATGCCAACCCCTGGCACTGGGCACTGGTTTGGTCCCAGCAGAATCACACAGTCAGAGCAGGTAGGAGTGGTTCCCCAAAGAAAAATCACTGTGCTGTAACTGGAAGAAAAGTGGATGAAATGAAATTCTGGGACAACAAAAGTGACAGATGTTGGCCAGGCATGGTGGCTCACACCTGTAATCCCAGCACTTTGAGAGGCTGAGGTGGGTGGATCGCCTGAGGTCAGGAGTTTGAGACCAGTCTGGCCAAGATGGTGAAACCCTGTCTCTACTAAACATACAAAAATTAGCCTGGAGTGGTGGTGTGCACCTGTAATCCCAGCTACCTGGGAGGCTGAGGCAGGAGAATCACTTGAACCTCGGAAGCAGCGGTTGCAGTGAGCCTAGATTGCACCATTGCACTCTAGCCTGGGTGACAACGGTGAGATTTTGTCTCAAAAAAAAAAAAGTGGACACATGTTCACTGCAGGCAAAGCAGATCTTTGTCATGAGAAGAGGGTGAATGTTTGAAGGATTTAACTACCAAAATTTGGATTTGCTCCATCACAAAAGCCTCGTTTTTAAACATTCTGAAAGTTTTTATTGCCCTGCTGGGTAAAAGAAACCACATACAATTGGACAGATGATGGTAAAGCTGTGTGATCTAAACTTTACAGGCTGTTTTAGGTTTTCTTGCAAAGGAACAAATTGTACCAGACTCTCTGTCATATTACATTAATTCCAGAGTTGCTGATGTTTCTTCTAGTTTTAAAAGCAGATTTTAAGGAAATGGACAATTATTTCATTTCCTTTAGCATCCGACTCAGTGAAATTACTGACATCTCTCAGCACAGCAAGCTCCTGGTTTTCCTTCATCCAGTGCAACTGGTTCCACCTGACAAGAATTTCTGTTGTGCGAGCCCCTTTTGGATACTTCAAAGATTCCTGCTGTCTTTGAAAGAGTGAAAAATTACCATTCCAAACAACGCTTCAAGTGGAAGTGAATCTTGACCTTCTGTGCACCTGGAGAACTCCTCTGATGCTTAGCAACATATCTGGTTTGCTCCTTTGGGAGAAAGAAGCTGCACAAGGAAGATGGCTCCTTGACTTTTGCATCAGCATGGATTGGCCTTGGCCAGAGGAAGCCTTGTCTACTGCTGTCTACTCCTGCAGAGCCACAGCCTAGAATTACCTCCTTTTTGAGAAGTTCTCCCAAGAATTGGAGGCAGACTATCAAGTTTTTCTCTACTACAAAGGAGGTCAATGATGCTAGAAGACAAGTTTGAGTTCTTCAAAATGTCCACCTTCTGTTTGAGAGAGAGATAAGAAGAGCCCACTCAGTGAGTAGACTGGGAGTGGTCATTTTTTGTCTTGGCTTACTTGGTGTATATTTTTGGCTTTACCAATGATGCAAACTTTAGTATTCAAAACACTGCAGGCAATGTTAAGTATGCTGCAACTGGACCAGAGAGGAACATGGTGAGAGTGGAAGAAGAAATTGGAGGAGTACAACTATATGCACTTTGCAGAAGTGGAGGAGGTGTTGAGGCAGGCTTTTTATCACTTTCTCTGCAGGCAAAAGTCACCTGGAAACACTATGAAACTCCTTTGAAGGGTACTTTTCAACCCATGTGACTTCAAAATTAAAAGTAGATTTATAATCCCTTTTTTTCTGATAGAAGCTACATCAGGGACACAAACCCTGCTAAAGATGACCTCATTAACTTCAGAACAAAAGAAATAATACAAATGCATTCAACTAGCAGGATTTTGAAGAAATCCTCTTCTTTTTTTTCACATAAATGTGTCTTTAATCTGACAAAGTGAGAGATGGGAGCTCTGATTTTACCTGCTCCTACAATCTTTGAGTCCAGGCTTTCACTTGTGGTTGTCATTAATATGCAAAGTCAAAACTGGCAGAATGTCAAAGACTGTCTTGTGATTTCAGCTTCTTACTCGAATAAAATAATATGTTTCTCATGAAGATACATGTTTATACATTTTAGATGTATTTGTTTTCAGGAAGTGGCCATTATTTTGCTTTTGCATAGAAATAATAGTGGATTATGTAATTCTGTGTAAAAAGTGCCTTTAATAAGTCTGTTTATATAAAAGTAATCTCCAGCGCTCTTTCTCTACCTCTGCCCTCAAGGTTGGGCAGGGAGGAGAGGAATTGCAGGAAATGGAACAAAAGTCCTTCTGCTTAGTATGCCAGGCATGGTGGTCTACTTAGTAGGCTCATGCCTGTAATCCCGGCAATTTGAGAGGCCGAGGCAGGCAGATCGCTTGAGCCTAGGAGTTCAGACAAGCCTGGGTAACGTGGAAAAATCCCGTCTCTACAAAAAAAAAATGAAAATTAGCCAGGCATGGTGGTATATACCTGTAGACCCAGCTACTCAGGATACTGAGATGGGAGGATTGCTTGAATCTGGGAGGCGGAGGTTGCAGTGAGCCATGATCATACCACTGCACTCCAGCCTGGGTGACAGAGTGAGACCCTGTCTCAAAAAAAAAAAAAGTTTTTCTGCTTAGTTGGTGCACTTTGACTGGCTTCTCTTGACCTGAACATATGACAGGCATTCAAATGCTGGCTGTCTCTCTCTTGGGATGAGGTACAGGCACTTTTCTCCTATAACATTTCCTCATGTGGGCAACGATGTGCTTCTCCTCTTCGGATGCCTTCCTTGAGCTCTGCCTGGCAGTCCCCCCCATTCCTCTTTTTTAGTGCCCAGTTCCCCTTGCTCGAGCAAGCAGTCCTCTTAGGGGAGCCCAATCAAGAAAGCATAAGCCTGCCAGCTTTGCGGTGCCCATCTGGAAAACTCCTGCAGAGTTTATCTGCTCTGTTCCCCCCACCCAAGACTGTTCCCTCTGCTGCCCCCTTTCTTGGCCCCACAGCTTTCAAAGTTCTCCTGGCAGGAAGCCAGCACTACCCTCTGTGTCTATCTCTGTCCCCAGATTCCAGAACATACTGGCCAAACTCTCTCAATACCACTCCCACTGTGGACCCACGGAGTTCCAGGGCCCAGAGTCCATAGCGTGATGAACATGCATGGGGAGGAAGTTCTGTCTTTCCTTCTTGCAGGTATTCCTAATTTCTGTATTTGGTTTTCTTGGGGCTTCCCTCACTTGGTTTACAGCAGCAGGGAGAGAAGCATTCACTGTTCCCCCTATCGGAGACGGGAGACACCCAAGCATGAGCTTTACTTCGATGGTACTCTTCAGTCTTTCAGATTTCTAGTTTCATTTTATATAAGCCTGAGGTTAAAAATGGGGCCTGACAGTTGCTAGGCTGGTTCTGCTGTATGTTAGTACCTCTGGCACAGATTTTTCCGATATCTTACTTCAGAATATATTGCCCAATGTTCTCCAATGTAGAGCTTTGGCTGAAATTTTGAGATGAGGAGGAAAGGTGTAAATATTTGAATAAATGAATGAATGTTTATCTCACAGTGATTTATAAAAGTGAAAAACTAGAACCATCCTAAAAGTCCTTCAGTCAAGAATTTGCTAAACAAATTGTAGTATTCATTATACACATTGTGTGTTTGTTGACATAAAAGACACTTGTGATATGCTGTTAATACTTTTTAAAAAGAACAGTGTATAGTCTAATCTCATTTTGGTTGAAAAACATATGGGAAGGGTCACTGAAAAATATGTTATCTCTAGGTGTGACATTATGGGGATTTTATTTTCCAGCTGATTTCTGTGTTTCTTGAATTGTTTTACATTGAGTTTTTTTTACATTAATTGAGAACAAAGGCAATGATGGGATTTACTTTTTTTTTTTTTTTTTTTTTTTTGAGATATGGTCTTGCTCTGCTGCCCAGGCTGGAGTGCACTGGCACAATTACAGCTCACTGCACTCTTGACCTCCCAGGCTCAATCCTCCTGCCTCAGCCTCCTGAGTAGCTGAGACTACAGACATGTACCACCATGCTCAGTTATTTTTTTTTAAAAGACAGGGTCTGACTAAAATTTAATTTCTATATTTAAAAAAATTTAAAAAGCAGGGCTACAGACTGGCAGATAAGCTATCGAAGAGGGAGGAAGAAAATGTGGCAGCTGAGCTGGGAGAGACAAGAGAGGCATCTAGGGCATAAGATGTAACGCTCAAGGTTGTGCAAATGACCTGAGGCAAGTGGCCTGAGGGTGAAGGCTGTATTACATTTGCACCCTACATGCCTCTCTTGACTAACCCTATTCCCAGCCTTGTTGAAAAGAAACCAAAAAGAACGAAACGTGGAAGGTAGTACTCTGTCCCCACAGATTACCACCGTAGATATAAAGGTTTGGATGTCCCTTAAAGTCTAGTTTCTGTAAAGATAACCAAGGCACTTACCCTTGCTCTCCGCTTTATCTTCTTTCATAGGTTAGGGATAAAAGGAATATCTTATTGACACAGGAATTTTCTCTCAGCCCCTTTGCTGGACTCGCAGCAGGTGCATCCTGTCTACTTGGCCTGCCACACTCAGTCCCTTGTGGGAGGGAGAATGTGAGAGAGCGAGTGCAGGAGCCAGCTGGCCACTCCAGGTGCCAACACAGGAGTAAGCTCCATGTGGGGCCTGCAGCCAGACCAGGAGTGTCACCTTGAGGGGAACATGCTGTTGCCCAGGCAAGGGTGCCTGCAACTCTGAAGCCCCAGAAGGGATGTTAGTGTGCTAATGAGCTCTTTTAGTTCCCCCGTCCACAGCTCAATGGATGGCAGTGTGTTGGCAGCTCAGTCGGCCCCTGGCCCTGTCACATGGAGTGGCTACTCTCTGCCGGTGAGGGCAAAAGGTCAGTGTGACAGCCTTTCTGTGTACCTGCACTCAGTGGGTCCTGAGCTCTTGTCCAGCATCCAAGAAGAATGAGGATATGCTGACAATAAAACAGTGAGCAAAGCAGAAGTTTCATCTAGTGACAAAACAGCTTTCTGTGGAGAGGGGACACAGGGGTGGTCCCCCTACTTGAAGACAGGAAAGTCCCCCCAATGTGGCTGAGTCTGGAGCTTTTATGAGCTTAGAATAGGGGAAGGGCAGGCCATAGCTAGTATTGGAAAAGGCAACATTCAATTGGTTAAAAGGCATTATTCAGAAAGAATCAAATGGGAAAGGGCAGGCAAACAGGAACAGAAGTTCTCACCCTGTGTCACAGGTTTCATCTGGGACCAGCAGTCTGATCTTTCAGGCTTCAGGCTGTTTTTTTGGCTTGAAGGTGGGGTTTTACCGGGGACCCACCCCTATCTGCCTAGGCATTTGGCTGACTCTTGTTGCTATCATTATCAGTTCTTTACTGTTAACAACTCTAAAATTTAATTCTAAATTCCTTTTCAAACTCCACTATTGTTTTAGCCTGAACAACCTCACCATCAACTTACAACTATTTTTCCAACCTGTTAACTTGCCGTCATGACAGGTGTCTTGGCAATGACTTA
This sequence comes from Homo sapiens, assembly GCF_000001405.40. NCBI lineage: Eukaryota > Metazoa > Chordata > Mammalia > Primates > Hominidae > Homo > Homo sapiens. The sequence continues at coordinate 106,418,637 of NC_000006.12, forward strand.
GGTTCATAATTGTAGATTCAGTAGATATTTGTTATATGTATAGAGTAAGCATTGTACCATTGAAGCAATGTTATTCGTCTGGGGTAATATCCGAGGTTTGTTGCCTCATGCCAAGGAAATCAAGGACATGGACACACATGTGGAATGAGGTTAAGAGCAGAGGTTTAATAAGTGAAAGACAGAGAAAAGAGAATAGTTCTGTCTCCTGCAGAGAGGGGCACCCGAGTGGGTCTTCTGGTCCCATGGTAAAGTGCACGGGGTTTTATAGACTGGCTTGAGGAGGCAGTGTCTGATTTACATAGGGCCTAAAGATTGGCTGGACCAGGCATGATGTTCACATAGTACATGAATAAGCTGGCCACCCTACCCTAATCTTTTATTATGCAAATCGGTTTTTTCCTGGCCAGTGCCATGTTGTCTGCCCCTTACTGTACACATGGTTGACAAAGAAAAGGGAAGATGGAGCCGCCATGTTGAACATGCCTAGCTCCCAGGTAGCATTTTTCCTATTGAAACAGCTGCTGGCATTCACCTGTACAAGCTTCCACCTTGCTTATCTATGTCTGCAGCTCAATTTTACAGGCTGCTCTTTGTTAGAAAAGAAATGATTTGGAGGCTGCTTTTCATTAAAAGGGAAACCTTACCAAGGACTTTCGTACCCTTACTAACTGCCTAACTTCTTTTTAACTCCTATGTCACCATGAGAAAGACAAAGAAATATAAGAATAAAACCTAACTCTTCCAAGTTTTGCTTGTTGGTTTTTGAGACAGGGTCTCACTCTGTCACCCAGGCTGGAGTGCAATGGTGTGATCACGGCTCACTGCAGCTTCAACCTCCTGGGCTCAAGCAGTCTTCCTACCTCAGCTCCCTGAGTAGCTGGGACTACAGGCACACACAACTGTGCCAGGTGAATTGTTAAAATTTTTTGTAGAGATGGGGTCTCACTATGTTGCCTAGGCTGGTCTCAAACTCTTGGGCTCAAGCAATCCTCCCAACTTGGCCTACCAAAGTGCTGGGATTACAGGCGTGAGCCACCCCACCTGGCCTCCTTACAAGTTTTTAAGTGATTAGGGGGTCATACCAGAGAAGTTAAATACAGAAATGTTCTATTATGCCACTCACTCAAAAGATAGCCTCCAGCAAGCTCCACTCTGACTTATAATCAAGAATCTTGAGGCAGGAAAAAAATCATCTGAGCAGACAAATATAACTCTTTTGAAGTCTCTATTCCTTTCCATACAGAAAGCTGAAGTTGTCTCTAGGCCAGATGATATTGATTTCAAATTGTGTATCTATAAAGTCACTGATCTAATCAGCTTGGCTCTCTGATTTACTCTGTGGGTCTTCCTGAATCTAGCAGATGAGAAACCTTTAACATCAACTTACAACAAGGCATGAGTCCCACAGAAGTCCTCCCAGCTGGCTCTGACTGTGCAATGCAGTAATTTTGTACATTTTGATATCACTCCAAGTATTGAAGTATAAACTGAAAAGTGACTGAGGCAGGTCTCAAAACAAATACAAGTTTATTTAGCCAAGGTTGAAGACACACCCAGGAAAAAATATAAGCATACAGGAGCATTGGTGACCTGTGCTTTTTCTAAACGGGGCTTTGGGAACTTCAGTATTTAAAGAGGAAAGAGCAATCTGGAGGGAAAAAAAGAGAGGGTCATAAGGCAGATGGCTACGTTCTTGCAGGCTCTGATCAGTCTCAGTAAATCTACATTTTACATGTAAAAAGAGGAATGGAGGAAAAAGTAATTACACATTGTCTTGTGCTCAGTAAGTCTGCATTTTACATAAGATAAACATGTGAAAAGAGGGAGTAGAGTAAATGAAGCCATGACACAAGGTTGTGAAATGACATCTGTCTGTTTGGGAACAAAAACAAAGCACATTTTGCATGCCTCAGTTCCCAAGCTTAACTTCCCTTTGGCATAGTGAGTTTGGGGTCCTGAGATTCTATTTTTCTTCACAGAAGGAAAAGATGAAGTACCTTCAACATACTCTGAGGGCAAAGAAGCACATAATCCCTTTGGCAAAAATTTCTGTCAAAATGGTTGTGTCTGGCTGGTCTGAGTGCAGTGGTGTTTACAACTAATTGATCACAACCAGTTACAGATTTCATTGTTCCTTCCCCACTCCTACTGCTTCACTTGACTTGCCTTAAAAAAAAATAATTAGAAAAAAAAGGTTGTGTTTTTTGGTAAAGTTACATTTTTGGTAAGCCTCTATTTTCTAGTACTTCCATGTATGGGTAGAGCCTCAATTGCTGATAATGCCAAATACCAGAGGAGTCAGGGTAAGAGTGAAATGTGCCAACAGAGCAGCGAGGAAAGTAAGAACCCTGGACCTGTTCAAATGGGAGAGACCTCTGAGCTTCCTGCGATTGTGGGGAGGATTCCTGAGGGTATGGGTCTGTGCTGGAATGGGGACAGGAAGCCATCCCACTTTGAGAATCTGAGGCAATCAACACACTTAGGAGATCTGGAGTGCAGTGCACTTGAGGCCAAGGAAGGTGAACAGATGAGATGATTGTTACTATTTAGGCCTCAGGGTATAAGATCCTGGATTTAAGAGGCAACAAAGGCAGTGGAAAGTAAGAGTCAGATATGAGCATAAGAATGGAGGGAGAACCATGATGAGGCAGCAGTTGGCTGGATGTGAATGGCATGGGAATAGAAGAGTGGAAAGCAGTTCCAAGGTTTCAAGTCTGGGTGATGCATTACCCTTGCCATGCCCTTGACAGAACTTCATGTAAAATCATTTTTGGCAGTGGGGAAGATGGGGTGGCAGAAACCATAGTGTTTTATATATGTTCAGTTCAAGATGGTTGAGGTCCCTATCTGGATACTCTCTTTAGGAATTTGGGTTCGGAGGGCTTTTAGTACCACTAGAGCTGAGCCTAGAGAGTAGGGTCTCTTCATGAGGCCCTCCAAAGGGGAGGGCTTTGCATGAATGTCATTTGGACCCTGTCTCAGATGTGACTCAGTCTTGTCCTGTTAATCTATGGGCTAGGATCTCAACATTCCTGTGGTTTCTTTCTGCTCTCACATTGTCCATTTTTGGCATCCACAGCTGTATTAGTCCATTTTTGCGCTGCTGATAAAGACATAACCTGAGACTGGGCAATTTACAAAGGAAAGAGATTTAATGGAGAACTCACAGTTCCACTTGGCTGGGGAAGCCTCACAGTCATGGTGGAAGGCAAGGAGGAGCAAGTCACATCTTATGTGGATGGTAGCAGGCAAAAAAAAAGAGCTTGTGCAAGGAAACTCCCATTTTTAAAACCATCAGATTTCCTGAGACCCATTCACTATCATGAGAACAGCATGGGAAAGACCCACCTCCATGATTCAGTCATCTCCCACCAGGTCCCTCCCACAACACATGGGAGCTACAAGATGAAATTTGGGTGGGGACACAGAGCCAAACCATATAAACTCCAGATTCAGCTTTCTTTCAGTGTTCTGGGCCTTGATGTCAGTCTGTGGGTTTTTTCTGACCTCTTCTCATTAGAATTGGTGACTCCCTTTTGGATTCCTGCAGCCTATCCACACATATTTCCTTTATGGCCACAATCCTATTAGAACTTAGTCTTCACATGACCAAGTAGTTGTTAAATTCTTGAGTGCAGGGATCTTGGTTTAATACCTTTCTAATCAAAATCCCAATAGGGTTTTGTTATTTATTTATTTATTTATTTATTTTTGAGACATGGTCTCACTTGGTCACCTAGGCTGGAATGCAGTGGCACCATCATGTCTCACTGCAGTCTTGACCTCCCCAAGCTCAGGTGATCCTGCCACCTCAGCCTCTGAGTAGCTGGGACCACAGGCCTGAGCCACCATGCCCAGCTAATTTTTGTATTGTTTTTTAGAGAGCGTGTTTCACCATATTGCCCAGGCTGATATTGAACTTCTGGCCTCAAGTAATCCACCCCCCTCCCAGCCTCCCAAAGTGCTGGGATTATAGGTGTGGGCCACCCCATCTGACCTATTTGTTCAAGAATTTTAAAACACATATTTCATCATCTTCTGCTACTGTGACTTGGGACAATTCATGTTGCATGCCTTCATTTACTCACTCATTCCATAATGTTTATTTGGGGGATGTTGAAAGATGGTTCCTGCCCTTAAGGGGTTCTTTTCAAGTAATGGGGACTGAGTCAACAGCTGGATAAGGAAGTGATAATGCTATCAACAAGGCACCATGGGAGCATGATTAGGTGCCCAAAACTAGTGTGAATCACATTATCACCCTTTTTAGGAGCTTCATTTTAGAAGTGAAGTAGATTAAAAGTGGCTACTTTTTAAAGGCCTTCAGAGATGGATAGTGATTAAAATACTCTGGAAGTGAATTGCTCCCGTAGATAAGTTCCACAAAGCCTTGGAGGATATCAGACCACCATTTGGTAATTTGCTATCTTGATGTAGTTACTTCTTGGTGTTATGGAAAGAATCCATTTACCTTTTAATGAATGATCCCTTGATCTACAGAAAATAATGAATTGACTTCAGAGAATCACAGTTGGGTTGAAATAGTAGCAGGATTAATATTACCTGCAGACTAAAAGAAACTTGCCTCATCAAAGTAAGTGCTAGAGTTGGCTGGTTTTTTTTTTTTTTTTTTTTTTTCGCTATCAATAAAACCTTTCATAACCAATACATTTTGCTAAGTTACCTCCTGGCCACAGTTCAATCATTCAACTTTAAAATCTTCCTTTGCATTGGCTAGAGTCACAGAATTAAAAAAAAAAATTCCTTTATCTTTCTTAAATTCTGTAAATTAAAAAGTTTGATCTGTAGAGCAATTTCCATGTAAAACTGCAGCAGAAACATTTTTACCTGTGTTATAGATATAAGCATAACATTTATGCTATTTATGTCAGTTCAAGAGCTGCATTGAAGCACTAGAATGATATAAGTTTGGCTCTAGTGAACTTTTCCAGTTGAACTGTGGAGGTACTATTTTTTAAATACTAAAGGATTTAATTCACTTTTACTTTTTAAATCTCCTCTTCTCCTCCAGCCCTCCAGTCCTCAGTTCTCCCTCCCCTTTTTTTTTTTTTTTTTTTTTTTTTTTTGAGACAAGGTCTCACACTGTCACCAAAGCTAGAGTGCAATGGTGTGATCACGGCTCACTGCAGCCTCAGTCTCCGGGGTTCAAGTGATCCTCCTGCCTCAGCCCCTCAGTGGCTGGAACTACAGGCCCACACCACCATGCCTGGCTAATTTTTGTATTTTTTGTAGAGACGGGGCTTTGCCACATTGCCCAGGCTGGTCTCGAACTCCTGGGCTCAAGCAATCTGCGCACCTCGGCCTCCCAAAATGCTGGGATTACAGGTGTGAGCCACTGCGCCCAGCCTCTCCCTCCTTTCCTTCTCTCTCTCTCATGATTTAAGATAACCTAATATGCAAAAGGCAAAATATTAGAAACAAAGCAAAGGATTGTTTGCATTACAAAGTGTCTCCACTTTTTGAAGTAATTTAACTTCTTTTAACTAGCAAGCTATACATAATAATTGGTTTATAAAATTTCATATCCAAACTACGTTTCTAGGAACTCATAGTACAAAACACAATAAAATGTATTTTTTTCTCCTATTTGGCACCCTCTTTGAAGGATAATCAGTCAATTGGCTTTTCCTAAGCTTTCAAACAAAAATACAAACATTATTAACAATGTATATTTCAATAAAAACCTAATGATTACACAAGACCATTTTACTTACATGACATGACCATTTTACTCATCCTCCCTTCCCACTGCATATGGCCTGGAGGACCAACCCCAGAAGGAGGCTACTGTGAGAACTGATTACCCACCACCTCTTTTTTTTAAGATGATTTTTACTCTTGTCACCCAGGCTGGAGTGAAATGGTGCAATCTCAGCTCACTGCAACCTCCGCCTCCCAGGTTCAACTGATTATCCTGCCTCAGCCTCCCGAGTAGCTGAGATTACAGGCACCCACCACCTTGCCCAGCTAATTTTTGTATTATTAGTAGAGACGGGGTTTCACCATGTTTGCCAGGCTGCTCTCAAACTCCTGACCTCAGGCGATCCGCCTGCCTCAGCCTCCCAAAGTGCTGAGATTACAGGCATGAGCCAATGTTCCCGGCCTACCCACCTCCTCTTAAGAGACCATCAGGACTAACACCACCAGTCCTGTCTGCCCGTCACCACAGAAGTCCAGCCTCTCTGCACTCCTTGTCATTGGCATCTTCACCCTATACTTTCTGGAGACTCCTCACCTCTGCCTCACCCTCAAGTCCTTCCACTGTGTCCTCTGGAACTTGGAGTGCATCATCAGAAAAATCCCGCAGACTCTCTGAGGTGCCTCCTTTCTCTGAGCAAAACCTGTACCTCCCCTGAGGATGTTACCTTTCTTGCCTCCCTCGTCAGCACCAGCATTGACCATCTTTCCTTTCTCAGCTCTACCTGTCACCCAGTGGAGAAAGAGGTATTTTTCTTGCTCCTCCTGGCTCTTTCCAGACCCTTATTCTGCCTACTTCCTCAGCCCCTTGGGAATACATGCCATCTTTGCTACATTCTAGTCCTCCTGAGTGCTGCCCCTCATTCAATGAGGAGTAACACCTGAGCCACCCTCTCTCCTTCCAGCTCTGTTGGAAGTGATTTCAGTATCCAAGTAGAGGACCCATCCTTGCACCTTTGCTTCTCAGTTTCGCTGCCTGTCCCACCTCCGCCACACTCACTGTTATCTTGTCATTACCAGCAATTTTATGACCTCCAAAACCTCAATTTATCCTACTCCTTGACATTCTATACTTGCAGTTAACTCCCTTCAGTGTAGGGTTTTTGGTCCATTATCATCATGCCTTTGCATACAGCCTCAGCTCCCTCACCCCCTATCTTATTACAGTCATCTGGGAAAATTCCAATACTGACATATGCAGTTCACTAACTAAATACACTTTCTAACGCAATGTGACTGGAGAAAAGTTCACAGCTATGTTGACTGGTTTCACTTTATCTGTTTATTTATTTATGAGACAGAGTTTCGCTCTTGTCATTCAGGCTGGAGTGCAATGGCGTGATCTCGGCTCACTGCAACCTCCGCCTCCCAGGTTCAAGCAATTCTCCTGCCTCAGCCTCCTGAGTAGCTGGGATTACAGGTGTGTGCCACCACACCTGGCTACTGGCTAATTTTTATATTTTCAGTAGAGACAGGGTTTCACCAGTTGGCCAGGCCGGTCTTGAACTCCGGACCTCAGGTGATCCACCTGCCTCAGCCTCCCAAAGTGCTGGGATTACAGGTGTGAGCCACCGCTCCCAGCCAGTTTCACTTTAAATTCATGACCACATATGCTGCATGGGCCCTAAGTGCTGACCTTGCAATCCTACTGTATTTCCTTACATCTTTTATTCTCCCATCTCTTCATCTCTCCTCAAAACTGTAAACATCACTCCCCATCTCAGCTGATGCCCTTGCTTTTTATTCTGAGAAAACTAAATATATCATATAGAATCCCACACCCACCACCAACTTGTCTTAATTTGTACCCGTGTCCTCAACTTTTCTCCTATTGTTATGGATGTCCATCTTCATGTCTAAGTCAAGCCTTTCACTCGTGCTCCTGACCCCATGCCCTCTCACCTACTCAAAGTTCCCTCCTTCCCAAGTCATTATTCTTCCTTTCTCTACTGGGGCATTCCTATCAACATACAGATGTGCTGTAACATCATATATCTTAAACACACACACACACTTTCCTAGACCCCACAGCCACTCATTTATCTGATCCTCTTTACAGAGAAAAAACCCACAGAAGAGTGTTTATACTTGCTATTTTCGTTTCCTCTTATCCCACTTTCTTCCCCTTTCTGATTGGAACCCACTCCAATTGGGCTCCTCTGAAACAGTCTATGAGGGTCTTGAGGTCTCAAATGGATGCCTAATTAATGACACTCTTTTCTTTTTTTCAAACCCACAGCCAACATCAGAATAATACTATTTCTTGCCTGGGTTCTAGACAGATTAGGAGAGCTCAGGTGTCCCCAGTGGGCAGAGTCTGCCCCTGGAGAAGCAGAGGAGAATGCCTGTTCCCTGCACGCAGCTGGCTCCTAAGAGGAGGAAGAATGCACCAGGCATGCTCGTTAATTCTACCCAAATTTATGAACCAGAGAAGTCACTGTCTCCACAGAGGCAGAGAGAGAAGAGGGACTAAGAGTTGCCTAAATGAATTCCTTCAACATGGAAGGAAACATCAGGTTAAGGGGCTGTCATTTACTTCCATGCTGCCAAATTCAGTAATTAATTCTTAGACCTCATTTTACTCAAATTATCAGCAACATCTCGCAACGCCTCCAGGTTTCCTTTTTTTTCTCTGGTGTCCTATGACACTAGGCCCTTCTCACTTTCCTCCTGTCTCCATGAACTCTCTTTTTGCCTCTTTTGCTGGTTATTCCTCCTCTTCCCAACTTTGAAATGTGGAAGGGCCTCAGGGCTCAGTTCTTGGAGCTCCTTTCTCTCTGCATTTACTTTCTAGGTGAGCTTTCTGGACTTACAGCTTTAGATCATCTGTATGATTCTGACTCCACGTTTATATCCCCAATATCCATCTCTGTCTGCATCCCAGACACATGTGTCAAACAGCCTTCCCAGCCTCTCGACTTGAATGTCTAATATGCTTTTGTAATATATTAAATAACAGGTCTAAAACCCAACTATTGATTAATTCTCTCCCAAGACCTGCTCCTTCCTGATTGTTCCCTATCTCAGTAAATCTAAATAATTCAGTATTTCAGGCCCCCAAATCTTGGAATCATCCTGGAAACCTTTCGTCCTCTTACACCCCACCTTCATTCTGTCAGTATCATTCTATCATTAAAATATGTCTAGAATCTGACCACACTTCTTAGCTCATTCCCAGCTGCTATCATCTTAGTCCATTCTTCTGTGATGTCTAGCTTGGATTATTCAAAGAGCAGCCTTTGTGGTCTTCCTGTTTTGTCTCCCGCTGCCCTACTGTCTCCACCGAAGTCAGTTCTCTATGTATTAGAGAGATTCTTTTATTTTTTTAATTAAAAAACATTTTTTTCCTCAGAGGGATTCTTGAAAAACCTAAATGTGATGGTGTTTTCCCCCTGCTCAAAACCCTTCAGTGCTTCCTCATTACACTCAGAATAAAATCCAGAACTACCTGGCTCATGTCCTAGTCCCTAAAACTGCATCACCTCCTGCCTCTGTCTGCCTCTTGCAGCTCTCCCAGGCACGCTTGGCCTTTTTCACTTTCTGGACCGCATCGAGCTCAAGCCTTTGTGCTTGCTGTTCCCTCTGTATGGTAATGCTCTTCCCCAGATGTGTGCTTGGCTCATCTCCCTCACATTATTTAAGTCTCTGTTCAAACATTTTCCTCCTGAGAGACCTCTGTTCATCTGCTCTTAAGACAGTACCTTCCATCACTTTATCGCCTGAAGCCACTTCATTTTTCTTTGTAGAACTTATCAATACCTGACATTATAATTAATATTAGCTTTCTTTTGTGTTTATTCTGTGTCTCTCTCATTCAGAAGTAAGCTCCCTGATGGTATTTTATTCACTGTGGTAAGTCACACAAAAATATGTTTTTGTTGAAAGAATTAGTGAATATTTCCATTGAATTGGACATAGTATATTAGAAATTGGTCAGACATTAAAAATTAACTATCTCCACTCTTCTCACTTTTTTATGTCTTATGTAAACAACCAATATGATGGATAATAATATCTGGTATATTTTACTTTTCTTTTTTTTTAATTGACTTCTTTAGACTTTCAGATCTGCTATATTTTCTTTGGAACGTTGAAGGCAGTATACTCATGTGATATATAGTAAAATGTTTCTGGGAAACTTATAAGAATTAAAATTTGTAACGAGGTTTGCAGTTGACAAAGTGCAATCACATGTACTATCCCATTTAATTCCTCTAACAACCCTGTGTTGTGTTGTATGGTCATCCTTATTCTACAGGTGAAGAATCTTAAAGTCAGAGAGAGAAAGTATCTTGCCTAAGGTGATACAGTTAGACACGGCAGAGTTGGCATTTATGTAAGGTCTTCTGATACCACATCAGATTCTTATTTTACTCTAGGAACACAAAGAAAATATTTGGCATAAGGCAGGTGTTTCAGTCCTTCAGTTCATTGTCATTTCTGTGCATCAAAGCATCACCCCAAATTCTAGCCCAATTTGGCAAAGCTAAGAGGCTGTGAAGGAGCTTTGTGGCAGTAAGAGATCAGGTGTTCTCAGTTGAGGCATCTTCTCCAACTTTTTATCAGATAAACCAGAGTATCCTTTCCCTTGATCTTTTGAGAATGCAAATTGCTCATTGAAGTTCTAGAAACAACCCAAGCTGCTGTTCACTTGGTATTAGAACAACTTCTCTTTATGGAGATTTTTACAGTGTTTTAGACTCCTTGAAATGGATAAAACTAATCTGTAAGGCTGGCAGAGTTGATGACCTGAACATTTTAACCTTTGGCAAAATTATTTTCCTTTCATTTCCTTCTATTTTCCGTCTCTATGTGGAATATATCACCTATTAGCCTTGCTAATCAGGGCTATGCCCTCTCTGAATAATGAAAGGATGACATGTGCTTGAGTAGGGGGAGAGTTGATCTGGATAAATCATTGGAATGAGATGGTTGTGCCTCAGTTCTTCCTTTTATAAAACAAATACTCTTTTAGGGACTATAAAATAAACTAACAAAAGGAAAATGTCCATGCTGTATGTGGGAATTTCTCCCACATCCATATATATATATATAATTCTAGAGGAACTATGTGGCATGAGATGAGACTGGCCAAACACCATAGTTTAAATGCAAAAGGATGCCAAATTGCATACAAAATACTTTAAGTCACTTACTCTAGGCCAAAATATGGCTTTTATTTTTAGCTATTGCTGTGGGATATATTCCTTTCTGAGCATGAAAGTAACCAAATGATGAAACCATTTTATTATTAAAGGTGGAGGCCTTATAGTACAGTAAATAGTTAAACAGCTTTCAGATCACGCCGGACAGGTTCAGATCCCAGCTCCACAACTTCCTGTGGACTGTAGGCCCATTACTTAACCTCTTTTAGTCTCAGTTTCCTCCTCTGCATAAAATGCAAGTAATAACACCTATCTCACAGGTTTGTTGTGAGTATTAAATGAGGTAACAGATGTAAAATGCATACTTAGCACAGTGCTGGGGCTGTAGCAATCACTGGATAAAATGTAGTTATTACTATTAAACTAAAATTGTCAAGGTGCTTAGTACTATTGAGTTGATTCTTTATTTGTCCTCTCCTACTGCCCTGTTCATTTAAAATAGTAAGAGATCAATTCAGAAATATATTACATATTATTTTTAAAAATCCTCTTTGAATATATCCATCATTTCTAAAATATATTTAGATTTCAGGTTTCTCCTAATAAATGCTTAGAACAACTGGATTTTCTATGGATGATTTTCATAAGAAATGACCCAGTATAATATTTTTATTAAAAATTGATTTTAGACTGGGCATGGTGGCTCAGGCTTATAACTCCCAGCACTTTGGGAGGCCAAGGCAGAAGGATCACTTGAGTCCAGGAGTTTGAAACCAGCCTAGGCAACGTAGCGAAACCCCCATCTCTACAAAAAAATTTAAAAATTAGCTGGATGCAGTGGCTCACGCCTGTGATCCCAGCTACTTGGGAGGCTGAGGCTGCAGTAAGCCATGATGGTGCCACTACACTCCAGACTGGGCAACAGAGCAAGAACCTGTCTCAAACAGAAAAAAAAAGAAAGAAAAAGGATTTTAGCACAAGGCTATGTGACTTCAGCCTGCTTCGGTTATCTATTGCTGCATAACATCTACCCCCACATTTGGCGAACTAAAATAATGATTCTTTATTGTTTGTAATGATTCCATGCATCTGGGACTTTCTGAGGTGGGAACGTGTAACATGGCTCCTACAGTCACATGCCTGATGCGTCAGCTAGGGTGGCTTGAATAGTGGCAGCTGGCTGAGCCACTCCACTGGGGTCACATGTATGGGGCCTCAGTTCTTGTTGTCTGTTGGGTTCAAAGTTTCTTCCCATATTATCTCGTGGCCTTTCCCTCTCCATGGGGCGTCTGTAGCCGGGTAGCTGCACCTCTTACAAGCAGCTCAGGAGAGGAAAATAACTATGCTTCAACATGAAGAGCAGCATGCAGTACAGAGAGGGGGCAATTGTCGGAACTGTCTTTGTTTTTGTTTTTGTTTAGAGATGGAGTCTCGCTCTGTCACCCAGGCTGCAGTGCAGTGGCGTGATCTCGGCTCACTGCAACCACCACCTCCCGGGTTCAAGTGATTCTCATGCCTCAGCCTCCCGAGTGGCTGGGACTACAGGTGTGTACCACCATGCCTGGCTAATTTTTGTGTTTTTAGTAGAGATGGGGTTTCACCATGTCAGCCAGGCTGGTCTCAAACTCCTGACCTCAAGTGATCCACCCGCCTCAGCCTCCCAAAGTGCTGGGATTACAGACTTGAGCCACCACACCCGGCGTAGGGACTGTCTTTGGAGGCAAGTTACCACAGCCTCCTAAAAATGAATTCATTTAGTCCTCTGCCATGTAGTCTCCTAAACCCCACTTTGGAATAAACCTCTCTCAAAATAGTCAGCAACCTGCTTAGGTATGATATAAGTACATTCTTAGCTGGACACTTTAATCTTTCATTTAGTGCAGATTCTTTCCTCACACAGTCTTTCTAAACTAAAGCATTTAGATTCTAAGCCATCTTGAGAATGATGTCTGAGTTACACTGTAAGATAAGGAGATAATTCAGCATCACGCGATATACCTTTGGGACAAGCCTGCTCAAGCCCCCCAGTTCTAAAATAAAAGTTGAAAAAAAAATAAGATGAGATTATAAACCTAGATGGGCAAATAACTTGCTTGTTCCAGTTAAACAAATACACCAATCTGAAAAAAAATCACTGTGTTCTGTTTTATTGACTTAATTATTCTACCCGTAGGTGGACAGACTACACTATGAGGGGAGAAAAATACACACAGAAATGGCCACACTGTTTTGTAGTGTGCTATATTTTTGTTATTGAACACCCTAAGTAGTTTGTCATGGGACTTGCCTGCAGAAGTGACAAAGGGGCCCTTTGGAATGTTTCCGTACCCTACAGCACCCACCCTACAGAGGGCCAGCTGGCTCCCTGGGAATTCTATCAAGGCTAACATCTCATATGGGCCCACTCTAGCTTCACAGAACCAGATATCGTCATCAGATGCAAATGACATGATGAATTTGCCACCCACAAGGCTATGTTGACATGGAGGGGTTTCTTTACATTGTTTACTTAGGCATCAGATTATAAGTGCTTGTGGGTAGGACCCTGTTTTAGTGAAAACAATGATCTAAAAACTGATTATGTTCTTAATGACCAGAATATTAATTCTAGCGTGGCAAAAATCATTGCTGTCTTCAAAATGCCTCTTGTCTGTTGAAGCTCTTTGAGAGTGAAATATTCAAATAACGACTCTTAATTGTACCTCATAACCTAGATTCCTTGGGAGATGAATCACTGTCAATGCGAAGAGGAGTTTTCCACCCTTCTTTGTACTTTCATTAATGCTTTCTGCATGACTTTGCTCACTTCAGAAATTTTCAATGGAAGGAGGTCCATCAAGAGAAATTATACAACTTTGTTTGAAACAGTTTGCAATACAATAAGATTATATAGTTTGAAGAAAACCATATTGTACTTCTAACCTGCTCTTCACTCCCTTTCTCATTTCCTCCCTTCTATCCCTTCTCAGACATCTGTTGAGGGCCTTCCATGTGAATTCATTGTCCTACAAGCTGTGGTAGGTACAAAGATGAAAGATGACCCAGTACCTACCCCCCAGGGAGTTAAGTATGTTCCAAGGGAAATCAGTAGGTTATTGCAAGGCTTGAACAATTGAGAGTTAAGGGTGCAAATCTCTAACCGAAACATAGGAGTTATGCTGGTAAGTGTACCTGGGCTCTGCTAAACAGGTGCAAAAAAATGGAGTTCTCTGGTAGACTCTTGGCAATGTGCCCACCACGTGCACCTCCGCCTGTCCTCCTTAACCCTTGATTTGGCCTTTGAGGCCCCTCCATTAAACCCCTGGGCTTTACACATTCTTTGTAAAACATCCTAATATGTCACAAAAATAATCAGATACTATTTTCTTTTTCTTTTCTTTCTTTTTTTTTTTTTTTTTGAGACAGAGTCTCACTCTGTTGCCCAGGCTGGAGTGCAGTGACGCCATCTCGGCTCACTGCAACCTCTGTCTCCTGGGTTCAGGCGATTCTCCTGCCTTAGACTCCTGAGTAGCTGGAACTATAGGCAGGCGCCACCACACCCAGCTAATTGTTCATATTTTTAGTAGAGAAGGGGTTTCACGATGTTAGTCAGGCTGGTCTCAAACTCCTGACCTCATGATCCACCCTCCTCGGCCTCCCAAAGTGCTGGGATTACAGGCAGGAGCCACCATGCCCAGCCGCTATTTTCTGTTCTTACACTAATATTATCGCTCTCTGTTTTTACAAAAAATAAAACAACTCTTATTTTAAACCAGCAAGTCAGGGTTGCTGTGAGGATAAAGAGATAATATACATGAAAGCACTGCTTTTCAAGGTATAAAGTGCTACACAAATATAAGACAATCTTCATACTGTGCACCTCTTCTGGTCAAACTGGAGGAGAAAGGAGACTAGAAGCTGTTTGGAAGTCTGAGAAGTTTGAGCTCTGGTTTCCCTATGCTTTGGGATCTGGGTTGTCAATATGTACTCGTGGGTTATCAGTCCTCCTGGGGTGAATGTTCTATTGATTCCAGTGCCTCCATATTATCTGGGATTTAATTCTTTGACTAGTGTCGCTATAGCAAAAGAGTGGAGTCATTGAAACCTGCTTTAATGGCTGATACTGGAATTGTTATAGTATAGAGGAAAGTCTCCAGTTGGTTTGAAGTTCATGATATTTCTGGGCTTGAGACCTGGGCTAGATCTAATTTACAGTCCATTTGAAGGAAAAGATTGCATCTGACAGTTTTTGTTTGCTTTTAATTGCTAGAAACTGGGAAATATATATATATATATACATATATATGTATATATATATGTGTATATATATATATGTATATATATATAAACATACACACACATACATATACATACATAAATATATATATGCAGTAGTAGTGGCAGAGGTAAAGACACGAATTTTCTATTGCCATGTAACAAATTACCCCAAAATTTAGTGTCTTGAAACAACAAACATTTATTATCTCTCAGTTTGGGCAGATCGGGAATTTAGGAGCAGCTTAGCTGATTGGTTGCAGCTCAGGTTCTCTCTTAGGTTGCCGTCAAGCTGTCAACCAGGACTCTAGTCATCTAAAGGTTTGACTGGGACTGGAAGATCCATTTCCAAGTTCACACATGAGGCTGTTATCAGAAGGCCTCAGTTCCTCAATGGCTATTGGCTGGAGGCCCAGAGCAAATGATATATCAGAGAGAAAGAGAGAGAGAGAGAGAGATTGAGACAGAAAGAGAGAGAAAGAAAGAGAGAGAAAGGAGAAAGAGGGACACACTGTTATTACCTAGTCTTGGAAGTGAGGTATCACCACTTCTGTATAAGAGAGGACACGGGCGTAAATACCAGAAGGTGAGGATCATGTGGGATGTTTTGGAGGATAGCTACAACAGTAGTCAAAAAAATTAAGTAAATTTAAGGATTATTCAGATTTTGAACTGCATTTAAGACTGTGGGCAATTTTTTCCTGTCTTTAAGTTTATCCAGGATTGGATAAACTTGACCTTGAGTTGTAATATAATTATCTGATAATACTGATTAGAGTTTTAGGAGTGCTTATTCCTCTTCAATGAAGGTTATAAAAGTGCAAAAAGAAGAAACTGTGCCAAGCAAGCCTCTAGACTCCTAAAACAGAGGTTGGCAAACTTTCTCTCTAAAGGTCTAGGTAGTAAGTATTTTAGGCACTGTCAGCCACACAGTCTCTATTGCAACTGCTCAACTTTCTCCCATTGTAGCAGTAAAGCAGCCATGGACATGGCTGTATTACAATTGCTGTGTGGCTCTTCCAATAAAACTCTATTTACAAAAACAGGTGGTGTGCCAGAGTTGGCCTGCAGGCCTTAGTGTGCTAAGCCCTGATGTAAAAGAAAAACTAGAGAATAATAAATCAGAAGATTTTATCCTGGATCAGTTTGCAAGGGAAAAGATTTACTTGTAAGTCTCTACCAGTTTCAGTTTATGGATTTGTTGAGTTGTTCTGCAAAATGTGTATGGATAACAAAAAGAGGCTGTAGGGTAAATGAAGAGTTACAGATCACTGAAAAACCAAACAATGAATGGAATCAGCGTGCCCCTTCATTATTTGTTCCCTGTCCCCTGTTTAGGTAGAATAAATGATTTTGAAATGATGCACAACAGGAAACAAAACAAAACAAAGACCTTCTCCTGTTAATTTCTGTGTTCTCCTGTCCCACTCCTCAATCTAGCTGCCAGCACTACAAAGTCATTATTATTATTATTATTTTAGAGACAAGGTCTCCCTCTGTCAACCAGGATGGTGTGATCATAGCTTACTACAGCCTCAAACTCCTCAGCTCAAGCCATCCTCCTCCCACCTCAGCCTCCCAAGTAGCCAGGACTACAGGGGCCGCCACACCTGACTAATGTTTTAAATTTTTGTAGCAATAGGGCCTCACTATGTTGCCCAGGTTGGTCTTGAACTCCTGGGCTGATATGATGCTCCTGCCTTGGCCTCCCAAAGTTCTAGAATTACACACATGAGTCACTGTCCCCAACCTACAAAATTACATTACAATCATTTGTAATGACTGCTTTTTAATTATCTGACAAGTGTCAAAACAGATGTTGGCTGCATCATACAGGGTGAATTTCTCTGCAGTATTGTTTTCCTTGCAAATTTAATTAATTAATTAATTATATTTATTTATTTTTGAGATGGAGTCTCATGCTGTCACTCAGGCTGGAGTGCAGTGGCGTGATCTTAGCCCACTGCAACCTCCACCTCCAGGAGTCTGAGTGATTCTCCCGCCTCAGTCTGCCACCATGCCCAGCTAATTTTTGTATTTTTCGTAGAAATGGGGTTTCACTATGTTGGTCAGGCTGGTCTCTAATTCTTGACCTTAAGCACTTTGGCCTCCCAAAGTGCTGGGATTACAGGTGTGAACCACGGTGCCCAGCCCTTGCAAATTTTAAAAACAAATCGTGTCTTGGAAACCATCCAAGAAAAAATTAGTGAAGTATTCCAAGATCTAGATTGGGAATTATTGACCTAAGAAACTGGGAAAAAGAAATTGAGACTGGCAGGCAAAATCTATGCATTAATATTTTATTAAATTATGTAAAAAGGTCTGTTCCATCATCGGAGTTTTACCTTCTATTACTGCCACTCAAAATCTTTATTTAAGCTTCCCTGAGGAACCTATTAGGAGTTTTAAAACATTTTTATTAAATGTTTTTCTTATTATAAGAGAATGAATGTCAATTTCGGAAAATACAGAAAGAACAGAAATCAGTCCTGATCCAACTAGCCAGAGAATTCCTGTTCAGATTTTAGTGTATTTCCTTTCAGTATGCTCTTAGATATGTAACATCGTTGACATGCAATCTCTTTTTTTTTTTTTTTTTTTTTGAGACGGAGTCTCGCTCTGTTGCCTAGGCTGGAGTGCAGCGGCGCGATCTCGGCCCACTGCAGGCTCCGCCTCCCGGGTTCACTCCATTCTCCTGCCTCAGCCTCCCGAGTTGCTGGGACTACAGGCGCCGCCACCTCGCCCTACTGTTTTGTAATTTTAGTAGAGACGGGGTTTCACCGTGTTAGCCAGGATGGTCTCGATCTCCTGACCTCGTGATCCACCCACCTTGGCCTCCCAAAGTGCTGAGATTAAGGCGTGAGCCAACGCGCCCGGCCGCAATCTTATTCTACTTTTCTACTTACCATTATATCACAAGCTTTGCCCCCATGACTTAAAGGATAAATGGCATTCCATAATATGGACATGCAATAATTTACTTAGTCATTACCTGAATGGGTTTTTTGCAAATTTTGTTATCATAAATAATATTACCATAAGCATATTATAAATAGATCTTTGAATGCTTTGAAAATTATTTCCTTCAAATCATTTCCTAAAAGTAGAGTTATAGGGGATAGGTATAGTAGCATTTTAAGTCTCTTGATAAGTATGAATAAATTGCTTACTAAAAGACTGTAGCAATTAATATAACCCCCCCCACCCCCGAGTAGTATGTTAAACCATTGGACATTATCAATTTTAAAATTGTATCCCAAGCCAGGTGTAGTGGTGCACACCTGTAGTCCCAACTACTTGGGAGGCTGAGGCACAAGATTCGTTTGAGACTGCAGTGTACTATAATTGCACCTATGAATAGCCACAGCACTCCAGCCTAGGCAACAGAGAGACCCACTTCTCTAAAAACAAAACAAATAAAATTGTATCCTATTGTTACTTTAATTTGCATATAGGGAAGTTGAAGTTGGGAAAATATTTTCATTAACCCTTTATTTCTTCAAATGCTTTATTTTTTTCATTTCCCTTGTTCATCTCATTGGGTTTGCTAATATTTTTCTTATATATTTATATGGTTTCTTTAGCATGGCTCTTAACTAATCATCAGGTATATTTGCTGAAAGTATTTTCTTGGCTTGTTATTGCCTTTAATTTTTTAATGTATGGAAATTTTTATTTTTGCATAGTAAAACTACCAATATTTTTCTTCTTCTTTTCTTTTTCTTCTTCTTTTTTTAAGAGATAGCATCTCACTCTGTCACCCAGGCTGCTGGAGTACAGAGGTACAATGTTTGCTCACTGTAACCTCAAATTCCTGGGGTCAAGCAATCCTCCTGCCCCAGCCTCCTGAGTAGCTAGGACTACTGGCAAGCTCCATCACACTCAGCTGATTTTTGTTTGTTTCGTAGAAACAGGGTGTTGCTATGTTGCCCAGGCCGGTTTTGAACTCTTGGGCTCAATTGATCCTCCTGCCTTGGCCTCCCAAAGTCCTAGGATTACAGGCATGAGCTACTGCACCTAGCCTTTCTTTTTTATTTCTCTCATTGCTTTTAATCGTAGGAAGTTGTTTTCCTTCCCTTCTAATATGCCATAATACGCTCCTAATCTTTATGATTTGATGTTTCTGCATTTAATTCTTTAGCCACCAGGAATTATCTTTGATATGGTATAACTTGGCTGGGATTTAAAGGAATGGACGATATAGAGATACACAGTTCTCTTTAGCTCAGAGATTCTCTCTCAGTACTTCTTGATTTTATTTCAAGGTTTCTTAGTTCCTGAGACAGCACCTTTTTATGTTGGGACTTTTGGTGTCTTTGGAGTGCCTGGATGACTTTAAAGGGCATGTACATCTTTTTATTTATCTTTCTTCCTTCCACAGGGCTTAGTAGAGTGCTTTACTAAGAGACAGCCCATTCTACACCTCCCTGGAAGAGACTGGCACATGCCAAGCCTCATTTAAAAACTACTCTGAAGGCCAGCGTCCCTAAAAAGATCTCTTCCTCTGAGTTATTACTGATGCCAGAAATACCTGTTATTTCATCTCTGTGTTAAACGTTGCCCTCTCCTCAAGCTGTCTTTTAGAATGCACATTCACGTTGGGGTAGCGTGGTATATTAGTTTCCTGGGGTAGCTATAACAAGTTGCCGTAAACATGGTCACTTAACAGTTTTTTCTCTCTCACAGTCTGGGGGCTAGAAGTCCAAAATCAAAGTTTCAGCAGGACCGTGCTCCTTCTGAAGGCTCTAGGGAAGGATCCCTCCTTGCTCTTCCTAGCTTCCCATGGCTGCTGGCAATCCTTGGTGTTCTCGTTGGCTTCCCACTGCGTCACTCCAGTCTCCTCCTGCATTGTCACAGGCGTGTGGCTCTGTCTATAAGCAAATAGTAAATCCATAATCCATATGTGTTTGCTTTCCCATAACATGCTTACATTTTAAGCAGAGAATCAAAGTTTTTGCATGGTATTTCTTCGGTTGATCAATATCTTCCTTTTTCTACTAGTAAAACAGATAAACTATTGATAGGAAAGTGAGAGGACAAAATGAATAATCCATTGGAATGATTCATGTAATGGTTTGATGTCAAATATTTTCGGTTTTCAAAAATAAATGAGTTAATAGTAATTGCAGTTATGTGATTTTCTCATATTTAAAGTCTAGTAGCATAAATTGTAACTGTTAAATTTGGTAACAAGAGAAAAATATGGTCAGGTGCAGTGGCTCATGCCCGTAATCCCAAAATTTTGGGAGGCTGAGGTGGGAGGATCACCTGACCCCAGGAGTTTGAAACCAGCCTGGGAAACATAGTGAGACCTGGTATCAATTTACTTAAAAAATGAAAAAAAAAAAAAAAAGAGAAAAATATTTTGAGTGGTTCCCAAGTGAGGAAAACCTAAGATTTTCTTCTTTTAAAGAAAAAAACGGATGACAGATTGGGAAATTAATTTTGCTAATAAAATATTTTGATCCTTTTCAGTAAAAAGCAACTATCAAAGCTGGGAAAAATACCAATAGCCTTTATTCTTCCCTTTTAAACAATGTGTGAAATAGAAAATTTTAATAAAATTTAATTATCTCCTTTTTAATTTTATGAATTTCTCATTTTTAGAAGCATCTTTATATGTCCTACCATTATTCAGTTTATAAAAAATAAGTTTGTTTCCTTTTTGAATTATTGTTAATATTCTTTAAAATTTGGTACAAAGACAATATGAAGATATTTTAACTGAAGAATATGAATACAGTGGTTCTTTGTGTTAGATTGTGCCCAATTTTCACAAAGTGAAAGTTTCTACCTTCGTCTTGACTGCAGGAATAAAAATCTCCTGTGAGCAGAGATTGTTGACTCAAGAGTCCTCATCATTCTACCTGATGAGATAACACTCCCTAATTTAAAATATTGTTAAACAAAATAAATATTTTCTTGGGACAGAATGCTTTGTGGTTTAGTGACTCAACTCTCTCTGTACTGGAAGCCTCAACCAGTGGCACAAGAAAAAAACTTGTTTTGTATCATCCCTGACTGAAAAAAAAAAAGCATTTGTTTTATACCCACTGAGTACAGGTTATAGAGACAGAAGGTGATATGGTTCTTAGCTCCTAAAAAGCCTATGATTAAATTGAGAAACTGATATATGTTCCCGGAAAACCTAGATGAACACTTACTAAATAGTACTAGGTGCAACTATATGAAATTGCCATATTTGACTGGTTTTGACCTACAAAAATGGTATTTCATAATGTTGAACCTCGAAGTTCAAAACCACTTACTTTCTCTCCCCTGCATTATGCACATCCTTCAGTTCTCTGTGTCAAGAGCTGTACAAGAAGCCTGTGTTAAGCCTGGCAGTCCCAGCACCCAGCCCAGGGAAGACGTGGGGCTGGTGGCTTTCCCCTTCCAGGGCTGTGCACCTGCTGTGCTGCCTCTCTTCTTCTGCCCTCTACTCTCCCTCAGCTACATTATTTCCACATATAGAATTTTCCTTCCTTTAAAGCACATCCTCACCTTATTTGAAGCACTTTCCTTTCTTCCTCTCTCTCTCTCTCTCTCTCTCTCTTTTTTTTTCTTTTGAGACAGAGTCTCTCTCTGTCACCCAGGCTGGAGTGCAGTGGCATGATCTTGGCTCACTGCAACCTCCACCTCCTGGGTTCAAGCAAGTCTTCTGCCTCAACCTCCCAAGTAGCTGGGACTGTAGGCGCACACCACCATGCCCAGCTAATTTTTGTATTTTTTTGGTAGAGGCAGGGTTTCACTATGTTGCCCAGGCTGGTCTCGAACCCCTGATCTCAAGCGATCCACCTGCCTCAGCCTCCCAAAGTGCTGGGATTACAGGTGTGAGCCACTGCACCCGGCCCCTTTCTTTTTTTCTTTCCATTCTTTGTTTCCCCTTTCATTCCATTATTAATCACTATCACTCAGTTGATGGCTGTAAAGCCTAAAAGTAAAGCTAGTGATGCATTTGTGTGACGGAAAGGGAAAAACCATGAATCTTGATGTGAAATTAGAAATAATAATCATCAACATGTGGTAACAACAAAAGCTCTGTAAAGTCATGTTACAGCCTGTGAAAAATTCTCCACCCACCATCTCTTTCTGATGAAACTGATGTTTCTCAATAATCCCTATTCTTAAAAAGAGAATAATCTACACTTGAGAAAAATAGACACTATTTCTCACACCATTTTATTGCTTTCTTTTTCTTTTTAAAAACTAGTATTGAAACAATTCTGTGATTTATAACGATGTCCTTTTCTTTTTGCTGTAGTGTAATATTTCAGCTACATGAAATTGACTTTTAGGGGCTTATGAAACAGGATTTATTACAATCAGGGAAATCTTGGAGGAAGTGAATTTTGAAATTAGACTTGATGGAATTTGATAGCCAAAGATTACAAAGAGGAGAGGCAAAAGCATTAATAGAAAACCCAAGCAAAGACATATAAATAATGAAGCAAGTTGTATGTATGGGAAGGGCAAACAAATCTGTCTGACCACAGCTGGAAGTCTGAGGTGGAGGGAGGGGAGAAGGAGGTTAGAGTGGTATTGGAACACCCTTAGGGTGGGAATTTGAAGCTGACATTTGGAGCTTGTGACTAGCATCTTTGCAAGGACAACTTTATTTGGATAGATGGAGAGCAGGGATACTGTGATAATCTCTTTTTCCCTCTGCTTGCCTCTGCACCTTAGAGAATTTCTATTCATGAGAGCTGAGGTGATAAATATCAGTCCATCTCAGATTCAGCTTCACAGCCATTCTATTGTCTTCAGTCAGCAAAACTGTATCCCTGACGTGTTGCTAATACATAAAGATTTTTCATGAGAAATGATTTTAAATTAGAGTTCTCTTTTGAAACATTAACACCAGTTAATTGAACTAATTCATTAGGTATTTGATGACAATTCTAGTCGCTACATAAGGATATGTCTAGGAAGCCTTAAAGCAGCTTTGGTCCCTTGTGGAGTTTACCTACCTGGTGCAGGTGAGTGAGAGAAGCCAAAGATATGATTCAGACAATTATGAATTATGTACTAATTACTGATCATTTTGTATTAATCACCAGACAACTAGCAGGTGCTTGGAAATTGAGTAAGTGGAACACGATGAAACTGACAGTTATAAAAATTAATGTAAAAAATGAACCTCCATAAGAATTATTTTGAAAAACTAAAAAATATAAGGAAATCTCTCTCATATTGAAAATGATTTTTTTAGTTTTATATTATTATCAAAAGGCATTTACTATAAGCACCATATTATGTGTAGGAATGTTTTAGAGGTCTTGCAAGTAACCTTTAAAGACTCAATTCTTATAAAGATTTATAGACCACCATATAAAAGAATATATTGAATAGAGCCTTGAAACCTCTGAATTATAGCTGTGAGAAAGTTGAGAGTATATGATCTATAAGAAAAGTAGGTGTTTGTGAGTTCAGAAAATACAATAAATGCTAAAAAATGTTTGATACAAGGAAGAGTTACACAATTTCTCTTGAAACTTTATTGCTTCTGGAAATGCCATGAAGTAATGATGATTGCGGCAGTGTAAGTGCCATCAAAGCTCAGGATTGATGAAGATAATTATTTGAGTGCCTGGAAGGATTAACTAAGGCAGACGAGTTTCGTGCCAGGTTGTTTAGGGACCCCAGAGTTTAAGAGACTCTTACTAATTGTTGCTGGCATGAGTTTTGGACTAGAGAGCTAAGGTGGGGCAAAGGTAAACAAAATAGGCAGATGATGCATATTAAAGATGCTATAAAGTTAACTTCAAAGTGTGTGCCATCACCACAGACTTCTGGAAAATAATAACCAACAGACCAGTTTTGCATGTAACTATCGTGGTTAGGAGGAGGTGCTTTTGAACCAAAGCTTTATATTGACATTATTTGAAACAGTCATAAACAGCAACAGGCTCTGCAAGCAGCTGCTATCTTCATGAATCAAACCACCTTTGCAGAAAGCGCTTTGTATTCACTCAGCCAGCAAACTCTTACAGAGCATCTGTGATGTGACAGATGTTATTATATGCCACGGCAGAAACAAAGGGACTCATACCCAGGAGCCCCTTAAAGAGATGAGATGAGAGAAAGAGCCATCAGTGATAAGTAAGCTAAAATATAACAAAATTGCCTGGAATATAGGGTGTGTAGGGGAGCTACATTTGAAAAGTTAGACTGGGTCCAGAAGGTGAAAGCACTTGAATACCAGACAATGAAGTTAGGGCTTTATTCTGTAGACAGTGCTGAGCTATCTGTTGGTTTTCAAACCAGACAGTACATCAGGAAGATCAATCTATTTGTAAAGTTAGAATAGGTTAAAGGCTGCAGGAGACACTCAGTAGCAGAGAATAACTGGAATCTTACTAAACTGAAGACATAATGAAGTTTAGAAGTAGGATAGTAGTGGTTGGAATGCACAAGAGTAGATGGATGTCATACTGGTGAGGTGGAAGAAACAGTTTTCTTGTATTTATAACTGCCTCCCTGTCACTTCTTCCTCTAAAAGATTTACAGTAGTTTGCATCCAATTGACAATGCAAATAAATACAGATCAGAACACTAAAAGAATGATAGTGTGATAAGAGAAACAATTACTTTACAGAAACACACATTCATAATGTTTTATATAATTGTTAAAATTGATTCATGATCAAGTACATGGACCTCATTGTCTAAAAGACAAGGAGTGAAAAAGAGAAAAGCTTTTCTTGGCATTTCAGAATGAGAGAAATCTTTCCCTTCAGTCTCCATATAAAGGATATTAAGTAAGATGGTACCTAACATCCTTCTTGGCATCCCTGCAATAGGTCCAACCAAGAGTTCTACGTGGCTGCATCTTATAGTGTCCCTCAAAGCAAGTTCAAATGCGATGACAAAGGACCCCTTGATGAGTGATCAGAGGTGGATTGATTGGAGCAGGAGGGCTCAAAGATGACTCCTCAGAGTTGCCCCTGGTACTTTAGGACTATTTCTCTACCCTTGTGCCTATAACCACATAATTTTTTTTTCATTTTTAGTTTTTGTGGGTACATAGTAAGTGTATATATTTATAGAATACATGAGATATTTTGATACAGGCATATAATGTGTAATAATTGCATCAGGGTAAATGGGGTATCTTTCACCTCAAGCATTTATCCTTCCTTTGTGTTACAAACAATCCAATTATTTTCTTTTAGTTATTTTTTAATGTACAATAAAGTAGTGTTGACTGTAGTCACCCTGTTGTGCTATGAAATACTAGATCTTATTCATTCTATCTAACTGTATTTTTGTATCCATTAATATAACCATATTCTGCCAGGCTTTTTCCTCCTTGCCTGCTCCATGGTAATATCACCAGAAGCTTTGTTTGGTGCTACAAAGGCTAACAATTGAAAATACCCTCTTTTGCATTATTAATTTGTTATTCATGAGCTTAGTAAGATCATTAGTCTTTCTTTGGGGAGTATTGACACTGTCAAAATAAAAGCTACATTTTCTCTTCTCTGCCATTAGATGATAAGAATTTGAATTGCCTTAAAAGGAAAATTCCAGCAATCAAAAAAATCTTCTTTTGTATTTCGACAACTGAAAACAAAACTTGTCCAACTTGACTCTTATAAAGAGAAGCTGAAAAAAATGCCATGACCTTCAGCTTCTCTAAATCAGAGCATGTGCAATCACGCGTGAAACACAATACTCTTGATAAAACCGAGCCGTTCCTTGAGGCACAGACCTCGGTTCCTCAGTTCTCCTGGGGATTTGCACAATTCTCCTGGTTGTTTGGTCCTCGGCCTTGGCTTCTCTTTGCTTGTGCCCAGAATGAAATCATTTCTTCCTCTGGGACCAATGCTAATAAAGCCAAACCTTGTGGAACCTAGCCTGGTTCTGGGCGAGTTTCATGGTTCGTTAATCATGTGGAGTGATCCGAAATCATCAAAATCAACATACTAGTGGTCCTGAGATATTTTGCTTAACTTTCACAGACTCGGTAGCACCCAAAGCCTCGATTTCACAAGATAGAAGTATTAAGGCAAACATTTCCAGCCTTTGTTGGAGAGATGATTTGCATTCCACTGGTCAGGTGTGAGGGGGAACTTAAACATTTCTGCACCACACAGCATATTGGGAGATGGCTCCCAGCCTTCAGGCTGCCATTTTGAAAGACTTGGTGGCTCACACCTGTAATCCTGGCACTTTGGGAGGCTGAGGCAAGACAATCATTTGAGACCAGGAGTTCAAAACCAGCTTAGGCAACATAGTGAGACCCCGTCTTTACAAAAACCAACAAAACAAACAAACAAACAGACAAACAAAAACCATCAAAGTGCCCAGGAAGGTGAATGCAATCAGGAAGTAGAGGCTGACTGGACAAAAAAGGATGAGTAGAGGAGTGATATTCTTGTGCAACCACTAGATGGCAGAGTTTCTGCATTCTATTACCATTGGCAACAAGAAATACTTGGGTTAGTGGTGTAGCATCCTTTACATACCTGTAACTTTGAGGATGCTTTGTATTTTAAAAACTCGAATGAGCATAGCAAATTATTTTCATTTCCCCATCCAACTTGGAATTTTGTGATCGTGAAACTCATCTACTGAGAATTTAAAATTAGTCTCTGAGTGAGGAGTTGGGTGGGTTCTCTACTCCTAACTCTGTCATTAGCCGTGTGACTTTGAACAATGAATATCTCTGGGCCTCAATGAACTCATCTGAAAAATGGTATGGTTGGGTCACTAGATTATCTCTAAGGGATCTTCCAACCCAGACATTCTCCTTTCATATCTGAGCCTGATAAATATGCTAGCTCAAAGTACCATCTATATAATTCCTTATAAATTATTATTCAGGACATGTCAACTGACATTCATATGCATAATTACAATAGCTGATACTTATTGAGAACCTACTATATGGCAGTACTAGGCTAAGCATTTTACAAGTTTTACCTAATTTAATTCTCTTAACAATTTATCACTCCCATTTTGCAGATGAAGAAACTGAGGCTTAAAGAAGTAACTAGCTCAAGATCATATAGCTAATGGCCAGGCTGGTATGACTCTGAAATCTGTGTGTATACATTGCTATATTTGATCCTTTATTCAGCTGAGAAAAAATACAAATTTGAAGACAACACTGCTTCTGAAGGAAAAACCCATTCTGTAAATCCAAAATTCTAGGTTTTCCAAGGGAAATAGATTGTGGGGTTTTGTTTTATTTCTGGAGATGGGAGAGATTTACATGGCTCTATCCTCACACTGTCATTAGATGCCTCTTTGTGAGCCTGGGCTTCCAGTACCATGTACATGGGTAACCAGCAGGCACAACACTGTCAGTCAGTCACATGGTTTCTGAGGAACAATGTCTCTTCAAATCTGCAATAAAGTGACTGAACCAGGTAATCACCAGGGACTTTTTCAGGTCTAGCATTATCTGATGGTATGTGTCCGTAATCTAATACAGGGTCTAATGTTAGCAGGAAAGAGGTTGCTCAGTAAATGGTTGCTCTCTACCATTTAGCAGTTGCAGTAAAGAAACACCATGCACACTATTAGTGCCATTTGTTAGTGAATTAAGTTTTCTCCTTCCTTTGTGGCCAGAAAACTTATGCATGTTACAACCAATGCCTTAATTCAGAAGAGTGGTTCTAGTATCTGGTGTCTTAGGTTCCCTTGAGGAAATAATTCAATTCAATGCAGGTGGAAGCACTTTTTGGTAACTTTGAAATCACAACTCTGAGGCTCAGTTGAACACAGTAATAATTCTTTGGATAGACAATAGATGGCAGTACAGCATCAATTTATAACTTATAAACTATAGTTAAACCTAAACTTTTATGCTACATTTTATTATTTTGGATGTACATTACTATAAAACAAGAATTATTAAAAAACTTATTTAACTTGCCTTATATTAGGCTACACATATTTAAATGCTTAAGGAACAACTTGGTGGTGTAGACCAACATTAGGAAAACTCGAACTAGATTTATCAGGGCCACTTTCAAGGGCTTTGGAGAGGCCCTAGCACTGTCAATCTTGAGAAAGTAAGAGATTCTCTTTTCTTTTTATTAAAGAGGCCCGCCCCCTTCTTATATAAGCTTTAGGTCTCACAATTCTGGGATTTGTCTGAGAATAGCCATGCGGCTCTTTTAACTTGGGAAAGGGAAAACAGTCTTGCCGTTATTAATTTTGCTACCAACTTAATCTCCAGGGAGAGGGGCAATCTGGTTTTTTAAAGTAAGCCAAATAAAAAGGAAACATAATTGAATGAATTGGCAAATGTTCCACTTACTTCTAAGTCTGAGTAAAATCAAGTACCATACTTAACACTGAAACTTTCACTCTGGCAGTATAACATCTGTGCTAAAAAGAAAAGGGAGGTACAAAGGAGTATAATTAGCAAGTTAATAAATTATCCTCTGCTAAGACTGCAGACCAATATGATAGCATTTGGCGGTTGTTTTATGTTATTTACCCAAGAGGTTATTGTCGTTAATAAATGACCAGTTGTGACTATTCACAAAGGAAACTGTGCTTCCATTGGCACATAAATTTCTCATCAGGGAGCCAAGCTTAGCCTCTGTTATGACCACCTACACCCTACTCATCAGGAGTAAAACTAAAATTAACCCTTTGGGTACAAAAATAATAGAAAGAATGAATAAGACTCAGTATTTGATGGCACAACAGGGTGACTATAGTGATAATAATGTAATTGTACACTTAAAAATAACTAAAAGAATATAATTGGATTGTTTGTAACACAAAAGATAAATGCTTGAGGGGATGGATGCCCCATTCTTGATGATGTGATTATTACACTTTGAATGCTTGTACCTCATGTACCTCATAAATATATATATATATATATATATATATCTACTATGTACCCACAAAAATTAAAATAATAATAATGAAAACATTACCCTTTGGAAAAGAAAAGTTAACAAACTTTCCAATTGGTCTTTCCTGTTGCAAACATTTATTAAGGTTGGCTTTTAGGCTAGGGAGACTTATCTATGTGTAGTTCCAGAGGTAACCATTATTCGGAATTGAAAATATTTCTGCCCATTCGATAAGCCCCTATGTCTACTAGACCTTAATATCCTTGAGGGCAGGGAGTGGAATTGTTCACCTTTGTGTGCTTTGATATATGACATGTCATGGAAGATCTAGAAAATGCTGAAAGAATGAATGCTAGATAGTGTTACAAAGTTGCTTTAGGTCTTAGAGACCTCTTGGCACGATTTCAAGTGTATTATTTCTGTGTAATACATTGTGAAGGTTGTGTTTCAGGAGACAAACTTGTCCAGTAAGCTTGCTAGGAGTAGAAGGCCTGTGACTGACTCTAGAGAGGAAGTAGAACATGCTCCTGGGACGGCCTGAGTTTCCGGGGCTGGGCAAGAAGCTGCCCTGAAGCAGAGTTCTGTTTGCGAAGCCCACTCAGCCCACACATCCTGTGACCTTGCCTCACCTCCAACCAAGTCCTGGAGCAAACTGTGAAATCATGGCGTCCATGGCCAGGTGCACAGCAGCACTGTCTGGATCTGGGTCACGAGGAAAGGGAATTTAGCCAACACCCCATCATTCTCCTCCTCTCAAGGGGAAGCAGAGGTTATTGGGTATACCACACACACTCAGCAGTTCCTGTTTTAGAATGATGGTGAAGCAAGGGCCGTCCCTGGAACTGTCTGTGATAGTCCTCACCTCCTCTAGCCACTGAAAAACTAAGCCTTCCCCCAGGGCCATGTGTACCCTCCCATCTGGGAGATCATGACCCCAAGTATAGAGAACTGACTCTTGGATAGCACACTGTGTCGACTTAGTTTATCCCCCAAATCAGGAGAGCAGGCAGGTTCACAGGGTTCAACACGCTACAAGGCCCAAATTATGAAAGTTCCTACTCTGGTAGCTCAAATTCCATCTTAAATATGTGTCATCTCTACCTCTCCCAAAGTGTAGCAAGTGTGGGGAACATATTTCAAGACAAAGCTAGGGAGAGGATAGAATGCACATCGACATCCATTTCTACCCTCTCCCTTCTCCTTTTTTCCTAATTGAACCTCAGCTTCTTCAGGTGTCTAATTTCTGCACAGTAGTGTCCTTCAGGTCTCAGCCTCAAAGGGTTGGGTCCAGTGATCGGTTTAGTGCAGGTATGAAAAGAAGCCTGCTAGGTGGCTTCTAGAGGAGATTTCCCCCACTTCTAAGCAAGTTACACAGGAAGGAATTATCATACCTCTATGTGACAGCTAGAAATGTAGCAGTGACTAAATTCAGTAGCAAAGGAATACACTAGTTAAACCAACTCAGTCTACCCCTTTTGTTTTATATGTGATAATATATTTTGTTTTTTATCAGGCTTCTGTGAGTTGGACTGTTATTTCCAGGCAAAAGGATCCTATGTTTTAAGCAGGGATTGTATCACAAGCAAAATACATAGAAAAGGCTACACTTGCCAGCTTTTAATTATGTAATACGTAAGTATCTAGGAAGAAGAGATAGGTCTTTTTTGGAGTGCCCGTCTCCGACAATACAAAGCTTAGGAAGCACAGGTAGATTGCTTTTATCTCTCTTGTCACTTGGAGTCAGTCAATGGGCACATATGTTTTTCCAAAAAGGAAAACTATTAAGGGGAGCAGACTGCCTAACATTTGTGGTTGACTTTTCACAATGTGTAAGTCTAATCTATGGCCACACCACCCTAAATGCACCTGATCTTGTCTGATGTCAGAAGCTAAGCAGGGTCGGGCCTGGTTAGTACTTGAATGGCTGACAATGTGTAAGTCCACAGCAGTTGGAATAAGCTTTCAAGTCCTAGGAGTCTTCTCTTGTTTGCTACTTCTTTGGCATATTTGTGAGCAGAAGGACAAGGTGAACACTAACTTAGGGTACTGGAACAATTAATAAAAATAGGTCTTGATGTAAGACACATTCATGGTAAGACGATGACAGCATTTCAACTTTAAGGTATTTTTCAGTTGTTACTTAAATTCTCCTGAGCTATATGTGTTTCTCTTTCCCTTCAAAAATACTGTATTTAAATTCCTAAGAAGATATTAGCCTCACAGGTAGAAATGTATTTTTATATGTGTTTATATATGGCATAATATATTGTCTTTACTGTACACAAGTATTACTTTCATAGTATGAAACTAAAGGAAAAACAAAAAGAAATATATTGCTGCTAATGTACCTTTACATTTTATATAATGCAAACAATAGTGACTTTTTAAAAAAGTATGTACAGGGGCCAGGCACAGTGGCTCACGCCTGTAATCCCGGCACTTTGGGAGGCTGAGGCAGGTGGCTCACTTAAGGTCAGGAGTTCGAGATTAGCCTGGCTAACATGGTGAAACCCTGTCTCCAATAAAAATACAAAAAAATTAGCTGGGTGTGGTGGCACATGCCTGTAATCCCAGCTGCTGAGGCAGGAGCATCACTTGAACCCGGGAGGTGGAGGTTGCAGTGAGCTGAGATCATGCCACTGCACTCCAGCCTGGTGACAGAGTGAGACTCTGTCTCAAAAAAAAAAAAAAAAAAGTACACAATAGAGTTCCACAAATTATGCCCATCTATATCTCCCTTGCTGATATTACCATATTGATTAGATCTTCCTGCCCTTCTAAAGTGTTAACACTTTGCTCTATT
The DNA here is from genome assembly GCF_000001405.40 of Homo sapiens. Classification (NCBI taxonomy): domain Eukaryota; kingdom Metazoa; phylum Chordata; class Mammalia; order Primates; family Hominidae; genus Homo; species Homo sapiens. The sequence goes on from NC_000006.12 coordinate 106,450,343, forward strand.
CCTCTTTATATCCTTGCAACATTGTAGAAATCCCACAAAAGCTTCCGTTTCTGTTGCGAAATGCTGAGGTCTTGCATTTTTAGTTCTCTTTCTACTTTACTGGCATTCTTCATTCAAAGCTGTCATTCTGCTCTGGCATCTTTATTCCTGTGCTTACAAAATCTACCAAACCTTGGATCAGGTATGATGCTCAACTGCAGACAGCAAGGAACACCCAAGTCAAAATGGCTTGAAGAATAGGACGTTTATTATCTAACACAACAAGAACTCCAGAGATAGGTAATTCTGCTTCTCATTTCAAGAAATCAAGAGATAGGTATTTCCTCTCTGCTTTTTCCTCAATCTAGTCTCCTTAGGCTAATCCTGCACATGGTCCCAAGATGTTCTATCATATTCATCACATGCAGGCATGACACTGGCCTGCAGGAAAGGGAAACTTTCTCTTCTTGTAGAAGACCTTTTCCCCCATTTCTTCAGCAGACGCCTCTCACATCCCATTGGTCAGGACTGGGCCAGAGAAGCAGGGCAAAGTATGAACATTTTAGAGGGTCAGGGAGACATCAATCAATGTGGTAACATAAGCAAGACAGTTACATATGGGCATTTGCCTAAATCAGTTACTGGTGAGGGAAACTGGACACCAGGGTTAGAGCAATCCCGACTGACTACTGGGGCTGGGAGCAGCTTTCTCTGAGGCATATGGAGGATGAATTGCTGAACAAATTTAGGATTATTAGCAAAGGCAGTGTGTATGGGGGAGGTGGGAGAACAGTGAAGGGTTGGATAAAGGGAATGGCTTTGGGGTAGGCAACCATCAGAGTCTGTAAAACATTCTTTCTGCCTTTATTAGTTTCCATTCCTTTTGAATCTGATAAATATTATAATCCTAGGAACAGTTCCCATTTCCTGGCATAGTCTAGATTGTTTCTCTAACTGGGATTCAGTTCCCACTTTATTTCCAGTGTTCAGGAAACTTACAAATTTCTTTTTGTTATTTCTTAAAAGCCACGACATAGAACAACCAGGAAACTGGAAAATGAAATTGGATTACTTTCATGCCAAAATCTGTCTCTCCATCTAGTTTCTGTCTACCTCTATCTATCTCTAATTTGTTTTCTGCATAGGATTTAAAAGAATTCAGTTAGGCACAGGGTGAAGTCATCCAGGTTTATTTATAAATGTGCTATGAGAGCGCCAAATTATCTACAACGCCGTGTAGGTTTTGAAGAATGATTCATTATTTGGGCTGACTGGAAATATATTAATACATGGAGAAATATGCCTTTGGGTTTCTTGAGATTTTGGCATTGTTCATAGTGTATTGACATGACTGTGGTTCCGTTCTTTGCAGAGCTTTGGATGTAGTCGATGGAAAATATGTGGTTCGAGACTCCCAGGAATTTCCACTGCACTGTGGGGAATCCCAGTTCTTCCACACCACCAGTGAGGCGCTTGGTTCCTTACTTCTAGAGTCTGGAATATTTAAAAAGGTAATGCTTCATTTCTAATGTTTGACTCCCAAGAATAAACCCTTTAAAGAGCTAAAGCACTGTAAGATAGCCTGTCTAAGAAACACATACTTAAAAGTAATGGTATATATTGTATATCATAAATTATATATATCATATGTAATATATGTTATATAATATGTATTCTGTAATTTTCTATATAATTATATTTAACAATATAATAATTTATTATGTAATCTATTTTTATATAATTATTATATATATCATATATAACATTATATATCAAAGCACCATGATAATAAAGAATGAGCTTGGCCGGGCCTGGTGGCTCACGCCTGTAATCCCAGCATTTTTGGAGGCAGAGGCAGGCGGATCACTTGAGGTCAGGAGTTTGAGACCAGCCTGACCAACATGATGAAACCCAGACTCTACTAAAAAAAAAAAAAAAAAAAAACAAAAAAATTAGCTGGGTGTGGTGACGGGCACCTGTAATCCCATGTATTCAGGAGGCTGAGGCAGGAGAATCGCTTAAACCCAGGAGGTGGAGGTTGTGGTGGAGCTGAGATCATGCCACTGCACTCCAGCCTGAGTGACAGAGTGAGACTGTCTCAAAAAAAAAAAAAAAAAGAATGAGCTTAATAAATGAACTTGACTCTTTGCTTTTTGCTGCCTTCAGGTGTCTTCCTCCTTGTAGGTGCCTTTTGCGCGCCCTTTTTTCTTTTATACAAACTGGGCTTTAATGCAAAGGCATACAGATTAATATGATGTCAATATTTGGAATTAATTGTTCTTTCCTATAAAAAGCACTTATGCTTTTTTCTACTGTAAGGCATTTTCAGTTATTTTATCAATAGTTACTTCTTAATATCTAGATGCTTGTACAGAAAGTTCTGACTTAATTATATTGCCTTAAAAGAAAAGTTTTCTCCAAGGTGGGAGATAGAGAAATGTACTCATGTTAACTGCATTCCTTCACTTGTAGAAAGACATTACTCATGCACTTACTTGTCTGCAGGATGGGAAAGTAGAATGATATCTTTAGTCACAGGGTGAGTGAGAGCTAGTTTAGCTGCCAGGCCTGAAGGTTGTATAATACATTTCTTGTTATAACTTATTATAAGATCAATGAGGGTTAATAGTGAAATATATTTGTCATGAAAGAAATGCTCTCCTCCATCCCAAAAGACATTTGCTTTAGTAATACCATATATTAACGGTTTAAAAAATTACTTAGCATGAGATAGAAAGAGTTCTGGAGATTGGCTGCACAACAATATGAATGTACTTAAACTACCGTTAGTGTAGTTAATATATTGATCTGCATAGTTCTGTATAGTTAAAAATGGTTAAGATGGTAGATTTTGTTATGTGTATTTTACCACAATTAAAAAATGTTAAAGCTTACTTAGTGATGAAAAGCAGTAAAAAGGACATGAAGAGATTATTAGCTTATATTTTATATTTCATTAGAACATGACAAAAGTAGGTAGTGAAATTCAATACAGAATGCTTGGTAACTCAAAATAGCATAATATCAATAAGGGTACCAGAAATATAAAACATTTTATAAGATATTGAATTTTAAAACCAAATTTAAATTTAAAAAATTAAGTAAACTGGCTTACCGTACTTTATACTTACTTTCAAGTTGGTTTCACATTTTATTCTTTTCTCTTTATAAGAAATAATTTTTAACTAGGGGAAAAAAAACCCTGATAAACCCAGTCATTGGCCCTAGCCAGAGTTTCAAGTTGTTTCCTATATTTTTCCTTCAGTAAGTATGCCTTTTATAACATAAAACAAAAATAATTATTTGAGCATAATGCAATTACATATCCTATAATGTCTGCTGAAGTCCAGGAAAAAATTCGTGGCAGTGTTCAGAATTGAGGCAAAAAACAAGTTCCTTGAGGTAGGTGGCAAGGAAGGGTCTGTTGTGGCCTCCCTTGCAAAAAGCTCTGGGCATTGGGCTGCCCACAGGAGCAGCCCCAAGGCCAAGCCAAAAATGTCAGGGAAGGAAGGAGGCCAGTTGGTATACCTGGGAGAGGCGGAGGCTTGAAGCCGCAGATGAACTGGGATCCCAGTGTAGGGATGGAGCCGGAGCAGGGAGAAGAAGGGCAGGAACTTGAGAGAGCAAGGAGAGGCAGAGTGTGGTTCAGGCGACCCTGTCTCTAAGTGTCACTGGAATGGGGTCAGCCAGGCGCTGTCTCTACTCTCTACTCACTGTAACACACCCTCCACCTCAGAGAGGCTCAAAATCTCTACAACAGAAGAACTGGCTCTGGGAGCCACTTACCATCTGCCTGTTGTCTCCCTCTCTCCCCATCTCCATCATCCCTTCTCCCCTCTCTCTTTTCACCCTTGCTCTCTTAGGCCCTGGCTGTCTTAATCTTTCTCACTCTGCATATCATACCAGGGCCGGGAGGAGGCAAGAGGCAGTACAACAGCCTTTCTCTTCCCCACTGATGTGTTTTCAACTCTGTCTCTTGAGATCATGGCTGAGAGATTTACTGAACCATTAGCTCAGAAGTGCAAGACCCCACCTACCCACCCACACACACACCCCACTACCACCTCCCTGGCCAATATTACTGGGAAACAAATGTTGACTCCATTTAGATTCTGGGTAGTTTATATTCACAGTGAGTTCTAGGGTGCCAGGGGCACCTCCCATACATTCCAAATTACCCTTCTCTGAATCCACTCTCCCCAGTGAGCCTGAGCATTTCCTGCAAGATTCAGCAGGTTTGCGGAGGGAGTTATATCAAGGACCACCAATGACCTTCTTTCCCAGGCAGAATAAATTATATCTATTTACTCAAACTAATGCTCACATTTTTAATTTGCATTATAGCTAGGCAATTTACATTTTCCAAAACAACCAGAATTTACCCATTTTTATAACTGTTCCATATGTTCTATGTTATTGTATTTGTATACTATTTTTAACACGTTGTAACAACATTTCTTAAAGTAGACAATATTGTATTGAATCTTTCAATTAAATTAGAAAACATGCTGGTCCGAGTGCAGTGGTGTTTGTAACTAATTGATCACAACCAGTTACAGATTTCTTTGTTCCTTCTCCACTCCCACTGCTTCACTTGACTAGCCTTAAGAAAAAGACATTTACTATACCTGCTTGTATAAACAAATACGGATTTATAGTTACAAATACAATATTGCCTCTCAAATTTACATATACAACAACTACAGGAAAAAGTGTAACTACAAATTAGAATATTGCTAGAATTTAAATCTTAAGTTAGAAAAATCATCAGGGATTGTATATTTATTTATACAAAACAAGTTTTCCTTTAAACAATTGCATTAAATATTTAGTTGGCTTTAGCGTAGAAGGTATGTTTATTTAAAATATTTATATTTCTAACAGACCATTTTTTTCACGAGAGAAAAGCATAAGAAAGTGGTATCATTAAATAAAAACATATCATGTATTATGTGACAAACACGAATTGGATAACTCTTTGCATATAAGAGTGAATTAACATTGTAGATTATTATGTGTTTTTTGTATTTATTTTCATATATCTACTTATATTTATTATGTTATATTTATTGCTTAACTCATTTTGGAAGTGCAAATGTCTTGATTCCACTATGAGGAGGTATTTCCAGGACATGAAGAGATACCCTTTATGAATTAAAGTGTTTCTTTAAAAAAAAAAAGGAACAAGAATATTGAGTAATGTATTATTAATTAAAATATAATATCTTCAAAGAGAGTACTTGCCTTAATGAGAATTTCAATGATTTCTAGTATAAAAATATTTTAATCCTCCTTGAATTCTAATCACTTATTTTCATCTAGAAATTATATGTGACTATAGTGATTATAAATTAAATTGTCATATTTTCAATTATTCTCGCCTCACATTCAAACAAGTAAAATGGAATAAACAGTAATTATTTTATTAATTCAAGCAAAAAAAGGTTTTTTGCTTTAACCGTTTGGATCTTTTCCTTCTTGGTGGCCTGAATAAAGCTGCTGTTTCCCATTTTCTACTAGTGCATGTGTGTGCATGTGTAGAAGTTTGTGTGTGTACTTTTTAGGAAGAAAATTAAGCCTCTCCTTCCCCCTCAAAACAAAAGTAACTCTAATCTATAGACTATTGCTAAATCACTGCTGCTCCTTTATAAGTCACTTGTCTGAATCTTAGTTCTTGGTGATGCTTGTCTGCCCCATCATTCAGGAAACATCTGTGAATCTTTAATCTCACTCTTGAGATTGTGATGCTCCCAAATCATCCAAAACAAAGAAGTATCTGCTTTATTCTCAACTATCTCAGTGGTTCTAACCACTATTGTTTTTGACAGCTTGTTTTTGTTTTTGTTTTTTGAGACGGAGTCTCACTCTGTCGCCCAGGCTGGAGTGAAGTGGTGTGATCTTGGCTTATTGCAACCTCTGCCTCCCAGGTTCAAACAATTCTGCTGCCTCAGCCTCCCTACTAGCTAGGATAACAGACATGTGCTACCATGCCCAGCTATTTTTTTTTTTTTTGTATTTTTAGTAGTGATGGAGTTTCACCATATTGGCCAGGCTGGTCTTGAACTCCTAACCTCAAATAATCTGCCTGCCTCAGCCTCCCAAAGTGCTGGGATTACAGGCATGAGCCACTACACCTGGCCTTAACAGCATTTTTCATTGCCCAGTTAATCTTATAATTATAGAGGTAGTATGTTTGCCAGTTTCTAGCCTGGTTATTCTAATTTAGTCAATAAGCAGAGCAATTCAGTTCAACAAACATTGGTTGAGGTAGCAGAGAGGAAAAAACATTTTCTAATCCTTTTGTTTTCCATGTTTCCCAGGTAGGTGGTCACTTTGAGAGGTGATCTATCCCTCTGTTTCATTTCTCTTCTAACTCCTGTTATTTCCTCTTCTTTCTCTTTATGCCTGTTCCACAAAGGTCCACTGGTGTTTCTCTCAGTGCCCAATACCCAATCTCACCTCGTTTCTTAGACTAAACCAAAACTAAAATATAAAGTATTTAAGGGGCCTCAGACTCATTGACCTCACCCCAAACCTGCTCCATCCCCTGGGCCATATCTTGTGACTCCTCCACTGTTGGGCTGGCCTAGGACACAATACATCAACATTATCACTGGGCACCCACATTGTGTCTCAAGTCACCTAGGCTGCTAATCTCACCAAGCACAGTTCTCAAATCATCCTACAAGAAGTAAGACCTCCCCAGATCTTGAAGTCCAACCCACAACCCTGCCATTAGGAGGTTTACTAACTGTTTTAGTCTATTTTCTGTTGCTTATTAAATAATATCTAAAATGGGTTAATTTATAAGAAAAAGGAATTCATTTCTTACAATTCTGGAGGCTACATCCAAGGTCGAGGGGCCACATCTGGTGAGAGCCTTCTTGCTGGTAGGGACTCTCTACAGAGTCCCAGGGCAGTATAAAGTATTACTTGGAGAGGTGACCGAACATGCTAATGTGCTAGCTCAGGTCTATCTGCCTTTTCTTTTAATGCCACCGGTTCCCCTCCCATGATAATTTATTAACCCATTAACTCATTAGTTCATTAATCCATCAATGAATTAGTCCATTCATAAGGGCAGAGTCCTCATGACCCAATCACCTCTTAAAGGCCCCACCTCTCAATATTGCCACACTGGGGTTTAAATTTCCACATGAGTTTTGTAGGGGACAAATATTTAAACCATAGCACTACCTAAGGTTAGAACTTCTCCATAGTGACTTACTTAAAGGACTTACTAGTGTCATCCATCTGGACACCCCAGCACTTCTATTGGGATGTCATTTTAAATGACTTGTGCCATCTGGTGTGATTAGAGATTGCTGAGCCCTTGGACCTACCTTGTCCCAAATTTCTGCTTTCATCAGCAGTCAGATCTTGCCATCATTTCACACCACCCCACTCTGGAACCTGTTCTATCCACATGGGTAGATCTAGTACCTAGCTTAAATCTCTCTGCCTTTCCATAGTGTCTGCTTTGTAGGAGTCCCTATGTGCTCTATCAGTGCTGATCCAACAGGTCAAATACACTTAGGGGAAAAAATGGAAAATAGAGAGCAATGTATATAGCATGTTATATTTTGTGCAAAACGGGGGAATAGTGTGTGTATACATATATATGTAGATGCATTAATAAACTATGGAAATATACATTAAAAACTAATAATAATTACATGTGGTAAGGTGATAAGGGTGGGGGAAATAAATGTAGGAAACACAAGCCTTTTACTGTGTACTTTTTAATACTTTTATTTTTGAGCTATGTGAAAGTATTGCCTATGCAGAAATTTTCTGAAGACGGAGGAGTGGTTTAAGTTGTATTGTGACTAAAGTTAAATTGAAATGGTTTAGGTATCCATGTCTAATTGTTAATGATTTTCTGATGTGCTGTAAACTATGCAAACAATCCTGATTGCATTGTCAGAAGGCTACTGTTGTTTCCAAGTTACCTTACTGGGCCATTCTACTCTTTTTGCACAGACTCTTTCCCATGCCTACAAAGTTTTTCCATTTTTTATGCAGCTGCAGTCTTCTACTCGTCCTTTAAGATCCTGCTCAAACAGCTCCTTTTTTGTGATCTCTGCCCCAGGAAAGTTGTTTATTTTCCCCTGTGTTGCCACTTACCTTGAATGTACCTTGAACTCAGTACTTATTGTACTGATTTACAAGTCTCCTTCCTTGTCAGACTAGGAAGCCCTAAGGATCAGACTGCATTTGTATGACTGGAACATTATTTATAAATTTTTTTTCATGAATGAAATGCATATATTCACAGTTTTTTAAAAAGTAGAAAATACTGCTGTAACAAATGCACAGTATTTCAGTTCTAGTATGAACTTTACTTTTGTTTAGGCTTTTGAAGGTAGAGCAGGAAATCTCACCAAATACAAACACATAAGCCTGCTGCGTGCAGCAGAAAGAGAATAAGGTAGTTTCCAGAGCATGATACCACCCTTCTCCTCCCGCACATGGGACGTGGAGGTGCCAAGATGCAGGTGAACACAGAGCACAGTGGCATAGGAAGCAGTTCACTGTCCCCAGAAAAACCTGATATTACTGAGTGCAGCAAGCAAGAGCTGCCTTTCCGTACACACACAGGTTCACAAGTTGGGCATTCTCCAGGCTGGAGGACGTTGCTTTGGTATCCTAAGTATGGCATTAAAGACTGGGACACTATATCTCATGGCACACTATATCTCATAAAAGCTAGATATCTTATATTGTATGAAAAAGATTGGTTGCCTATGTATAGCCAGCTTTGGAAAAATCCAGGTTATCTATATTTATTTGTGATGTTTCCATTTGAAGGTATTATGGTCACCAGGATGTAACAGGAAAGCTCAGTGAGTGATGTGTTTTGCTTTCCACCACAAGTAATGTGTTGTCTTCTTTGAGGCACTGACTATGGGTGCTCTTTATTTACATATGTATAAATAAACATATAAATATACAGCAGCCAGTCCATTTCCTGTATTAACTCAAATTAGAAGGCTTTATCTGTTGTAGGGTGTTTTTTTAAGAAGAGCATGGTAATATATTTGTTATTTCTCTTCTAAATATTATATTAGCTTGCTGCAAAAAAAAATTCCAAGAATACTAAACTCATAAAATAAAGACTTAAATTCTTTCCTCACCCTGAGAGGTAACTATTTTGGTATGCCTCTCAGGGTAAGGAGAGAAAAAAGTCTAAATGGACTAAACAGAGTTAGTCCATTTGTGGGTTTTTTTTTTTTTTTTACTAAGAAATCTTTGTGATCATCTTCCCATGTCAGTCTCTATAAAAATGCCTCTTTAGAATTGCTGAGTAGTGTTCCATATGTAGAATATGATGGATGTACTATCACATAGTTTACCACTCTTTATTTGTGAACATTTGAGTTGCTTCTACATTTTTTTTCTTTTATAAACAACACCATCTCTATGCTTTTTTTGGTCAGTTATTTTTGCGGGATAAATTCCCTAGAAGTGGAATTGCTGAATCAAAAGCTTGCATATTTAAAAATGTAATAGATACTATCAAATTGTCCGTTGAAAAAGGTTTATCAACTTACACTTCCAACAGTAAATAAGTCTGTTTTCCCACCACTTTATGAATGTTATATATACTAATATTTTCATTTTGCCAACCTGTTGGTACCTCATTGTTTAAATTTGCAGTTCTTCAACTAAGAATGAGTCTGAGCTCTTTTGTTTTTGTTTGTTTGTTTGTTTGTTTTTTTGAGACAGAGTCGCCCAGGCTGGAAGCTCTGCCTCCCGGGGTCATGCCATTCTCCTGCCTCAGCCTCCCGAGTAGCTGGGACTACAGGCGCCCGCCACCACGCCCGGCTAATTTTTTTTTTTGTATTTTTAGTAGAGACGGGGTTTCACTATGTTAGCCAGGATGGTCTTGATCTCCTGACCTCGTGATCCGCCCGCCTCTGCCTCCCAAAGTGCTGGGATTACAGGCGTGAGCCACCGCGCCCAGCCAGTCTGAGCTCTTTTGTACACTTATTGGCCACTTGTATTATTTCTTCACTGAATTATCCTTTCATATTCTTTGCTCATTTTTGTATTGCGTTGTTTACCTTGCTGAAGATATTGTGCTAAAGTGATAATCATTGGTATTCAGAGCTGATCAAAATTATATTTTTATATGGGACATTTTTATCTTCTTTGTAAGTTTTTTGGAAAATATCTTAGTGTGCTGTTATCCAGTCAGGGTTTAAATTTGTTGTGTGTTTATGGGGGTGGGGAATTGTGAGGGGGAAAAATTGTAATGAGAAACCCAGAACGCTGCCCTGCCCTTACTCTAGAGAGGATATCCAGAGATGGGGAGCAGGAGTGGGGCTTTTGAAATCATGTTTTGTGGTCACTCATATGCAATGAAACTAGATGAAGGTCTCAGAAGAGTAACTGAAATGCTCCTCCCTCTCACTCACTCCAGTTCTGCTCCTGCGACTTTCAATCCCTTTGTTTTGTTGTTTTGTTTTGTTTTGTTTTCTTGAGACAGTCTCACTCTGTTGCCCAGGCTGGATTGCAGAGGCTAGGTCTTGGCTCACTGTAACCTCTGCCTGCCAGGTTCAAGTGATTCTCTTGCTTCAGCCTCCAGATTAGCTGGAATTACAGGCACCTGCCACCATGCCCAGCTAATTTTTGTATTTTCAGTAGAGACAGGGTTTCACCATGTTGGCTAGGCTGGTCCTGAACTCCTGACCTCATGATATGCCTGCCTCAGCCTCCCAAAGTGCTGGGATTACAGGGGTGAGCCACCGTGCCCGACCTTTGATCCCTTTGGTTAAAGTAAATTTCTTGCTCTTAACATGAAAAAATATTTACAATTGCCTCTGATTTAAAGCATCAGGAACTGAAAGCATTTAAGTTAAATCCTTTGGGATCCTATTTCCATCTCTAATCAAGACAGGTGACTTTCCTCCAGGAATACTTGAGTGGTAATCACCCTGACCAGCTGCCCATGTAAGGAATTGCTAATGATTCTAAACCATGGGGCAAATACAAAGCTTTATATAAGTGGTAATTACTGTTATTGTTCTCTGACATCCTTACATTTCAAGCTGAGTTCCTTCCAGCAAATGTAGTACAGGAGAAAATTAAAGCTCTGGTGACATCATCCTCATAATAAAGAGGAGTCACTGGCCAGAGATGCTCACTTGTGTTTCTGAGGCCATTGAGAGAGGATCTTATCATCATTTTGACTGGAGAGATGAAAACTTGGGGGTTTGTCTTCTTTTGAGTTGTTATAGGGTCTTTCCTAATCGTGATAGAATATTTGTTTTGGTCAGAAATCCCTCACTGGGGGAACTCCCTTCTATTGCCAAGAAAAAAGGCCACTGGCTGCAGTGACTCACTTGGGACTATTGGCACCATATTGGGGTGCACATGTAGCTCCGGACACTCCAGCTCTCCTACAAAACTTCCTGTTCTCTCTCGGGAAAAATAGGAAGGCTGATCCGATCCAGAGCCTCCATGGGGGGTTCAACCTGCTGTGGGTGTGGCTGTGGCAGGTGCAATGGGTGTGCTAATAATCGCAGCAGGAACATTGACTCTCGGCATAGGCGTCCTGACTCCTGGAATCGACATGAAAATCCCAGAAACAGGTACTATGACCGGGATCTTGAGGTAAGTCCTTGATGAGGAAATCCTTCTGAGGCATTGATTTGTCCAATATTTCTTTAGTGATGTTTGAGTATTGATGATTGTCAATCAGCATGTATTAATATTATGCAAGGCTAACTAAGTATTTCAGTCTCATATATTTGAAAATATCCTGGCAACTGTCTATTAAGATACTCATTTAGCTATTCTTTTTTTTCTGAAGTTTTTTGTTTGTTTGTTTTTTGTTTTTTTGTTTTGTTTTGTTTTGTTTTGAGACGGAGTCTCGCTCTGTCGCCCAGGCTGGAGTGCAGTGGCGCTATCTCGGCTCACTGCAAGCTCCGCCTCCCGGGTTCACGCCATTCTCCCGCCTCAGCCTCCCGAGTAGCTGGGACTACAGGCGCCCGCCACCATGCCCAGCTAATTTTTTGTATTTTTAGTAGAGACAGGGTTTACGCCGTGGTCTCGATCTCCTGACCTCGTGATCCGCCCACCTCAGCCTCCCAAAGTGCTGGGATTACAGGCGTGAGCCACCGCGCCCGGCCTTTTCTGAGTTTTAAACAGTGTTTTTGCAGCTGGTTAGAGTTTAACTAGCAAAGTAAGTAAAAGTAGTTCCTGCTGGGTTACGTTCTCTGAGACTTAGCCCTTACACCAAGTTTTTCAGAACCTCTAATGCTAGAGAAAGAAACAAGCTACTTTATATTCTCTCAAAAGCCACTTTCCTTTGGGCTGGGCTCATTTGCAGCATACCAAGTTCTTATTTGAATCATATGGTAATAAATCACAAAGATGCTTTGAGAAGTGGAATAATTAGTTTAAGATTCTGCATCAACAGCTCATAATTGCTTTGTGTATACTGGACTTGACAGGTGATGTTGTCTTAAGATTGAGTGGCGAATCAAGATCTTAACCCAGACTTTACTCATTATCCCCAATTCCTGTTTGTAAAAGCTAATGTGGACAGGCTCAGTGGCTCACACCTGTAATCCCAGCAGTTTGGGAAACCAAAGCGGGAGGATTGCTTGAGGCCAGGAGTTTGAAACCAGCCTGGGCAATAAGCAAGACCCTATCTCTACAAAAAAATTTTAAAATTAGCTAGGTAAGGTGGCCCATGCCTGTAGTCCTAGCTATTTGGGAGGCTCAGGTGGGAGGATCTCTTGAGCCAGAGAGTTCAAGGTTGCAGTCAGCTAGGATGGCACCAGTACACTCCAGCCTGGGTGATAGAGAAAGACCCTGTCTCTAAAAAACAAAACAAGCCAGTGTGCTGTTTTAGTATTAAATCTTCTGTCCTGTGCTATTCGTACAAATAAACCTGAGGCAGGAAAGAAAAAAAAAAAAACAACAACTTCTGTCCTACTTTGTAAAGTGGGAGGTGGCCATCACCACCAGCCTGAACTCACCTTTGATGCTTGTTTTTCCTTCTCTTCTCTACTTGTAATAGTATACATTTGCTTTGTTTTGCACATGATGCCTTTGAAGCTATTGGATGGAATGTGTAGAATGTTTGTCACCCTAGTTTTGTAATGTGTTCTAGGAAAAAGCATGCCCTTTAAACTTATGATCTATTCTTTATTTTCCCTCTCAGGGTGCTGATTATCATATAACCCATAATTTAATGAAATAGGTAATTGATTTTAAATATATGTGTTTGTATGTGTATAGATATGTGTGTGTATGAAGCACACTTTTGAAAAACATCTGAATGCTGAAGTGACAGTTGGAGATGGAATAAAACATTTGATGTTGGCAGTTTGTTGAGCATATCAGTCAGATAAAGCCTTTAGTTGTTTCTTGCATTTAAGACTGCAGGAAAGGGATTTAGTATTTTAATTATTCTGTTTATTCCCATGACTACTGATTTTACTCTCATTTTCTGTTAGTGGACCTTTGATGTCACTCTGCCATTGTGCCTAATGACTCTTTTAGAAGCTTTAGTCAAATACCAGCTACAGAGAGGCCAAAAAGTCACTGTGTGTAGATTCATGTCCATGGCTAATTATTGGTTAATTATCAGTTACCAGTAGATATTTTAAATAATTTTCAACCAGTCACATGAAAGAAAATCCCCAGAAAAACATGGGGAAAAACCAAAATGTGTGAGTGGAGGACAAATGGACAACTGTAATTTAAATGCTTAGAGCCTTTGTGACAACTTGTGGTTGTGGGACAGCTCTCAATGTGACAAACACAACCAGCAAGAGCAGCTGCAAGGCAACCTGGGTCTTCTCCGTAGACACTGGGCCTGTCTAATCGAACGCTCTTCTTGACTTCAAACAAAGATCTTAGAAATCTAAAAGTTGGCCAGGCGCAGTGGCTCACACCTGTCATCCCAGCACTTTGGGAGGCCAAGGCGGGCGGATCACAAGGTCAGGAGTTCAAGACCAGCCTGACCAACATGATGAAACCCATCTCTACTAAAAATACAAAAAATTAGCCGGGCATGTTGGTGCGCGCCTGTAATCCCAGCTACTTGGGAGGCTGAGGCAGGAGAATTGCTTGAACCCGGGAGGCAGAGGTTGCAGTGAGCCAAGATTGTGCCACTGCATTTCAGCCTGGGCGACAGAGTGAGACTTTGTCTCAAAAAAAAAAAAAAAATCTGAAAGTCAACATGCTATTCATGGAATAAGATCCCTAAATAATGAGAAACTTTTTCCTATTTGATTTTGTTTCATTAGAATCTTAAAATGAAGATTTCCAACTTAGAAAATGAGAGAATTAGGGACTGTTCTGAGCATTGATGCTATAACTTCTAATTTAAAGCATTTCCCTAGTGATGACAGTACCATTAAAACCAGTGCAGAGGATTTTGCCCTTAGCTTTCGCTCATAACCTTTGCCTTAAATAACTAAAAAGAATATCAAAATACTTCTTCCGAGAATTAACTTCAAAGAGTTTAGAGAATTAAGTGATATTTCACCAAAATATATATGTTAATTCAAAATATTGAATTTGTTCAGATATTTTACAAAATGACAATATGCATCATAAAAATAAAAAATACCCTTAAAACATCTTCTTTGCTTTTCTATTTTATTTTAAAATGGCACTTATCTAAACTGGCAATAGTAATCCAGTAAGTATCTGTGAATGCAAAAAATATACCTGATCAATATTTATTCATCTTTAAAACTCTGATTAAATATTATCTTATTTGCGAAGTTCCCCTAATTCCCAGCTGGCATTGTCTGACATCTCCCATGTTCTCATGGAATTTTGTAATATCTCAAATAATTTATCCATATTATTATTCGGAAATTACATCTCTTCTCCACGTGACCTTTTGCCTCTCCAGGGCGGGGAACTAACATCTTATTGACACCTATTACAGTGCCTGGCATATAGAAGACTGTAAAACTGAAGTATAAAGCACTGAATATGGCCAAAAGACCAGAGTTGCGATTTCAGCTCTTCTCCAGACGGCCTGTGATGTCTTAGGTTAAGTCATTCATCCTTTCTGGGCATCAGCTTTTGTATCTATAAAAGAGGGAATGGGAATTGGATTAGATAGTGCTCTGTGGAGCCCTAGGCATTCCTTTGAGGTACCTCAGGGCTGCAACAGGAGGAAGGAGGAAGCTGAGGGGAGAGGAACTCAGGCTTGCAAGCTCCATACCATGTCTTCACTCAGAGAAGCTCATCTCTATCTGTTTTGACAGATCGCTGAATCCGTGTAGATTTCTTTGGAGTAAAATGTTGTACTGCTGGAAAAAAATCTTAAAAACAACTGGACTAGATTATGTATAATGTTTTTCCACCTCTAGTATCTAAGATTTTATGTAACCGTTTTATTAATTCATCTCATTATTATGTTGCTTTTTAAAAGAAACTGTATCACATTGTTATCATTAACTTGTTATTTATACCCTGCCCTCTCAAATACAGGTCTTTTTTTGCTCTATTTTTACTTAGCCAGCTTGTCTTTTATATCTTGTAATTACTCTTTAAACCTGAGCAAGTTGCCCATCCCTATTGGATTTTCTTTAGTTTGTAGAATCACTCAAATTTAATGAATTGTTTTGAATTTTATTCTTATCTATCTGTGCATTAGCAACCTTAAATATCTAGATTCATCCCTTCCTTCCAGTCATTTGTAAAGTCACTGAATAGAATGATATTCAAGTTGAAATTACTGGGGGCACAGATATTTGAACAAGCTAGTATTCTGACCTTCCTATGTTGCTAGCTGATCTTGCAAATGAGTTGTCTTCTCTACCTTCATATTCTTTAAAAAAGGATATTTGAAATAGCAAATATTTTCAAGGTTACGAGTAAATATTCAATGGCTATCACCCAAAGTACTAAGTGCAGCCTGCCATGTTTTCACAGCATAAATAGTAATGAAGGAATTAGTAGGTGGATTACAGGAGAAACAGAAAGGAGCACCAGAAGGTCAAAGTATATAAATAAGGAGAGGGATTCAAGTACCCATGTGCTCAACATTCATTCAAAGCTCACTGAAAGTCCCTAGTGCTTCTGCAATTTTAATGCTAACATTCTGCCAGTGGCTTATCCTTTGTTCCTTATGTTTGGTACATGTGCTATTTATTTATTCACTTCGTGCCTGTTAATGAGGTGTCTTGGGAGTTTCTTCTTTCAGCAAAAATGGAAGGGAATGAAAAGGGAATTGTTGGAAGTACATTAACTAACTTTGTTACATACATTACCGACAACTTAATCTAAACCAAGCCTTTAGAAATGAAAAATAAACTAATTTTATTTATGAATAAAGGAAAAGATAGTGTATTTAGTTGCATTTAATACTGTGTTGTTCTTTCTGTCTTACAATTAGGAAAGGTATCAGAATCAAGGTATCAGTTGAAGACATAAGAGAACAAGTTAAGTAGAATGTGTTTGGCTACAGAGAATGGTACAGAAAGGAACCTTAGGAAGTAGAATTTTTTTAGGAATAAGTGTAGGGTAGAGCCCAATCTTTAAATTCAGACAAAGAAATTGCTGTAAGATTTTGAGCAAAGACATATTTGTGATAAATGAAATATTTCAGAGATGGCATTAGTATTTCTGACATGATGGAGGAGTTGGGTATAGAGAAATAAAAAGCTTTGAAAGCAGATGGGAACTGAAATCTCAGAAACCGACTGAGAGGCCGCTAAAACAGTATGGGCTTGTATTAAGATAGAGGCTGTTGAGTGGGATGAAGTCAAGAGATTTCATGATAAATTACATGTAGAAGCAAAAGTGGATAGAACAAAAAGATTTTAGTAGTTTAGGAAGCTAGAAAAATGGTGTTCCTGGTAACAGATGAAATTCTTGGCTGAGCACGGTGGCTTATGTCTATAATCCCAGCACTTTGGGAGGCTGAGGCAGGAGAATTGCTTGAACTCAGGAATTCGAGACCAGCATGAGCAACATGCTGATTTTGGAGAGATCTTGTCTCTCCAAAAACTAAAAAAATTAGCCTGATGTAGTGGTATGTACCTATGTTCCCAGCTACACAGGAGGCTGAGGCAGGAGGATTGCTTGAGCCCAGAAAGTTGAGGCTGCAGTGAGCCCTGATCAGGCCATTGCACTCCAGCCTGGGCAACAGAGTAAGACCCTGTCTCAAAGAAAAGAAAAAAGAAAAGAAAACAAAAAGAGAGAAAGAAAGAGAAAATAAATTCTTCATAAAGGGAACCTGCTTGCAAGGACAAATCCATTTATTCTTTTAAGAAAATGTTGACTTTGAAGTAGTAACTTGAAAACCAGGTAGAAAGTTTTAAGACTAACAGAGCAGTACAGAGAAATATATTTAGAATATCATAAGAACAAATTAGAAAGAGAAGAATTTCTAAGCTTTTTCTCTTACTTTTTTTTTTGTAAATTAACATCAAAATTTATTTGCCAGCAAAATCTGACCTGAACTGATATGAGGTAATTTATTGCCTTTAATTGTCCCACTAAGAGTAAACAGTTATACATTTTTGCTGCAGGAATATTGACATATTATGATATTTGCATATAGTACATTTCCAAAATCTGAATATTCCTACTTTTTAAGTACTTCTGGCCTCAGTGAGCTTTTCACCAGGGATTATGGTCCTGAAGTAGGTTTAGAGAAAGAGTGGCAGGGAGGGTGTCTTAAATGAGGGAGTCTTACAGAATCACACATAACTGGGGGTCATCTGTAAGTGTTGAATAAATGGTGAGAGTGGAATACATGATTAAACTGAAAAAAGACAAATATGATACTCACACCAGTAGAAAGTAAAAAGTAAAAGAGGAAATTAAAGAAATAGCTAATGAAGAGGATTTTGGATTTGGCAAGAAGAAGGATATTGTTGAATCTGTCCAGCTCTTGACAGTTTCGGGAGTCGAGGAAGATAAGCAATAGGAACTGGAGCAGGAGCCTGAGCTTTACGTACAGGTTGAAAGAGGGGTAAACCCTGGGAAGGGAAAGGTTAACGGCTGTCAAAGGGGTAGCACAGTTAAGGGAAGGGCTGCATACTAAGATGGGACAAACTAGGCAGTTTTAGAAGCTGGCGGGAAGTCATCAGGAAATTGATGGCTGTCCAAAGGCCCAGGATGAATTAAACACTATAAATCTAAAATCCAGATGTGTGCAAAGTACTATTTGGCCGTGACTATCTTCTTATTTAACACAATCTAAAATTTCCTAATCCACAAAAATGTGAATTAGCCGGGCATGATGGCGTGTGCCTGTAGTCTCAGCTACTGGGGAGG
Organism: Homo sapiens; assembly: GCF_000001405.40. Taxonomy (NCBI): domain Eukaryota; kingdom Metazoa; phylum Chordata; class Mammalia; order Primates; family Hominidae; genus Homo; species Homo sapiens. The sequence continues at coordinate 106,468,589 of NC_000006.12, forward strand.
CTGAGGTAGGAAGACCAATTGAACCCACTAGATGGAGGCTGCAGTGAGCCATGATAGTGCCATTGCACTCCAGCCTGGGTGATAGAGTGAGACTTTGTCTCAAAAAATCATAATAAAATTTAAAAGTGGCATATTTTTACTCTCCCAGAAAACATGTAGATGTGATACATGAAATGCACACAAAAAATCATTTGTCATTATTTTTCCCAATAATATGCAAGTAGTGATTCCAGAACCATCTAAAGACAAAACACGACATTGTAAGGGTCTCCTAATTGGTCTTCTTGCCCCCTTCTTTTGTATTCTTACTCCCTATGCTTCTTTGTACACAGATCAGCCATCTTTTTATCTTTTTACAGGATGAATCAGATCCAACTACTCCTCTGCATGTAACTTTCCCAGTGCTTTCACACACTTGGAAGAGAGCGTTCCATTTCTCTGTGGTTTTACAGGCCCTGCGTGGCCTGGCTCCTGCCCCTGCCCAACTCACTGGCCCTCTCCCCACCACTCACCCCTCACTCTGCCTCAGCCACATGGGAGCAGTTACTTGAACACACAGAACCCTTTCTTGCCTTAGGAATGTGGTATTACCTATTGGCTCTGCCTAGAATGCACTTGCCCCTGTCCTCACAGAACTGATTCCTTCTTATTGGTCACAGCTTAGCTTAAAGTCACCTCTGTAGAAAAGCCACTCAGACATGACTGCCTCAACCTACATGAGTTATTTGCAGAGTACATATTACTGTACGATGTTTTCCTGCTTGCTTGTTGTCTTTCTCTTCTACAATATAAATTCCACAAAGCAGAGATTTTTGTCTCTTTTGTTCATTGCTTTATCCCCATTCCTACTACTATGTCTGGCACATATTAGGTGCTTGGTAAATATTTCTTGAATGAAGAAATGTTTTCTCTGTACCTTTTATTTTCAACTTAATTTCCTTAATGATTTTATTTCTCAAGGACTACTTAATACTTAGTAGGTATTCAGGAGTTTGTTCAATTTTTTGATTTGGTTTGATTTATTGATTTCAGTTGACACAGTAAATAGAGAACATTGCTTCTCTTTTCTACAGTTTTGTAATCGTTGATATTAACCATCCCTGGGCAGTCAAGTCCAAAACCTGTTTTGTTCCCTTGTGCCACAATCTTCCCATCCACTGCCCCACTTAATGGCATTAAAAGAAAAAAAAAGAACTTTCTTTGTAGCTATCTTACATAACAGAAAGTCATTATTTTTGTTAGGAAGCAGTTTTGTAACCAACAGCTTTGACAACTCTGCCCCAAGGCCCATGAAGACTCAGTGTGATGGGAAGGCCTGGAAGAGTTATAGGCAGAGGAGTAGGAGATCTCATTTATGCTATGGGGCTGTCACTTGTGCCGACAGAGTAGAGGGTGGGGAGTGCAGTGTCTCTGCTGAGCATTCAGGCTGCCAGGCCAAGTCCTGACTTTTCCTCGGGGACAGGGCGCTTCCCTCCTCCCTTTGGTCCCCGAGGTGTAGGTGCAGTCACTCCTCTCCAGTCTGCCCAGCAATAAGCTGGTAAACACAAGGTTCTGTGACACACCCAGAAGAATTTAAAATAATTCTCAGAGCCAGGTGTGGTAGCTCACTCCTGTAATCCCAACACTTTGGGAGGCTGAGGAGGGAAGATCCCTTGAACCCCAGGAGGTCAAGGGTGCAATGAGCTGTGTTCACGCCACTGCACTCCAGCCTGGGCAACAAAGGGAGACCTTGTCTCAAAACAAAACAAAACGAACAACCCTCAGCCTACCATTCCTTCATTGGACTGACAAAAAATTGGCTATACCTAAGGAGGAAAAGAAATATAAATTAAAAATTAGCCGGGCGTGATGGCGGGTGCCTGTAATCCCAGCTACTTGGGAGGCTGAGGCAGGGAATTGCTTGAACACAGGAGGTGGAGATTGCAGTGAGCCAATATTGCACCACTGCATTCCAGCCTGGGTGACAGAGCAAGGCTTCATCTCAAAAAAAAAATTATATATATAAATACTTCTGCACTATAAAAAGATGAGTCTAGAGCAGGAACACAAAAGCAAGTATATAATCATAAAAATGAAGTAAGGCAGATCTACTTAGACCGCCTTTCTCAAAGTAATTGACACAGATGCCCTGTGCTCTAACACAGTATAATTAATGTGTATCACTCTTAAAGGGCCACATTGCCTGCCTGTACCATGAAGCATCTTTAGAGTTGGCACTGTACAGTCATTAATTACATGAGCCCCTGAGTTAGGTATCATTATCCCTGCTTTGCAAACAAGGAAAATCAAGGGTGTTGGTGCCTAGACTCTAAGCAGTGTGTGGCTGGGCTCAATAAAGAATCCTGGAATTTCTGACTCTTAGCCTGAACTTGGGTTTTTTGCACTGTGGAGTCAATACATCATTGAAGACAACCAAGTGGAAATAACCCAAATACACATTGTTCTTGCAGTATTTCAGCCCCACCCTTGTAATTTTCTACATGAAAGGAGACTGCTGTCTGTTTGGCATGTTTGAGGGCTGGAGGAGATGGACTGTGGAGCTCAATGAGGAGGATGGCATGGTGAAATGGAAGGGAAATTCATTGCATGATTTCTGGTCTTTAGAAAGGCTACCCAAGCTTGGTTTCTTGAGAATGATTCTAGTCTGCAGGCTGACCATGCAACTTGGCCTTCCCTTCCAGGATGCTCCTGGTAAATCTCAGAAGAAAAGAGCAGACAAGTTTTATCTGTAAAGGAAGTACTCCAGCACAAGGATGTGAAGATCTATGAAAATAGAGCACATGTACACCAATGTGTGGGTCTTCTTTGCAAGCATTTCAGAGGCAGCTGCCTAGTCTGCTGATAGCTAATGCTGGTCTGGTTTCTCCTATTCGGGATCATATCTATTTTAGTCTCCTCTATAAATTATTCAAATGAGCCCAGAAGCCTTTCTGTATCAGATGGGTAAAGAAGTGGCTGGGGATTAATTTCTGAAACATTACCCTCCAAGAAGAATACTTTTAGGACAGTGCTTGGTACAATTTTTTAAGTACAAGTTACTCTCCCAAGCAGGCTGCAGCACTAACAACAAGGTGACAGGTGGAGTGTGGGTCATCCTGGAAGTGACGTGGCAGCCTCTGGGCTATGTCAGTTCTCCAGGCCTCCCCACCCCTACCCCCCAGCCCCACTCCAAAGGGTGTTTTAGCTCTATTAAGCATTCTTTATGCCAGACAGTTAAAAAAAAAAAAAGAAGAAGAAAATTAAGAGTCTTATTTATTGGCATACTATAGACAAAAAGGAAAAGATAGAATATTTTACCCCCTATCTCTCATCTTTGGTCTTATTTAGGGAGATAAGTTTAATAGTAACTATGGAAACATTTCTTTCAACAGATTGAGCTGACCAGTAAAAACTTCACTGATTGAGATATATTTTTCAGCAAAACATACTTACTCTCTGAGCGTTATGCATATGAATATGGCTTTAGCTTCCCTTTTGCAGAGAGAAAAATATCACAGTATCCTATTAAAATTTTTGCAAATATAAACTGTTTCTGCTTTATGTTTTTAATCAGAAGTAGAATTTAGAAAAATAAATTTCATATAGTATTTTTTCTTCACAAAGCTATTAGAGTAGGAACTGATTTGGTTGAATTTTTTTCCTAAGTTAAATCTGAGACTCTCATGAACACAAAGTGTATGTTTTTCATGGAAATATAAATTAAATATTTTGGAGAATTGGATGTCTATAGATAAAGTATAACACTTGGCTGTCTAGAACCTTGGGAAATGAGTTATTCAAAACAACTGAGTTTTATAGATGACATAGTGTTTATCTTGATAGGTTAAACACTTTAAAATGTTTACCATTTTGAATAAAAACTATCTAAAGATGTGTTTGTTTATTTTTCTATTTTTTAAAAAACAGTACACTAAACATTTTTTAGCTTTTTCTTGATGATTCATGATCATTATTATTATTATAGAAAAAGCTTTTTATGGAATTATAGTAATGTTTATTGAGAGCTTATTGAAAAGTATATTCTGGCCAGGCACAGTGGCTCATGCCTGTAATCCCAGCACTTTGGAAGGCCAAGGCGGGCAGATTGCTTGAGTCCAGGAGTTTGAAACCAGCCTGGCCAACAAGGCGAAACTTCATTTCCACAAAATATTAAAAAAAAAAAAAAATTAGCCAGGTGTGGTGGCACGTGCCTGTAGTCCCAGCTACTCGGGAAGCTGAAGTGAGAGAATCACTTGAGCCTGGGAGGTGGAGGCTACAGTGAGCCAAGATTGTGCCACTGCACTCCAGGCTGGGCAACAGAATAAGACTCTGTCTCAAAATTAAAAAAAAAAAAAAAAGAAAGTATATTCTGTTATTACAGTAAATTATCATTTCTGTGTTATTTTTAATAGGCTTTTTCTAAAGTTTCTCTCTTGTTACCTGTCATTTCTTACTTTTGTCAGCACGTACCTTTTCAAATCTTGAGGTTGTGATTAGTATTGTGTTTAGAAATTAGCTAACAGTGCTCATTAGATTGTTCTATAAAGGAGGAATAAAATGGGCTTGGAGTGAGGCCAAGATGCCCTCTCCAATTTTAACTATTCTTTTTCTTCTTAATTATTATAGAAACTTTAAAACATACACAAAATAGAGAGAATAGAATATAAACCACCACCCCACTCCACTTGACTTTCCACATCATCCAGTTTCAACAGCTACCAACTTCTGGGCAATCCTGTTTCCTCTCTACCTTCCCAACTCTTTCATCCCACATCACTCCATAATTGGATTAAAAGCCAGTTCTAGCATCGGTATGAACTCATGTTTAATTTAATGTAGATGCAGATAGTTACATATAGAAATATTGAGATATATTGGTCTATACAGTGGTTAGTATACACAGATATATTTCCTTGCTCCCTCAGCTGAGAGGGCCTAGAAACAGTGATACTCTTAAAGAGAGAACCAGGCGATGGACACAACACAGTGAATCAAAAAGACAGGAGACAACAGGGGGGCAAAAGACATTATACACTATAGAGAGAATGCCACTAACAATATTCTGTGCCCCAGGGATGTTAACCACTGACCTAGATGATCTGTTTTGCCATTCCTTTCTTGAATGGCAAGAATTTTAAATACGGTAATATTCCTGATCTACTCTTAATGCCAACTCTAAACTATGAGGATAAGAGTAAGTCTTCTTTCTCAATTGTTTTCTTACTTCTGTGGCACATGACATAATTTTCTGGACATGTAATTTCAAGACATGTTGGTCTGTTGTCATCTGAGCTAACCATGAAATAGACTTGTCCTACATAAACTGAGATAAACATGTATTTACTTACTCACCGGAATCCAGTGCATAGAGTTTACATATGATTATGTCTTTATAAGAAGAACACTACTTGCTTAGGTTGGAGAATATGACTACATTTGCCAAACTATGGCAAACTAAACTATGACTCAGAAGCTAACTTAGAGTAGGATTGGAAAAACAAAAGAAACTATCTTGTTGATTACACAATGTATCTGTAGTCCTTTTACAAAACTGTATGTTCAGATATTGTCAACACTGACTGTTACACTTTTGCCAGTGTGTTTTTACTATAAACCATCTTGCTGTTAAAATGTCAGCATTTTGCTGGGCATGGTGGTGTGTGCTATTCAGGAGGCTGAGATGGGAGGATGGCTTGAAGCCAAGAGTTCGAGGCTACAGTGAGCTATGATCATGTGCTTACACCTCAGCTTGCATGACAGAGAAAGACCTGGTCTCTAAAATATAATAATAATAATCAGTATTTTGTTGGGAATTGTTATAGTGTATAATAACCTGCATATTTGTATAGTTATGTTTCTCCTTTTTATGTGCTTTCAGAAGAAACTTCTTTTAAAGGCTTAATTGATTTTTTAAGTCATAAAGGTTTTACTTTTTATTTAGTATTTTAAATATGGTAATTTATATGAAGAAGTGAAAAAGAGTAGATTCAATATCTCCCTTAGATCCACGCAAGAGTGTCTTCGCTTTTAAAAGGCCTATGTGTACTTCCGGTCTATCCCTCTGAGGGCAGAGGATGATGTGTCTCTTAGGCAAGAGAGGTGACCAAGGGGAGGCTGTGTGCAGGGAATGTGTCCAGAGCTTGGATGTGCAAGCTGAGTTGTCCATGGGCAGGCGTAGGAGGTCACTTGTAGTGTGGAATGGAGACAAGGGAGGGCAGAGAAGGAGGCAAACCTGAGTTTCAGTTCATTCTGAAGGTAAATTTTTAAAGGCGAGAAATTAGAACACACTGAGTTTGTTAACTTGATTTGAAATTTTAAAATATTTAAACATATGGTATGTGAGCTTCCACTTATGTTCTTATTTCCCTTTTGCCACCAATGTTGGGGGAAAACAGGTAGATTTTTTAAAAACAAAACAAAAAAGATTGGACTCACATGTTCCTAGTTTCTTAATTCTTTTAACCTTTTGATAAATACTCTGTAACGTTGTCTTTGAATTTAACCATGAATTATAGGTGAAAGATTCTACCTAAAGATATATTCCATAAACTTTTAGGTGTTCAGAATAAATATATAAAAATCACCCGAATGTTTCAAATGCCAGATCTTCAAGGAGAATATGGGGGAGGAGAGGGATAACTAAATAATCAGCTAACTGAAACTTACTTACTTATTTATGTGTTTGAGCCACAGAGGGCAGATTTTTAGCCTAAGAAATGTCCCTTGCTCTAAATGAATGTATAAACCGAATGGGAGGGTAAGACAAATGTACACGAAAAAGTTAAAACAGAACAGCAAATATGAAATCAGTGTTACCAGTGATAAATGCTTTAAGAGAAGGATTTCAGTAAGCTTAGGTAGTCAGGGAGGGCTCCTGGGCTGGGCTTTGCTGTGTGAATCAGAGTTGGATTGTCACAGGCAGATGAGGTGATATTTGGGAAGGAAAAGTCATGTGGGCAAAGATAAAGAGACAGGCAAGCACTACGTGTGTTTGGGGAACTGTGAACATACTAATTTAGTTAGAGTGGACGGTCTGTGCGGGTACATAAAAGCAGGATGACTTGAAAGATATATAGTGCTGTCTCTGTTTAAGGCTTTGAGAGTCGGGGCTTTATCCTGAAGAAAGTGGATAGTCACTGAAGGTATCTGAGATACAGATGGTAGGATTAAATCTGTGATTTGGACAGAACAAACAAATGGCTTTGTTTAGATGAACTGGCAGAGGGAAACAAGAGGCAGGCAGACCAGGGGATTCCTGAGCTCATGGACCAGAGAAGAGGCCAAGGATCTGACATTTTAAAGAGATACACGTTTCCTCTGTCACAGAACTTAAAACTCCGTCTAGTGGTTTTCAGAGATATCACCAACAATTTCCACTGTGAACAAATGATAGATGATGAGACAGAATAGAATAGAAAATGAGTACCTGTGTAAGTAGGATAAAAAGTAATACACATTTACCATTTACCACATTCATATTTCATGTCCTCCTAGTGTTTGATGATGTTACTTCTCTAAATGAAGAAAGATAAGCCCCACCTAACTCATATGGAAGTAGATAAAGTATATTTCCAAAATTCAACCTGTGGAATATAATTATCTTAACCTTGTCCGTACAGAGCACAGGGACATGTCTTTAGCCCCAGGTAACAAGAACATGTTATTTTTAATATGAAGATGTCACACGGGTGGGGTGAGCAGCATGGTGGAGAAAGGCACTGGGCACTGGACAGTCTGTGAGTTTGTTCTCGGGATGATCCTTCTGACTGGCTCTAGGATCTGGGGCAACTCATTCACAGCCTCACTTAAGGAGATTAAATTCTATAAACGTCAAGGCCCTTTTCAGCTCTAACATTCTATAATTATATAAGTTAGATCTAACACCAAAAGACCATTTAATGGAATAGATTTCTAAATACACTTTGACTCATACTCTTTGGTTAAATTTCCTGGCAGCTATGACACTAAGGAATGACACAGCTATAGGCTTATCTATGATTAATTGTGGGAAACTTGAGGTGGAGATTTTTTTAATGCTGATTTTGTATCAAGGTTATTCGGTCATTTGGTATGTGAATTATATTCCTCCTCCCCATGAATCACTATTAAAAATAGGTTAGCTTATAGATATAATTCAATAGATCATATTCTTTTTGTGAACTTTTTAGGAACTGCCCATGAGGGACATGAAGTAAGACCAGTTCCCAGTGTAGAACCACACACACCTTGGAAAAGACTAAGAAAGACTATGGCAAATTGGTTTAAAGCATAGATTTTAAAGTCATATCTGCTCAGGTTCAAATCCTAGCACTGCCACTTGATAGCTGTGTGACCTTGGACTAGTTGCTAAACCTTGCTGTGCTTCAGTTTACTCATCTACCTCATCAGGTCATTGTGAGGATACATGTGTTTATTACATGTAAAGTACTTAAAATACCACCTACCATAAGTATTTGGTATTGTTATTATTATTGGACCCCCAGAAAATATTTAGGAAGGCATCCTAGCATACAGAGCTGTAGGCATAATTATGTGAACCCAACATTTCTTTTTCAAGATCAGTTCAGCTGTTTTGGTGATGTGTTTTGGTATTCGTCCCATTGTAATTCCAAAGCCACAAAGATGACGTTGTTTTAATCATTGTTTCATCCTATTTGCATTTTACTAAAGATAAATATATTAAATATTTAGTCTGTATGGGGTACATACTTTTAAGGAGGAATGTTCTACAGAAAAGTACAGAAAGAGGAGGTTTAGAGGCAGAAGAGGAAGTTTAGAGACATGAAGGAAGTGGTTCTTACGTTTGCTTTGTGCTTTCAGTAGATAGTTAATATCCATTTAAAGGATGTTTAGTGGGGGAAAATTCTGCTGGGACTAAAATTTCATGCTTAGCTGAAGCAATGCATCAGGGTTTTTAAGTATAGTTTTATTCAGTCTACTTCATCTTAGTTAACAAACTGAGGTTGGTCTTCAGCCCATAGTTAATGAATTATCTATTACTATTTCAAATTAAACTTCATGTATTTGAGCCTTAGAAAACTCCTAGCAAAACATCTCTCTCTGAGTTACCCCTGGTGATCTGAGCTGTGACCAAATAGCCAAAGAAGAAAAAAAAGGAGACCCATGGACAACGGTTCCGTTCGTGGCCCCATACTCTTCTTTCAGACTCTTGCCCTGTTGGCAAATGACTTTCTACCCAGGTTTTCCTGAATTATCTCTCTGTTTCTCAGTCTGAGAAGGAACCATTTTTGTGGGGTTCATCAGAAGTGGGTGTGAAGGTTTTCTTCCTGTGTAAAGGATCTCACACCATGGAAAGATCTGGAGCACGGAGCTGTGACTGCTTTGGAGGCATGTGCCAAGGCGCCAGTTCCATTGCCACAGGGCAGAGAAAAGCTCAGCAGAAGTTCCTGTCCCTGTACAAAGGAGGAGGGCACGGCTGTTGTTCTCCCTGGCAAGGAGCCAAATGTCAGTACAAGTGCCAGACTGTGCCCCTAAGCTGGGATGTGAGTGGGTGAGATCAGCTAGGGGAGGGATGTTGGTTTCCACCACTGCTCCTTTGGGTTTGGAAGATTTCAGGATAATCCCTCGTATCCTTCAACCCTGTTGGGTTATATCCGCGCACCACATCAAAGCTGTTCAATAATGAGGGTGCACAAAAATTAAAAAGAAAATAATGAGTGTGTATGTATTATCCTTTTGTTTGAAGATTAGATCTATCTTATCTCTTCTTGTAAACCTTAATTCCAATTATGTTTGTAATCAAAGCGAGTTAAGCTCTGGTTTGGGCTCAGACTGATGACAGCTACAATCTAGAAACTGATGCATATACTGAATTATAAAATCTTATGCTGAAAGTAATTGTCATGTGGGACAATGCCTGAAGGTTTGGGTTGTTCCTCTTACACACCTGCTAAAGACAGTGTGACATTTGGCAGCACACAAATCAATGGAAAGTGTGTCCACATCGAAGGTATTTTGTATCCCAACATACCATTTTTATACAACACATGTAAGTGCCACATACCTTCTACTTTGAAAACCAACCACAGAGCCATAGATCAGGGGCCCCCGACCCCTGGACCATAGACCAATACCAGTCCATGACCTGTTAGGAACTGGGCTGCACAGCAGGAGGTGAGCGATGGGCATGCAAGCAAAGCTTCATCTGTATTTACAGCCATTCCCCATCACTTGCATTACCACCGGAGCTCCACCTCCTGTCAGATCAGTGGCGGCATTAGATTCTCATAGGAGCACAAACCCTGTTGTGAACTGTGTGTGCAAGGGATCTAGATTGCATGCTCCTTAAGAGAATCTAATGTCTGATGATCTGCCACTGTCCATCACCCCCAGCTGGGACCGTCTAGTTGCAGGAAAAGAAACTCAGGGCTTCCACTGGTTCTGAGTGGAATTATACAATGTGTAGCTTTTTGCGTCTGGCTTCTTTCACTTAGTATAACATTTTCAAGGTTCTTCCATGTTGTAGCATGTATCAGTACTTTATTCCTTTTTATTGCCAAAAAATGCCACCTTTTATTCATTAGTTGATGAACATGCGGGTTGTTTCCATTTTTGACTGTTATGAATAATTCTGCTACGAACATTTATGTACAAGTTTTTGTATGGACATATATTTTCAATTCTCTTGAGTATACATTTAAGAATGGAATTTCTGGGTGTCTTAGCTTGGGCTGCTATGGCAAAATACCATAGGCTGAGTGGCTTATACAACAGATATTTATTTCTTACAGTCCCATCACAAGGGCACAACCCTCATGACCTATTCCAAACCTAATTACCTCCCAAAGGCCCCACCTCCAAACAGCATCCCACTGGGAGTTAAGCCTTCAATATAAGAATTTTGGAGTGACACAAACATTAGCTCATAAAACTGGATCGTATGGCAATTCTACATTTAACATTTTGAGAAATGGCCAAACTGTTTTCCAAAGCGACTGCATCATTTAACAATCCCACCAGTAATGTATAAGGGTTCCTTTTTCCCTACATCCTCACCAACACTCGTTGTCTTTTTTATTTTAGCCATCCTAGTGGGTGTGAAATAGTATCTCATTGTGGTTTTGATTTGCATTTCTGTAATGATTAGGGATATTGAGCATCTTTTTATATGCTTGTTGGCTATTTGTATATCTTCTTTGGAGAAATGTCTATTGAAATTATTTGCTTATTTTTAATTAGGGTTATTTGTATTTTAATTGCTGAACTGTAAAAGTTCTGTATGCTAGACCCCTATCAGATATATGATTTGCAAATATTTTCCTCCATTCTGTGGATTCTCTTTGCATTTTCTTGAAAGTGTCCTTAGAAGCACAAAAGTTTTTAATTTAGATGAAATCTAACTTATCTATTTTTTTTTCAGGTTGGTTGTACTTTAGGTGTCATAAGAAGCCATTGTTAAATTCAAAGTCACAAAGATTAAAACTCTGTTTTCTTCTGTTTTATTTATAGTTTTAGCTCCTCCATTTAGGTCTCTGATCCATTTTGAGTTATTTTTTGTATGTGGGGTGAGATAGGGGCCACCACCATTTTTGCTAGAAATACAGTCTGTTTCTCAGTGACATGATGCCAGGGGAGACATTAATTGCAGAACTGATTGTCAAGACTTAAGTATGAAGTTCATAAGCCCAGTGCTATGTGGTTCTGGTTAGGCACAGTATGATAGGGAAAAGTGATGCAGGCCATAAAAGTGATGCAGTATGATAGGGAAAAGTGATGCTGGCTGGCCCTGTGACTAAGTTAGGATTGCACACTGTAGCCTGAAGTTTAGAGGATTTGGATATTAAAAGAAATTGTGGGCCGGGCGCGGTGGCTCACACCTGTAATCCCAGCACTTTGGGAGGCCGAGGCAGGCAGATCACGACGTCAGGAGATTGAGACCATCCAGGCTAACACGGTATTTTTTTCTCTACTGAAAAAAAAAAAAAAAAATTTAGCCAGGCATGGTGGCATGCACCTGTAGTCCCAGCTACTTAGCAGGCTGAGGCAGGAGAATCACTTGAACCCGGGAGGCGGAGGTTGCAGTGAGCTGAGATCGCACCACTGCACTCCAGCCTGGGTGACAGAGCAAGACTCCATCTCAAAAAGAAAAAAAAAAATTTGGCACCTCTGCATGGTAGCTCACGCCTATAATCCCAGCATGTTGGGAGGCTGAGGCGGGTGGATCACTTGAGGCCAGTAGTTTGAGACCAGCCTGGCCAACATGACAAAGCCCTGTCTCTACTAAAAGCACAAAACTTAGCCAGGAAGGGTGGTGCATGCCTGTAATCCAGCTGCTTGGAAGGCTGAGACATGAGAAGCGCTTGAACCTGGGAGGCGGAGGTTGCAGTGAGCTGAGATCATGCCACTGCACTCCAGCCTGGGTGACAGAGTGAGACTCTGTCTTTTTTTTTTTTTTTTTTTTTTTTAGACGGAGTCTCGCTCTGTCGCCCAGGCTGGAGTGCAGTGGCGGGATCTCGGCTCACTGCAAGCTCCGCCTCCCGGGTTCACGCCATTCTCCTGCCTCAGCCTCCCAAGTAGCTGGGACTACAGGCGCCCGCCACCACGCCCGGCTAATTTTTTTGTATTTTTAGTAGAGACGGGGTTTCACCGTTTTAGCCGGGATGGTCTCGATCTCTTGACCTCGTGATCCGCCCGCCTCGGCCTCCCAAAGTGCTGGGATTACAGGCGTGAGCCACCGCGCCCGGCCGAGACTCTGTCTTAAGAAAAGAAAAAATTGGCTGCTCCAATGGAGGTGAAAGTTTAGCTTACTGTCATTCTGACAAACTAAATTTATAAAGAGAACAACTACCAAACCTTACCAGCCATAGAATTAAATCATGAGAGGTAGATAAGGTACACTTGCCACCCCATGCTGGTCTTCATGGTGACTGAGGTCTCAGCCCTTCCTTTCCCTAATCTCATCTGCATCTCCTCTCTCTGAAAGAGAGGGAGAAGCCCTCTCGATATCTTTACCTTCTCTCCTGGAGACCCTCTGTTTGTTCTTCCGTCCCTCTCCACCCTTCTGCATCCTACTGTGTCCTAGATGGACTGCATCAACCAGTTCTCTCTCATTGATCGGCAGGCTTCCTGTTGGGGGTCAAACAAAGGGAAGTCCTGGCAGGAGATAAGAAAAAGGGAGGGAAATGAGGCTGGGGTATTCATACTCCTGGTTCCCTCCCTGTGGGGCCACTGAAGGCCGGCCTATCCCTCAGGCCCATCAGGGTCCTTGCAGCACAGCCCTCTCTGTACCTGTCCTGGGAGCTGCTCTCTCCCTGTCCTTCATGCCTGCCATTAGTCCTGGGATAGGATACTACTCATGGGGGTTCCCCAAGTCTTGTGCACACGTTTGCCCCTTTATTAGACTGTCATCAGATCAACCCATTTCTGTACTTTCTTACTTACAGGACCTGACTGATACACGTTCTCTCCCAGTCAGGTATTTATGTGCGTGATACACTCCCAGGTTCCTGCTGTCTAGTGTACTTTCGCTGTGTCCTCTGCACAGGGTCTTGCAAGGCTTCAGTCAAGGTGTCAGCTGGGGCTGCAGTTTCATCTGAGGCTTGGGGTCCTCTTCCAACCTCACGTAGTTGTTGGCAGAATTCATCTCCTTGAAGTTGTAGAACTCATAGCAACTTGCTTCTTGAAGGCCATTGAGAGAGACAACCTGTGATGCTTCAAATCTTCACCTCTTTCAAAGGGCTCACCTAATTAGGTCAGGCCTACTCAGGATAATCTCCCTTTTGAGTACTCCAAGTCAACTCATTAGGGAATAATTTCATCTGCAAAAATCCCTACACCTTTGCAGTGGAATGTAATCTGATTATGGGAGTGTCATCCATCCTATTCACAGGTCCTGTAAAGGGATGGAATTACACAGGGAAAGTACACCAGAGAGCAGGAATCTGGGAGTCATCTTAGAATTCTTCTGGCCAGGCATGGTGGCTCACGCCTATAATCCCAGCACTTTGGGAGGCCGAGGGGGGTGAATCACAAGGTCAGGAGATCGAGACCATCCTGGCTAACACCGTGAAACCCCGTCTCTACTAAAAATACAAAAAATTAGCTGGGCGTGGTGGCGGGCACCTGTATTCCCAGCTACTTGGGAGGCTGAGGCAGTAGAATGGCATGAACCGGGGAGACAGAGGTTGCAGTGAGCTGAAATCGTGCCACTGCACTGCAGCCTGGGCGACAGAGCGAGACTCCATCTCAAAAAATAATAATCATAAAAAAGTAAAAATAAAAAAAGAATTCTTCCTACCACAAATATTTTTGGGCCAACAGTCTTTAAATTTTTTTAATTGACATCTTGTAATTGTACATATTTATGGGGTATAATTTGATGTTTCAATGTATGCTGTATACTAATCAAATCAGAGTATTTAGCATATTCATCACCTCATGCATTTATCATTTCTTTGTGGTGAGAACATTCAAAAGCCTCTCTTCTAGCTATTTTGTAATATACAGTACCTTACTGTTAACATCACCTTACTGTGATGTTATAGAAAATCAGAACTTACTCTTTCTATCTAATTGTCACTTTGTACCTGTTGACCAGCCTCTTCCCATTCACCTCCAATCCTCCAATCTCTGTCAGCCACTGTTCTACTCTCTGCTTCTATGTTATCTACTCTTCTTTGTTTGTTTGTTTTAGATTCCCATATAAGTGAGGTCATGTGATATTTGTCCTGGCACTTGGCTTATTTCACTTAATATGATATCTTCTGGGTCCATCCATATTGCCTCAAATGACAGGATTTCATTCTTTTTATGCCTGCATAGTATTCCATTGTGTGTGTGTGTGTGTGTGTGTATATATATATAGATATATATATAAAACATTTTCTTTATCTACTTATTTATTGTTGGACAATTGAATTGATTCCATATTTTGGCTGTTGTGAATAGTGCTACAATAAACATGGGAGTGCAGATACCAATTTCATTTCCTTTGGAATACATACCCAGCAATGGGATTGCTGGATCATATGGTAGTTCTATTTTTAACTTTTTGAGGAATCTCTATATTGTTTTCCATAGTGGCTGTACTAATTTATAATCCCATCAACAGGGTGTAAGTGTTCCCTTTTCTCCACATTCTTGACAACACTTGTTTTCTTTTATCTTTTTGATGATAGCCATTCCAACTGGAATAAGGTGATAACTCATTGTGGTTTTGATTTCTATTTCTCTGATGAATAGCAATGTTGAACATTTTTTCATAAACCTGTTGGCCATTTGTATGTCTTCTTTTGAGAAATGCCTATTAAGGTCTTTTGCCCATTTTAAAATCAGGTGATTTGTTTATTGGTTGTTAAGTTTTGTATTTTACAAATCTTATTTAAAAAAATCTCTGCCCAGCCTGATGTAAAGCATTTCCTCTACATTTTCTTCTAGTAGGTTCATAGTTTTGGGTTTTACATTTAAGTCTCTAATCCATTTTGAGTTGATTTTTGCATATTGTGAGAGGTAGGAATCTAGTCTCATTTTTCTGTATGTGGCTGTTCAATTTTTCCAGCACCATTTATTGAAGAGACTTTTTCCAAATGTGTGTTCTTGTCACCTTTATTGAGAATCAGTTGGCTATAAGTGCACAAATTTTGGGGGGGCACTATATTTTGTTCCATTGGTTTATGTGTCATTTTTTATGCCAATACCATGCTATTTTGTCTACCATAGCCTTGTATTGTATTTTGAAGTCAGGTAGTGCGATGCCTCCAGCTTTGTTCTTTGTTTGTTTGTTTAGAGGCAAGGTGTCACTTTGCCACCCAGGCTAGAGTGCAGTAGCGTGATCATAGCTCCCTGTAGCCTCAAACTCTCAGGCTCAAGCAATCCTCCAGCCTCAGCCTCAAGCAATCCTCCAACCTCAGCCTCCCGAGTAACTGGAGCTATAGGCATGTGCCCACCCACACCCAGCTAATTTTTTTCTTTTTTGTAGAGACAGGGTCTTGCCATGTTGCCCAGGCTGGTCTCAAACTCCTGGCCTTGAGCGATCTTCCTGCCTTAGCCTCCCAAAGTCTGGGGATTACAGGTGTGAGCCACAGCACCTGGCCCAGCTTTGTCCTCCTTGCTCAGGATTACTTTGGCTACTCAGGTTCTTTTGTGGTTCCATATGAATTGTAGAATTTTTTTTTTCTGGCTGGGTGTGGTGGCTCATAACTGTAATCCTAGAACTTTGGGAAGCCAAGACGGGAGGATCACTTGAGCCCTAGAGTTTGAGTCCAGCCTAGGCAATGTAGTGACATCCCATCTCTACAATATGGAAAAAAAAAATATTAGCTGGATGTGGTGGTATGTTCCTCTGGTTCCGGCCACTCAGGAGGCTGAGGTAGGAGGATTGCTTGAGACCAGCAGTTCAAGCCTGCAGTGAGCTATGATGGAGCTACTGTACCCCAGCCTGGGCAAAAGAGCAAGACCCTATTTAAAAAAAAAGGTGGGGGGGATTTCTTTTTCTATTTCTGTGAATGTCATTGGTATTTTAATAGTGATTGCATTAAATCTGTAGATTGCTTTGGGTAGTATGCCCATTTTAACAATATTATTTCTTCCAATCCATGGACAGAAGATAGCTTTCCATTTCCATTTGTGTTCTTCTTCAATTTCTTTAATCAAAGTTTTATAGTTTTCAGTGGAGAGATTTTACTTCCTTGGTTAAATTTATTCCTAGATATCTTAATTTTTTGTAGCTATTATAAACAGAATTGTTTTCTTGATTTCTTTTCCAGATAGCTTGCTGTTGGCATATATTAAATAGAAATGCTACTGATTTTTCTATGTTGATTTTGTGTTCCATGACTTTACTGAATTAGATAATTAGTTCTAACAGGTTTTTTTGGTGGATTCATTAGGGTTTTCTAAATATAAGATCACATCATCTGTAAACAAAGACAATTTAGCTTCCTCCTTTCCAATTTAGATGTATTTCTTTCTCTTGTCTAATTGCTCTAGCTAGGACTTCCAGTATTATGTTCAGTAAGAGTGGTGAAAGTAGGCACCCTTGTCTTATTTGTGATCACTGTTTCATACATTCAGTATGATGTCAACTGTGGGTTTGTAATATATGGCCTTTATTGTGTTGCAGTACATACCTTCTATATCTAATTTGTTAAGAGTTTGTATCATGAAGGGATGTTAAATTTATCAACTGCTTTTTCTAAATCTCTTGAAATGGTTTTTGTCTTTTTGTTAATGTGGTGTGTTGCATTTATTGATTTGTGTATGTTGAACTATCCTTGCATCCCTGGGATGAATCCACTTGATCATAGTGGATGATATTTTTAATTGCTGTTGAATTTGGTTTGCAAATACCTTGTTGAGAATTTTTGCATGTGCATTCATCAGGGATACTGACCTGCAGTTTACTTTTTTTGCAGTGTTTTTGTCTGGTTTTTGAATCAGGGTAATGCTGCCTTCATTTCCTTTCTTCTACCAATTTTGGGTTTATTTTGTTCTGTTCTTCTAGTTCACTGGGGTACATGGTTAGGTTATTTATTAGAAATCTTTCCTCTTTTTTGTTGTAGGTGTTTGTTGCTATGAACTTCCCTTTTAGAACTGCTTTCGTTGTGTCCCACAGGTTTTGCTTTGATCTGCTTCCATCCTCATTTGTCTCAAGAAACTTTTAAATTTCCTTCTTAATTTCTTCATTGACCCATTGATTATCAAAGAACATATTATTTAATTTTCATGTATTTTTGAGGTTTCCAAAGTTTTTCTTCTTAATTTCTAGTTTTATATCATTGTGGTCTGAAAAGATATTCTATCTTCTTAAATTTTTCAAGGCCTGTTTTGTGGCTTTACATGTGAAGATCTATCCTGAAGAATATTCTATGTGTGGTTGAGAAGAATGTGTATTTTGCAGCTATTGGATGGAATGTTCTGTAAGTGTCTGTTAGGTCAATTTGGTCTATGACATAGTTTGTTGATTTTTCTGTCTAGATGGTCTGTCCGTTGTTGAAAGTGTAGTGTTGAAGCCCACTATGATTACTGTATTGCAATCTCTCCTTTAGAGCTAATAATCTTTGCTTTATATATTTGCTCTGGTATTGGATATATATATATTTACAATAGTTACAGCTTCTTGTTGACTCAGTCCCTTTATCATTATATAATGATCTTTCCCTCCTTTCACAGTTTTTGACTTAAAGTGTAATTTATCTGATATAAGTATGGCTACTCTTGTTCACTTTTGGTTTCCATTTGCATGGAATCTTTTTCCATCCTTTTATTTTCAGTATATGTTTGCCTTTAATGGTGAGGTTCATCTCTTATAGTTGGGTCTTGTTTTTTATCCATTCAGTCACTCTATATCTTTTAACTGGAGAATTTAATCCATTTACATTCAAGGTTGTTATTGATAGGTAAGGACTTACTCCTGCCATTTTGTTAATTGATTTCTGGTTTTTTTGTAGATTGTTTATTCTTTTCTTTCTCTTTTTGTTGTTTACCTCTGTGACTTGGTGGTTTTCTGTAGTACCAACCTTTGTTTCCTTTCTCTTTGTTGTTTGTGTATCTATTGAAATTTGTGTGTGTGTGATTACCGTGGGGTTAACAAAACAAGTCTTGTAATTATAATAGACTATTTTAAGCTGTTAACAACTTAACTTTGGTTCCATACAAATACTCTAGGCTCCTCCCCAACCTTTTTGCATTTTGGTTGCTTAATTTACATCTTTATCTTTTATGTGTTCTTTAGCCACTTAACTATTGATGTTTTTTACCTTTTTGACTTTAAATTGAAGAATTTACATGGTACCATTACAGCACTGGGGTATTCTGAGCATGGTTATGGATTTACCTATATTGGTGAGTTTTGTACTTCCATGTGTTTTTATGATATTAATTATCACCCATTTGTTTTCCTATTGTAAAATTCCTTTAAGCAATTTTTGTAAGCCTGGTCTACTGGTGATGAGTTCTCTCAGTTTTTGCTTGTCTGAGAAGTTCTTTTATTTCTCTTTCTAGTCTGTTGTTGAAGCTCTCAATGGTATTTTTTATTTTTGTTTATTTATTCCTCAACAGAAGCCACGTTTACTGTATTTTTTATTCACTGTATTTTGTTCATTGAATTCTTCAGCTCCAAGATTTCTGTTTGGTTCTTTTTTATGATATCTATCTTTTTGTTGAATTTCTCATACAGATTATGAATTGATTTCCTGCTTTCATTGAATTGTCTGTATTCTTATATTTCACTGAGTTTCCTTAAGATCATCATTTTGAATTCTTTTTCAGGGATTTCATAAATATCATTTTTGGGAGGATCTGTTAATGGAGACTTATTGTGTTTTGGGGGAGGTGTCATCTTTTCTTGCTTTTTTCTTCTTGTGTCCCTACATTGATATCTGTCCATCTGGTAATACAGTGGCTTTTTCCAATTTTATGGAGTGGCTTCTATAGGAAGAGGCTTTTTCCTATACCTGGGTCTAGGGTGTTGGTTGGGAATGGTGCATTGACTTTGGTTCTGGGTGAGTAGACTCAGTAGTGTGGTCTTCATAAAGATTCTTCAGCTGTGATCCTTACCTGCAATGCCTGTGATTAGCTCAGTGTCCCAGACTGCAGTCTATGACTGTGGTGGTATGGTTTTGCAGGGGTCAGGGGCACTAAGCTGGTTGTTTGCTGGACATGTGCAGATGTGGCAGGCCAGCAGATTATGTGGTGGGCTCTCCTTAATGGCATGGTCACCACTGTGCTATCTGTCAGGTCTGGGTCAGATGCGTATAGGTTAGGCAGCTGAGTGGGCATTCTCTCCAGTGGTGTAGGGTCCCCTCCAGGCTTGCTCTCAGGCCAGGGAAGACATAAATGGCCTGGTTGCTGCACAAGATCCCTTCCTGTGGTGCAGGGCCATCTCCAAGCTGGCTGTCAAACCAGGGTTGGGTAAATGTCCAACAGTTGTGCACAACTCTCTCTGGTGAGGTGGGGCTGGCTATAAGGCCAAGGGCAGGCACATGTGGGTAGCTGCTGCTGGTAACCTTCTATGGTGGGGTGGTGCCACCTTACCAGTTGTCAATCCTGGGGCAGGTGCTTGCAGGCCAGAGGCTATACGCAGCTCTCTCTGGTGGGGTGGGCTGACTTTAGGCCAACTGTCAGGCAGGGGGGTGGGTGCCTGTGGGCCTGATATCTGCTCATGGACTTCCCACTGCTGCACAGTTGGCTTGTGTCCCTGGGTGATAAGGTGCCTCATGAATTTTGGCGTGGGTGTCCCAGTTGTTCCTTTGGGCCTAGGTTCTGGGTAGCTGGGGTACTGGTATTGTAGGCACCTGTGGGAATTTAGTGTAATGAAAGCAAGGTGTCAGGGATGGATTGGTGGAAGGCAGTGTACACTCCAAATATGGGTCCAGTTTCAAGATGGTGTTGTGCTGTAGTGGCTTAGATCCTGGGGATGGGAGGTGTCAAGGGAGTTCTTGCTCTGGGAAATGCAAACGCAGCTGTTTAGACTCCCAGCAACTGTTCACACTGGACTTAGGGCCTTCCTGCAGCAATGACTACTAGAGTCTGTGGCAGTGTGGAGACTGCCAAGGGTCTGCAGCTTACTTTTTCTCATAAGAAAGGTCTCTCCAGCTCTGACCTGATCCCAGCAAGGAGACAGTGTGGCAGAGGCAGGATTCCTTACTCCCCTTTCTATGGAGTGAGCTGTCCTAGGCTTCTGTGATCCACAGGGGTTTTGTGGTTTTCCTGGTGCTATCCAGCAACTTCCTCAGTCACTCCAGTCAGAATATAGCCGTTTATTCATTGTTTTGGTTTCTTTGGGTTAGGGGGATGAAAGCCAGGCAACTCTAGTTGGCCATCTTGCTGATGTCACTCTCAGTGGGCCAAGGTCTTGATAAAATGTTGATTTGATTGTGTCACAAGACCAAAAATTGCTTCAAAATAGAAAAAAATCAATTACTATTTTTAATGTAAAAGTCTTTATATAATATATAGGAAAAGATATAATTCCCTTGTCATTTTTTTGGTAGATTGAAAAAGAAAACATTGGCCAGGCACAGTGGCTCACCTATGTAATCCCAGCACTTTGGGAGGCCGAGGAGGGTGGATCACCTGAGGTCAGGAGTTTGAGACCAGCCTGGCCAACATGGTGAAACCCTGTCTCTACTAAAAATACAAAAAAAAAAAAAATTAGCCGGGGGCGGTAGTATGCACCTGTAATCCCAGCTACTCAGGATGTTGATGCAGTGAAACAAGATTGTGCCACTGCACTCCAGCCTGGGTGACAGACTCTGTGTCCAAAAAAAAAAAAAAAAAAAAGAAAGAAAATGAAAACATTGATAATTGTGAATCATTTTAGTTTGGTTGTAGTTTCTGTTCATTTTATTTTATCCAGAAATAAGAACACAAAATTATCCTCTGTAAATGATGCATTGAGTTTGTTCATTAATATCTGGAGAAACAGAGATTAAATGCCTAAAATGTCTAAAATGTGCATAGGTGAAGAAACATAAAGAACTATAGGAAGAATTTGTCTTCTACGGAGAGACTCATGACTCCAGCAGGGCATGAAAAGCCAACCAAAGAGGGGAGTCCTTAGTCCACATTACAGTTGTCATTTCCCTCTCAGAATGTCTACCTACTGTTTAGTGAAATATATCTACAAAGCTGGAGTGATGTAATGCTGTTGGCTTCTTAAAAGAGCCAGGAGAATCCCTCCTTCACCCTGGTGTGAATGCAGGCTGTTTCCCCTGCATTTCCCCTTTGGGGAAGCAACAACTGTGGCATAACCATCTTTAAGCCAGGCTTGCCTGGCATGAGGTTTGCTAAAGGAATAAGGACAGAAAGAAAATTCTGTAGCTTAGTTTAGGGGGGAGCAGTTCACCAGGTAGGCTATGAAAGAGGAACTAATCGAAACCTAATAAAATAGATTGAGGAGATTAAAATAAAGGATAGTGAATTAAAGATTATATCTTTCAGAAATGTCATATTTTTTACACTCAGAAGATTTGTAGGGCCCTATGAACACTTTCTCTACATTTATCCACATGTACATCATCTGTGACTCGTAGCTGAAATATGTTTATATGAATTTTTTTCCAATATGATATGGAAGGGCAGGGCTAGCAAATGTGGGAGGAACATCAGGTGCTGGCAATTTTGCTTTCCTTTGCATTTAGCCCCACCTCTGTGCATTGCAGAACTCAGTCATAGAGTCAGGAGCAGGAATACAGATTCACAGAAAGAATGAGCATGTGAGGAAAGTCCTCAAGCTAGAATTGACCCCTGGCAAATTTGGCTAAGGGAGCAGAAAGTAGAAGGTGTGCCAAATTCCCATTCCCTTTCTCACACTCTGTGAAAAGGCCTGTTGCTCTTGATGAGCACTTGATCATTTTTCAACTTGTACTTCAAAAAAATGTGTCCTCATGATATAGTATAATATCTTGATTAAGGCTGGAAAGTAACTAAAACTGGCAGGTCTTCCTCTAATTGCTGTGTGATATTAATTTAACGAAGCCTCCTCTTGCAAGAGAATTTCATTGGTTTGTTTAAAAACAAAACTACAGGCTTGCTATATTTATTTCATTCATTATGATAACCACAAAGCATTACCCTTTTTTCAAACACTTTATTTAAACAAAATGATGAAATACTCACAAGTCGTGTCAGAGCAGTTATTGCGTATGCTTATTAATGAAGGTCTCAGTACAAAGGCTCCTCAGCATGAGCCACCTGTGTGGAGGCTGCATGCAAAAGGACTGACTCCTGATCAAAAACTGGAAAATGCTGATGGAGGCTGAAGGCAGGTAGATGTGTCTTTTGTCTTTTACAGGGAACATTGCCCTATAACAGAGTTAATAATGCCATTTACAAACTGGAGCTTATATTTTTTCCTACCAAATTGTGATCTACTATGAGACTGACTTAGGGCTGAGATAGAGCATAGAGGCATAACTTTGAGAGTGAAACCTACATGGTTTGTGGCCATTTCCACTGAGAAATATTAACTTCCCCTAAGTTCAACATGACCCAAGCTGGACTCCCTACCCTCCGACGGAGCTCTCCAGTGCTCTTCCAGGCCTCGAGACTCTGCGTCATGGAGTTCCTTTGGATTCATCTCTCTCTCTCAGTGTCTGCTTTCCTTTGGTTCTTTCTTTTCCTCCCTCCATTTCCATATGTGGTGGTCACTTCAGGCCTCTTAACACCTTACGTCTGAACTGCTGACTCTAGGTCCTCATCCACTTGGACCCACCAGGGGCTGCAATGCTTTCCTTTCTCCAACACTGCTGCAGATCATGTCGCCTCCCCGCTCAGAAACCTTAAAAGTTTTCATATTTCCCATGACATCACACCTAAGCTTCTTGACTTGCCTCTCAAGGCTTTCCCCAAACGAGATCAATCATACTTATTCAACCTCCCATATATTCATTCCACCAATCTTCTTCGTGCCTTATAACTCCAGTTCGACCCCTGTGCCTGGTGTCATTTGGTTGCCTTTCCTCAGTCTGTTCCCCTCACCCAGAATGCCTTTTCTTGGCCCTCATCTTATTAAATCCATCCTTTAAGGCTAGTACTGTGTTCTTCCTGTGGTCTTCTGACTGCACACCCTCACTAATCTCTTTCTCTTTGAACTCTTAAAGCATTACGCATATCTCAACTACATACTTTAGCAACTAATTATATGTCTGTCTGCACATTAGTGGTTGTTTTATAGACAAGCCTATAAGCTTCTAGATGTCAAAATAAGTCGTATGTTGTCTATCCATTCCATACTGAGTACATGGTAGGTGCTGTATAGAAGATACTAATTGTTTCATATCTTTTCTGTGCAGGTTGGGTTAATAGAAGAATTCCTATTTTCATATTATGTTTTCAAGTACTTATAAAGTAATAGTACCAAACAAATGTTTATAATATGAATGATTGTTAGAGAATTAGATTAGTATTAGATTATAAGGGTTTTATCTGCTATTAGCCATAATACTTCTGAAGAAAGGAAGGAAGTGGGAGAGGGAGGGAGGGAGGAAGAGAGGAAGGAAAGAAGGAAGGGAAGAAGGAAGGAAAGGAAGGAAGGAAGGAAGGACCGACCCAGAGCTAGGGTGCTTGTATTTTAAGTATTTATTCAAACGCCACCTTCTCAACAAAGCACTGCTTCTTCTACGCAGGCCATCCATATATGGTAGTTATTATCATATGGCACTTATCATATACATACCTCTAAATATTATAACAATATCCCCTTGTATTGTCTTCACATATCCATCCTTCTTCCTTCCCTTTTACCTCAAACTGAGTTCTTAATGTAAGAGACTTGTCCTTTAATCCCTGAATCTGCAAAGCTGGCAACCAATAAATGCTTGTTGAATGAATAAATGAAATACGGGAGCACTCATGTAACCATGAGTGTGACATTCTGTAAATATAGTCATGGTAGGCAAATGACCATTGAGTCTTTTCACAAATTAACCTTTTTCTATTTTTAATTTTTTTTTTTTTTACTTTTAGGAGAGCCTGTTAATCTATTCTATTTTTATCCTTTTACATAGACTTACAGAGAAAATTACAGAAGAGTTTAGATCAGGAAAAAATGAATCATTTCTTGCCAAGCCTGGGGGATTTTGTAATATTTTTGTAAAATTAGATATCACTATCTTTTTTGTATAACCCTTCTGAAAAACAGAAACAATCTTTAAAAAATGGGCAAAAGACTTGAATGACATTTCTCCAAAGATAAATAAATGGCTAACATGCATAAGAAAAGATGCTCAACATTATTAATCATTAGAGAAATGCAAATTAAAATCACAATAAGATATCACCTCACATCCATGAGGATGGCCACTATCAAAAAATAATAAGTTGGTGAAGATGTTGGGAAACTGGAACTCTTATGCACTGTTACTGGGAATATAAAATGGTGCAGCTACTATAGGAAAGAGTATGGCAATTCCTCAAAAAGTTAAAACTAGACTTACCATATAATCTACCAGTCTCAGGGTGTATATATCCAAAAGCATTGAGAGCAGGATCTCAAAGAGATATTTACACACCCATGTTCTCTGCAGCATTATTCACAATAGTCAAGAGAAGGAAAGAAACCAAATGTCCATCAACAGATAAATGGATAAAGAATATGTGCTGTAATAAAAGGAACGAGATCATGTCCTTTGCAGGGACATGGATAGAGCTGGAAGCCATTATCCTCAGCAAACTAATGCAGGAACAGAAAACCAAACACCGCATGTTCTCACTTATAAGTGGGATGAGAACACATGGACACGTGGTGGGGGAACAACACACACTGGGGCCTGTCAGCAGGGGAGGGGAAGGGAGAGAATCAGGAAGAATAGCTAATGGATGCTGGGCTTAATACCTAGGTGATGGGTTGATCTGTGCAGCTAACCACCATGGCATACGTTTACCCATGTAACAAACCTGCACATCCTGCACATATACCCTGGAAGTTAAAATATAAGTTAAAGGGGAAAAAAAAGAATATGTGGTATATGCATACAATGGTATATTATTCAGCCATAAAAAGAATGAAGTACTGATAAATATGCATGTGTCAGTCTGCATACATATGCATACAACATAGATAACCTTGAAAACATTATGCTATATGAAAGAAGCTAGTCACCAAAAACAAATGTATGATTCCATTTAGACGAGATACCTAAAGTAGTCAAACTCAGAGTCAGAAAGTAAAATTGTGGTTGCCAGAGGCTGGGGGTGGCAGGGGGTGGGCAGAGGAGAATGGGAGTTTCTGGATGATTATAGATTTCAGATTTTCAAGATGAAAAAGTTCTGGAGATCTATTCTACAGCAATGTACATATAGTTAACACTATAGAACACTACACTTTAAAAATGGTTAAGATGGTACATTTTACGTTTTGTGCTTTCTACCACAGTTAAATTTAAAAAAATGAATAGCATTTCAAATGCATATTCACCATCAACAATACGCTGACATGAGCCAGCAGATGCTTAATATATGTTTCTAGTACTGGTGGTCATGATGAAAGAAAGAGGAGAACATTTTTTCTTGATGTACATCAAAGACTTAAGTAATTAAGAGGTCTGATAGTAGTGTCATTATTTTGTGGAAGAATGTAACTTGCTATCAAGTACTGAAAACTTCTGATAAGACATATAGCAAGTAGAAACTATAGACTAAATGTTATGATAACTTATAATTATCTAATTATATTGATAAATTTAGGTGTCCATTATTTAAGTATTATGAGGTGAGCATAATTTTTGCCTTTTCAATTATTATGTTGCATGCTTGGACACATTTTTGTAATGGCACATGGGATGTAGTTTGTAGTGTATAATGTATATTTTTGTTTTTTAAAAAAGTGTAAGTAAATAAAAGCTGGAATTAAAATAAAGCAAAACAAAACACACAACATTAAATAAAATTGACCTTGTTCACCAGAGAAGGAAAATCAAAGGTACCATATATCCTTCTTTCTCTACCTACTTCCTATCTACCTATAATCCTATAATCAGGTTTTTCATGCAATTTAATGTATGCAGGGCAACTTTCTACAAACTACCTACTACTTCCTCTGTTGTCTTTTCAGCAATTTTGGTTCAGTGTCACACCCAAAAAAGGGCACACCTCTTTAACACTTTCAACTCTTGAATCAAACACACCCTTATTAAATGTGCTTTTCACATCAACAGTCAGTGTCTGTCATTCAGCTCTGGGAGAGAGCCGGCTCTGGCTCTGGGAGAGAGCAGCACTGCCGAAGGTGAGCTGATGAGAGCTCACCAGGGTATGCTGGAAGGAGGAGGATGAGACAAGGGTAATTTGAGAAGTAAGAAGATTGATATGGTAATGCACACACGGCTACATTTTACTTCCCATATTCTCTTGGTGTATCTATAGAAAACAAAAAAGAAGCAACACTATGGTAAGAAACTAACTGAAGTTTTTCCTTTTCATTGCCTAAGACTTTGTTTTGGACTTATATAGTATTATTAATAACATCAAGTAACTTCACAATGTATTTATTGTCTAGATCTGGTAGTTTTGGGGGGGCTCAAAAATCTGAAGCATTTGTGAATATATGGAATATAGTGGGGGGGCTGAGTACCCTTGGATACTTTGGCTCGAAGCAGAAATAAAAATGTCCAGTATAGGATCTGCTGCTGTCTGTGCTTTTCTAGGTTCTTTAAAATATTACAGGTAATCATTAACAAGCTACTCTCATTGAATATATTTGAGTTAGTTCCATCAGTCATTCTTACAGCATCTATTTTATAGACCCATTGTTGAGTGTACTATAAATAACTTATTTAATCCTTTTTTTCCTTGAGTAAAAAAAAAAAAAAAAAACAACTTTCCCCCCTGCCCCCTTTTCAAATTTCAAAGGCAAAGTGATATTCAACTCCTTGGAAAAAGACTAGTAGGGAAATATTGCTTTGAGAGTAAGGATTGATTTTTATTTTTCTTAATGGTAGGCAAAGTTAGAACTCTACTACACATTCTTTTAAAATGTAGGTTATCTTTCAAATGTGTTCCCAGTGGGTGTTGACGGCCTTCTGCCCTCATCAGCCTGTCCCCATAACAAGTTATTATGTATTGCACATACTTTCCCCAAACAAGATTTTATTTGGACACAAAAATTTATTGGAGACACTGGGCTTCTTACAACCCTGCTATTTAAGAAGTGGTTGGGATTAAAATAAATTATAAGAAATAACAATCCTGTAAACTTTTAAGAAAAAGAAGTTTACATAAGACCTATTAAACTTTGCTTCACCAGTTTGGTCATAGAGGCATAAGTATAAAGCCCCGATTAAATGTTGGGCGTTATTAGCCTTCCTTTTCTTTGTTAATAGTTTAATACTTAACACTTTCCTTATCATTTGATATTTTAGACACAATGGCTTAATAACTACACTGACAAATCATCTTTACACTAAGGTATAAGCTCTTCATCTTCCCCTAGAAATCGTAACAGAATTAATACCTCGTGACTTAAAACCTTTTTTGAAACAATTTGCCAATTTTTTTTTTTAATCTAGGTTTAAGAGCGTCATGACTATGAACCTTCAAAAATAATTTTAAGTTTAATTGAAATTTCTGATATTTTGGTCAACCATCTTATTAGAGACTAATTATAAATATCTAAAAATCTACTAAGCAGATTAACTATAGCCTATGTACATTGATAGGTAAACTTAGGTTGGTGAGAATGGCAGGAGGAGGTATTTTGGCCAGGCTGATCATTTTGAAGGTTGTTTGTCTCTTGAGTTTCTCTGTGATACAAGATAAAGATACATGGCAAGTGCTGCAGGTACTAACAGCGTAGTGGCTAGTGAGACGACATTTTAATTTTCATTCGAAGTGTTGAAATGGGCAGGAACCTGCTGCCTGTGCCTCCAGGTGTAATCAGGACTAGAGCAGGGCAGGAGAGCCTGGCGCACAGGCTTGTCCACCCCAAGCCTGTACAGGAGCAGTGTTTGCAAAACGCAATCCAGAGGCACAAGCCAAGGCAGAGAGAAGGCATCTGAGGCTCCCGCTGCCTGCCAGGAACACTGTAGTAAGAGGGTGATGAAATATTTCACTTTTCAAAACCGAAAGAGCAGGAAATTTCTCACCATCAGCCCACTCCTGACACATATAGTCCTAACCTCTGCCACCCTCCCCACCCCCCATGACACCAGCCCAAGACAGAATCTAATGGAATGGGTGAAGAATAAAACCAAATTCCATACGAGGGGAAATCAGGCCGGTCTTCCTGAAGGTAGAAAGAAACTGAGTGGGAAAAGACATTCGATGTTGCATGAAAACCCTTACAAGGATAATTTTATAGAATATATTCACCCCAACGAGAGGAAGTGTGAACTGCTTCCAAGTTCAGCAGTTCGATGTGGCTTTTTGGGCTCTCCTGGAACTGTCCTTCATGGCTCATACTCCTTGGTCTCCATGGTCTATTTCCTGTCTTTTACACCTGTCGGCCTTCCCCCTGCACCCCTTAGTAGCAGGCTCTGCTTCCAGCTCTTTCTGTGTCTGAGGGGACCTGCCTTGTTCATCCCTGTTCATGTTTACGTGTGTGTGCACACATGTGTGCGTGTATGTGATAGTCAAATACAGCCCAAAGGAACAGAACAAGCAATAGAAGAAGAGAAAGAGCACAAACATTACTAGGCATCTTCTAGTCCCACCAGCTATGTGTGACCGTTGGCAAATCCCTTTTCACCCTGCAGTTTTTTCAAATGTGAAATGAAGATAACAATTATCACCTCACATGACTGTTATAAAGTACTTGGCACATGCAGGTTCTTAAGAACTGTCAGCTGAGGCTGGGCGCAGTGGCTCATGCCTGTAATCCCAGCACTTTGGGAGGCCGAGGTGGGCAGATTGCCTAAGCTCAGGAGTTCTAGAGTGGCCTGGGCAACATGGTGAAACCCTGTCTCTACTACAAATACAAAAAAAAATTAAAAATAGCTGGGCGTGGTGGCGCACGCCTGTAGTCCCAGCTGCTTAGGAGGCTGAGGCATGAGAATCGCTTGAACCCAGGAGGCAGAGGTTGCATTGAGCCAAGATCACACCACTGCACTCCAGCCTGGGCTACAGAGCGAGACTCCGTCTTAAAAAAAAAAAAAAAAAAGTCAGCTGAAATAAATCACAAAAGAGGAAAAACTGAAAGGCCAATAGGTATATAAAACATAGTCAATGCCATTAGAAACCAAAGAAATGCAAGCTACCTAGTTTTGCAAAATATAGCTTACACTAGAAAAGTGTATGAACATACAAATAATGACTAATTATAAAGCAAACACCTGTATTACTAGACATAATTCAAGAAATAGAATATTGCTGCCACCCGTTAAGTCTCCTCCTGTTGGTCTCTCTGATCAGGTTTTGATCACAGTCCCTAAAGACACAATCCGGAACGCCATAATCCCGAATGGGGTTGTGATCCAATCCCATTAGGAATGTATCTTATGGAAATAATTAATGATATGGGTAGAGATAAGCCAGGAATACATTTTCTGCAGCCTGTGATACGTTAAAAATAATATAAATGAACAACTGTAGCAATTGTGGTATATCAGCATAATGGAATTCAATGTGACCATCAGAAATATTAATATCGGTCACACCTGTAATCCTAGCAGTTTGGGAGGCTGAGGTGGGCAGATAACTTGAGGTTAAGAGTTTGAGACCAGCCTGGCCAACATGGTGAATGACCATCTCTACTAAAAATACAAAATTAGCCAGGCGTGATGGTGAGCACCTGTAATCCCAGCTACTCAGAAGGCTGAGGCAGGAGGATTGCTTGAACTCAGGAGGCAGAGGTTGCAGTGAGCCAAGATCATGCCACTGCACTCCAGCCTGGGCAAAAAAAGTGAGACCCGTCTCAAAAAGAAAAAAAATAAATATAGAGGTATATTTATTGGCACGAACTCAGTGAAAGGACAATATACCAAACAACATATACAAAATGATACTGTGTAATGCCCTGGGGAAAAATAAGCCAAGAAAAAAAATAGTAACAATGATATTTTGGGATGAAAAAATTAAGGATAATTTATATATTTTTCATTGTAGTTATTCATATATTCTGACTTTCAAATGTAAATTTTTTTTGCATTTTTTTTTGTTTGTGTGTTTTTTGTTTTTTGTTTGTTTGTTTGTTTGTTTGTTTTTTGCTTTTTTGAGACGGAGTCTCTCTCTGTCTCCCAGGCTGGAGTGCAGTGGCGTGATCTCAGCTCACCGCAACTTCCGCCTCCCGGGTTCAAGCAATTCTCCTGCCTCAGCCTCCCAAGTAGCTGGGATTACAGGTGCCGGCCACCACACCCGGCTAATTTTTTTTTTTTTTTTTTTTAGTAGAGATGAGGTTTCACCATGTTGGCCAGGCTGGTCTCGAACTCCTGACCTCAGGTGATCCACCTGCCTCAGCCTCCCAAAGTGTTGGGATTACAGGAGTGAGCCACCGCACCCAGCCTGTGTGTGTTTTTTTACTTAAAAATTTTTAAATTTAAATTTAAATGTTTAATTGACAAATAATTTTATATATGGGGTATAATGTGATGTTTTGATGTATACATTGTTGTATACGTTGTAATTGTATACATTGTGTTGTATACATGGATGTATACATTGAAATTATTGTATCCAGAAAATTAACATATCCATCACCTCAGATACTTATTTTTTGTAATGAGAACATTTAAAATCTATCCTTTTAGCAATTTTAAAATATGTAATACATTAGTATTAACTATGGTCACCATGCTGTGCAATAGATCTTGAAAACTTATTGCTCCTAATTGAAACCATATATCCTTTGACCAACATCTCTCCAAACTTCCCCCAACTCACAGCCTCTGGTAACCACTATTCTACTCTCTACTTCTGTAAGTTTGACTTTTTAAGAATCTAAATATAAGTGAGATCATGTGTTATTTATCCTTCTGTGCCTGGCTTATTTCACTTAGCACAGTGTCCTCCAGGTTCATCTATAGTGTTCCCAATGACAGAATTTCCTTCTTTTTTAAGGCTGAATTATAGTCCACTGTGCATATATACCCCATTTGCTTTATCCATTCATCCACTGGTGGACACTTAGGTTGATTCCATATCTTGGCTATTGTGAATAATGCTGCAATGAACACAGGGGGCCAGATATCTCTTCAACATACTGATTTCATTTCTTTTGGGTATGTACCCAGAAGCAGGATTGCTGGCAGTTCTATTTTTGTTTTATTGAGGAACCTCCACACTATTTTCCATAATGGCTATACTAATTTATATTCCCACCAACAGTGTATAAGAATTCCCATTCTCCACATCCTCATCAACACTTATCTTTCACCTTTTTGATCACAGCCATTCTAACAGGTGTGAAGTGATAGTTCATTATAATTTTCATTTTCATTTCCCTGATGAACAGTGATGTTGAGCACTAAAAAAAAAAACAAAAAAAAAAACCTCTTGGCTATTTGCATGTCTTCTTTTATGAAATGCCAGTTCAGATCCTTTTTCCATTTTTTAAATCAGATTGTTTTTGCTGTTGAGATGTCTGAATTCCTTGTATATTTTGGATATTAATCCCTTATCCAATGTATGATTTGCACATATTTTCTCCCAATCTATAGATTTTCTCTTTACTCTTTTGTTTCCCTTCCTGTGCAGAAGCTTTTTAGTTTGATACAATCCCATTTGTCTACTTTGTGCTTTTATTGCCTGTGCTTTTGGGTCAAATATGTATTTATTTCATGGTTTTCTTTTCCATTTCCCTTCTCTTCCCCAGAGATTGTATTGGGCATTTTACAAACATTTCAGTTTATCCTTAAAATAATCCAGAGGAGGAATATTTTAGAAACTAGATTTTGGGGAGTCATTTGAGAAAGAGAATAAGGCTAGAGACAGGCCTTTGTTTCTATCTGAAAGTTGCTTACTCAGGTTCGGTGATAGGTGATTGCCCCAAACCACTGTCCATTCCATGATACACTGTTGTCTGACTCTTGATTGTTGATAGGCTGGAGGATAAAGGATTTCTGGAAAATATGTACATTTGGTAAATATTTAAGTGCCTATTGGTACCAAGCATTGATGAAGAGGTAGGGACACAGGTGAACAAAATAACGTTCTTGTTCCTCACGAAGCTTATGTTCTGTAAGCAGACACAGCAATAAAGAAATATACAAATATATATGCAATATGGTTCAGGTAATGTTAAGTGCTATGAAGAAAAATAAAGGAGAATAGATCATAGAAAGTGAGGGTGCTGTTTTACATAGGGTGATTCAAAAGTGTTCACCCTGCATAGTTTGCATATCCTCCATACCTTATGAGCTGCAAAAAAGAGATTAAAAAAAGAGTAGGCTTATATTGTTTTCTTTATTCTAGCCATGACACATTAAAGATGAGTGCTCATGAGCAATGATATGCCAAGTTCTGCAGACAAATTAGCTCTGTTAGAAACTACATCTGATAAAGCTGTTATTTTCATCTCCTTCTCACCAGTTGAGAACCATAAATTCATTGTGTTACTTACTTAGTTTCTATAATTTTAACTTGAGCAAAACATCAGCAAAATATCGCACTGTTAATAAAGCCAGCCATCACTGTCATAGGCTACTTTGTGCTTTTCAAAAGATGTTCACATGTATCATTTCACATGAATTTCTCAGTACCCTGTATGATAGATGTGCAACTTTTGAGAGAATAAGTGATTTGATCCCATTTAGTAGTATTCCTGAGTTCTGATCATAGAAGTGTGAAATCTACTTCTTAATTTGCAAAGTGTTGGTAGAAAGTCAACAATTCTCACTAGAAACTACAGGAAACTAAGACATTTCTGGGCAGTGTATATTAATTGGAAAGATAAAGATTGTTCCATTTTCTAGAAATAAATCCACTATTAAATCCACACTTACAAACATGGCTAAACTGACCTGAAGTTATGAGGTCTCAAGGTCACTAGAAGTCTCAGAGCCAGCCTAGCTAGAGTCCGTGCTGTGTTGGAGAGGCTTGTCTGTTCCTCTTCTCCAGCTCTCATTTCTCTTCTGGGTCCCAGTCAGCCCCAGGGCCTCTGACTTGGCTGTAGCTGTGCCTGGTCGGGGCAGGCAGGCTGTGTTAGTTGTCTCCAAGGGCCGCTTCACCCTCTTTCCCCCAACTTAATCACCATCTCCTGCATCATATCATTTATACATGGATGACCCAACTGAAGTTTAGTCCTTGGTTCTTTAGTACTTAGATTCTGAGACTCACCAGTGGCTTTTAAGTGCTTTAAAGTAACCATTCTTGATCTTTGACATGAATTATTGCACAAGTCATTCTTTTTAAATTGCATAAGGAATGTACTTTCTGGGTTACAAGTTAATAAAAAGGAACTGATTTGATGACTTCACAAGGAACACATTTCCATTTTCCAGTTTGGCTAAATTTTAGTTAGGAACTAACTTGTCAGTAATTTGATTATGTTAATCAGGATATGCATATAATCCAGGAGGTAGAATAAGAAATACTTTTGCTATAAATTTCAAACTACTCTATCTCCTTTTAATTACACATTATGCATAAGAAAAAAAATCGCCGAATTAGGATAATACATCTCAACTGTAAAGCAAATTAATTCAGCCGGATAGCTTTGTGAGAAAAAGAGAATGTTGGGGAGACTATTCAAAGTACAGGTAGAGAAACCTTCTGGGGTACTTGTTAGTCATAATTAGGCACACAGTAGAATTAGTCAGGATCCCAGCACAGGAAACATATAGCACACTCAAGTTGTGTAATTAAGGAAAGTAGTGAAGGACTATTTACAAAGTGTGGGCGAGGTTTTAAGGAAGCCAAGAAGGGCTAAAAAAAACCTTAGGCTTCAGGGTTCTTCTTTCACATGGCCTCTTCCAAGGCCCTCTCCTTAAAATCTATAAGCCAGAATTTTGTGTTCTTTGTCTTAAAGAAAACTCTCAAAATAACATATGCCTCATGCCCCACAAAACTTCATTCTACCTCAAGCAATAGCTAATGAAGCCTTCCCATCTGGCACCTGGTGAGGTCCTTTCCCATCTTAGGCCTGAAGGAGCAAGAGGGGAAAGCGGCTCGGGAATATGGGGAGAGAGAACAGCGGCGGAAGTGGGCTGCCTGGCAGAAGCCCTGGTCACACCCAGCCACACCCAACCCAGAGCCCAACTAAGAGATGGAGAGATTAGGGGGGAAATCAGGGCCTCCCACTGGCTGAACCTAACCAAATCCTAAGGACAAGAAAGTCAGTTTCTACCTTCCATCATAACTGGGAGCCTGGGGCGCAGACAAGGCTGAGGGAGGGTGAGCCTACGGAAAGATCCAGCACACTCTATCTACAATTACCTGGATTCTAAAGACAGAGCTCCATCACAAGAGAGGGCTCATTGGCTGTTTATGCTATCACATCCATTGCTGTACTGCATGGCCTAGGAGAAAGCATGTAAGCCATGCCTTCATAAAAGTGACACATTAATCATTCTAGTAAAGTCTTATTTTTCTAATGATACATTATAATTTCTAACAAGAAAAAATACTGAGCTACCTTTTAGAAAGCCTGACTTATGTCTTAGAAAAAATAATTCGATTCTACAGGCCACAGGTTGCCTCT
Organism: Homo sapiens; assembly: GCF_000001405.40. Lineage (NCBI taxonomy): Eukaryota > Metazoa > Chordata > Mammalia > Primates > Hominidae > Homo > Homo sapiens. Next base: position 106,503,594 of record NC_000006.12, read on the forward strand.
TTAAGGTGCGGAGAAAATTCTGGCACAACGTAGACACTCAATAATTATCAGTGGAATGAATGAGTAAATGATCCTACAATTCAGACATTCCATGATCTTATCTTTTATCTTCCTTTCTGATTGATCATGTGTCGATGGCTTGAAACAATTAGGTTTCACTTTGTCTCTGTCAAAGTATAAATGACTTAAAGACAATACCAACCCGAAACTGGGAGTCTGCTTTTTAAAAGAAGCTTTTTGGGAGAATGAAATTATAATTATAAATTATAAATTAACTTTTATAATTGATGGCTTTTGTATTCAGTGACACCTCTTTTTCAGGACACAGGTTAATCTGGAAGTTAAAAAGTCTGTCACTATTCTTTCACCCAATAGTATACCTTTGATTGTACCCAACAGGATGATATTATTGTTTGGCCTGAAGTGACAGCATTAGAAAAAAAAAAAAAAAAAAACCACAACCATTGAGGTGTAAGTAGAGAGGTATGTGTTACATTATGTTGAAATGACAGAAAAAAGATTTTTTTAAAAAAAGAAAAATAGCATCAGAGATGAGGTGGGCACTAGAAGTGGTGACAAATATTAGAAGCAGCATGGGGCAAGCAGACATTCCACCCCGGGAGACTGGGAGCAGTGACATCGGAGAAGAAGGTTCTGAAGCCCTAACCTCAAGGATTATTGGTTATATCATATGAAATTGGACTGTAGATCAAAAATGGCCAAATGTCACAGTTTCATATACCTTTTCATAAGAGATCTGCTTACTACCAGACAGTGTTACAGTCTGTGGGTCATTTAGTGTAAGCCGTAGTCTTCACTCCTTCTAACAGCCCTGGAAGAAATCACTATTGTAGCACAAATGTAGTAACAGAGGTTCATAGTTCTGTCTCCAGAATCATAAAGAAGTAGCTAAATTATATCTAGTATACTCTTAGGTAACTGAATCATATATAATAGAAAATATTTTAAAAGTTAAAATGAAAAGCTTCTGTGCTTAATAGATCAGAGTTCATTTATGTGAACATTTCTTTATTCTTTTTGCTGTGCGTGTGTGTGTTTGTGTGTGTGTATATGTGTGTGTGTGTATAGAACAGGCCACATATATTATCCCAATCAATATCAGAAAGGAAAACACAAACGGAAAGGTGGGGAGGATAGTTAATTTATTTTTAATGCCTATTCCAAATCAATGTCTGTGGTATCAGGGATCTGTATGTGGATCCTCCCTTAAACTTAACTTCATCTGCCTGGTGTTTCTGATACTGAGATGATATTCTGCCATACACTTATCATGGGAAAATACAATTTTAACTTTAATTCTAAAAGTCTTCAGAATGAATATCCTGGAAGTTATTAAAAAAAAAAAAGAATCATGTCTCATAAAAGTCTTTCTTTAAGATGGACTGGAGTGCAGTGGTGCAATCTTGGCTACTGCAACCTCTACCTCCTGGGTTCAAGTGATCCTCCGGCACAGGACAACAGGCATGCCCCACCTCACCTGGCTAACTTTTTTTTTTTTTTTTGAGACAGAGTCTTGCTCTGCCAGACTGGAGTGCAGTGGCACCATCTCAGCTTACTGCAACCTCCGCCTCCCGGGTTCAAGCAATTCTCTTGCCTCAGCCTCCCAAGTAGCTGGGACTACAGGCACGTGCCACCACACCCGGCTAATTTTTTGTATTTTTAGTAGAGACGGGGTTTCATCATGTTAGCCAGGATGGTCTCGATCTCTTGACCTCAGGATCTGCCCACCTTGGCTTCCCAAAGTGCTGGAATTACAGGCATGAGCCACCGCACCCGGCCCAATTTTTGTATTTCTTAGTAGGACAAGTTTCACCATCTTGGCCAGTCTGGTCTTGAACTCCTGACCTTAAGTGATCCGCTGGCCTCAGCTCCCCAAAGTGCTGGGATTACAGGCGTGAACCACCATGCCTGGCCTTGTTTTTCTGTGTGTGTTTCTCCTTTTTCTCCCCCTTCCCCATTCCCCATCTTCGTTCTTTAGTTAGCTGTCACGAGTCTAAAGTCTTTCTTGCTTCTATTGAACAGAATTTTCTAACCCCTATTTTAACTTTTAAAGTTGAAGTGTAAAGTAGCTCAAATTCCTATATTTTTAAGCCACACAACTCATGCTATTTTTTTTTTTTTACAAAAAAACTGCTCAGGAAAAAAAGTTGCTCACTAGCACAAACACACATATGCATATGTTGTGAACAAGTAACATGGCCAATCCTATCATTTACAGTAATATCCAGTTGACTCATTCCCATGTGGCTGAATTGAAAAGCTAAGGTATCTTTCAGAAATCAACAAAGTGAGAGCTCTTAGGGAATCACACGTGTTTAAAAAAAAAAGTTACTTTTGTACATTGATGACCACATTTTAGAAGGATGCACAGGTGAGTACATGTAACAAGATTTTGTTCCACTTTCCTGAGTCAGATTTGGGCTGAGAGGCTGCAGTAAACCTGTGCACCGGTAGCTCCATCAACACGTGGAATCCTCACTCTGGCAGAATAAAGCTGCCAAGTCTTGACCACACTAAGTTTTAGGCAGATAAGATTTTCATTCTGATTTGTTTAGAACAATGTTTCTAGTTGTCTCCAAGAGCATTGACAACTCCTTTTTTGAAAGGCAGGAGGGATGTTACTAATTCTTTAGTAGCAGCAAATACTTTATGTCCACCTCTAGCTGTCAGTCCCCCATGCTAGCTGTTGGAAAGGCAACAGAACATTTTTCCTGTTCTCAAGGAGCTTACATTCACTGGGGAATGAAAAGGTGGGAAACATAGGAAAACTTATTTATTTATTTTTTATAAGAAACATCACTTTACTCAAAATGTTATTAGATTTCTTGTCACTTTTTTTTTTTTTTTTTTTTTTTTTGAGATGGAGTTTCGCTCGTCAGCCAGGCTGGAGTACAATGATGTGATCTCAGTTCACTGCAACCTCCGCCTCCTGGATTGAAGCAATTCTTCTGCTTCAGCCTCCTGAGTAGCTGGGATTACAAGCAACCACCACCATGCCCAGCTAATTTTTGTATTTTTAGTAGAGACGGGGTTTCACCACATTGGCCAGGCTGGTCTCGAACTCCTGACCTCAGGTGATCCACCCACCTCGGCCTCCCAAAATGCTGGGATTACAGGTGTGAGCCACTGCACCCAGTCTAGATTTCTTAAAGATATAAACAGATTATAAACATAAAACAAATGTCAATGACCCATAATTGTATTAAAATTTAAAAACTTAGTTTTGTTCCCATAGTTACTATAAAAAGGAAAAACCCTTAGATAGTCAAATTTAGCAGAATTTATTTAAGCAAGGAAAAAAAGAAAAATTCATGATTCGGCCAGCTTCAGAACCAGAACAGTTTCAAAAAAACTCTACCATTTACATTATCTCCTTAACTAATGGGTAGCAAATGTTACAAGGTAACATTTACTAAGTGGTAATAGTAGGAATATATAGTAGTATATATAGTAGGCGCTGCCACACCACGAAGGTTGAGAATCACCTAACAGCACTGCAGCTAGTGCTGCCTGGGCCTCTACACGCTGCTGGAATATGATCTCGTGGATGGTTACATGTGCCCCTAATGAGCCACATTTCATATTAGCCAACAAGAACACTCTAAAGCAGGTCGTAGCACACAACCCATGTGCCACCTCTACAATAGTCCTGTTGTGGACTGCTCCGTCCCAGTTGGACATGGATGATGGAAGGGTGCCAAGTGCAGGTTCTGCACTGTAAGGTGTGCAGGCTGCCTTAAGTAAGGTGGGCAGAAAATACACAGTAAAAAGGTAAATACAAAGGAGGACCCAGGATTGCATGTGCTCTGAGAACACCCAGCCTGGGAACCCTCAGGACCCTGCCCAGGCCTGTGGGAAAGTCAGGGGCAGAGGAATCTGAGGAAGCATGAAGAAACTTGATGGTCACTCATGGCCTCTTTGCAAAACACTCCCCTTCCTAGCAAATTATCATCAAGCCTGGAAAGGTGGTGGGTCTGTGGCTTCCCATCCTAGGTTTAAGACCCCAGACCCAAAGGCTCAAACCTAAGAAGGTCCCTCTCTGACAACTCCCAGGCCAGCTAGTTTTTTGTCTCCATTTGCCTTAGTTTCCCCCTGAACAATGGAAAGAAACAATTCCTGGTTGAAAAGAAATACGTATCGCATTTAGGAAGGGGTGTTCCTCAAAGATGTGACTGAGGACTTTACTCAGGAGGTATGGGGCATTCTGAGCCCTGCTCAGATGATCCTGTTTGGAGATATGATCTTGGATATCCACAGGGACCTGGTCCCGTGGGAGAAGACTGCATTCCCCTGTCAACGAGTCTATCATTTGAAATGACACGAGATCCCTCATTAAGAACTGCATAACGTGGCTGGGTACGGTGGCTCACATCTATCATCCCAGCGCTTTGGAAGGCTGAGGCAGAAGGATCACTTAAGCCCAAGACTTTGATACCAGCCTGGGCAACATGGTGAAACTCTCTACAAAAAAGTTAAAAATTAGCTGGGCATGGTGGCACATGCCTATAGTCTCAGCTACTTGGGAAGCTGAGGTGGAAGGATCACTTGAGCCTAGGAGGTTGAGGCTGCAGTGAGCTGTGATCGTGCCACTGCACACCAGGCTGGTCAATACAGTGAGACCCTGTGAAATGTGCACCCAAGACAGATGGATTGTGCCACACAGTGCATTTCTATTCTTTATTTCCCAGGGGGAAAACTCTGTTTTAAAGAGATTGTATCTTAACTTCATTTATATATACCCATCTTAAATGTACAGTTTGATGAGTTTTGAAAGATAAGTACTCATGTGTAACCATCACCACAATCAAGATATAGAACTTTAACCCTCAACGTTCCTTTGTGCCTCTTCCCTGTTGCACCACCACCACTTACCACCCACTGACCCCACCCTCAGGCAACCACCGACCTACTTTCTATCATTATAGATTAGATTTGCACTGTCTAGAATGTCATATAAATGTAACCATACAGTATGTAACATTTGGAGTCTGCAAAAGCATTTAGCATCCATATCCTTACATGTTTCAGAAGTCTGTTCCTTTTTTATTGCTGAATAATACTCTGCTGTGTAGATGTACCACAATTTGTTTATCTGTTCACAAGCCATGTCCGGTGACTTTGAGCTGTTTCCAGTTTTTAGCTATTATGAATGAATGAAGCCACTATGAACATTCATGTATTTTTAGGAAATTCAGCAGTCTGGCTGGTGATAAACAGGCTGCCCCTCTGAGGGGGGGAGGAGTCAAGTAGTTGAGCCAAGTTGAAGAGCAAGCAACCAGTTTTGTAAAAAGCATCTAATAGCCAAAAAAAAAAAAAAAAAAATTGTTTTAATGCCTATACTAAGCATAGAGAGGACTGCTTGCTGATCAAGCGTCTGCTGCATGGGAAAAGCAGATTGCAACATCATTGGCAGGACAGAGTAATACATATACTTAGTTGGTTTATTTTGACAGGGAATGGAATTAAGCCAAGACTCAAACCTATTTTCCCTGGCTACTACTTCAAGATACGTTTGAAGGCCTGTCCAGACAGCAGAGACACAGAGCTCTATGTCAGAGTCAGACTTTACCTGTGGTGGGACCTTGGACAAACGGGCACTAAAAAAAGACTACCTACCTAGCTGTTGGGAAGATAAAATGAAAGTGTGTGAATCACAAGGGCCTGACCCATAAGGATAGCTCAGTAAACATGTATTATGATTTAAAAATCATGTCATACCTTTGACTTGTAAAATAATCCAAATGTTTCCTTAGGAAGTTACAATATTTTAATTTTTTCCCTTAAATCATACTTCGAATTCTTCCTATATTATTTATATAACCATTGAAGAATCGGATTAATCAAAATCTGGTTAGATTTTAAAATCGTATGACGTCGGGTACAAGAGCTCCGAGCGGCTGCACCATTGGTTCATCGCAGCAGCAGCAGCTGTCTAGTCCCAAAGCGCCCACCAGGCGCTTCTAAGACCAGGAGAGTCTTAGAACCTTGAGAGCAAATCTGATTCATGCGCACTTCCCCGGGAGCTGACTCTGGGGGGTGGGTGACCCGTAGTCTGTTCCTCTGGGCCGACTGTGGTTCTCGGGTGGCGGCAGAACCTCCGCGGCCTCTGAAAGGGGCCCCTGTGGCTGAATGGAAGGAGCATGGGGTGGGCAGGAGGCGACTTGGATTTGAATTCTGACTTTACTGCTCTGACCGCCTCTCCCCCCCACCCCAATTTTGTGTCTCTTTATAGGCTGGCTGAGCTTCCTTTCCTCATCTGTGTGGTAACAGCATGACCTTACTGGGCTGTAGCGGGGTGACACTATGTTACAGTACCAGGACTGTCTCAACAAATGCTTGTTGACCTGTTAATTTCATGCGTTATCTTTCCTATTTCCCATCGCCAAAGTCCATTTGCTGCATGTAACTCAAACGCAATGGAGCTTCAAAGGGTGATTGGGGAACCTCCCCGTAGTCGGTACTGTCCTGAATGTTCCTTTTCCAGGAAAGGTGGGGCTCTTTCCTGCGTCGCCAGGACTCAAGCTAGCACCTAGGTTTTGAATGTTTAAAAGTTGATTCTTAAGAAATACAGTAGCCGCACGTTTGGCCTGGTTTCAGAGGAGTCCTTACGCAAATACACTTCCCTCTCCTAGGAGCCAGGCTGGGCTCGCCGCCCCTGCTCCCCCGCTTTCCCAGGCTCGCCTCCTCCTCTTCCTGCCCACCTCTATGCCCCGCACCTACCCAGTCCCCACTCTGGCAAACCCCGGAGCGCCACCGCGCCCATTGGCGGGTTTGCTTTTATTGGTTTGTTCTGCGCTCCCTCCCGCCTTCTGGCGCGGGCACTGGATGCTAGCCGTTTTGCTCCAGGAGATATAAGAAGCCCAGGTTTTCCCCCTTCCTGGGAGCGCTGCGGATCATTCGCAGGCGGCCCGGCACCCTCGCATAGGTGGGCCGGCCCCTGGGGCTCCAGCCGTGCGACCCCGGAACCACACGTGTGGCGAGGAACGGGTCCCGGGGCGGAGTAGGCAGAGTCCCAAGCGCATCCTTCAGCCACACCTCCTCGGCTCTAGGGGGCGGTGAGCAAAGGCGGTCACCCCTGCAACCTCGCCCGCTACCCCCACGCACTCCTCCGTGTTCACATGGTAGGAACTCCCACAGGCAAAAGCCTTTCCGATGCGCTCTGCAGCCGCGGGATCACTCGGGTGTTTGAACGCTCGCGCGCTCCTCCCATTGGAGCTCCGGCTAAGGCGGGGCCCAGGTGCTTGCTTCCTCCGAGCTTGCTTAAGGTTTTCATGTTGCAAGTACTAGATGTTGAACCCAGGTGGCTTCTTACTGTTCTGGAGGAGAAGGCTGCTAGGACTGGTTTTTTTTCTTCGTCCTCCTTCCCTCCTACAAAAAGAATGGGCGGTGTTTCGGGAAAAAGTCCGCCTTAGGATACTTTAGTGTGTTTACTGCTGCCCCATGGTCACATGCACGGCTGTTTATAAATTGCATCTTTATTGAGGAAGAAGGTAAAAAACCTAGAGAGGGCAAGGAACTATTTATTTTGTATATGTGATTATTTGGACCGTTCAAATTTTCCTTTAAAAAACAAGAATTATAATTCAAAGAAAATGCTATTCTGACTACTGCCAGAAACTTAAGGTGTTTAAGCAAAATTCAAAAGTAAAACCAGAGTTTATTTTGTTGGAATGAATGTAACATAAACATAACTTTATCATTTTCAATTAGAAACTCTGGTCTGTTATCATTTTGGCTGGTGGTTCTGTAATGTACGTCTAAGGGGAAAAACACCAGATTCTCATATGTTCCCTCCTCATCCCTTTTATTTTTCAGTCCAGAGCACAACCTCCAGAAGACAACAGAAGGAAGCCAGTTTTGGGGAAACTTGGCACTCTATTCACTGCAGGAAGGAGAAGAAACAGTAGAAACGGGTTAGAGAGTCCCACCAGATCAAATGCCAAACCACTCTCTCCCAAAGATGTGGTAGCCTCTCCTAAGCTCCCAGAGAGAGAGAGTGAGAGGAGCAGATCTCAGAGCAGCCAACTGAAGCAAACGGACACAAGCGAGGAGGGCTCCCCGCGGGAGAATCCCCGAGAGGCAGAGGGCGAGCTCCCCGAGAGCGGTGGCCCCGCAGCCCCCCCTGACGCCGAGCTGTCACCTCGCTGGAGCAGCAGTGCAGCGGCTGTGGCTGTGCAGCAGTGCCATGAAAATGATTCACCCCAATTAGAACCTCTGGAGGCAGAGGGAGAGCCTTTCCCAGATGCCACCACCACTGCCAAGCAGCTGCATTCCTCGCCGGGAAATTCCTCCAGGCAAGAGAACGCAGAGACGCCCGCCCGCAGTCCGGGGGAGGACGCTTCACCAGGTGCTGGCCACGAACAGGAGGCTTTCCTGGGTGTGAGGGGTGCGCCAGGGTCGCCCACCCAGGAGCGGCCCGCGGGAGGACTAGGCGAGGCCCCTAACGGAGCCCCCAGTGTGTGTGCCGAAGAAGGCTCCCTGGGGCCCCGCAACGCCCGCAGCCAGCCCCCCAAGGGCGCGTCTGATTTGCCAGGTGAGCCTCCGGCCGAGGGCGCAGCGCACACGGCCAGCTCCGCGCAGGCAGACTGCACAGCCCGCCCCAAGGGTCACGCCCACCCTGCTAAGGTGCTAACTTTGGACATCTACTTGAGTAAGACTGAGGGGGCACAAGTGGACGAGCCGGTCGTGATTACTCCCAGAGCGGAAGATTGCGGTGACTGGGACGACATGGAGAAGAGGTCCAGCGGCCGTAGGTCGGGGAGGCGGAGGGGGTCGCAGAAATCCACCGACTCCCCCGGCGCGGACGCCGAGCTCCCTGAGAGCGCTGCCAGGGACGACGCGGTGTTCGACGACGAGGTGGCGCCAAACGCGGCCAGCGATAACGCCTCGGCGGAAAAGAAAGTGAAATCTCCGCGGGCAGCCCTCGACGGGGGCGTTGCCTCCGCTGCGAGCCCAGAGTCCAAGCCCAGCCCCGGTACCAAAGGGCAGCTCCGAGGGGAGTCGGACCGGAGCAAACAGCCACCCCCGGCTTCGTCCCCCACGAAGAGGAAGGGCAGGAGCCGTGCCCTCGAGGCCGTGCCCGCCCCGCCCGCCAGCGGCCCCCGGGCTCCCGCCAAGGAGTCCCCACCCAAGAGGGTGCCCGATCCCAGCCCAGTCACCAAGGGCACTGCGGCCGAGAGCGGGGAGGAGGCGGCGCGGGCCATCCCCCGCGAGCTCCCGGTCAAGAGCAGCTCGCTGCTGCCGGAGATCAAGCCCGAGCACAAGAGGGGCCCGCTCCCCAACCACTTCAACGGCCGGGCAGAGGGAGGTCGAAGCAGAGAGCTGGGCAGAGCGGCCGGAGCGCCTGGAGCTTCTGACGCCGACGGCTTGAAGCCCAGGAACCATTTCGGCGTGGGCAGGTCGACAGTGACCACTAAAGTGACCCTGTAAGTAGCCGCGCAAGTCCCGGCCGAGTTGCTGTCCGCACACGTGCTGGGGGTCCGCTCTGAGAGGCTCGGGGTATCTGCATTGTGGAAGAAACGTCTGGTCACTGAACTTTCCCCTCCATGCTGAACTTAAGATAGTGAAGGGCCAGTTTACACAGTCAAGATTTAAGATGACACCTGTGGCAGCCTCCTCAGTTAATTCCCTTTTTAACACAAGATTTAAGTTTAACGAATGTAAAAATAGGATATCCGTTGAAGCTCAACGTTTATGTAGATGAGAGATAAGACCTCATGGCCTGACATGAGCTGATTCTATTCTTTATTCAAAATGTACAAGGGTGTTCCAAGGTGGGATGTTCTTAAAATGCATGTGCTGTGAATTTCAAAATATGGAGCAAACAGTAACATGTTAAATACGATCCAGTAGCTTTGACATGTGTGAGTTTTAAGAGAATTTGCAGAACCTTTTATGGCACTCAGTGCATTTATTGGCAAAAAGCTTAAAAACACACAAGAAAAGTTCCTAATACAAGTATCTTGGTTGCTTCTTCCCCTTTATAATGTTAGGGAGTCTGGTGATACTTTTGGACCCAGGCTGAAAAGTAGTTTTCAGTTACTGAAATAAAGATCAGTGTTCTTACTGGAAGATTATTTGCTACATGAAAGCAGCTGTGACAGGTGTGAGTTTAAGATAATTCCAAAACATTTTATGGAACTTAGTGCATTATTGGCCTAAGCCTTTTTCAAAAAGTCCCTAATTTATGTATCTTGGTTGCTTCTTCCTCCTTGTGCTGCATGAAAGCACAAAACAACTGTGACTACTTGCTGTTAAGTTTATTCATTTCACAAGTAATTTATTTAATACTTTCTGTGCAAGATATTGTGCTAGTCACTGTGGGGGAAAAAAACCCTACAACTGTGACTCAGGATATTGCCCTGAAATTTTTATAGCCCCATCTGGCACACAAAAAGCACACAAATCAAATAACAATACAAGATGATATCTGATGAAACTGCCAAACGAATGTTACCATCTGTAAATCCTGGGGAAGTGCTAGCGAGCAAGAAATCACTGCTGGTGCTTTGGGGGAGCTGGGCCTTGTGCCTTGATGATAAATGCAATTTGTATAGGTGGACAGGATAGGGAAGGTACTCTATGAAACTGATAAGACCCTCCCTTCTCACACTTCTGCTCCCTCACCACTCCCACTTAGCACAGGTGAATAATGATTAAGTGCTTAAGTTTTTCCTCCATTCACATATTTGTTCAAGGAGTGGGTATTTTAACAACATTATCATTATAATTCTTGAACCTAATGGTTTCTTTCATTCTATTTGATTTCTTGGATAAGTAAGCTTAAGAGGAGGAGAGTTCTGATTGGGAGAACTCTGAGAACTCTGAGAGGGAAGTATGCGTAATGAATAACTTGACTACCTCACCAACTGCCAACCTGGAGACCTTTGATATAGTCAGTGATTTATTCTGTGATGGTAGGTAGCATCAGAGAAATGAGCTGGGTGAATGATGCCTATTATTTATAGAAGACCAGTGTGATTGAATGCTAAAGCCTCCTAAATGTGAGCCTTAGAGAAACATTGCTGTGTACCTTATGAAGGATGGTTCACCTGTCTTCCAATTAGAAGACACCAGTAGAAAAACCAGAAATGTTACACTGTGAAATAGTAGGCTAAACAAACAGGAAAGATGATCTTATAATGAAATTCTTCGTTTGCTGTTCTCTGTAATAGAACTAAACCAAATATGTCTTTCCCAGTTCTGATTAATTTATACCTAAAAATTTTCTTTACCAGACATTCAATGTATTTGTTTTGCGCAGTGCCTTGCACATGGTCATTTGGCAAATTATTGACTTAAAAATTAATAAGTATTTCTAGTCCTTTGACCCATTTCTTTGTGACTGATGGTTTTTTCAGACCCTTTAATTCTTCCTATGACCGTATCGCAAGATGTTAATCAGATTATTCTTTAAAACAATTTGAGACTGAAGAGTAAGAAAAACTATTTCGTATTTCCTGAAAAATGACACTGAAGTAGCATGTTCCTTTATGCTGTTAGAAAAATTATTACTTCAAGTTCTCTACCAAGTGCTGAATGTTGAAATTCTTAAAATGGTATATGTAGAATAAGGAGAATTTTCCTCTTATAATATAACTATGGCTTTTTGGACTCCAAATTATTTTCCCCTGTCTCATAATGAAGGCATTACAACATGAATTATAGGAGCCTTCCTTTTAATCAGTCTGAAGTAGGTTAATTGTAGTAACTCTTGGTAGCACAACTTAATAGCACAGAAAGTTTGGTTGTAAAATTTATTCTGATCTTCGTGTAAATCTTTAATGTGCAGATACGTGTTTCCTGTCCTTAAGGTAGCCTGTTGGCTAACCTGTAGTGTTTTCTATTTACATCATAAGATATACTTCGATGTTTGAATTGAGTACCCTTCCTTGAAATGATTAGTGAGAATTTTTAAAAAGTATATTCTCTGGTATGTGACCATCCCTCATTAACTGATAGCAAATTGAAGCTCTCTATTTCTAATCATCTCACTAGTTTCATAATTTGATCTTTGAGGAAATGCTTATAAATTAATTTTCCTTTTAAATTTAAGGTATGGGCCTGCAATAAGGGAGCCTAAGTATCTTATGGAGATATTGGGGAAAGCAATGCCTGGGAGAAATTTATGAGCAGAGATCAAATTTATTTATTTATTTATTTATTTATTTATTTATTTATTTATTTATTTATTTTTGAGACAGGATCTCACTCTGTTACCCAGGCTGGAGTGCAGTGGCATGATCATGGCTCACTGCAGTCTCGACCTCCCCCGGCTCAGGTGATCCTCCCACCTCAGCCTCCCTAGTAGCAGGGACTACAGGCGCACCACCATGTCTGGCTAATTTTTGTATTTTTTTAGAGACAGGATTTTGCCATGTTCCCCGGGCTGGTCTCAAACTCCTGGGTTCAAGTGATCCACCTGCCTCGGCCTCCCAAAGTGCTAGGATTACAGGCATCAGCCACTGATCCCAGCCTCAAATTTAGTATCAAGTAAAATTTGTAAAAATTAAAATCTGAATTCTCAGTGCTGCTTTTGGAGAGAATATTTTATCCAGAAGGATAAGTTGACTCACCAGCAGTCATACTGCCTGTCCCTTCTAGAAGCTCCTTAGGCCCAAGCTTCTTTTTTTTTTTTTAGACAGAGTCTCACTCTGTCGCCCAGGCTGGAGTGTAGTGGCACAATCTTGGCTCACTGCAACCTCCACCTCCCAGGTTTAAGCAATTCTCCTGCCTCAGCCTCCCAAGTAGCTGGGATTATAGGCCTGTGCCACCACACCTGGCTAATTTTTGTATTTTTAGTAGAGACAGGGTTTCACCATGTTGGCCAGGCTGGTCTGGAACTCCTGACCTGAAGTGATCCACCCGCTTTGGCCTCCCAAAGTGTAGGGATTACAAGCATGAGCCACCACACCCAGCCAGGCTCAAGCTTCATGAAGGCCAAGTCCATGAAGGAGAGGCAGTATGGGATTTCAGTGTCTCCACTTGTGTGTTCTCATTATCAAAGTGGCCTCTAAAGTCTATGTTATGTTATGGATCTCATGATAATTCACTGACTTTAAATGATAAAGATGGAAAGAACCAGAGGAGCTCATTCAGGCGGGTATAGTCCAAGCCTATCTGGGGAACCAGAATAGTATAGTGGTTGGGAGCATGGCATCTGAAGCCAGAGCACCTCACTTCAAACTGTGGCCCTGTCACTTATCAGCTGCATAACCTCAGGGAGTTACTTCTCAACACTTCAACTTCCTCAGCCAAAAATAGAATGTATAAAGTCGTATATTAATTAAGTAAGCCCGATGAAGCATTTGTCAAGGGCTTGACAATCACTGATTGTTAGTGGTTATGCTTTATCTCTCCCGTTTTATAAACCACTGGACTAATGGTTTAGACTTTTTTTTTTTTTTTTTTTTTGAGACAGAGTCTCACTTTGTCACCCAAGCTGGAGTGCAGTGGCATGACCATAGCTCACTGCAGCCTTGATCTTCTGGACTCAAGTGATCTCCCACCTCTGCCTTTGGAATAGCTGGGACTACAGGCACGCACCACTTCACCTGGCTAATTTTTTTGTTTGTTTTGTAGAGACTGGGTCTCAGTATGTTGCCCAGGCTGGTCTTGAACCCCTTGGCTCAAGCAATCCTCCCTCCTTGACCTCCCAAAGTACTGGAATATATATATACATATATATATACACACACACACACATATATATATACACATATATATATACACACACATATATATATACACATATATACACACACACATATACACACATATATATATATACACACACACATATATACACATATATATACACACACACATATATATACACACATATATATATACACACACACATATATATATACACACACACACACATATATATATATACACACACACATATATATAAGCTTTGGAATCCTTTCTTCTAAGAAAGTTTAAATAGGAGCAATAAATAAAACAGATACTAGGAGTGATTCTGCTTGAAAGGAGAGTGGACAGCCCCATCCTCATCCCTACTTTCCCCAACTGCAGCCCTTGAAGAGAACCCCAGGGATTCCTTCAACCATAAGTTGGGGGAAATAAAAACAACTCTGTTCTAAACCATCTCATTTTTTTTAAAGATGAAGAAGTTAGAGTCCAGAGAGGTAAAGTAACTTGACCAGGTTCACACAGATAATTAGCATAAAAGCCAGGACCAGAGCCAGAGAATGCCAAACAGAGCACATTTTGTTTCTCTGAAAGAAAGCACTGTGTACATTCAAAGACTTATTATTTCCACTGGGGGTAATTATACCCAAGAAATGTGACGGAGAGAGGGGAGACTCTCTTGCCCAAGAAGTGGTGACAAAACCAACAGTTGCATAATTGATAAGTAAATGACGGTACATCCATATGATGGACTTCCATGCAGCATTAAGACAACTTTTCAAACAAATTTTTTGGTAATCTGAAAAATGTTAACTATAAGGTTAAGTCATTTTATTTCTTGAAAAAGCAAGATATCAAATTATATGAACAGAATAATCTCAATTCTATTCAAAATATTTAATTATGCATATAAAAAGATTAGAAACATATAAAAATGTTAACAGGGATATTGTCTGACTGGTAGGATTATCAGTGATTTTTAAATATTATCCAAAGTTGCTATAGTGAACACACTTATAATCAGAGAAAATCTTATGGGGGAAGGATGAGATGAATAAAATATCCAAAGCGGTCAATAGTAGATGAATTTTTAAAATCTATCCTTTTGAGATAATATTTAAAAAGTTATGCTAAAATAAAAATACATAATTGATGTTGGAGCATGAGAATGCATTAAATATTTAAATTTCTTCTAATGTTGTTCAGGCCTTAAGATGTCTTCCAACTCTAGTGCCAAGCACTGTGCATACATGCTACGTACTCAATAAATTAGTTCATCCCTCATCCCTAGAGTTTCTTGGCTATATAATCTTCCGATCCCTCATATGCAAGCAAAACACCCATTAAAAATAGTTGGTAGTGTACTTAGGACTATTTAAAAATAGTTTCATTAAAAAACAAATGTGGCAGAGAATGGTGGCTCATGCCTGTAATCCCAGCACTTGGGGAGGCCAAGATGGGAGGATTGCTTGAAGCCAGGAGTTTGAGACCAGCCTGGGTGACATAGACCCCATTCTACAAAAAAATAAAAATAAAAAAATTAGTTGGGTGTGTGATATGTGCCTGTAGTCCCAGCTACCTGGGAGGCTGAAGCAGGAGGATTGCCTGAGCCCAGGAGTTCGAGGCTGCAGCAATCTATGATCACACTGCTGTACTCCAGTCTTGGCGACAGAGCAAGACCTTGTCTTAAAAACACATGTGTGCGCACACACACACACACATACACACACACACACACCACACTCCAAATGTTATATATCAGGGAGATGTTGGCTTTTCATAGTTTTATAATTAATTGGTTTGTGTGTTCACTTTTTAAAACTAGGTCAATAACTTTATCTTCCTGCTTTTTCCTCACAGCCCTGCCAAGCCCAAACATGTGGAACTAAATCTTAAAACCCCTAAGAATCTTGACAGTTTGGGAAATGAGCACAATCCATTTAGCCAGCCAGTTCACAAAGGCAACACTGCCACCAAAATCTCCTTATTTGAAAACAAACGGACAAACAGTAGCCCAAGACACACTGACATTCGAGGCCAAAGGAATACTCCTGCCTCTAGTAAAACGTTTGTTGGGAGGGCAAAGCTGAATTTAGCCAAAAAAGCCAAAGAAATGGAGCAACCTGAAAAGAAAGTAATGCCAAACAGTCCCCAGAATGGTGTGCTGGTTAAGGAAACTGCTATAGAAACCAAAGTTACCGTCTCGGAAGAAGAGATTCTGCCAGCAACCAGAGGAATGAATGGAGACTCTTCTGAGAATCAAGCTCTTGGTCCTCAGCCTAACCAAGATGATAAAGCAGATGTACAAACAGATGCTGGCTGCCTTTCAGAACCAGTGGCTTCTGCTCTGATTCCTGTCAAGGATCATAAGCTCTTAGAGAAGGAGGACTCAGAGGCTGCAGACAGCAAAAGCCTTGTACTTGAAAATGTAACCGATACAGCACAAGACATCCCCACCACTGTGGATACCAAAGATTTACCTCCAACGGCCATGCCAAAGCCACAGCATACATTTTCTGACTCACAGTCCCCTGCTGAGTCATCTCCTGGGCCTTCTCTTTCACTGTCTGCACCCGCTCCTGGGGATGTTCCCAAAGACACATGTGTTCAATCACCCATAAGCAGTTTCCCATGCACTGATCTAAAAGTGTCAGAAAACCATAAAGGATGTGTTTTGCCTGTGTCTCGTCAGAACAATGAGAAAATGCCACTTTTAGAACTTGGAGGAGAAACAACCCCTCCTTTGTCCACAGAGCGTAGTCCAGAAGCTGTGGGAAGTGAGTGTCCATCCAGAGTCCTCGTCCAGGTCAGGTCCTTCGTGCTCCCCGTGGAGAGCACCCAGGATGTGAGCTCCCAGGTCATCCCAGAGAGCTCTGAAGTTAGAGAAGTGCAGTTGCCAACTTGTCACAGTAATGAACCTGAAGTGGTTTCCGTTGCAAGTTGTGCTCCCCCACAAGAGGAAGTACTGGGCAATGAACACTCTCATTGCACAGCAGAGCTCGCGGCAAAATCTGGCCCACAAGTCATACCGCCAGCATCAGAGAAAACTCTGCCTATTCAGGCTCAAAGTCAGGGCAGCAGAACACCCCTGATGGCTGAATCCAGTCCCACCAACTCTCCCAGCAGCGGAAATCACTTAGCCACTCCTCAAAGGCCAGATCAGACTGTTACAAATGGCCAGGATAGCCCTGCCAGCCTTTTGAACATTTCTGCTGGTAGTGATGATAGTGTATTTGATTCTTCTTCTGATATGGAAAAATTCACTGAAATTATAAAACAGATGGATAGCGCAGTTTGTATGCCCATGAAAAGAAAGAAGGCCAGGATGCCAAACTCTCCTGCTCCTCACTTTGCCATGCCTCCTATTCACGAAGACCATTTAGAAAAGGTGTTTGATCCCAAAGTGTTTACCTTTGGTTTGGGGAAGAAGAAGGAAAGTCAGCCAGAAATGTCACCGGCTTTACATTTGATGCAGAACCTTGACACAAAATCCAAACTGAGACCCAAACGTGCATCTGCTGAACAGAGCGTCCTCTTCAAGTCCCTGCACACCAACACTAATGGGAACAGTGAGCCTCTGGTGATGCCGGAAATCAATGACAAAGAGAACAGGGACGTCACAAATGGTGGCATTAAGAGATCGAGACTAGAAAAAAGTGCACTTTTCTCAAGCTTGTTATCTTCTTTACCACAAGACAAAATCTTTTCTCCTTCTGTGACATCAGTCAACACTATGACCACGGCTTTCAGTACTTCTCAGAACGGTTCCCTATCTCAGTCTTCAGTGTCACAGCCCACGACTGAGGGTGCCCCGCCCTGTGGTTTGAACAAAGAACAGTCAAATCTTCTGCCCGACAACTCCTTAAAGGTCTTCAATTTCAACTCGTCAAGTACATCACACTCCAGTTTGAAAAGTCCAAGCCACATGGAAAAATACCCGCAAAAAGAGAAAACCAAAGAAGATCTGGATTCACGAAGCAACCTACACTTGCCAGAAACTAAATTTTCTGAATTGTCAAAACTGAAGAATGATGATATGGAAAAGGCTAATCATATTGAAAGTGTTATTAAATCAAACTTGCCAAACTGTGCAAACAGTGACACCGACTTCATGGGTCTTTTCAAATCAAGCCGGTATGACCCAAGCATTTCTTTTTCTGGAATGTCATTATCAGACACAATGGTAAGTAGCAATGTGTTATTATTTATTTGGGGTATTTTTAAAGCAAGGGAAGAGAAGGATGATGAGCAACTCATGTTATTCTTTTAGAAATGGTTAAGCTTATGTGCTATAGTTTTTATTCATTCATCACATATTTGAAAACCTGCAATGTACAAGGGACCGTTAGAGTGCAAGAAAAAAATGTACTAAGAGTCTTCACTGAAGGCATCTGTAGTCTTGCAGGGAGATAAAGCTACAAATGCTCTAAGGCACATGATCTTTTTTTTTTTTTTTTTTTTTTTTTGAGACAGAGTCTCGCTCTGTCGCCCAGGCTGGAGTGCAGTGGTGCAATCTCAGCTCACTGCAACCTCCACCTCCTGGGTTCAAGCGATTCTTCTGCCTCGGCTTCCCTAGTAGCAGGGAATGCAGGCGCGTGCCACCACGCCTGGCTAATTTTTGTATTTTTAGTAAAGACTGAAAATACAAATACGGGGGTTTTACCATATTGGCTGGGCTGGTCTCGAACTCCTGACCTCGTGATCCATCTGCCTCGGCCTCCCAGAGTGTTGCGATTACAGGTGTGAGCCATCCTGACTGGCTGGCAATAAATCTTTTAAGGCACATGTGAATTTATATGTTGTATTATGAAAGGTATAGGTAAGCTTTTAGAGTTCAGAGACAGATGAGTTGCTTTTTCTTACCTATTCTATGTAAAAATGCTCAGTGCTATACTTAGAATTTTGAAGATTTGTGAAGGAGCTTCCTCTATTTGGGAAGTCCCCAGCCAGGGAAACTTTTTCTTAATCCTTCTCTCTGTGAGATTCACTCTTTGTTCCCATAAGTAGCAATAGGTGTTTATCCTATGCAATTGAGACAGTATTTTGTCTTTATTGGGAATTAGTTTTCATTAGGGAAATATTTTTTTTACCCTGCAAAGCTGTGGGGAATAAAGAATTTTGGTTTTCATTGGATCTTTTCTTAAATATTAGAGAGAAGACAGCAAAACATGATTTTGGGGAATAATTTTGATTTCTGCATCTTCTTTTATCTCACTTCAGAAGATGTTTACTTTACTCGGTTTTTGATGTGAATTGCGCCTTTTTGTTACCAAGCTTATTTAAGGTGAGAAAGGACTATGAGAGAGGAAGGTGGAATATATGTTTAGTGATCAGCTCTGCCAGGCTAGAAACCTGAGTAGGGTTTGTATTCTGGTGGTCCATCCTGTGAACCCGGCTGTCTGGCAAGTGTGGACCTCAATCCAACACAGTTTATCTAGGCAGAAAATACCTTGCACCTTTCCTCGTCTGTACAGGGTACTGCAGCATGGTTCAATGTATTGTATTGGCTTTTACTACAATCCTGTCAGAGAATGTGATGTTGCAAGCTCTTTCAAAATATATGGTTGGGTTTCCAGCAGAGGTGCAGATCCCTTTTTCATGTGATTTCATAAACTTTCATAAAGTTTGGGTTTCAGATGTTTGGTGTTAGGACCCTTTATGTTTAAAAATGATTGAGAACCCCAACGAGCTTTTGTTTGTATGGGTTCTGCCTATCAGAATTTATTATATTATAAATAATTGCTGAGAAAATTGTAAAACACCAGAAAGTAGAAGTGCACACTGCACCAGTGCTCAGAGCAACGATGTCATCACACATCATGGAGCCTTGTACTCCGCTGGACATTTGAGACAGAGATGAAAAAGGCAGGTGACCTCTTCTTATTATGAAAATAGTTTTGACCCCATGGACTACCTGAAAGTATCTTGGAGACCCCCGCAGTGGCCTCTGAACCACATTTTGAGAACCACTGCTATAAACAAATAAGACTGAATCAGCCTATGGTACTCAGAAATCATAAAATTCTAACTATTTCTATTAATAGTTATATAATAGAAATATTAACTATTTCTCTCAAGCACAAAATTTCCACTGGTCCACTTCCCATTCATTACTACTTTGTTCTTTTTAATTGTTCTTAGATCGCTTTCCTTATTTAACTACAGTCTGACAAAGTTGATAACAGAATATACAGTTTCCCTATGAAAATCAAGTCAAATGACATAAAAAGGAAAAATAAAATCTTTATACTTTTTCTAGGCCTTTTTATGATTAAAAAATATGGTCTTTCTTTAGGTCCTGGGCTTTTATTGATTGTATATTCAATCATGAAGGTTTTACCTGAATTTTGTTTTAAATTTTAGGCTTTTTCTTCAGTTTATCTACTTCTAATGTGTATATATACATAAATAGGTATATACCATCTGGCTTCTGATAAGGCTCTAGGGGGGCCCTTATGGCCTTTTTTTTTTTTTTTAGAGTCAGAATCTCGCTCTGTCACCCAAGCTGGAGTGCAGTGGCATGATCTCAGCTCACTGCAACCTCTCTGCCTTCCAGGTTCAAGCGATTTTCATGTCTCAGCCTCCCAAGTAGCTGGGATTATAAGTGAGTGCCACCACGCCCAGCTAATTTATGTATTTTTAGTAGAGACGGGGTTTTGCCATGTTGGCCAGGCTGGTCTCGAACTCCTGACCTCAGGTGATCTGCCCACCTCAGCCTCCCAAAGTGCTGGGATTACAGGTGTGAGGCACTGCGCCCCAGCCTTTTGTGGTCTTCTGGGCATATCACACTCTGGTGTGATGCAAGAGCAGTCAGAGCAAAGGCAGTTCCTAAAATAGGCATCCTGGTCAGCACTGAAAGTAGTTCACGTTTTGTAATATTTTTACATGTATAATTACTATTTTATTATCTTATGCATTTCTGGTTTTACTGGTCTTGTCAGATGGTCTTGAAAATGATTAGTTTTGGAGCCATATTGAAATGTATTTTGTCTATCAAAAAAGCGGGATTAGGCCGGGCACGGTGGCTCTCACCTGTAATCCCAGCACTTTGGGAGGCTGAGGCAGGCGGATCACGAGGTCAAGAGATCGAGACCATCCTAGCCAACATGGTGAAACCCCATCTCTACTAAAAGAAAAATACAAAAATTAGCTGGGCCTGGTGGCACATGCCTGTAGTCCCAGCTACTCGGGAGGCTGAGGCAGGAGAATCACTTGAACCCAGGCGGAGGTTGCAGTGAGCCAAGATGATGCCACTGCACTCCAGCCTGGTGACAGAGCCAGACTCCATCTCAAAAGAAAAAAAAGGGGGATTAAATATACTATGTGCAATGTACATTATGAAATATACCATATATACCATAAACACTTCTATTTAGACTAGTGGTTGTTATATGATTGTAGATTTACTATGAGAAAACAATATTTATATGGATTCAGATAGGGTATGTATATGAACACAAAATTGATTCAGCTCTTTCTAGGTAAGTGATTAATATATTCTAATTTATCTTTATTTGAGATGATACTGATATTATTTGAATTAGAATCTCTTAGCTGAGTTCCTATTCTGTGAACTGACATGAAACATATGTGCCCTGAATTTTCTAGCATTGGTGGAAATAGCCTAGACATTTAAATTAGGAGAAATTGAAATGGCAAATTCAGTTAGAGGTGAAAAAACCTCAATTTAAAAGCATAAACTCAAAGAGTTTTAATACAACTTTAGCATCCATTAGAGTGGAGGTTTCAAAATCGATACAATGTGGGAAAAGTGTGATCTACCTACAGGATCGTGGGTGGAAAAAGAGGATCGTTATGTGAAGTTGTAATTATTTGTTGTGTTTTTGTTCATCTGATTGCAGACACTTAGAGGAAGTGTCCAAAATAAACTCAATCCCCGACCTGGAAAGGTAAGATTATTTTCTGTTTCTAGTCTTGATTCTATTTTGGTCTGACAGAGTACAACAAAGTGTGCTACCACTTTCGTTTTCTTGCAGGTAGTGATATATAGTGAACCCGACGTCTCTGAGAAGTGCATTGAAGTTTTCAGTGACATTCAGGATTGCAGTTCTTGGAGCCTCTCTCCAGTGATACTCATAAAAGTTGTTAGAGGATGGTAAGAATGGCACTTTAAGTTCCTGATGTCAAGTGTTTGAGTTTTACATACTTAATTAACTTTTTAGTCCTCACTACTAGTTTAAAATTATGGCTTTAGCAATGAAAAGCACAGGAAATACTACTCGTGGTAAGATAAGGGATTCATATCTTAACAATGTCATTTTAAATCATGTTTCTGATTATAGCAGTGATATATGTTTATGGGAGAAAAATCAGAACAATACAGTAGAACAAGCTTCTTTTTCCCATGCTTCCCCATAATATTGTTTTGGACTAGTCATATATCAGGGCCCATAACATACTCTTGGTTGATGACCTTTAAATGAGGTTGATAAGAATTGCACTAGTTATGTTGATAGGCCAGATACGACTTTTCAAAAACCTATAAGGAAACTTGAGAACACGTAGGAAAAGGCAAAGTAAAGAAACAATAAGGAAAAAAAATCTATAAGGTAAAACAAAAATAATCTATAAAGAAAGGCATTTTTCTAACTTTTTAATGACAGTTCAATGCAGCACTAACTTAAAATTTAATTTACTTTCCAATATTTCCACAAAAGATTGTTTTGGCTAAGTAAAGAAACTGGTGAAAAAAATAAATATTTTGACAGTTTCTGAAATCATTTTATCAGCTTCATTGCCTCTTGGAGATACACAGGAAGTTGGGTAGAGAAAGGCAGCTTAAAAAAAGAAATCGCTGATCTGGCATAATAGTTATCTTTTGGTGCCTACTTGTAAACTTGTTTGAAGTAAAGAGGGTAGACCTCTGAATGTTTATGGATTTACAAATTCATAAGCTTTTCTTTTGGTCTCCATTTGATTAAATATGCAGCAGCTTTCCTATTAGATTTTTAGGTGTTTTAATATTTTTTCCTATATATCCAACATAGTCATGAGAAAAACAAGATTTGCTTTTATTCTTAAATTTGAAGACAAATGCTATTTTAATTGCTAGAGAATTGGCCACTAATATACAATATATAATAGTGGCAATTTTTTACACAAATTTTGTTTTTATGGAACAGTACTTTTTCCTTTCTTTTGCAACTTTTGTCGGCTTCTTTTTCTTGAAAGCATAAGCATTTACACTGCCATATATTGACATGAGGTTTTTCTTTAGTGTTTGGCTGTTGTTGGGAAGAATATTATTAAAATGCTTTCCATTACCATATCTATAGTCTTTTGTGCCAACATATTCATTGATATGACTGTAATATGTAAGTTAAAGTCTCTCTAAGAGAAATGTTTTCTACACATATAAGGAGACAAAAGGCCAGACATGGTGGCTCATGCCTGTAATTCCAGCACGTTGGGAGGCCGAGGTGGGCAGATCACTTGAGGCCAGGAGTTCGAGATCAGCAGGCCAACATGGGGAAACTCAGTCTCTACTAAAAATACAAAAATCAGCCAGGCTTGGTGGCACATTCCTGTAATCCCAGCTACTAGGGCAGCTGAGGCAGGAGAATTGCTTGAACCAGGGAGGCGGAGGTTGCAGTGAGCCGAGATCGCACCACTGCACTCTAGCCTGGGCAACAGAGCAAGACTCTGTATCCAAAAAAAAAAAAAAAAAAGAGACAAAAAAAAAAAAACCTAGTACAGTAAACATCCATTTATCTGACATATTATCATAAGTCTCTACCACTTGGCAATTACTTAGAACATTAGTAGCTCTATAGCATTCATATAGGTAACTCCAAAGTTCTCTAAGATCCTGATATAGTTCATGAGTTATCAGAGGCTTAATTATACCCAGTAAAATATTAGTGTTAGGGAGAGTTTAAGCTATTTTAATTGCTAGATAATTGGCTGCTAATATTCTATATATATATATAAAATGGCAATTAGCCAGGTTATTTGAGTAATCAAAACCTCTCTCACGAAGACTGACTAATGGTTTTGCTGTGTTTTATTGTTAGTTGGATTTTGTATGAGCAACCAAATTTTGAAGGGCACTCCATCCCCTTAGAAGAAGGAGAATTGGAACTCTCTGGTCTCTGGGGTATAGAAGACATTTTGGAAAGGCACGAAGAAGCAGAGTCTGATAAGCCAGTGGTGATTGGTTCCATCAGACATGTGGTTCAGGTAGGTTGTGGTAAATATGGATTTTATTTATTCAGCTAATATTTATGGATTCTTACTTTAAGGGAAATGATCATTTTACGAAATATGTGATTGGGAAACATATTTGGTGCCTTATGGATATATTTTCTGTATTTTAAGTATTTGTACACTTTAAATAATTTAAAAAGAAACATAATTGGTTAGATAATTTTTCACAATAAACCCTTTAGGTAGATCTTTTATGCCTGTCCTTCTATTCCCATCTTCCAAATATATTTTACCTGGTAACTTGGTTTAAATGAGTTCTGCCTCTATGAACAGGTTTTTCATTTATTTAGTGTTTTTGTTTGCTGTATGAGTTCTGATTACTTTGAGTGGTTTATAGGAATTCTATTTTGGAAAAATAAATAATCCAAAAATAATTTGGTTGATTAACTCTGGGATTTCATGTGGGTTTAACAAAATATTATTTACTCTATTTGAGGCCACTTTATGGGTGAGGTAAAATTTCTTGGTTTCTTGTTATTTGATGAGGAAAGTGTTGTCAGAGTCTTTCTTTGTGGCTCTTAGGATTTGATGATTCTTTACCTTAAAAATGCAATTAATGATGTCTTCTAAGTAGAAAATTAAAATCCCAAGTTTTAATGGAGACGAGTGTCAAGATGCAATACAGAGAAAAGGAACATTCTTACATGAGAATGAGTAAGGATGAGTAACAGTTTTGGCAGAGGAAAGCATCGCTTACTTCCTGAGTCAACATTTCTGAGTAACTTAGGTGGTAATTGGTATGCTAAATGATTTATCTTTTATTTGTTTTAAGTATATAATACGAGAAGACTAAGTAAGACTTGAGAAACCCTATTTCAAAATGTCCTCATTAGTGGAATATTTTGCCTAGAGTTTTTATTTACTGCTCAAATAATATTGGAAATAAAGCAATGTTTAAAAAGATCATCTGATTCCCACCATCATGAAGTGTCCCCTCCCCTTTTATTTTTTGAATTTTCTACCCTTTGTTGGCCATATTCTAGTCTGCTTTTTCTGCAGTAATAATCATAATACAGGTACAATGCTGTTCCACCCTTCTCACCTAACACTGTGGTTCTCAATCCTTTTTTTCTCTTTATACCACTTTCCTGAAAATCACACTCCCCTTGGTAACATCTTTGTGATTGGCAACTGGGGAAGGTATCAGAATCTGGTGGGGTGAGGATTTGGGTGCATTCAGGAAGATGGGGAAGGGAAACGAGATCTCTTGTTTTGTCTGATAATAGCAGACTTACTGTAGCAAATGCTTTTCATGTTACCACAGGTTTAGGGTTTAGCTGAATATCATATTCCATTGAAATGATACATTATTTATTGTTTAGTACATAAATGAGGTACCATTATTTATTTATTATTTCTTCTTTCAGTGAATCTTAAGGTTGTTTCTAGTTTTTTACTATTATAAGTAATGCCACGAGAATGTTTTTGTGCATTTAATAATTTATAATTTTCTTTTTTTTTTTTTTGAGACAGTCTTGCTCTGTCGCCCAGGCTGGAGTGCAGTGGTGCAATCTCAGCTCACTGCAACTTCTGCCTCCCAGGGGTTCAAGTGATCCTCCTGCCTCAGCCTCCAGAGTAGCTGGGATTACAGGCACATGCCACAACACCTGGCTAATTTTTGTGTTTTTAGTAGAGACGGGGTTTTGCCATATTGGCCAGGCTGCTCTCGAACGCCTGACCTCAGGTGATCTGCCCGCCTAGGCCTCCCAAAGGGCTGAGATTACAGGCATGAGCCACTGTGCCCGGCCAGTAATTTATAATTTTCTAATTTGTTTCCTTGGGGTACATTTTTCTGAATGGTGTCATGTTAAAGGGCTATGATATGTCATGGCTCCCAGTGTGTCATGGATTATATTTTCTTCACAGATCGTGTGCATGGTTTCTTGAAACATAAAACATAAGTCACAGCGTATATTTTCAAGGTTACCTTTTTAGCTCATTAGAGTTGTTCCTTTTGATAATATTTGAAAAGCCTCATCTGAGCTTATTCAAGTGTTAATATTTCTTCTGTCACTCAGTTCACCCAACTCAGCTGCATAGATGAGTTTCAATAAATATTCCATTAACGCTTAGGCACTGGACCAGAAGAGGCCTTTTGAAGACTGTTTGGACCACAGATATGCGGGGCATGGAACAATGACCAAAGTACAGAGATTTGTAAATCACTATGAATGTGTGCTTTTGCTTTTACGACTTAGATCAAACCAATATCATAGAGGTTTACTCAGTCAAGGAGAGTTACCACAAAGCAACAGAGGGCTTATGGACACAAAACAGTGGCTGAGGAAGACTCCAAGAGCAGCCATTCTACAGACTAGAGTCTCTGTGCTTGGATAATTATATCAGAGCAAAGGAACCAAAACCCCAGACCAAAGAGGACCAAGTGAGGATGAGAAAAAGAAATATATTCCAAAACTCAAATAAAATACATTTCTGATGATCTTTGCTTGAATGCAACACTGAGTTATATAACTAAAGCAAGTGTGTCTGCCCCGAAATAGGTGTATTATTAATTCATGGATGAAAACAGGAAAGGGCTAAAATGGCAGGTGCTCTGTGAAATGTGTTTGTAAATTTAAAGCTCATTTTGATTAGTTGTAAGAAGAAGAAGAATGAGCTTACTAGAGAGTGAAATACATGGTGCAATTCTTACTATCTATGCATCTATATTTTTTCAGGATTACAGAGTTAGTCACATTGACTTATTTACTGAACCAGAAGGGTTAGGAATCCTAAGTTCCTACTTTGATGATACTGAAGAAATGCAGGGATTTGGTGTAATGCAGAAGACTTGTTCCATGAAAGTACATTGGGGCACGTAAGTATTTTTTTTTCAAACAAATTTTAATGAAGTTTTTTTGTGAGTGTAGTACTGGAAAAAGAGGACTTAAGATACTCTGACTCTAATTTGTCATCCTGTTAAGTAATTATTAACTGTAAGGTATATTTTTATAAGGCACGTAAAATTCTGATTCTTTTGCACCTATGTTATGATTCATCTGTCTTAAAAACAGTATCGATTTATTATAGGAAATGGGGGGGGATTGAATTTTTTAATGTAAGGCTTTCCTTGTCACAGAGAAATCTGATTTATTCAAAGCTGAGTAGCAGATTATATTTTCATGGTGATTCAGAGGAGGTAATTCAAAGCACATGCCCCTGATATTTCTGGGGGGGGATGGAAGCCAACACACATGGTACTTCCTTGAATATTTTCACACAATGCTGGTTCAAAGCCCCTAGGAGGTTGGTTTCACAAATCACAGGAAACAGCAAGAATATTTTGAAGGAAATGGGAATACCTCAGATAGGGGAGAAATGAGGATAGAAAGTATAGACTGCAATACTGAAGAATGTGGTCTCCAAAGTGAAGCACAAAGCCCCAAGGCATGTGAAAGACATTCACTGAGATGCAGGAAAAAACACTAAAGCTTCTTTCTATTTGATTAAAGTCTCCACCTCTTAAGATTTTATTTTTGTATATGTTTTCTAATATGCATAATGTATTAGTTCAGTGGTAATGTATATAATTTATAAATATTCATATATTCAGAGAATGCTCAAATGTTTTTACTAATGGTTTATACAGTCAAAAAAGTTTACAGCCTGTCCCTAAAGTGGTATGGAGTATCTCTGCAGTGAACAATAAGGCACTCCTTAATCATGCTTTTTGCATTCTATTTATTACTAAAAGCCTTGGTTTGCCATTGTTCATATCTTAGAAAAATAATTTGCTTGTGTAAAAGGTAGGAATAGGATAAATTACAGATCATAGAATCTGATTTTTGATCCTCAGAAATGAGAAACTAAAAACTTCTAGGCAACTTAACAGGAAGTGTGGCTATTGAGAATTGGTAGCAGCTATCCTTGAATAGTTGGAAGGTGGTCATATAGAAGAGATATTAGACTTGCTCTCTGTTATTCCATAGGAGGTCCCAGGAAAAACCAGTAGAAATTAGAGAGATGGATTTTGACTTGACCCAGGGAAGAACTTTCTGATGGTTAATACAGTTAAAATGGAAGTGGGCTGCCTTGTTAGGTAAAGAGTTTCTCATCGCAGGGAGTACTCAGGTAGAGGATGGACAAGAATTTATCCAGAGCTTTGTAGGGAAAGGAAAGTATGAGTTAGGTACCTCCTTTACGACAGTTTGTTCATTTATTTATTTACTTTTAACATTTTGAAATATAAGACACCTAGAAAAAAGTTCACAGAAGGTAAATGTACACTTAAACAAATAAAGTGAGCACCCAAGTAGACACCACTTGAGCCAAGAACTGGAACATTACCAGCACCCCAGAAGCCCGATGGTATTCTTTCCCTATGGCAGCCCGTCTCAGAAAACAACCTTCCTCTCCCAGAAGAGTGAGAAAATAACAAGGGAGGACTATAGTGATGGTTCGTCAATATACAAAGGTGTAGTTACTAGGGCAGAATTTGGGGTGTAGAGAACAATATTAATTTAAATATCTCCTCTTGATGTATAAAGTTATTTTCCAAGGATAGTATACATTTTACTGCTTTTTAAATTATTTTTAATTGACACATAATAATTGCACATATTTATGGGGTACAATGTGAGGTTTTGATACCTGTATACATTGCATAATGATCAAATCAGGGAAGTTAGCAAATCCATCACCTCAAACACGTATTATTTCTTTGTGGTAAGATCATTCAGAATCCTCTCTTCTAGCTATTTTGAAATATAAAATATATTATTGTTAATCATAGTTACCCTACTGTGGAATAGAACACCAGAACTTATTCTATTATATATTTTTACCACATTTTCTTTATTCATTCATCTGTTGATGGACACTCAGGCTGATTCTGTATCTTGGCTATTACAAATAGCACTGCAAGAAACATGCAAGTGCGGGTATCCTTTGACATACTTGATTTCATTTCCTTTGGATATATACTCAGTAGTGAGATTGCAAGATCACACAGGAGTTCTATTTTTAATTTTTTGAGGAGCCTCTATACTGTTTTCCATAATGGCTGTGCTAATTTATATTCCCACCAATAGTGTGGAAGAGTTCCCTTTGCTCCACATCCTCACCAATACTTGTTATATTGTGTCTTTTTGATAATAGCCTTTCTAACTGGAGTGAGGTGGTATCTCATTGTGGTTTTGATTTGCATTTCCCTGATCTTGAGTGATGTTGAACATTTTTTCATATACCTCTTGGCCATTTGTATATCTTCTTTAAATAAATGTACTGTTTTTTGTGTACATTTTGAGTTATATCATTTGGTACCCCGTAGTCCTTGAAAGGCTCTGAAATTTTTAAAGGTGGTTAGTTTAGAAGTAGAAATTAGGAAAGGCTTTTATTTCCTCTGCATACCCTGTCTAAATATGACAAGAAATTGGGACTTTAACAAATATAAACCCAAAAGAGTGTCTATGAGATGTATTAAATATATTCAGTAAATCTGTTAATCAAGCATCTACCATGTGCCAGGTGCTTTTCTAGTCACTGGGAATACAGCAGTGAAGACATAAAATGATGTCCCCATTCTCCTGGAGCTGTCAGTCTAGCAGGAATAAACAACACAAATACATATATAATGTGTCAGATGGCAAAGGCTACAAGAAACATAAATTACAGAGGGGCAGGCATGTTGCTATTTTAGATAGGGTAGCTAGTAAAGGACTCTGGTGACATTTTAAGGAGGGACCGGCAGGAAGTGAGGGAGTCTGCCCTGGAGCTAGCTGAGGGAAGAGGGGCAGGGAGCCTGTCCCAGAGAGGAAGCACACCATTTGCAAAAGCCCTTCTGGGCATGCTTGGGCAATAGCTAAGAGGCCAAGGCGGCTGAAGCTGAGTGAAGTAGGAGGATAGGGATAAGACAGGGCTCAGGTCACATCTGGCCTTTCACGCCTTGGGGAGGAGGATTTAGATTTACTCTACGTGGCATGGAGAATCATTGGCGAATTTTTATCTAACTTGTGTTATTAATAGAAGGATCAGCCTGTCTGTTCGTATAGAAAATAGTCTGTAAAGAGGCAAAGGTGGAAGCCAAGAAACCACGTAGGATGCACTTGCAATCATACAGCCAAGAAGAGATGGTGGCTTAGACGTGCGATGGTGGTGGTGGGAAATGGTCAGATCTTGGATGCATTTTGAAGGTAGAACTAACAGCATTTCTGACAGATTGTGTGTGGGGTATGAGGGGCCAAGACATGCCCAGGGTTTGGAACCCCAACATTTATTGAGACGAAAAAGACTTGGAGGAGCAGGATAGGAGAGAGAGTGAGATTCAGGAGCTCAGTTTTGGACAGGTTAAGGCTGAGATGCCAACTGCAAATTCAAGTAAGTGGGCAAGAAGGTGACTATGTGAGGCTGGAGTTCAGGGGAGAGGCTGGAGGCATAAATTTAGGAGTCACTGGCAAAGAGAATGTATTTAAACCAGGCACAGGACACAGTCCCAAAGGGGAGTGGGTGTAGTTAAGGGAAGAGAAGGCACTTTTGTATTTAGAGACTGGGAAGAAAAGTGGGAATCTAAGCAAAAGAAAATGCCTTCATCTCTTGCTGCCTTTAATTTTTTTACATGAAAGAAGTCTATACACTTTTTTTTAAAGAATTGGTGTCAGGTTGAGAAACACCACTTTCCTTAGAAAAGAATGAAAAAGGCATCTGTTATCATATTTTAATCTCAGTGTCTGGAAGGTGCCATGACTCAGGCTTGGCTATGTTGAAGCACATTAATCTACCTTAAATGATATTTCTTACCTTTGCAGTAAGTTTAGCTTTGCCTCCTGGGTGGTAGTTACCAGCCTGTCACAGCTTACAATTTATGACAGGTTTGTGTCATGGTGAGCATCTTCTTTTCTGGCTGTTCATTTCTGTTGAACACTGCCTCAGATGTTAATTCAAAGTTTGGGCTCGTTGAACTTGGTTGGTGAGCTTAGACACCAGGTCATTAGTGCTTTTATAGATCTCAAAGGAAAGTCTCAAGGGGTTGAGAAGATGTCACTGATAGTAAGTACTGAAGCTCATTTTGCTTCTGTTGATGCACTGGTTCCCCTGAACTGGGATAAGAAGTCTTTGCTGTAGAGGGAACTCCTTAAGAATCCATTAGGTGATTTATTCCAGGGCCCATTCACTCTAGATTAAGCTCTTCTACTCATACACAAAATAAGGGTGTTACTTGTCTGGTCAAATTCTTGTTTGAGGAAATGAGTGATTTCTAACTAAACTTGCCTTTCAGATTCTGTTGAGAGTAATTTGTTTTTAAATCTTTCTTTTAAGCAGCTGGCTAATCCTGGCACCCATCCTCCCAGAGGTGAAAGCATATTGGGTTTTTTGGGGGCGGGGTGTGTGTAGGGGTGGAAGTGGGGGGTGGTATATTTATGACGAACAAAAGCAAAGAAGTTTAGAACTTCAAAGGGAGTATAAAGATGATCTGGCCCAACACCATCATTTGACTGAGGAAGACAAGCTTTGGTCACTTTCTCCAGACTAGGGTTAGCTGTTAGCAGAATGTGTACTAGAATGCAGGTGTTCTAAAGTCAAGGGACTTCTTTTTTAATTGACAAACATTATTTGATCATTTGTACTGTGTAATATTTGACATATACAGAATAATATATGTATATATGTGAACTATGAAGCCCAATAATAAAACAATCCCCCGTGGACCCACCATCCAACTTACAACCTAGACCATTACCAACATTGCTGCCCACCGTGGTTACACATGTAACCACACTCCTAAGATTACTCATATTGATGGGTACATCTCTATGTATTTTTTTCATTGCTGTGTAATAGTCACTGTATATTTCATTGTGGAATATACCATATCAGAGCCCAATTTTTTATTATAAAAGTTTTCAAACATACAGAAAAGTAGGAAGAATAGTTCAGTGAACACCAATGTACCATTCACTTTGACCCAATAATTGTTATCATTTTACCATATTTGTGTTATTTTTCTGAGCACTTCAATGTACATTGGAGATATCATGACCCTTCATTCCACATAGGATTCAGCCTGACTCTCTTTCTAATGGTATTCCCCTGCATAAGTATCATTATTACACTTGAGAAAATTCACAAAGTGTCCATGATAATATCTGTTCAATAGTCCATCACCAAATTTTCCCAATTGCTTCAGGAATGTCTCTTATAGATTTGCATTTTCAAATCAGGATCCAATCAAGGTTCACATAAATGCGTTTGATTGTTCTGTCTCTTTTAAGTCTCTTTTTAAAGATCTCTAAAATACCCCATCTTTGTTTCCCAAGCCACTAACTTTTTTTTTTTTTTTTTTTTTTTTTTTTTTTTTTTTTTGAGACGGAGTCTCGCTCTGTCGCCCAGGCCGGACTGCGGACTGCAGTGGCGCAATCTCGGCTCACTGCAAGCTCCGCTTCCCGGGTTCACGCCATTCTCCTGCCTCAGCCTCCCGAGTAGCTGGGACTACAGGCGCCCGCCACCGCGCCCGGCTAATTTTTTGTATTTTTAGTAGAGACGGGGTTTCACCTTGTTAGCCAGGATGGTCTCGATCTCCTGACCTCATGATCCACCCGCCTCGGCCTCCCAAAGTGCTGGGATTACAGGCGTGAGCCACTAACTTTTAAAAAGATTTAGGCCAGCTGTCTTAGAGAGTGTGCCACATTCTAGATTTGTCTGAGTGTTCCCTCATGCTACTATTTAGCATGTTCTTCTGTTGCCCGAATTTCCTATCTACTAGGGCTTAGGTCTTAAGGTATGGTTAGGTTCAGGCCAAACAGTTTTGGCACGGATACTTCATATAGATAGTGCCATATATTTATGTTGTATCACAGCAGGTGGCATGTGCTAACTAGCTTGCCCTTTAGCAATACCAAGTTTGATTGCTTGGTTAAAGTGGTGCCTCCTCCATCTTTCCATTGTAAAGGTTCATTTTCCCCTTTGACATTCATAGCCCCCTCTCTTGTGAATAACCTCAAAGTCAGTACCTTCATATTTAATTTTTCAAGTATCCAGTTGGTTTCTGTGAATGGCCAATATTCATGTACAGCCATGTCTAGGGAACACAACTTAAGATCCATCTGGAAGTGCTGTTTTTGTTTAAGAGCAAGTGAACAAGATAAGACTGATTTTTCTTGTGTGACTCAAAGGGTATTTCTAAAAGAGTAATTGGACAAATATTTTAAATAAACATATAGATGGCCATTGTTATTACTTTAACAATATTCATTTGTAGGTATACATTTGTTTGTTTAAAAAATAAGCTTGGGCTTTATAATCATACTGTTTGTTAAGTACGACAATAAAGTTGTACTTTTTAATCTATATTGGCGAAAGCTTATGACCCAAGTACATGGGAAAATAAAAGATTACCTTTAGAAACTGAAATAACCCTGCCTGGAGATAGTTTCCCCCTCTCCTGATGGCCTCATAAATAATGTATCTTATTGGAACAGAATTTAGAAAAAGTGAATCATACTCTGCATATGAGTTTTCAAATTCAAAGTCCACCCAGCATTAATAAATGTCTGTTTGAATTACCCAGCAGGCCTTCAGCACTCATTTACTAAGGGAGAACTTTCAGAACAGCAGTCTTTTCAAATGCATTCATTCATGTTTTCGGTTTTTTCACAAATTCCCCTCTACCCAGAATGACTTTCCTTCCATGAATGTTATGCAACTAAACCACATGCTTCAACAGAAGTGAAATGTTTAGTATTAGATGAATAAATCCCCTCTGAACTCAAGCTATAGAAGGAAAGACTTAATGAAAAGGGTACTTCGGTAAGAATCATTTCAAAATCTCAGATCGCTTGCTCGTGAGCCGTACATTCAGTTTTTGAAAAATTAAACCTGTTCACTTGTAAAGAAGTCAGACTTGGGACCTGCTTGGTTAGCCTAATACCATAATGTGTTACAGAACTGCCATTATTTTGTTAGAGAACAAAATCCATGGGTACTGTGCCTGTGATAGCTTTGAGCTCCAAAATACATGTAACGTATCCTTGGCTGTCATGCTTTAAACATAAGGAAGTGTAAAGTACCCTATTCTTAGCGTCTGTTTTCTTGTGGTTTAGAAGCATTACAGTAGTATTTAAAAGATAAGCCTCTTTTTTTCCTTAAGGTAACTTTTTTTGAAGCATAACATTTGTACAAAAAGGTACATAAACCCTAAATATATAAGCTGAGTGAATTTTCACAAAGTGAATACACAAGCGCAGTCACCATTCAGATCAAGAAAAAGAACATTCCCAGCATCGCAGAAACCCGTTTCTTTCATGCGTCCTCACGCCCTCTTCCCCAGGAACCATCATCCTGACTTCTAACACTGTAGTTCTGACCTCCTACCCATATCCCACACCTGGCCTCCCAACATTCTTTCATGTGTGTGTTGTCAAATCATCAGTAGGAGCCTGGTTGTAAATCTCTGTATAATTAGAGAGTCTAGAGAAGTTACCAGTTTATCCAGCGGAATCTTCACAAAAACCACCGCCAAAAATGTGCCTTGGGCCAAAATTGGGAAGAAGAAAAAAGCAAAGAGGGAGGGGTCAGACCCGTTTTGTTGGTAAAAGATTTCATTTACAGCCACTCTCTTCTTGGCATGGTGTTCTGGGGAACACAACATGGTGGAGTACCACGGCTAAAACATTTTAGCAAAACTAACCGAATTGATGAGTGTAAGTGATCACTAAGAAGTCTATGTTTGTTTATGAAGCAGGTACATTAACCCCTCTCTTATAGAAAAGTCACTTCTTCAGCATCCTCACCTTCTCAGAACCCTTCCCAGGAACGAAGATGTTTACAAGAAGACCTTGTAAAGTTTAGAGACAGGGCTAGTAGGCATGGTTTTCTGGTTTCCTGATTTCTGGCACATTAGAGGAGGGTGGGGCTGCTGGTTCCCCAACTGAAGCAGAAGTGACAGCTGACAAGCTGATAGAAGGGTGTGGTATTGAAAAGCCATAACAATCAGAACCAAGAACTCAAAAAGCTTTGTGGCCTGGGAACAAGCAGCCCCACAGAACTTCAGAGCCCCTGAGGACACCACTGTGCATTAAATAATGCTCACAGTGATGATCCTGAGTAACTGTGAAAAGAGTAAACTGTGTTCAATGCACTTCCTGCAATGAGAAAAATTGCCATCACAAAAATGATTAGGGCTGGGCATGGTGGCTCACACCTGTAATCCCAGCACCTTTGGGAGGCCAAGGCGGGCGGATCACCTGAGGCCAGGAGTTTGAGACCAGCCTGGCCAATATGGTGAGACCCCCTCTACTAAAAAAAAAATGCAAAACTTAGTCGGATGTGGTGGTGTGTGCCTGTACTCCCAGCTACTTGGAAGGCTGAGGCAGTAGAATCACTTGAACCAGGAGGCAGAGGTTGCAGTGAGCTGAGAGCAAGCCACTGTACTCCAGCCTGGGTGACAGAACAAGACTCCGTCAAAAAAAAAAAAAATTGATTAGGAACCTGGTTCTGGAATCGGCTTGAATCATTCCAGCCTTTCATACTTATAGCTGTGTGGCCTTGGGCAACTTACTTAACTTTATCTATAAAATGGGGACAATAGCTTCTCTTCCTCATAGCATGGTTGTGAGGATTAGATGAAGTTCTCAGTGGCATTCCTTGTAAGCTCTAGGGAGATGTTAGCTGTTACTAATGTTTGGCACCATGACAAATGATTAGATGGAACTTTGGAGCAATTAATAATACAAATTAAAATAAGGGGACAAAGCCAGCCAAGGAGAAAAGTAAAAGATCAAGAATAGGGGCATATAATGGCTTTATTTTTCCTTGAGTCTAGTGTGATTCTAACACCTGAGTCCAACCATTCATTATGTAGGTCCGTATCCTCTCCTGTTCTTTTCCTCTCATCCTGGGTACCAGACAGAAGGAAAAACTGAAACAAATGATGAGTCGGCTCCCTTTCTTTCCTTCCATGGTGGCTATTTAGGTGGCTGATTTATGAAGAACCTGGATTTCAGGGTGTTCCTTTCATCCTGGAACCTGGTGAATACCCTGACTTGTCCTTCTGGGATACAGAAGAAGCGTACATTGGATCCATGCGGCCTCTGAAAATGGTAAAAATGAAATCCAAATGTCCTTGTGGTGATTCTTTGTCAGCTTGACGTGGTAATTCACAGGGTGTGACTTTGAAGCAATAAAGCTGACTTTTAAGAAACAAATTTGTAGTAGATTGGACCTATTGCTCAATAGAAATCATGGAAAGAATAACTTGCTAGATGCTATAGATTAAAAAAAAAAAAAAAAAGGCAGGTAAGACTATGTCCTTTGTCTTTAAGGCATTCTCAGCCCTGCAGAGCTGCAGATGGGTGCGCAAAGCTTCAGCGCAGTGTAGGTTTAACAAGTGAGGAAAGTGAAGAATTAAACATTGGTGGAAAAACAGGACAAAGATACATACAATTCCAAGTTGTGGGTGATGTGACAGAAAAGGGATAATTAGGAAAGCTTCATGCTAAATTAAATTCAGTCTTAAAAAATTAGCAGGATGATTTTTTAAATGGAGCTGTCGGTGAATGCACTGTGTGAGCTAGGGTGCAGCCTGAGAGAGAGCAGGGCACGCTGAGGACCGGCTCGGCTGCCGTGACACGAGTGGGTGGTGTCTTGGGGGTCTCTGGGGCTGGACCAGATGAGTGTTGTCCTCCTGAGTATCTGCTGTGGAAGCTTTGTGCTTCCTCTCCCTTGTCCCAGTGTCTTGCTTTGTTCTTTGTTTCTTCCGCTAGACTGTCAGCTTTGGGAGGAAGCAGGCCGCATCTGTCTTGTCCCCAGTGTTGAGCGCAGTGTGTGCTGCAGCATGGAAGTTGTTCCCTAAATACCCACAGTGAGATGAGGCTCCCATTACAAACATGTTTTTGAAGCTGCACTTCGCAGTTGTCTTCTGAGACAGTTTGAGACAAATTAGAAAGTTAGGAAGACAATTTTTTTAATGTTAATTTTACCCATCCTTCCAAAGTATTTGGTTTAATTATCTGTATGTTTGCTGGTCTTAATGCAAATGATTTGGGCTTTTGTTTCTAAAATTAAACTCACTTTCAAAGAACAAAGTTTTGTTAGTTTTGTGAATGTATGAAAGAATTCATCCAGGTTTTAGGAGCAGTTTGTAATGATGATGAAAAGTCTCCAAAGTCTATGGTGTTCAAACAGGATTACTTTTGAAAAGGTCATGTGCTTAGTTGTATAATCTCTGGTTTGCTGATAATATCAGCCACATTCCTTTTTCCTTTTTTTTTTTGCTTGTTTTTTCATAAAAGTTAAGGAAACCAACACATTCTTTTATAATTATAGTTCATTTGGTGCCTTTGAGCATCCTTGGTGGTACTTTTTTTTAAAAAGCTATTAAAGATATATTAATTTTAAAAAAATCCAACTTTCCCATTGCTGATTTAAACTCTTGAACTATTTAATATTTTTGTGCAATATCTTTTTAATGTAATACCATTTCTCTGATTTTAGTGAGTTTTTTTGTTTTTAAAAAGCTTTCTATTTTATAACAACCCCTCATAGACTCATCCTTTGGGATGTTTTAAATTTTATTTAACAGTTTATCTAATTATTCCATGAGTCCCCCAGATCTTATTATGTGAACTTCAACACATAATAGTTTCGTAAGCCCTGGTTGCAAAATCAAATACCTTCAGGGGCCAGGCAGCAAATACAAATGGCTGAGAGTTAAACCGAAGGGAATGGTAGAGACGGCAACCCCGGGCCTGTGCCCAGCTGAAGGATGAACTGAGGGCAGGATCGTTAAATGCAGAAGCCGAAGACAGTGGCCTGGGAGAATCTGGGTCCAGAGATGTCAGCTCTTGGAACTGCTTTTTCAAGAGAAGTATGGATTTTTATGATAAATTTTCCAAGTTAAAAAAACTTGCTAGGTCAAAAAACACTCCTACAACGCAGATCAGCTTATAGACTGCTTGTGCGAGGCTCCGTTCTAGCCTGCCTTCCTCGTGTCTTCATCTGTATTGTTGGTAATTTTAGAACTATCTCACGTAAGTTAAAACAAACCAGAACATAGTCACACTGAAATTCAATGTTTTACTGTAAACTGCTATGGCTAATATAAAATGGTAATGTATCAGTGAAAAACTATTTTTCTTACTATGTTGTTTTTTTCAGGGTGGCCGTAAAGTTGAATTCCCTACAGATCCAAAGGTAAAAATATATATGTATTTTTGTATGTATGTATATGTAATTATTTAAACATATACACATATATATGTACTTAATGTTATTCCCACTCCATCTCTATGAAGATATTGCTTATGTGACTTCTCATATTAAACCTCTGTCACACATAAATGCAGCCAAAGGAAGTTGCCAACTTACACTTGCCATCCTTCAGGGTGGAAGATGATGCTAATGGCACTGGTTATCACTAAGAGTACATTTAGCCATGGCTCAGAAGGGTCATTGTTATATTGAGTTAACAATTTGCAGTTGTATTTACTAATTGCAGGGCTTCTTGCTGCTTGCCAATTAGCCAGGAAAAAACTTTTTTAAGACAAACTTTCCCTACTCCAAAATACCCTTTCTGCTATTCCCAATTCCCACATCGATGCCACACACTATAACTTTTCAATTTTCAATTTTAACACTACTTTAGAATCCTCTGGTTCCTTCTATGTGGTTCTAAATATCAGTTTTATATATACATATATATGTGTGTGTGTATATATTTATTTTATATATATATGTATATAAATTATTTTAAAACTGTTTGGAACCATGGCTTTGGGCTATACCACATTAGGGAAAAAAAAAAGCCAGATTTTTTTTTTTCTTTTTACTATCTTATCAGATGCCATTATTTAGGGTTTTTTTTTTTTTTGTGGAGACCAGGCCTTGCTCTGTCACCCAGGCTGGTATACAGTGGCACCATCACGGCTCACTGAAGCCTCGATTTCTCCAGCTCAAGCCATCCTCTTGCCTCAGCCTCCTGAATAGCTGGGACTATAGGCATGTACCACTACACCCAACTTTTTTTCTTTTTAGCAGAGATGAGGTTTCACCATATTGCCCAGGTTGGTCTCAAACTCCTGAGCTCAAGTGATCCTCCTGCCTTGGCCTCCCAAAGTGCTGGAATTACAGGTGTGAGCCACTGTGCCTGGCCTAGTTAATTTTTTAAAATATGATTAGAACATTTTATTTTATTTTATTTTATTTTATTTTATTTTATTTTATTTTATTTTATTTTATTTTGAGACAAGAGTTTCACTCTGTCACCCAGGTTGGAGTGCAGTGACGTGATCTCAGCTCACTTAACCCTCTGCCTCCTGAGTTCAAGCGGTTCTGCCTCAGCCTCCTGCGTAGCTGAGATTACAGGTGTGCATCACTATGCCCAGCTAATTTTTGTATTTTTAGCAGAGATGGGGTTTCACCATATTGCCCAGGTTGGTCTCAAACTCCTGAGCTCAAGTGATCCTCCTGCCTTGGCCTCCCAAAGTGCTGGAATTACAGGTGTGAGCCACTGTGCCTGGCCTAGTTAATTTTTTAAAATATGATTAGAACATTTTATTTTATTTTATTTTATTTTATTTATTTTAATTAAATTTAATTTTATTTTATTTTATTTATTTTATTGAGACAAGAGTTTCACTCTGTCACCCAGGCTGGAGTGCAGTGACGTGATCTCGGCTCACTTAACCCTCTGCCTCCTGAGTTCAAGCGGTTCTGCCTCAGCCTCCTGTGTAGCTGAGATTACAGGTGTGCATCACTATGCCCAGCTAATTTTTGTATTTTTAGCAGAGACGGGGTTTCACCATATTGGCCAGGCTGGTCTCGAACTCCTGACCTCAAGTGATCCACCTACCTCAGCCTCGCAAAGTGCTGGGATAACAGGCGTGAGCCACCGCGCCCAGTCAGAAAATTTTAATTTGTGTGTCAGGACTTAGTGATATTAAATGACTGATTTAATGTTAAGCTGTTGGGATACTTCTTACAGATTACTGGTATATCTCATTTCTATTGTAGGTAGTTGTTTATGAAAAGCCTTTCTTTGAAGGAAAATGTGTGGAACTAGAAACAGGAATGTGTAGTTTTGTCATGGAGGGAGGTGAAACAGAAGAGGCGACTGGAGACGATCATTTGCCGTTTACGTCAGTGGGGTCTATGAAAGTTCTAAGAGGCATGTAAGTACATGGGTGACTTGTTAGGATTTCTTTTTTTTCCGAAATATTAAGTAATAAATGTGCCCTTTCCCCCCTAAAAACAACATTCCTGATTCTATAGTATGGTGAATTTTGACAGTTATATCCACATTCTCCTCAGCCTATAGTGACTGGATTTAAGAAAGCAGTTTGAGGCTGGGTGTGGTGGCTCACACCTGTAATCCCAACACTTTGGGAGGCCAAGGCGGGCGGATCACCTGAGGTCAGGAGTTCAAGACCAGCCTGACCAACATGGGGAAACCCCATGTCTACTAAAAAATACAAAATTAGCTGAGCGTGGTGTCACATGCCTGTGATCCCAGCTACTTGGGAGGCTGAGGCAGGAGAATCGCTTGAACTCAGGAGGCAAAGGCTGCGGTGAGCCAAGATCGCACCATTGCACTCCAGCCTGGGCAACAAGAGCGAAACTCTGTCAAGGAAGGCTGATACATTGGCCTGTTCAAGTTGATCAAATCTACAACCTTGCTTATTAGAATTATGCTCCAAGCTATTGAACAGTTTGATAGTTCGCTTTCTGATTTTTATATTTTTGCATCTTATAGATCTTGCACATTTCCCATAGAAGTGCACACTAAAGTTGCTCTTGTAAATCGCTAACTATTCATAATATTTTTGTTACTATCTGAAGTGAGTTTATCCAGTTTTGCTTGCTGAGGTTCTTTTGAGTCAGCCCTGATTAAACACACACACATACACACCACTCACACACACGCTCCCCTTCCCTTTTTTATACAACTCTGATATATGTCTCTTAGGTTATTTTCTTGGGGCCATTCTGTTATTCTCCTAAATTTTAAAGAATTCCAATGATAATAAAGCAGAAGGTCATGTCTAGCTTTATAACTATTTGTATTTTTCAATGAAATTGATATGTACCTTGAAAAAATGTTAACATGTCTGGAAATGACTACTCCTCGTGTTCTTTATGTTGCAGTTGGGTTGCATATGAGAAACCTGGATTTACCGGTCATCAGTATTTGCTAGAAGAAGGAGAATACAGGGACTGGAAAGCCTGGGGAGGTTACAATGGAGAGCTTCAGTCTTTACGACCTATATTAGGTGTAAGTAAAGGACAAGCTAATGGCTAATACTTGGTCTTCTTTGGATAATAAATGGCTAGCCTTTGAATTTTGAATTTTTTTTCTCAATAGGATTTTTCAAATGCTCACATGATAATGTACAGTGAAAAAAACTTTGGATCCAAAGGTTCCAGTATTGATGTATTGGGAATTGTTGCTAATTTAAAGGAGACTGGATATGGAGTGAAGACACAGTCTATTAATGTACTGAGTGGAGTGTAAGTGAAATAATCCAGTTGGAATTTTAAACATGCGTTTTACCTTGGTTTGTTTTAAACTGGTAAGAGTCTATCACAGAGTAGGCATTCAATACACAAATATCTCAACAGCTTAACATTAAATCAGTCATTTAATAGTTGCTGTCATGATATTTTCGTTAACTCTCTTTAAAAATCGTTCTCATACCATCTCTTCTTTTTACGTTTGGGGTAGGCTTTGGGTATCATGATAGAAATCTACAGATCTGTTTCCCTTGTCATTCTGCACAGAAAGATAGTGAATTTTTTAAATGATGGAGATCAAATAATAATAATAGTAATCTAACATAAACCTGAGGCTGGGTCAAAGTCCCAGTAGATTTTCCTGTGGTCCTACACCTGTTCCAGTATATTTCTTCACTATTAGTTTGACATAAAAATAATTGTTCTATGTACGTGGAGTTAGCAGTTGACTGTTTTATTAGTGGTGAAGCAAGTTTTTATTGAAAGATGTTTAGTCAAGATTCTTTGGGATGAAGTGACTGCAAGCCAAGCTAAATTGGCTCAAGGGATTAAAATGGAACTTACTGGCTTAAGTAACTAAAAAGTCCTGGAGAAGATTTTGCTTCAGGCATGCCTAGATGCAGCGGATCAAACACTATCAGAACTTAGTCTCTGTGTCTTGACTGGGCTTTTTTCTGTGTTAACTTGACTTTAGGTAGGCCTTTTGCATTTGGTGGCCTGTGGCCACATTCAGCTTTTGTTCTCCTAACTCTTTTTTTTTGAGGCAGAGTTTCACTCTGCCACCCAGGCTGGAGTGCAGTGGCAAAATCTCAGCTCACTGCAACCTCTGCCTCCTGGGCTTAAGCGATCCTCCTGCTTCAGCCTCCCAAGTAGTTGGGACCACAGATGTGTGCCACCAGGCCTGGCTAATTTTTGTATTTTTTTTTAGAGACAGGTTTTTGCCATGTTGCCCAGGCTGGTCTCAAACTCCTGAGCTCAGGTGATCCACCCGCCTTGGCCTCCCAAAGTGCTGGGATTACAGGCATGAGCCACCATGCCTGGCCCCAGCTCATTTCTTGCAGTGGAAAGAGCTTCTCTTTCTCACAAGTTCCATGTTTGACTTTGCTTTCCTAGGCTTGGGTCATGTGCACATGCCTGAACCAATCACTGTAGCCACAGAGACGGCCATGTCTGGGCTACGTGTCCATCTCCAGAGCTGAGATGTAGGGTCTATCCCATAGGAGCCACTTAGATATGAATGGGGTTGGTGGTTCCCCAGGGACATCAGAAAGAGTGGGGAGATAGATGCCAGATGGGCAAAAACAGCAGATGGCTGTTATAGGGAGTTACATAATTATTCTTGTAATCCAGGCTAATGTCTATTCTAATTTGTTATAAGTGAGAGTATTCTCAAATAGTTACATGAAATAATGTGACATTGGTTATGCTGAAAGTGTTTGGTGTTAGGTTTTTGTTGTCATAGTGACATAGACTATTTGAATCATCCTAGCCTCAACCCCATTGTATCTCATGGGGCCTCCCACAATAGCCC
Source organism: Homo sapiens (assembly GCF_000001405.40). Lineage (NCBI taxonomy): Eukaryota > Metazoa > Chordata > Mammalia > Primates > Hominidae > Homo > Homo sapiens. Next base: position 106,546,468 of record NC_000006.12, read on the forward strand.
TGGATATTTGAAAAGTGTGTACAATGTACTAAAAGTTGATGAACATGCTTAACTTTTACTCTTAGTAAATAGAGTAAAAAAAACCTTGTTCAACAAGTTCTTGTCTAGGCCGTTGCATGTGGTGCCATTTTGGCAGAGTATCAGTGATTTCCGGGTATTCCATTCTCAGCAGGAAATGCCTACTCTTGGGTCCTATTCTGGAGCCCTAACATTTTAGAATCAGTAGCCTGTTTGCAAAAGCCAGAAGTCATCTGAAATATAAGGTACAAGTTATCTGAAATGTTGCTGGGGCTCTGCAGTATTTTAGATTGTCTTTAAAGCTAATTATTTAGGAGGAAAACATAGTGACCAACTTAGTCTGGTGAAACAGTTGTACATTTTGATACTCACCAGTTGTGTTGGTTCTATTAGTCAGAGCCTAGTCATCCACCCTGGCAGAGGAAGCAAAAGGATGCTGGGTAGAATGAATTCCCTTAGGTATTTTGTAGATGATGCTATTAACACAGGTAGAATTATTGTGCCTTGAGCCAATCTCCTTTCCTTTTTAACCCAGGCCTTGCTTACTTGAAATCAGTTCCCTTTATAAAGTGCTGCTATTATATGTTTCTATTTTTAGTCATTTCTAATTGCATTTCCTGGCTTAAGCTTCTTTTTTCTGGCTGTAGCAGTTAAGTTTTGGTAGAAGGGGGAAGTTGAAGGGAGCTACGTACACATACGTGGACACACACACACACACACACACACACCACTTCCTTTGAAATTCTTTGCATATGGAAGGGCTTTTGTATTTACCAGGGCCAGGTGCTTCCTCATATTTTGTTCGATTTGTCATTTGACAAGTATTTATTGCGGTCTGTTATGTGCAAAGCATTGTATTATGTCCTCAAAGAAGTTACGGTATTTATGTAAAACATAATTATTGCTACAAAAGAGGTACAGATTAAATGCTCTGGGAATCCACAGCAGAGAGAGATTAATTTCCAGTCTGGACACAGGGAAGGAAGACTTTGTGGAGGAGGTGGCATTGGAGTTAGGCCTGTGGGATAGGATAGGAAGGCTGAGATGAGCCAAGATGATGGAGGAGGACTACCTATTCACTTTAAATAGTTTCAAAGGAAAATTATTGTATTTTAATGGCTTTATTTTTATTGGCAATTAAGTATTTTAGCTTGGTTCTTTATTTCTTATTATGGCATGCATTGTCAGAAAAAAACTCTTCTGAAGTTCTTGTTCCATGAAAGTATCTCCCAGGAGGCTCACCATCACATGGGTAATACATCCCCTGGGCAGTAAACTCATCATTAGTCCTGAAACAGAGAACAGCCTTCAGGAAGGATGCCCATGAAACCAGCAACTGAGGTTTTTAGGAACTGCATTTGATTCTTACTGGAAATGTCGAAAGAAACTCCCTGCTTATCAGTTTCTAGTTCTATGCTATATTCTTGCTCAAATAGTGGAAACTGGGCTAGTTTTTTAAAACTAGGAGCAAAATGAAATATTTCTGGTATTCAGATGAAAACGAAAAGTGTTGTTGTTTTAAATTCTTTTTCCTTTGGCCTTCCACGGAAGGGCAGGTTTACCCTGCTGCCCTTATCTTCTGAGCAATTATTCCACCAGGCTGGGACCTGCTAGTACTTGTGTACATGCCTTTCCCCCGTCTCCCCACCAGTCTTTAAACAGAGGAGTGTTGATTCATGTGTACAGAATACATCTGGACAAGGACAGGGAGGGATTTTCTTAAGAGCCCCAAGTGTAAGTTGTAAGTAGACTCTCGGATCATAGAGCAGAGAATCTCAGATCTGGGTTTTGCGGCTTCTCCCCTCCCCCACTCCCCCCATTCATGGGTGATTCATCAGGTATCTTGGAGGGAAAACAACACTACTGTCAGTTCAAGTAACATCTTAATAAATTGTTTTCCAGCTTCAGCTTCAGTGAATTAGAGATAGGCTTAGCTGGGTGTTGGGTATTTACTTACAAGTAGTTTAGTTTCATAGGAAAATACAGTACCCATACTTGTTAGTAAAAAGAACAGAGTACTGGCTAAAGCTGCTTCCAGGGCTGTCCTCTCTCCTTGGCATTCAGCCTCCCACCTCACTGTCTTTTTTCCCTCCAAACCTTGAAGTCAAACAGAAAGGCCTTTAACCCTCTTATCTCTCTACTTGTTACAGACTCGGAGCCCTGGTGAGAACCCTTTTTTTGATGTGGCTCTACTTCTTTAATTGTTCGTTGTTTTTTTAAAGTCCTAGTGTTTGTAACGTAGATTTTCTTTTTTTTTAAATTTTATTATTATTATACTTTAAGTTTTAGGGTACATGTGCACAACGTGCAGGTTAGTTACATATGTATACATGTGCCATGTTGGTGTGCTGCACCCATTAACTCGTCATCTAGCATTAGGTATATCTCCTAATGCTATCCCTCCCCCCTCCCCCCACCCCACAACAGTCCCCGGTGTGTGATGTTCCCCTTCCTGTGTCCATGTGTTCTCATTGTTCAATTCCCACCTATGAGTGAGAACATGCGGTGTTTGGTTTTTTGTCCTTGCGATCGTTTGCTGAGAATGATGGTTTCCAGTTTCATCCATGTCCCTACAAAGGACATGAACTCATCATTTTTTATGGCTGCATAGTATTCCATGGTGTATATGTGCCACATTTTCTTAATCCAGTCATGTAGATTTTCTTGATGTGCAGACACTCCTCCCACATAGCAGTGCTCCCTGCTCTGGCTTTACTGTTGCTTCCTTTCATGCTGGGGGTAAAGCCTGAGGCCCTGTGGGCAGAGGCAGCACATGCGGGTACCCGTGTGCTGTACAGCATCACCTGGTCAGCCCGGGGACCTTGGCCCACTCTCCTACTTACACTTGAAAATACAAACTTTCACAAAGGTTAAGTGAGTTCTTCAAAGTTATCTGAAAGTTAATGTCATGGCCACAGGTGGAGCCAGGTCTCCTATCTCCTCACCTCTCAGTGATAAAGGATAGGTTTTTAGGCCGGGAACAGTGCTCACGCCTGTAATCCTAGCACTTTAGGAGGCTGAGGTGGGTGGATCACTTGAAGTCAGGAGTTTGAGACCAGCCTGGCCAACATGGTAAAATCCTGACTCTACTAAAAAAAATAAAAAATAAATAAAAATAAAAAAGAACAGGTTTTAAAAATTGCTAGTGAGGTTCTGAAATCGGGGGATGGGGGGTGGTAGGGGGCTGTATTTCCTGAAAGACTGAGTGGTGCATATAGCAGCTTCTCCATTTGGATGGCTGGGAGTGAGTGCACAGATGTTGGCTGTTATTAGCTACTTCTCACTGGAGATTTTGGCAGTGTTCTTTTTTTCCTTGATGGCTGTTCATATTCTAGTAATTACTGTACTTGAGTTTTTGTTTAAATCAGCCCTTTGGATAGTAAAATCATAATCTGCTCTAATTATAAAGTGTGTGGACTGTTTTAGGCATGGTTTACTAGAACAGTAAATGAAAGGGAACTTTCCAGGGCACATGGCAGGTTGGGTCACAAAGCAAGGAGAGCCTGGTGGGCCTCAGGACAGGTAGGTTCAGTCACGTTCTGGCCAATAGTCGATTGTGTCACCCTGGACAAGTCATTTCCCATTCAAAACAAATACCAACAAATACTTCCATGTGATGCTGCTTACCCATCTGTGGGCTTTGGAGGACAGAGATTTTGTCTTTTTCATCTTTGTATATCTAGTGCCAGTCTAGTTCCTGGCACCTGGTAAATGAATTAACTTACTGTGTCTTAGGTTTTTCCCATCTGTAAAATGGGAACACCAATACCTCCCTAGGAGATTAAATGTGATAACAGATGTGGAAACATTTTGCAAAGTTCTGATCACCCTACATAATACATACATAGATATTATTCCTTTAAGCTTTGAGAGGATCATGAGAATGATGAATTAATTGAAAAGATACTTAATGTCTTCAATATAATGGTATTAAGTATCTCTTTAATATAACAGAACTGAAAAACCTTTTCCTTTCAAAGACTTTATCTTTGCATAGGAAATAGCATCATTAAATTGGTTTTGTTGATTTTCCTCTGGGTGTAGATCACTTAAAAGAGAAAAAAACATTCCAAAAGAGATTTATTTTTAGTATTTCTATGAGTTTGCTCAATTTTGTTTATTTAATTTTTACATATTTATGTGATGTTGGAAACACTGTTGGAAACAATATTTTAGTTCTGTTCTGCATTTTTAAAAGCATTTCTTCTGTTAACTTCTTTTTCAGTGTGGTTTGTTGTGTAATAGACACAGCTTCCTAAGATCTTTCTGCAAAAATATTTTAAGGTTGAGAATGAAAGGACTTATTGATTGCTTATTAAAAGAACTAGGTTCTTCTTGAAAGTCCTGTTTGTTTTGTTTCCTTAGAATACAATTAGAAAAAAAAAAGCACAGAGAAGTATTGCCTTTGTAGCTTTCTCAAGAAATAGTATTTGATAAGCGAGAACGCCAAAAAGTTCATGTCAAGATACCCTTACGCTTACCATTTCTTTTGCATTAAGTTTTTTTTCAACTCTTATTTTAGATTCAGGGGGTACATGTGCAGGTTTGTTACATGGGTATATTGCATGATTTCCTGAAGTTTGGGGTACGGTTGAACCCGTCAACCTGAGCATAGCATGCAACAGGTAGTTTTTCAAACCCCCCTCCCTCCTGGCCCCTTTTGTAGTCCCCAGGGCCTATTTTTTTTTCTTCTTTATGTCCATGCATGACCAATGTTTAGCTCCCACTTATGGGCAAGAACATGCTCATAAGTATATGTTCTTGCTCATAAATATTTGGTATTTGATTTTCTGTTTGTGTTAATTCGCTTAGGATAGTGACCTCCAGTTGCATCCAAGTTGCTGCAAAGGACTTGATTTCATTCTTTTTTATGGCTGTATAGTATTCCATGGTTTATATGTACCACATTTTCTCTATCCAATCCACCATTGATCAATGAACACCTAGGTTGATTCCACATCTTGATATTGTGAATAGTGTGGCAGTAAACAAGACACGTGCAAGTATCTTTTTGGTAGAATAATTCGTTTTCCCCTGGGTATATCCCAGTAATGGGATTGCTGGGTTGAATACTAGTTCTATCTTTAGTTCTTTGAGAAATCTTCAAACTGCTTTCCACAGCAGCTAAACTAATTTACATTCCCACCAGCAGTGTATAAATGTTCCCTCTTCTCTGCTGGCTTACCATTCTGATTTGTCCTATAGACAAACCCATCTGCTTCTAAAGGTTAATGGAGAATCAGAAAAATTAAAATTTCAATTGGCAAAACAAATGAAAGTTTCTGTATGATACATAGATATCCAAATATGTGATCGTTTTATATGTAAAATATGAACTCCAACAAGTGATTGCTTTTGTTTCTTAGATGGGTAGCCTATGAAAATCCTGACTTCACAGGAGAACAGTATATACTGGATAAAGGATTTTATACCAGTTTTGAGGACTGGGGAGGCAAAAATTGTAAGATCTCTTCTGTTCAACCTATATGTTTGGTAAGGAGTTATATTTTTGTATGAGAATATTTAACTGAATTCTGGATTTCCTTAATGTGTGTTCCTGGTTCATGTAATAGTAATTGCTATGGAAAATATTCTGAGTTTATTTTTAGCAGTAATTGCTAATAATCTAGAAGAAAAAAACTTTTTCAATGTGTTTGTTCTATTCATTTCCTTTTCTCCTTCCTTTAAAAATTTTTAGGATTCTTTCACTGGCCCAAGGAGACGAAATCAGGTAACTTTAAAAATATTCTTTTATATTAATATATAAAGGGCCTTCCATTGAAAAGCTGAACTTATGTTTCAAATGTCAGACATTTGGGGCCGGGTGTGGTGGCTCACGCCTGTAATCCCAGCACTTTGGGAGGTCAAGGCAGGTGGATCACTTGAGCTCAGGAGTTCAAGACCAGCCTGACCAACATGGGGAAACCCCGTCTTTACTAAAAAGACAAAAATTAGCTGGGTGTGGTGGCTTGTGTCTATAAGCTCAGCTACTCAGGAAGCTGAGGCAGGAGAATTGCTTGAACCCCAAGAGGCAGATGTTGGAGTGAGCCGAGATCGCACCACTGCACTCCAGCCTGAGTGACAGAGACTCTGTCTCAAAAAAAAAAAAAAAAAAAAAAAAAAAAAAATCAGACATTTGGGACATTTTGTTAGTTTTACTCATTTTTATGCCTGAAAGCATAATTGTATTTAAAAAATAAGATTTAAGTTTACTTTAATGGTTAATTGACAGTACTGACCCATGTCTAAATAATTCTTATAAAATGCTTATTGTATAAAGCTGAATTTTATATCATTACATTGACTCAGTTTATATTAATACATTGAGATTAATATTTCAAACAATAGCATCTAGTTATTGTGATGGTAAAATGAATTTTCATATTTGCTGTGTCGACACTAGACATTTTTTATGGTCTCACTCAAGCTTTCTGAATGCTGATTCTTAACATCAACTGGGGTGTACATTTGTTATTTCGGCCTTTTAATGGAAGTGTTCACAGAGCCATAATTATAGAGGAACAAACACCACTATAGCCTCCTTTATTGGCATTCACAGGATTCCGATAAGTCAGCAAGTGTCTTCCATTGAGAAGGAAGGAAACTACACTATGTCTTTCCAAAATACTGTTTGTCGTTAATGTCAGAACTGATGAACAATGATTTCTGACCACAATAAAGCTTTAAAATACCTCACAGCTTCACAACAGGGTGTTCTATAGAAAGTTACCTTTGTTGTTGCATTTTACTTTGATGTCTCTGAATTAAATAAATAGTCACGAATGGCGCAGCTAACATGTTTCTAATTGATCATGAATGTAGACATGGAAAATTAAAGGATTTCTAAAATTCGTACCAGTTTACTGTAACAAAAGTCAGCAGGTCATGTTTAGGTCATCATTTCAAAGGCTAAATTAGTTAATGTGTTTAGGAAAATAATTTTATGTGTTTCTGTTTACTTTTTCAAAGATTCACTTGTTTTCAGAACCACAGTTTCAAGGTCACAGTCAAAGTTTTGAAGAAACAACAAGTCAAATTGATGATTCATTTTCTACCAAGTCTTGCAGAGTTTCAGGAGGCAGGTAAGTGAAACAAAGGCCTGGCAGAGCTGAATCACTGGAGTAAAACAGAATTCACACATCAGCAAGTATATAGTGATGCCTGTTAGGTGCTTGGCACTATGCGAAACCACCATCTTAGTCCAATGGCGTGCTTCGTGATATCTGAGTACCAGACGCCAGAGGACACGGGCTTCAGGTTGGTTGGAGAAGCTGAAGATCATCTCATTGTGTAATGGAATTCAGAGCAGGTTCTTTACTCTGTATGTCTTCCCATCATCTAGAAAGGGAGAGTTGGGCTCTAGTTAATCCAAGGTACCTCCCAAGGTGGATTGTTCAAAGGACAGGATCGGCACTCTGCATTAACAGGAAGGTAGAAAGTACACGCTGGAGTGGAGCTGGTGGACACGCGAATCAGGGAGCATACCAGTCCGGCTTGCTGGGAGGGCTTTGTACTGGGAGGAGAAGCAAAGCTGAGCACACTGAGTTTAGATGGCTTCCACAGGAAACACAAGACCCAGGGCAAAGGCAATGGGCTCAATTGTTTCATGCTGAAACAATCCTTGTACAAAAGCTTCATGGAGAGGGGAGAGCCCAAGGTCAGGGAAACTCGGTCAGGAAAGCCTTGGAGCAATCTGTGCAAGAGGTGTTGAGGATTTAAGTCTCTTAATAATAGTAGTAATAGTGCCTTTAATCACGTGGTTCTTTATGGTTGAAATAATGCTATCCTGTCCTTTAGTATTGCACAGCAAAAAAGCACTGACTTTGCATTCAAATACACAGATGGAGGCCGGGTGCAGTGGCTCCTGCCTGTAATCCCAACACTTAGGGAAGCCAAGGCAGGCAGATCACTTGAGGTCAGGAGATCGAGACCAGCCTGGCCATCATGGCAAAACCCTGTCTTTACTAAAAATACAAAAATTAGCCGGGCATGGTGACACACCTGTAATCCCAGCTACTTGGGAGGCTGAGGCAGGAGAATTGCGTGAACCCAGGAGGCAGAGGTTGCAGTAAGTTGAGATCATAGCACTGCACTCTAGCCTGGGCAACAGAGCAAGACTGTCTCAGGAAAAAACAAAAAAGGCAAATACATAGTTGGATAGTAAAGCTTCCTAGTTTGTTGGACATACTGCTACCACATCCCCACTCCTCGTTATCCCCTGCCTGCTTCATTTATTACCTCCAGTCCTGTGCATGTTTAAAATTACCTGTCTCAGCTCACTAGAGTATTAACTTCAGGAGAGCAGGGACTTTGGTTCTCTGCTGTATCCCCAGCAATAGAAAAGTACCTGACACATAATCCTCAAAAGGCATTTGTTGGGTTAAAAACAACAACAACAGGGCCAGGCACGGTGACTCACACCTGTAATCCCAGCACTTTGGGAGGCCGAGGTGGGCAGATCACCAGGTCAGGATTTCGAGACCAGTCTGGCCAATATGGTGAAACCCCGTCTCTACTAAAAATACAAAAATTAGCCAGGTGTGGTGGCATGCACCTGTAGTCCCAGCTACTCAGGAGGATGAGGCAGAAGAATTGCTTGAACCCAGGAGGCAGAGGTTGCAGTGAGCCGAGATCATGCCACTGCACTCCAGCCTGTGTGACAGAGCGAGATTCTGTCCCCCCGCCACCAAAAGAAAAGAAAAAAAGGAAAAAAAAAAAAAAGGCCCACAAACTTCTAGGGGAGCATGGCAAATCACCATTTTATGAATAATGTTGATACCAGAGAGGCTAAGTGACTTGTCTAAGTCAATATAGTATTTTGACTCCTGGCCCAGTGCAGAGGTATTAGAAATGAGGATAGAGGAGTGTGCGAGAAATTTTGGAAGGAAATCAATAGACCAAATCAATAGGCCTTGGTGATTAACTAGTCACAAAGCTTGAAGAAGGATTATTCAAAAAGGACTTGAGGGCTTGAAGCTCCACTGGCTGGGCAAACGGTGGCACCCATGAGAAGAGCAAGGAAGGCTGGAGGCTGGGGAAGTCAGAAAGAACGTGGAGAAAGAAGTTTGTTTCCCAAATGCAAAGTTAACTGACTTATTATGAATATTATTTTGCCACAAGCAGAAATGCAATAAATATATCCAAATATTTTTGAAGAAAGAACTCTGTTTGCCAGAAGCATTGTGTTTATTTTATAGCAGGCCACCTCTAAAAATCAGACTTCTTGAATAGGAGTGCTCAAGTTGCATATTCTGTGCATGTGTGTGGTTTTTCCCATTGTAGCTGGGTTGTATATGATGGAGAAAATTTCACTGGTAATCAATACGTGTTGGAAGAAGGCCATTATCCTTGTCTGTCTGCAATGGGATGCCCGCCTGGAGCAACTTTCAAGTCTCTTCGTTTTATAGATGTTGTAAGTATGTCATTGTGAATAGTGTTGCAGAAATGTATGCCTCATATAGCTGATGGTCAGAGTGAGGTAACCAGCCGGTAGAACCTGCTCTTAAAGTTAGTTAAGGGCTTGGAGATGGAACTGTCCATTTGGCTCTGTGTACATCTAGTTTATTGATTCTAACTGGTACACGTTTTCCACCACCCTGTTTTACTCACTTAATCCTCATATGCATATCCCTATGGACCTGAGTGGGAGTCTCTTGGACTATATATTAGGAGTAGAATTACTGGATTTCACATGTAAGAACAGGCAGTTTCATTCAGTACTGCCAGATCCCACCACTTGAGACTCCCACCAGCAGTACACATTGTTGCCATTACTGAATATTCTCTCATTCTAATTTTTGTCAACTTGATAGAATGAGCAGAAAGCAGTATGTCGTCATTGGGTTAATTTGTATTTCACTATTAGTGAGGCTGGTATCTCTTATTTATAATTTGCATTTTCTATTCAAGGAATTGTGTATTGTATCCTTTGCAATTTGGCTTCCTCTACCTTTGGTTGTTATTATTGAAGAAATTCCTTATAGGTTTTTAGTCTATTATTATTCTGTGTTTTAGAGATTTGCAATCAAATGACTTCTCCCAGTTTGCCACTATGTGCTAATCCAGATTATAGTGCCCTCTTTTGGACAGAAGTCTTTCAGTTTGATGTAGTGGAAGTAATATTCAATAGAACAAAACTGCAAGATCATGTTGAGATATTAAAGTCTGGAAGTATCTGTCGTTTCTGACATTTTTATTAGTTTTTGGTAACTGCTTTCTCATAAAAAGCTTTAAACACACGTAATTGCTCATTTTAGTTTTAAATGTAGGAAGAACGTATGTGAGTTGGTTTTCATCTCATCCCTGCCTGCCTGTTTAAATAGCAAAAATGCTACTGAGACATGAAAATAGTAACAAAGAAACATGAAATGAGGTAGTAAGATTCATTAGCTTACAAGTAATGAATAAGACTTTGATTGTTATTCTGCCTAGAATTCTAAAAGCTACCTACAAGTATATATTTGAAAATTTCAATGCCTTCCCTCAACCAGAACTTGGCATATATGCTCACAACACTCTGAGGCTATAGATGACATCTTTTTATGTTTTAATTGTGAGGAAATGAATGTTTTACCCATATGAAGACTACATATCTTTGTGACTTAATACTTCAAAATTATTTAATTGCTTTTTAATACTAAAGTGTTTAGAACATTTTTGGGCTTGCCATCTCAAAAGTGCAATAAAAGTGCAAAGTAGTAATACTACTATAATTTTTGTCTTCTTTCCTCCATGTATGTTTTATATAAACTAATTCCTAGACCACACAAACTACTTCTACACACTAACATGCTCTGTTTACTGATGGACAAAATCTTTTTACCAGTCAGGACACATCCACATAAATGAAGCAGTAAGGTACCGCACCCTTTCCACAAACTTTAAGCAGGATAGGGAAAAAATTGTAATCCCCACATGCTTTTATTTTTTTTTTTTTTGAAATGGAGTCTCACTCAGTTGCCCAGGCTGGAGTGCAGTGGCATGATCTTGACTCACTGCAACCTCCGCCTCCCAGGTTCAAGTGATTCTCTAGTCTCCCACTCAGCCTCCAAAGTAGCTGGGATTACAAGCATGCACCACCATGCCCGGCTAATTTTTTTGTGTTTGTTTGTTTGTTTTTGTATTTTTAATAGAGATGGGGTTTCACCCTGTTGGCCAGGCTGATCTCAAACTCCTGACCTCAAGTGATCCGTCCACCTCGGCCTCCCAAAGTGCTGGGATGACAGGCGTAAGCCACCATGCCCGGCCTCCCACATGCTTTTTAATGCATCATTTATGATCTTAGCAGTACTATCATTAGAGATTAATGTAGAATCAAAAGTGTCTATAATTTGAAAAAACAGGCATAAGCTGCCAACTTTTCATTTTCCTGAACAGTGAACGTTTGTGCTGTTGTCCTCTTTAAAATGATTGACAGTTTGAACATAGAGCTTCCATCCTGTTGTTTTTTTTCTCTCCTCTTGACAATGATTCCTACAGGAAAGTTTGGGAGCATGAGTACACAGAATCATTGTCTTAGTGATGAACAGAAAAAAAAAAGACATTTGAAAATACATACAAGAGGAAGGTTCCCTGATTAGGCAATACCACTGTACACTAAGTGACTAAACATCAGATGCCACAGCCCTCTGACCCTTGGCAATTATGTCCATGACTTTCCAGCCCCTCCTTGTCCCAGTGAAAATGGCTAAGTCAAAAATAAATGCCATCAGAAGTGTTGATATTCCCAGCGTATACCCATTTCTCTTTTTTTTTTCCCCCTGTTTTACAAACTATTTATATTTACCTGCCTTCCTATGCAATGGAGAAACTAACTGCCCCTCTGTGCTTTCTCTCTAGCTTGGAGTACACAAACATCCAGGCTCCCTTGGAAAAGGAGTTTATGGAAAGGCCAAATCTAGCAGATTTTTTGTGCTTTGTCCTTGTAACAAGATGATTTTCACATAAGTTTGAATTATTAACAAAGATGAATAACAGAACATTGTTTTTGTTCCTCAACAGGAATTTTCTGAACCAACAATTATTCTCTTTGAAAGAGAAGACTTCAAAGGAAAAAAGATTGAACTTAATGCAGAAACTGTCAATCTCCGATCCCTGGGATTCAACACACAAATACGCTCTGTTCAGGTTATTGGTGGCATGTGAGTTACCTACTTGTTGACTCAATAAAATAGATCATTTTAAAAATCAAGTTTGGGCTGGGCACAGTGGCTCACGCCTGTATTCCCAACACTTTAGGAGGCCGAGGTAGAAGGATCATTTGAATCCAGGGATTCAAGAAAAGCCTGGGCAACAAAGTGAGACCCCATCTCTACCAAAAATTTAAAAATTAGCCAGGTGTCGTGGCACATGCCTGTGGCCCCAGCTACGTAGGAGGCTGAGGCCGAAGGATCACTTGAGCACAGTAGGTTGAGGCTGCAGTGAGCCGTGTTCACGCCACTGTACTCCAGTCTGAGTGACAAAGCAAGACCCTATCTTAATTTAAAAAAAAAAAATTGATCAGATTTCTCCCTCTCTTATATTATCTTAAACTAATTGACATATACCCTCTCTTTTTGTAAGGGTTAATAATTATGCACCTTTGTAGAACACTTTTCCACTGGGAAAAGTCATATGTAAAGCATCTTTTATTTCATTATCCAGATTTTTAGTTTATTTAAGGTAAGGATTTTGTCTTTAACACCTCTCATAGTCTAGCAAGTAAGAAAGAGCTGACTTTACTTATCCCTTTAAAAAAGAGCAAGTCCTCTGATTTTGGAGCTCAGGGTTGGGATTTTCCTTTAGCTGGGAATGACTGGCAGATGTTATACAAATGATTAAAGGTCAACTTGGAAAGATTTTTTTCCCCTCAACTTCGAATACTTTTGAATAAGATATAAAAATGAATGAGTACCATCAATGTAATACATGTTTTTAAGAAAGTATTTTTCTTTTATTCACAAAAACAATAGGTATGGTCTACCTGTGTACAACAGATGTTGGGGTGGACTACATCTATTTAAAAAATAATCAGGCCGGGCTGGGTGCAGTGGCTCCTGCCTGTAATCCCAGCACTTTGGGAGGGCAAAGCGGGTGGATCACCTGAGGTCAGGAGTTCAGGACCAGCCTGGCCAACGTGGTGAAACCCTGTCTCTACTAAAAAATACAAAAATTAGCCAGGTGTGGTGGTGGGGCCCCTGTAATCCCAGCTACTCAGGAGGCTGAGGCAGGAGAATCACTTGAACCCAGGAGGTGGAGGTTGCAGTGAGCTGAGATCACACCAGTGCACTCCAGCCTGGGTGACAAGAGTGAAACTCCATCTAAAAAAGAAAATAAAAAAAATCACAGAAGCTGGGCGCAGTGACTCACGTCTGTAACCCTAGCACTTTGGGAGGTCAAAGTGGGCAGATCACTGGAACCCAGCAGTTCCAGACAAGCCTGGGCAACATGTTGAAACCCTGTCTCTATTGAAAACACAAAAATTAGTCGGGTGTGGTGGTGCACGCCTGTAGTCCCAGCTACTCAGGAGGCTGAGGTGGGAGATCACTTGAGTCTGGGAGGTTGAGGCTGCAGTGAGCTGTGATCGTGCCACTGCCCTTCAGCCTGGGCAACAGAGTGAGACCTACCTGGAAAAAAAAATTATAGAATATTAGGGTGGTAGAATTATGGGTGATTTTTTTGCAGTAGGTTTTAATATTTTGTTTTTATGATAAGATGACTAAAATGATAAAATTTTATCCAGGATTTAAGTTCCAGGATTAAAAGTAGAGTGCATTCTTCCCTGATGTAATATGCAAGAGAGGAGGGCGCTGGGCTGCTTCCACGCCAGTCTGCGCTTAAACCCATACTTCCTCAGGTGTGCAGCAGTAGCATCTGAGCGGAAGGGAACTGAGTATCTTAGCAGTTTTTTAGATTTAACAAAGATTACTCTCACTGCAGACAAAACTTTTTATTTAACCCTATTTAGCACCTACTAAGAGCTTTGGAAATATTAACAACTTAAAGACCCATTATTACAACTGAAGCTATTTTATGAATAGTTCCCAGGAAGAACTGAGGAATCCACTAAAAGACAATATTTCACTGCTTTACGGAGGAAAAAACTTACCTATTTCTCTTCAAGAATGGAACTTTTTGGCATAAGTACTCATGTAACAAAAATTTGCTATTTGTCAAGAAATTACTTCTTTTAAGTGTTCTAGAAAAGATCATTTTTCCCCCAATGTATGTTAAAAGTATATAGTTCAGTCTAGAAATGGAAAGCATTCTAAAAATAAATGTAATTGGGGTCCACTGTCAAATGAAAATTGCCACTTACTGTGGTTATTTTTGTTTTCAGATGGGTTACTTATGAATATGGCAGTTACAGAGGGCGACAGTTCCTATTGTCACCTGCAGAAGTACCTAATTGGTATGAATTCAGTGGCTGTCGCCAAATAGGTTCTCTACGACCTTTTGTTCAGGTATTTTCTTCCTCTCCATGCTCTGCATAGACTCTTCTCTGAAATTTTTTTGTAAATGCAATCCAACTTTTTATCCAATTTTTTTATTCAAAGTTTATAACTGGCCTCACCCTATAAACTCCTTCCCTGCCCCAATAATCTGGGCTCAGTTTCTGGTGCTAAGAGGTGTGGCTGCTTCAGAAGGCCATCAAACTGAACATCAAACGCAGTTATCCACAGGCAGGCACCCTGCCTCAGGCGCTTTGACATTTTGTCAAACTCTTCTCATTGAGAAAATTTAAAACCTCTGAGACTCTTGAGTATGGTAATTACCCTTAATCCATATCTCACTTTGGATTCTTCCTGATATTCATGCTTGTTCAGTGCTTCCAGCAGCACATCTGGTATAACAACTGCTGGGGGTTTTGTCTTCTAGAAGCGAATTTATTTCAGACTTCGAAACAAAGCAACAGGGTTATTCATGTCAACCAATGGAAACTTAGAGGATCTGAAGCTTCTGAGGATACAGGTCATGGAGGATGTCGGGGCCGATGATCAGATTTGGATCTATCAAGAAGGATGTATCAAATGCAGGGTGAGCTTTAGGATTCCACGGGGGCCTGTGATGGCTTTGCTAGGAGGTGACTCATCCTTTCATATGCTTTTGATCTTTTCTTCAAGTAGATGCAATTTCACAATTCCTGGAGTACTTTCAGAAATGAATTTGTTTTTTTCATGACAGTATATCCTAGCTCTGATAGAACCAGTCTAGGAACTTAAAATGAAAGGTAAATATAGCACTGATCCAAGATAGAATATTTATTTCTATGCTTGATTTTTATATAGTAGTAGAAAAAGGAAGTGTGTTATTCTTCCCTTTTTCCTTAATGTAACTGTTACAGAAACAAACTATAAGCTCCAGCCCTGTCAACAAAAATCACTCTTGGTTTGTTTTGGGGAAATCCACAGAACGGGATGAAGGGTAAAGAGATCCCTCTGTGTGCTGCACAGTCCATTTCCTAAGTGTCATACGTTGTAAATTAGAAAATGGCCCATGTCCCTCCTGCATCATTCCTACTATTAACAGACACTTAAAAGCTGACTGTAGTAAGATTTTTATGAAAGAAGCTCATGCTTCTATGGTAGATAAAACTTTTTTACTCCTTGATTTTGTGAGCTTGACCGTTGGCTCCTGATTTTCTTTAAAAAAACAAAACAAAACAAAACAAAAAACCAAAAAAAACCTGGTGCCCCGTGAGTCAGCAGAAGGAACACAGCCTTGCGAAAAGGAGTACAACTCGTTAATTGGGTCTGTTGTGCTGGAGGGGGAATTCTTTCAGTAAACAGAAGTACTGTTTGGACATGCATAGAAGAACTAGCAGGAGGAACAGAAGTAGTTGTAATATGGAATCATGAAAAGAAGCTTTCTGCCTTTGAATTGTCTTAATCCAAGAAAATGGTGTCTTTCAGCAGTTATTTCTAACAGACATTTCAGTGATGTTATTTAACAACTTTGAATTCAATAGGTCAATGAGAAAAAGTCTCCTAGATTATCACAGTGCTTTCATCTCAATATAGAATAATATACTTTAATTTTTTTTAGACGGGGTCTTGCTCTGTCACCAGGCTGGAGTGCAGTGGCACTATCTCGGCTCACTTCAACCTGTACCTCCCGGGTTCACGCGATTCTCCTGCCTCAGCCTCTCGAGTAGCTGGGACTACAGGCGTGTGCCACCACGCCCAGCTAACTTTTTTGTATTTTTAGTAGAGACGGGGTTTCACCATGTTGGCCAGGATGGTCTTGATCTCCTGACCTCGTGATCCACCTGCCTTGGCCTCCCAAAGTGCTGGGATTACAGGCATAAGCCACTGCGCCTGGCCTACAATAATACACTTTTAACAGGCATTTTTATAGCAACATTGTTTTGTTTTTGTGTTTGAGACAGAGTCTAGCTCTGTTGCCCAGGCTGGAGTGTAGTGGTGCAATCACAGCTCACTGTAGCTTCGACCTCCTGGGCTCAAGGGATCCTCCCACCTCAGCCTCCTGAGTAGCTGGGGCCCACAAGTGCATGCCACTATACCTGGCTAATTTTTAAAACTTTTCTGTAGAGATAGGGTCTCACAAGTGATCCTCTCACCTTGGCCTCCCAAAGAGTTGGGATTACAGTTGTGAGCCACTGTACCTGGCCAGTAATTTTTGTTAATGGCATGTGAACATGACTGCCATACATTATTTATATATTAAGGGTAGATTCACTTCAGGGAAGGGCTCATAAAATCTTTGCATTAAAACACCCTCTAGTGAGTCTGCATTTTTCTGTTTTCATAGCTGGAAAGCATGCCTGTTTAGAAAATTTTAATTCTCATGAAGGAAAGACAAATGCTAATAAATGCAATTCCGAGTTTTAAAATGATAAAATGCCCTTTAGCCACCCAGTGCTACAAAATTAGAGGTGCAGTCATATACTGGAAGGTCAGGCCAAGCAGAGGTGGAGATGTCAGAGGGAGATATAGCTACAGAACCTGCCTGGGATCATGGTCACTTATGACAGGGAAAAATATGATGGGCAGTTCTAATGTTATGAGGCTTTCCCTACTAGTAAGATAGTCTTGCAAAGGGCAGAAGTCTCTGACGATGCACAAACATTGAGATTTTCCCATCATTCGTGTCATCTGAAATAAATGGCATAAATATTTATTGTCCGATTCTAGTTGGCTAAGAGCTGAACTGCCTCATGTGGGGTAAATGAAGCTAGGAACTAAGATAATTTTAAAGCCCAATGTAACCAGAGAAATAATTGCTATGAGACTTACAGCTGGATACATATTTAAGATATCTGGTCTTTTCCACTGAGCAGATAGCAGAAGACTGCTGCCTGACGATTGTGGGCAGCCTGGTAACATCTGGCTCCAAGCTAGGCCTGGCCCTGGACCAGAATGCTGACAGCCAGTTCTGGAGCTTGAAGTCCGATGGCAGGATTTACAGCAAGTTGAAGCCAAATTTAGTTTTAGACATTAAAGGTAAGGGTCACTTCCTTTATTTTCTTTATTGTAATGTGTATGTCTTTTAGTTAAGGAAAAATCTATTCATAACTTTTGAAAATGATGAATGTATTATTAGTAGTAACAGTAAGAGAGCCCCTACTGTGTGCCAGCTGCTGTGCTAGCCACTTTCAGTACACCATGTCCCGTCATCTTCACAGCCGCCCTATGAGGCCTACATTATCCCCTCTCCCTCTTTTCTCCCCAGTTTTACAGACAAAACAACAACAACAACAACAACAAAACCCCGGAAGCTCAAAGGGGTTGGCCAGTTTGGCCACAATCTCACAGCTGTAACTGCTGAACCAGAATCTGGCCATAGGCTGACTTCAAACATTTATTTTATTATAATAGTGTTAGGCTAAAAATCACAAGCTGAAAGGCCGTGATTGCACTTAGTTCGGTAGAGTTGATGATTCTCATGTATACACGTGACCTTTCATTGAAAAGATCTAAGATCTCAAAGGAATTAACACAGCCTACAGGATTTCAATGCAACATGTGTTCAATGAAGCTAATAGGGAGTGAACTGATGGTGCTTGGGGGAGAATAAATTTAGCGTGGTTGTCCTCAAACTTTATTTGCATCAGAATCACCTGGAGGGCGGGTTAAAATAGACTGTGGGGCCACATCCTCAGAGACTGAGTCTGTAGGTCTGGGGTGGGGCCTGATAATTCCTTTTCTAACAAGTTCCCAGGTGTTGCCAATGCTGCTGGTCTGAGGCCCACACCCGGAGAACCACTGATAGTCATTTAAAAATAACATAAGAATGACCTAACCTCTGTGTGGGAACTCAGTGAACTAGTGTGTTGCTATTGACAGGTGCAGATGGTGTGTTCATGTCATCTGGGGTAATTCTGCTTTAAATTAATGGGCACTTTTTTATTCCCTATCAGGAAAGTCAGCACAATTGTGTTTTGTAGCGAACTGGTGATAATGTAACCATACTACATACTCCATTAATTTTTTTAAATTTTTATGAGTATATTACATACTCTATTTTAAATCATCACTACAAAATGACTCAATTTTACTTTAATCAGGGATTTAGGCCAATGCTGTCATTAAAGTTTATGATGTAGGGGTAAAGAGCCAGGTGCCGTGGCTCACGCCTGTAATCCCAGCACTTTGGGAGGCCCTGGTGGGTGGATCACGAGGTCAGGAGATCGAGACCATCCTGGCTAACATGGTGAAACCCCGTCTCTACTAAAAAATACAAAAAAATTAGCTGGGTGTGGTGGTGGGCGCCTGTAGTCCCAGCTATTTGGGAGGCTGAGGCAGGAGAATCGCGTCAACCCGGGAGGCGGACGTTGCACTGAGCCGAGATTGTGCCACTGCACTCCAGCCTAGGCGACAGGGCAAGACTTCGTCTCAAAAAAAAAAAAGTTGTAGGGACAAGAAAGTGCTGTAATCTGATTTTTAAAAAACAACTTTTCTGGATAATGGAGAACGAATCTGGACATTTTCATCAGGGGCTTTGGTAACTGTATGGGGAGCAAAAGTGGCTGTCACTTCTGAATGATCTCCAGGTAGGTAGCTTGGCCAACCCACTTAAAACAATGGACTTAGGATCAGACAGAATCTGAGAAGTTGGAAAGATGCTCAGAAGCAAACAATGCCTTTGCCTTCATTAAAGGGGGCACTTAGGGAACACAAACTAAGCACTGCAACTACAGGCTGGATGGAGACCACAAAGATCATATAAAATGCAAGTAGTACCCTTGGATATAAGAAAATAAATGCAATATTCAGAAACCAAACAGTAACATATAGTACAGCTCCCTCACCTTACATTTGGTACAACAGATTTGTCAATATGTAGACAGGTGAAATACTCATTTTATAGATGATCAACCTGAGGTTCAAACTAGTTAAGAATTATGCAGATCTTTGTTTATTCTTATTTTGATAAACTTTATTGCACTAGAGTGCTTCAGTGTTGACAAGAGTTTCAAAATCTCCAGAGACACCAAAGAAATGTGACTCAATTGGAAAAAATGGAGTTTTTGACACAATGTTAGAGAAAGTAGGGTATGTAGTTCTCAAAGGAAATCTGACCAAACCTTCCTGTTTTTTACAAATGTGATCTGCTTCCTATGTCCAGGGTGGACAACACTATGATCCTTAGCTAGAGCTTTCTTCTCTTATTCTTTCAACATGTATTCACGGGGTACACACTATGTGCCAGGCTCGGTGCTAGACACGGAGGGCACCAGCGTGAAAAAAAAAAAAAAAAGCCTCCTCCTTGGCTTCAGACAGTTTACGTTCTAGATGCGCTAGGCACACAGGATGTCCCTGACTTGTTACATTAGCAGCGGACCAGAAGGAAGGACACCTCACTCCTTGTCTTGGCTCTGACATGAACCGTGGGACTCTAGGTTTCTTAAGACTTCTTTTTAAAGCTCCAGAGCCCCTTCCTAAATGACACTATATAAATTACTCAAGTGCCTGCTGAGTAAGCATAATGTCCCGTATATTTGTGAAATCTCAGTATCTAGCACGGTAGCAACAACAGTCTTTTTTTTTTTTTTTTTTTTTTTTTGAGACGGAGTCTCACTCTGTCGTCCAGGCTGGAGTGCAATGACACGATCTCGGCTCACTGCAACCTCCGCCTCCTGGGTTCAAGCAATTCTCCTGCCTTAGCCTCCTGAGTAGCTGGGATTACAGGTGCCTGCCACCACGCCCGGCTAGCTACAACAGTTTTAATTCCTTGTTAAACTGAATTTAATTTTCTCAGACTGGGAGAATGGTGCCATCTTGTGGACATGAGAGAGCAGCGCCGCACGTCCCACACCCCATGCAAAGGAAAATATAAACACGTCTCTTCTCGTTGGTGCACTTACTAGCAGACCATGATTTCCATTAGCTACAACTACTGAACCATTTGTTATCTATTAAAATTGCCCTAAGAATTATTAGATCATGCATCTGTCTTCTAGCTCATCTTCTTGTGTTTGGGAAATGAGTTCTTTTGGTAGACATTCATGTATTATTCCAGACCACATACCTTGTAACAACAGTGGAAGCTGATTCATGTTCACTTTAAAAAACATGAAGTCTGCACAATTTAAACACTCTCCAAAGGCAAGAGAATGAATCAAATTATTTCTCAAGAACTTTCTAGTTTTCATGATTCTAGTTGAATTTATATGAAAGTATTTTAAGATACTTTACTTTTAAAATACAAAAGATACTCTTAAAATACAAAAAGTATTTTAACATACTATAATGAAGAATGAAAAGAGACATTGTGACTTTAATACTTCCTGAAATTTCAGTGGAGTATGCTGTGTGTCTCTGTCTCGGCAGAGTGTAGGGTTTGCTGGTAGTTTTTTCCCTACTGCTACAAACTTACACATAAAGGCCCAAAACACCTTACCCTTGTATTCTATAGTACATCTAGCCATACATCTAGCTGTGTAGAGGCTGTAGATTACCAATGATGATAAATCAGTGTCTCACAAGAGAAGAGACGATTTCCTTCCTCAACTATAATACCTAGATTTATTGTGTAAATTCCCAAACCTTTTTCATATTTTGTAAATGCTTCAAAGGTGAAAAGAATGTTTATTTCTTCTTGATCCAAGGAGGAAGCATGCTTTCAATACCAGTCACTCCCTGCATCAAAATGCACAGATTTTTACTTTGATGGGGTCTTTGTTGATACATCCTTGGTGCTGAGGTTTATGCTAAAAAAAGGATAAGCCATCTGAAGGGATCTTTATTCTACACTGGAAAAAAAAAAATCAGATAACCCTTTTGTTAATGATACTTCTCCAAAGAAAGAAGCCATGAGGCTGTTTTTAGCACTAAAGTATCTGAAACATCCAGTAAGCACCTTTGGAAAATCTTACAAACATTCTGGTAACAGGGAGAGAGTTCATGATAATAGTTTTACAATACTGTGGTACTCAGCATCCTAAATGCTATGAAATTTTATCCACCAACTGAGTCCCCAGTAGTGACAATGCTACCGCGTCCCCTTATGTACTTCCGGGTGTCATCCAAACCTCCCCTTTGACCTAATACAGCCCGTTTTCATTGTTCATGCAAGTGCTGTTCCTCGATAACCATTCCTCCCACCTTTCCACCACTGCCAGGACTACCTGCTCTTTCCTCGCTGGTGTCTCGAATCTACCATCTCACCACCAAATATATGTTAGTCTCTTTACTCCTTTTCCCTTCTCTCGGGTTTTCCCAGTTCCCTTGAATTTCAGACATTGTAAGAGTGACTGTGGACTAGCTCTTAAGAACTGGGTAGAAAAAGGAGCCCGTGAGGTGGGATGTCCTGTGTGAAGGTGCTGGTGCCCCAATGGTGGGATCTGGACAGATTCACCCATGGCAGGTTGACCCTCTCATCCCACAGGGGCCCAGGCTTCCCTCCCTGCCTTGCCTCCTTGAGGCATGCAGTTCTACACCTTGTTTACTTGCTTACTTTTGCTGTACTGGTGTTAGGGGAATTGTGTCTGCTATAGACCCTTCACCATGGGTACATTCATCTTTTATTATTTTCCTTTCTTTTAGGGGGCACACAGTATGATCAAAATCACATTATCCTCAACACTGTCAGCAAAGAGAAGTTTACACAAGTGTGGGAAGCCATGGTCCTATATACCTGAACAAAGAAGGAAGAAGAATCTTCTGGAGGTCCTTCCAGCCACCTTATTTCTTAAAAAGGACAATGCTGATGGAAGACCAGACTGGAAAGTGGATCGACTCCTCCTTCATTGATTCTAAATTCAACCTTAAATCATGCTGCCATGACTCAGAGAACTTACTCATCGTTTCAAAAGACTATCATAGCTTTAAACCAATAATTTGTCCTCCTTTCATTTCTTGCCTTTCATTTTTGGTAGCTGCTTAAACAGGTTGCCTAATTAGCAGCTTTTGGGTGATTTTGTAAAATGTTATATCAAGATTTCAAGACTGTGTACATTTTAAATTATTTCCAAAGATAGTGACAGGAGAGAACTGGAACAAATTTACCAACTTTGTGGACCTACAAAGCCCTTACACTTTAAAGGGTAAGACAAAGGCTTAAGTTTGAAAGGTAGAGAACTGTTTAGCATCTGAGAAGAAATACTTTATTAGGCCTGTAATTTTGGTTCTTGGCCTTAAACACTTTCTGGAACCTTTAAATATGCTGCATAGCACAATGGGAAAGCCTTAGGTATTCACACATTTAAGGAACTCTAAACAAAATACTATTTTCCTTTAGTTCATATTAAAAATTAATACATTTTAAAAATTTAATGTCAAAGTCTGGTAACATTTGTTAGTAGGATTTGAGTTATTATTTTTTGAGACAGGATCTCAGGCTGGAGTGCAGTGGCACAATCACGGCTCACTGCAGCCTCTACCTCCCCAGGCTCAGGTGATCCTCCCACCTCAGCCTCCCAAGTAGCTGGGACTATAGGCACACATCACCAAGCCCAGCCAAATTTTGTTTTTTTTTTGTAGAGATGGGGTTTCATCACGTTGCCCAGGCTGATCTCGAACCTCTGGGCTCAAGCAATTCACTCGCCTCGGCCTCCCAAAATGCTGGGATTACAGGCCTGAGCCACTGCGCCCAGCCAGGATTTGAATTATTTTAACTCATCCATGGGCTGCCCTAGAATGTCACAAATGAGGGTTGTTTAATGCCTTTCTTATAGCTGCTACTGGAACACTATTATGACCTAATTTATGAGCCATCCTTACTCATCTACAAGTGCTGAAGCAATGTTACATACTTTTTTGCTAAACTCAGATTTTTTAGCCTAATTTCTTGTCCTCCTATCCACCTGCATCCACACATGGCCTGCATGGGGCTGCCTTCCCTGCAGTGTTCTGCAGCCATGCTTCAGGGTATAGCTGTTGGTGGACAGCCTCAGGTCTTGGGGGCACTATAGCCACTAAACGAGGTGTGAAAGGCTCAAGAGGATGACCAGCAATTAATTATCCCCAGAAAGTGAAGGAAAAGAGACCTTTAGGGATGTTGCTGGTCAAGTCTTGATTTGACCGGAGTCAAATCAATCTTCAAGCAATCTTGGAATCCTCAACTGCAGTAAGCATTTCAAAATGCAAACAAACTGCTTAACAACTGACAAGACACCAGCCCATACGCTGCTCTTCCAACAGTGGGTTCTAGCTTTGAACAAAAGTGCTAAACATTTCCTTGAATATATTCTTCCTCTTTTTGTCCTCATCACTCAATACTGGTGCTCTTGTCACAGGTAGAACAGCTTGTTTCTTTTCCATCTATTCAAGTGTGTTTCTAATTCTAAAATGCTGATCTTCTCTGGAGTCTATGGTAGGCAATTATGGTCACTGGAATAGTTTGTCTTGTTTTAAAATATTATTGGTGCATGTACAACAGCATCCAACATATCTGTCTTGTTCCTAGATATATAGCTCTGATTTTAGGCCTTTTGTGCATACCATTACAATATGGTGGGGTAAGACATTCTACAGTAGCCTGTGCTGAACTGATCTCTTAAATAAACTTGCTTCTGGTTAACTATGTTGATGAAATCTGAGAGTCCATTCAGTAGCCCTCATCTCACCCTTCAAAGAGAGTCAGCTAGCAGATTAGAAACAAATGTCTGATTAGGATGAAGCAGGTTTGAGGGGTGCTGGTATAATAGCAAGAAAGATTTGCTGACCACTCTCTTTCCAAACTCCATAGTTTCTGAGTGGAAACGAGGATGAGTGAGGTCCTGGCTCAAGTATTTTACTCCCACTACCACCTGGGAGCCCTCCAGGAAAAGAGCTGAGGCTGCTCCAGATGGAAGTCAAGAGCAGCTGGTATTTACACCTGGAAAATCAGATTTTTTTTTCTTTTGCAATAACTCGGTAGTAAGACCAGACCAACAATTTTAGAGAAAAGCCTACATCTAACATACATGCTACCAAACGAGTGTCTAACAGGAATAAACCAAGCAGAAATCTCAAAACAGGTCTACATCAAAAGTTACAAGCAAGCATATCAGGTGCAATACTGAGGATGAGTATATTAGGAAGTAAAAACACTTACCGTAAATGAATATTCGAAGTGCACACTGCAATGGGTTGATTGGAGAGATATCTAAATGTAAACATTTGACATCAAAGTGGCAAGCTTTGGGCTCCATTGGAAGGCTGCAATTTCCATGGAAAAGCCCTCAGAGAAGCATGTTTCAATTGCCGAAACAGGCCTAATCCTTATGCAAGATGTAAGGGTTTTAAAAAGTTAGAAACTCTGCTCTCACCTTTCAATATTAAGAGCATAAACAAATGAATCACCAGGCAGATTTTTATATATGACACTAAGAGATTTAGAACTTTAAGAGCTGTGGTGACCACATTATGGTGGAGGAACAAAAAAGGAAACCTTGGCAGTTAGAAAGCTGCTCAGTGATGAATTCAAGAAGGAACCAGCTTTAAATTATCTCTTCATGCCAACATCCATCTATACACTGAAAGTTTTAGTATTGTACATTAAGACGATCAGGCCCAGCAGGGTGGTTCACGCCTGTAATCCCAGAACTTTGGGAGACTGACATGGTGGATCACTTAAGCCCAGGAGTTTGAGACCAGCCTGGGCAACATGGCAAAACTGTCTCTACTAAAAATACAAAAAAACTAGCTGGGTGTGGTGATGCATACCTGTAGTCCTACCTACTTGAGAGGCTGAAGCAGGAGAATCGCTTAAGGTCAAGGCTGCAGTGAGCTGTGATTGTGCCACTGCACTCCAGCCTGGGTGACACAGCGAGACCCTGTCTCTAAAACAAAAAAGACAATAAAGTAGTTTAAGCTAGTAAAACAGAAGGTGCCACAACAACCTGCAAAGCCAGTGTGAAGGAACAGCTTGAAAAAACTTCGAATTTCTACTGACTACAGACAAATCCAAGTGCTGATATTTTTATATCAATTACTGGCCAAAATGGTGTGTTTATTTTTTAAAGCTTGTATCATGGAATGTATAATCTAATCTGGAAAAATGTTTGAAAGGGATGGCTAGAAAAAAATTTGGGCTCACAGGCACTCACCAAATAAGAACGTCAACAATCACTAAACTGCATTTTTATTTAAACAACATTAATTACAGTCTTTCCTCGTGCGTGTCCTCTTTCCACCTTCAGGAAGGCTTCTGGAACTTTAGAAAAAGGAAAGGTTTGTTCAATAACTGGCCGGATCTGTAAAACATAAGAGGTTGACCGGTGGATAAAAAAGCCTACATCTTTCAAGGCAGATGACATTGCTAATTAGTTTCTTGACGGTGTCCCTCAAGCCACAGTCTCTCTCAAGTGTCTCTCCAGTGGACCCAGGTCAGGCTCTCACAAGGGCCATGATGCTGCCTCCACTCCTGCCTCACTGCTGCTTCTCTCTTTATGGCCCCTCCCACCCCACTGCCCAGTCTTACTTCTCCTCCATGCTGGTCTTTCACTCTCCTACTTAGAACCGTTCAACAGCTCCCACTCCGGCATTCGAAGACCAATAGCATCCTGAGCTCAGCCCTCATCCAGATTCCATGCTTTGCAAAAACGCTCTACCTGCCATTTTCTCCACGTGGTATGTTTATGCCTCTGCTGGTACGAGTCAGTAAGCCCAGAAATCCTTCTCTGAAAATTCCACTGCCCTTCCCGCCCAGGTCTCACACTGTGTGTCCTCATGCCCCAGTTTGCAACGTGTTGTCCCTTTCAACTCCCACAGGAACCATGTGGCCTTCCTCACAGACTGTACTTGTTACAGCTGAGTACACATCTCAGCCACTCTGTGCTGTGTGGTAAATACCAAAGAGAACATCCCAAGGTCCTTGCTGTATGTATCCATTTGGCTCCTTACAGAGAGTGCATGGAAATAGTTTTTTTTTTGTTTTTTCTTTGTTTTTAATTTGTTAAGTGTTTGGCATATCTACCCAACCAGAGCATAAAGTACTTGTGGGATAGGGGACTAAGCCATTTTGTTTGCATCCCCCACAACACCAGGCATAATGCTAGACATACAGTAGGAGCTTCATCAATGTCACTTAGGTGAAAGCTAATAAGGTAAGTGGGAAAAACGCACCTCATGTGAGCTTTCTGGGCTTCGAGAATACTTGGCCCAGGCTGGAGCTGCCCTGGCAGGCTTTGCTAAACAACGGTGCAGCCGGTTACAATTTACAAGAAAGTCATTCCAGCCAGCTCATAAATGTTTCAATGCTGCTGGGTCTTTTCACTGTACTATCAGTAATGCCAGCAACCTCCTTCTGAAACTAGGTCCCAGGTAACATCCTCTCCATGCAAAAATCCAACTGAATTCTTCCTTTTCAAAACTTTAAGCAAAAATCAATAGTTATCCACCAGGTATCTCAGTGGCCTGCCTCCCATAGCTCCACTGGCAGGCATAAGTTATCAGAAGGCATAAGCCAACTCATACATTTTACGCTTTCCTTTTACAAGAGGAAGAAGTGTTTTCGTGACATTCAGATGCATCTGATGAAACTTCCTCTTGGATGAATTTCACAGCCAAGCCACCAGAAGAGCATCTTAGACTCCAAAAGTTCCCTTCTCCAAAGAGCTGAAAATACTTTTGTACCCACAAATCACAATAAGCTCATAATAAAAGCAACAGCTGGCACATACTGGCCTCACTATGTGCCAGGCACTGTTTTAGGGGCTCTAGAGATTTCATCTCATTTAATCCCCATAACCATTTTCTGGGGTAAATACTGTTATTCCCATTTTACAGATGAATAAATCAAGGAACAGAGTTAAATAAGTTGCCCTATGTCACACTTCTGATAAATAGCAAGTCAGGATTCAATCTGATGCCATCATCTGCTATCACCATTATGCACTGAGCCTTTCCTATAGCATCTGCTGCTGTCTACACCTACCCCTAAAACCTTAAAGGAAGGGAAAGGTAGCCAAGGACTGTAAGGATTTATCACAGCCTGCATGTTGGCCTGCCTTCCTTGTGCCAGCTGAGGACCTGGTCTCTCGACCCTGTGTCCAGGCCACCAAGATGACAGATGTGTGCTACACGGGTGCCATCCACGCCTATGGAGGACATCACTATTGCTGATCCCCCACAAGCTGAGCATGACCTCAGAATCTTCACCACTGCAGCCACTATTAACTGCTCTGAGCTGGCTTGTGAGACGAAGCCTATTTGTCTTCTATTCTCTCCAAGAATAAGGCAGAGGGCTGTGGTGAGTCCCACTTTAGGGTGGACTGCATTAATGTTGCAGAATGGAATGCATTGATGTTTCTCGGCCCAGTGCAGTGGCTCACATCTGTAATCCCAGCACTTTGGGAAGCCGAGGCAGGCGAATCACCTGAGGTCAGGAGTTTGAGACAGCCTGGCCAACATGGTGAAACCTATCTCCACTAAAAATACAAAAATTAGCTGGGTGTGGTGGTGTGTGTCTGTAATCCCAGCTACTCGGGAGGCTGAGGCATGAGAATTACTTGAACCCGGGAGGTGGAGGTTGCAGTGAACTGAGATCGCGCCACTGCACTCCAGCCTGGGCAACAGAGCGAGACTCTGTCTCCAAAAAAAAAAAAACCAGTTGTTTCCTGTATGTCCCACATGAAACCTGAACCTATCACTCCTCCAAAGCCCCTGGGATGCTGTTTTCAGGATGCTGTTTACCTGGAAAAGGAATCACCTGAATGCATGCCTAAAATGCAGAGTCCAAGGCCTCCTGTTAGAACAACTACATCAGAACCTGTAGGGGGTGGGGCAGAAAAATGCTTCCCCAGTGATCTGTATGCACCCTAAAGTGGGACTCACCCAGCCCTTTGCCTTATTCCTGGAATCCCTAACTTGTACCATGCACATACCCATCCATTCCACAGACTGACAAAGTGCCTGCCTCCTAAGGCACTAAACCAAAACCGGCTGAACTGAATGTTCAATTTAGAGCTCTGACCGGGGACACAGATCCTGAACTGATGACACAGGCAGCTTACAGTTACTGCCCACTTTAATCTGGCTGGTCAGGCCTATTGTGGCAAATAACCCGAGAGGGCTGACCACGGCACAATGAGTCATTCAGCAATTCCCGTAAGTGACAATGGAAAAAAAGGTTTCAAATTGAAGGCAGGCAAATGCCACTGCTGGCTGAATCTGTGACAGCAAACAGAGATTAACTGGATAATGAGACAGTGTCTATGTACAGCCTCACATCAGGCCTAGAATACTTGTTTGTTAAGGACAAAGGGATCAGAGTTAAAATACAGAGGGGGGAAAGAAAGGTTACTCACAGTGAAGTAGGGATGTTTATGTGATGACGCTGCTATAGTCCACCTGGCACAGGGAGCCCTGTTATAAAGCGGGCAGGCTCAACACCATGCTTCCCACTGCGCAGACACACGAGGCTCACAGCCGGCCAGGGACGCTCACAGCAGCAGCCCTCATTCAGTCTTGGATTCATGTGTGGGGTGCTGATTGTGCCTCGCATCCCTGATACAAAGGCTGAACCAAGCCAAGCCCCAAGATTTGGCACCCGCTGCCTGACATCACTTCTGTGAGAACGTAGGGACGACGGGAACCTTAACCTCTCTGGATGTGGCCTTGGAATATTGCTGCTTACAAGACGCTAGGCAAGTCCTCCTTCCTGCTGAGGCAAAAACCCTCTCTAACACTTGAGGCTTCGGAAGACGGTACAGAAAACCTCTCACTACTGCAAGAGCATGAAGCTGCTGGTGGAGAAGGACACTGTCTAGGCAGCCATGGCAGCAGGCAGAGGTTTTCCCTCAATTCCCGTTTTCCCAGTGAGAATCACAAAACAGTAGAGTTAACATATCCGAGTGGGCCTCTTTTGATAGATTAGGAAACTGAAGTGCAAATGATTGAGTGGTAAGTGCAAGGTCAGAGCTGTCAATAGCAGAGCCAAAACAAGGACCCAGGACTCCTAATGTCATTACTGCATGGAATGGATGTAATCTGGGAAGTCACAGTCTATTCCACTTCTTTTCCTAGACCCTTGGCCTCTTCTTCCACCAGGCACAGAGGCTGCAGATCTCAGAGGGTGAGGTGTGTGAGGGGACACTGACAGGTGACAAACACCAAGGAAGACCTAAGGGCTCCTGGTCTGAGTCCAAATCCACACACCTGTGGACAGGCACCAGGACCGCAGTTCCAGCACTACCTCCTGGACAGGTATGCCCCTGACCTCTGTGAAAGGTTCAGTATTTCCTGGGTTGGGGTAAAGGGGAAGAAGGGGACTTAAACTCAGTCTACCTTTAGACAAAAAGAAGACAAAAGGAAGAGGTGAATTTTGCTCTCAGTTGCTGTTTCTCGGAAACTTCCTGCCCCAGATGGCAAACTCAAAACTGGAAGATGGGGTGAGACAGGAGGGGGATGGCAGATGGGGGAACTCTCCAAGGGAGTAAGTGTGCCATTTGGGAAAGCATCAAGGACTTGTCCCTAGGTACCCCTAAAAAATGCACTTCCAACAGCCAGAAGGTGAGAGGAGAAACCCCATATAAATTTCCTCATAGAAACAATTTCAGTAGCATCAGAAAAACCTCAGAAGCATTGAGGCCATGGGATCCATGAGATACTTGCCACATCAGGCAAGGCAGCCCTCTTCCAGTGGTCCTAGGGATTCAGTCCCTAATCACTACATTCTTTCTATGGAGCAAAATCCAGTGGCAATAAAGAACTTAAGGTTTAGAATGTACTTCGTTGCTAAACGAGGGCCCAGCTATTCAAGACGGACCTGGGAAATCACCTACCTCAGAACTCATTACATTTTTCTCGAAAGCTGCAGTGTCCAATATGGTAGCCTCTAGACACGTGACTATTTACGTTAATCAAAAGTAAGTAAATAAAATGAAAAAGTCAGTCTCTCAAGTTGCACTTGCTACATTTCAAGTGCTCAGTGGCTTAGTGGCCACCAAGTGAATACTGCAGACAGAGAACATCTCTATCACTGCACAAAGTTCTAGAGGACAGGCTGCTCAAAAGGTAACTGAGTGTGACCAACACATTTCTCCACCATCTACTGGGTCAAGTAAGTGATAGTGGGCCTTCAGTAAGTGTTCTGAATTGAACTCAAATATGGTGCATAAGAACTATTCTGATGCTGGCTAAAATAAATCAACTGAGAAATCTATATCACTGTTCAACCAAGATGCTTGGCTGGCATCTAAGATTTTGAATATACCTGTGAACATTAAGCTCCTAACATCAGAAGGCTTACTAATTAGATGAAGAATATACATGTATCAATAAACATTCAAAAATATCTTCCTGGCCGTGTGCAGTGGCTCACACCTATAATCTTAGCACTTTGGGAAGCCCAGGCAGGCAGATTGCCTGAGCTCAGGAGTTCAAGACCAGCTTGGGCAACATGGCAAAACCTTGTCTCTACAAAAAATACAAAAAATTTAGCTGGTCAGGGGCATTCCTGTCCAAGAGGTAGTGCTGGGTAGTGCTATATGGGGGGCTGAGGTGGGAGGATCACTTCAGCCCAGGAGGTCAAGGCTGCAGCGAGGTGAGATCACACCACTACACTCCAGCCTGGGTGACAAAGTGAGACCCTGTCTCAAAAAAAAAAAAAAAAAAAAAAAAAGATCTTCCTCCCATACTTGATTTCTAGCCATCTGGTTTCCCACCTCAGGAGCAACCAAGGTTTCTAGTTGCTCTCATAACCTTTTTGAAGTATTTTATGCATTGTGGTAGGCAGAATAATGGCCCCCAAAGATGTTCACATCCTGATTCCCAAAATGTGTGAATATGGCACCTTACATGGCAAAAGGACTTTGCTGGTGTGATTAAGTTAAGGATCCTGAGATGCAGAGATTATCCTGGATTATCCAAGTGGGCCCAGTGTAATCTCAGGGTCCTTATAAGGGGAAGGCAGGAGGGTTAGAGGTCAAAGATTAACAGAAGCAGAGGTTGGAGTGATGTAGCCACAAGTCAAGGGAGGTACAGCCTCTAGAAGCTGGAGAAGGCAAGGAAACAGATCCTCCCGTATAGCCTGCTTCCAGGAGGAATGCAGCCCTGCCCATACATTTGGACTTCTGACCAAAATCTTATTATTATAAGATAATAAATTTGTGCTGTCTTAAGCCACCACATTCATAGTAATTTGTTACTGCAATAGGAAACTAATGCATGCATATATAAGCAAATATGTATAAATATTTTCCTTCAAAACACAGTTACACAGTCCTTCTTAGCAGCAGGTATCATCTGAAGACTGCCTCACCACCACCTCCTCTCAGTCCTGCAAGATACTGAGAAATACAAGATGACAGAGTAAAATACCAAGAACTCAAACTCTAGGTAACAATGTCTGGATGATTATTTAAGCAGAAAACAATGAAGACTGTAGAAGGAACTGTCGTAAGGGTCAAGAGACCTGGGCCCTGCCTATGTGACCTTGAACACATCATTTAATTTCTTAGGGCCTCTGTCCCTTCAAATGTGACATCACAGCAGGATGAGGGATAAAGGGATGAAGACAGTAAACTAGACAAGTGCAAAGCTTTCCTCTTTCCAGTCTGTGAGTATGCTATTCAATGGCATATGCGTGACCTGAATAGAATTTTTGCTATATCTCCTCCCACCAAAAAGTAAGTGTGTTAAATAGTATGAAAACAGGAACTGTTTTTTGTGCTTAGGAGAAAATGCCAATAAACTGTAGGCATGAGGCACGTCAGTACCAACCCAGTACGCTTAAGGGGATAATTA
The DNA here is from genome assembly GCF_000001405.40 of Homo sapiens. Lineage (NCBI taxonomy): Eukaryota > Metazoa > Chordata > Mammalia > Primates > Hominidae > Homo > Homo sapiens. Next base: position 106,578,597 of record NC_000006.12, read on the forward strand.
TAAATCATTCTTTTTGAGAATGCCCAGAACAGCAGTTTGCAAACTAGTGTCCAAGAGCCCAGGGCTCCTTGGCTGTGTGGAGCAGCTGCGGGGAAAGAACATTTGTCGGGGAGGTCACTCCCTGCCACCATTTCACCAGCAGAGCAGCTCCTCCTCTGCCTATTCTGTAAACTGGAGCTTGGCCTGACTGGGTTTCAGTTAAAAAACATTTAACTTCTAGTTTAAGATAAGGATCGGCAAACTTTTTCTGTAAAGGCCTAAATAGTGAATGTCTTAGGCTTTGCAGGCTTCACATGGTCTAAGTTCTTCTTCTTCTTCTTTTTTTTTTTTTTAACAAATCTTTAAAAATATAAAAACCAGCTGGGCGTGGTGGCTCACGCCTGTAATCCCAGCACATTGGGAGGCCAAGGTGGGTGGATCACGAGGTCAAGAGATTGAGACCAGCCTGGCCAACATGGTGAAACCCTGTCTCTACTAAAAATGCAAAAAATTAGCCGGGCGTGGTGGCAGGCGCCTGTAGTCCCAGCTACTCAGGAGGCTGAGGCAGAAGAATCGCTTGAACCCAGGAGATGGAGGTTGCAGTGAGCCGAGATCGTGCCACTGCACTCCAGCATGGTGACAGAGCAAGACTACATCTCAAAAAAAAAAAAAAGTAAAAACCATTCTTGGCTCAGAGGATGTGCAAAAACAGGCCTCAGACTGAATGTGGCCCACAGGCTGTAGTTTGCCAACCACTTTATCTAAGACATAATGAAAATACTAGGTAACTTAAAATTCAAACTGAAATTGTGCCCAGATAGGATGAATATGGAGTCCTACGACTTGCAATAAGGCTTCGTGATGACAGTCATGTGAAAACAATGCCTAAGACTGGATCTCCAGGAAAAACAGACTGTGAGGTCACCACATATTTAGGAAATTTCAGCTCCTCTTCACTTTTGAGCCTGACAATAGTGAGCACATTAAAGGCAGGAAACCAAAACATTTACTGAGTGCTGCACTGGGAGAAAGCAAAGGTAGGGTTGTTGTTCATAAAGAAGGTAGAAGGACAATGCTATTAACAGATTGACAGAGAGTGCTCATTATTGTGGATATTAACTCGGTGGCTTCTCCATTTTTACTGGGGCATGCAGGGCTAACAAGCAGAATTTAGACTCTATCAGTAATACTCATTAATCCAGATTCTTTTTTTTTTTTCCTTGAGATGGGATTGCCCTATGTTGCCCAGGCTGGTCTTGAACTCCTGGGCCCAAGCGATCCTCCCACCTCAAACTTTTAAGTAGCTGGGATCACAGGCATGAGCCACCACGCCCAGCTCAGATATTAAGATAGTTTAGGCCGGGCGCAGTGGCTCACGCCTGTAATCCCAACACTTTGGGAGGCTGAAGTGGGTGGATCATGAGGTCAGGAAATCGAAACCATCCTGGCTAACACGGTGAAACCCCATCTCTACTAAAGATACAAAAAATTAGCCGGGCATGGTGGCGGGCGCCTGTAGTCCCAGCTACTTGGAAGGCTGAGGCAGGAGAATGGTGTGAACCCGGGAGGCGGAGCTTGCAGTGAGCTGAGATCGCGCCACTGCACTCCAGCCTGGGCGACAGAGCAAGACTCTGTCTCAAAAAAAAAAAAAAAAAAAGATAGTTTAAATCACAAGTGACCAGTAACCAGACCTTCTTCACATTCTTAAAAACAAGTCTCTAATGAAGTAAAATGGTTCAGAGGGTAAGATAATGGGTAAGTAAAGAGAGAAGGGGCCTAGAAGGTAGGCCACAAGATAAATTCCAGACACTAAATATATATACTAGATTTTCAAAAGCTGTCTATTTTAATATCTATTAAAGGCTAAGTGCAGTGGCTCATGTCTGTAATCCCAGCACTTTGGGAGGCCAAGGCAGGTGGATCATCTGAGGTCAGGAGTTCAAGACCAGTACAGCCAACAGGGCGAAACCCCATCTCTACTAAAAATACAAAAATTAGCCAGGTGTGGTGGTGGGCACCTGTAATCCCAGCTACTCAGGAGGCTGAGGCAGGAGAATCGCTTGTACCCGGGAAGTGGAGGTTGCAGTGAGCTGAGATCACACCACTGCACTCCAGCCTCGGCGACAGAGCAAGACTCTGTCTCAAAGAAAAAAAAAAAAAAACGATCAAAATTATAAATGCATATCTCTTTTGACTCAGCAATTCCATTTCCATAAACAGAAATGGTTATATATACAATTAGGTACTAAACATAAATATTGGGTTATCCACTGAAGCACTGTTTGCAAAAGACTGAAATTAAACAAATTATGGTACACCCATACAAATACTATGTAGCTGTTAACAAAAAAGGAATGAGAAAGCTTTTATATCCTGACATAAAACAAATTTGAACATATGCTGTTAAAAAAAAAAAAAAAGCAGGTTGCAGCACAGTATGTTATCCATTTTGTTAGGAGAGAAAGAAGAGAGAGAGAGGAAAAAAATTATTTTTCCTGTTTTGATAGAGTATCTTTGGAATACCCAAGAAACTAGTAATATTGGTTGCATCTGACAAGCAGAATCTCAGTGACTGAGATATAGCAGTCAAAAGAAGACTTCTTGAAATAACTTTTTCCATCTTTAGGGTTTTTGAACCTTATGAATGTATTTTTTCAAAGTTCAAGTATTTTAAAAGAGTTGGCTCTGTTGTTTCACAGCTTTTCACGATCAAAAAACAACTGTAGCTTTTCTAACAGTTACCTGCTAATGAGAATCATGAAGCGCTCAGCCAAAGCTTGGAAGAATTTAAATGTCCTCCTCCAATTTAACAAATCTCTACCAACCACACAACACATAAGTAAGATCTGCTGTGTCATTCCTTCTAATTTCCCAGGATAAAAAGGCAATGACCTCTCACATCCACACAGAAGCAAGGACACGACAAGAGAGCTGGCCTCATCAAGGCATCCAGTGCCACATACCAACTTCACAGTCCCAGAACCCCTCATTGCCAGAAATGACTCCCAAGCCCAAACAGCTTGTGCAGGAGAGGAGAATCAAAGCACAAGGCACATTTGCTCACTCAACCTCCTTGGAGAATACTTCAAGGACATCTTTTTTTGTTGTTGTTTATCATGTCCTATTTTAGCCATTACCAGTTATCTGCCAAATGTAATAGGTAGATATATACAAGTCACCTCTCATCTCTGTTGGGTAAACAGTAATTTCCAGGCAGAGAGAGAGTCACAATATTTTGAATACAAAAGAGCAGTGGTAAGCATGTGGACAGCCTGGAGCAGATAGCAGGACAAGCACAATCGTGGACTTCTAGAGGACAAAGACCTCTCTAATAATAGGGTTCCAACCACATGAAGCACTTACTTGATGATACTTCATTCTCTTCTTCCTAGAAATAAAATAAGCATTCCTGTGGGATGTGGGAGAACCCCACAAAGGAGGAGTTACACAGTCACAATAACACTGAGCCCCTGTCCCTATCAGAACACACCAAAACTTAGAAGTCCATGAAAAGACACATAAGCCTGGAACCCAAATATTTGGGAAATAATAACAGGCCATCCTCTTATATAGTTCCTTGGCTGTGAAAGAAGAAAAACCTTAAATACATAAAAAGCAGCCATTAGTTCCCAAAAATATTCCTTTCCAAAATCGAAACGGAAAGATGAAATATGCCAGCAAGGAGCAGGGGCCAGAATAAGAAAGCCCACCTCCAGGGGCTCTGTCCAAGTGTCTCAGAGTGGTTCACACAATGCTAATGCTAGCCTGCTCTAACTCCAGTCCCTGCCCACTGCAAAGTGACAAAGATAAGACAATGTATGCTGAAGTCTCAAATCAGCTTCAAGCACTAAGAATACAGCTGAAAGGTGGAGAGGGAAAAGCACAAGAGTTTTGGTTCCATTTCTGCAAGTTTGAGCATGCCCCTTTTTCTTGGCAAGTTGGCTTTTTCACCTGTAAAATGAGAATCACCCTATCTATGATCTCACACAACCCTCTAAAAGTTCTCCATCCTATAAGTCCATATAATCTCTCAATAACATAAAAAATATCAGCACCAGAATACCACCTTCTGGGTTATTCCTCTAGAGATGGGATGTCAAGGTGGTTTAGACCATGTAAAAACCCAAATAAGCAGGTGGCAGCTGAGGAGGCTTTCAATCCCCAGAATCCCTGAAAGACCTTTTGACATCCAAAAAACGATGACCAGATGATAAGCAACAGCCCCTTTCCCACAGAGTCCACGGCAGGACAGACACTAGTAGGCAGAGTACACCAGCCAGTTGTCTTCACCCAAATCCCCATCAATCCTCACTCACCCTAGCCCTGGCCACTGACTGTCTCAGATGGACTATTTATTTGCCCTTGATTTTATTATACCCACCTAGAAATCAGGAGACCTGGGGACCTGATAAAATATTAGCAGCCCAATGTAGATCACAGCTGTGCTATGACCTAACCAAGTGTCTTTGGGGGAATCCTATAACCTCCCTGGGCCCGCCTCTTCATCTACTAAACCAAGGCGGTTTGACTAGATGAGAGAAGCTCTTGTGCAGATGGAGCAGTCTGTGTCTATGCCTCCCATGGAGACAGAACCAAAGACATAGCATGTAAACTTGGCCATGTAAGGCAGCACAAGGTCAGGTGAGCAGGCTACCTCTGTAGAGTCCCTACTAACGAGGCTCAGTGGGCAGGTCTACAGGAGGTGCTGTAGAAATACAAAGGCTTCCAATCCAGGTTTCCAGGTGCACGTACCTTTCCCGCATCCACCAGTTCTGCAATGTCATCTAAACATGGGCCACTGGCCATGAAAAATGCCCAGCGATAATGGACTCCTTTCCAGAAATGCTAAAAAGAAGAAAACAAAACATGTCAAATACAGAAAAACATAAAATCTGACTAAATGCAGATTTAGGGAAAAGCATTTTCTGGATGACTACAACAAACTGATTTCTCATTTCATGCTGACAAAATGTGTGCACAGCACCTTGGCACAATGACTGACAGAGAATGGATGCTCCATAAATGTTTAATAAATAAATAACTGAACAAAGACATATCCATGTCACTCAGGCTCCTTCTCTAAACTGTAACTGAAGAACAAGTAAGCACAGGAAAGCTTTCCTTAAAATGATCATCTAAATGGTTTTCCACAGTGGGTTTCCTCCCCATGAGGAATCGGGCTGAGACCTCTAGGCTTTCCCTACTAAGGTTTGAATAAAGCCCAGAGGCACTAGAAAAGAGGTTTTCACCAAATTCAAAAATGTTTTGGGGACAATAAGTCACCAAAATATGATCTTAGACAAGAAGCCCAATCACAATTTTTTTTTCTGGCTCTGACAGGAATAAAGTGGCTTTAAAGGGAAAACAAAGTGCAAAGTTCCTTATACATCACGGCTGAATCTTTCCCTATGGTTATGGCAAATACAAAGCCATCTCATCTATTACAGGGCAATACCCTCCAAATGAAGATGAGTACAAATCTTACACCAAGAGGGTTCATGACCACTCTACTGCCACTTATAAATGTTATTCTTTGTTTATTTAATTGAGAAAGGGTCTTGCTATGTTGCCCAGGTTGGTTTTGAACTCCTGGTCTCAAGCAATCCTCTCACCTCAGCCTCCCAAAGTGCTAGGATTACAGGCGTGAGCCACTGTGCCTGGCTGTAATTGTTATTCTTTATGTCAAAGGTAGGGTAGGCCATTACGGAAACAGCAAACGAGCTGAGGTTCTCCATGATACCTCAATGACCTGCCCAACCAAACCTTCATCAGATGGGAGCAATGTGAGGTAGCAGAGGGTCAGCCAGTACCACAGTGCTGCCCTCTCCACAACTACCCACAACTGCGAGGTGAGCTCAGACTTCTTTGCCATTGAGCTTACACTCAGTATGATATAAGCTACTACCATGGCGTGAGGCTGAAAAATGCAATGGAAACCCCCTACAACAGCACTTACTAGTTGCATTATTTTTGTTTTGTTGTTTTTTTTAGTTATGTTATTTTTGTCAGGCTACCTCTTTCAGCCCATTTCCTGTAGAATGGTGGTACCACCACCTAGCTTGCAGGATTGTTGGAAGGATTAAATGAGAATGAATACAAAATGCCTCACACATAGGAAGTATTCTATCAATACTTGTCCAGTGCTAAAAGTGAAACTTACTGAGGAAAGACTGAGACAATACCAATTCAGTTTAAGAATGTGGAAAGAAAGAAAAAACTAAGCAGTTGCCTAGGCAAAGCTTCCCACTGGGTGTGCCAGGATGGCTTACTGGGTGAGTGACCCTATAGATTATCGTCTAACCCAGAAAACCTGTGAGAGCTAAAGGATTCATCATTAATAATTACCCTAGGACTACAGATATAAAGAGAGTCAAGCTTACTCTAGAATTGGTGTGATGAGATATTGACTCCCCTTAGCCCTCAGCATAGCCAGGCAAAGCCAGGGCTGGTAGAAGTCTCCAGATAGGCTGGTCTTAGAGGAGTAGGGCTTGGTTTGTTCATCTCTATTACCCAAGGCAGCCTCTACATGCTGTTCAAATACTATCATTTTCTATGTCTGTCATGGCATGAAAGATGTTGAGATGCACTGGTTTATGCAACTAACTTAAAAAGAAGAGGCCAGGCACACTGGCTCACACCTATAATCCCAACACTTTGGGAGACCAAGGTGGGAGGATTGCTTGAGGCTAGGAGTTCAAGAGTAGCTTAGGCAACACAGCAAGACTCTGTCTCTACAAAACAAGAAAAAGAAAAAAGCTGTTTGAAGAATTATGTGGCTAAATGCCAGAAGCACTGAGAATGTCCCAAGCTTACTGTGGATCCAGTAAATGACAATCACAGAAGATCTGTTCAAATACTTTTCCCTAAGGTCTGGCTTCATAGACTGCAATTAAAACATTCTGGTAATTGTTTAGGGTATTAAAGAAGGAACAGAAATGGTCACAACTGCCACATCTGTAACTCTTCACAGCATGTGGCTCTGTAAAGTGAAACTTTTGGTCTGTAATAGCAGAATTTTAATATTCTGCTATAAGAGGTCTGTGTTATTCCCCCCCTACCCAGGCCACTATAGGAGAGAAAGTAAACCAAAGCAGGTAGGAGAGTCAGAAGCATGACAATGAGGCTTTAACTACGTGCACAATCAGAAAGACATTGAAAACTACTTAAAAGGTTTTCACATGAGATTACCACTATCATCTTTCAAGTAGGAGGAAAAGAGAATGAAGAGAGCTGTGCCTGTTTTACTCTCCGAGGACAACTCTGAAGGTTAACTTGTAAGAGGTCTCACTGGAGTACAAACTGAAATCTTACAGAAAACTTAAACTTACATTTTAAAGCACTGGAAAATCTGGGTTTTGTGAAAGAGAAAGAAGAGACAAGGGACAGCTAAGAGCCCTTTCTCCACAAAGTACCCTGTGGACACTGTTTCTGGCTACTGTCTGAATCAAATGAAAATAAAGAACACCACAGTGCAGCGCTTGGTTTGTTCATTTCTATTACCCATAATATTTCATAAGAATTGAGTCGTGGTCTCCTCCATCATAGCTCTTTGTTACGACCTCTAAGTACTTAGTACACAGAATTCAAGAGACCAAAGTCCTAAGTTTCATCCCCATAAAAGGTCCCAAATTAATATCTGGAATAAATAAAATGCTAAAGATAATTATCAAGCCAGTCATCTCACAAACGTGGGTCAGCGTTGGTCGGACTGACACAGCGACTCACAGCCTTTTTACCACTGAGGAACTTTCTACTGCCTTGTTCCAGAGTCTCAAGTATTTTGCTTAATTTAAAAAAATAGAATTTGTTTTTTTTTTGAGACAACGTCTTCCTCTGTTGCCCAGGCTGCAGTACAGTGGCACGATCATGGCTCACACCCTCTGTCTCCCAGACTCAAACCATCCTCTGGCCTCAGCCTCCTGAGCAGCTGAACTACAGGTATACACCAACATACCTGGCAAATTTTTTTATTGTTTTGTAGAGATAAGCTCTCACTATGTTGCCCAGGCTGGTTTTAAACTTCTCAGACTTAAGCAATCCTCCCATCTCCACCTCCCAAAATGATGGGATTACAGGCATAAGACACCGTGCCCAGCCTATCTTTATTTTTTCTATCATGTATTCCATTTTAACATCAATTCATATTTTAAACCAATGATCTATAATTACCACCAGTTTATCCCATGAAATTATAAAAGCCTCTCTCCCCACTGTGATGACAACAGGCTACGAGGTAAAGTAGAGAGCAGACGCTCAAGCTCTGCTATTAGTCTTGTAACTGAGGCTCATCTGCCCTAGTCTCCAAGGCCCGCCACTCACCGATGTGTGCAATTTGGGTGAGATGTATTCAGTTTTGAGCTCCATACAGCCCTGGTAAAAGTGGCCCTGTTTCTGAGTCAGGCTGACTAACCAAGTCCCAGAAACTCCCATCATGCCATTAATAGCTGGAGTTTCAAATTTACACGGAATACACAGTGTTAGAACAAGTTGATACAATCCCAGCAGAGGCATGAGTGGAGGCTTACTCAAGTAAAAGTACAACTTGTTTTACTCATAGACCTCTAAATGTCTGAAAGCCCCAGTCTGGGAATCACTGGTCTATCCCAATACAATGAAAACAGCAGCTGTAAGTTTTCATCTTTATATACAAGAGACTTTAAGTGTTAAGACATGAAACAGAGAGAGGGTCATCAGGTAGAGACAAGAAGGAAGCACAGACAGTACATCAGATGTAATCAAGAGAGGCAATAAGTAATAATAAAGGCAACATTTAATAAGGGCTTTTTATGTACTAGGCATTATGCCATGTCTCCATATGGACTACTTCATTTGATCCTTACAACAATGCAGTAAGGTAGATCTATTAACAGCCTCATTTTACAGGGGAAGACATTGGGGCTTAGAGACATTCAGTAACTTGCACAGGGTTACACAGCTACTAAGTAGAGGTCAGATTTTGAAGCCAGTCACTGTGACTGCAGAGTCCATGCTTGCAACCACCGTGCTATGCGGCCTCCAAGAGAAGAGAAACTGGCTAGGTGGGAAACCAATTTCTAGCAGCAGGAGGCTGCCTGCAGTCACCAACCAAGACCCTTCTTCCTACCTTTAATGCCTTTGAACCTACAGTGACTCCTGTCTGCAACATGCCATCTGCTATGCCCAATCGGTCCATGTTCAGGAGGAAAGGAGTCACCAAAGTCACATAGGTGGCTCCTGACCATTTCTTGAGAAAATCTGGAGCCCATGTTTCAGTGGATCCGCCAACATTATCAAGGATAAAATCAAATCTGGAGAGGAAGAACCAAATCAAAACATGGTTGTCAGGCTTTACACTGGACTCTGATCCTCCTTCCCTTCCAGTACCAGTTGGCTTAGGGTTTATTTCAGTGACAAATCTTAAACTGTGCTGCACCTCGCCATCCTGCAGAGGGGTGGCTGCTTTGATGGAGATGGAAGGACATACTCATTCACTGGATCTATGACTTTTCTCCAAGGTAAGTTTAATGTGACTAATTTTTGTCATAAAATCATTTCATTTTCTAGTACTTTAGAATGGCTTCAGCAAGTAGTTCTGAAAAGAGAGTGGTTTTGGCTCACTACAATGCACAGAATAGCCCCTCACAAGCTAAAAAATTTTCCAGCCCAAAATGTCGATAGTTGAGAAACTAAGGTTGCCAAGGTTGAGAAAGTCTGACTTAATTAAGCTTTGTAAAAAACTGCAAAGCTTTCCATTCTCTATAAAGTATTCTTTAGTGCACATGGATACTTGAAAGTAAAATATGAGATTTTCACCTACAAGAATGATTTGCTTTTATTCTCTTTACAGTCAGAAATGCTCATGGAAGCATCCTCTTCACCTTCTGAAATTTTCTATCATTTGGTTTCAGGTACAGCATCAGGACAATGCAAAAGGAGAAATGAACAGCCTGTTCTAACATGCCAAAAAAATTCAGCCATAATGGAATCCACAGAAACTGACAGATATTCAACTTCTTACATCTAAACTAAAACTTCTGTAATCACTATATTCTATTGAAAAGGGATAAAAATAAGCTTTGAAATAATTTTGAAAACAAAGATCTATATAGAGAATACATGCAAATAAACTGAGCAAATCAGTTGATGAATTCCTTTTTGGTAAATCTTTTCTCCCAAATTCATCTGGATGATGTCAAACATTAAAGTTCCTAAAACCACTTTGGCCAACTTTGTGGATCTTGAGTATCTTATAGAACTAAAATAAAGAAGGGCAAGGCCGGGTGCAGTGGCTCATGCCTGTAATCCCAGGACTTTGGGAGGCCGAGTCGGGTGGATCACCTGAGGTCAGGAGTTCGAGACCAGCCTGACCAACATGGAGAAACCCTGTCTCTATTAAAACTGCAAAATTAGCCAGATGTGGTGGCACATGCCTGTAATCCCAACTACTCAAGAGGCTGAGGCAGGAGAATCGCTTGAACCCGGGAGGCAGAGGTTGTGGTGAGCCGAGGTCATGCCATTGCACTCCAGCCTGGGCAACAAGAGCGAAACTCAGAAGAAGAAGAGGAAGAAGAGGAAGAAGAAGAAGAGGAAGAGGAAGAGGAAGGAGGAGGAGGCGGTGGAGGAGGAGGAGGAGGGAGGAGGAGGAGGGAGGGGGAGGAGGGAGGAGGAGGGAGGAGGAGGGAGGGAGGAGGAGGAGAAGGAGGAGGAGAAGGAGAAGAAGAAGGAGAAGAAGAAAGAGAAGAAGAAGAGGAGGAGGAGGAGGAAGAGGAAGAAGAGGAAGAGGAAGAAGAAGAAGAAAAAAGGCAATTAAAATCTAAGGATATGAAATGCAGGAGCATGATGACCTTAATAGATGACCATTCTTTTCACTAAAAAAGTGTCTACTTCATTTCCAAGTTTTGAATGAACAAATCTGAGGATACTTAACTTAAAGAAAACTTAAGGGCAGCCTGGTATTATAGAACAGGCATTGTCTGAGAAAGAAATCTGGAGACCAGGTTGTGGATCCAGCTCTCCCAACAAATGACTGGTGGCATGACCTCAAGTATGCAAAAACTCATAACTCCTCTGCCCTTCACTTTCTCAACTACAGCATCATAGGGTTGGACTGAAGGATTTCAAAGCCCCTTCTTGCTATAAAACTCTAAGATTCAAATACCTAAAAAGCTGCTATTTGGAAGGAGGAACATATTTATCCTAGGTAGACTGAGAGGTCAAACTCCAGGCAGAAATTACAAAGATCAATTTTAACTAAAGCTATCAAAGAAAAGAAGTAGTAACGGCATGCATTTATAAGTCACGAAGTTCCCCCTACTAGAAAAGTACAAGCGAAAGGAGCAAGACCACTTGCCAGGAAGAGATGCCAAGGAGGGAAGCATAGCACCGCTTTGGGAGCCTAGACTGAGTGTCCTCTAGCCTTCCGTCTGTCAAGTTCTCCTACTCTCTGGTGACAAATTCCAGACATGTATAAAACTTAAGGTAGGCCAGGTGCAGTGGCTCATGCCTGTAATCCCAGCACTTTGGGAGACCAAGGAAGGCGGATCACCTGAGGCCAGGGGTTCAAGACCAGCCCGGCCAACATGGTGAAACTATCTCCACAAAAAAAAAATTGAAAAATTAGCCGGGTGTGATGGTGGGTGCCTGTAATCCCAGCTACTCAGGAGGCTGAGGCACAAGAATCACTTGAATCCAGGAGGCAGAGGTTGTGCCAAGATCACGCCATTGCACTCCAGCCTGGGCAACAGAGTGAGACTTCATCTCAAACAAAAACAAATACAAAAAAACAAAACAAAACCCCTTAAGGTAGATAGAGGGGAATGGGTAGAACTTGGCCCCAGTATCATGTTGCTATTCCTAGAAGCATCAGAAGATACAAGATCGGGCTGGGCGCGGTGGTTCACGCCTGTAATCCCAGCACTTTGCAAGGCCGAGACAGGTGGATCACGGGGTCAGGAGTTCGAGACCAGCCTGGCCAACATGGTGAAACCCCATCTCTACTAAAAATACAAAAATTAGCCAGGCGTGGTGGCGCACACCTGTAATCCCAGCTACTTGGGGGGCTGAGGCAGGAAAATCACTTGAAACCGGAAGGCAGAGGTTGCAGTGAGCCAAGATCGTGCCACTGCACTCCAGCCTGGGCGACAGAGTGAGAATCCATCTCAAAAAAAAAAAAAAAAAAAAGATACAAGATCAACCTAAACTACTGCTTTCTAGAAGCCAGATCTCAGAGACCTGTCATGTCGTCACTCTCAAGGCGCCCAAAGAGGCTTAGGCCCTGACACACAGACAAGACGGTAGCTGACAAAATCTCTGAAAGGGACAATGTTAGTCCTTAAACATGCCAGGCATGTTCCGGACATGGGAGCTTTAGGTTGCTGTTCTTTCCAGCTGGAACAATTGTTCTCCTAGATTCCCTCAATAATTAAATAAATATTATTAAGCACCTACTACATGCTACTACACTCTTCCAGCTGGAGGGATACAGCAGGGAGCAACACACAAACACACAAATCCCATTCATTTGACTTGCTCACTAAAGCCTCCACTCAAATGTTGCTTCCTCAGTGAGGCATTCTTTAACCTTGCTATTTATAACAGCCTCCTCCCTATCTATTCCCTTTCATTTTTTTTCAGAGCACCTACCACTAAAACCGCCCAAACAAGAATGTAAGCTCCATGAAAGTGGGCATTTGTCTGGTTCACCACTGTAGCTGGTGTTTGGAACCCTGCCTGGCAAGAGTAGAAGCTCCCTGAACAGTTGAAGGAATGATGAGTTGGCTGGCTGCTGCTGGGTGCACCACCAAACTACTGCTAGAAGTTGGTGGCACTGGCTGAGAAAGGCTGGGCGGTGTCAGATAAGGACTCCCTTTTTTTTCTTTTTTCTTTCTCTTTAAAAATATACTTCTACTCAATGTGGTCAAGAGTAGTTGACTTCTGAAAACTAATCAAAAAAGGGAAAACCTTTTAAACAGAAGCAGTAAAATAGCTTTCCAAATACTCCTCATTTCTGCTCTCAGCTTCAGCTTGGTCTTGGCTGGATAAAGGTCAGATGAATAAGCTGGAGTCACAGTCAGAATCAACATGACCCAAGAGAATTCCTGAATGCATTCCTGCTTGGTACCTCAGGCCAAACCACAGCCTGGCATTCAGACACACTGGGAACATCCACAGTGCTCCCATTACCAAGATTTAGACTTACACTGTTTCTCTTAAGCCTTTTTTAAGCCAAAACACGAAAGTATGTTTTGGGCTAATCATGTATTTCATGAACTACTCTATATTCTTCCTGTGGTGACAGATGCCACAGAAGGGAACACATTTCCAATTTTGTCTTCAGGCCTCTTACAAACCAGCATGCTAACTTAAAAATTAGCAAAGACCATGTAAGCAAAATAACTTCCTCAGTGCCTATCCACATGCTGTTACTGTGTTGTATTAACATCTGGAATTAAAACAGAAGCCAACCTAAGTAACTTCTAGTGACATGGAATGTTTTCATAGATCCTTCTCAAGATTCCAACATGATTGTAAAGCCACCAAGCCATCTCAGACCTGCATAATCAACTGTCCTTGTTCCCACTCCCAGTGTGAACATTGTTCTAATACATACGGTTTTAAGGATTTCAACTGCTCTTCCACACTTCCAGATTTGTAATCAATTACATCGTCTGCACCAAGCTTCCTTACAAGTTCACTGGCATCTTGGGAGCAAACTGCTGTCACATGAGCATCCCATGCTTTCATTACCTGCCCCCCACCAAAAAGAAAAAAAGAATAAAAAAGGGAGAGATTAGAAAAACTGACTGCATTGAAAAAAAAATCATTGGCACCATGTATACATATATCAGACTAATCTCTAGAGAACTTTAAGTACGTCATCTTAACCAGAACTATAGGAAGCCATCTGTCAGAGACTAGTAAAAATGGTCAAACTTTTGTTCAGTAAGAAAATCCCAAGAAAGAGATCTCATTTTCCCTACATGAGACAGCCAGCCACCTTATTGTCATGAAGTTATAACTAATCCACTTAGAGAGGGACTCAGTGCCTCAACAGTAACAGAAAAGACAGGAGTTGAAAGCCTCAAATTTGCCAAGTGCGGTGGCTCACGCCTGTAATCCCAGCACTTTGGGAGGCCGAGACAGGTGGATCACCTGAGGTCAGGAGTTCGAGACCAGCCTGGCCAACATGGTGAAACCCCGTCTCTACTAAAAATATAAAAAATTAGCTGGACATGGTAGCGGGCGGGCACCTGTAATCCCAGCTACTTGGGTGGCCAAGGCAGGAGAATCGCTTGAACCCCGGAGGCAGAGGTTGCAGTGAGCCAAGATCGTGCCATCGCACTCCAGCCTGGGGTACAAGAGTGAGACTTCATCTCAAAAAAAAAAAAGCCTCAAATTTAGCACTTTCAAGGATAGCAAAGTTAAATGGCCCAAAAATAGTATGTCTTCAGAAAAATGACTATTTAAAATGTATACAGAACATTAAAATGCCACATATCTTCATTTGCATCTCTAATAAGTGTTAACACAATATTGAATCAGAAAGCGTGTCAAAGTAATGAGCTATTAAGTAATAGGTAACATATGAAAAGGTTCTCTTAAAAAGAAGGGGAAGAAACTATAATCATTTTTTCTTAAAAACTTGGATCAGGTCCTCTCCCTTGGAGTAAGAAAACCTAAATAAATGTTACCCAGGTTTTAAAATGCAGATGCCTTATATTTTAAAATAATAAAGAATAACTAGATTTAAATTAAAAGGAGAGCTAAATTCTAATGTTATTCAGAATTAAGTATCCAGAAAGCATTCTGCTCCAAAATTGCTAAAATTCTTTTCTATAATGTTAATTTCATAGACTTAAAAGGGGGCTATTTTCAGCTAATTTGAGAATAGCCACTTGAAGATTACTAAGAAATTTTTGTGCAGATAATTATAGATCATAAGAGATCACTTGTTTTCTCAATCTTGTCCTAAGTATCAATTTCCTGAACTTCCTTAATATAAGATATAAAGGCTCACTAGAATACAAGGGATCTGTGTTTGTCTGGTTCACTATTGAATCCCTACTCCATGGCACACAAAGGTGCTTAGTAAATTTCTGTTAAATACAAAATGTAAATAAAGGGTTTTTAACTTATTCATAATCTTACCCAATTTCTCACTTTTAAAAAGCAACATTGACCAAAGACTTATATATCCTGAAAATCTGTGGGGAATTGAAATATTTAGGAGTGATATGATATACAATTTATTGTTTATGGGCTGCAAACAGAGACACTTGAGTGTAATGATACGTTGCTTTTCACAGCAAGTCCCAAATCAAATTCAAATATGTGAAGAATATAATCCAAGATGAATAGCTCATTGTGACCATCCTTTCTCTATACCTATATTAAAAAAGAAACTATTGAGGAAAAAGAAAAGTATGTTCTAAGCACCCACATTTAATACATGTTTTTCTTTAAACAGTATTAAATCCTCAGGAAGAATCTGTCACATGTTGAAACAGGTTTTTTTCCTCAAATTTCTGGTTTTTCCCCTCAAATTTCTAGTTTTTCCTTTCCCATTTAGAGCTATTTATTATCTTTGAACATTATGAAAATGTTTTAAAAACAGTTTTACTTAATAAAAATTTTTCATGTAATATAAAACACAACTATAGAAAACACCTATAGACGGGGTGTGGTGGCTCATACCTGTAATCGCAGCACTTTGGGAGGCTGAAATGGATGGATCACTTGAGCTCAGGAGTCTGAGACCTGCCTAGGCAACGTAGTGAAACCCCGTCTCTACTAAAAATACAAAAAAGTAGCTGGGCCTGGTGATGCATGCCTGTGGTCCCAGCTACTCAGGAGGCTGAAGTGGGAGGATCGCTTGAGCCGGCGGGGGTGGAGGTTGCAGTAAGCCAAGGTCGTACCACTGCACTCCAGCCTGGGTGACAGAGTGAGATTCTGTCTCAAAAAACAAAAAACAAAAAAAGAAAGAAAGAAAGAAAACAGCTATAGGGTGAACACCACCCAGATAAAGCAGCAGCACACTGGAAGCTATGCCAAAAATTCTCCCATGTGCCCCAAACCACAGAAGCCCCTCCTACCCTTTCCCAAAATAATTATTCTGATTTTTATAGTAATCACCTCCTTGCATTTCAAAAAGTTTATCACCCAACAATGCAGTCTCTAGACACTATAGTCTTGTGCATTCTTAAAACGTGGTATCTTTTAAATCTCTTTTTTTATTATTTATTTTTGGGTTGTTTTGGTTTTTTATTTGAGACAGTCTCACTCTGTTGCCCAGGCTAGAGTGCAGTGGCATGATCTCGGCTCACTGCAACCTCCACCTCCCAGGTTCAGGTGATTCTCCTGCCCTCAGCCTCCCGAGTAGCTGGCACTACAGGCACGTCACACCACGCCTGGCTAATTTTTGTATTTTTAGTAGATATGGGATTTCACCAGGTTGGCCAGGCTGGTCTTGAACTCCTGAGCTCACGTGATCCACCCGCCTTGGCCTCCCAAAATGCTGGGATTACAGGTGTGAGCCACTGTGCCCGGCCTTAAGTCTCTTTTAAATCATAGGCTCCTGTTCTATCCCTTTGCTTTCCTATAATTTATCTATGGAAGAATCTAGGCCATTTGATCTGTGGAGTTTCCCACAGTCTGGAATTTCTAACTGCACACCCACGGGACAGTTCCACACGTCGCTCTGTCCTCTGTATTTTCTGCAACTCGGCAGATGGATCTGGAGACTAGATCTGATTCCATTTCAATCCCTTTAGCAAAACTATGGACAGTGTCTGGCAAAACTAGAGGAGGCACATCATGTCTGCTTGAGGCTCTCTTTATTATCTTAGCAGCTGTCAATGCTTAATACCCATATCTGCTTATTGGTGGTTGCGAAATAGTGATCTTCTAATTCTACTTCTTTTATTTAAGTAGTTGGAATACTTTCTTTCTTTTTTTTTTTTTTTGTGGGGGACAGTCTCGCTCTGTCCCAGGCTAGAGTGCAGTGGCGTGATCTCTGCCCACTGCAACCTCTGCCTCCTAGGTTCAAGCAATTCTCCTGCCTCAGCCTCCCGAGTAGCTGAGATTACAGGTGCCCACCACCACGCCCGGCTAATTCTTGTATTTTTATTAGAGAAGGGGTTTCGCCATGTTGGCCAGGCTGGTCTGGAACCCTTGACCTGAGGTGATCTGCCCGCCTTGGCATCCCAAAGTGCTGAGATTACAGGCATGAGCCAACGCGTCCAGCCTGAATACTTTCACAAAATAACACTGCCCCTCATATCACTGCCCCTCACATATTATTTTGTCTGCTCAATTATACAGTTAATGTAGGAAAGGCAAGACAAATGCTTAACTGTTTTTCTTTATCAGTTTATAAGATAATAAATTGGTTCCCTATCAAATTCCAAAAGTGACCTCTTTTGAAAAAAGTATCATGAACTCATGGATTTAAATATATTTAAAAGGTTTCAACCCATTGTAATGGTCATTATTATTACTGAAGCTCAAACTGTTACATCTTTGGGCATTTCTTCAAGTTAGCTCTTGAGTCTTTTGACATGACCTGACTAGTCTTTGATATCTTCCTTGCTATTTAATATACTCCAGGTTAATTCTTTATATTTGTGCTCTAGATCTGAAATCAGCTACTTCTCTAAGAAGCCCTGCCTTGTTTCAGTGAGAAATGATATTTCAAGTGATGGCTTTACATACACACATACACAAAATATCTCTTGAGTTCATATTGATACTTCCAATTCTAATTTGAGACTACAAAATCCCAGCACTTTGGGAGGCTGAGGCAGGAAGGTTGCTTGAGGCCAGGAATTTGAGACCAGCCCAGGCAACACAGCAAGACCCCATCGCTACAAAAACGTGAAAAAATTAGCTGGGCATGGTGGCATGTGCCTGTAGTTCTACCTACTCAGGAGTTTGGGGTGAGAGGATCATTGAGCCCAGGAGGTTGAGGTTGCAGTGAGCTGTGATCATGTCACTGCATCTCAGCCTGGATGACAGAGCAACACACTGTCTCAAAAATAATGACAACTATTGCACTGTATTTACCTTATCAGAACATATGGCTGTTCCTACACTCTCTCCTTCTAAGCCCTCATTTAGTTTTGTTCTACAGGTAATTGTGTTGAACATTTACCACTAGTCCTTAAAATGTCTTCATAGTCATTCCTAGTCAGAAGCTCATTATCTAGTAGATTCCTCAGAAAAGGATCAGAAGAACAATATTCCCCACGTTCTTCATGTTGATAACAGTCTGTATGTGTCCATGATACCTGAAGGCCTGTTTTGTTGTATAAAAGATTCTTGGCGCACTCTTCCTTGAGTATCTTAAATATGTTACTCCATTTTTTTCTGCCAAAAGTGTTACTGCCAAAAAGTCTCATGATAGTCTAATTTTATTTCTCTTATAAGTCACGTCATCTTTTTTCTTATATGGACACATAAGTAGCACATGTGCTATTTTGTCTAGATTTCCAAAGGATCTTATTTCTTTTTTCTTTAAAGGCCAGTAATTTCACTATAATTTTTCTCCACATTTTTATTAGTAATTTTCCTTAGTGTTGCTCAGTCTGGGTCCATGTCCTTAGAAAAGTGATGTGTCTATTCAATATGTAATTTCAAATCATTTAATTTCAGGACAGTAGGAAAGTTTCTTTAATTATTGTTTTAATATGGGTTCAATTCCCTTGCTTTGGTTTTCCCCTTCGAGGACTCCTAGTATCCATATATCAATTTTCCTTGCCTGTCATCAATATTTGATACTTTCTCTTGACTCTGTTTTTATCTTTTTCTGTTTTTTTGAGATAGGTCTCACTCTGTCCAGGCTGAAGTGCAGTGGTGTGATCACAGCTCACTGCAGCCTCGACCTCCTGGGCTCAAGTGATCCTCACACCTCAGCCTCTCCATAGCTGGGATTACAGGTATGAGCCACCATGCCCAGCTAATTTTTGTATTTTTTGTAGAGACGAGGTTTTGCCATGTTGCCCAGGCTGGTCCTGAATCGCTGAGCTCAAGCAATCTGCCCTCCTCAGCCTAGCAAAGTGCTGGGATTACAGGGTGAGCCACTGTGCCCAGCCTATCTTTTTGTTTCTTTTGTAATTTGAATTTTTTTCTGCATTTTGTTTCTTTTTTTTTTTTTTTAATTATACTTTAAGTTTTAGGGTACATGTGCACATTGTGCAGGTTAGTTACATATGTATACATGTGCCATTCTGGTGCGCTGCACCCACTAACTCGTCATCTAGCATTAGGTATATCTCCCAACGCTATCCCTCCCCGCTCCCCGCACCCCACCACAGTCCCCAGAGTGTGATATTCCCCTTCCTGTGTCCATGTGATCTCATTGTTCAATTCCCACCTATGAGTGAGAATATGCGGTGTTTGGTTTTCTGTTCTTGCGATAGTTTACTGAGAATGATGATTTCCAATTTCATCCATGTCCCTACAAAGGGCATGAACTCATCATTTTTTATGGCTGCATAGTATTCCATGGTGTATATGTGCCAAATTTTCTTAATCCAGTCTATCATTGTTGGACATTTGGGTTGGTTCCAAGTCTTTGCTATTGTGAATAATGCCGCAATAAACATACGTGTGCATGTGTCTTTATAGTAGCATGATTTATAGTCATTTGGGTATATACCCAGTAATGGGATGGCTGGGTCAAATGGTATTTCTAGCTCTAGATCCCTGAGGAATCGCCACACTGACTTCCACGATGGTTGAACTAGTTTACAGTCCCACCAACAGTGTAAAAGTGTTCCTATTTCTCCACATCTTCTCCAGCACCTGTTGTTTCCTGACTTTTTAATGATTGCCATTCTAACTGGTGTGAGATGATATCTCATAGTGGTTTTGATTTGCATTTCTCTGATGGCCAGTGATGATGAGCATTTTTTCATGTGTTTTTTGGCTGCATAAATGTCTTCTTTTGAGAAGTGTCTGTTCATGTCCTTCGCCCACTTTTTGATGGGGTTGTTTGTTTTTTCCTTGTAAATTTGTTTGAGTTCATTGTAGATTCTGGATATTAGCCCTTTGTCAGATGAGTAGGTTGCGAAAATTTTCTCCCACGTTGTAGGCTGCCTGTTCACTCTGATGGTAGTTTCTTTTGCTGTGCAGAAGCTCTTTAGTTTAATTAGATCCCATTTGTCAATTTTGTCTTTTGTTGCCATTGCTTTTGGTGTTTTGGACATGAAGTCCTTGCCCATGCCTATGTCCTGAATGGTAATGCCTAGGTTTTCTTCTAGGGTTTTTATGGTTTTAGGTCTAACGTTTAAATCTTTAATCCATCTTGAATTGATTTTTGTATAAGGTGTAAGGAAGGGATCCATGCATTTTGTTTCTATTAAGGAGCATTATGTGTTGTGTTTACTTGCTATTGAGTTCCTCTTAGTTTAGTCTTCTATTACTAAATGATTTTTTCATTTAGTTTTACTTTTTTCCTGATTTTTTCCTATTCTGATTTATTTTGTTTTTTTCACATCTTGTATTATATTTTTAATGTCTTTTAACTTGCTTTGAAATAGTAGGTGACATTTCAGGCTGTTCTGTAGGCATGTATTCTGATGTGCTTTTATTATAGGGCATGTTATTCTATACCTTATTTTCCCTTTCCTTATAATAGCTTTGTATGGGATTTAACCTTGATGCTTTTCTATTACTTTTTAATTTTATTAAAATTTTTTGTTGTAAAATATAATACAAATAAAAGCATACAGAATATAAATATACAGCTTAACAAATTATTACAAAGCAAATATTATTATAACCACTATTCAAAATTAAGAATTAGAATACCACCTGTGTCCCTAAGCCTCCCAATTAAAACCTCCTCAACTCCCTTAAAAAGTAACTACTAACTGGACCTTTAGTGTAACCCTTTTTGCTTTTTTTTTTTTTTAAGAAGTTTTACTAAGTAGACACCACCCTTAAACACCACTGCTTAGTTTCACTTGTTCTTGAATGTCATTAAATGGAACGATATAGGATGTACTTTTGCATCTGATTTCTTTTACTCAACACTCGGTTGTGGTATTCATCCACTTCACTGTGTGCAATTATAGTTTTTTCATGACTGCATAATATTCCAATGTAAGAATATACCACAATTTACTTACTCATTTTACTGTTGATGGACATTTGGGTTTTTCTAGTTGGGGAATTTTAACAGGAATAGCCCTGCTCTGAAATTCTGGTACATATCTTTTGGTAAACATACTTGTATATCTATCTATAGGTTATAATCCTAAAATAGGAATTCTTGTGCTGTCCTTTTTTTTTTTTTTAGAAATTTTACAATTTATATTGACATTTAGTAGATGCCAAATGGTTTTCTTAAGTGGCTGTATCAATTTATACTCTAACCAACTGTGTATGATATTTCTCTTTTCTTTTTGCCTCTCTCCCTCTTTTCCTTTCTTCTATTTATTTATGTATTCAACTCATATTTACTGAGCCTCTGGATTGGATTCTGATTATCAAATGATGAGTTAAAAGAAGTTAAAGTGTGCATCCCAGGAATCCTCGCCTCCTTCACCTAGTTCAGTCAGCAGACAGACAGGAAGCCTCCAGCACCATCTGGGTTCTCAAAAAGTCTAAGCTGGGTCTGGGGTGGTCTATAACACCCAAACCTCCCTCCTGGAAAGTAATGTGGCAGAGCCTCTGAGGCTACTCGCTGGCCCCTACTGGGGAAAAGAATCTCTCCCCTCATCCTGAGAGAGTCTTAATCAAGCTCCCTCTTCTAGGAGCCAGTCAGTTACACATCTGACCACAACAGGAGCAGTCACTGGGCCCCATCATGTTTCTGGAGGCTTGGGGAACTTTTGGTTTGTTTTGTTTTATTTGAGGTAAAATTCATATATATCACCATTTTCACAATTTTAAAGTATTTAAAGTATACAGTAGTCTCTAGTACACTCACAATGTTGTGCAACCATCACCACTAATTCCAGAATATTTTAAGTGCCCCAAGAATAAGCCTCACACTCATTACGTAGTCATTCCCCACTCCCTTCTCCATCTACCCCCAGCCCCTGACAACCACTAATCTGCTTTCTGTCTCTGTGGATTTGCCTATTCTAAACATACGATATAAATGGAATCATACAATATGTAGGACCTTTTGTTTCTGGATTTTTCTCACTTAGCATGTTTTGAAGATTCATCCATGCTGTATCATCATCAATATTTTATTCCTTTTTATGGCTGATATATAATATAGATATATAATATTCCATTATATGTCTATACCACATTTTGTTTATCCATTCATCAACTGATAGTTATTTCCACTTTTTTTCACTATTATGAATAATACTGCTATGAATATTCATGAATAAGATTAGGCTTAAATATATGTTTTCATTTCTCTTGGGTATATACCTAAGAATGGAATTGCTGGGTCATATGGTAATTCTATGTTTAACATTTTGAGGACCCAAGAAACTCTCCCACAATGTCTGCACCATTTTAACTTCCCACCAGCAATGTATGAGTGTTCTAATTTATTTACATCTTTGCTAACATTTTTTATTTTCTGTGTTTGCTTTTTATTGTAAGACACAGTATCTCACTGTGGTTTGGATTTGCATTTCTCTAATAAATAAAGATATTGACCATCCTTACATGGACTTACTGGCCACTTGTATATATTCTTCGGAGAAATGTCAATTCAAGTTCTTTGCTAATTAAATACTGTGCTGTCTTTTTGTTGTTGAGTTATAAGAGTTCTTTATATATTCTGGATACTAGACTCTTACCAGAAAATGATATGGAAATATTTTCTTCCATTCTGTGGGTTGTCTTTTCATTTTCTTGATAGTGCCCTTTGACATACAAAAGTTTTTTTAATTTTGATGAATTTTTTTCTTTGGTTGCTTGTGCTTTGGGTGTCATATCTAAAAATCTGTTGCCAAATCTACAATCATGAAGATTTTGTCTTATGTTTCCTTCCAAGACTCTTTTTTTCCCTTTCCCTGCCTACTCTTCTAAGAGTTTTACAGTTTTAGCTCTTATGTTTAGATCTTTGATCCATTTTGAGTTTTTTGTTTTTGTTTTTGTTTTTTGAGACAGAGTTGCACTCATCACCCAGGCTGGAGTGCAGTGGCGTGATCTAGGCTTACTGAAACCTCCGCCTTCCAGGTTCAAGCAATTCTCCTGCCTCAGCCTCCTGAGTAACTGGAATTACAGACACATGCCACCATGTCCAACTAATTTTTGTATTTTTAGTAGAGACAGGGTTTCACCATGTTGGCCAGGCTGTTCTTGAACTCCCGACCTCAAGTGATCCACCCACCTTTGCCTCCCAAAGTGTAGGGATAATAGGTGTGAACCACCATGCCTGACCTTGAGGGTTGTTTTTCTTTTTTTAATATGATGTGAGGTAGGGGCTCAACTTCATTCTTTTGCATGTGGATATCTAGTTGTTCCAGCAGTATTTGTTGAAGGAACTATTATTTTCTCCATTTAATGGTCTTGCCATTCTTGTCAGGATCAATTGACCACAGAGGTATGGGTTTATTTCTGGATGCTCAATTCTATTCCATTGATCTATAAGTTCACCCTTATGTTTTGATTACTGTAGCTCTGTAGTAAGTTTGAAATCAGCAAGTGTGAGTCCTCCAACTTTATTCTTTTTTAAGATTGTTTGGCTATTTGGGGTCCCCTGTGATTCCACATGCATTTTGGGGTCAACTTGTCCATTTATGAAAAGCAAAAAAAAAGCAGTTGCATTTTGATAGGGATTGTACTGAATCTATAAATCACTTCAGGGGAGTATTGCCATCTTAACGGTATTTTGGCTACTGTATTTCTATATAAATTTTAGAATCAGCTTACCAATTTCTACATTTTGCAGGCTTTTTAGCCTGCAAAAATTCTGCTTGGAAACTAGTATTGGTTTTTGACATTGGCTGTTTCCTATTAAATTGCTAACTTCCATCTACCTGCACTGCCCATGGTCTTCCTTCTTAAAAGCTTTCCTACGTCTGTTATCAAGGACATCCACACACCCACTCATATTAAACTACTAGAAAGCTTAATGCTTCCTTCTACATTAGAATATTTTCCTTACAGTGAGCTATGATTGTGCCACTGCACTCCAGCCTGGGTGACACAGCAAGACTCCATCTCTAAAAAATAATTTTTTCTAATAAAAAAAGAATATTTTCCTCTTACAGAACAAGCTGAAATTACAGTACATTTACCAGACCTACCTTTCTCTCAGCTTTTAAGGAGAAATAATGTATCTTAATTTATAAATTCATGCAAACAAAATCCTCCTATTCACAAGATTAAAAAATGGTTTTACCTGTATAGCAAAAGTACCAACTCCGCCTGAAGCGCCTAAGATTAGAACACTGAAATGCAAAGGAAACCACAATTAACGAGAATCTAAAGCAGATATAACTGGATAAACGTTTTCAACAAATAACTGGTTGATGATAAGATGATAAATAATTCTAAAAGAAAA
The DNA here is from genome assembly GCF_000001405.40 of Homo sapiens. Taxonomy (NCBI): domain Eukaryota; kingdom Metazoa; phylum Chordata; class Mammalia; order Primates; family Hominidae; genus Homo; species Homo sapiens. The sequence continues at coordinate 106,603,036 of NC_000006.12, forward strand.
TAAAGTTATTCAGCTTCCCAAGATATATTACACAAGGATTTTTATTTTAGGTTCACCAAGAAACTGCAGTTGCTTAAAATAAAGACATTCTATGAGCTCTGTACCAAGAATATCAAATACCGAAAATACCAATAATTTGTTGGTTTAAGATAGCTCAGATGGTCCTTTGTAATATCTGCCTTATAATTTTTCTAGGCTAAAATTGTTAGAGCTTCCTCTATGAGAGGGAGATTTGGGGCCCTTTTTAATTTGTTATGCTTAGCTGTTCTCTAAGAAAAATCACATTCCTGACTACATTCTCACCAAAGCGAAATAAACATCTTTTGTTCAGAGATGTCAAGTTCATCAACTTTCATAAATGAAAATCAATTCCCATCCTCGATGTGGCTTCCTGTTAAAGCAGAGGAATCTGTCAAACCAGCACAACCATCCTCATACTGCATGTTCTTACCATGTTAACTCACAATAGCCTTGAAGACCAGGGTGCTGAGCCTGGATCAGTCAGGGCAGGAGGGTGGGGCGGGACAAGGGTGAAGGGGTGAGGGGTAGGGTAAGGGATTATGAACTCTCTGAAATTGTGAATTTCCTAAAATAACATGTAAAATTTGTGCGATGATGCATATGCTTATTGACAAGGAAAGGAATCTAGACCTATCATCTATTTCCCAAAGAAGTGTGCAATCCAAAAGAGAATCACCAGTCAAAAAACTGCTTTCCATGCTCTTACATTTTATTCTTAAATTAAGGTAGAGCTTCAGAGAACTGCCTACTTGGACTGGATGGTTTCAAGTCCCAGAAAATTGTTTGTACTGTACTTTGGTGTCATGCTACTGATTGAGGCTGAGGGACATTATAAAAAGTGATTGTTTGATATCTGATACTGTATTAGCTAAGGGGATATTGTTGACAGAATTCATGAGAATTCTCTTTATGACGGCCTACAAAAAAAACACTTTTCTGAACACTAAGTGGTGGCAGTATCTGTCCTATTTAACATCACCGTAAATTGAGTAACTGCTAGTGTGGGTCCCTACTGCCTTGGCTGCTGGAAAGTGCAGGGAATTTTGCCACCTATCTCTAGTAAGTACACCAAATCTTGGAACACGCATTCTATCTATAACCTTCACCCTAGTTTCATTTCATTTTTTTCTATCTTGCCCAAATCATAGAAGGCTGTTTGTCACCCTTATTTATAGCTTAACAGTTACTACTAAAATTTTTGAGCCAGTTGTTCCCTTTGAAATTAAAACCATTAAATGTAATTAAGCCAAGTCTCCTTCCAAATTGTGTTCCTTCTAGAAGGATTTATAATTTCCAAAATTATAAAGACTAGAAGAAATTTTAAAGATCCTGTTAGGGTTCAGAAAACAATACCCCAGAGTATGTCACTTTGACATGCTGAGTACTTTGAAGTAAAGAAGCAGCCTCAGAACGAAGGTCTCTCTGACCTTCTCTCACCATCCCGGCCACGGTCTCTCATCCCTTCCCTTTGTCTCTCCTGAAGTGCAAAGGGACGATTTCTCTGAAGTTCCCTCAGAAGGAATGCTATTTTCTTGGGCCCCCTCCCTATAATCTCACCAAACACAGAAGATTAACTCACATGAAAGAAGACTAGAGTAGGTGCCACACACACAGCCCAGATGAATTTTGTCCTAGGCTACTGTCTGTTCTTTGGGCCCATTCATCTCCCCTCAAAATAATTTGCTCTTCCTCTAAAATTGCCTACATACTCCCCTTCCCTCCACCCTATGAAGAGGGTATGTAGGCATCACCCATTTGGCCCTTCTTTGAGGTTTGTACCTTGTGTGACTTCCATGCACCTGCACCTTATTACCTGCCCAGGTCTGCTGCCACCAACACTGACAGTGACCCCACCCCTCCAGTAGTAGAGCTGCCACACTGCCATGCATGCAGTGCAGAGACTAGAGGACCAGTTCACCTGGGGCCCACAACTACCACTGCTGGCCCTCATGCACAATGACCACAGTGCTGAGGACTAGTCCACCCAAAGCCTGCCATCCACACCAGCAGCAGGAATGCCATGTAGCTGTATGTGTCACCTAGTGACCTGAGAACCAGACTGCCTGGCACCCCTATGTCCAACAAAAGTGCCCAACAGGCCAAGCGCGGTAGCTCATGCCTGTAATCCCAGCACATTGGGAAGCCGAGGCAGGCAGATCATGAGGGCAAGAGATCGAGAACATCCTGGCCAACATAGTGAAACCCCGTCTCTATTAAAAATACAAAAATTAGCTGGGCACGGTGGCACACTCCTGTAGTCCCAGGAGGCTGAGGCATGAGAATCGTTTGAACCCAAGAGGTGGAGGTTGCAGTGAGCTGAGATGGCACCACTGCACTCCAGCCTGGCAACAGAGCGAGACCCTGTCTCAAAAAAAAAAAAAAAGTGCCTAACAGCCTCCACAAACTACAGCGTAAGCCACTGAGGAATTACTGACACGATTGATAGTGATTACAGCCAAAGAAATCATACAAAGATGCTGGGTGCAGTGGCTCATGCCTGTAATCCCAGCACTTTGGGAGGCCGAGGTGGGCAGATCACGAGGTCAGGAGATCGAGACCATCCTGGCTAACATGGTGAAATCCTGTCTCTACTAAAAAAAATACAAAAAAATTAGCCAGGCATGGTGGCAGGTGCCTGTAGTCCCAGCTACTCGGGAGGCTGAGGCAGGAGAATAGCATGAACCCGGGAGGCAGAGGTTGCAGTGAGCTGAGATCGCGCCACTGCACTCCAGCCTGGGCGACAGAGCAAGACTCTGTCCCAAAAAAAAAAAAAAAAAAAAAAAAAAAAGAAATCATACAGAGACTACACTACTGCGCTCACCCAGGAACAAAGCCAAAGCACTCTACTCAAACAACACAATAGATACATCTACAGGAAAAAGTACTGGAAGTACTAGCCAGAGCAATTAAGCAAGAGAAAGAAATAAAAGGCATCCAAATTGGAAAAGAGGATGTCAAATTGTCCCTCTTTGCAGATGACATGATCTTACATATAGAAAAAACAAAAGACCACCAAAAACCTCTTAGAATTGATAAACAAACTCATTAAAGTAGCACAAAATCAACATACAAAAATCCGTAGCAGCCAGGAGCAGTGGCTCACGCCTGTAATCCCAACACTTCAGGAGGCTGAGGCAGGCAGATCGCTTGAGTCCAGGAGTTCAAGACCAGCCTGGCCAACACAGCAAAACCTATCTCTACTAAATACAAAAATTAGCTGGGCACAGTGGCACACGCTTGTAGTCCTAGCTATTTGGGAGGCTGAGGTGGAAGGATCACTTGAGCCCAGGAAGGCGGAGGTTGCAGTGAGCTAAGATCGTGCCACTGCCCTCCAGCCTGGGTTACAGAGCAACACTCTGTCTCCAAAAAGAAATTTTTTTAAATAAACAAATATAAATAAAAATTTAAAAATCAGTGGCATTTCTATATACCAACAATGAACTAGCTGAAAAAGAAATCAATTTCATTTACAATAGCTACAAAAAAACCACTTAGGAATAAATTTAACCAAGGAGGTGAAAGATTTATATAATGAAAACTAGAAACACTGATAAAAGAAATCAAAGAGGGCTAGGCACGGTGGCTCACACCTCTAATCCCAGCACTTTGGGATGCCAAGTGGGGGAGGATCGCTTGAGCTCAGGAGTTCAAGACCAGCCTATCTCAAAAACATACATATAAATTAAATAAATAAATAGAAAAGAACACAAAAAAATGGACATCCTATGCTCATGGATTGGAAAAATAAATGTTGTTAAAATGAACAAACCACCCAAAGCAATCTACAGACTTAATTCAAGCCTTATCAAAATATCAATGACATTCTTCACAGAAATTTTTTAAATCCTAAAATTTGCATGGAACCACAAAAGACCTTGAATAACCAAAACAATATGCACAAAAATAAAACAGCAGGAGGCATCACCCTACCTGACTTCAAACTATACCACAAAGCTACAGTAACCAAAACAACATGGTACTGGTATAAAAACAGATACATAGACCAATGGAACAGAATAAAGAACCCAGAAATAAATCAACCTATTTATAGCCAACTGATTTATGACAAAGGCAACAAGAATTGATGTTGGTGAGAGGATAATTTCTTCAATAAATGGTGCTGGGAAAATTGGATATCCATATGCAGAAAAATGGAAACTAGATGCCCATCTCTCACCATATATAAAAACCAACTCAAAATGAATTAAAGACTTAAACATAAGACCCAAAAAAAAACTATTAGAAGAAAGCATATGGGAATACGGGCAAAAATGATATAGGTAAGACTTCAAAAGCACAGGCAGCAAAAACATTAATAAATAGGACTATATCAAACTAAAAAACTCTGTACAGCAAATGAAACAACCAATGAAGAGACAACCTGTAGAATGGGAGAAAGTATATTCAAACTCTACAACCAACAAGGGACTACTACCCAGAATATATAAGGAACTCAAAAAACTCAACAACAACAAAAAAACTAGTAATCCAATTAAAAACGTGCAAAGGATCTGAACAGACATTTCTCAAAAAGAGAAAAATGATCAAGCATAGGCAAAATATGCTGTACATCACTAATAATCAGGGAAATGCAAATTCAAACCACAATGAGATCTCTCACCCTAGTTAGAATGGTTATTACCAAAAAGACAAAAAACAGGGCTTACTTAGGCAGCACATATACTAAAATTGGAATGACACAAAGATTAGCATGGTCCCTGAGCAAGAATGACATGCAAATTTGTGAAGTGTTCCATATAGAAAAAAGACAAAAAAAAATAAATATTGGAAAAGATGCAGAGAAAAGGGGACTCTTATACACCTTTGGTGGGAATATAAGTTAGTATAGCCAATATGGAAAACGGTATGAAGTTTTCCCTAAAAGTAAAACTATCGTAAGATCCAGCAATCCTACTACTGAGTATTTATCCAGAGGAAGGAGAATCAGTCATATCAAAGAGATATCTGCACTCCCATGTTTAATACAACACTATTTGCAATAGCCAAGATATGGAATCAACTTAAATGTCCATTAACAGATAAACAGGTAAAGAAAATGTGGTATGTATACACAAGGTAATACTATTCAGCCATAAAAAAGAAAGAATGATATTCTGTCATTTGTGGCAACAGGGATGAGCCTGGAGGACATTATGTTAAGTGAAATAAGTCAGGCACAAGAAGATAAATACCACGTTTTCACTCAAGGGGGAGCTAGACAAGGTTGAAGTCACAGAAGCAGTGAGTAGAACTGTGGTTTATCAGTCGCCAGGAAGGGTAGCAGGGAGGGAAGAACAGGGTGAGGTTGGTTAACAAATACAAAATTACAGCTAGATAGGAAGAATAAGTTCTAGTACTCTATAGCACTACAAGGTGAATATAGTTAATAATAATTTATTGTATACTTTCAAAAAACTAAAAGAGAGGATTTTTAATGTTCCCAACACAAAGAAATAATCAATGTTTGACTTGAAGGATATGCTGATTGTTCTGATTTGATCATTACACATGGTATCCATGTATTGAAATATCACACTATGCCCCATAAATGTGTACATTACATATCAACTAACATTAAAAGGAAATAAATAATGTGTATAACTTTTCTCCTATTAATCTATTATCAGTTGATTTCAGCAGACTCAGTTATAGAACCTTCAGAGGGCAGAGGTAAAGTACCTTTTGCCCTGACAATTCAAACATAGCTTTAGTCTTCCTAAATGAGGGAAAAAAGTATGAAAAGTGCTTCAAAAATACATTCAAAAATTAATTCCCCCATGAAATATTTCACCCTCTTACTTTTGTCCATTCTTATAGAAGTGTTGCTAGTCAAATTCTCATTTAAGTTCCTCACAATATATTACCTGCACTCTCCAACTTTTCCTCTCACTATTTCCTGAATGGAACTCTTCCTCTGAGACTCTGTTCCCCTAATTCTTCCCCCTACATTGCACACACACTGGTCCATTCCTCCAGGCTCTAGAATGCTATAATTACCTGCTGAGGTCTCCTTTCCCTTGAAGGACCAAGTCCCAGTTTTCCTCTACAATACCCTTAACATAGCCTGGAACCTGTTATCTATGCCACACATCCTACTTCCCAACTTATTCTGCAAGCTCTTAAGGTCAGAGACTTCATATTATGCCCTGCATTGGCCACAGTGCCCTGGATGTAGCAGATGCCTGATCAAAGTTTCTTGACTTTCAAAATCATCCATGGCCAGACATGGTGGCTTACGCCTGTAATCCGGCACTTTGGGAGGCTGAGGCGGGAGGATTGCTTGAGCCCAGGAGTTGAAGATCAGCCTGGGCAACATCATGAGATCACATCTCTACGAAAAATAAAAAATAAATTATCTAGGTATGGTGGTGCTGAGGTGGAAGGATGGCTTGAGCCCAGGAGTTTGAGGCTGCAGTGAGCAATGATTGTGCCACTGTACTCTAGCCTGGGTGACAGAGTGAGACCTTGTCTCTAAAAAAAGAAATCATCCAATCACCATTATGTCCTACAATCAAGGCAACAACTGCTACTACCTCAAGTGAGGGGATCGCCTGGCTACTTGAAAGACTGCATTCAAGTTTCTTCCAGTAAAGAAAAGCTTGAAAATAATTTCTAATTCTCTCTCTGTGAATGCTGGATACTAAATATAATGGCTACTTCAGGATCCAACTGCCAAATACATCTCCGACCTCATTATTGTCAGTTCATCTCTTCCCTATAACTCTTGATCCAAAGCAACTTCATTCCCTCAAATAAAAAAGCAAAACTGTGTTTCACAGCAGGGCTTAGCAAGAGTGGTTCTGCAATAGCAGCTTCAATTCTTTGTGTTGCCACCTGATGGCGACCCCAAGTGCAAAAGCAGCAAGGAGCAGGTCCAATGAATGAAGCGCTGTTAGCTTGTAAAGGAGCCCTGAGGACACATCGTTTTCTGGTCCTGTAAACTCCACATTTTGTGCAGGTTTCAACCATATCTTTCTTCAAAGTCCCCAAAAAGAGAGTAGGCAAAATAAATTTTTTTTTTTTGAGACGGAGTCTCACTCCGTCGCCCAGGCTGGAGTGCAATGGTGCTATCTCAGCTCACTGCAACCTCCGCCTCCCGTGTTCAAGGGATTCTCCTGACTCAGCCTCCTGAGTAGCTGGGACTACAGGCGCCCACCACCACACCTGGCTAATTTTTTTGTATATTTAGTAGAGATGGGGTTTCACCATGTTGGCCAGGCTGGTCTCGAACTCCTGACCTCAGGCAATCCGCCCACCTCAGCCTCCCAAAGTGCTGGGATTACAGGTGTGAGCCACCGCACCCGGCGGCAAAATAAATTTTCAAGCCAACAATAAGCCGGTCGGTCTTCTAAAGTCTGAAGTCTTGTGGCTCAACTAATTATTCTTGTTGTATTCTTCACAGCACGTTCAATGCAAAGGGAAGCAACTGCTGTTGCTGACCTCCCAATGGCCCTTCACTTAAGTCCTACACAGTGGGAATACTTTTTACCTAGCTTGCTGTAATGGCCACACTATATATTCGAATCTCACTGAAGTAGAAGCCTATTTGTGATAGTGAAGAAACGTGTGCTGTATTTGTTGGTTTATATAAAGTGTGTACAGAAATACTCTACTTGAAAAAAGCACTGTTATTCAAAATCGCCAAGGTTTTTAATTGCATGCCTCTATTACTTCTTAAGTACACATATAGAGCTTCTTTGGAAGTCAGAAGGGATTGTACTAGTGACAGATATTTTTTAAATATGGAGAAAATATGAATCAGTATTACATTACTTAGGCATTCTTAAACCCTAAAATCTAACTTGCTCTGTCCTTTTTGCCTAATCTCTGAATTCTCCCTAAACATACATTAAGGCACTGAAGCAATGTTGGCTTCTTTTCCATGACTGAGTCACTTTTTATTTGGCATTTGGGCACCTAAGCCCTCTACAATCACAGTTTTCAGTATTGTAATCTTATGAGGTAGGGCGCCAACCCCCTTAGCTGCCTTACAAAAAAAAAAACAAAAACACGAAACATGCTACAAAACAGCAAGACATCCAGAAGTAGAAAATCATCTTCAAGTTTCTATATTCTGACTTGATCCCAAAAATCTCTGAATGCCAGGGCTGGGTATCTAGAGTCACGGGTTCAGGTTTCAACTCTCTCTCTAATGGAATCCCTGGCCCTCAGATCTGTCACCTACAAAATGATGATGACAGAAGTGTACTCTGGGAGTCAATGAAAAAGAACAGGTGCTTTCCATCTAATTTAAGCTTATATTTTGTTTCTCCACCTTTGAAACAGACATATATGGCCTTCAAAATTGCCCCAGATTTATAGTGAAAAAAGCCACATTATAAGATTAGAGTGTCATCTATTAAATCCTAATGACTTATGAACAAAGATGATTTAAATATGGTGAAATCGACCATCAGTAGAAACAAATGGTTTTAAGAAATAAGGATTATGCTGAAAATGTATCTCATCTTTCACCTCCACAAACTACTTTTTTTCTCAGCCTTGTGGAGGTTCTGAAACACACATGACTTTTAAATCACGGGGAAAACAGATAAAAGATAGCAAAGTGTCTTAGCATAATACGCCAGGTTTATTGTCTTAAAGTGAGTGAGAAACTTAATCTGAATAAGTGGAAAAATATAGCTACAAAACAAATCAATCAAAGGAGACCAAGATAGCCTAGATTTATGTGTCCTCTTCTTCTAAGCCTCTGTAATGCATGTTGACATCCCCCAATTTACAGAAGAGTTTGTGTGTGAATTAAATGTTTAGAAAGTTAAACACATTTTCCCAAGAAAACAAAGCTATTTATATATCTTGGTAAGGTGGCCAGGGTAAGCCATTTATGAAGACTTAGTTAACCCATAATCGACGAAGAACTTTATACACAGGATAACAATGGCTTTGTTATCCGAAGTGTATTCAGAATTTCAACCAGGGGTACTGGGAATGTATCCCCCCAAATGGGATAGGCAGTGGGAACCATCCCAAATCACTGGTTCCTTCAATCTTATACAGAAGCAGATAGAGGGAAAAATGCTTGTGATGGGCAGGGCATGGTGGCTCACGCCTGTAATCCCAGGACTTTGGGAGGCCAAGGCAGGTGGATCACCTGAGGTCAGGTGTTCGAGACCAGCCTGGCCAACATGGTGAAACCCCATCTCTACTAAAAATATAAAAATTAGCCAGGCATGGTGGCGGGCACCTATAATCCCAGCTACTCGGGAGGCTGATGCAGGAGAATCGTTTGAACCTGGGAGGTGGAGGTTGCAGTGAACCGAGATTACACCACTGCACACCAACCTGGGCGACAGAGCAAGACTCCGTCAAAAAAAAAAAAAAAAAAAAAAAAAAAAGCTTGTGATGGGTGACAATAGGGCATAAGACAGAGAGAAGTAGTGAGGTCAGAGGATTTACCATGGAGCCAATGAAGCCGAAGCCCTTCACTTACACAAGGCCCAGAGAGGAACCCTAGCAATATTTTGCATAGACATGTTAGATACGAGTTCTAAATTTCTTTTCAAATAATTAATATGTCAGTATGTTCAATTCTTTGCCTTCTACTTTTAAACTTCCTCATAAAGCAACCTTTTACAATTACCTGCTCCACCCTGACTCATTCCAATCACCTGCTCTACCCTAACTCATTCCATCACCTGCTCCACCATAACTCATTCCGATTACCTGCTACCTGCTCTGCCCTGACTCCCGCCAAAGCACTCACCCCATCATTCTCTTTAAATTAGCCAATCAGAATTAGTTTAGTCTGTGTGGGCTAACCCTAGCCAATAGGGGAATGACAGAGTAGCAGGGGCCACGTGCATCAGGGATAAGAACCCCTTCCCCTCCCTTGTCCAAACATGCGCTCGCCATTGTTCCATCTGTAAGGGCGCACCCTTCTATATAGAAGTAACTGGCCTTGCTGAGAATTAAAAAGAAAATTTTATATTCAAGTGCTATTTCTTTTGTGGCGCCGAAACTTTATATGTAACAGACATGTTTTTGTAAAATTTGTAAAAGATATGCTAACCACAATCAGTTAAGATTGGTCTTTTTTCACTCTTACTCATCAGTCTTGCTTTTTTCTCAGGTGATACTAGATCTAGCTAAAGGGAAGTTGATTGGAAATATACTTGTTTGGGGTTTAGTGGAAAATACTGATGTGGTTCGTAGTCACTTCTGTGTAAAGTTAAGTTATCCCTAGCTGTCCTAGTTTAAGAAATGCCTTCCAGGAATTTCTTCCTACCTCTCATTAAGTCAACTCACCTAAGCCACATGACATTTTCTTAAAGCTGTGTATCACTGCACCCAGCACAGGGTCATGTGAGTAGTGAAGGAGAAAGAAAGTTAAACAAGGTTTGAAATGTACAAAGCCAGAAGCTAGTCTGTGGAAAATTCCTCCAATTAAAAAAATGTAAGAATTTACAAGACAACACTATATGGAAGAGGTTAACAACAAACTAATCAGGATTGTTCATTAAAATACAACAGTATTTTAGGCTTATTCACTACACAAGAAAACGTGAAATGCCTTGAAATCTGTAAACCAAAAATAAAATTCTAAGGCCCCAGCCATCTGAATGGACTCCTCTTCTTGGCCAAGGACATTCCAGAGTTCCCTGAAAATCTAGTTCTGCTCATGATGAGAGAGGAGGTTGCAGGCCTCATTATACCCCTGCAGCATTAACATCAACACAGAACTTGAATCTGATAGGAAACATTTACAGTCTATTCTCTCTAAAGCTGGCTACTTGGAGGCTTCATCTGCATGACAAAACCTAGGTCTCTACAACCCCTTATCTTAACCCAGACATTCCATTTCACTTATAATAAATCTTTCAACCAACTGCCAATCGGAAAATTTTTAAATCTACCTATCACTTGGAAGCCCACCCCTCTTCAAGAGGTCTCACCCTTCAAGATCAGACCAATGTAAATCTTATGTGTATTGATGGATGTATTGTCTTCCAAAAATATATAAAAGCAAGTTGCACCCTGACCACCTTGGGTGCATGTCATCCGGAGGCTGTGTCACAGGCGTGTCCTTAACCTTGCCAAAATAAACTTTCTAAATTGACTGAGACCTGTCTCAGATATTTTGGGTTCACAAATCTTATAGCTGGCATATAAAAGGAACTTGGAAGACATTGTTCCAAATTTGGCAACAATCTTATATTTTACATGACACGAACAATAATGAGTAGTGCTGAGGAAGGTGAAAGAGCAGGGTTTATGAACAATGTCAGGTTTTGACTTAGGGTAAACCACAATTAACTGACATTAGGATTACAGAGGAAGAGTTGGGGTGGTAGTTGGTAAGTGTTGTTTTGCTCAAGTTGAGTTTGAGATATAAAGAGAACATCTGACTGGAACTCAGTAAGAGGACAGAGTTAGAAATACAGATCTGTAAGTTACCAAACTATAAGTAGAAGCTGGGAGTAGATGAGATAACCCTGGGAAACAAAAAGGAAGAATAGAGTGGAATACTGGGAAAACAGCACATTTAAAGGGCTGGAGGAAGAAGTGGGGGCTTCTAAAAATGACAAGAAATGGTCAACAACAAAAAAAGAAAACTTAAAAGTCTTAATGTCCCTGAAACCATACGAAAAGTAAGTATTTAGGAAGTGTTCAACAATGCCAGCTACTTCAGAGAGATCAAATTAAAATAAGAACTGAAAAATGTCTTTGGGCTTGGCAACTTAAGTCACTTAAGTTAGCTACGACCCCAGTGAGGGCAGATGCAATTGAAAGGCAAGGCTAGAAGCTAGATTACAGTCCATTGAAGAGTAAATGACTTGTAACCTCACGAGATAGTTAACCTAGTCACTTAGAAAGCTATTGTATAAAACACAAATTTCCAGGAGTGAGGTTTCTGCTATTCTTTCAAGTGCCCACAGCCCCCACCCCCCCACCCAGGACTCCCTGGAAAATAGACCTGAAGCAAAGGAAGATTCATTTCCATCACACTGACCAAGCCAGAGCCTCCACTCTCACTCTCCTTGCCTCCTCAACCCCATACTTTGTTTATGCAAGAAAACAGCTGGGGTTTCTTTCTACTTCCCCTTACCCCCCTAACAATACAACCCAGTCAGGTGCAAATGAAAACTTAAAGTCCAAAAGGGTAATGGGCTTGGGGAGTGGGAAGAAACAGGTGGTGGTGGGGTGAAGAAAAGGCCTTAGAATGCATTTGAAAGAAGAAGGCTGTCATTTTAATTTTAATATAAGCATATCGGTAGGGAATAAACCCAATGTTTTTAACTCTGGGCCTAATTCTATAATTCTATATCAGAATTAATCAGACACCTAATTTACACTTACATGACAAAATTTTACTGCCATAAAACCTAATATCAAAAAAAAAGTATTCCTAAATTCACTTCATTGAGTTGCAAGTATACACAATTTAAAAGTGAAATTTATTTTGTGGAGGAGGAATAGTTCAATTCCTAACTCTGTTGCCCAGGATGGAGTGCAGTGGCATGATCTCAGCTCACTGTAACCTCCGCCTCCCGTGTTCAAGCAATCCTCCTGCCTCAGCCTCCCGAGTAGCTGGGACTACAGGCACGCAACACTACACCTAACACCTTTTAATACTTCTGTCAAACAGAATGAAGTACAACTTTCCCGGCAAGACATGAATTTCAGGCAGAGCATGAAATATTCAAGTGCACCAATGACACTACCAATAAATAAAACCATCAAATCTTAACATATTCAAAAAATATCCGGTTGTAACAACTTTTTAAAAAAATTTCTACTTATCTTGAGAGCCCTAAGTTATCTATGTGTTCCTACTGAACAAATCATGAAGAAACTATAGATGGGCTGATAAAAAGAAAATAATTTTCACTTGACATTTTCTTTTTCTTTTTTTTTGTTTTGAGATGGAGTCTTGCTCTGTCACCAGGCTGGAGTACCGTTGCGCAATCTCAGCTCACTACAACCTCCAACTCTGTGGTTCAAATGATCCTCCTGCCTCAGGCTCCCGAGTAGCTTGAACTACATGTGTGTGCCAACACGTCCAGCTAATTTTTGTATTTTTAGTAGCGACGGGGTTTCACCATGTTGGCCAGGATAGTCTCGATCTCCTGACCTCTTGATCCACCCACCTCGGCCTCCCAAAGTGCTGGGATTACAGGCATGAGCCGCCGCGCCTGGCCTCACTTGACATTTTCTAATGATATCAATGTGTGGACAAAATGACAGTATTATATGACATCAAGAATAAACTATTTCCTTGGTTCACTGATACTCAGCTGCTGCAGAAAAGTAACTACAGAACAAAGGGGGAAAAAGGTAAACATCATTGAACCCTTAGAAAGATTTGTCCTAATTTCAAATAAGCTGTTTGTTATAAAGAAATCCTATAAAATCTTCCAAGGTGCTGATAGGTGTTTTTGTCATTGTTAATTTTGTTTTTTTTTAATTAACTGATTAGAAAAAAAAGATGATTCATCTTTGATAACAAATACTGATGTGCTTTGTGCAGACTAAGGCATGCCTTAATGCCAATAGCTAATAGCTAACAGAAAAAGAACAGTTATTGCTTAGCATATTGAAGCCAAAATATGCTCCATCAATCACAATGAATAGTCAAATGGAAAATCCACTTTGGACACTGGAACTTCTGAGTTTAGGTACAATAAAATCTCATTATAGAATTTCTTCATTAAAAGTATTTTTACAGTATTTTAAGGTGCTCACATCTCTCATGTGACTCTCACAAATAAGCAGTTAAAAGAGGTAGGCCATTATTATAACCCATGTGTGGTAATTTCAGTAAACCGAAATTTCTGAGAGCAGCAAGTACCAAGTGCTATGGTCTGAATGTTTGTAATGTTTGTGTCCCACCAAAATTCGTATGTTGAAATCCTAACCCCCAGGGTGATGGTATTAGGAGGTGGGGTGATTAGGTCATGCAAGCGGAACCCTCATGAATGGGATTTGTGCTCTTATAAGAGAGAGAGACCCCAGAGATATCCTCACCCCTTCCAGAATATGAGGACAAGCGAGAAAGCACTGTTAAAGAACCAGAAAGTTGGTCCTCACCAGACACAAAACCTGATGTCACCTTGATCTCAGGCTTCCCAGCCTCCACAACTGTGAGAAATAAATTTCTCTTGTTTTTAAGCTACCAGTTTATGGTATTTTGTGATAATAGCCTGAACAGACTAAGACAGCAAGGTCTCACTGTGCTCACTGAGTCACTCAGGACAAATGTGTCCTACAGATCACAACATGTGAATGCAGCAGAAGTCCATGATGTGAATTGTTGAGACTCTTTGCAATGGGTTTCACTCTAGATTGGTTAACATTGGCTAAATCAATAAACAGACCCAACTCAATACAAGATATCATCACCTAATAAGGTCTAAAACTTTCCATTTCTCAAAGCTCTCCTCAAAACCTACACTGTCCTATACTCATAAACTCAGAGGAAACCACAAAGAGACCATAAATATATAGCATGTGGTCACCTGGTTAGTTAATGGCAGAACAGGACCCAGGGCTCCAACTTCCCAGTTCCAGGCCATTGTTGCTTAAACAGAAGATAACAGAGTACCAAAGAATTACCCACAAAGCCAACAACAAACTGAGGACTCACACCAATGTCTCTAAGAAGAGACAGATCTTTGTCTCTAAATTTTTAAATTTTTTCTTATCTTCTAAATTGTTTTTTACAGTATATTAAAAGTAAGTCCACAGAGCCCTGAACCAGTAAAAGAAATGAGAGCTCTCTAACAATAGTGCACATATAGTCATGCAGGCATAGAAAACATAATGTTTTTAAAGGAAAAAACAAAACAATAAAACCAATGCTGTTGCAGAGTCTACAATTACAATACAGGTCTAAAAATCTTCAATAAGGTTTTTGCAAGGTTATTAACTAAGAGAAACCATTAGAAAAATCTATGTGGTCAAAACTAATTTAATTTAAACAAAGTGTTGACCAAAATGGCAACTTCAAGAAAGATAAGCCACAATAGCTTAAAAAGTAAACAGGGTTGACCTTTAGAATAAATATTTACCTTGAATTCTAAGATAAGGAAGGGTAGTACCTCACTAGATGTATAGCTTTCATAAGTTTTCAAAAATACAGCTATTAAACTTTCATAAAATTTAATGCTCTATCACCGAACACATTAAATGTAAAGTGCAATGTTTCATAACAATAGAACAGAATCACACAGACTTCAGTTATGTTACCAACACAATCCTTAGTAATAAAAAAAACTAGGTTATTTTAATTTATTATAGTTTGACCTACAGCTCCTTCCTTCCTTACAATTGTTAAACGGTTCTTAGTATCTAGTTTTCTCAACAAAAAACAAAATCATCAGTTTTCTCTATGATGGCAACTTTCTAAAATACAAGGAACACCACAACCTCCTTGCTAACAACAGTAGCCACCATTTACTGAGTGCCTCCCACGTGCCATAAACTGTGTCACCAGTTTAATGTGCATTACCTCATTTAACCTTCAAAACAAAACTCATTAAAAAGTGAGTGAGTGGGTCACCCAACTGGAAAGCAACAGAATCTACATATAAACTCAAGTACATCTGAGACATTTCTGGTCACCATGTTGCTGCTAACCCAAATGAGTACACGCTCAAGGCATTGGGGAATCAGAATTGACCTAATGGATATTAGGCATTGAGACTGAGAGAACTTAAGAATATTCAATAGTTGTGCAGTCCCTTTATAGAAATATGCAAGTGTGAGAATAACTCCTGGGAGAGGTAGGGAAAAAACATCTTAACCTTGACATCATTCTTTAGAAACTGTATGGGATGATTCTTAACCTTTTTAGGAATTTCATTAAAAAAAAGATATGGATCTTCTTCCTAGAGAATCACATATAATATTTTGCATTATTTTAGAAGGTTCTGACTCCTAAAGTCCATTCCATCCACACATCTCAGTTAAAAAATTCCCAAGTGATTGGGCTGAGAATCCACAGAATGAAGCTAAGAAAGTGCAAACTGACACAAATAGAATGCTTTGGAAATTGTTTTCAAATGTTAGTACAGCTCTGTTCGTGTAAATGATACTAAATTTCAAAGCTCTGACAAATCTACTGCAAGGAACTCACAGAAGGAAAGAAAAGAGGTTTAGATGCTGCCACTGACTGATACACTTACCGTTTTCCTGTGCAATTCTTGTCATTCAGGCCACCAACTTTGTTTATAGCAGACCAGGCTGTGAGAGCCACATATGGCAAAGAGGCAGCTTGAGTATGAGTGAGTGATTTGGGTTTGTGAGAGACCTACATTTGAAGACAACAGTCAAAAATAAGCAATGACTTGCAAACCTATGAACACAATTAAGCACATTTACCTTCACAGGAATCCAGCTGACCCTTGAACAACAGGGGTTTGAATTGTGCAAGTCCACTTATACGTGGATTTCCTGCCTCTGCCACCTCTGAGACCAGCAAAACCAACCCTTCTTCTTCCTACTCCTCCTCTTTCTAGTAACTTGAACACAACAAGGATGAAAATCTTTATGATGATCCACTTAATGAATAGTAAGTATACTTTTCTTCATTTTTTTTTTTTTTTTTTTTTTTGAGACGGAGACTTGCTCTGTCGCCCAGGCTGGACTGCAGTGGCGTGATCTCGGCTCACTGCAAGCTCCGCCTCCCGGGTTCACACCATTCTCCTGCCTCAGCCTCCTGAGTAGCTGGGACTACAGGCGCCCGCCACTGCGCCCAGCTAATTTTTTGTATTTTCAGTAGAGACAGGGTTTCACCGTGTTAGCCAAGATGGTCTCGATCTCCTGACCTCGTGATCCGCCCGCCTCGGCCTCCCAAAGTGCTGGGATTACAGGCGTAAGCCACCGCGCCTGGCCTATGATTTTCTTAATAACATTTTTTCTAGCTTCCTTTATTGTAAGGATACAGTATATAATATACATAACATATTCTAGCTTCCCTTATTATAAGAATACAGTATATAATATACATAACATATTCTAGCTTCCTTTATTCTAAGAATACAGTATATAATATACATAACATATAAAATATGTGTTAGTTGACTTTTTTGAGATGGAGTCTTGCTCTGTCACCCAGGCTGGAGTGCAGTGATGCAATCTCAGCTCACTGCAACCTCTGCTCACTGCAACCTCCGCCTCCCAGGTTTAAGCGATTCTCCTGCCTCAGCCTCCCAAGTAGCTGGGACTACAGGCGCCCAACACCATGCCCGGCTAATTTTTGTATTTTTAGCAGAGACAGGGTTTTACCATATTGGCCAGGCTGGTCTCGAACTCCTGACCTTGTGATCCACGCACCTCGGCCTCCCAAAATGCTGGGATTACAGGTGTGAGCCACTGCACCCAGCCTTAGTTGGCTTTTTATGTTATCGGTAAGGCTTCTGGGCAACAGTAGGCTATTAGCAGTTAAGTTTTAGGGGAGTCAAAAGATGTAGGTGCATTTTCTACCTCACAGGGGTAGGTGCACCAACTCCTGCATTGTTCAGGGGTCAACTGTATTTTCACAGATAAATCTATAAAATCATTCCAGTTCATGTTTGTTGCATATCTTACTCCAAGATTATCCTTAATAAATATTGCATAGCTCTATCTGTTGCATATCTTGGAGTAGGGTAAGCAATATGCATACCCTACTCCAAGATTATCCTAATAAATATTGTATAGAATAGCTCTACCTGCCTCACAGATGTTCAGTAATGTTATGTAGGCTACATTATCAGATATAACTACTTCATTGTTTATAAAAAGACCACATCAATATTCCCATTAGTCGTGAAGTAAATCCAAATAAACCTTGAACTCTCAAAAACACGTCCTAATTAGTTTTTGAGATCAGCTGTTTCCTTTACTCTCATTTTCTGGAAAGGAAATCTTTCTAGGTTTTCTCTAATCTCAGTAATAACCTTTTCCCCCTTCCTGCCCTCCCTTCTGTAGCCAATTTCCTCAATGTTAACCCCTTTCTCTCTATTCAATTTGTTGGTCTCCTGACTGTATTTGATTAGACTCCTGTTTTTAAAGTTATTCAAAACCGCTGGATATTTCCATGTCTCCACTGATGACTAATCCATCCTCTCTACTGCCTATATCTGTTTTCAACTATTTATCTAGGGTAAAACCAAGCAACACAGCAGGGTTCTAGGTCTCATTCCAAATCCCTGCTCTATGAGAGAAAAACAGCTACGTTAGCAGGCAGTGTTACTGAATGGCATCAAATACTTTTTTAATCTCTCAAAAATTCCTATATTCTATATTATCTTTTTATAAACTGCCCCATCAAACATAAACTAGATCTGAAAAACACCAGTTATTTCAGATATTTGCCAGTCTTTGTTTAAACTTTCTAATGCATTTCAGCAGAGTTGGTAAGTTACCTCATTCCCACTGACTACAACAAACTCTGAAAGAGTGCCTTGTTTCCAAGGAGGAACTGCAGCCCAGACCTGAAACACACACAGACAGACAGCTTCATTAGAAACACAGATATTTTTTGACCGAAGCTAAGCAAGAAAGTGTTCCCTAATATATACCCTGTGCTGTGAAAAACACAGAAGTCAGCACTACACCAAGCAGGAGTGTTATTTTCATGATATAAATTTATTACTTAGTATGATTCTAGATTTATCAAGTCAAACCACGCTGGAAGCAGATGCCAGCATATCCTGCTGCATTTACTGACTACTTCGAGTCCCAATAAGACCACAATCTCTGGGGTCTGAGTCCTGGCTCCACCACTTATTAGCTATGAGACCTCTTTATAGCTTGGCTTCCTCATCTGTAAACTGGGCCTAACTTTATCTACCTCAGAGGGATTAGATGACTTATTTTATAAAAAGCAACCAGAACAGTGTTAGCTATGATTATGAACTATCATTTCTTGGTACAAAAGTTCAAAGTGACAAGTGACAGGTGATTATACCAAACTTAAGCTATTTTAAAGCCATCTCATCCATAAGGCAGAAATTGTCATTTAAAGGCCCTTTCAAGGAAAAAAAAAATACCCTAATTCTATATATTTTAAAGTCTTGCATTTCTTAAGTACTAAACTTAGAAAACACAAACTCAGGTACAGTCAAGATATTTTGGAATTGTTTGTGAAAAAATGTAACAACAGAACCAAAAAAGTGATGGTTCTAGTCAAAGCTCAGTATATTTGTTGAAAAGAAGAAAAAAGTTCAACAGCATAGAATATACTTCTGAAACAGAATGAAATTTGCACATTTAGTAAAGGAATATGTGGGAGTTCAGTCAGGGTGGTGGGAAAAATTGTAAGAGGAAAAATTATAAAGATAGTTATAGGAAGTAGACACAAACCTACTTGGAAGGCCGGGGGTGTTGCACAGCTTTAGTAAAACATTTGGCTGAAAGCAGCCTAATTCTCTTTACCTTGAGTTGATAGCAATAGAGCAAATAACTAGGGAATGTGGGGGAGTTTATCTAAATAGTTTGTTTACTCAAGTGGTCCTAAGACCAATCTTTGATCTTTCATGGATGCATGATTGCTCTCTACTGCTGCAGAGGCAGGGCACGGTCGGCAATGTTAATTACCCTCTAGTGGTGTTTACTCGAGACCTACGTCATTTAATCTGTACTAAATAAATGCAAACTTTGTCAGTTTAGGGGGCAGATGCTGCAGATTCAGGGAGCAGAAGCCCCTTAGCTGCACTGACAGGCAAAGTATCTGTGTCAGTGTGCGTCTCTCATCCGTCGCTGGATCAGGGTCTGTGGGTTGGATCCCCGCAGGAATAGTGGCATTCCCTAACTCACCTCATCTCCAGGCTTGAAGTATTTCACATCAAGCCCACATTCCATCACCACGCCAGAGACATCCCGACCCAGAGTCAGAGGAAATTCTTCTCCTTTGATTTTCACGTGTAAAGGATCACGCTTCATATTTAAAGCTGTAGCTCCATAACCACCTGTAAAATACAATTTATCTGTTTCCTCCAAATGTAAGTATGAAATGCTTTTAAAACTACTACAGGGTTATAGTCCAGTACAATTTTAGGTCTTCAAGATGTAGATTATAAATCATTCCATTACAAAGACACATAAGTGTATGTTCACTGCAACACTATTCACAACAGCAAAGACATGGACTCAACCTAACTACCCATCAATGATAGACTGGATAAAAAAACTGTGGTACATACACACCATGGAATACTATGCAGCCATAAAAAGGAACGAGATCATGTCCTTTCCAAGGATATGGATGGAACTGGGGGCCATTATCCTTAGCAAATTAACACAGGAACAGAAAACTAAAGTGGGAGCTAAATGATGAGAACACATGGACACATAGAGGGGAACAACACACACTGGGGTTTTTCAGAGGGTGGAGGGTGGGAAGAGGAAGAGGATCAAGAAAAATAACTAGTGGGTATGAGACTTAATACTTGGGAGATGAAATACTCTGTAGAACAAACCCCCATGACACAAGCTCACCTATGTAACAAACCTGCACTTGTACCTCTCAACTTAAAAGTTTTTTAAAAAAGTAATCAACCTTATAATTTTTTGCCATTACATGGGAAAGCATAAAAAGATTTTCTTTAAAAAAAATTTACTTGGAAAGTGATAATCACTTATTAAACTAAAGCCACCATTGTTCAAAATATTTTTGAAATTCAAATTTTGAAACTGTCTTCAGAACTTTTAGTATTATCTTTTATACAGTTTTGCTTTGTTCTTTGAAGATGATGTCTTTATTAACGTATTCATGTCTTTATTAACGTACTCATTCACAAACTTTTTAAACAACAGAATATTTGGTGCCAGGTCTGGTGAAGACAAATGTTTAAGCTGTTTGAAGTCAATATATAAATAAGGCAAGAATATAAAGTACTTGATGCTGACAACAGTTTACCAGTAATGATCCCCACATCCTTAAACATGTTTCTAGAACAACATCTTTGAAATAAATTGGAATAAATTCCTGAGTGATAAAAAGCCTCTTGGCTGCATCTGTTCTGATGTGTAAAATCAAGTTGTTTTATTTCACATCTTTTTATTTATTTTTTTGAGACAGGGTCTCGCTCTGTCATGAGGCTGGAGTGCAGTGGCATGATCTTGGCTCATTGCAACCTCTGCCTCCAGGGTTCAAGTGATTCTCCTGCCTCAGCCTCCCGAGTAGCTGGGACTACAGGCACACACCACCACAGCCACCTAATTTTTGTATTTTTAGTAGAGATGGGATTTCACCATGTTGGCCAAGATGGTCTCAATCTCCCTACCTCGTGATCCGCCCGCCTCGGCCTCCCAAAGTGCTGGGATTACAGGTGTAAGCCACTGCACCCGGCCTATTTTATTTATTTTTTTAAGAGATGAAGCCTCACTCTGTTGCCCAAATGCAGTGATGTGATCTTGGCTCACTACAACCTCCACTTCCTGGGTTCAAGCCATTCTCATGCCTCAACCTCTGGAGTAGTTGGGATTACAGGTGTGCGCCACGTCTGGCTAATTTTGTAGAAACAGGGATTCATCATGTTGGCCAGGCTGGTCTCAAACTCCTAGGCTCAAGCGATCCACCCACCTTGCCTCCCAAAGTGCTGGGATTACAGGCGTGAGCCACCACACCTGGCCCATATCTTTTTATTTTTAAGACTATTTACAGGCCAGGTGTGGTGGCTCACATCTGTAATCCCAGGACTTTGGGAGACCAAGGTGGGAGGATTGCTTGAGTTCAGGAGTTCAAAACCAGCCTAGAGCTCATCTCTACTAAAAATTTTAAAAATTAGCCAGGCATAGTGGTACATGCCTGTAATCCCAGCTACTCAGGAGGCTGAGGCAGGAGGATTGCTTGAGCCCAGGAGTTTGAGACTGCAGTGAGCCATGATCACACCACTGCACTCCAGCCCAGGTGACAAAGCAAAGCTCTGTCTCAAAAAAAAAAAAAAAAGAAAAAGAAAAAGAAAAAGAAAAAGAATACTTATATAAATATCAGCTAAATAAAACTGAAAACATTCTTTTAATTTTTTGGTTCAAGTAAATTTGCTACTCTATAATAATCCAGAGTAATTTATTACATGGCTTCCATATACAACGTGACTTTTCTCAGACCCAAAAGTATCTGTTATTCTCTCTTCTGCTTGACCTTTTTTTGAGAACCTGTCTGCCATGTGAGGCTTTCCATGATAGGCACCCTGCCTACCTCTCCAGTGTCATGTACCACTCACTCCCTGCCCCACAACGCATGCTCCACAGTCACTAACCCACTCTGTACGTCTCCCCTTGCCCCGCACCCACTCCTGTGGGCAATCCATTAGATCTTAGGGATGAGGAGAAAGCAGCAAAGGAGACTAAGGCGGCAGTTTAAAGACATTCAATGCTGCTGACGGGAGACAGGTTTTCAAATAAGGTCCAAAGATGCTAAGAGGCTTTAAAACAAACAAACAAGCCTGGATCTAACAGACCTTTGGTAACCCTGCCAGGAGCAACTGCTGTGTAGTGCACTTTTGAGAGAATGGGAAATAAGGGACTGGAGACATGAGAAGACTGAACTCTCTTTAAAACAGTTTTGTTGCAAAGGGAGCAGAGAAATGGAGCAGTAGCTCGAAGTGGGAACTGGGATGGACAGAGGACTTTTGAGTGGCTTTTTTCTTTTTTTTCTTTTTTTTTTTTTTTTTTTTGAGACAGAGTCTTGCTCTGTTGCCCAGGCTGGAGTGCAATGGCGTGATCTCGGCTCACTGCAACTTCCGCCTCCCGGGTTCAAGCGATTCTGCTGTCTCAGCCTCCTGAGTAGCTGGGATTACAGGCATGCGCCACCACGCCTGGCTAATTTTTAGTAGAGACGGGGTTTCTCCATGTTGATCAGGATGGTCTCGAACTCCTGATCTCAGGTGATCCACCTGCCTCGGCCTCCCAAAGTGCTGGAATTACAGGTGTGAGCCACTGTGCCCAGCCTTTTCCTTCTTCTTAAGAAAGGAGAAATAACAGCAAGTCTGTATACTAATGGAGATGATCCAGTAGAAAAGAAAAGACTGATGATGCAGGAGACACCTGCCGGAATGATATCCCAGAGTAGGTGAGGGGGATGGGATCAGAAACACAAGCCGAGGGCTGGCCTTATGTGAAAGCAGTGACAGCTAATCCATACAGCAGGAGGGAAGGTAGAAGATACCGAGAGAGATGCTGACAGGTGGGTAGCTTGCATGAGTTGTGTTACTAATAAAAAATCAAGACACATGGGATAAAGTGTTTGAAAGGTGGGAAAGTCCCAGAAAATCTAAGCTGATGGCCATTATACCAACATTACAACATTTGCCATCTGGGGAGTCAGGATTATACTCTGTCAGGGAAAAAAAAAACAACTTCACTTGTAATATTCACAAAAGTCATGTGCTTCACTTTTCCTGCCTTACATTCCTTTTCCACTGCTAAAGATAATTAAACAATTATTCACTGAAACTTCTATGTGGTTTGAACAACAGAAGTGGACATTTAGTCGTGTCAAACTTTAGCTGCTGTTTAAGAGCTGCAGAAAGGTTTCAGTCCTCTTTGAGATACAGAGCCTGCAGCCCAAGGTTGTTTTTAGTTTTCTTGGTCCCCTGATAATGCTAATACATCAACTGAGTAGCCTTGGCTCACTGTTACTATCTAACAAGCCCCTGAACCCAGAATGTAGTCAGCTGGCAGTTAGTAATTGAGAACCTGTTTGGTGACACGGATGACTGAATGGGGCCCTTAAGTGTTCCATCCTATTGACAGGGGTTGACACCTTGACTTGTTCAGAGAGTTGGGCCAATTTGAAAAATCCTAAATCTGTCATCAGTTTAAAGACTTTAATCCCATCTAAAGACACCAAACTTTGTTGGTATGATGCTGTTGGCTGCATTTTTTCCCCATGTAAAAATTCTTCATTTCTTTAGCCATTTCTATGATTTATTATTTTACGTCCAACAGTAGTGGCCGTCTCCAGAAAAACAGCCAGCCTTCATCTTTCAAATAAAATAGACATGTCTCTTGCTTTCTTGCCAAGGGAAATAACTGCTTCCTACAGTTTACAGTCTTCTACTCATTATTTTATTTCCCCAAGCTACTGTTTCAGATATCTTCTGCAATGACAATAAATATCCTCAAAAGGTAGGAGAAAAAAAAAAAGAGGATAACTTGCGAATAATATTACCCATTCAAGTCATAAAAAACTAAGATGTTTCAAGAATACTATATAAAAGTAAAATGTTTTACAGTGTTATATTATTAAACAGCAGCCAAGAAAAGTCTAGATACAGCCATTCTGTTTAAATGAAAATGTACACGGCATGAATTACGCATGTGCATTTAAAGAAATAAAAAGCTAACAGACCTAAACGAAGACAAAATGTAAAAATTACTCATAGATAAAATACTGCTAATTTAAGTTTGTTATCTTAAGTCAGAACAAAAATATAAAAAGGCATAGAAATAGTGACTGAATGACAACTGCGTATGTGAAGCACTGAAACAGGTTGACAAAGCATGGGATCAATCTTGAAAGAACTTACAATCAAAGGAGATGAAAAAACATGCTGATCATTGAGTAAAACTTACCACTAAAAGACATATCTTATAAAAAACTGAATTCTCTTCAAGCCTAATATAAAAAGAATAAAGGAAAACGGCATGCCCAACTGGTAGTAGCAATTACTACTTCAAAACAAAGAATACAAACGTAGACTTCATGAGACAATCACAGTAAAGTCATTTCAATGCTTTTTTTTTTTTTTTTTTTTTTTTTTTTGAGATGGAGTCTCACTCTATCGGCAGGCTGGAGTGCAAGGGCGCGTTCTTGGCTCACTGCAACCTCCGCCTTCCGGATTCAAGCGATTCTCCTGCCTCAGCCTCCCACCAACACAGTGAAACTCCCGTTTCTATAAAAATACAAAAATTAGCTGGGTGTGGCGGCGCATGTCTGTAGTCCCAGCTACTTGGGAGGCTGAAGCAGGAGAATCGCTTGAACCCGGAAGGCGGAGGTTGCAGTGAGCCAGGAAAGCGCCCTTGCACTCCAGCCTGCCGATAGAGTGAGACTCTGTCTCAAAAACAAACAAAAAACCCCATAAATTCTAAACTGACTAGGAAACAACTATACTTCCGAAGCCTGTGACGGATCTCAGAATACCACAAAGTTCCCTGGACAGAAATTTAGCTACAAACATAGGCAGGGCGCAATGGCTCGTCTGTAATCCCAGCACTTAGGGGGCGGAGGCAGAGGATCGCCTGAGGTCAGGAGTTCGAGACCAGCCTGACCAACATAGTGAAACCCCATCTCTACTAAAAATACAAAAAATTAGCCCGGTGTGGTGGCATGCGCCTGTAATCCCAGCTACTCGGGAGGCTGAGGCAGGAGAAATTGCTTGAACCCAGGATGCGGAGGTTGCAGTGAGCTGAGATCAGGCCACCGCACTCTAGCCTGGGTGACAGAGTGAGACTCAGTCTCAAAAAAAAAAAAGTTAGCTACAGACACAGTTCTCAAGTCTGAACTTACATATTTAAGGACGCATGAAAACAATCAAGCTTATATTTTGTCAATACAAATGGCCAGAAGGATTCCCTGGCCATTGCAATTTCAAAAATTTTGGAAATATTTGCAGAGGTATTGTTAAAAACCTAAATGATTCATTTATGTAAACCAAAGAAGCGTAGTCAATTTTTTAAAACGGCATACCTTATGAAAGTGATTTTTTTAAAAAAGGTAACAATGTCTTTTGAAAACTTACTTCTCATATTAACGTCTATAGGATTTACACTGGCAGCGTGAACTTTGACAATGACTTCATTTGGATAGTGTATGATAGGCATCATCATGTTCTGAGTGAATCGAAGCACTTCATTCTTCCCATATTTATCTATCACCCAAGCAGGCATGACAGTGCTCCTAGGAGAGGTAGTACTAATCCTTCTAACTGAAGGCTTTTGGACAACTTTGCTTCTCCAGAAGCAAACCGCAGTGCATGCATTTCTTCTAAGTACACAAGTCTTCAGAAATTCCATTGTAAACACTGGTTGAACTGCGTGCTCAAATTCAAATACACTTGGACTGGATCAAACTCTCACCCCTGAATTCAGTCAAATTCTGCCAAACCACGGGCTAGTTTCAAAATTAAGCATGCAAAACGGAGCATTCGAAAATGAAGCTAATCTAATGGAGAAACTGAAAGAAGAATACGGAACTGTTATTCCGCTCTTCGCATATGAAATGCTCGAATTAACGTTCCAGTCAGTATTCTGTCCATTCTCCTCCCTCACTTTCACCCCCTCCACTTTAAAAAAAAAAGGGGGGGCGGGGCATTAAAAAGCAGGTGCGCAAACCCCCTAGATCCCTGCCCTGTCCTGGGAGCCCTCGGCGGGACAAGCAGACACCGCTCGCGATCCAACGCCAGAGAATCGAACGCTTGCCGACTGCCGCCGCGACCCTGGCCCGGAATCTCCTTGCCTGCCCGCTCTCCTTAGCCGCCGGGATGGCTTTGCGGCGCCAACCAATCGCCTACAAAGATCATTTCCTCGGGCTGCAATTCAACCAATCCAAGTACTCGGTGTTGAAGGGCTCAGTGACAATTAAAGATGGCTGCGCCCATGTAACATCACTAGCGACCGGTGACCTCTTTTTCCCCCTTGCCTGGCTCCTGTGGTGGCAGGCTGGGCACGAGGACCATGCTGGGCCGGAGCCTCCGAGAAGTGAGTGGAATTGGCCCGCTGAGGCCCCCGGGAGGGCGGAAAGTTTAACGGACTTCGTTGACAAAGAGTCCCTGGGCCTTACCACGCATCTTGGCCCACCTCGCTGCTTCCTCTAGAACTGAGTGGGGGATAAGTACCTTTCGATTCTTCGGGTGTACTCGCCGTACCCATTCAGGAGTTAGGACCTTAGCAGGGAAATCTCTGCACCGCGGATCTGTAGGGTGGTGAAGCGGCTTCTCACCATTAGACATTTGCTCTGGTGTAGGTCGGGATCCGGATGGTCTCGGAGTGGGCTTTGCCAAAGGGGGCTTGCGGGGCCACTTCAGTCTCTCTTCTGTCCCCGACACTTAGCTGCAGTTGTCGCTAAGAAGCCCGGCGAAACTGTAGTTTGCAAAATTCAAATGAGTAATTTTTGGCTTTTTTCAAAGAATTCGTTCTCTAGGATTTACCTACCACTAAGATACCAGTGATTTCCTAACCCGTGTCTCCATGTCCTGGACGTCGTGTTTGAATTCTAGACTGTATTTGTGAATGCTTTCTGGGCAGTTCTTCTAAATGTCACATAAGCACCCTCAAATTCACTTTAATCGGTGTTGAAGTAATCATTGTAACAGGACTTACCTCTCAACCCCCGTCTTAAAAAAGCTCTGGTATTTCTGAATTCTTAATAGACTCTTTTTAATGGCACAACTATTATCTCATTTGCCTTTAGATTCTTCCTCATCTTTCATATCCAATAAATCACTAAGCCCTCTTCATTCTATCTTGCAGATATGGCTGGAATCTGCCCTCTTACGTTATTTCTGCTGTTATAGCTTTAATTCGGGTCTTTTTGCTTCCTGGTTCACGTCACTCAACCTTAGAACTGTCTGCAGGCCCATTGCTATCAGAGTCACATAAAGCACCTGTTGAAACTAAAACTATGCCCCACTCTAGACTTAATTAGAGCTGTGTGGTAAGTTCGGGAGTATGGTTTAATGGAGGCTCCAGGTGATTTCTGGTAAGAAGTAGGCGCTGATGACCTAAACTGCCTTCCATCTTCCTTTTTATTCCACCCTAGAAGTTGTCGTTTTGTTTGTTTCCCAGCTGGCAGCGTGGAATTATAATTATAGATAGCTGTAATATATAATGAGAAATTGAAATCCACAGGCTTTAAATAATAGTTCTTCCCCCAAAATACATTATTATGTTATCATTTTAAATTGCGTCGAATCAAATTTGTTCTTTAAAAAATAAATATGCCCGGCGCGGTGGCTCACGCCTGTAATCCCAGCACTTTGGGAGGCCGAGGCGGGTGGATCACGAGGTCAGGAGATCGAGACCATCCTGGCTAACACGGTGAAACCCCATTTCTACTAAATATACAAAAAATTAGCCGGGCGTAGTGGCGGGCGCCTGTAGTCCCAGCTACTCGGGAGGCTGAGGCAGGAGAATGGCGTGAACCCGGGAGGCGGAGCTTGCAGTGAGCCAAGATCACGCCACTGCACTCCAGCCTGGGCGGCAGAGCAAGACTCCGTCTCAAAAAATAAATAAATAAAATAAAAATAAATAAACAGACAACACCCAAAACTTGTTTTAAAATTAAATACAACCTATAAAAATATGTTATTTCCTTTTTCTGCCTTTTCCACTGTCAATCTAAGTAACAGAAAGAGACTCTAAAGAAAATATTTATTTTGGAGTAGCAATGCAATGGGAATATGTGTAATATTGTAAACTATGTGCCTATTCAAGAAGGTTGAGGCAAGGGATGTTTTTAAAGACAGAATGAGAAGGATTACTTAAATTATTTTGAATCAGTTATCCTTGGCCACAAGGATCAGTCACAAAGGTGGCATCAGTCCAAGGTTGGATGGCCAGTTGCTGGACAGACATTCTTACAGAAGTACTCGTGTGTGTGGAAGGTTGCAATGGCCTTTGTGCAAGGTTGTGTTTTTTGCAGTCTTATGATTGTTTTTAAAAAAAAATTTTAATGGGTACATAGTAGGTGTATGTATTTATGGGGCACATGAGATATTTTGATACAGGCATACAATGCATAATAATCACATCAGAGTAAATGGTGTATCCATCACCTCAAGCATTTATCATTTCTTTGTGTTACAAACGTTCCAGTTATACTCTTTTAGTTATTTTTAAACGTACAATAAACTATTGTTGACTGTAATCACCTGCTGTGCTATCAAATACTGTATCTTATTCATTCTGTCTAACTATATTTTGTACCCATTACCCATCCCCACTTCCCACCCCTACTACTACCCTTTCAGGCCTCTAGTAACCATCATTCTACTCTACCTCCACGAGGTCAATTGTTTTCATTTTTAGCTCCCACAAATAGGTGAGAACATGGGAAGTTTGTCTTTCTGTGCCTGGCTTATTTCACTTAACATAATGCCCTCCAGTTCCATCCATGTTGTTGCAATTGACAAGCTCTCGTTCTTTTTATGGCTGAATAGTACTCCATTGTGTACATGTAGGACATTTTCTCTATCCATTCATCTGTTGGTAGATACTTAGCTTGCTTTCAAATCTTGGCTATTGTGAATAGTGCTGCAATAAACATGAGAGAGCAGATATGTCTTTGCTATGTTGATTTTCTTTCTTTTAGGTGCATATATACGTAGCAGTGGGATTGCTGGATCGTATGGTAGTTCTATTTTTATTTATTTATTTTTAATTATTTTTTTTTTAGAGATGGGGTCTCACTATGTTGGCCAGGTTGGTCTTGAATTCTTGGCTTCAAGCAATCCTCCTCCCTCAGCCTCCCAAAGTGCTAGGATTACAGGTGTGAGCCACTGTGCCCAACCAGTAGTTCTATTTTTAGGTTTTTAAGGCACCTCCATACTATTCTCCATAGTGGCTGTAGTAATTTACATTTCATCCAACTTTTCTCCATCCTCACCAGCATTCATTATTGCCTGTCTTTTGGATAGAAGCTATTTTAACTGGAGTGAGATGATATCTCATTGTAGTTTTGATTTGCAATTCTCTGATGATCAGTGATGTTGAGCACATTTTCATATACCAGTTTGCCATTTATATGTCTTTCTTTTGAGAAATGTCTATTCCAATCTTTTGCCCATTTTTAATTTGATTATTGGATTTTTTCCTGTTGAGTTGTTTGAACTCCTTATATACTTCGGTTATCAATCCCTTGTCAGCTGGAGTGTGATAGTTCTTCTTATCAGGCATTCATGCGTGAGAACCCTCTCTTCTTGACCTTCCTTGGCTCCATTTGTCAGGATTTTAACACAAGTCACTCTATTTTGATTTTGACAACTGTCATAGCTCCTTAAGTGCTACCTTTTTTAGTGCTACTTCTCTCTGGTGTCATTGAGTTAGCCATTGTGAAAAACAACTTTTGCCGCATGGGGGGAGAAAAGAACTATTTAGGAGAGCTGACCCAGGGGAAAATCCAGAGGTTGCCTTGGCATGATTGCTTTTACTTTATCACTCCTTTAACAAATACTGATTAATGCCTAGCATGCAAAATATTTGGTGGTTATTTCCCCAGCTCTAAAACTACCTTCTGTCTACTTTGTATTTTTTCCACATCACTGTACTGTTGCCCTAAATTCTACCAATTAGAGATTAATTAATTCATACAAATTATCTTTTAATTTAATTCTCTTTTAAATATGTACAGATGCCTGGGAAGGTTGAACAATTTTTCCACCCATTGTTGTAAATTATAACAGTTCAAATTTCTTCATAATACCTTAATTGAGATAATCAGTTGAAGAGGGGGAAATTTGCGGGGAATTAGGGAGAAGGGCTGGAAATGATGGCAGCAATTTGGGGGATGTGAGTGGAAGCTTATGGTAACAGGAGTCCTGGGAATAGGCACAAAAAGGAGGTAAAATGCCAAATAGGTAAAATTCCCATTTGTAAATTTTACCCAAGTACATTCAGAAAGGGGGAGGAAATCTCACTTTTACCTTTGTCTTTTGTGGCATGATCCCAGTGTTTCTAGGAGTGAGGCACCAGGCTAATATTATTAATCCTAAAGTTTAAAGAATGATATATTCATTTGGCTTCTTGGAGCTTCAACTTTAGAAAAACTAATCATTGTTCTATAGGGAAATCGATTCTAAATTTTAAACAACTGTTATTCATTCAACTAACATTTAGTGAGTACCTCTGTGTTCCAAGTACTGGGGGGTAGCATTAAAGACGGACAGAAGCTCCTGCTTCCTGAAACCTAACTTTTTTGTGTGGAAACGCAGCCATTAAACACTTTAAAAAAAAAAAAAAGTAAATGATATAATTTCAGGTAGTATGAGTACTATGGAGAAAAATTAAGTAGATCATAGTATGAGAACTAGTTGGGGGAGCTGGACATTTTAGCTAGAGTGGTCAGGGAAGATTTCTCTGATTGAGTGAATAATACTTAATAGAGACCAGAAGGGCATGAAGGGGGAACACTGGGCAGATCTGAGAGAATAGTGTTCCAGGCAGATGGAACAGTAAGTACAAAGACCCTAAAACAAGAGCAAGCTTAACATGTTCAAGGAATAGCAAAAGGGCCAATATGCCTGGAGAGAAGTGAATGAGGAGAGCAATGAGAGAAGAGGTTAGGGAGACAGGTAGGAGCCAAATTGTGGAGAACCTTTGAGGCCACAGTAGGGAGTATGGATTTTATTCCAAGTGTAATGGGAATCTTCTGGAAAGTTTTGAATCTGTGGACATGATCTGAGTTAAAATTTTAAAAGCTCCTTCAGATGACTCTTAAGGGACCATGATCTTTAGAAAAGCAAGTAATAAAGCACAAAGACTGACCGGGTGCAATGGCTCACGCCTTTAAACCCAACACTTTCGGAAGCTGAGGCAGGCTGATTGTCTGAGCTCAGGAGTTCAAGACCAGCCTAGGCAATGTGGCGAACCCTGTCTTTACAAAAAATACAAAAATTAGCTGGGCATGGTGGTGCATGCCTTTAGTCCCAGCTGCTCAGGAGGCTGAGGTGGGAGGATCACTTGAGCCTCGGAGGTTGAGGCTGCAGTGAGGCGAGATCACATCCGTGCACTCCAGGTTTGGCAACAGAGCAAGGCCCTGTCTCAAAAAAAAAAAGCAAGAAAGCATGAAGACCAATTAGAAGCCTGTTGCATTGGCGAGATAATGGGAGTGGATATTGTTTTTTAAGTCAGGGTTTGCAGATGTTTTGGATATGGGGTTTGAGGAAAAGAGAAGAATCAAGGAGGATACTTAGGTTTTGGGCTAGGGCAGTTGGGGAAATGTGACATCAAGATGGGAAAACCTTAAAGGGAACATGTTTGGAAGGGGAAGGTTATCAAGAGTTTTGTTCTGGATGTGTTAATTTTTAGATGCCTCCTAGATATCCAAGTGAAGATATCAGTTAAGCAACTAGATACAAGAGTTCAGAGCTCAGAAAAGAGGCTAGGTAAGAGGATATACATTGGCCAGAGTGTAGAAGATAATTAAAGCTATAGGGCCAGATGAGATTACCTGGGAAGTTGAGTGTAAAAATAGAAGAAGACCTAAAATTCCAACATTTTGGAGGTCAACAATAGGAAGTAAAGCCAGCAAAAGAGACTTGAAAGAATGCCCAGTGAGACAGGAGGAAAACCAGGATGGCATGGTGTCCTGAACACAGAGAAGAAGTGTTTCAAGGAGGGAGTGGTCACTTGTGTTGAATGCTACTAAGGAGTACTATAAAATGAGGGCTGGTGCTGACCAGTGGGTTTAGCTATGTGGAGCTTGCTGGTGATCTTGATACGCAGTTTCAAGAAGCAAGAAGGCAAAAGCATGAATGGACTGTGTTAAAGAGAGGATGAGTACCCATCACTGGAACACTCAGCCCTCAAGAGCTCTCCTGTACCTTCAGCACTTACCAAGGCAAACTTTTTTTAAAGACCATTCTTTTCTGGCTAGGCACAGTGGCTCTCGCCTATAATCCCAGCATTTTGGAAGGCTGAGGCGGGCAGATCACGAGGTCAGGAGTTCAAGACCAGCCTGACCAACATGGTGAAACCCCGTCTCTACTAAAAATACAAAAATTATCCAGGTGGTGGCACACGCCTGTAATCCCAGCTACTCAGGAGGCTGAGGCAGGAGAATCGCTTGAACCCGGGAGGCCAAGGTTGCAGTGAGCCGAGATCGCACCACTGCACTCCAGCCTGGGCAACAGAGCGAGACTCCATTTCAAAAAAAAAAAAAAGACAGTTCTTTTCCTAAGTGTACCTCTAATGCTGTCTGTTAAGTTAATTAAAATGTCTCCACTTCATTACAGAGAAATAAATGCCAAAATGTCTTGCATAGAGAATAATTATACAGGTTGAACATCCCTAATCTGAAAATCTGAAATGCTCCAAAATCCAAAACTTTTTGAGCACCAACATGATTTTCAAAGGGTGTGTTCAAAGGAGATGCTCACTGGAGCATTTTAGACTGGAGATTTTTGGGTTAGGGATGCTCAACTGGAAAGTATATAGTGCACATAGAGTACTCCAAAGTCTGAAAATATCCGAAATCTAAACACTTCTTGTCCCAAGCATTTTGGATAAGGGATACTCACCCTGTAGTATAGTAAGTAGTTCAGAGCATGAGTTTTGGAAACAAGATGAGTCCTCGGTTGAATCCCAGCTCTGCTACTTTTTTTTTTTTTTTTTTTTTAAGACGGAGTCTCGCTCTGTCTCCAGGCTGGAATACAGTGGCACAATTTTGGCTCACTGCAACATCTGCCTCCCGGGTTCAAGCGATTCTCCTGCCTTAGCCTCCCAAGTAGCTGGAACTACAGATGCACGCCACCACGCCCAGCTAATTTTTGTATTTTTAGTAGAGACGGGGTTTCACCGTGTTGGCCAGGATGGTCCTGATCTCTTGACCTTGTAATCTGCCCGCCTTGGCCTCCCAAAGTGCTGGGATTACAGGCATGAGCCACCGCGCCCAGCCAGCTCTACTGCTTTTTAGCTATGTGACCTCAGGTAGGAACTTCAGTTTTTTTATCTGTAAATGGAGATAATAATAGCTTCTCAGTGTGGATGTAAAGATTAAATGATATATTAAGCACTGAGGACAATGTCTAGAACTAAGTACTAGCTATTATTAACATTAATTTTGTTACAGGGACAAAATTACTAAATTATATGTATTTGCATTTTTCCCTTCCTTTACTTTCTAAGAAGAGTGGTTCCTGAGCAAGATTTTAAAATTTTTCTAAGGAGGTATATTAGTTGTCTATGGCTGCATAAAAAATTACTATAAACTTTGTGGCTTAAAATAACATAATCTCAGGATCTCACAGTTTTCTGGGTCAGAAGTCAGGGCATGGAGTAGCTGGGTCCTCTACTCAGGGTCTCACAAGGCTGAAATCCATGTGCTGCAGTTGCACTGCAAGGTGTTGCTAGGGCTAGAGTTCCATCTGGAGCTCCAGCCCTCTCGACCTCGTTGGTTTCTGGCAGAATTCATTTCCTGTGGTTGTGGAACTAAGGTCCGATTTTCTGCTGGCTGTGTGGATAGTAAAGTAAGTGAGCTGAAGGGCTGGAGACATGGGATGGCTGGAGTTGACATTTTGGAGATCAAACGGATGTTAGTAATGATGTATATAGTCTAGACAGTGACCAGGAGAGTTGGCAACTGGGGTGAGGTGAAGGAAAAGCTTGTGCAAAGTGAGATCAAAGAACTGAAAAATCAGATGTTGGTGTACATGGACTTGAAATATGATGTGAACAAGGGAGAGGATAGGAGCAATAGTAACAAAGATGACAGTGTGCTAGCCAGCAAAATTGTCAATGAATGAAAAGTAGTACCAGGAAGGCTATAGGTCAGCATACTGGGGAGCGTGGTGTCATCTCCCAAGGCATGTGCTTTGGGTGAGCGGAATGTTTGAGAGAAGAGGGAAGAGAAGCATTGAGGAACAAGGAGATCATCTTTCCCCTCTCCCACTCTGGACTCTGTGGTATGTGGTAGGTAGGCACTAAACAGGAGAAGCAGCGGCTGCCAGGGAAGACCTAGTTTCCATTAGAGAAAAGATGTGCCAGAGAGAGAATTTTTTTTCTTTTAACGAAAACTTAAAAGTTAACTTCGTTTTATATTCAGATTTGACACCTGCAGTTTTGTCCTGGGGAACTGTATATGTGATTTATGTTTCCTGCTTCTTATGCTCAGTCCATTTAGCTGATTAGCATCTTTGTTTTCACTTCTCTTCTCCACTTCCCTTATTGATTTTTTTTCTCAAATCTAGAGTTCCTAAAAATGGTCTTAATGCAAATCGGCACCATTTAAAGTGAATATCCTAGACAATCTTATTTCTTGCTGTTCAACCACAATTGTAACACCTTAGCTTTTATCCTTATACCAGTCTGGAAGCAGCTTGAGGATTGTAGGCATTAGGGGACTTGAGAGGAGTCAAGGAAGGAGAGAAAGTGGCAAATGCAGTTTTCCTCATTGTTACAACTTAGCCATGGGATGGGCCTGCCTACGTATATTTGTCTCTCTAGCTCTGGGTTTTTGTTAGTTCTAACTCTCTTCCACCCAGCCTACTACCATCTTTGTTCTTCCCATTCCATATACATGATGTTAAAACGCACTGCTCTCTTTTATTCCTTCTAGCTTCTTTCTTCTAGAGGGTTTACATTTCTTTTTTTTTCTTTTTTGAGACAGAGTTTCGCTTTTGTTGCCCGGGTTGGAGTGCATTGGCACGATCTCACCTCACCGCAACCTCTGCCTCCCGGGTTCAAGCGATTCTTCTGCCTCGGTCTCCCGAGTAGCTGGGATTACAGGCATGCACCACCACGCCTGGCTAATTTCGTATTTTTAGTAGAGATAGGGTTTCTCCATGTTGGTCAGGCTGGTCTTGAACTCCCAACCTCAGGTGGTCTGTCCATCTCGGCCTCCCAAAGTGCTGGGATTACAGGCGCGAACCACTGTGCCTGGCCAAGGGTTTACCTTTCATACAAACCATTAGACGAACTCTCTCTTCTTGTTACTATAAAAGTCACTTCCTTAAATCGGACCTTGCTGCCCTCCTTATCCCTGCAGCAGTCCTGCAGCCTCCCCATGGAAGTCCTTTTCCTCTTGTCGGTGAGCATTAGGGATCCTCTTGATGACCTCTTCCCACTGCTTGTTGCATTTAAAACCCTCAGCCCCAAGAATGCCATTGCGTTGATGATTTACTCAGTAGCTAAGAGCAGATCATTTGGAGATTTTCCCCTCAAATGCAAACTTCTGTTGCTTTATGGAACACGTGAAAACACTGTCAACTTGGAGGACAAACTAAGCTTCCAATAGAGTAGAGATAGAAATGGTGAAGACTGTATATTATGAGGTCACCTTGTCCTTTACTATTTGTGTGACTTTGGGCAAATCACTCAAGGTTTCTGAGCTTCAGTTTCTTTATCTGTCAAATGAGATAAACAGTACCTAACTTGTGTGGTTATTTGTGTGTTTTGTTGTTTTTTTTTTTTTTTTTTTTTTTTTTTGACAGAGTCTGGCTCTGTCACCAGGCTGGAGTGCAGTGGCGCGATCTTGGCTCACTGCAACCTCCGCCTCCCAGGTTCAAGTGATTCTCCTGCCTCAGCCTCCCAAGTAGCTGGGACTACAGGCACGTGCCACCACACCTGGCTAATTTTTGTATTTTTAGTAGAGACAGAGTTTCACCATGTTGGCCAGGATGGTCTCCATCTCCTGACCTTGTGATCTACCCGCCTTGGCCTCCCAAAGTGCTGGGATTACAGGCATGAGCCACTGCGCCCGGCCAGTGTGGTTGTTTTAAGGGTTAAATGAAGTAATAATGCATGTAAAGCAACAGTGCCTGGCTCTTGGAAAATACTCGGTAAATACTATTCCTTCCCCTATTCTCCTTTTCTCTCAGCTCCCATCTAATTCAATTATCTTTTCATAAAATCTCCAAAGTTTTGGTGTCATCTTTTACTTATTGTTATTCATCCCTTTTATCTGATTAGTAAGTACATGTTATTATTACTTCCTACAGGAAATATTAGACACTCATCACTCCATCTTAGGCCCTACTTCCTGTCAATATACACTGGTATTCACTACTTCCCAGTCACTTTCGGTGCAGTTTTTTTTTAACTCCTTCTTTACCAGCCTTCCCAATGTCTTCCCTAAAGACAGAATTTCAGAAAAGTTTGTTTTTACTTTGCCTTTGAACCCGTATTTTATAAGCATTTCTCTTAATTCATAGTGTCTCTTACTCGAACTCCACAATAGGTATAAAGATCTTATTTAGAGAGCCATAAAAATCCTGCAATGCCTCGTCCAGTTCACTTCTCTTTTTTTCTCTCTGGACTGCCTGTGTTGCAGCTAAGCTACCCTCTGTACAGAATCTGCCCTCAGCCATCCTTCACCCATGCTGGGCCTCAACTCCCCCTGGACAGGATGGTTTACCTAACTTACTGCCGTTGTTTGTACAGCCTGACTTTGAAACCAAAAGTTGGCTAAGGAGAAGAATGTCATGTCCTCCACCTGTCCTCAAGCTGATCAGTGCATCACCCTTCATCCACTACACTAAGTGTAGAGGTAATAGGTTCTCTTGATTTTGAACCCAAGCCTCACTTTAAAATGTTATACTTAGCCACTCCATCTCCCCCCACCCCCACCAATATAACAATTGAAACTTCTGCAGACTCAGTAAAAGGTTTTTGAATTGTATACACTATAGGTTTCTGCGGCACTGAAACAAGGCCAAATTACACCAACAGAGCTCTGTCAAAAATGTCTCTCTCTTATCAAGAAGACCAAGTTTCTAAATGCCTAC
Source organism: Homo sapiens (assembly GCF_000001405.40). Classification (NCBI taxonomy): domain Eukaryota; kingdom Metazoa; phylum Chordata; class Mammalia; order Primates; family Hominidae; genus Homo; species Homo sapiens. The sequence goes on from NC_000006.12 coordinate 106,640,445, forward strand.
ATTACTGTGTCAGAAGAGGTGGCCTTAAAACAAGCTGAAGAATCAGAAAAGAGATATAAGAATGGTAAATTGCTTTTAACTATACTTAATTGTTATATCTCCAGAGAAGTTTAATTGTTTGTAGCAGTCTCCATTTGGCAAGTGAAGCTTTAAACATAAACCATAGCCTTATTTAAAGAACTTGCCATGAGGATAATAAAAATGAGGGTAATGGCTATGTGATGCTTCATAATGTCCAACTGTATTAATTTCTGCCATAAATTTGTTTTCTGAAGAAGTATCTTTGCCAAAAACTAGTAGTTACTGTAATAACATGTATTCATGTATCTTTATATTTTAAACTATCTCCTTTATCACTCTTTTGGCTTTTTAATGCAGGACAGTCACTTGGGGATTTAGATGGAATTCCTATTGCAGTAAAAGACAATTTCAGCACTTCTGGCATTGAGACAACATGTGCATCAAATATGCTGAAAGGTAAAGTTTAACTGATCAGAGCATTGATAATTTTATAAAAATAGGTATTTTTCGCTTTAAGGATAATAAAGTACCAAGATAATCTCAGACTAATTATATCTTTGAAGGAAATATTTAGAATATAATATCATGTTTTTTTACTATTTGCTCTTTTAGAATGCAGAATTTTTCTTTAGAGGTCAGCCAGCTTAATGAATGCTATCTCAGAAGTTTTCAAAAATTCTATTAATATTTAGGAAGACTCAGTTCAATAACTAATTACCAACTGGGTGCATACCTGTAGTCCCAGCTACTTGGGAGGCTGAGGTGGGAGAATCACTTGAGCTCAGGAGTTTGAGTCCAGCCTGGGCAACATAGTGAGACCTCATCTCTAAAAAACGAAATAAAAAAACTGATTACCATAAACGTACTGTATAACCTCTACCTTCAGCTCATTGATAACATGGGAATAAGTATGAACTGGCTATCATCAATACCCTTCTGTGGATGACGTGAGGATTCATTAACATCTACTGACCAGTTATTTTTTATTTCCTGATTCCTCTATCTCTTGTAGCACAGTATGGCAATGCTTAGATTTATTCTTTAGAGTTTGGTCAAAAGAAAGCAGGTTTATCAAGATATTTGGATCCTAGGAAGAAACAGAAATAGAAAAAAGGTTATTCAGAGTACTAGACGCTAAAAATAATATTCTATGAGGAATATGCCCCACCTTCCTCTAATATGCAGACTGTTGTTAATTATTTTGGAATATACGCTAGAGCTTTTCAATAGCTAGAGAAAATTTTAGTTGAAAATAAAGATCTATTTCTACTGGAAATACATAAAAATTACTGTGTGGTATAACATGAGAAGAAAAAATCAAGTACAATGAGCAAAATAGAGATTTACTATTTCAAAAATACTGGGTACATCTCTGACTATCATGCAATATTTTGTAGAACTAACTGGTAAAGTCAGTGTTTTTAGATTATAAAAATAGTGAAGGCACAGACTATCTTTGGAAAACATACATTAGCAGTAGAAAAAAATTACTGGAAGGAAGTACAACTGATTATTTAAATTAGGAATAATTAATACATATCACTATGAATTGCTTAATTGCAGTTTAGACTCTTGATTTTTTGTTTTTTGTTTGTTTGTTTGTTTGTTTAAGACGGAGTCTTGCTCTGTCACCCAGAGTGGAGTGCAGTGGTGCGATCTCGGGTCACTGCAACTTCCACCTCCTGGGTTCAAGTGATTCTCCTGTCTCACCTCCTAAGTAGCTGAAATTACAGGCATGCACCACCAGACCCAGCTAAATTTTATATTTTTAGTAGAGACAGTGTTTCTCCACATTGGCCAGGCTGGTCTCGAACTCCTAACCTCAGGTGATCCGCCTGTCTTGGCCTCCCAAAGTTTTGGGATTACAGGCGTGAGCCACCCCGCCCCGCCGACTCTTGTTTCTTACATATGATTTACATGTTCGCTGTTTTGTTTCCTATAAAAAGGTAACTGGCCTTTTGGCGGGAACCACCATCATCCAGTAATTCACCAAAATGATGAACACAAAGGGAAAGAGGAGAGGCACCCAATATGTGTTTTCTAGGCCTTTTACAAAACAGGGAGTTGTTTGCCATGTACATGTGAACCTATAAGAAAGGTGATGTGGACATCAAGGGAATGGGTATTGTTCAAAAAGGAATGCCCCACAAGTGTTACCATGGCAAAACTGGAGAGTACACAGTGTTCCCCAGCATGCTGTTGGCATTGTTGTAAACAAACAAGGGCAAGATTCTTGCCAAGAGAATGAATGTGCATATTGAGCACAGTAAGTACTGTAAGAGCCGAGATAGCTTCCTGAAACGCATTGAGGAAAATGATGAGGAAAAGAAGGAAGCCAAAGAGAAAGGTACCTGGGTTCAACTGACGTGCCAGCCTGCTCCACCCAGAGAAGCGCACTGTGTGAGAACCAATGGGAAGGCTCCTGAGCTGTTGGAGCCTATTCCCTGTGAATTCATGGCATAATAGGTATAAACAAATAAAAGACTTCTGGACTGTAAAAAAAATAATAGTAACTAAATTTTTTTCAGGTTATATACCACCTTATAATGCTACAGTAGTTCAGAAGTTGTTGGATCAGGGAGCTCTACTAATGGGAAAAACAAATTTAGATGAGTTTGCTATGGGGTAAGTAAAATTGAAATCTTCTCTTGAGTTTCTTCTGTCTGTGCCTTTATTTTCACTAAATGTAGTTACCTAAAAGGATTGAGGATCTAATGCCAGTTTCTTAGTCCCTCTGTGAGATTATGTTATGTTGTTTAATAGATATATAGTCATCTCTAATTTTGCTTTTGGCTTGTATTTCCCTGATGACTAATAATGTTAAACATCTTTTCATGTGTTTATTTTGCCATCCCTATGTCTTCATCAGTGAAGTAGCTTTTCAAATTCTGTGCCCATTTTTTGAAATTGGGTCATCTTATTATTGAGTTGTAAGAATCCTTTCTGGCTCATGACTGTAATCGCAGCACTTTGGGAGTCCGAGGCAGGTGGATCAACTGAGGTAGGGAGTTCGAGGCCAACCTGACCAACATGGAGAAACCCCGTCTCTACTAAAAACACAAAAATTGCCTGGGTGTGGTGGCGCATGCCTGTAATCCCAGCTACTTGGGAGGCTGAGGCGGGAGAATCGCTTGAACCCGGGAGGCGGAGGTTGCAGTGAGCCGAGATCGCGCCATTGCACTCCAGCCTGGGCTACAAGAGTGCAACTCTGTCTCAAAAAAAAAAAAAAAGAATTCTTTCATATATTTTGGATTCAAATCCATTATCAGATAGGTGCTGATTTGCAAATATTTTCTTCAAGTCTCTGGTTTATCTTTTTATTCTCTGAACATGCCTTTCAAAGAGTAAAAGTTCTTAATTTTGATAAAGTCCAGTTTATCAATTTTTTTCTTTTTTCTCTTCTTTTCATTCTTTTTTTTTTTTGAGACAGAGTTTTGCTCTTGTCATCCACGCTGGAATGCAATGGTGCGATCTCGGCTCGCTGCAGCCTCCGCCTCCCAGCTTCAAGCGATTCTCCTGACTCAGCCTCCCAAGTAGCTGGGACTACAGGCATGCCCCACCATTCCCAGCTAAGTTTTGTATTTTTAGTAGAGATTGGGTGTCGCCATGTTGGCCAGGGTGCTCTTGAACTCCTGACCTCAGATGATCCACCTGCCTTGGCCTCTCAAAGTGCTGGGATTACAGGCATGTGCCACCACGCCCGGCCTTCTTTTCTTTCTTTCCTTTTGTTTTCTTCCTTTCATATAGACAGGGTCTCACTGGGTTTCCCAGGCTGATCTCAAACTCCTGGACTCAAACTGTGCTCCCAGCTTGGTCCAGCAAAGTGTTGGGAGGCAAAAGCAACTGTGCCAGGCCCATTTTTTCCTTTATTTTTTAAAGATGGGGTTTATCTGTGTTACCCAGGCTGGTCTTGAACTCCTGGCATCAAGTGATCCTCTGACCTCATCCTTCCGAGCAGCTGGGACTGCAAGCACACATCACCTCACCTGGCTGAATTTTTTTCTTTTATGATTCATGTGTCCTAAGAAATCTTTTTTGTTTGTTTGTTTGTTTTTTGTTTTTTGAAGCACAGTTGTGCTCTTGTTGCTCAGGCTGGAGTGCTTGGAGTGCAATGGCACGATCTCGGCTCACTACAACCTCCGCCTCCCAGGTTCAAGCGATTCTCCTGCCTCAGCCTCCCGAGTAGTTGGGATTACAGGCACGCACCACCGGGCCCAGCTAATTTTGTATTTTTAGTAGAGATGGGGTTTCACCGCGTTGGCCAGGCTGGTCTCAAACTCCTGACCTCAGGTGATCTGCCCGCCTGGTCTCCCAAAGTGCTGGGATCATAGACGTGAGCCATCGTGCCTGGCCAAGAAATCTTTACCTAACAAAGGTCACAAAGAATTTTTTCCTAGAAGTTTTATAGTCTTAGCTCTTACATTTAGATCTGTTATTCACTTCGAATTAGATTTTCGTATATAGTATGAATAAAGTCCATTTATTCAACATATGGATGTCCATTAACTCCAGCACTAATAATAAAAAAGATTATCCTTTTCTTGTTGAATGATCTTAGGTTTTTTTGTCAAGAATCAAGCACATTCAGTAGGTCTGTTTCTGGACTCTGTTGCATCTCTGTTTATTCCAGTGTCACACCATCTTGATTATTATAGCTTTATAGTAAGCCTTGAAATTATGTAGTAAGAGTCTTCTAACTTTGTTCTTCTTTTTCAAAATCATTTTACATAATCTAGATCTGTTATATTCTGATATGTTTTAGAATAAGCTTGCTAATTTCTACAAACAAGTTTAATGGGATTTTGATTGTGATTGTGTTGAATTTATAGATCAACTTGGAAAGAATCGGCATCATAATACATGTCTTCTCATACATTTTGTTTTACTCTGGAATGTTTTTATGATTTCCTGCATATAAATTGTACATATAATTTGATTTATTCGTGTGTTTTATGTTTCTTTTCTTTTTTTTTTTGAGACAGAATCTCACTCTGTCACCCAGACTGGAGTGCAATGGTGCAATCTCGGCTCACTGCAACCTCTGCCTCCTGGGTTCAAGAGATTCTCCTGCCTCAGCCTCCTGAGTAGCTGGGACTACAGGCACATGCCACCACGCCCGGCTAATTTTTGTATTTTTAGTAGAGACAGTGTTTCACCATATTGGCCAGGCTGGTCTCAAACTCCTGACCTTGTGATCCGCCCGCCTCGTCCTCCCAAAGTGTTGGGATTATAGGCGTGAGCCACCGCCCCCAGCCATGTTTCTTAATGCTATAGAAAATTGTATTTTTTTCAGTTTCTAATTGTTTATTGCTAGTACATTGAAACATAATTGATTTTTCTATATTGACCTTTTATCCCATGACCTTGTTAAAGCTTGCTTATTAGTTCTAGTTGATCTTTGTGGATTCTGTGGAATATTTTATGTAGCAAATTGTGTAGTCTACAAATAGAGTTAGTCTTATTTCTTCTTCTTGCCTTACTGCACCAGTGAGGGCCTTAGGTGCAATGTTGAATAGAAGTGGTGAGAGCAGATTTCCTTGCCTTGATCTTGATCTTAGGGAACAGCAGTCTTTCACCAAAAGTACTTTATACTTACCCTTTTATGACACTTGTCACATTTGTAATATTTGCTTGGTCATTGTTCTCTGTTTCATAGAAACAAGAGTCCTTGCGTGTATAGTTCAGAGTGGTATATCTTGGAATTCATTATATATATGTTGAATGAACTAATCCATGAGAGTATATTTGAACAAAGGCTTTCAGGAAATTGCCTTCATCAGCTGATCAAAATTAACATCACCAGTGAGGGTGAAGTGGACGTTATGTGCCTCCAGATGTAATTGTCTGAGGATACAATATCACCTATGTAATATTCCAGCTGAGAATGTGTAAGCTGACTCTAATAATGGGGAAACAAAAGATAAATCCAAAATGAGAACCATTCTATTAAAATATCATATGAAAACAAAAAAAGGGCTGTGAAAATCTTCCAGGATAAGAGATAAAGAAAGTAAAACCTAACATCATAAAACTCAAGAAAATGTAGGGGATGCTGGGCCTGGTGGCTCATGCCTGTTATCTCAGCACTGTGGGAAACTGAGGCAGTAGGATTGCTTGAGCCCAGGAGTCCTAGATCAGCCTGGGCAACATAGTGAGGCCCTGTCTCTACAGAAAAAAAAAATTAAAAAAAACAGGGAAAAGTATTAGTGACCTTGAATTAGTCAGAGTTCTTTTAGATAGGACACATGAAGCACAAATCCACTTAAAAAATTGATAGACTTGGCCGGGCACGGTGGCTCACACCTGTAATCCCAGCACTTTGGGAGGCCGAGGCAGGTGGATCACAAGGTCAGGAGATTGAGACCATCCTGGCTAACACAGTGAAACCCTGTCTCTACTAAAAATACAAAAAATTAGCCGGGCGTGGTGGCGAGCGCCTGTAGTCCCCGCTACTCAGGAGGCTGAGGCAGGAGAATGGCATGAACCCGGGAGGCAGAGGTTGCAGTGAGCCGAAATCACGCCACTGCACTCCAGCCTGGGTGACAGAGCAAGACTCCTTCTCAAAAAAAAAAAAAAAAAAAAAAAAAAAATTAATAGACTTCATTAAAATTAAGAACTTCTGTACTTTGAAATATGCTACTAAAAAAGTGAAAACGCAAGCCACAGACTGAGAGAAAAATATTTGCAAAACATGTATCTCAGAAAGAACCGATATCCAAAATACATAGAACATTTCACACCTCAATAAGAAAACAAGCAACCCTATTTTTAAAAAATGAACAAAAGATTTAAGAAGACGTTTCATCAGAGATTAAAACATAGTTGACAAACACATGAAACAATGCTTAATATCGTTGATCATTAGTGGAATTCAAAATTAAAATCACAGTGAGCTTGGGCACAGTGGCCCACACCTGTAATCTCAGCACTTTGGGAGGCCAAGGCATGGTAGTGGATGCCTGTAGTCCCAGCTACTCGAGAGGCATGAGAATCGCTTGAACCTGGATCACTTGAAACCGGGAGGCGGAGCTTGCAGTGAGCCAAGATCATGCCACTGCACTCCAGCCTGGGCAATAGAGCGAGACTGTCTCAAAAAAAAAAAAAAAAGAGAGAGACAATGATAATTAAATGGAAGACCTGACTCTAGATTTGATCCAGGAAGGAGATAAAATGCCATAAAGTACTTTTTTTTTTTTTTTTTTTGAGATGGAGTCTCGCTCTGTCACCCAGGCTAGAGTGCAGTGGCGCGATCTCGGCTCACTGCAAGCTCCGCCTCCCGGGTTCACACCATTCTTCTGCCTCAGCCTCCCGAGTAGCTGGGACTACAGGCGCCCGCCACCACGCCCGGCTAATTTTTTGTATTTTTAGTAGAGATGGGGTTTCACCGTGTTATCCAGGATGGTCTCGATCTCCTGACCTCGTGTTCCGCCCTCCTCGGCCTCCCAAAGTGCTGGGATTACAGGCGTGAGCCACTGCACCCAGCCAAAGTACATTATTGAATCAGTTGACAGAATTGAATTACATACAGTAGATTCGATAAAAGTATTGTAGGCCGGGCGTGGTGGCTCACCCCTGTAATCCCAGCACTTTGGGAGGCCAAGGCGGGTGGATTACGAGGTCAAGAGATTGAGACCATCCTGGCCAACGTGGTGAAACCCCGTCTCTACTGAAAATACAAAAATTAGCCCGGCGTGATGGCACGCACCTGTAGTCCCAGCTACTCGGGAGGCTGAGGCAGGAGAATTGCTTGAATCTGGGAGGCGGAGGTTGCAGTGAGCCGAGATCGCGCCACTGCACTCCAGACTGCCAGTAGAGCGAGACTCGTCTCAAAAAAGAAAAAAAAAATTATTGTATTGATATTAATGTTACTGAGATTGATAACTATACTGTGACTGTATAATGTGATATCCTTATTGTTAGGAAATACACACTAAAGTATTTAGGGATAAAGGGCTATGATATACATGTAAGTTACCCTTAAGATACCCTTAAGTTTCTATCATACTTTGTGTATATATGTACATATGTACAAACGTACACAGAGCACACAAGTAGTAAAGCAAAGGGATAAAATGTTGACCGTAGGTATGTCTGGGTAAAGGGTATAAAGTGCTTTATATGTTATTTTTATTTTTGCAATTTATCTGAGAATAAAATCATTTCAAAAATTTAAGTTATTAGCATTCCACTTGTAATGTTTTTCATAGAACTTCTGGTTCAGAAGTTCTTAACTGTTTGAATGTAACCCTTTTCAGCTGGAAGACCTTGATTCACAAGGGAAATCATCTTCAGTTGAATTGGATGATCAAAAGAGGCAAAATCTTTTCTTAGCAGATTAGCTTTGTCTATTTTCTACCACAAATGCTCTTCCTTCCCATCCTCCGCAACTGTCAATTAATGAAAGCTACATCTGAACAGGCTTCCCACCTTTTTCAATTCAAGCTACAGTGGGTTCTTAAATGCTCAATGAGTGTCAGAAGCAAATAATATACTCAGAAGATGAAATTTTCACATAAAATGAAAGTTTTACTAAGGTATCTTGCTTCACTTCGTCATCAGATCTGGGAGCACAGATGGTGTATTTGGACCAGTTAAAAACCCCTGGAGTTATTCAAAACAATATAGAGAAAAGAGGAAGCAGAATCCCCACAGCGAGAATGAAGATTCAGACTGGCTGATAACTGGAGGAAGCTCAGGTGGGAGTGCAGCTGCTGTATCGGCGTTCACATGCTACGCGTAAGATGCTTTTCTCTATCTGTATTTTAAAACCCACCCAAATACAAACAGTCATAAACTGTATCCAGCAATAGAGTAGTTCATATCCTGGTATTTTTCTTTCTAGTGAGCTATATGTGCTCAAAGGTATATCAAAATTATATCTTGAGTTGCACTCAACTGTACAGTACACTATGTATATTTAATACTTTTAACTTTAAAATAACAAATTTTTCTCCATAGTATCTGGTTCTCTTAAAATATGATTTTGTGGATCTTGCAGAATAAAGCATCGAACATAAATGAACTTCATTGCATTTCATTTTTAAATAATTTGAGTGTGTGCTCACTGATTATACAAATATTTAGGGACTAACATACAATGGCTTTAGTTGAGTGCTGCTGAACTAAACTGTTGGTAATGTTTATCCTTCAGCAAGATCAATCTTTTGAAAAAAAAGAAAAAATGCTAATATGTATTAATAAGATATTTTAAATAGTGTTTTCAGGAATCTGCAATTAAAAATGTACATCAGTAAGTAAAGTTTTTTCAAGCTTGTTAGGTGCTGATTCTGTTTATCTATCATACTTTGTATTTGGTAAGAATCCATTGATCATATTTTCAGTTCCATTTGTAAAGCATTTCTTAACTACCCAAAGAAAAGAAAGTAAATATGGCTGTTGCTGTGTTTATCAGTCTCAATTTAATCAAAATGAATGTGTTTCTTTAGTAATAGTTTTGTATTTTATCTCCCCTTAATTATCCATTAAAACTAAGTTCTTTCACACACATTGCAATCCATAAATCATTTATATTTTTTTAGAGCTATGGAGATGTGAGTTCTACAGATTTTTTTTCAGTTTTCCTAAAATCTTATTAACAAGTAAAACCATTTCATTTTATCTCTGTGAAATTTTATAGCATTGCATTAATATTAATGTGAGTTCTGACAAGTTAGGACTGCAGGATTAGGTGCTTTTTTTCTGTCCTCATCATCCCACTTAGTGTTCATCTTTCTGAATGTGCTTTTTAGTAGATGGCATTTTGACACATAATTCCTATGGAAATGTAAGTTTTACTTTTACATAGCCGTCAGTGAATGCTAATAAGAAAATGTATCTTTTAAAATTGTGAAAGCAACAGTCTGATTTTGTAGCTTAACTTGACACTGTAAGAAAGGAAATCTAATTTGCATTTTCTGTAGGGCACAAGTGCCATGTTATTGTTAGGAGCATTGTTCAGTCCAAAGCTTCACTTTAAATATAAGCAACAGAAGTACAGACCAAAAATAACTTCAGATTGAATGTATCTCAAACTGTAAAGTGTTCTGCTTTTGTTTCCTTATTTTTGATTTGTTTACCCCTTTTTGATTTGTTTACCCCTTTTTGATTTGTTTCTTTTACAATAGCTTTTAAAATAGGAAGATTCCTGGAGTACTGTGCAGCCACTAAAAAGAATAAGTTAGAGCACTATGCAATGACATGGAAAAATAACCAAGATAAATTGTTAAGTGAAAAATAAGTTGCAGAACCCATTTCTGTTAAAAGTAACAATTGCATAGGTATATATGTCAGTCATTGCATGGAAGTACTGCATGTCTGGATGAATGCATGTCAGAACTGGTAACGGTTATTGTGGGGGCTGTGATTCTAAGAGTAATCTTACTTTATACATCATATAGTTATATAATATTTTAATTTTTATAGTAGATATGTACTGTTCTACAGCACAACTTCTGTTTTCCTGAAATGGTTTTTTAATTGTGGTAAAATGCACATAACATAAAATGTACCAGCCTAACCATTTTTAAAAGTACAGTTCAAAAGTATTAAAAACATGCAATCAGTCTTCAGAACACTTTTCATCTTGCAACGCTAAAACTGTGTACCCTTCAACCCTCTCCCAGCCCTGGTAACCACCTTCTACTTTGTGTCTTATGAATTTGATTACTCTAGTTATCTCATGTACGTGGTGTCATGTAGTATTTGTCTTTCTGTGACTGGCTTATTTCATTTAGCATAATGTCCTCCAGGTCCGTTTTTTGTTTTTTTAAAATAAGAACAACACAAACTCTGTAGGTAACTGGGTAAAGAAATGAACAGTCACTTTGTAGTTGAGTAATGCATGTATAAATAAGTGTGCAAAATTATTTAAAATGCACATTAATAAAAACTTTTTGGTTATCACACTAACAATTTTAAAAATTACTAGTACTCAGTGACGGTACTGAAACTTTAAAACACAATCTGACTCACTGCAACTAGGGATATAAATTGGCATAATCTTTCTGACAAGTAATTTGACAGCATATATCAGAAACTTATGTGCACTAAGTCTACTTCTTGGAAGCTAGCCTAAAAAGTACTCACACATAAGCAAAAATTTATGTTCAGAGATTTTCATAACAAAGTTATTTATTAAATAGTTATTCTAGTTAGAAACAACGTAAGAGTTTAAATTATTAAACATCTCAATCCATGATTCTAAATGGGGTGGGTAGCAAAGGGCTGTATCTGAATTTCTAGGAGGGGCGTATTTAGTCTGTAAAAGCATACTGCAAAATTGCCATTAATTTGATTTGTTTTCAATATCAACATCAGAAGAAAGTGCAAGATTTATATGTATATTGAAAGGAGAATGGACTTTAAAATACCAGGAATCACGAATTTATATGATGGAATATTACATATACTTTACATTTTCAGGAATTTTAATGACATAGTAAAAAGCTAATGTTAAAAAAGGGATGGAAACTCATGATTACAGAATTATCTCAACGGTGAAAAAAATGCATTTTTAAAAAGACTTGAACTTAATATGCCAAAATGTTAACAGTGTTTTCCTCTGGGTATTGGAATATTGAGTACCTAAAGTTTTCTGTACTTTATGAATTCTCTGAGATGAACATGTGTTACTTTTGTGTAATCAGAGGAAAATACAGTTTAAAAATATACAATTGAAAGGGTAGATTCCAAATATAATTAGAGATATATCATTCTTCTAAAGATAATTCCATTTAAATTCCAGGGCTTTAGGATCAGATACAGGAGGATCGACCAGAAATCCTGCTGCCCACTGTGGGCTTGTTGGTTTCAAACCAAGCTATGGCTTAGTTTCCCGTCATGGTCTCATTCCCCTGGTGAATTCGATGGATGTGCCAGGAATCTTAACCAGATGTGTGGATGATGCAGCAATTGTGTTGGGTATTTATATAATTCTATATCATTTGCAACAGCTTCTCTATAAAACAATATATCTGTCATTCATAAGTATTGCTCCTTACAGGTGCACTGGCCGGACCTGACCCCAGGGACTCTACCACAGTACATGAACCTATTAATAAACCATTCATGCTTCCCAGTTTGGCAGATGTGAGCAAACTATGTATAGGAATTCCAAAGGTAACTTTTTCCTTTCATTACTTTACAGAAATACTGTCAAGTCCAATAGAGAGCACAGACTTGGGAGGCGGATTGGGTGGGTTTGAATCTCTGCTCTGCCACTTTTATTAATCATGTGAGTTGAGTATGTGACTTAATCTCTTTTAGCTCAATTTCCCCATCTGTAAAATAGGAATAATAAAAATACTGACTTCAGAGAGGTTTGTGAGGATCAATTAGACAGTCATGTTAAGTCTGTAAATTGTTTCTGTAATGGGCAAGATAGCAAATATTTTAGATTTTGTGGACCATGCAGTCTTTATCATAACTGCTTAACTGCCATTATAGTGAGAAAGCAGCCACAGACAATATGTAAATGAAAAAGTGTGTCTCTGTTCCAATAAAACTTTATTTTCAAAAACCAGCTGGCTTGTCACATCTGGCCTATGGGCCATAGTTTGCCCATCCCTAATGTAAAGAAAGGACTTTAGCCCAAAGCCACAACTTGCATAGTAATGCCTCAAAAAATGTTAACATCTTTACTGTTATTATTATTACTACTGCATCTATTACAGTAGCAATTGAGTAATGAATACATGAATGTTATAATGTTAAATTACTAACCTTTTAAAAATATTAAGCATTGCAATATATTAATACTTTAAATCTTTTAGGAAGATAAGTTACCCTGCAGAATAATGAAGTTTCACAACCTCAGCACTGTTGGTGTTTGGGGCTGGTAATTGTTTGTTGTGGGAGACTGTCCTGTGCATTGTAAGATGTTTAGTAGCATCCCTGGCCTCTACCCCTACATGCAAGTAGTACCCCACCACCAAAACCACAATCCCACAACCAAAAATGTCTGCAGACATTGTCAAGTGTCTCCTGGTTAGGGAAAAGGAGACAAAAGTAACCCCCAGGTAAGACCACTGCTATAGAGAAATACTACCTTATTTAAAATCTTCCATTAAGGTAATATATGTAAGGCCAGGTGCGTACACCTGTAATCCCAGCACCTTGGGAAGCCAAGGCAGGAGGATCGCTTGAGATCAGGAGTTTGAGACCAGCCTGGGCAACATACAGAGCCCTATGTCTACAAAAAGTTTTAAAAAAATTGTGGGGTGTGGTGGTGTGCACCTGTGGTCCTAGCTGTTTGGGAGGCTGAGGGGGGAGGATTGCTTGAGTCCAGGAGGTTGAGACTGCCGTGAGCCATGATTGCACCACTGCACTCCACCCTAGGTGACAGAGCAAGACCCTATCTCAAAAAAAAAAAAAAAAAAAGAAGGCAATATCTGTGCATTCTTTTTAAGCATTTATTTATAGAGAGCATAGGCTTTAAAACAGACCCAGTTTGAAATCCTAGACCCTCTACTTACCTGCTATTTAACATTAGGAAAATAACTTCTTATGTCAAGATTTTTCATTAACAAAATGAAGGATTATAATACCTACATCACAGGCTTGTTAAAAGCATGAGATGAGAGAGAATCTTTGAAAATCATCTAACAGGCTGGGCACGGTGGCTCACGCCTGTAATCCCAGCACTTTGGGAGGCCGAGGCGGGCAGATCACGAGGTCAGGAGATCGAGACCATCCTAACACAGTGAAACCCCGTCTCTACTAAAAAAAATACAAAAAATTAGCCGGGCGTGGCTGTGGGTGCCTGTAGTCCCAGCTACTCGGAAGGCTAAGGCAGGAGAATGGCGTGAACCCAGGAGGCGGAGCCTGCAGTGAGCTGAGATTGCGCCACTGCACTCCAGCCTGGGCGACAGAGTGAGACTCCGTCTCAAAAAAAAAAAAAAGAAAATCATCTAACAGGGTACCTGATACATGAGCATTTAACATATATGCTGATATATGCTGATATGCTGTTAGGTTCCTGATACATAATGAGCATTTAACAAATATTTTCCCCAACCAGATCTCCAATCTTTAATGTTGTTATATCCAGATCATAATATCTAGTACTGTGCTTTGTCATACCATAAACACTCTGAAATGGATTTAGTCTTTCTAGCTACCTACCAGCAATTTTATCCTATTTTCTAATGTATTACCAAAGGTCCTGAAGTACAGATTTTTATAAAATCATCTATACAGATGAAGTACAAATTTTTATAAAATAATCTATACAGTTCCAATTTTGTATCTTGACTTTTTGCTATAAGGAATATCTTGTACCGGAATTATCAAGTGAAGTACAGTCTCTTTGGTCCAAAGCTGCTGACCTCTTTGAGTCTGAGGGGGCCAAAGTAATTGAAGTATCCCTTCCTCACACCAGTTATTCAATTGTCTGCTACCATGTATTGTGCACATCAGAAGTGGCATCGAATATGGCAAGATTTGATGGGCTACAATATGGTAAGATGGCTGGGTTATTTTATTTTTAAGGTAGTTGTCGCAAACATTTGAAAAGTTCACTTATTAGTGACAAAAAAGTTAATGCTTGAGATAATGTTAGTGATTCAGAAAAGTTCATCAGTGAATCATTTTACCTTTGTCATTTTAGACTTGTACTTACACTATTTGTCATAAATATTTGTGTATGTTTGGTTTGCTTCTCAGGACTGTGAATAACTCGAAGGGATAGTATCTTGTTGTCATATGCTCAGTCCCGCTAATGTAGAGCTCAATAAATGTTTGAATGAATGAATGAGGGAGTGAACAATTGGAGTTTCTTTCTTGGTTCTTTTCTTTTCTTCTCTCTCCATGACCAGTCCATCAGTCAAAAGGCAGATGGGGAAAAGAAACCATTAAGGGCAACTCCCTAAACTTTAGTATTGGTGACAAAAATGTGAATCTAAATAAGCCAGGCATGGTGGCGCATACCTGTAATCTAAGCTACTCAGGAGGCCGAGGCAGGAGAATCACTTGACAAGGGAGGCAGAACTTGCAGTGAGCCGAGATTACACCACTGCACTCCAGCCTAGGTGACAGAGTGAGACTCCATCTCAAAAAAAAAAAAAAAAAAAGTGAATCTAGGCCTGATTTTAGCCAAAACTTTACTGACTTTACTTCCTTTCAAGTAATGTTTACCCTTTTCTTGTTTTCAGGTCACAGATGTGACATTGATGTGTCCACTGAAGCCATGTATGCTGCAACCAGACGAGAAGGGTTTAATGATGTGGTGAGAGGAAGAATTCTCTCAGGAAACTTTTTCTTATTAAAAGAGTAAGACAACTCATTTAGGAATTTTCTTCATTCTTGAAACCTCAAGTAACATGTCTCTTATCAGGTCTTATAAGTCAAGGTATTTAGTAAAGAAACAAAATCTTTATGATTTGAATTAGAAAAGACCTGTTTATGGCACTTTTGGGTCCTGGTATTCAAAAACAAAAGAAATGTTGGTACTTTAGCTAAATGATTGGTACAGATTACAGGCAGTCCTCCATATCTGTGGGTTTTGCAACCTTGGATTCAACCAAACACAAATCAAAAATATTCAAAAAATAAAAAATAACACCCAACAATAAAAAGTAATACAAATTAAAAAGCAATACAGTGTAACAACTATTTACCTCGCATTTACATTGTATTAGATGTTACAAGTAATCTAGGGATAATTTTAAACGTGCAGGAGGTGTGCATAGGTTTTATGCAAATACTACACCATTTTATATGAGACTTGAATATCCTCAGATTTTGGTATCCACAGGGGTCTTGGTACCAAACCCCCAACGGACACCAAGGAATGAATGTAAGTAGGAAGCCATTAAGGATTTTAATCTCATTAAATGTCCTTTGGGTATTACCACATTGGTTTATTGCTGTTAGAGCCTTAAGCAGAGAGTTGTATTGTCTCTTGAAAAATGTATTGAATCAACTTAGTTTTTCCTTGTATTATGTATGTCTTTACTCTAAAAAAGAATTCAGAATGACTATGACTCCTCCTTCAATTGTCTTCATTATGAGTTTATTCACGATCTTGTGAACAGGCTTCATCTTCTATACCACCAAGTGTGTCTAAGAGGACATGAGAAGTGTGAAAAAGCAAGATTGGTTATTGTAATGAAGAGCTTCTTGGAGTTTTTCTCCATGCCCTCAAGGGCAGAAGGCATTTTATTCATCTGCGTATCCTCTCAGGGCCGATAGTTAGAATTACTTTTTATTTTTGAGACAGGGTCTCACTCTGTCACCCAGGCTGTAGTGCAGTGAAGTGATCGCAGCTCACCGCAGCCTTGACCTCTTGAGCTTAAGTGATCCTCCCACCTCAGCCTCCCTAGTAGCTGGAACTACAAGCTTGCACCACCATGCCCAGCTAATTTTTGTATTTTCTGTAGAGACGGGATCCTGCCATGTTGCCCAGGCTGATCTCCAACTCCTGGGTTCGAGCAATCCACCCATCTCAACCTCCAAAGTGCAGGTGTTACAGGCATGAGCCACCATGCCAGGCCACAGGATTACTTTTTCTAAGAATACTATTTGAGGCCGGGCCCAGTGGCTCATGCCTGTAATCCTAGCACTTTGGAAGGCCGAGGTGGGCAGATCACCTGAGGTTAGGAGTTCGAGACCAGCTGGCCAACATGATGAAAGCCTGTCTCTACTAAAAATACAAAAATTAGCTGGGCGTGGTGGTGGGCACCTGCAATCCCAGCAACTCGAGAGACTGAGGCAGGAGAATCACTTGAACCCGGGAGGCAGAGGTTGCAGTGAGCCAAGATCGTGCCACTGCACTCTAGCCTGGGCAACAGAGTGAAACTCCATCTCAAAAAAAAAAAAAGAATACTATTTGGTTATGTTCCAGATTAAAAGACTGTTACCATATTGACCAGATGCTTGTAATGACTTTGGAGTAGGAAAACAAAAGGAAATAATTTTCTAAGTGAAAACATTTATTAAGCTAAAGATATTACTTTTGCCAAATATTACTGATTAGAACCATATTGTTTATCTCAGGGCACAAGTTGATGAATTATATAGGTCAATGTAACAGCATAAAAAGAAATTGAAGGAGAGAAGTCAGAAAGCATTCCTCATGATCACCATTTGGGGGTTCTGATAAAAGGAAGTTAAAATTACTGCTGGTATCCCTAGCTCCTGAGTCAGTGCCAAGTTGGGTCAACTTGGGTAGACAAAAGTGATAGGAAAAATGGGATTCGGAATACTTTTTTTATTTTAAAAAGTCAACTTATGTGCCAGGAAGAGTTTATTTATTTATTTTTGAGACAGAGTCTCACTCTGTCACCCAGGCTGGAGTGCAATGGCACGATCTCAGCTCACTGCAACCCTGCCTCCTGGGTTCAAGCAATTCTTCTGCCTCAGCATCCTGAGTAGCTGGGACTACAGGCACACGCCACCACACACAGCTAATTTTTGTATTTTTAGTAGAGATGGGGTTTCACCATATTGGCCAGGCTGGTCTCAAACTCCTGACCTCGTGATCCGCCCACCTCAGCCTCCCAAAGTGCTGGGATTACAGGCGTGAGCCACCATGCCCAGCCAGGAAGAGTTTATTTTTAATTGACATAAATATTTACTTATGTAACACATTTATATCTACCTTTTGCTATTTATCTTCTGTTTGTCCCATCTGTTCTTTTTTCTTTTAACCTTTTCTTCTGCTTTTTTTTCTTTAAATAGTAATTTTTCTCTTAAAAAGATCTAAAATGAGAAAAATAGTGTCATTTATATTTACCTACATATTTAGTATTTCTGGTGCTTTTCTCTCTGCTCTAGAGATATAAATTTCCATCTGGTATAATTTTGTTTTTACTTGAAGAACTTTCTTTAATATTTCTTGTAGTCCTGTTGGCAGTGAATTCTTTCAGCTTTGGTTTATATGTAGAACTCTTTATTTTGCTTTTAATTTTGAAAGATATTTTCTCTGGGTTTAAAAATGTAGGTTAAGCTGGGCACAGGGTACACTCCTGTAGTTACAGCTACTCAGGAGGCTGAGGTGGGAGGATTGCTTGAGCCCAGGAGTGAGAGCCTGCACTGAGCTATAATCGCACCGCTGCACTTAAGCCTGAGCGACAGAGCGAGAGCCCATCTCTTTAAAAAAAAAAAGTATAGGTTGCTTCTTCTTTCTGTACTTTAAAGGTTTTGTCCATTGTCTTCTGGCTTACATAGTTTCTGAGAAGTCTGTTGTCATTCTTATGGTCATTCCTCTGTATATGATGTATCTTTTTTTCCTCTGATTTTAAGATTTTCTTTTTATCATTGGTTTTCAGGAATTTGACTGTGATGTGCCTTGGTGTGGTTCTCTGCATATTTCTTCTTCTGCATAGGGGTTTGTTAAGCAGCTTTGATCTGTTGGGTTATAGTTTTAATCAAATTTGGAACATTTTGGCTATTATTTCCTCAAATATTTTTTCTGTCCTCCATCTGTCTGGGACTCTCTTCACATGTATATTAATCTGCCTGATGTTGTCCCACAGCTCACAGACACTACATTCTTTTTTTTTCCCCCAGTCTTTTTTCCTTCTCTGCTTCCTTTTGGCTAGTTTCCATTACTGTTTTCAGAATCACTGATCTTTTTTTCTGTTATGTTGATTCTTTCCAGTACATTTTTTATACATTATATTTTTTTCTCTAGAAGTTCCATGTAGGTCTTCTTATCCCTTCAATTTCTTCATTATTTTATATTTTCTTCTACCTTCTTGAACATATAGAACATATTTAGGCTGCGTGCGGTGGCTCACACCTGTAATCCCAGCACTTTGGGAGGCCAAGGCGGGTGGATAACTTGAGGTCAGGAGTTCGAGACCAGCCTGGCCAACATGACAAGACCCTGTCTCTACTAAAAATACAAAAATTAGCTGGGTGGGAAGGCGTATGCCTGTAATTCCAGCTACTCGGGAGGCCAAGGTACAAGAATCACTTGAACCTGGGAGGCAGAGGTTGCAGTAACCCAAGATTGTGCCACTGCACCCCAGCCTGGGTGACGGAGTGAGACTCTGTCTCCAAAAAAAAAAAAAAACATATTTATAGTAACTGTTTTAATGTTCTTATCTACTCAGTATTCCATCATTTTTGCATCTGTGTGTATTAATGCTTTTTCCCTCTCTGGTTATGGGTCATATTTTTTGCTGCTTTTCATGTCTGTATATTGTGAATTTTACATTGTCATTTGCTAGACTTTTGTTATATTCCTTTAAACAGTGTTGGGCTTTTTCCCAGGATGCAATAAAGGTGCTTGGAATTTGTTGGCTCTTTTCAAGGCTTCTTTTAAAGCTTTGTTAAGATAAATCCAAAGCAGCCTTTATTCCAGGGCTAATTTTACTTTACTTTGAGGTGATGCTTTGATGCTGCATATATTTGAGTCTTTCGCTTTGGCTGTTCGAAACACAAACTTATTTCCGTCCCTGTTTGAGCTCTAGGAATTGTTCAGTCCACTGCTCTTTGGGGATTGTTTCCCCAGCCTTGGGAATTTCTTCTCATGCACTCATAGATCAGTACTCAGCCAGAGACTCAAGGAATCTCCCTGCAGATCTGTTGAGCTCTCTCTTTGTGCCACTCCCTTCTATTCAGCACCCTGCTTTGCAAATTCTAGCTGCCTTTGCCTCCTTGAACTTCAGATCTCTGTCCCTTTAACTTACCCCCCACCCCACATACTGTTTAGCTTCCTCTCTGGAATGAGGCCTGAAAACTGCCCCTAGGCATTAAGCTGGGGAAATCAAAGGGCATATCTCATTTTCTTTTCTTTTCTTTTTTTGGAGACAGGGCCTCACTTGGTCACCCAAGCCGGAGTGCATTGGCATGACCATGGCTCACTGGCAGCCTCGACCTCCCAGGCTCAAGCTCTTCTCAGCAACCCTCAACACTCCCCACCCCCCCCGTGAAGCTAGGACTACTGTAGTTTTTTTTGTAGAGACAGGATCTCCCTGTGTTGCCCAGGCTGGTCTCAAGCTCCTGGGCTCAAGGAATCCTACCCCCAGCCACCCCACAGGCATGAGGGACCACACCTGGCCTGGCTTACTTCATTTGTTTCTCTTCTCTCACAACTTTTTCTCCTGAATGTCTGTTGCCTAATGCCTGAAAATGGTCATTTCATATATTTTGTCCAGTTTTCTAGTTGTTTAAGAAGGCAGAGTGTCTTAGTTCTTTTTTTTTTTTTAATCCCCTATTCTGAGAAGCAGTCTTAGTTCATTTTTGCTGCTATAACAGAATGCCTGAGACTGGGTGATTTATAATGAACGGAGATTTACTGGCTCACAGTTCTGGAGGCTGGGTGGGAGGTCCAACATTGAGAAGCCAGCACCTGGTGAGGGCCTTCTTGCTATGTCCACACATGGCAGAAAGCAAGGGTGGGGAGAAAAAGAGGGAGAGAAAGGGAAAGCACATGGGGGGCTGAACTTTCCCTCTTAGAATGGCACCAATCCCACTCAAGAGTGGAGTTGTTATGGCCCAATCACCTCTTAAAGGCCCCATCTCTTAATACTGTTTCAGTGGCAGTTAAATTTCAGCATGAGTTTTGGAGGGGACAAGCATTCAAACCATAGCACAGGGTAAATCCCATCTCCATTACTCTATCTTGGATGGAAGCAGTTCTTCTTCTGAGCCATATTTAAAGTAGGAAGAAATTTAATAGAAAACAAGTATTTGTTTTGTTTTGTTTTGTTTTTTTTTGAGACGGAGTCTTGCTCTGTCGCCAGGCTGGAGTGCAGTGGCGCGATCTTGGCTCACTGCATCCTCCACCTCCTGGGTTCAAGAGATTCTCCTCCTGCCTCAGCCTCCCCAGTAGCTGGGACTACAGGCGCCCACCACCATGCCCGGCTAAATTTTTTTGTATTTTTAGTAGAGTCAGGATTTCACCATGTTGGTCAAGCTGGTCTCGAACTCCTGACCTTGTGATCCGACGCCTCGGCCTCCCAAAGTGCTGAGATTACAACATGAGCCACCAGGCCCAGCCAGTATTTGTTCTTTATAAAATTCAGGTTTTGGAATATGGTGTTTAAACCACTTAGGTGTTGTCAGTGTGTAAATTATATGTGATGCCTGCATTGGTCTCTCTGTAGACCTGGTGGTCAAATAAGAGTAAGGACCTATGATATTTCTGTACCACTCTTTTAGAGTAAAACATATTTCACGTTTTTATCGTATTTTATTTGGCCCTCAGTAAAACTGGAGCAGGTATATCCATTTTTACTGTTGTGGAAACTGTTGTGGAAAAGAATGGTTAGTTCTTTTTTTTTTTTTTTTTTTTTTTTTTTTTTTTTTTGAGACGGAGTTCCGCTCTTGTTTCCAGCTCTCCACGCTGGAGTGCAATGGAGCGATCCCAGCTCACTACAACCTCCGCCTCCCAGGTTCAAGCAATGCTCCTGCCTCAGCCTCCTGAGTAGCTGGGATTACAGGCATGAGCCACCACGCCCGGCTAATTTGGTATTTTTAGTAGAGATGGGGTTTCTCCATGTTGGTCAGGCTGGTCTTAAACTCTCAGCCGCAGGTGATCCACCCACCTCGGCCTCCCAAAGTGCTGGGATTACAGGCGTGAGCCACTGCGCCCGGCCTAGAACAGTTCTTGCTAGCCTCTCCTAACAGCTTCAGAAGAATCTAAAGGATTTTTTTTCCTTTTCTTTGTATCATTGATTTATGGTTACTCCTATGTCTGGCTTTTTCTTTAGTCTTTTTAGTAAAATAAGCATTCTTGAATTTCACATTTCTACCCCTGGGCTATACCTATCCGTAAAATACAAAATTCAAATACTGCATAGTCTACCGCTGTCTATCTTAGTAACCTTTAGAAAGCCATTTGTTGCTGTGTACTTTACTTTCCTCACCAATGAATATTCTGGTTTAATGATGGCCCTGGAGTTATTAATATTTTGAGATTATAAGTGTAGAATTGCATCTACTAGTGAATTCTGAATTCGGATTGATTAATTTATATATACAAACTTTTAGAGTGGCAACACAGTGGAAGAGAATTCATTTTTATGTTAAGAATCTTAATGGTGCCTCCTCATAAAAGCCAAGAATCCAGTGGTTCTTTTTTTTTTTTTTTCCCTAAACAATGCCTAAACTCTTTATTTAACCAACCAGTATTTCTGGTTTTCTTCCTGATGCAGGATTTTAAAACCTTAGAAGTCTATAAATACTGCATTCAGACTTTCCACATCAAGAGAAAGGGGCCCAGGGCAGAAGATGTCAGGCCCCAGGCTGTTTTGGGGTGGGAAAAGTGGCAAAGATTTCTCAACAGTCTGTTTCAGTTTTCTAACTTAATTGAAATGCCTTTAAGCTCTGCTTCATCCCCAAACTTTCCCCTATGGCGTCTATGATAGAAAAACACTCCTCTCTCATATACGCCCCACCACTGGGGAGCCAGGGGGAAGGGAATGGGCATTACACAGGCAAGCCAAACTTTTTATTCAGCCAGAAAATGGAAATCCAATGGTTCTTTATCAAGCCTAATGTAAGATAATTGATTAAAAGAAAAATACAAAAAATCCTTAAAAACATCACCTACTTTTTTCCCACAGAAACTATGAAAATTATTTTGTCAAAGCACAGAAAGTGAGACGCCTCATTGCTAATGACTTTGTAAATGCTTTTAACTCTGGAGTAGATGTCTTGCTAACTCCCACCACCTTGAGTGAGGCAGTACCATACTTGGAGTTCATCAAAGAGGACAACAGAACCCGAAGTGCCCAGGATGATATTTTTACACAAGCTGTAAATATGGCAGGTGAGGATTCCTCAGGAACATTCTGATTTTCTTCAAATTCTTAGGCAGGTACCCTGGTCTTCAACTTAAGATTCTAGCTAGATGGTTTCCGAAAAGCAAAAGTCTATCCTTTTGGAATGCTTAGGAGTGAGTGTGTGTGTACATGTATTAGTCTGTTCTCACACTGCTATAAAGAAATACCTGAGACTGGATAATTTAATTTAAAAAAGAGGTTTAATTGGCTCACAGTTCTGCGGGCTGTACAGGAAGCTGAGCAGCTTCCACTTCTGCGAATGCCTCAGGAAACTTAAATTCACAGTGGAAGGTGAAGGAGAAGTAGCCATGTCTTACATGGCCCAGCCCAAGCAAGAGAGAAAGGGGGAAGGTGCTACACACTTTTAAAACAACCAGGTCTTGTGATAACTCACTCACTATCACGAGAACAGCACCAAGGGGAATGGTGTTAAACCGTTTATGAGAAACCGTCCCCATGATCCAGTTGCCTTCCACTAGGCCCCACCTTCAACATTGGGGATTACAATTCAACATGAGATTTGTGTGGGGAGACAGATCCAAACCATATCCGTACACTTGCATGCACTCTCACCACACACACACAAACACAACACACTTAGTAGTTTTTTTTAACTTTTATTTTGAAAAATTTTAAACCCACAGAAAAGCTGAAAAAGTGGTATAATGAATGCTGATATGCCCTTCACCTGGATGTAATCTTGTTAACATTATATTTGCTTTGCCCTTCTCTTCCTCTTTCTACACACCCACACTCACCACACAAACAACTTTGTTTTTACCTGAATCATTTGAAAGTTTCAGATGTCATGACACTTCACCCCTAAATTCTTTTGTACAAATCTTATAAGGATAAATTTTCCTACAGAACCACAATTCCATTGTCATACCTAAGAAAACTAACATGATTGAAGAATAATTTAAATATGGTTTATATTCAAATTTTCTCAGTTCTACCAAAAGTGTCTTTTATAAGTTGTCTTTCCTCCTGATATATTACATTGGTTTATGGTATCTTTTTAAAATCTAGAACAATCACCCCACCTCTCTTTTTTCTTTAAAACCACATCAGGCTATGCTATAATTTTTGTTTCAATCATCAAACATAATGTAGAAAACTTAAGAGGAAAAGGAAAGTCTATTACATTTACCTATACTTTTGCTTACTGTGTTCATTCTTCCTTCCTGAAGTACCAAGATTCTTTATTTTGTCACTTCTGTTTAGAGAAATTTCTTTAGCCTTTCTTTTAGGGTAGGTCTGCTGATGAAAAATTATCATAGCTTTCCTTTTGAGAATGTGTTGATTTCCCTTTGATTTTTAAAGGTTATTTTTGCTGGATGTAGAACTCTGGTTCAACAGTTCTTATCTTTAGCACTTAAAAAATGTTAAGAGCCCAGTCCACTTGTGCTGTAAGATGTCCCATCCATAATCAGGATTTGTCAGATTGCTTCCTCATGATTGGGTTGAGTTAAACATTTTTGGTAGAAGTACTACATAATCTTCATGTCAGGAAACAGTTAATATCAGTTTGTCTCACTTTTGGAAACCAAGTTGATCACTTCGCTAAGGAAGTAACTGCTAGATGTTTCCTTATAAAAAGGTACATTTTTCCTTTTATCATTTTTTTAAGCAATTTCTGGAGTAATATTTTGAGACCATGTGAATATCCTATTTTCCAATTATCTTGAACCCAGTTTTAGCATTCATTGATCATCCTTGAAATATTAGCTAGAGAATTACAAAATTCTGGCTTTACTAAATCTGTCATTCCTTCTACATTTATTAGCTAGCAGTATTCTCTAAAGAAGAGCCTTCCTTTTTTTCTTTAATTCAATGTATTATAAGCAATTACTGTCAGTATTGTTTTTGATGGTCAAATTGCCTTAAATTTGGCCAATAAGAGCCCCTTCAAGTTATATGTATCCTTTAAAACTGTCCCCATTTTAATTTTTGAAAACTTGTTTTATTGTATAACAAGATGGTCTGGGATTTTGTACTTTCTCTGCCCAAACCTGGAATTAAAACTACCCTGAGCTAATTTCTCATCTAATGGATTGCCAAAAATTCAAAAACTGAACAACACACTCTGTCTGCAAGGCTATAGGTGGAAGTTCAAAATGGTACAACTTCTTTGCAGGGGAATTTTGCAATATCTAATTACATATGCATTTGTCGTTTGATGAAGCAATCTCCTCCTCATCTAAGAAGATTTCAAGAATACCAAAAAAATACATACACAAAGTAATTCTCTGGGGCATTGTATAAAATAGCTAAATATTGAAAACAATCTAAATACCCAACCACAGAAGACTGGTTTACTCAATTATGGTAAAACCAAGTAATGGAGTACTATACAGCAATAAGAAATGAATGAAGAAGGTTTCTGTGAACTGATACAGAATGATTTCCAAGATATATTGTTAAGTAAACAAAACATAGTACAAAAGCATTATATAGCATAATATTTTTGGTTGTTTTTTAAACCTTATCCTGTATTGTACTTATTAGCACTGGAAAGTGGAAGAGGTCTCTGCTAATTAGGGTGGAGAATTAATCACCTACTGGGTTTCCTTCTTTTCCCAGGATTGCCAGCAGTGAGTATCCCTGTTGCACTCTCAAACCAAGGGTTGCCAATAGGACTGCAGTTTATTGGACGTGCGTTTTGTGACCAGCAGCTTCTTACAGTAGCCAAATGGTTTGAAAAACAAGTACAGTTTCCTGTTATTCAACTTCAAGAACTCATGGATGATTGTTCAGCAGTCCTTGAAAATGAAAAGTTAGCCTCTGTCTCTCTAAAACAGTAAACATATCTTACAAATTAAAATGACTTTTAGGCTGGGTGCAGTGGCTCACACCTGTAATCCCAGCACTTTGGGAGGCCAAGGCGAGCGGATCATGAGGTCAGAAGATCTAGAACAGCCTGGTCAACATGGTGAAACCCCGTCTCTACTAAAAATACAAAAATTAGCCAGGCTTAGTGGCGGGCATCTGTAGTCCCAGCTACTCAGGAGGCTGAGGCAGGAGAATCACTTGAACCCTGGAGGTGGAGGTTGCAGTGAGCCGAGATCATGCCACTGCACTGCACTCCAGCCTGGGTGACAAAGCAAGACTGTGTCTCAAAATAAATAAATAAAATAAAATAAAATGACGTACAGAGATTCTATATTCTAGAGAGTCAAATGGTCTTGCTCAATTCTTGTAATTAGGTTCTTGTTAATACAGTCATTCCATGGAATTACTTTTTAAAATTCCTGTGACAATTAATAATAAATAACGTGTCAGCATTTAGTAAGCATCCACTAAGTGTACAATACTTCTACAATAACACAAGATACCTGTTCCTCAAAGACAATGCATTCTGCCATAATGTTCATTAAAGAGTTTACAGTAAAAATAAGATTAGGGATAAACTTCTCAAAAATTGTACATCTGTGTAACTAAAGCACTAACAAAAACATGAATAGTCCTTCTAGAGGTAACTTGGATAGCCTAGGCAGGCAACTTATCATGTGGTGAAGGCCGCCTCAGGGGTTGTTAAAAATGCACAGAAACAATTGAGTGCGATTATTGGCTTCTGAGCGCTGAGCAGAGCAGGTGGAAGAGGAACTTTGAGCACAGGAGGAAATGCAACCAGTCAGGGCCCAGAATCATGCAAATCTCAGGGGTATGCCTCTCTGGGGAGGAGCTCCACTTGCAGGGACTCCTTTTATTTCCCTAAGAAAGAGCTGAAATGACTGAGAACTTTCCTTTCCTCCTTAGAGTTACAATTTTACTTCTGCTATTCCGGAGCCCATGCCTAGAAGCCAGAACAACTCCATGTTACACTGAGTTCATGCTCCTATTTACTGATCACAAATGAGCTCATTAATGTCATCGAAACATTTATTGTAACCTAACAGACCATCACAGATTGGAAACTTGGTAGATAGCAGAGCATGGTATTAGTGAAAAAGGTTCAAAATACACAAGTAACATACACTCTGAAAAACATGCAGATAATTTGCTGATGAAGCAGAAGAGGGGATGCGCATGGCAAGAACTTGCCTTACCCCAGATTCTCTATATCTCATGGTTTCCTTTTCCTCTTGACTGTCTTTACGAGTGTTTTTTATTTGGGACCCTCGAGCCCAGAGATATTAATGGATATCTGTATTCAATATTTGACAAAATCTAATGGAAACCATCCATTTACTCATGATAAGGCTTCATCACTGGATTTCTGTGTCTTCACTAGAACACCATTGTCATCTCATATTGATCAGGTATTTTAATCTAGCACTTACATATTGTTGATAAATGAAAGCTGAATTGTTACTTAATAAATTCACTTTGTTTAGTAAAAAAAAATTGTTTTCTAAATATGACGTTCATGAAGAGAAAATAATGAGTCAGAATCATCTGCAGAACCACTGGAATGTTTCATCGTCACCTGTTAGTTTTCATAAACAGTTTTCTGTCCTCTCTGAGATCCTCCCGCTCCCAAATACTCAACCTGATTAACTTCACATAAAAGTCTTATGTGCCAGGCTTAGTAATATTCCTATAGATTTTGACTCTGAATCCCTGAAAGAGGAAGAAATCCATGAGAGAAAATTGCATTACTTTATAGCAAGAGGAAACCGTTTTAAGTTTTTTAATTGCTCAGACACCACAACATCCTAGATGGAGGAAACCATTTTAGTTGAAGGAGCAAATATGATGTCAAAAGCAAGTAAATAAACAAACCGTTGCCCCAATCTGTTTTTATGTAATGAATTTAAAAAAAAAGAGAGAGAGAGAGAGATGGGCTCTCCCTGTGTTGCCCAGGCTAGTCTCAAACTCCTGGGCTCAAGTGATCTGCCTCCCTCAGCCTCCCAAAGTGCTGAGATTAAAGACGTGAGCCACCACACCTGGCCGAAATAATAATATTCAATATTATATATTCAATGATATTATTCAGTATTCAATATTATTTCAAATAATATTAAATCTCTTGTTCCTGTATCTCTACATGAGCTGCACTAATAATTTGAATCTGGAAATTAAAAAGTGAAACATTTACCGTTCTCATATACTGATACCCAACTACCATGAAATGATACCTAATTTGTTTTTCTTTTCTCTTCATTTTTACTCTTAATCTAGTAGGTCTCATTTTGCCAAGTCACTGTCTGGGAATTTAAGTGGCAAATACTTTCTTTGTCTCAGCTAATTAAACTCTAAAATTATTAGCAACAGAACTTCCAGAACAGAGTGTTTTTGAAAGGTGAAGATGTCTACACGTGTAAGATGAGTTCCTTGATAACACCTGAAAGACCCAAACCAAAGCAAAAGTTTGAACACGTGTCAGAGTGAAAAAATGATGTGATCATAAAACATGGTGCTCTGCCACCACAGAGAGCCAAAGGAGCAAGCGGGAAAACCACTGTTCCACGCTGGCCCACACTTAGCGTTACCAAAAAAAGCACCTGAAACCCAGGAGGCAGAATGTTCCCTTTGAGTGGCTGACACCGGGTCCTCTGTGATGACATCAGACTGGGCTGTTTAAAATTAAAGATGGCATGGTATAGAAGAGGAGCTTGCAAAATGACAAAAAAAAGTGCTTATTCCTATTAGGAAATAGCTGCACCTCCTAATGTAAATAAGTAACTTTAGGATTTTAAACAGAATCTGAAGGATAGTGAAAAGAAATAAGCAGGTACTAATAAGTAGACCTCGGGATTCAGCAAGCCGTGTGCCATACCTTATTTGATTCAAAGCAGGGGAGTAGGCCAGGCGCGGTGGCTCACGCCTGTAATCCCAGCACTTACGGAGGCCGAGGCGGGCGGATCACGAGGTCAGGAAATCGAGACCATCCTGGCTAACATGGTGAAACCCCATCTCTACTAAAAATACAAAAAATTAGCCAGGCGCGGTGGCAGGCGCCTGTAGTCTCAGCTACTCAGGAGGTTGAGGCAGGATAATGGCATGAACCTGGGAGGCAGAGCTTGCAGTGAGCCGAGAGTGCACCACTGCACTCCAGCCTGGGCGACAGAGTGAGACTCCATCTCAAAAAATTAAAAAATAAATAATAAATAAAAAGCAGGGGAGTAAAATAATGGAACTTTAAAAATATCTCTTATTATAAATTTTCATTCATTAACTACTTTTAATCCCCCTCCCTTTTATTATTATTATTTTTTTTTTTTTTTTTTTTTGAGACAGGGTCTTGCCCTCACCCTGGCTGGAGTACAGTGGCACAGTCCTGCTCACTGCAGCCTTGACCTCCTGGGTCCAGGCAATCCTCCCACCTCAGTCTCCCAAGTGTGGCACCACCAGGCCCAGCTAATTTTTTTAATTTTTTGTAGAGTCAGGGTCCTGCCATGTTGCCCAGGCTGGTCCTGAACTCCTGGGCGCAAGCCATCTGCCCACCTTGGCCTCTCGAAGTGCTGGGATGACAGGAGTGAGCCACCGTGCCCAGTCCCCCTCCCTTTCTTCAAACATCTGGTTATCTGTACCAAGGCACAAGCCTAGGAAAAGACATATCCGTTGTGTTTAGAAGGACCCAGAGGAAGTTTAAAATAGAAGGCTTTCCTCAGTTATTTAATAACTTAAGCAATGTGTACACTAGAACATAAACCTGAAAATTTAATAAAGGCAAATAACACGAAAAAAAAACCAAAGGCAACATTAAGTAAAAGTAATTACTACAGGATTTCGGAGGAGCTTTTTTATTTATTTTTCTTTGTACCTCAATAGAATATAAACCCAAAAATATTTTAGGCAGTTTATTAAAAATATATTATTACAATTGTATAAAAGTAAATAGTTGAGGAAATCCATGAAGTGATAATAAAAGTGAGGAAGAAGAATAAAACCAGAAATAGATTAAAAACAAAAAATGCTTGTCAGGGTATCTATATAGATGCTTAATATTGGGTAGTATATGATATGGTGGGAAATTAGCTTTCCTAGTGGGGTAAGGCCACCAGATTTAAAAATCAGACAACCCTGAATTGAATCTTGTTGCTGCCATTTCCGAGCCGCGTAACTTGTCTTGAGTTTCAGTATCCTGACCTGTAAAATAGGGATAATATCCACTCCTTGGGGTAGTCGGAGGGATTAAATTTAAGTGACACACTGAAAGCACATAGCATGATACCTGACAGAATAAGCACGCAATATTTTGTAGCTATAAATAAATGCATGCAATCATGAATTTCAGTCATTTTCTTATAGAGGCCTCACAGTAAACTCTTACAGACGCCACAATTTGGCATGTGGCCAAATTATAATTTACTGAAAGCTTATACCAGAGACCAGCTATATATTTCCCTGATGATCTGGCCTCCCCTGAGAATGAAGTTTAAAATATCTGGAAGAACTGATAGACTACATTTTTTTTTTTTTTATGGAGTCTTACTCTGTTGCCAGGCTGGAGTGCAGTGGCGGCAATCTCGGCTAACTGCAACCTCCGCCTCCCGGGTTCAAGCAGTTCTCCTGCCTCGGCCTCCGAGTAGCTGGGACTACAGGCACGCGCCACCACGCCCAGCTAATTTTTGTATATTTGGTAGAGACGGGGTTTCACCATGTTGGCCAGGATGGTCTCAATCTCCTGACGTCGTGATCCGCCCGCCTCGGCCTCCTAAAGTGCTGGGATTACAGCCATGCGCCACCGGCGCCCGGCCACTAGACTACGTATTTAAACAGCAATTTCCAGAGGCTTGGCGAGGTGGCTCATGCCCATAATCCCAGCACTTTGGAAGGCCGAAGTGGGTGGATCACTTGAGTCCAGGAGTTTGAGACCAGCCTGGGCAACATGGTGAAACCCCGTCTCTACTAAAAATACAGAAAATGAGCTGGGCGTGGTGGTGCACGTGTGTAATCAAGATCGCTTGAGCCTGGGAGGTGGAGGTTACAATGAGCCGTGATCGCACCACTGCACCTCAGCCTGAGCAAAAAAGTGAGACCTTGTCTCAAAAAAATTAAAATAAGCAATTTCCATGAGTTTTTGATAAAGAATTGGCCATTCCAGTGATAGAAAACCTGAAAGTCTTCGTGACGTGTGAACCAAATGAAGAACAGGGCTGACAGGCGTTTTAAAGAATGGAGGTTCCGGGCCGGGCGCGGTGGCTCACGCCTGTATTCCCAGCATTTTGGGAGGCCAAGGCGGGCGGATCACGAGGTCAGGAGATCGAGACCATCCTGTCTAACACGGTGAAACCCCGTGTCTACTAAAAATACAAAAAATTAGCCTGGCGTGGTGGCGGGCTCCTGAGGCAGGAGAATGGCATGAATCCGGGAGACGGAGCTTGCAGTGAGCCGGGATCGCGCCACTGCACTCCAGCCTGGGCGACAGAGCGAGACTCCATCTCAAACAAACAAACAAACAAACAAACAAACAAAAAGAATGAAGGTTCCCCCAAAATGGTCAACCCATATTCCTATGGGGAAAGTGTTTTTGACAGAACCAAATTCTTCCTCATAAAAAGCAGTTCCATTCTAACATATAGACATAATCGAGGCTCCAAAATAACTGTATCTTCAGTGCAATTCCTTTAACATGGGAAAATTTTAAGGTAAATGTTACCAGCAGCCAATTAGTACATTCCTCAGGGAAAATAAGTTAACGAAGGACCCATGAGTCATCTAATTGTAAGCAACTTCACTCCTTGGTGAATCTTCCATAATAAGTTAGTTGCAAAATGGGCCTGCAGGTCAATGAATAATATGATAAAGTTGGTGGCAGATATCTGCCAAAATTATAATCGGCAATTTTACCATAGTTCACTTAGCAGGGCCAATTGTCTATAGAGGCCAGTCATAGTTTAGAATACTTATCTTTCTGTTATCTATGATGGGGGCATATACATCTAAATTATCCAAAACTGCTTTCAAGTAATTAACATACCAACTAAAAGGAAGTGAGGCTGGAATTCAGAGTTTGAAGACTTAGAATAACCAAGGATATTCTAATTCTAATACGGTGCTCTATCAGAACAGTTCTATAGACAAGCATGTAAGAAAAAAATCTATTTTTTTTCAAATTATGTGCAAATTATCTTCTTAGCGATAGCACTTCATTTCTCCGTGGAAATGGCCACTTGGATGCCAGGTAATTGGTGCAGAATTAAGGTGGTGCTAATGGTAAAAGAAGTGAAGCACTAGAAAGTGAAAATTAGAAGAATGTAGACCTTAATTGGATTAGAGGATAGGGGAGAATGGAGGGAAAGAAAAGTTATTTTTATCCTATGAAATGTTCGCAGCTGGAAGAATGGTATTACCATTCACATTAAATAAAAAGGGAAAGCAACAATAATTTGTAGGGACTGGAGAATTCTACAGCCAAATGAGAGGCCTAACAGGCAGGGGAAAAAGAGGCAATTAAGTAAGATGGCGTTTTGGGAGTCAGAGCATAAATAATGAAGTCTTTATATTTGTTTCCTTTTTTTCTGATGTTTTATTATTTTATTATTCTGCACCAATTACCTGGTATCCTAGTGGCCATTTCCACGGAGAAATGAAGCGTTACCACTAAGAAGATAATTTGCACATAATTTTAGAAGAAATAGATTTTTCTTACATGCTTGTCTATAGAATTGTTTTGATAGAGTACTGTATTAGAATTAGAATATCCTTCATTATTCTAAGTCTTCAAACTTAATTCCAGCCTCACTTCCTTTTAGTTTGTATGTTAATGACTTGAAACCAGTTTTGGATAATTTAGATGTATATACCCCTATCATGCATATATACAGCAGTGAACACCCACATACCCACCACCTATTTTAACAGGTTTTATTTTTCTAATTACAAAGGTAATGCATGTTCTCTGTAAGAAAAAGAAAAGCACTATAAGAGAAAAAAAATCACTTGTCAACTCACCATCTAGTATGTATATTGTTAAAAACTTTAGACAAAATAAATATGTTGGAGTTCATCTAAGCAAAAAATGATTCATGAATCAAGAGCATTTGGAGCCAGAAGAGGTTCTGAGAACTCTAAGTAGTAGCATGAGCAGTGAGCTTTTATAGGCTGAATACAGAAGCAAAGTAGAGAAATCATCTGATTGGCTACAGCTAGATGTTTTCCTTATTGGGGCGTCATATGATGAGCCATTTGCCTTATTTGGGTATGGTCTGGTGAGAGGTCCCTAACCATATAACCAGTTGGTTGGTTGGCTGTTTGTGATTGGCTGAGGCTTTTTTTTTTTTTTTTTTTTTTGAGGCTGAGTTTTGCCTCTTGTCGCCCAGGCTGGAGTGCAGTGGCGCGATCTTGGCTCACCACAACCTCTACCTCCTGGGTTCAAGAGATTCTCCTGCCTCAGCCTCCCGAGTAGCTGGGACTACAGGCACCTGCCACCACGCCCAGCTAATTTTTGTATTTTTGGCAGAGATAGGGTTTCACCATGTTGGCCAGGCTGGTCTTGAACTCCTGACCTGAGATGATCCACCCACCTTGGCCTCTCAAAGTGCTGGGATTACAGGCGTAAGCCACCGCGTGTGGCCTTTTTTTATTATTTATTTAAATTAAATAAGTTACAAAAAATGTTTGCAAGTTAAGTCCCTGTGTGCTTATTTAAGAGCTCTGGGTACAGAAGCAATCCCATGAAAATAGCTTCCTGCTTGTTTTGCTTAAATAATTTGTATATGCTTATGTAATTATATGTATTTTATTAATAAAATTGGTGTGGCTGGGCACTGTGGCTCACGCCTGTAATCCCAACACTTTGGAAGGCCAAGGCGGGTGGATCACAAGGTCAGGAGTTCGAGACCAGCCTGGCCAAGATGGTGAAACCCCGTCTCTACTAAAAATACAAAAATTAGTCAGGCGCAGTGGCGGGTGCCTGTAATCCCAACTACTCAGGAGGCTGAGGCAGGAGAATCACTTGAACCCGGGAGGCGGAGGTTGCAGTGAGCCAAGATCACACCACTGCACTCCAGCCTGGGCAACAGAGCAAGACTCCGTCTCAACAACAACAACAAAATTGGTGTTATACTTCACACAGTTATGCAGGCATCACCACTTGATTCCAGAACTTTCTCATTATTTCAACAAAGAAACTGTACTTATTAATAATCACTCCCCATTCCACTCCTCCCAGCTCCTGGCAACCACTAATTTACTTTCTGTCTCTCTGGATTTGCCTGTTTTGGACATTTCATACAAATGGAATCATACAGTATGTGACCTTTTGCATCAGGCTTCTTTCACTCAGTACAATGTTTTCAAGGTCTATCTATGTTGGAGCATTTATCAATATTTCATTGCTTTTTATGACTAATATTCCGATGGGTAGATACATTACATTTTGTTTATTCATCATTAATTGATGAACATTTGGGTTGTTCCCACTTTGTTGCCATTATGAATAATGCTGCTATAAGCATTCATGTACAAGTGTTTCTGTGAACATATTTTCATTTTGCATGAATATATACATAGGTCTGGGACTGCTCAGTGCTGTGGTGTGAATGTATTCCCCCAAAAGTTCATGTTAGAAACTTGGTCCTCAACACAGCAGTGTTGAGATGTGGGACCTTGGGGAAGTGAGTAAGTCATGAGAATTCTGCCCTCATGAATAGATTAACCCACTCATAGATTAGTGGATTAATGGGTTAGTTTTCATGAGAGTGGATCTGTTATAAAAACCTGTTTGGCCCTCTCACCATGTGATGCCCTGTCCCACCTCAGCACTCTATGGAGAGTCCTCACTGTCTAAAAGAGCCTCACCAGATGTGATCCCTCAATCTTGGACTTCCCAGCCTCCAGAATTATAAGAAATAAATTTCTTTTCTTTGTAAATTACCCAGTGTGTGGTATTCAGTTATAGTAACAGAAACAGACTGAATCATAGGTAACTATTTAACTTTTTGAGGAACTGCCAAACTCTTTTCCAAGGTGGCTGCACCATTTTACATTCCCACCAGCAATGCATGAGGGTTTCAGTTTCTTCACATCCTTGCCAACAATTTTTGTTTTCTCTTTTTGATTTTTGCCATCTCAGTAGATGTGAAGTGTATTTCATTGTGGTTTTGATTTGCATTTTTCTAATGACTAATAATATTGAGTATATTTTCATCTGCTTACTGATCATTTATATATATTCTTTGGAGGAGAAACTTCTATTCAAATCCTTTGCTCATTTTAAATTGAGTTATTCGTCTTTTTATTGTTGAGTTTAAAAGGTTTTTAAAGAAACACATCTTTTAGATACAAGCCCCTTATCAGATGGTATCTGATTTATAATTGTTTTCTCGCATTCCATGAGTTGCCTTTTCACTTTCTTAATGCTTTTCTTAGGAGCAGGAAAGTGTTCCTTTTTTGTATTATTATTTTTTTGCCACACACTGTCAGGGGAAAGTTTTTCAGTTTAATGAAGTCCAATTTATCTGTTTTTACTTTTGTGACTTTTGCCTTTGATATCATATATCAAATCTATCTGTAATAATTGTTAGCAAATGATATGAGGAAGGGACCTAACCTTTATTAAAAATACCACGTAACCCAGCACCTGTCCACACTATTATTCTAGTCTAAATGCTTCTATACACTCAGGTCTGATTTAGGGCCATTGTTGAAGCTTTGTTGGTTTTTCTTAAGGTGACCCCAAAGTAGCCTGATTATAACATTCAAAAGAAACAGTGATACCTACAGTTTTGCTATTGCCCTACCTTTGTATAAACAAGTGTCTTGCAGTCTAAAGCATGTATTCAATGTCTGTTAAATTAAATTAAATTGAAAATCAGTTTTAGGGAGGAGAAATGTGAATAATCATAGAGTAGCCAACACTGTGATCCAGCCTTGTTCACACTGTTTCCATTTCTGTTGAGGTCATCTCTGTTCTGAGCCAAAACTGCTCTTTCAACACTTTTTTTTTTTTTTTTTTTTTGAGACAGAGTCTCACTCTGTCGCTCAGGCTGGAGTGCAGTGGTGCGATCTCGGCTCACTGCAACCTTTGCTGTCCGGGTTCAAGCAATTCTCCTGCCTCGGCCTCCTGAGTAGCTGGGATTACAGGTGCCTGCCTCCGTGCCCAGGTAATTTTTTTTTTTTTTTTTTTTTTGTATTTTTAGTAGAGACCGGGTTTTACCAACTTAGCCAGGCTGGTCTTGAACTCCTGGCCTCGTGATCCACCCGCCTCAGCCTCCCAAAGTGCTGGGATTACAGGCGTGAGCCACCATGCCCGGCCTCAACACATTTTCAATAGAATCATGGTAATCATTAGTTTTGTTAGTCAAATATTTCCAGTTCTCTCCAGTTTCAGACCCTCTTATGGTTAGGTGGGATCTTGTGTTTAGTTCCAACCAATGCATCGTAAGTGGAAGTGTCATGTATCTGGGCCAGAGTTTGCTAGGTT
This sequence comes from Homo sapiens, assembly GCF_000001405.40. NCBI lineage: Eukaryota > Metazoa > Chordata > Mammalia > Primates > Hominidae > Homo > Homo sapiens. Next base: position 106,676,514 of record NC_000006.12, read on the forward strand.
GATATCCTCTAGGGTTTTCTTCTCCCTCCAGCAATGTTCAAAATGGTGGCCGCTCTATCAGCCCAAGTCCCTGAGTGACTTAAGTGTCAGAGAGCTCTGTCAACCTAATGGATGGGTAGCACAAGCAAAAAATAAAACTTTTTCGGCCGGGCGCCGTGGCTCACGCCTGTAATCCCAGCACTTTGGGAGGCCGAGGCAGGTGGATCATGAGGTCAGGAGATCGAGACCATCCTGGCTAACAAGGTGAAACCCCGTCTCTACTAAAAATACAAAAAAAATTAGCCGGGCGCGGTGGCGGGCGCCTGTAGTCCCAGCTACTCGGGAGGCTGAGGCAGGAGAATGGCGTGAACCCGGGAAGCAGAGCTTGCAGTGAGCCGAGATTGCGCCACTGCAGTCCGCAGTCCCACCTGGGCGACAGAGCGAGACTCCGTCTCAAAAAAAAAAAAAAAACTTTTTCCACTTTTGTTGTTTTAAGCTGCTGAATTTTGGGGTGGAATGTTAGTGAAGCATAACATGGCCCATCCTGAGCATCTACCAGTCACTGTCTTTCCGACTTTTCATTCACTGGTCTGCTTTTCAAACCAACCCAATAGTACCATAGATAGTTTTGGGTTTTTTGGGGGGTTTTTTTGTTTGTTTTTTTAAATGAACATAGAAATTGACCCTTCTGGCCTTAAAGCTTGAAACTTATATTTGTTTTATCTGAGTCCCTTTCTCAGTAACCACCTTCAGGCCTCTCAAAAAAAAGTTTCAAAGAACTGAAACTCTCCAGATCACCATATCCAGACAATGAGATGCCAGACCCCTCAGGACCCCTCATTCATTGTGATTGCTTCCTTGCCCCTCCCTAGTTCCTGTTTTCTTACACACTGTTAGATTTCTTCGCTGCTATATAAACCTCTAGTTTTAGCTGGTCAGGTAGATGGATTTTAGACTCAGCTCCCACTTCCTTGGCTGCCACACCCGATTAAAGACTTCCTCATTGGCAGTACTCATTGTCTCAGTCATTGGCTTTCTGTGTGGCAAGCAGCAGGACCAAACCCCTGGTTTTTCAGTAACGCTTTCTTGAATGAGAGGTAAAGGGTTTCAGGTAGAACATGAAGAAATTGGCCTGGAAATGATTTCACAGTTGCATCCTCAGTCACTCTTCTCATATGCATGACAACTTCAACTACATTTTGGGAAAGCCCACCATCCATATATAGATGTTGTGTGCTCCAGAAGTGCCTGAGTGCCCAAAAAAGTGAAATGCCTGGGAAATTAACATTTCCCTAAAAGGTAAAAGAAACATGGACTTAGTTACATTGAATGGGTAACAATTTACAGAGAAAAAGACAGTCTGTGTTATGGGGCAAAACCTTCAACACAGTCCAGAAAGATCACTATAAAATAATGTGAGATTAGATTAAGTCACCAAATTTGATAGTTGTTTATCATTTTCAATCCATTCCATGGCTTCTTATGTTTCTATTTCATGGACGTTCACAAAACCCTTGACATTCACGTTGTGTCCATTTCCCATGTACGCTGAACTTTGAGGCCTCCGCAAACTGGTATAAACTTTATAATAAATTAATATTGCGTATATAAAATTTGACAAATTACTGTCTTTTGAAAAAAAAAAAGTGTCCCACTCTGTCACCCAGACTAGAGAGTGCAGTGGTACAATCTCAGCCCACAGCAACCTCTGCCTCCTGGGCTCAAGTGATCCTCTCACCTCAGCCTCCCAAGTAGCTGGGACTACAGGCACATGCTAATGCGCCTGGCTAATTTTTTTTTTTTCTTTTTGTATTTTTCGTAGAGATGGGTTTTCTTTCTTTCTTTCTTTCTTTTTTTTTTTGCCCTATTGCCTAGGCTGGTCTCAAATTCCTGGACTCGAGTGATCTCCCTGCCTCAGCCTCCTGAATTGCTGGAACTACAGGTGTGAGCCACCGCACCTGGCCAAGTTGCTGTCTTGACGTAGAACTTTTATAATACTAAGGCTTAATAATCGTGACTCAGATGTTATTAGAGAAAGAGAGATAATTAGCATCGCATATCAAAGAGTTTCAATGTACACTGGGTTGTTTTTTTATTTTGTTTTGGCTAGATGATTAATTAAGGCTACTATAAAATTGACTTTGAAATCAGTCTATAAGCTAAATTGCACTGCAACCATTATAGGCAGGTGACTTAAACATTAGTTGAAACTATCGTTTTTGTTATTATCATGTGCTATTTTTTATGAAAACTCTCACAGTGGCCAAAGACAAATGTAGTTTCAAAATATTCTTGATCAGATCATGATGTTGTAGAAATGTTTGATCAAATGCCTATACCATATCTAAAAAGTAAACATTATGAATCAAAAAGAAAAATAATACTAAAATATTTACATATAGATCACTTGCTATCTTCTTTGTCTGAAATCCACATCTTCTCTTCCACCTTTCATCACACACACACACACCACTTATGTTGTCAATGCACCACTGTTTCCATAAAACTAAAAGACAAAAATAAATAGAAGTTATATTAATTGGAAGGAGAGAGGTAAAATGATCACCTCTGATTATACAATTGCATACCTGGAAAACCCAAGAGAATCAACTAAAAAGATATCACAAATAATAGAAGACTTGAGTAAGGTGAGTGGGTACAAAATTAGTGTTCAGAAACCAATAGCCTTTTCTATATAAAAACAGATCTGTTGGAACTGCACTGTGCAACACAGTAGCCTATAGCCTCATGTAGCAATTTAAATTAACTTAAAATTTGGTTCATTAATGACACTAGCCACATATCAAATCCTCAATAGTCACTTGAAATTTGGGGAGAAATAGAAATTCTGGAACTACTTTCCACAGACCACATTGAAAAAAATAAGTAATAAAAGCCCAGAAATTCTTTTGGAAAGCCCAGATTATTCTTTTGGAAAAACAATAATCATGAGAAACAGCCCTATCAGATATTCAAAACACATTTTAAGGCAATAATAACTAAAATGTCTGCATTTACAAATAGAAATAAAACAATAAAAATTTACTCTAATACATTTATAAATTTTGCTTATAAAGGGAGGTGGTTCACACCTGTAATCCCAGCACTTTAGGAGGCTGAGGCAGATGGATCGCCTGAGGTCCGGAGTTCAAGACCAGCCTGGCCAACATGGTGAAACTCCATCTGTACTAAAAATACAAAAATTAGCCAGGCATGGTGGTACACACCTGTAGTCCCAGCTACTCAGGAGGCTGAGGCAGGAGAATCCCTTGAACCAGTAGGCGGAGGTTGCAGTGAGCCGAGATCATGCTACTGCACTCCAGCCTGGGTGACACAATGAGACTCCATCTCAAAAAAAAAAAGAATGCCTTTCAAAATAGTAGTAAAAGATTAATGATTCCATAAATCATGTTAGGATAACTTGGTGGCTATCTAGAAAAAAATAAATTTGTATCCCTATTTTACTTCTTATTCCAAAATAAATTTCAGCATAGCAAAGATTTAAACATAAGATAAAACTATATTACAGCATTGCTTCATATAGCAAAAGATTGGAAGCAATCTAAATGTCCTTTAATGGTTAAATACAGTATGATATGTCCATTACATTTAAGATGATTTTGCCACTGGGAAAGAAACCTAGTAGCTTTATTATTGTAGAAGAGTATATGTAGTAAGCTGCCGTGTGTGTAGAATCTATATAGAGGCTTGTCCATGTAGGGAATACAGGAAATTCGTTTCCTCTGGAGGGGAAAACTAAGTAGCTTTGGGATGGGTGGAAGGAGACTTGGTTTTTACTGATGACTCTTTTGCACCATTGAATTTGTACTCTCTCTCTATATATATACACACACACATATATGAGTTAATGTTTTAAAATAAACATAATTTATTATAAAAACCAAGGCCTGAAATTTATAAAAATATTGTATCTCCCTTACTTTAGTATCACCTGCCCCAGATTTATTTCAGTTCTTTACATAAGAGCTTCAAAAAGTCTATGTGCAGCAATTTCAGGCTTCAGTGCAGTAAACTCTTGTCTAGAAGATTCAGATTTAACAATTTACTTAATAAGTGTTTAGCTAGTAATGGGAACGTAATATTAATACCCTCAGTAAGTACTTGCTCAAATGTAATTTTATATTATTTAAAGAAGACTTAACAGCAAACAAAAACAAGTACTTTGTTTTACAGCAAAAGTGAAGGGCCAGTGGTCTCTAGTCATTCCATGATGTAAACATATAAATGGACTAAATGATGAGGTGCTGAATGAGCTCAGAGAATTCTAATCAGAAGAGTGCTTCATAGACTGGAGCCAAGTGGCACTGTATGCAACTGCCACCGTTAAGATGCTGCTAAGCACTGTTCACAACAGCAAAGATACGGAGTCAACCTGTGTCCAATAGTGGACGAATGGATAAACGAAATGTATATCTACACAATGGACTATTATTCAGCCATGAAAAATGAATAAAATCATATCATTTACAGCAACATGGATGGAACTGGAGGTCATTATATTAAGTGAAATAAGCCAGGCACAGAAAGGCAAATATCACATGTTCTCACTCATATGTGAGAGCTAAAAAAGTTGATTTTACAAAGGTAGAGAGAATAGAATAATAGACGCTAGAGACCAGGAAGGGTGTGCAGGTGGGAGGGGGGATGAAAAGAAGAAGGTTAATGGGTAAAAACATACAGTTAGATAAAAGATAAACTCTCTGTTGTTCAACAGCTGAGTAGAGTGACAATAGTAAGTAACAATATATTGTATATTTCGAAGTAACTTAAAAGAGAGGACTTGAATTGTTCCCAACACATAGAAATGATAAATACTCAAAATGATGATACCTCAAATACCCTGACTTGATCATTACACATTCTATGCATGTAAAAAAATATCACATGTATCCCATAAATATGTAAAATATTACTTATCAGTTTTTTAAAAAGAGACTGCTAAGCCTTGGGAGTCTCCTCCACCTCCCAAAACACTTCTATTTTGCTTTACATTTTCTAAACTTACACCAAGCATAACTTATGTCTCATTTGCCAATAGAAATGGAATTGTCTAATTCCAAGATTAGCTGTTTGACAGCTCAGACAATTTAAATCTTTTACAAGGTACAGAAAGTTTTACTGGGCATTGACATGATGTTCTTGAAACTTGAAGAAATTATTCTAGAACAAGCTTATTGTCTGTGAAAGACTACCATAGAAAACCCTTGGGTAGAAAAAATATCTGCTATGTAGCACAATTTAATATTTAGGCAATTTCTTTTTTTTCTTTTTCTTTTTTTGAGACAGAGTCTCGCTCCGTCGCTAGGCTGGAGTGCAATGGTGCGATCTCAGCTCACTGCAACCTCCGCCTCTTGGGTTCAAGCAATTCTCCTGCCTCAGCCTCCCAAGTAGCTGGGACTAGAGGCACATGCCACCACGCCCCACTAATTTTTGTATTTCTGGTAGACACGGGGTTTCACCATATTGGCCAGGATGGTCTGGCTCTCCTGACCTTGTGATCCACCCGCCATGGCCTCCCAAAGTGCTGGGACCATGCTTGGCAAATTTCTTTTTTATCAGCAGTTGTTTTAAAATTAAAGACAACCAACTGAAACATAAAGGAAATCTATTGATAATTAAATTTATTGTCCAGCATTTGTCAACAGATTTCATGGTAAAACCCAGCCCCTGTGAGCCTCAGTTTCCTCATCCATCTAACAGGGGTAATAACATCTGCTCCATTGACAGTGGAGAATTACCATGAGAACTGAAGACATGAAAGCAATTTGAAAGTTGCCAAACCATTTTATCTTTTTTTTTTTTTTTTTTTGAGACAGGGTCTCACTCTGTCACCTAGGCTGGAGTGCAGTGGCACAATCACAGATCACTGCAGCCTCAACCTCTCAACCTCCTGGGTTCCAGCAATCCTCCTGCCTCAGCCTCCTGAGTAGCTGGGACTAGAGGCTACTACAGGCATGTGCCACCACACCCAGCTAATTTAATAAAAAAAAATTGTAAAGATGGAGTCTGGCTATGTTGCCCAAGCTGGTCCTAAACTCCTGGGCTCATGCGATCTTCCCCGCTTAGCCTCCCAAAATGCTGGGATTGCAGGCATGAGCCACCGTGACCGGCCTACAATTTTAAATAGACCATTATCATTACTTATTTAAAAAGAGACAACTAGTCCCTTCTAAATACATCCAAATTGCCCAATTCATCTGTCTTCACTGACACTAGGGTTGCAGTGTTGAGCACTGAATTGGTAGTTTAATTTCCTGTCCAGGAAAATGATAATGTAACAACTAGGTGCAAAATACCCAATCCCCTTCCCTGCCTTTCCTTCCCTCCCACAGGGATTGATCCCTAGAGTCCTCCCTAGTCAGCCTCTGCCTGCCAGTCCGTCTCTGAGTCTGCATACTGAGCAACCCAATCTGTGATAATTTCGTACCAGAAATGGTCTGAGAAAGCAATGCTAAGATGGGATTTTGGAGCTGGATCACATGCCATCTGGTTGGCATTGAGAACTCCATTGCCAGTTGTGGGAGAGGCACAGACAGCACAAGGCAACAGTGCAATTGTTAAAACTTTTACAGGCACGGTGGCTCACGCCTGTAATCCTAGCACTTTGGGAGGCCAAGGGGGTGTGGATCACCTGAGGTCGGAAGTTCAAGACCAGCCTGGCCAACATGGCGAAATCCTGTCTCTACTAAAAATACAAAAATAGCAAATTAGCTGGGCATGATGGCACATGCCTGTAATCCCAGCTACTCTGGAGTCTGAGGCAGAAGAATTGCTTGAACCCAGGAGGCGGAGGTTGCAGTGAGCTGAGATCACCCCACTGCACTCCAGCCTGGGCAACAGAGCGAGACTCCATCTCAAAAAACAAAACAAAAAAAAACCTCCACTTTCATTTGTGGTGGCAAATGTACTGGCTGGTGCATTGTACCAGGCATTTGAGCAGTGTAGAGGAAATAATCACCACAAGGACAGTAAAGGTGGCTATCGCTATGCTCAACCAGTGCTTTGGAAAAAGAAAACAAAAGACTAAGAGTGATTAATCAACTTTCAAAAGCTAAGAGTGGCAGCCAGAAGGCCTCCTTGGTAGCATATGATGAATCTCTTTTCTCCTGCCATAGGGGTGCAGAGAAAGCTGAGGACCAAGCTCAGAACTTCTCATGAAGGTAGCTTTAAAGGTTAATCTCTCAACCTAGGCAGGTTTGCTCTGCCAAGGTCAGGGCTCTGACTGACAAAAAATAGGAGCCTGACAGTAGGACGGGGGCATCTGGGTTGAGGCACCTACAGAACTGAGGTCCATCCGTCCCCCATTATGGGCTACTATTCCCCTCTTCTTGAAGACAATGCAGACGTTGCTCCCCTGCATAACAACATGTGCCCCCTAGATCCGTCCCAACTTCCTATCCTGGCCACTAGGCCAATCCCTAGGTCTAAGTCACCACATAACTCAGCTGGGGAGGAAAGGGACTAGACACAAAAGGAATTGTAGGACCCGGTCAGCAAGTACAGGCAGGAGCCAGGGGAGAAGACATGGGGCAGGATGTCCGAGGGTGCTGGATCAAGGCAGGCAAAATGTTATTTTGAATAAGAAAGTGTTTATTGAGAGCACCACTCTGGCATACAGGATTCAACACTCTGGCAAGGCCCCAGAAGATGGTGCAAACATGCTGTTAGGAAGCCAGGGAAAAGCAATGGTCCATGCTAAGTGTGACTGAAATGCCAGAATTGCCTTGGCAGATGGATCACAAGGCTCACAGAAGTGGACATGCTAGAACAGAATAGATGTGCCATGTAAGGCATGGATGACTATGCTCCGCGGGAGAGTCCAGAGTCTACACAGTTCGCCAAGGGAATAAGGAACAGCTGGGGAGAGGGCACCAACAGCTCTAAGGATTCAGTGGTAGCTCCTCTCTGCAGGCCAGGATCCCTTGTTAAAAAAAATTACTAAGAATTTTGGCCGGGCGCGGTGGCTCACGCCTGTAATCCCAGCACTTTGGGAGGCTGAGGCGGGCGGATCACAAGGTCAGGAGATCAAGACCATTCTGGCTAACACGGTGAAACCCCTTCTCCACTAAAAATACAAAAAATTAGCCAGGCATGGTGGCGGGCGCCTGTAGTCCCAACTACTCTGGAGGCTGAGGCAGGAGAATGGCGTGAACCCGGGAGGCGGAGCTTGCAGTGAGCCGAGATCGCGCCACTGCACTCCAGCCTGGGCGACAGAGCAAGACTCCATCTCAAAAAAAAAAAAAATTATTAAGAATTTCAAGAGGGTAACAGTCTGTCTTTACAGGACTGGGCTCACTGTGTAGCAATGAGGATGATAGGACAGTTCCCACTTCCCCCTACAAACACCCTCCATAGAGGCCAAGTGGGAGTACTTAACCATCAGTAGCCAGGTGGATGCAATTATTGTAATGACTGGCAGGGTGGAGTGGCAGCCAAGAGGCCTGACCTGCAGAGAGGTATGGAGATGGTTAACGAATATAATGTGCTTAGGGAAAAACACATGAGGAGACAAAAAGAGTACTACATAATCTGTACAAACAAATCAAGGATGGAGGTTCAGGACAGTCATTCCAATGAAAAGTCAGGATGTCTTGCCCAGTTTTCAGAACTGAGCCAGTTTTGGGTCCCAGAACCCATGAATTGAAAGAGATTCTGGGGCCAGGTGCAGTGGCTCACACCTGTAATCTCAACACTTTGGGAGGCCAAGGTGGGTTGATCACCTGAGGTCAGGAATTTGAGACCAGCCTGGCCAACATAGTGAAACCCCATCTCTACTAAAAATACAAAAACTTAACCAAGCGTGGTGGCACACCTATAGTCCCAGCTACTTGGGAGGCCGAGGCAGGAGAATCACTTGAACCTGAGAGGCAGAGGTTGCAGTGAGCCGAGATCACACCTGCACTCCAGCCTGGGTGACAGAGCGAGACTCCATCTCAAAAACAAACAAACAGACAAACAAAAAACAAAAGACAGAAAGAGAGGCTGGGTGCCCAGGAAGGCACAAGTATTCACAGTATTGATTTCCCGATTCTTCCTCAGAGAGGTGAATAACCATTTAATTTGGTAACTTCACACTGGAGAAAGGGGACTATCCAAACATTCTGAGGACCGCTGGACACAGACTCCAGGTTGACAGTAATACCCAGAGACCTGAACCACCATCATGGGACCCTGTTAGAGCGGGTGCCAGGGCCATCCTTGTGGATGTACGACGTGTGCAGCCACACAGGACTTTGCATTTAGAAGGTTCTATGTGTGGTTTAATTATTGGTTTAATGCTCTACTGTTACCCGCTTGAAATTCTTAATAATTTTTTTAACAAGGGGTCCTGTATTTTCAGTTTCTGCTAGGCCCCTTAAAAAATATATATGCAGTTGGTCATGGTGGGGAATATATGAGGGGCCTGGTAATAAATGGAGTTATGGTTCAGGTGTGGCTTACAGTGAATTCATTGGGTCTGCACACTCATCCATAGTCATTTCCTAGTCTCTGAATGTATGTTTGGAATAGACATTCCTGGCAATTAACACAACCCCACACTGCTTCTTTGGCCAGTGGGGTAAGAGCTATCAGGGTGAATACAGCCAAGCGTAAAGCTCTGAAATTGGTACCCTCTTACACACACACACACACACACACACGCAAAATAGTAAAGCAAAAACAATATTGCATCACAGAGGGTCTGGCAGAAATGAGTGCCACCCTTAAAAACATAAAGAATACAGGGGTGGTGAACCCCATCATGTCTCCATTTAATTCACCATTTTGTCACCTGTAAACAAACAAACAAAAACAATTTGAAGGGTAACTGTGGACTAAGAAGTAGCCCTGATTGCAGCTGTTGGGCCAGATGTGATATCTTTGCTAGACCCCATTTAAATTTCACCAACTGTCCAAACAATGCCTCTTTTTCTTTTAAGGTATAGGAATCCCATATGAAAACATACATTGCACTTATGTGTCGGTCCAGAACAATTCTGCAGCGTTTCACCCTCTCTCATATCTTTTTTTTTTTTTTTTTTTTTTTTTGAGACGGCAACACTTGTTGCCCAGGCTGGAGTATGATGGCACGATCTTTGCTCACTGTAACCTTCGCCTCCCGGGTTTAAGCAATTCTCCTGCCTCAGCCTCCCGAGTAGCTGAGATTACAGGCAGGTGCCACCATGCCTGGCTAATTTTTTGTATTTTTAGTAGAGACAGCATTTCTCCATGTTGGTCAGGCTGGTCTCAAACTCCCGACCTCAGGTGATCTGCCCGCCTCAGCCTCCCAAAGTGCTGGGATTACAGGCGTGAGCCACCGTGCCCAGTCCACCCTCTTTCAGTTTAAAAGTATAGGCCTTTCATTTTGTAGGATGATCATCCACCTGGGTGTGTCCAGTGTTTACCCATGGCCAGACTAGAGCCATAGATTCTTGGAAGGAATACTGCAACAGTGATTCTGTGCTCTTTCTTAGCCCATCGCATCAGGAATACAAGGCCAACCCGTCCCACCACTGGTGACATTTCCCTTGATCACTCGTATTTGGAGTCTGCCAGTTTTCTCGACTGTAAAGTCACCAGTCCTCCCTTTGCATTTGGTTGGTTATTTTGTGCAGAAATATTCTGAGATTATGCCAACACCTGTTCCTCACCAAACTTCTACCTACCAGCCTTAGCATCCATTGATGACCTCGTCTCTATCAGCTACCACAGATTGGGCTGCCAAATGGTAATTATCTATTTCCATTATTCCTTCTACAATTATTAGCTGGCATTCTACTGAAAGGAAGTGTTTTCCCTTTCTCTTATTTGTTTATATAATCATGGATTCATGGATTTCTATTGTAATCAAGGTTTACAATTCTATACTCTTATTTATTTTTATGCTCAAATTGTCCTCCCTTTGGCCAGGGGATACCGCTTCAAGCTAGCTTCTATGTTCTGTCTTACCGCCTCATCATTCTTTGCACATTTTTACATTTTCTGACACAAGAGGATATTTCTGTGCCCCCAGTCCAGTGGGGGCCCGCCTTGGTATTTGGAAACCAAGATCTGAGAAGGGAAGCTTCACTTAAAACATTTTTGAACTTTGCATCTGCTCCCCAATATTTCTGTTTTCTCTAAGTTCCTTCTTGTTTCTTTTTTTCTTTTCCATGCTGGAGGCTTTCTTTAAATGCTTGGCCATTCTTGGCTGTCTATTTGCATGGGAGTGAGGCATTGAAAAGCCTGTGATTAGAAGATATGTATGGAGAAGAGAGGGAGAGGTCATTGACTGGTAGATTTTACTTTAGGGTTTTAGAGTGATCTGGCCAGGCCAATTCATTAAATTTGAGTGACAATCGATTTTTTTTCTGTTTATGGCTCGGTCAGTTTTTATCAGAAGAATCTTCCAGTCTCCTCCCTAGAAAATAGGTACCTAGATGCCAGTGTTCGTAGAGCTGAGTTGAGCAAAGAGCTAGGATCCCACACCTGTTTAGTAGATTCCTATATAATGCCCACATTCTGTATGGAACTTTCACCCTCAGCTGTGCCTGGTGTCGTCAACCCTGGAGTCCCCAAGATTCAGCCTCTTTAAAGAATGAATCTTTAAAGCAGAGGACATACAGAGCATTCAACCTAACTCTTTTACAGATTTTTAACCAGTGCTGTTTTCTGCCTGGTGCCTCTAGCTCCTGAGCTTTTTATTTTGGGAGGTTGGGGGTGAGGTGAGTGAGGCATCCTTTGGCCAGAGTAAGCCTGGTTCTAGACTTTTCCTGGGGATACATTTTGATTTTTCTTATTTCCCAAATCAGTGGTTCTCAGCCAGCGGAATTTTACCCTCAGGAACATTTGGCAATAACTGGAGGCATTTTTGGTTGTCACAACTAGGGAGGGGTGCTACTGGCATCTAGTGGGTAGAGACCAGGAATGCTGCTACAGATGCCATCTACAGTGAAACATTCTATGGCTCAAAATGTCAATAATACCAAGGTTGAGAAACCTTGCCCTAAATCATTTAGTGCAAACACTTCCAGCTTCTAGTTTTTTATGCTACTTCATTTTTTTCTTTTGTTCTCTGTTTTTCTGACTTTTAAAATCACATTGCCTTTTAAAATTATTTAATGTCATTTAGGAGTTGTTTCCAGAGGGAGTGATAGTAAACATAATTGTCTAACTGGCACATTTAACCAGAACTCCTGTGGTGGCATGTGAATTCATATTTGCAAAAGTGTTTCAATTCCTGTCTCAAACACCGGCATAGACAAATGTTCAGTGTTAGGAAGAATGTGTTAACCCAGGAGTGAAACAGAAAGCATGTGGAGTCGGCTAGAAAGGGACTTTGTGTCTTATGTAACATACAATTGCTCTGAAGGTAAGCCGTTAATTTTTTAAAATAAAAATGCAGAAATAAAAGCTGCAGGCTACAACAGTACATTCGCAGTCGAAATGTAAAAATACTTTTTTATTTTCACAGGGGCTGAACAGAATTTTTATGAAGGACATTTGGCTCCTGCACGTACATACATTATGGGTTTGTGGGGTTTTTTTTGTTTGTTTTTTTTTTAATTGAGATGGCGTCTCACTGTGTCTCCCAGGCTGGAGTGTAGTGGCACCATCTCGGCTCACTACAAGCTCCGCCTCCCGGATTCACGCCATTCTCCTGCCTCAGCCTCCCGAGTAGCTGGGACTACAGGCGCCCGCCACCACGCCTGGCTAATTTTTTTGTATTTTTAGTAGAGCCGGGGTTTCACCGTGTTAGCCAGGATAGTCTCAATGTCCTGACCTTGTGAATCTCCCACCTCGGCCTCCCAAAGTGCTGGGATTACAGGCGTGAGTCACCGCGCCCGGCCTGGGGTTTTTTTGTTAATTAAATTAAATTAAATTTGTCTGAGACAGGGTCTCACTCTGCCACCCAGGCTGGAGTGCAGTGGTGTGATCTCAGCTCATAGCAGCCTCAACCTCCAGGGCTCAAGTAATCCTCCCACCTCAGCCCCACACCACCCCAAGTAGCTGGGACTACAGGCACATACCACCACGCCTGGATAATTTTCGTATTTTTTGTAGAGATGGGGTTTCACCATGCTGCCCAGGCTAGTCACGAACCATACATTATGTTTAAACTTACCACGCGTGCCTAAGAGTCATTAGCATTTCCCATTGGTTGCTCTGGTCAGTGGTGTTGGCTTAAGCTGAGACTAGATAACATAGGACTTGCTGCATTTACACTGAATCTTAAGACAGGAACCCAGCAGGCCATCACTAAAGAGGTTTGTAAGTAACTAAGTGTAAGAATACAGAATGGGAACTCTTTCGTGTGTACCCAGAGACTCCATTCCCTCCACACCATGGACTCGTCATTCTCTGAAAGCTCCGTGTGCCAACAGTGAACATGCATTGGGCATATTAAGTGTTTTGGTCTTTTATTCTGGCACCTCATTTAAAAGTATAACACTTTCGTGAGGTCCTTGACAAATTAATAAACCCACTTATTTATTTAAATAAAATAAAACTTTTTACAAAGTCTAATTAGAAATTGCTCTGGACTAGAAAACAGCTTTAAAATGATGTCGTTCTTTTTTGTTGTTGTGTTGTTTTTGTTTTTGAGACAGAATTTCGCTTTTGCTGTCCAGGCTGGAGTGCAAATGGCACGATCTTGGCTAACTGCAACCTCCACCGCCGGGGTTCAAGAGATTCTCCTGCCTCAGCCTCCCGAGTAGCTGGGATTTATAGGCGCCTGCCACCACGTTCAGCTAATTTTTCGTATTTTATTTATTTATTTATTTGAGACAGAGTTTCGCTCTTGTTGCCCAAGCTGGAGTGCAATGGCATGATCTCGGCTCACTGCAACTCTGCCTCCCGGGTTCAAATTATTATCCTGACTCAGCCTCCCAAGTAGCTGGGATTACAGGCATGCGCCACCATGCCCGGCTGATTTTTTGTATTTTTAGTACACGGGGTTTCTCCATATTGGTCAAGCTGGTCTTGAACTCCTGACCTCAGGTGATCCGCCAGCCTCGGCCTCCCAAAGTGGTGGGATTACAGGCGTGAGCTACCACGCCCAGCTAAATGATGTAGTTTTATCATTGCTAGTTTTCCAGTGGACTTGGGAAATTAATATATTCCCTATGAAGGAAAATAAATTAAGTAAAAGAATCAATCACTGTGCTAACAAGAATGACTTTTGCATACCTCTGCAAAATAAGCTCAGTGAGTTTTTGTGAAATCAAATGTATGAAATATAAGTTAAAATAAAGTTTTGAGGAGCAGCTTTTTGTTTTTTTTTTTGAGACGGAGTCTTGCTCTGTTGCCCTGGCTGGAGTGCAGTGGCACCATCTCGGCTCACTGCAAGCTCCACCTCCCGAGTTCACACCATTCTCCTGCCTCAGCCTCCCGAATAGCTGGGACTACAGGTATCCTCCACCATACCCGGCTAATTTTTTGTATTTTTAGTAGAGACGGGGGTTTCACTGTGTTAGCCAGGATGGTCTCGATCTCCTGACCTTGTGATCCGCCCTCCTTGGCCTCCCAAAGTGCTGGGATTACAGGCGTGAGACACCGGGCCCAGCTCCGAGGAGCAGTTTTTAAGTGTATTCCCTAAGATTTTTTTTCTTATTTTAACTCAAGCTTTTTCTTATTTTTGGTCAATAAGGGTTTTTATATAGTTAAGAAAATTATCCTTGTTAAAAGCTAAGTCTTTGGTTGAAAATCATACACATACTCTCCCAGTATCTCTGGATGTGTCCTTTTCCATGAAAAACCTCTATGGTTCTCAAAAACACAGTAGAAATACCTATATAAGGAAAACTTGATAAATTTACATATTCAATATTAAAGAATTGCTTCAATTGTGTAAATAGTTCCATTTGCTATTATTTGAAGAGAAAAGTATTTAGGCAGCCTAAAAAGGAAATGTAAGCCTGCATTCATGATGGTGTTTATTATAGATAAAATGCTTCTGAAACTAAATGATTTCAGTAGTCCTTGACGTAAAAGTAAAGGCAAAAACATACGATATCATTTCTTTCTGATGTCATTTCCCATTCTCATAAAGAAAGCAAGTAAACATAATTGCATTTCAAATAAAGTATCTTGGTTGGCTAAGGTTAAATCAGGTTTTAAGCTATCAGGAAATTTCTTCCTTCAGAGAGATTAGAAGACCTACCTGTTTCTCCTGGACGTGAAACATAGAGTTCCAGTAACCATAGCCATACAGAAGATATGTCTCCCAGAGCCACACTAAAGTCATCACTTCCAGTCACTCTCATCTAAGACATTGGTAGTTAAACACATTTTAATCTGTGGCATTGAACAAAGGTGATATTTCTATGCTGTCAAGTGCTAGTAGAGTAAATGAAAGACTAAAATAACAAATTGAAAATGCTCCTATCTTTGAAAAAAACCTTTTTTTATTATTAAGAATATCAACCTCTTTATTAAAAAATTAGAAAATGCAAGTAAATTAAAAGAAGGAGCCTGTAATCCCACCATCCAGAGGAAACATGGTTGATCTGTTTCTATAGTGTATATTCTTCTAGACTACTGAATAATCGTATGCACCTTGAAAAACTTACATAATATAGAAAAAAAATCTTTTGCACAAATAGTATTATATCCAGTCCTTTTAAAATAATCTGGACTTTTAATTCCAGAGGTCCTGACATGATCTCTTTCCTTTGAAAAGCAAAGCCTGCCATCTGGTTTCTGCAGGTCATTAAAGGGTTTTTGCTGGAGTTTATCCTGGCAGGGGACTGCCAGGCAGTTGGGCTTCGGTGGCAAGTCCTGACTCACCAAGTCGGCGGCATCACATGACAACTTGCTCCAGCCTCTCCTTTGTAATGAATTTGGCTTCTACTGCTACACAAAACACCCTTGGAGACTAAAACCTACAAATGTTATGCATTCCTAGACTTGGAGAGAAACTATAGCTACCAAGCCCATTCTTTGTCCTAGATTCAAATGAAAACACTGTAATGTGACCTCCCACGGGTTTTCCTCTATAATAAATTTACAGAACTTCTGAAAAGATTACTAATAATTAATTATTTCCTTGTCCCCTCCCACCCCTTGTCAAATGACTCTGAAATCTAATTTCTTTTCCTTCTGACAAACAGAAAAAGGAAAGCTACGAAAGCTCCCTGTACAATTCCCTCACCTGTTTACAGCCCATTCTTATTTCAACAATCCTAGGAACTGGCAGAAAGAGAGGGTGCAGGGAAGAAAGGGTGTTACTTGTCACCCAGTGCAAGCAAACAAGATGTTGTGAAAGAAATTATGTCCTTCCAAAATTTGTATGTCAAAGGGCCTTTAAAGAGGTAATTAGGTGGCCGGGCACAGTGGCTCACACCTGTAATCCCAGCACTTTGGGAGGCCGAGGTGGGAGGATCACTTGGGCCCAGGAATTCAAGACTAACTTGGACAGCATAGTGAAACCCCACCTCTATTTGTTTTTAATTTTTTAAAAAGAGGTAATTAGGTTGAATGAGGTCATTGGGTGGGGCCCTAATGTAATCTGACTGATTTCCTTGTAAGAAGAGGGAGAGGCACCAGGGGTCCACACCCGAAGAGGGATAACTGTGTGAAGAGGCAGCAGGAGAGCAGCCATGTGCAAGCCAAGGAAAGAGACCTGAGGGGAATCCAACTCTGCTGGCACCTTGATCTTGGATGTCCACCCTCCAGGACCGCAAGAAAATACATTTCTGTTGTTTAAGCCATGCAGTCTTTGGTACTTTGTTCTGGCAGCCTGAGCAGATTAATACACAAGGCAAAAGGACACCTAAAACGTTTCCCTGAAGAACTATCTAGACTGTCCCCTGGATGAATCTCCTCAGTCCAGCAACCTTACAAAGCACACACACACACACACACACACACACACACACACACACACACAAATGTGTCCAAAGAAGTTCAGTAACTACCAAATGATTAAACTTAGAGCTTGACTATTTACAATCAACGCTGTCTTCCCAAAGGTTACATCTTAAAGGCTCTTGTCTGGTGTGTGTGTATTCTTCCTTCTAGCTCTCCAGTCATGCTCTCTTGAGTCATTTCACAGCTCCCTAATTGGTTTTATATTTTTCCAAGTGCCAGTGTTCTGATAAAAGCTGTTTACAGCCTCACCACTTGTGGCAGAGGAGGTGGAGGGAGGTGGAGGGACTGTTGACAGAAGCTGTTTCTAAGAAACTCATCTCTTGTTTCCATTGATACAGTCTGTGATGGAAGAAGAATCCTAAGGGACAAACTTAGGGAACAAAATATAAAATACCAAGCAGGGGAGTGATTCCTTGCAGGGCGATATTCACACATCATTCAACAGCTGTGGATGGAACTCCTCCTCTGTGCCAGGGCGGTAATATGACCTCCCATGGGTTTTCCTCAGTAATAAACCTATGGGACTTCTAAAAAGATTATTAATAATTAAGTAACAGTTTCCTTGCCCCCCTCCTAACCCTTGTCAAATGACTCCAAAATCTAATTTCTTTTCCTTCTGATGAACAGAAAAAGGAAAGCTAATCTTGAAACTCCCTGCACCGTTCTCAAACCTGTTTACAGCTCATTCCTGTTTCAACAGTCCTAGGAACTGGCAGAAAGAGTGGGTGCAGGGGATCTAGCCATGAGAAGTTAGCCATGAATGAGTTAATGGTCCAGTTAAGTGTGATGTTTTAATTAATGAACCCTAAGACTAACGCTGCTTTAAAACAAAACTGCATGCATTAAAAAAAAAAAATCTCACATTCTGAAGGCACCATAGAGATGTTTGGTGATTAGAATGAGGAAAGGAGGAGAGGGGATGGACTCTCTGGAGGGCTAAGAGGCAGGAGTGGAGTGAGGCAGTAGTTCCCTTAGAAGGCAGAGACAAGAGGAGGCAGGGGCTAAGGAAGAGGAAGACTTGACCTTCTCTCAGCTGTAACTGCAGGGCAGGTCGCAGCTCAGCACAAATGCTGGGCTCCTGGCATGGCTTCCTCTGGTAAAAACGTTTTCTGACAATGAGATGTGAGGTTGGACCATGTCCTCTTGGTTAATTAACATGTAGCTGTGATGCCTTCTCTGTGGCGGGCACGCCTTGCTGGTATCAGGCTCCGCCAGCCCTCTAGGGGAGAGAAGTGACTCTTGGAGGCAGGCCTAAGCTCGCTATTTCTCGGCCAGGAGAAAGAAGCACTGGTGCATACATTGCAAGCCCCAGATCAGCAGTCACACTGAATACCACTCCCCTTACCCCTTCACCTACCTCAGATCTTCCCCTATACCCACGCCATACACCCACACCATGGGGCAGAGAGCAGCTCCCCAAACAGCACCCTGGATCAATCAAGCCCAGAGCTGTTTCCTTGGGAAGTGTTCTAGATCTATACCTATGGAAGATAATCAGCCCATAGAAAACTAAGGGTTTTACTGCTTCAGGAGACAGAGAAATAGAGGGAAAGACTATATAGGAAAAGTACTGTACTAGACAGTAAAAGAAAAAAATGAGACCATGGAAATGAACTTCCTATTAGAGGCCTGACCCAGGGCCTTTATGACTCTTGGTATCTGCTCCTGAGCCTCCCAGTTTAAAAAACTGACAGGAGTTCAACAGATAAATTTGACCTAGAGTTGAAAGAAGACATTCAAATTCCCAAAAGACAATGGCTTCCAGGGACACTTGTGGGGGTTTCTGTTACTTCATAGTTTGAACCTTTAAATCTTATAGTACAGGGGATACGATAGAACTCTCTTAGATTCGAATAAACCCTCAGATTCTATTTCTACCCCTCAAAACAACAGCCAGGGCAGTCTTTTTCACAATTCTCATGCTCATCTTGGCTGATCCTGGTGTGTTTTCTTTGCTTTGATTTTCACATGTACCATCTCCTGCAGCTAAGCTTCTGTGTTAACCTCCTGTCATCGTCTCTTTCATGGGCAGCCCAGTAAGCCACACCTCCTGAGACTCATGCGCTTGTACAGTCTTCTCCTCTTGAAGCTGGGCTGGCCCTGTGACTGTTTTGAGCAATGCATACAATGTGGTGAAAATTATTTCTGGGACTCCTGAGTCCAGGCACCAAGATCAGGAAGCTTCTCCTCTTGTATTTAGGGGAAGCTGGCCACATTGTAAGAAGTCGGACTATGCTGAGACTGTCATGATGACAGAAAACCCAAGCTAGCCAGGTGGAGAGATCACACAGAAAGAGATGCCTGGCCAGCTGTTACCTGATATGCCATCATGTAAGTAAAAAGTCCACCTTGGATGGTCCAGCTCATAGATGCCATGTACAGCAGAGGTGAGCCATTCCTGCCAAGCCCTGCCCAATTGCAGAATTGTGAGTAAATAAATAATTACTATTGTTTTAAGCCACTATATTTTGGGATGAGTTGTTACATAGCCATTGAAAACCAAAACACCTCTCTCCACCAAGTCATTTCCATCACTTCCTTCAAGACGGAGGCCAAGTCACCTACATTGGAAACGTACCTGACAAGCTCAATACAGCTCATCTTATTTTAGAATTTGGTAGTTTGGATTATGCAGTTCTATGCCTGCTTTTGGTCAGTTTCATACATTTACCTATCCCTAAAATTAATAATGACAATGGCCAATGCTGAGCATCATGGATCAGGCACTGTGGCTGGGAATAATGTTATTCCTATTTTACAGATGAGGAAACTGCGGCACTGAGCGGTTAAGCACCCTATCCAAAGGTGGTTCTGTATAAGTACCCTTCCCAATGTCCTTGTCCCTCTATTGCTTTGGTGATATGCACTTTGAACTTGAAGTGCTAAAAAGGAAGCTGATGTGGAGACAACAGAATGGCATCTGTTTTGCAGGCAAGAAGATAAAGGAAGGACAGAGGTTAAACTAAGAGATGCAGAAATTATAGTATATCAGCCAGGTGTGGTGGCTCATGCCTGTAAACCCAGCCCTTTGGGAAGCCGATGCGGGCGGATCACGAGGTGAGAAGTTCCAGACCAGCCTGACCAACATGGTGAAACCCTGTCTCTACTAAAAATACAAAAATTAGCCAGGCATGATGGCGCCTGCCTGTAATCCCAGCTACTCAGGCAGCTGAGGTAGGAGAATCGCTTGAACCCAGGAGGTGGAGGTTGCAGTGAGCTGAGATCGCGCCACTGCACTCCAGCCTGGGCGACAGAGCAAGACTACATCTCAAAAAAAGAAAAAGAAAAAAGAAAGAAATTGTAGTACATCAGTGATGAGTACTGGAGCAGTAAGGTCATATGGGCTTGGGGGAATTGACTGGGATGATTTTGTCATTTGTGGGTTTGGGATGAGATTTATATGAAGAGTGGTTCTACTTTGATTGGGATGCATGTGAGATGACCTGCTGCTTTCTATTTAGTTTTTGTAACAAGCTTTCATTTGTACTAACTTGGATGGGTTTCTCTCCATTGCCATGAAAAGATTTCTGGCTAGGGTCGCCTCCAAAAGATCCTGTCTAGATGACCAGAGGAGATGGCCATAAAATAAGACATTATAAAATATGTTTACTGGATATGCAGCTTTCTACCCAGTGAAACATAGATTTCCTGACAGATTTTATGTTAGGAGAGAAATGAAAGACTATGCCAGGAAACATGAAGTTCTTAGGAAATAATTTGGTTATAAACATATTTCCTTAATAGGATACAATTTGATTCTAACTCTCATTACCTTTTGACAAGAATAGTAAGACACTGGTTGTTTAGTCAGTGATTCGTGAAGCTTTCGCAAATGTTCACAGCCCACTGGGGTACACAGAGCAGATGCCAACATCCATCCTCATTTTACTGACGGGACTGAACTAAAGGGCTTGATGACTGCCCGAGATCACATATGTAGTCGGTCAGAAGCTGGTCGGATCTTCAGGTTCCTGGATCAGTGCTCTCCCCAACACTGAGCATTATTCCATGCTGTCTTTTTCACTCATGTGGATGTCAAGGAGATTTCTTTCTGGCTGTACAGGTCTTCAGGTTCCATTAAAGTCTCTCTCTAGTGCTAAGTGTTTTGAAGATAGACATCGTTATTATATCATGGTCAGTTGGGGAGCTCTTCAAAATATAATGCTGATCATGAAAAATATAATGCTCATCATAAAGTCATGTGCTTGCAGATGTTTCCCCTCTATGACCAAAATTTTCAGTGCTCTGAGGGGCATTCCAACTTTGAAACATTTTATGGAACCCACTTCTACCAACTTTATGAAGTTTACTGGAACCTCTATTCTTACCACAAAGGTGGCCATATAATCAAACTTTTTGACCTTCCTAACTGTGGCATAGCATTCAAATGGGACAGCAGGGGAATCTTTATTCACTTCCTGTGGATATTATGAAACATTTTTTTGTAAGCCACAACTACCTTTTGCTCATAAAGTGGCAAGGTCAGTGTATTCTGTATACTGCCATCGCCCCCTCCCCAAACCAAGAAGGCTATTCAATTTTTGTATCATTTTGAAATGTTTCAACTTCATAATCCTAATCTTGTGGTCTTTCATTAGTCTTACCAAAGATGGTTTCAGCCCCGGAACAAGGAGGGGATCAGTTTAAGGAAGGAACTGTTATCATCCTTGCTTCAAAGTTAAATTATAAACTAAATTCTTCCCGTGGTTAGCCTGGCCTGTGCCCACAACTAAGCAAGGATAGCCAGCCTGTGAGTCTAGAAGCAAGATGGAGGTGGCATGCTAGACTTCTCTCATTGTCATTATCTTTGCAAGGGAGGTTTCAACTCCATTTACAACTTTTTTTTTAGCCATAAAGGAAAGCATTACTCCTGGAGCTAAGAGGCTAAAGGGACTGTGCTAGTTCTCTTGTGCTAGTCCTCACCTCTGCACGGTTGGCGTTTGAGGCCAGATAACTCTGTTGCAGGGACTGTCCTGTGCAATGTAGGATGTTAAGCAGCATCTCTGGCCCTACCCAGTAGATGCCAGTAGCACTTCCCACTCCCACCAACACACACACTAGTGTGAAAATGTCCCCTGGGGAGCAAATCACTCCAGGTTGACATCTGCTGTGTTCAATACATGGAGCAAAAGGCCTACAGGGAACTTTCCCCCTACAATCTCCATCTCTTGCAGGGCTTTCATGCAACTCTCTGCCAATGACTGAATCTTGGTTTACTTGCAGTAATTCTATTCATGTAGCATTCCAAAATAAAATGTATTGAGCATTCACCATATGACAGACTTTTTAGTGAGGGCTTATCACACATTGTTTCATTTAATCCTGACAATACCCTGAGAACAATTGTGAATGATCCCCCATTTTACTTTTTATTTTTATTTATTTATTTATTATTATTATTATTTTTTTTTGAGATGGAGTTTCACTCTTGTTGTGCAGGCTGGAGTGCAGTGGCGCGATCTTGGCTCTCCACCTCCCAGGTTCAAGTGATTTTCCTGCCTCAGCCTCCCGAGTAGCTGGGATTACAGGCATGCGCCACCACGCCTGGCTAATTTTTTCTATTTTTAGTAGAGACGGGGTTTCACTGTGTTGGTTAGGCTGGTCTCAAACTCCCAACCTCAGGTGATTCACTGGGCTCGGCCTCCAAAAGTGCTGGGATTACAGGTGTGAACCACTGCGCCCAGCCTATTTATTTATTTTTGAGACAAAATCTCGCTCTGTTGCCCAGGCTAGAGTGCAATGGCATGATCTCAGCTCACTGCAGCCTCTGCCTCCCGGGTCCAAGCAATTCTCCTGCCTCAGCCTCCCAAGTAGCTGGGATTACAGGTGTGTGCCACCATGCCCGGCTAATTTTTGTATTTTTAGTAGAGACAGGGTTTCACCATGTTGGCCAGGCTGGTCTCGAACTCCTGACCTCAGGTGATCCACACGCGTCGGCCTCCCAAAGTGCTGGGATACAAGCATGAGCCACCGTGCCTGGCCGACCTCCCATTTTAAAAGGAGGAAACGGGCTTGGCAAGGTGAGGTGACTTGCCCTTGATCACCTACAGAGTTGTTGGCACAGCTAGGAATGTAGAGGTGGTGTCCAGAGCCACCCCTTTGACCACAGAATGCCACTGTCCCTTTTCTGCAGACAGTGAAATGGTTAAGTTAGGATTCATAACAATCGGGAAAAAAAAAAAAAAAAAACAGACTTAGTGGGTTTAATGGTTTCTAAAAACTCTTTAAGTCTGTGTAAGTCTGTCTCCTTTCATTGCAATGTTTTTTATAAACACCAGGGGAGCAATAATCATTTGAGCAGTTAAATGGATTTAGGATGGTAAAAATCTATATTTTTTTAGTCTTGAAATTATATCAAATCATTTGCCATTCTCACTGGACTATGGCCCTCCAGCCCCTGCAGCTACCCCTCTTCTCTCCCGCTGCTCCTCAAGCCCCATTACCTACACTTATAGTTTTCTTTTAATTTTCCAAACAAGATTGCATTTTGTATTTCAGATATTAATCCAAGGAACAATACTGACGAATTTCACGGACAAAATACTAAGAAGGAAATCAAGTGAATCAAGCGGAGAAGAAAGACAGTGGAAAAAGAAAACTGAAAATAAAAATATTTTCTAGACCCCTTGAAATAAAGTTTGAAAAACCACAGTGCTTTGCAAAATATCACATTCAATTGCTAGCTAAAAAAAAAATTCATTGGAAGTGCCATTGGGACAGCAGAGGATGAGGAGGTCTGGTAAGGTCTCTGGCTGGTCTTGTAAACCATACCCCAGGGTTGGGGCCAGGGTTTTTAGGCTCAGGCCTCTCTGATATGGTAGGAAGGTATGAAGAGAATCTTTTCATCTATTTTTTAACCATTAATCTTTCTCAATGCAGCAGGAGACCATGGGGGTCCTGGGTCTGGGGGTCTGCTTTTCTTCCGAAGCTCAGCCAGGCTCAGTATCAAGGAGCTGACATCAAGACACTAATTGTGAGGGAAAGGAGAGAACATCTTTAGATAAGCCTACCTGCCCTGTGATTGCCTGTGATGGGGTTCAGGACACACTGGCCCCAAATATGGCACCTTGGCATGGGAGAAAATGGCAGAAGCAGGAAGGTCTCTCTCACCTTCCCCTCGCCCTTCTCCCTTGAATGTTGATGAAGATATGAAATAAGGTTTGCCAAATTACCTGCTGTATTTATGACCTCCCTTGAAGCAGGTCATAAAGCCATCATTCCAGAGATGCCCTCCCCATACCCAGACCAAAGAAGGCTCCTTATTTCTGAAGACACAGGGACACAAAGAGGAATCTGAACAAACAGGCCTTACTAAGTTTTCCCCAGTTAATTCCTATTGGACATGCCCTTTTTCCATTCATACTTCTCCACAAGCATTCACTTCTTCAATGACTTACACAAAAAATATACACAGGTTTAGTCCTTTCTTTGGGTCTTCATTCCTGAAGGCTGCTGTGCCACAGAAAATGTTAATGCTTTTCTCTTGTTAATCTGTCTTTTGTTATAAATGCCTCAGCCATTAATCCAAGATGGAAAAGAAAAATATTCCTTTTTCCTGCTCCTAAGAGCCACCTAATGTGTTGCAGACCAAACCCACAGCAATCCTGTTATCTGGGAGTTCATCTGTGATCTTGATTAGAACTAACATAGGAAATAGATAGATGTGAGTTGCTTCCAGAATAAGATTAGAATATGAAATCACATTTAAAATTTAAAAGCAACATGTTAGCAACGACTCTAACCACAGTTCTCCCTTCTTTTTCAAAACCAGGGGTCTGGTCCAGATCTTGTATTGCCTGAAGAAGGTCCTAGGTACTACCTTTCCTGAAAGAAAGACATGGTACTAAAGCTCCTCCAACCCACCTTTGCTCTTCTCTTACCTCATAAAATAGCGAGCATCAAATTATTTGAGGAAAAGCATTTAAGAATTTTTTTTTTAGGGACAAGTTCTTGCTCTATCGCCCAGATTGGAGTGCAGTGGTGTGATCTCAGCTCACTGCAGCCTCAAACTCCTGGGCTCACGCAATCCTGCCACCTCAGCCTCTTGAATAGCTGGGACTGCAGGCATGCACCACCATGATTGGCCAATGTTTAAATTTTTTTGTAGAGACAAAGTCTCCCTATGTTTCCCAGGCTGGTTTCAAGCTCCTGGGCTCAAGTGATCCTCCCACTTCAGCCTCCCAAAGTGCTAGGATTACAGGCATGAGCCACCATGCCTGGCTGGGTATAAGAATGTCAATATGCTTAGGTTTAGATACAGTTTAGTGTTTTTCAAATGACAGATTGCAATCCCTTAAAGGTTAATAAAATCAATTTGGTAGGTTGCAAACAGCACTTTAAAAACAAAACAAATAAACAAACAAACACACTAGTATCTGATGGTAGATCTTGTCTTGTCTAAAGCCCTGCAGCGTGAGGCATATCCAGAAAAGGTCAACCCTGAGTCCCATCTGGAGGGGCATCCTCTCTAGGTCACCATTTGTCACAGTCAGTTTTAGGGCTTGAGGAAATTTAATTTCCATTTCAGAAACTCACTAATCTAGTTGTGACCAAACTTTTTCCTACCAATCTAACCAAGTTTGCTTATAAACAATCACACTGAGACCACAGCCTTCTTCCCCAACGTAGGTGCAGATGAAATAAAGAAGTTTAGAGCAGTTTTTTCTAACGTGGGCTCTGTAATAAAAACCTGCTACAGTCAAATATTTGAGAAACCCTCCGTACTGTTATCTTCTCTTATAGATTCCTAGCCTATAAAAGAAGAGACCCATTTAACTTTGTTTAACCCGTTATGTCCTAAACTTTTTTGATTGTGGAGTAACCTCTCTTAACAATTCCACTACCCTAGCCTGAGCCCTTAGCCTGATAGCTACTCCCTTTTGGGCTGACTGCAGCTGCCTGCCTCTTAGCTTTGTGACTACTGTCACACAACATACGGTCTTTACTCAGCAGCCCATACTAGGTCCTCACCAATTTCTTGATGGAGTACGAAGTAAGGTTTGCCATATTACCTACTCTACAATTTGGGGACTTTAACCATTGTAAGCCCAATCATCACTCTCACTTCTTAGCTTTTATTTAAAGAGTAAGTTTGTATTCTAAATTGATTTCTACAACTGCTGTTTATGGAATTAAGATGAATCCAGTGGTGGTCAGCTGATCACTGTGGGTGAAGTCTGTTGGTTGCTTTTTACAGTATTTTATGTTCCTTCTTCTCTTGCTTCCTGTGTGCTGTGCTGTGAAGCATGACAGAGCACCTGCCTGTGTGTGCACAGCACCGTGAACTCAATCTTTCAGTCACTTTCTTTTCTTTTCATGTTTAAATAAGAGATAAGCCACGTTGGCCAGGGCATGTGGACTCTCCATGGAGTTCACTAACAAACCGAATTTATGTATCGTTGCAAAATAGTCAACACTCCAGTCTGTTAGAAACAGGTGCCAAGAGAGGAAATGTTTAATATTTTCCACGTGGCATGGGCTCTGTCAGACAGTGTTTCCAACCAGAGTCTGTTTTCGCAGTTAAATCATAGGTTCAGAGTCTTCCTTTTGCCTCAAGAGTCTGTCTGGTGGCTGGCTCGCAGCTAGCTTCTGCACAATCCCCTCACTCTGACCCTGCATCTTCAATGCCGCCATTCTGCCAAACCGCTGCTACTTCTGGGTGAAAACCTAGTTCTAGCTCCCTCCAGAGTTAGCTGGTTTGGCTATTTGAAAGCTACTCCTTCAATGAACCGTTCTTTGTCATTTCAGAAATGAACCCTGCTTTCCAGCATTTGGGCTGGACAGGGTTCTCCAGGCTTGCTAACTACAGCAGCTGTTTTCTGTCCCCAGTAAGAGCCAGGGTGACATACCTACCTGCCCAGAGCCACCCTTGACAGGAGACTCAGGGAGAAGTGCCCCCAGGACCAAAGTAAGTAGTGCCATGGCCCAGACTTCCTCTTAGCCCATCCTGCTTCTTCCTCATCCCCTACTTCTCATCCTCTCTGTTTTAATTTCTACTTATTAATATTTTCTTCCCACATATTTAAACAGCTCCCACCAAGGAAATAATGTCAGATGTGTTGCTTTTTCAACTGATGGGTTCTAATCATCATGTTACCAAATTCTGCACATCCTTGCCAAGTAAGGCTTGGCTCTCTAAAGGTTTAGTTTGTTCTTTCTATCAATAAGTATTGCCTCTAACTACGTACTAAAGAGTTCTAGACTCTATGTACCAGACACAATGCTTGCCCTTGTGCTTATCTGCTAATAAGGAAGACAGATAATAAACAAGCAAAACATATAGAATGTTAGCGATAAATGCTCCGGAGAGAGAATAAAGCAGTGATGGTGGGTTGGCGACAGGGGTGGGGCTGAGATTCTAGATGGGGTGGCCAGGGAAGGGGAAGTCCTCTCTGACAAAATGGTATCTGCAAGACCCTTAAAGAAGAGCCGGAGAGAGATGTGTTGGGGAAGCACGTTCCAGGTGATGGATTTCAGGACATATTTTCCCAAAGTATGAACCTTGGAATTAAAGAAAACAGCAGAAGCAGAAGACCTCGCCTGAAGCAGGTCAAATTAAACCTAGGAAGGATTTTTCTGACTTTCCCCTGAAGCAGGTCATAAGACCCTCATTCAAGAGGTACCCTTCCTATACGCAGAGGAAAGGGACATCCTTATCTCTGAAGACCCAGGGACACACGGAAAAATTTGAGCAAAGAACCCTTGCTAAGTTTCCCCCAGTTTATTAGCATTAGGTCATATTTCCTTTGTCCAATCATACTTCTCCATCAAACTAAGCATAAAAAACACACGGGTTTACCTGTTTCTTTGGGTCTTCATTTTCTTATGAAGTCTCCCATGCCATGTAAAACTTATACTAAATACATTTTTATACTTTTCTCTTATTAATCTGTCTTCTATTATAGGGGCCTCAGCTGTGAACCTAAGATGGGAAGGAAAGACATTTATTTTCCTCTACATAGGTCTAGGGGCCATCCTATGCCAAGGTCCTGGGGTGGGAATATGCCCGGGAAGATTAGTGTGGAGGGGGTAGCAGGCTGCTGTGACGATTAAATGTGCATGATGTGCCTGGCATATAGATAGCACTTAATAAGTGGTAGCTATAATTATGAGTCACTCATCAGTTGTTTATGGTTTGATTCATAGAAACAGGTGCATAATTATCTGATTAAGTAGGCCCAAGTCTGTTTCTTGGCTTCAAGAGGAGTGTTCAAGCCTGGGCGTGGTGGCTCATGCCTGTAATCCCAGCACTTTGGGAGCCAAGGTGGGTGGATCACCTGAGGTCAGGAGTTCACCATGTGTGGCCAACATGGTGAAATCCCATCTCTATTAAAAATACAAAAATTAGCAATGCATGGTGGCGCACACCTGTAGTCCCAGCTACTTGGGAGGCTGGGGCAGGAGAATTGCTTGAACCCAGGAGGCGGAGGTTGCAGTGAGCCGAGATCGCACCACTGCACTCCAGCCTGGGCCACAGAATGAGACTCTGTCTAAAAAAACAAACAAACAAACAAACAAACAAAAAAGGAAGAATGTTCAGCGTGATCCCAGCATCCATCCCATCAACATTCCTAGTTTTTCTCCATCAGAAAGGTAATGAGGCCATTGCCCACGCAAAAAATATGTTGATGAGAGGATTTCCTTTACCTACCACGGAGCAGTCATTCTCACAGTGTGGCCCCTTAAGCATCAGCATCAGCATCACCTGGGAACTTGTTAGAAATGCAGATTCTCAAGCTGCACCCAGATCTACAGAATCAGAAACTCTGGAATGGGGCTTGGCTATCAGTGTTTAAAACACTGGGTGATTCTGACGTGTGCTAAACTTTAAGAACGACTGCCTAGAGTTTCTCTGTTCTCAAAGGCAGGGGGAAGCTTCATTATGTCACTCAGTCATTTCCTTTGCCCTCTATGGAGTAGTTACTGAAACGCCAGGGATTTGGTCTAGGTCCTGTTGCTCGCTGCACAGAAAGCCAATCACTGAGTATTGCCAGGGAAGAAGGCTTTATTCAGGTGCTGCAGCGATGGAGAATGGAAGATCAGTTTCAAATTTGTCTCCTCAGCTGACTAAAATTCGGAGTCTATATAGCAGGGAAGAAATGCAACTAAGTGTGGGAAAACAGGAATGAGGGAGGGGATAAGGAAGAAGAGCTGATCCACAGGCAGCAGTTAGGCAATCATGATGGGCAAGGGGTCTGGTGTTTCCCAGATGTGGTGACTGGGTAAGTTTCCATTCCTTGACTCTATCTGGGAGGCCTGATGGCTGGTGTCCTGAGAAAAAAGAACTCAGGTTAGACAAATGTAAGTTTCTCAAGTTTTAAGATTGGGAGGATCAATTTCTGTGTTTATTCAAAAGAAACCATAAACATAAGTTCTATGGAACCAGTGCGCCCATTTGAGAACCACGTTATGAGAAGGACACTTTGTTCTTATTGCTGTTATTTTAAGTTTCCTGAGATGCTCTCTGGCTCTGTATGGTTGTTACTCACCAGGATCTCTAGAGACAGCCCATCTCCCTCCCTAGATTGATGTCACCAAATTCTGAATGAAAACAACTCCAGGTAGGCTCTGAGACCCACCCAGAGGATTTCCTCTACCCTGGTTACTTCCTCCAGCATTTGCAAAAATGGTCCTGATCACCTTGGAGAACTATTTTGATTGTTGTTATTATGGAATTTAAACAAAAACAACAAACAATAAACTTTCAAAACCAGCTTCAGGTTTTCAGACAAGACCCAGAATTTATTCCTTTCCCTGTCCCAGGATGATGTTATCTTGCTATGTTCTGTGAATCAGATGGAGCATGATGCTCCAGGAACCAGGGCCACTTCCAGTAACCTTTCCAGCATTGAGAGGCCAAGTGGCCTAACTTTTCCATAGGAAATGGTGCAGTTGACTTATGAAACAACCCTGCTGGTCCTGCATTGGACTGACTCGGGGAAGGGTGGGCTGGAGGCAGAATGGAAAGGAAGGGTCTCTGGAAATCTGATTTATTGCTCCTTAGTTCAAACCCTTCTGGTAATTACTGTTGGTATAAGTTGGCATTCTCAAAATTACCCCAAAATGGAATTACCTGGGGTTCTGTTTAAAATGTCAATTTTGGGGACTCCAAGTGCTTCTAATGCAAGTGGTCCTTCACATTTTTGGAAATATAGGAAGGATATGGCCTAAATTTCTTAACTTCACAGGAAAAGTTTCTTCATGATGCAGGGGCTGCTACTTCTCTAGAACAATCTCTTACCAGCCTCCTTTTGCCATTTAGAATAATATTTGTTCTTTTTTTTGGTAGTCTTTTACATATTTTATTTTATTTTATTTTATTTTATTTTATTTTACTTTAAGTTCTAGGATACATGTGCAGAATGTGCAGGTTTGTATATATATATGCAGGTTTGTATATACCTATACATAGGTATATATGTGCCATGGTGGTTTGCTGCACCTATCAACCTGTCATGTAGGTTTTAAGCCCCACATGCATTAGGTATTTTTCCTAATGTTCTCCTTCACCTTGCCCCCACCCCCCAACAGGCTCCCCGTGTGTGTTGTTCCCCTTCCTGTGTCCATGTGTTCTCTTTTTTCAACTCCCACTTATGAGTGAGAACATGCAGTATTTGGTTTTCTGTTCCTTTGTTAGGTTGCTGAGGATGATGGCTTCTAGCTTCATCCATGTCCCTGCAAAGGACATGATCTCATACTTTTTTATGGCTGCATAGTATTCCATGGTGGATATGTATCACATTTTCTTTATCCAGTCTATCAGTGATGGGCATTTGGGTTGGTTCCATGTCTTTGCTATTGTAAATAGTGCTGCAATAAACATACGTGTGCATGTGTCTTTATAGTAGAATGATTATATTTCTTTGGGTATATACCCAGTAATGGGATTGCTGGGTCAAATGGTATTTCTGGTTCTAGATCCTTGAGGAAACACCACACTGTCTTCCACAATGGTTGAACTAATTTACATTCCCACCAAGAGTGTAAAAGTGTTCCTATTTCTCCAAATCCTTGCCAACATCTGTTGTTTCCTGACTTTTTAATAATCACCATTCTGACTGGCGTGAGATGGTATCTCATTGTGGTTTTGATTTGCATTTCTCTAATGATCAGTATGATGAGTTTTTTTCATATGTTTGTTGGCCACATAAATGTCTTCTTTTGAGAAGTGCCTGCTCATATCCTTTGCCCACTTTTTGATGGGGTTGGTTTTTTTCTTGTAAATTTGTTTAAGTTCCTTGTAGATTCTGGATATTAGACCTTTGTCAGATGAGTAGATTGCAAAAATTTTCTCCCATTCTGTAAGTTGCCTATTCACTCTGTTTGCAAATGATATGATTCTATATTTAGAAAACCCCATCGTCTCAGCCCAAAAACTCCTTAAGCTGATAAGCAACTTAAGCAAAGTCTGAGGATACAAAATCAATGTGCAAAAATCACAAACATTCCTATACACCAACAATAGACAAACAGAGAGCCAAATCATGAATGAACTCCCATTCACAATTGCCACAAAGAGAATAAAATACCTAGGAATACAGCTTACAAGGGACGTGAAGGACATCTTCAAGGAGAACTACACACCATTGCTCAAGGAAATAAAAGACACAAACGAATGGAAAAACATTTTGTGCTTATGGATAGGAAGAATCAATATCATGAAAATGGCCATACTGCCCAAAGTAATTTATAGATTCGATGCTATTCCCATCAAACTATCATTGACTTTCTTCACAGAATTAGAAGAAAACTACTTTAAATTTCATATGGAACCAAAAAAGAGCCCATATAGCTAAGACAATCCTAAGCCAAAAAACAAAGCTGGAGGCATCATGCTACCTGACTTCAAACTCTACTACAAGGCTACAGTAACCAAAACACCATGGTACTGGTACCAAAACAGACATACAGACCAATGGAACAGAACAGAGGCCTCAGAAATAACACCACACATCTACAACCATCTGATCTTTGACAAACCTGACATATATTTTATACATATAGTTTCTTCTTAGAAATTTTATTAGAAAGGTCTGCTAAAATTTATTTAAAATATTTTCAGCATCAATTTGATCATTTCTTAAAATTTAGCTTATTTATTTAGAGACAGGTTCTCACTCTGTCCCCAGGCTGGAGTGCAGTGGTGTGATCATAGCTCACTGCAGCCTCAAACTCCTAGGCTCAAGCAATCCTCCTGCCTTAGCCTCCTGAGTAGTTGGGATTACAGGCATGAGCCACTGATGTGTGTGTCTGTATGTGTATAGATAGATAGATATACATAGATAGATTATTTATACAGAGAAATGTTACCATTCTCATTCCTCATCCTCTGTGTTGGCTTGATCTTTCACTGTTTTGTCATCAGTGATCTACAATATCACAATGATGTGCTTTGGTGTTGGGTATTTTTTGTCCTTGATGCTTGGTTCTGGGTAGACACTCACTCTGTTCTGGGAAATTTCCTTGATAATTTTATTTCCTCTGTTTTCCCTTTCTGGAACTCTTTGTCATTCAAATATTGGACTTCCTCAACTGATTTGATTTTTGGATTTTATCTTTTCTCTCTTTATTTCTCTCTCTCTCTTTCTTTCTCTCTCTCTCTCTCTGCTTTCTTGGAGACTTCATCTTCCAACTAGGGTTACCCGATAAAACACAGGATACCTAGGCAAATTTGAATTTCAGACGAACTAAATCTTACATGGGACACACTTATACAAAAAAGTTATTATTTTTATTTTATTTATTTATTTATTTATTTATTTTTTGAGATGGAGTCTCACTCTGTTGCCCAGGTTGGAGTACAGTGGCATGATCTCGGCTCACTGCAAGCTCCGCCTCCTGGGTTCACACCGTTCTCCTGCCTCAGCCTCCCGAGCAGCTGGGACTACAGGCACCCACCACCACACCTGGCTAATTTTTTGTATTTTTAGTAGAGACTGGGTTTCACCGTGTTAGCCAGGATGGTCTCAATCCCCTGACCTCGTGATCCACCCATCTCGGCCTCCCAAAGTGCTGGGATTACAGGTGTGAGCCACCGCGTCCGGCCTTATTTGTTGTTTTTATAAAATTCAAATTAAATGGAGAGTCCTGAACTTTTCTTTGCTAAATTTGACACTTTTTTTTTTTTGAGATGGATTCTCGCTCTATCATCCAGACTGGAGTGCAGTGGCACAATCTCAGCTCACTGCAACCTCCACCTCCTGGGTTCAAGCAATTCTCCTGCCTCAGCCTCCCTAGTAGCTGGGATTACAGGTGCACACCACCATGCCTGGCTAATTTTTGTATTTTTGGTAGAGACAGGGTTTCACCATGCTGGCCAGGCTGGTCTCAAATTCCTGACTTCAAGTGATCCACCCACCTTGGCCTCCCAAAGTGCTTGGATTACAGGCATGAGCCACCGTCCTCTGGCCAATTTGACAAAACTTCTAACTTTACTATTGAATTGTTCCTTTATGTGGTCCCTTTTTTAATCTCCAAGATCTCTCAATTGTTCTCTAAATGTTTCATTATAATAGCCTCTTTTGTTTCTTGAATAGGATACCTTCTCTTTTCTCTCTAGAGAGATTGAGGGCTTTTAAGAAGCTTCCTTCTGTCTGGGAGTGGTGGCTTACGCCTATAACACCAGTACTTGGGAGACTGAGGCAGGTGAATAGCTTGAGCCCAGGAGTTCCAGGATCAGCCTGAGCAACATAGCAAAATAAATAAATAAAAGCTTCCTTCTGCTGCCACTTTCTCTCTCTGGCTCTGTCTCTTTTTTTTTTTTTTTTTTTTTTTTTTTTTTTTGGTCTCTGCCTTTCATGTTAGATTTCCTCACATGTCTGGTGGTCCTTTCTTAACAGTAGCAAATACTTCTGTTCATATTTAAGAGTGATGCACTAAATGGCTATTTGGGAGTTGTTCAGGGATGTAGGTGGAACCTGTTCATTGATTGGGCTCTGTACCACTATCTGTTTCACTGGGGGCTTCTGTCAATATCTTTAAGTCTTCTCTCCTTAGCTGGTCAGGTTCCCAAAGAGAAACCCTCTAATTTCCCTCCTGGAAGGGAGAAGCGTGACTGTTAGCATTCTGGGAGGTAAAGTCTAGAGGAAGACTAGGGCCAAGCGGTCTCACTTTTCTGTAACTAATCTCCTAATCCCCATTTTCAGCATGGGATCCCTGCCTCAGTGTGCCTGGTGTCCCTGAGTTCAGAATCCCTCTGGCTCAACCTCTTCAGAGAGTCTTGCATCAACAGGAAGTAGAGGGCCCTTCATCCTGTGTAAGGCAAGGGAAGTGACCTGGGAGACTATTCCTTACGTAGATTTTAAATTAATTTTCCTGTTTTTTCCACTCCTCTTAGATCCCCCATTTTCAGAGGTACTTGATTCTTCCAGTTCCTGAACATTTCTGGGGGCAAACTTACTTCTGGCTTGGGTTTCAGCTTTCTGTGATCTGCTAAGTCAGTTACCACTTGTACATGTGTTTCCAAACTTGCAAAATTTTGTTGCTATTGCCTCCTCTCCTATTCTTTTTGTCCTTCAAGTTTATGCCTCTCAAATCATTTTACTGTCATTTTATCAGAATTTTGGGAAAGAACAGTAGCAAATACTTCTGTTCACTACATGAAGCTTAACCAGAGGTGGTGGCTGGTATTTCATTTAGAAACTTGCATCCATTCATAAGTAAGATTACTTTATAATCTTCTATTCTTTTAATATCTTTTATCAGGCTTTTGTATTACAGATTTGCTGGCCCACAAAGTAGTTACCTTTTCATCCTTTTCTATGGCCTGGAGTAATTTAAATAACATGGAATTATCTGTGTTAAAGATTAGATAAAACATGGCTATGAAGTCATCCAGTCCCCTTCCCCTGCCCCTTCTTCTTTCCCATCCCATTCCCCTTCCCCTTTCCTTTCCCCTTTCCTTTTCCCTTTCCTTCCCTTCAAGACTGGGTCTCACTCTATAGCCCGGGCTGGGGTGCAGTGGCACAATCACAGCTCACTCAGCTTTGACTTCCCGGGCTCCAGCGATCCTCCCGCCTTAGCCCCCTGAGTAGCTGGGACCATAGGTACACGCCACCATGCACAGCTAATTTTTGTATTTTTTGTACAGATGGGGTTTCACCATGTTGTCCAGGCTGGTCTCAAACTCCTGGGCTCAAGTGATCTGCCCACCTTGGCCTCCCAAAGTACTGAGATTACGATCATGAGCCACCGCACCTGGCCTTCTTTTTGCAATGGTAGATTTTTTAGTTGCATTTCCAATCTCTTCTATGATAATTAATCTGTTCAAGTTTCCCACATTTCCGTGGATTCATTTTGTTAATTCATATTTTGCTAGAAAATCATTCATTTTCATTAGGTTTTTATACTTGTTGCCCCAAGTTTCTTATAGTAGTCTCTGATGATTTTGTTAGTCTTTATTTGAATGATATCTCCTTTCTCATTCTAATTCTTTCATATTTTTCTTCTTACTCCTTTTTCTTATCAGGCTTTTGAGGAATTTATCTATCTTATTAGTCTTTTTGAAGAGCCATGTTTTGATTTATACTTTCTCTATATATATTTTTTGGTTTGCTTTCTATGAAGATTTTATCTTTGTTAATTTCCTTTTCCTTTTGGTTATTGCTCTTTTTCTAATATCTTAAGATGAATATTTAGTTTCTTTATTTCTCATCTTCTTCCTTAAAAAAATATAAAGCTATAAACGTTCCTCTGAGTAAACCTCCACTGTGTCCCATAGGTTTGGTATAAGTTATTCTTTTCCTTGCTTTATAGTTTGTAATTTTCCTTTAAATTTTCTCTTTGATCCACCTGCTATCTAGTAGCACATTTCTCAATTTCCATGTCATTGAGAATCTTTTAATTACATTATTTGTGTCTCAATTCATTGAATTGTGATCATGTGATCTGCTAGATCTCACTTTTTAAAAATGTATTTTCTTTATGATCAAATACAGAATTTTTTATTCTTTTTCGTGTTTCATAAACACAGCAAAATATGATACTCTCTATTTGAGGGATATAATGTCTACATATAGCCATTAAGTCAATATTATTGATCATATTAGTCAATTCCTTTCTGTCCTTAATTATTGTTTATCTATTAGACCTGTTCACTTATGAGAGAATATGTTGAAGTCCCTCACCTTCATTGTACAGTTTTGTTGGGTTGTTGTTGCATTTCTGATTGTTTTTGCTTTAGGTTTGGCTTCTATATTGTTTGGTACCTAAAGGCTTTTCACTGTTATATTTTCCTTAATGATAGTATTTCTTATATTATCATTACATAGTCACCCCTTGTAGTGCTTTTCTTCTAAAATTCCACTAGGCATTAACATTTCTACTTCTTTCTTTTTGTTTGCATTTGCCTACTCTTTGATTTTCAGCCTTTTTTATTACTATATTTTAATTGTGTTTCTTATATAAATAGGTTTTGCTTTTTTAATCCAGTGGAATAGTTTGTCTTTTAAAGAAAGAATTTAGTCTTCACATTTTGTGTGTGACTGATATAGTACTTGATTTTATTTCTTACAACTTACTTTTTTTTTAATTTTTTTTTTAATTGAGACAAGGTCTCACTCTGCCGCCCAGGCTGGAGTGCAGTAGCATGATCTCGGCTCACTGCAACCTCTGCCTCCTGGGTTCAAGCGATTCTCCTGCCTCGGCCTCCTGAGTAGCTAGGATTATAGGCATGCACCACCACGCCCGGCTAATTTTGTATTTTTAGTAGAGATAGGGTTTCACCATGTTGGCCAGTTTGGTCTGGAACTCCTGACCTCAAGTGATCCACCCGCCTCGGCCTCCCAAAGTGCTAAGATTACAGGCGTGAGCCACCATGCCCACCCCAGCTTACTTTTTCTGTAATTTATTTTTAGTGTTTTTTTCTCTCTTTCCTTTATATTAGCTTGCCTGAACAAATTATTCTTTCCTGGTTGCATTCTGACACATACTCCTCTACCAGCATTTGAAAACAAGACACTATTATCCTCACCAATACTCATCTTTTACCCCACTGAGATGCTTCTGCTTCCTCCTGATCCCTTCACTCTAACAAGATGAGAGCTTTAGGATCATTTTACTTTCTCTCTCCTCCCCTCATTAGCCCCTTAGAATCTTATTTCTCCCTCTCCTTCCACCCACCAAAAGTTGCTATTTTCTCATTTAAGCTCCTATCCCCACCCCTCCCCGACTCAGACACTCCTCTCCAAGCTTTAGCTTGCTGGGAGTGTGTTCTGCTTTTCTAACTGATTCTCCTCTCTCTCTGGCTGCTGGCCCTTTTTAAAATGGGTTGTTATTTTTTTCTGTGGGCTCATAGGTCTCAGGGTTTGGTGGCTTGTGTGTTCTAAGTGGCGGGAGCCCCATGGGTGGCAGAAGGTCCCCACAGACTGAATTGTAGAAGCCGCCAGCCCCCTGCTAATCACCTGTAGGAAACTCCCCAAACTTCTCACACTGCCCCAGCTTCCAGGTAGAGGACTCAGTCTCCCATTCAGCTCCTCCTTGGCCCCTTCAGCTAGGAAAACCCAGCACAGTCACACTAGGCTTGTGTTGACATTAGCCCTGACAGCCCCTCTCCACTCAGGATTGACTGTCTTCCCTTGTTCACCTTTGACATTATTCTCTAGGCACCTGCCCAGCCCACTGGAAGAAGGAAGCTTACAATTCTGTATGCTTGGAACCCACCAAAGCCTGAGGCCTCACTGGCACCCAGCCATCCACAGGAGTTAGCAGCTGTTTGAGTCCAGAAGGAAGAACTTTTGGAGTCGGAGGTGGGAAAGATAGAAATTGCATCCAAATTATCACATTCCCAGAACCCTCTTTTGGCCCTGTAAGTTATTCCCATAGCCATTGATCATGCAATAGCCTGGATGAAAAGAGTAGAGCTGGAATGAATAGCTACAGTCCTGGTTAACAACAGCTTGAATACAAGCTCATTCCACTCCCAAGTTTCAGGCTGGCCTATCTGGGAGACAAATGCCAACTACTGTGGTCCTACACATTTTTACCACCACTGCATGCAGAGATAAGAGAGAGTTACTGCACTTTCATTATGAAAAAAAGCAACCAAAATGGCTTGGAGTAAAAATGTAAATTTTTCCTAACCCTGCTTTATCTGATGAGATATCCACCTGCAGTGAGGAATCACTGCCAGTTTCCCCTCAGAAGGTGTAAAGATCAGGCTAGTTCTGGGAAGGAAGATTGAGTGAGCATATTATTAACCTAAATGGAATTAGATTTCCGTTTCAATAAAGATTCCCATTAAGGCTGCAAGCAATACAGCGACAGCAG
Organism: Homo sapiens; assembly: GCF_000001405.40. Lineage (NCBI taxonomy): Eukaryota > Metazoa > Chordata > Mammalia > Primates > Hominidae > Homo > Homo sapiens. The sequence goes on from NC_000006.12 coordinate 106,714,608, forward strand.
TGCAGCCATAACCACCCACTGCCTGTAGGAAGATGTGCTTGAATTACACCTGGCTGTGCACCCCATTATCACTTCACAAAAGGTAGTAACTTGAGGTGGACCTCTGTGGTCACCGTGTCCTTCTGCTGATGCCACAAAGGAATCCTAGCTTGGATGCAATCAATAATCCAAACATACATTACTCATGTATCAGCATATGACAAGAGGATGACAGTGGTTAATCAGCTAATTATGACATGCTCTTTTCATCCCATAGTGTATGACTTATTGAATATTCTTGTATTTTTATGTTTAGTTGCAATGGAAAGGGTATGGCAACTATATTTTATTCAAACTGTGTCCATCAAGAAGGGCAAATCCGTATGTATGTGTGATTTTGTTTTTGTTTTTGTTTTTTTTGAGACAGAGTTTCGCTCCTCTTGCCCAGGCTGGAGTGCAATTGCGCGATCTTGGGTCACTGCAACCTTCGCCTCCCAGATACAAGCGATTCTCCTGCCTCAGCCTCCTGAGTAGCTGGGATTATAGGCGTGCACCACCATGCCTGGCTAATTTTTTTGTATTTTTAGTAGAGACGGGATTTCACCGTGTTGGCCAGGCTGGTCTCAAACTCCTGACCTCAGATGATCCACCCGACTAGGCCTCCCAGAGTGTTGGGATTACAGGGGTGAGCCACCACAACCAGCGAAATCCATGTTTTTATATCCCTGGGGGAGGCATTGCCAGGGCCTGCCATACTGGGGTAAGCAGCTACTCCAGAGTCTTTGTCCTGTTTACCTATTTCAAGTCTAATGAAAATGTCAATTCTCTTTTAAAAGACTTAGGAAAGACGTCACACACTGGCATCCTGTGAGCTGCTGCAGCCCTCAGATTTGTTTTGTATGAGCAGCAGGTTTTTTCATTGTGTTTTTGTTTTTGTTTTTTTCAATGAATTCACTGCCAGTCTTCAAAACTCTGCCCTCAGATTTGTTTTGTATGAGCAGCAGGTTTTCTCATTTTGTGTGTGTGTGTGTGTGTGTGTGTGTGTGTGTGTGTGTGTGTGTTTAATGAATTCAGAGTCTCTAAAAAAAACTAAGAAAATCTAACAGAAAAGTCTGGACTTCTAGTTTTTCTTGGAAAAAAAGATTGTCTGGCTATCCTGGGCCCAAATTCCCTCATGCTGACAAGTGGCAAGACTGAACAGCAACTGTTTCTGCGCTCCCGCTGGCCCCAGGGGAGGGCCGCTTTTTAATTTTACACCCAGCAGCTTCTTTCCCTTTTATCACCTGGCTACCTGCTGACTTGAGAGTACCATAAGGTAGAAACAGTCACCAGAAGACCACAGTTCCAGTCCCCACTGCACTGGGAAACCCTGGGCACCTACCATCACAATTTTAAGCCCTTCTTGCATATGAGGAGACTGGAGCCAGGGTGGTGAAGTGGCTTGCCCGAAGGCATTAGCCCAGTGTTCTTTCCAATGCACCAGTGATGAGCAACCTAAATGCAGACAAAAGTGCTTCTGTTGCTCAGAGAAAAGGTAGGGCACCGGGAGCTGAAGGCGCAGGGAGGAGGGTGCGGTGCAGGATGACTGCCTCACTTGCCAGATGTGTCTAAAAGAAGAATCCCCATTCTCTTCCTGTTTCCTCTATAGACAAATAATGTTCACCACTCCACTTCCTTGTTCCTTCACACCTGCTACTTTGGATTCAGACGAGAAGTTCCAAGAATCCCTGAGTCCACAGCATGACTCTGGTTTGCAGAACCTCTGTCCAGACCAGCCAGATCAGAATACAAAGGAAAGTGACACATCCTGGATCTCAACCCACTTCGATGGGAAGTCTTCCTGATAAATTTAGAGATAACCTAAAGCCCTTGGGGACTTCCTCTTGATTTGAATCTGCTGAACACCTGCCGCACCCCCACCGCACCCCCCCCCCCCGCCCCCCGCCACCGCAGATGAAAACATCAACTCTGCAGAATTAATGGATATGGGAATCACCTGGGGACCTCTCATTAAATTGCAAATTATGATTCAGAGGGTCTGGGGAGGGACAGAGACTCTGCATTTCTAACAAGCTCTCCGGTGGTGCCCACGCATCACCGGGGCCGGAGAACCTTCCATCATTCCAGCAATGCTCACCATCACTGCCATTCTTGCTCTTCTTTCTGGGGCCGTTGCCCATTTTCTCCATGGTATCCTTCTTTTTTCCTATTCTTTTCCTCTTTTAATCCTTTTTTTCTTCCCAGCCAACTCACTATTCCTATATCCCTGCTAACCCTCAATGCTCCTTCACTCAAAGATGAAGAAACTCCTGCCCTTTCTTCCTCCAGACATTCATCTCCCTCCCTCCCTCCTCTCCTCAGCTTTGTAGTGCCAGGAAAAGAAAGATCACCATTTACTGACAATTTTGTGTGAAGCACTGTCCCAAGTGCATTACCCATATTACTTAACTCTCACAACAACCCTGCAAAGTACACATTATTTCTGCCATTTTAGACATGAGAAAATTGGGACTTGGGGTGGTTAAAGAAATCTTGTCCTCAACCAGGAAGTAGTGATCTGAGATTAGAATTTAGATCTGTCTGAGGCCAAAGTCTACAACTTCTATACTGCACCATGCTCATATAAGGTGAACAATCTAGAAGGCAGCTGGTAGGAGTGGCTTCAGTAAAAAGGAATGGAATACCACGAGCTTCACCCCATTTATGCATCCTGAACCCTTCACTCCACTTTTGTTAAGTACATGCCCTATGAGACGGTTTGACATACCAATAATGAGAGCTGTTTCAAGAATGCCCAGATTAGCTAGGATGGTTGGGACCTAAATAGCACAGTAGTAATATTAAAGCCCAAAGTTGCCAATATGCTCAATTTTCAATGTAACCTTTTATTATAAATTAAGACCCATAACTGTACACACAGAGTCTGTTACCAAAAAAGAAATTCCTTCCATTGGCCAATTATTCAACCACATGAAGTCTACTAAAGGATGATGCCAAGCCACCCATCAGTCCACACAGGATCCATCATGGATGGATAGCCAGTTCCTTTTTCTCTCTCTAGTTTCTCTTCCTTGATTCCACCTCTAGGATCCCCTCGCTCTCTTATTGTCCTTTGCCTTGTCCTCAAGATCCTACCAAGAGTCCTGGCTTCCCACCTGGGAGCATGTACCAGTTCTCCAAACCTTTGTGTGTTTCTGATTCCTCAGACTACCGCATCTACAAACTAGGAAACTGTACTCTTGCTTATACTGGCCCTCTCCCTCCCTTGACTTTTATTAGATACATCAAAACAAAACAAAAAACTCCTTTTAAATTCTGTTAAAGATCCTGCAAGGTATGAAGGGAGGAGAAAAGGCAGGGGCTGGGTATGAGGAAAAGTCCATCTTGACATACAAAAATGTTAAAAGTCTATATACTCAAAGGAGAAGTGAAGAGTCAGACTTTTACATGTGGAACAGACAGGAAAACTGGGAGCAATATGGTGTAGTCATCAGATGTGGGTTCTAAATTCATCTCAGCTACCAACCAGCAGTGCAACCTTGGATAAGCTGTGTATTTTTCTCAATACCAGTTTCTTCATCTTTAAAGTGTGGAGATTGGATTGAACAATTACTAAGATTCCTTTGTTCTCTACTCTGCAGTGTCATCTCTAGCACCTAAAATAAAATAAACCAGAAATTAATGAAAGAGTGAAAATAATATTGCTCTAACCAGAAACTGAGATACTTGATTGAGTAAATGCATGAAAACAAGAAGGTAAAGAAACCATGATTAATAATAATAAATGAATAATAATAACAATAAAATATAAAAAATTAAATAAAGACAAAAATGAATGAGCCTATAGTTTTACTTTTTAAGAAGATGTTAAATGCCCTTCCAAAGTGGCCACTCATTATCCATAGCTATCAGTTACTTGTAAAATACACTGTTGGGACAATGCATATTCTATTCAGAAGTATATTGCCACTTAAAAACCTTGTTTTCCAATAAAAGCATTGAGTTATAAAATCAACCAACATTTTTATTCTAAACTATGGTAGGTAGATCAGAAATAAAATTAGGTCAACATGAATAATTTCCTTCATGGCAGGTTACGGAATTTAATGTACGTGATATTTTCCCTCTTTGAAGTTAACATGTAATTATGTTTGCTTTATGCCAATTTATCTGCTTCTAAATGTTCCAAACTGAAAAAAGGAAAACAAAGCCTGCCTGTAGCTGCCTCTTCCTTCATATACACACCAGGCCAAAAGACAGAATGGCTGGAGGCATGGTCTCCAAGTGTGTGCTTTGCGGGAGGCCTACCCACCCTAAAAGTATAAGGGCAAAAGTGTATCTCTTTGTGTTTTGGAGCTGACTGGCTCAGTAAAATTTTCTAAGTCAGTCTGCACGTACACCACTTCCTCAGTCTTATAAGTGAGGACGCCCTCCTGCATCTGGCCCTTAGAAACCTGACCCCTCCTGATTGGTCATCACTTATTTTCTGGGAATCAGCTTTCATCAGCCCAAACCCTTCCAGCAGAAGGATGCCCCAGCCTCTCTACTCAGGGGATAACTTGCCCAGGAGAAACATTTTTTGTGATGATGTTCTTCTCATTCTCTTTCTTCTGTAACCCCATCCTGGCCTCAGGTACCCATGGTCTCTATGCCAAAATCACAGGTGAAAATTATATTTTGATTATTTGGCTTAGATTCTCTCCAGGCCTGACTTTCAACTACCATTGAAATGATTCTCCTAAATAAATATTACCTGAGAAAACCCAAGTTCCACCATTTGGGTCTGTCATGTTCCCAGATGAGGGAAGCAACAGGCATCAAGAATTCCAGAACGTTAGAATCCTTAAGTGGATCGAAAGACAAATTTGAAGGAAAATCTTACCTCTTGCCACTCTCCACTAACAACTAGGGCTTATTCGTTTTTTACTCTTCATCAAGAACAATAAAAATAAAATATACAGCTGGGCACGGTGGCTCATGCTTATAATCCCAGCACTTTGGGAAGCCGAGGTGGATGGATCACTGGAGGCCAGGAGTTCGAGACCAGCCTGACCAACATGGTGAAACCCCGTCTCTACTAAAAATACAAAAATTAGCCGGGTATGGTGGTATGCACCTGTAGTCCCAACCACTCGGGAGGCTGAGGCACAAGAATCGCTTGAACACAGGAAGCAGAGGCTACAGTGAGCAGAGATCGTGTTGCTGCACTCCAGCCTGGGTGACAGAGCAAGACTCTGTCTCAAAAAAAAAAAAAAAAAAAAAAAAAAAAAAAAAAAAATATATATATATATATATATATATATATATATATATATATATATATATGGCTGAATATATGGGTTGCAAATTGACCTGAGCCAATTTATCACTCCAACCTGGGAGGTGGATGTTGCAGTGAGCCAAATTGCGCCCCTGCAATCCAGCCTGGGTGACAGAGTGAGGGTCTGTCTCAAAAAAAAAAAAAATATATATATATATATATATACACACACACACACATACGTATATATGTGTGTATATATACATATGTGTGTGTATATATACATATACATATGTGTGTGTATACATACATATACATATGTGTATACACACACATATACATGTATGTGTATACACACACATATACATGTATGTGTGTATACACACATATACATGTATGTGTGTATACACACACATATACATGTATGTGTGTATACACACACATATACATGTATGTGTGTATACACACACATGCATGTATGTGTGTATACACACACATGCATGTATGTGTGTATACACACACATGCATGTATGTGTGTATACACACATATGCATGTATGTGTGTATACACACATATGCATGTATGTGTGTATACACACATATGTGTATATATACACATATATACGTGTGTGTATATATGTATATATATATATACACACATATATATATACACACACACATATATATATATATATCCTTGCTCCCAGGTGGTTCATTATGATGAAAGCTAGTCTTAGGCCAGTTTCTGACAAACTTACAAAGCTTTATTAGCAAGCAGGCCCCCGAATCATCATGGAACCCTTCTTCTAGTCTTGGTTCTAAGTCCCCCCAATTGTGGAGATGGGGTCTTGCTATTTTGCCCAGGCTGGTCTCAAACTTTGGCCTCGCCTTGGCCTCCTGAAATGCTAGGATTACAGGTATGAGTCACCATGCCTGGCCTATATTTATTTTCTTACTTATTGTTTTTCTTCCCCTCCTAGAATGTGGGTTCCCTGAGGTTAAGGACTTCATCTCCTTTATTCACTACTGCATTCTCCAGATACAGCCTAGAGCAATACTTCACATGCAGGAGATGCTCAATGAGTAACTGTTGAAGGAATGGATGCTGTGTCCCAGAAGAGACCTTAGAGGTCGGACCTGGTCTGGTCTCAATTCAGAGAAGGACCAGGCTGTCATCACACATTAAGTGAGTGGTGGAGCTGGGACAAGAATCTAGGTCTCCTTTTTCTTGTCCACTGCTCTTCCCACTCTTCTCCGTTCTGTGCATAGGTGAAAGCTCAACACCATCAATTGATAATTAAGTAAAATAATGGGGAATAGGATTGAATGTGTTCCTGAAGGTTTTGCTAAATAAAACGATACTGCTCTTTTAATCTATGAATTGATTATCCAAAGCAAATGTCAACGGTGAGTAGAAGGCAGCAAGGCATGAGTTATTGTAACTGATAAAGCAGGGGTGGCGCAGTGCGGGGTTGGTGGGGAGGTGATTGATCAAGTGAGTCATCATCCTGCCCCAGGGAACAATGGTCTGAGTTGTCTGCAAGGTAAATGACTCTGGTAAATAACTCAGTTTGTTCCTTTGATTAACAGGGGAGGGTTGGTCCTAGCAGCTCTGCTCAATGGCCCCTTTCATTGTGTTCTTTACCTGAGCAGTGGCTCCAAGAGCCACTCTTAATAAAGCCAGTGTCTAACCTACAAAGCCCAGAAAGTAAATCTCTCTTCTGTGAAGGGGCTTAGGCTCCTTTTGCAGAGAGAATGCATGTAGAGAAGAATGCTCTCCACCCACATCTTCTTCCATCCCTTTCCTTGTTCCATCCCTCACCATGCTTTTTAGTAAACTCTGCTCTGCTAAAATAATTTAATTAAGCTAAAACAACTCCCTAGGTTCCCAGATCATTTCTTTCTTTCTTTCTTTTTTTGAGATGGAGTCTTGCTCTGTCACTCAGGCTGGAGTGCAGTGGCGCAATCTCAGCTCACTGCAACCTCTGCCTCCTGGGTTCAAGCAATTCTTCTGCCTCAGCCTCCCTAGTAGCTGGGACTACAGGCATGTGCCACAATGCCCAGCTAATTTTTGTATTTTTAGTAGAGATGGGGTTTCACCTTATTGGCCAGGCTGATCTTGAACTACTGACTTCAAGTGACTTCAGCCTTCCAAATGCTGGGATTACAGGCGTGAGCCACTGCGCCCGGCCCCAGGTCATTTCTTTTGCCACCTTGTTTTCATGTGCTTTCCTTTCTCTGTACGCTATTCAAATATATTTTCTGTAATGGCTGGACATTGAGATGGTAGGCAAACTAAAACAAAAATTGTGTTATTTTATTTGCATATTTCCACAATTTCTCCAGCAATATGATAGATTGGAATGATAGAGGGGTTTAAGAGGTTAATTTTAAAAAATTAATATTTAATTGACAAAACTGTATATATTTATCATATATAACATAATGTTTTGAAATATGTATACATTGTAAAATGGCTAAACTAAGCTAATTATCATATGCATTGCCTCACATACTTATTTTTTTTGTGGTGAGAACACTTAAAATCTACTCTTAGTGATTTTCAGAATACAATACAATACATTGTTATTAACTATAGTTACCATGTTGTACAAAGATGTCAAATGTATAGGCAGGATATGTCAGAAAGTTATATCTCTAATTTAAAATAATTCTGGGCCGGCACAGTGGCTCACACCTGTAATCCCAGCATTTTGGGAGGCCGAGGCTGGTGGATTACCTGAGGTCAGGAGTTCGAGACCAGCCTGGCCAACATGGTGAAACCCTGTCTCTACTAAAAATACAAAAAATTAGCCGGGTATTGTGGCGAGCACCTGTGATCCCAGCTAATCGGGAGGCGGAGGCAGGAGAATCACTTGAACCGGGAGGTGGTGGTTGCAGTGAGCCGAGATCTCACCACTGCCCTCCAGCCTGGGCAACAGAGTGAGACTCCATCTCAAAAAAAAAAATAATAATAAAATAAAATAATTCTGCATAACCACTATGATATACCTCTGTGTAGTTTAATATCACTCTAGGCAGCATGGACAGCATTTGAAAGAACCTAATTAGGAAACCATGATCTAGAAGTGGTTATGTAAGCTTTATAAATATTCTTATAAATATCTACACCAGAGAGTGTGTTTAGCCAATTTTAAACCACCTCCCCACCAACCCCGCACTGCGCCACCCCTGCTTTATCAGTTACAATAACTCATGCCTTGCTGCCTTCTACTCACCGTTGACATTTGCTTTGGATAATCAATTCATAGATTAAAAGAGCAGTATCGTTTTATTTAGCAAAACCTTCAGGAACACATTCAATCCTATTCCCCATTATTTTACTTAATTATCAATTGATGGTGTTGAGCTTTCACCTATGCACAGAACGGAGAAGAGTGGGAAGAGCAGTGGACAAGAAAAAGGAGACCTAGATTCTTGTCCCAGCTCCACCACTCACTTAATGTGTGATGACAGCCTGGTCCTTCTCTGAATTGAGACCAGACCAGGTCCGACCTCTAAGGTCTCTTCTGGGACACAGCATCCATTCCTTCAACAGTTACTCATTGAGCATCTCCTGCATGTGAAGTATTGCTCTAGGCTGTATCTGGAGAATGCAGTAGTGAATAAAGGAGATGAAGTCCTTAACCTCAGGGAACCCACATTCTAGGAGGGGAAGAAAAACAATAAGTAAGAAAATAAATATAGGCCAGGCATGGTGACTCATACCTGTAATCCTAGCATTTCAGGAGGCCAAGGCAAGAGGCCAAAGTTTGAGACCAGCCTGGGCAAAATAGCAAGACCCCATCTCCACAAAGAAGAGAAAGAAAAAGGAAATAAATACATAATATATCACATTATGTGATAACTGCTATGGAGGGAAATAAAGCGGAGTAAGGGGAATAGGGTCTGGTGCTATGTTGGATGGAAAGGGAAGACCTCGCCAACAAGGGGGCATTTAATCAGAGACCAGGAAGAGCTGAAAGAGTGAACCCTGTGTTCACTGGGTGAGGGGTATTCCAGCAGAGGGAATGGCAAGTGCAGAGCCCCTGAGGTGGGAATGTGCTCCGCATGGTCAAGGAACAGCAAGGCAACCAGTGTGGCTGGAGTAGAGTGAAGAGGGGAGAAGGGTGGGGATGGGCTAGAGGGCTTGGGGCTGGGGACGTGTAGGGCTTGCAGGCATGGAAGATCTTTGGCTTGAACTCTGAGGAACTTGGGAAACCACTGGAGGATTTTTGACCTGAGAACTGCCATTTTCTGACTTTTATTGAAACAGATTCTCTCTGGCTACTGACTATAGAGGAGATTAGAGTACAGAAACAGGCCAGAGATGATGGTGGTTTACACCAGGTTGGCAGTTTGTAGAGGGGGTAAAAAGTGGTCAGTTTCTGTTTCTGGATCTATCTTGAAAACAGAACCAACAGAGTTATGAGACAAAGAGGGGAGTCAAAGACACCTCCATGGTTTTTACAACTGGAAGAGTGATGGATTTTTTCTGTTACTGAGGTGGGGAAGAGTGGATTAGTTTAGCTCGGGACATGCCAAAAACAAGATGCTTATTAGCTGTCTAAGAGATGTTTCATAGCCCATTGTATATATGAGTCTGAAATTCAAGAGGGGTTTGGAATACAGACATACAGCAGGCCCTGACGGTGTCTTGCCAGTCTCTATGTGGCACACCCTGGCAGTTACCTTGACAGCTTGACAGATTGCTTACATACCTGCTGTTGCAGACAGACGGTTAAGGAAGCCTCCATGATTCCTGCCTCTAGGCATTCTCACTTTCGGGTGATGCTTTCCCTGTAAGTGTGGGACCTGTGACACAAATGGAATAAGATACATGTGATAAGATGTGGGTACATGTGGATACATGTGGGTAAGATACATGTGATTATGTATACATGATTACGTGATTACATTCCATAGGAGTGTAGTGCCCACCATGCTAGTCTTTCTCTTGCTGACTACGCGGAAGCAAGTAGCCATGTTGGGCAGTCCTAAATGGCAAAGAACTGGGGGTGTCCTCTGCGAGCTGAGGGTGGTCTCTGGCCAACAATCAACAAAAATCTGAAGCTCTCAGTCCCATAACTACAAGGAACTGGATGCTGCCAACAATTGTGTAAGTGGAGAAGTAGATCCTGGAGACTTTCCCTGGTCATAGGACTATTTCTGGCTTGTTCCCAGAGCACGGCAGAAGTGCAAGGGAGTTCATGTCCCCAGGAGCAACTTTTCACCAATGAGTAATAGGAATTGGTGGATGAATAACCCAGCTTCTTCAATCCTTGTTGGGACAAATCTGAGATGTGCAGTAAAGGCCCAGGACAAATAGCTCAAAGGAACAGAAGGGAGAGAGTCAGAAGCAGATGCATACTTGAAGGAACACTTGATTATGACAAAGGTGGCACTGAAGCATAGTAGGAAAAGAGTGGTCATTTACATCAATGATGTTAAGTTAATAAGACAGTCAAACGGGAAAAAGCAAAACTTGACCTCTACCTCACTCCATATACAAAAATCAATTCCAGGTGGATTGTAGATCTAAATCTGAAAGGTAAAATAATGAAGATTCTAGACAATAACATAAGAGAATAATTTATTATTTTTTAAAATGTATTTTTACTATGCAGCCATAAAAAATGATGAGTTCATGTCCTTTGTAGGGACATGGATGAAATTGGAAATCATCATTCTCAGTAAACTATCGCAAGAACAAAAAACCAAACACCGCATATTCTCACTCATAGGTGGGAATTGAACAATGAGATCACATGGACACAGGAAGGGGAACATCACACTCTGGGGACTGTTGTGGGGTCGGGGGAGGGGGGAGGGATAGCACTGGGAGATATACCTAATGCTAGATGACGAGTTAGTGGGTGCAGTGCACCAGCATGGCACATGTATACATATGTAACTAACCTGCACAATGTGCACATGTACCCTAAAACTTAAAGTATAATAATAAAATAAAATAAAATAAAATAAAATAATATTATTTTTAATAGATGTATCTTTTTAGAGACAGGGTCTCACCCTATCACCCAGGCTGTAATACAGTGGCATGATCATAGCTTACTGCATCTCTGAATTCCTGGGCTCAAGCGATCCTCCTGCCTCAGCCTCCTGAGTAGCTAGGACTATAGGTGCATACCACCAAGCTCAGCTAATTAAACAAATTTTTTTTTTTGTAGAGATGAGGGTCTCAGTATGTTGCCCAGGCTGGTCTTGAACTCCTGGCCTCAAGCAATCCTCCCACCTTGGCCTCCCAAAATGCTGGGATTACAGGCATGAGCCACTGAGCCAGGCCATAAGAGAATAATTTTACATCCTTAGGAGCAGGCAAAGATTTCTTAATCAGGAATTGGAAAGCACTAAATATAAAGCATACACTGTGATAAAACAGTTTCACTCTGAGATACATACCTGAGAGAAATGAGTCCATTTGGTCACCAAAAGACATGCACAAAAATGTGTTAGCAAGATAATTTGTAATAGTTAAAAATAGTAACAGCTTACATGCTCATCAGTGGTAGAATGGATAGACTAAGGTATGTCCAGTCACACGGTGGAACATTATTTGGTCCAGAAAATCAACAAACAGCTGCCTCACACAACACCGATGACTCTCATGAGTCCCATATTGAGCAAAAGAAGCCCTTGGGGGAAGGGATGCAGAATGAAACATGAACTTCAGCTTTATCTAAGGTGTTGTCATTTTGTAGAAACTTATATATGAAACAAAAGTGGAAAATGGCCAACATTTATTAAGCCTGGATAATGAGAACACAGGGGCTATAACATTAGTCTTTGTACTTTTGGGGGTATTTTAAAAATATGCAGCCTCCTCCAAAGACAGAAACAAGCTAAAGCATGATACATGAGCAGAAGTAGTAAGGATGTCCCCAACAAAGTCCAATTTTCTTCTCTACTAAAGCCCCTATGTTTTATACCACACAGTTAAGTATCCAGTTACTGATTATCTTGCTTCACTGGTGTCTTAATTCTGGCTGCCATACAGAATACCATAGACTGGGTGGCTTGAACAACAGAAACTTATTTCTCACAGTTTTAGAGGCTGGGAAGTTCAAGACCAAAGTGCCAGTAAGGCAGGTTTCATGCTGAGGCCTCTTCTCTTAACTTGCAGGCAGCCTCCTTCTCATTGTGTGTTCACGTGACCTCTTTGTGTGCTCACATGTGGAGAGAGAGAGACAGGGAACAAGCTTTGATTTCTCTTCTTTTTTTGTTTTGTGTTGTTTTGTTTTTGAGATGGAGTTTCTCTCTTGTTGCCTAGGCTGGAGTGCAATGGCATGATCTCGGCTCACTGCAACCTCAGCCTCCGGGTTCAAGAGATTCTCCTGCCTCAGCCTCCCAAGCAGCTGGGATTACAGGCGCCTGCCCGCCACCACGTCCAGCTAATTTTTTTGTATTTTTAGTAGAGACGGGGTTTCACCATGTTGGCCAGGCTGGTCTCAAACTCCTGACCTCAGGTGATCCGCCCGCCTCAGCCTCCAAAGTGCTGGGATTACAGGCGTGAGCCACTGCACTCGGCCTGATTTCTCTTCTTACGAGGGCCCTAATGCCCTACAAGGGCCCACCCTCATGACCCCATCTAGCCCTAATTACCTCCCAAAGGCCCCATCTTCAAATGCTATCAAACTGGGAGTCAAGGCTTCAACATGGGAATTTGCTGGGGGGACACATTCAATCCATAACAACTGGCTAATTGCTTCATGCATATTATTCTTGCTACCCAAACTACACTATAAATGCAGATCACAGACTGAGTAACAGTTCTCCAGTATTTCCTCTGTTTCTTGAGTGATTTATGGATTGATTGTCAGAAGTAAATTTGGTAATCTCAGACAAGACATGTAACACTGCCTGCCTCATTTTGCCCATTCGCGTAAATTCTTTTCTGTGTACTTTAATATGCATTCCTTATTTCCCTAAGGTTTTGCTATAATAGGCCTCAATAAATATTTATTGAACAAATAAATGAATTTTAGGGGAGATCCATATACAGAGTCACATATTTTCCCCATCTGGCAGATGCAAGGAATTTTAAGCTGCATTTCTTCTATTGGCTGTTGAACCTGGCAAAATGCCAACATCTCCATAGAAGTAACACTTTAAAATGTTATTAGCCATATACACTTTGGTGTGAACAAAGAAACCGAAGCTAATTCCTGATAGAAGCCATTTTGAGCTCTAGAAGTCTAAGGAAGGACAATAGTGAGGGACTAGAAGGGGAGGCTTGAAGACACCAAAGAAAAATAATAGCTCCTTTGCAATTTTGCCTAAAGCTCTAGAATATTGGTAAGCAAAATAATAACAATGAGATATCCTCTTGCTGTTTGTATTATTTCATGGCATTGATCTGAAAAACAGTCAATTATCACTAAAGCTCTTTCTACCTCCTTACTCCTGATTCCCTCAAAACATTTATCCTGTGCCTATGTGATGTACTATAAAAGTGCCTGGCCCCATTCCCCTCCACATTCAGCCTTTTGAGGGCCAGGGCTACGATCCTCCAGGCAGAAAGGAGGTAGAGCCAGAGAGCCCTTGAGGCTACAAGCTGAGCCTCTGCTGAATCCCTGGAGAAACTTGCCCTGGGGGTGGTGGCAATAACGTAGGCATCTGTCAGGCCCTTGCCATCTCCACCCACAGCAATCCCTGGCAGCAGCACAGGCCTAACTGTGGGGCCCCGGGTTGGGCAATGTGTGGATAATGCAGGACTGCCAAGGGCCTGGAGAGGTAAGGGCCTCTCTTAATGCAAGTGGCTTCACTAGTTTGGACGAGAAACACAAAATCACAGGATTCCCATGTCTGGTATATATTTGAGAAACTCGCTTATAAAAAAGATGCCCCCAGAGGACATGAACAGACATTTTACCAAAGAAGACATACATGCTACCAACAAGTATATGAAAAAAAGCTCAACATCATTGTCATTAGAGAAATGCAAATCAAAACCACAATGAGATACTATCTCACACCTGTTGGAATGTTAGGTTTTTATTAAAAAGTCAAAGAATAACATGCTGGCAAGGTTGCAGAGAAAAGCAAATGCTTATACATTGTTGGTGGGAGTGTAAATTGGTTCAGCCATTGTGGAAAGCAGTGTGGTCATTCATCAAAGAGCTAAAAACAGAACTACCATTCAACCCAGCAGTCCCATTCATTACTGGGTGTATACCGAAAGGAATATAAATCATTCTGCCATAAAGACATACTCACTCAAAAGTTTGTTGCAGCACTATTTATAATAGCTAAGACATAGAATCAACCTAAATGTCCATCAGTGACAGATTGGATAAAGAAAATGTGGTGCATATACACACGGCATGGAATACTATGAAGCTACAAAAAAAGAATGAGATCAGGTCTTTTGAAGGAACATGGATGGAGCTGGAGGTCATTATCCTTAGCAAACTAATGCAGGAACAGAAAACCAAATACCACATATTCTCACTTATAAATGGGAGCTAAATGATGAAAACACATGCACACGTAGAGGGGAACAACACACACTGGGGCTTATTTGAGGGTAGAACATGGAAGGAGGGAAAGGATCAGAAAAGATAACTATTGGGTACTAGGCTCCATACTTGGGTGACGAAACAACCAGTAGCGCAAACCCTCGTGACACGAGTTTACGTATGTAACAAGCCTGCATGTGTACCCTCCAACCTAAAATAAAAGTAAAAATAAAAATAAACAAGATGTCCCCAAGGACATGGATTCTATGGCTCTCCTCACACTTTAAAGGATTCAGGAATTATAAATACCAGTTACCCTCTCGGTTAATCAAGAGATTATTCATATTCCGACCTCAAATTGTTTAAGCTGAATCTAATCACGAGGAATGAGGAAACAACCAGGCAAATTGAATTGGAAGTTGGAAATTGAAGGATGTTCTACAAACCAACCAGCCTGCCCACCCCAGCTAGTCATGGTCAGGGGATGGGACCATGATAATTGACTTAGAAGTTGGAAATTATCTTGAGCTGTGGCCAGGTCACCTTCCCCTTAGCTGGAGAGAGCTGGACCCCTAAACAGCACTGAGGTCCTGTTTGGCAGGGAGAAGGGCCTGCCACCAGAACAGTCAGCAACAGAAGGGCTGGGTCCAAGTCTGAATATTGACATATTTGAGCAGGTGGAGAAGGAGGGAGGAAGTTAGGGGAAGCTTTGTAAACAAGAATGCAAAGTAGCATGCAAGAATAGAAATGCATTCTACTGGGTGTGCATTCTTTACGTCATGAAGGACACAATCTAACAGAATGCAAAAATAGAAGCAAGTACAGGTAGAGCATGGTGGCTCACGCCTACAATCCCAGCACTTTGGGAAGCCGAGGTGGGAGGATGGCTTGAAAGTTCGAGACCAGCCTGGGCAACAAAGTGAGAGTCCGTCTCTACACAAAAGCAAAAAGTTAGCCAGATGTGATGGCATATGCCTTTGGACCTGTGGTCCCAGCTACATAAGAGACTGAGGCAGAAGGATCACTTGAGCCCAGAAGTTTGAGACCAGCCTGTGCAACAGAGTGAGGGCCCATCTCAAAAAAAAAAAAAAAGAAGGAAAGAAGGAGGGAAGGAAGGGAGAGAGAGAAAGAAAAAGAGAGAGAAAGAAAGAAAGAAAATAAAGAAAGAAAAGAAAAGGAAAGAAAAGAAAAGAAAAGGTAAGTATAGTGCCTGGTGTCCAGTGGAACCAGCGAGATGATGGGCTGGACTAGAACTTATGACAGAAGTTCACAGGTGTGGAGGATAAATGGGAAAGACAGCTATGAAAAGCCTTGATGAGCAAGGAGAGTTCTTCTAATTGAACCCAAGGATACAGGACAGCCACCGTGGGTCCCTTGGCAGTGGCTTGGTGAGTAGAGACCATTATTTTAAGAAACGCCAGTCTGAAATGAGCCAGCAATTTAAATATTTTTAAAAGTTCAAATACTGTTTTAATTTTATTCCTTTTCTCTGCAAGCCCGGGGCACAGAACCTGGAGATGTAGCCGTTTCTCTTTAAAAGTGTTGCTGCCAAGTGAAGCAGGCCTGCCAGAGAATGCGACCTGCAGTATAGAAGAAACTAGCACATGCATTCTAGATTATTCCAGTGGAATGTAGCATCTACTTGAATTTTGCTAAAGCAATGCCAAGTTTTTTCTCTTTCAGTGAGTTTGAGTTCCTATGGGCTAGAGAAATCGTTTTTCAACTCCTAAGCATTATAGCATCACCGTGGAACCAGCAGGAATTAAGCTTCACCTCTCCCATTCCTCTCACTTTTTAAACTGTTTTACCACAATTTACCTCCCTCAGGACACTTTGCCCTCTGAGCAACCCAGAGATGCTAAGCCCAAGTCCACGTAGAGCTGCCCTGTGCCTTTTCTCACGACTGCAGGGCACAAGCCACCCCACTTCTCAGCCTTGGCTCATGGCTCATTAGCCACCAGGACTTAGTTTAGGGCCAAATTCAGCTCACATTGCAACCTTCTGGCTGCCAGGGCAGAAACAAAGTTTGAAGGTTGTTCTGTCCAAACAATTTGCTCCACAGAGCAGATTAATTTCTTACTGGCAAAATCCATACAGTTAATAATTATCTAGACTGGGGGAAAAGTACCAGTAAATCGATTGCCACATAAAATACAATTTAAAGAATAGAGCACAAAGAGAAGAAATCTGGGCGTGTTCTTCCAGCTATTCCAAACCAGATTCACATATAAAGACCTTCCATCCTGTATCTACTGCCCCACCTTGTCTTGTAGGCTCCAGAACCATATTTCAACCTTCACTTTCAATGGCTCCTTTTTGCCCTTAGTAAACTAATCAGCATGGGTAAACAAACCAACAGTAAACCAACCAAGCCCCTTGTGAATCAGCCTCCTGCTGACACTCCCCTACCCATACCTACCCCATATAGCAATCACACACAGGAAATCTCTTGCAAGTCAAAGGCCCCATGCTCTCCTGGGCCTCCGTGCCTTTGCACGTGCTGCTCCCTCTGCCTGGTGCCTTCCTGCCTGGCTCACTGGATCATCCTTCAGAATGCAGTTCAGGGAGCATTTCTATATGACATCCCTGACCATCATGCTCTGGCTGAAGTGCTTGTCTATCCCTTGCCATAGTCCCTGCCATGGCTGTATCTGATGAGTGCGTTGATCTGTTTAGCTTCACACTAGGTTTAGTGGAGATCTGTCTGGGCCTTTCATCCTTGTACCCCCAACCCAGGCCCTTGTTATCTATTCCAGGACTTCTGCAGGCACCTTCATAACAGGTCTTGATGCTTCCAATCAACATCTCCCCTTCCCAGTTCTTCCTTTTCACTGCCTCCAGAGTTGTATCTCTAAAACACTTCATTCCCCCTTTATTCTGCTTACAAACCTTCTATTGTTCCCCATTGCCCCAACTCTGTGGCAAGCATTCAAGACTCTTGCCAACCTGATGCCAAATTTCTCCTTTATGTTCTTCTTCTACCGTTTCAGGCCATAAATCCATGCCACAGTCAAGAGTTCCCCAAAGGGGCCACAAAATGTCTCTTTTCCACATTGGCTCATGAGGTTTTCTCCTTTTCTATACCTGATAGGCGAACTTCAATTGTAAGACCAGGTAAAATGTTACCAGTAAATAGCTCTCAGCTCCTGAGCCAGAATTCATTGCTTCTGTAGGGGCTGGTAACTTGGTCCAGTTCTGCTCAGCTGCTCCTTTGTTGCAGACTGAGCCCATGACCAGAAGCCTCAGCTGCTCCAGCAGATGGTGGCTAGAATTTTTTGAGTTGTTTTTAACCTGGTGCTCTGAGACTGGGGTGAACCTAGGGAGCTGAAGCAGCAATGCCACACCCCCAACACATCATACACACACACACACACACACACACACACACACCAGGCACACGCATAACATGGACTTACAACATGCCATCATGTTGGCATGATGGGCACGTTATAAGGATGGGCTGGCAGGGCGCGGTGACTCACGCCTATAACCCCAGCACTTTGGCAGGCCGAGGCAGGCAGATCACTTGAGGTCAGGAGTTTGAAACTAGCCTGACCAACATGGTGAAACCCTGTCTCTACTAAAAATACCAAAAAAAAAATAATAATAATTAGCCAGGCATGGTGGTGGGCGCCTGTAATCCCAGCTACTCCAGAGGCTGAGGAAGGAGAATCGCTTGAGCCCGGGAGGCAGAGGTTGCAGTAAGCCGAGATCGCGCCATTACACTCCAGCCTGGATGACAGAGTGAGACTGTCTCAAAAAAAAAAAAAGAAAAAGAAAAGTAAAGAAAAGAAAAGGATGAGACTCTTGTCTTGAGCACTGACCAGGTACTCCATTCCTCCTTGTTCAGGACTGGATTCTGTCCTGAACTCCATCCAATATGGCCAGGGCACCTCCTTGGTGCTCTGTTACATGCTTTGTCATGAACCCCATCTTGACCCCAAGTGGAATGACCACTCAGTCCACTGCAGGCAGCCTTCATGAATACACCTTTCTATAGGAGGATCCACTTAATCTTCCTGAAGAGGGCACAAAAAACAGGCTCTTAAAACCTGCATCTGTCCTCTCCAACTCTTAACACATTCTGGTACACAGTTTTCTCAGGCAGCCCATGCAGAGTGGGTAAGTGTGGAGATGTGTATTATTCTAATCCTTCCAACACAGCTTCTCCAGACACGCCTTCCCAGGGCCAGTTCAGAGCAGGCTGGATGGACAGTGTGGTGTCTACCCTTGATGTGTAGTCGAACTTACTCAGTGATGCTTCCTGCTGCATGTAGATGCCTACAGCTGGTGGTGTTCCAAGGTGAGAAGGTGGGAGGGGAGCCAGATACATGGCTTGCTATAGGTGCAGACAGTAGAGGTTTATAAGCAATAATAAAACCAAATAAAAGGTAATTCACTTTTTATGAAAAGCCTATGAACTGGCAATTGCCCACAAATGGGCAATTCTACATAATGGCTGTGATAAAACACCTTCCTCGCAAAGTAGTTTTTGGGTTTAAATTCTAAACAATTTCTGTGAGTTTTAGCTAAATACATGTATGCTTCAAATTAGCAAATTGTATTACTTATCCGTTGATATGCATTGTTCTCTACATGAAAGCGAATTTTGGAACTCCCTGTTAGTCATACTGTCTCCTAATACACACAGACTCACCTGCACAGTCTCAGTGGCACCAGGATAAGTCCAGAAAGGACAGAGTTTCCACCAAGGCAGTTGTTTGTCCACCTCCTGGGTACTATATATGTCTGCCTTTACATAATGCATTTGAAACAAAGAGAAAACAATGATTGTAAAGATAAAGAAATAGAACTTCAGTTGCTTCAATACTGCCATTCCACGTAGCCACTTGTAGTTTTTATTTGTATTTTAAAAAATGTAGTAGTGAAACAGAGCATGCACTTCAAGGTATGGTATTTTTTAAACTTTTTTAGAATGGAGGTGAAATTTATAGAACATAAAAATAACAGTTTTAAAGTGTACATTCCGTGGCATTTAGTAAATTCACAATGTTGTACAACCATCACCTCTGTCTAGTTCCAAAACTTTTCATCATTCCCAAAGAAGATTCCATGCCCATTATGCAGTCACTCCCTGTTCACCCCCATTTTTGGTTGCAAGTACAAATTTTAGTTCACACATGAAATTTTTTACCAATTTTTAAATGCATATATATATATATATGTATGTATGTATGTATGTATGTATGTATTTTTGTTCTTTTTTTTTTTTTTGAGACGGTGTTTCTTTCTTGTTGCCCAGGCTGGAGTGCAATGGTGCCATCTCAGCTCACTGCAACCTCTGCCTCCCAGGTTCCAGAGATTCTCGTGCCTCAGCCTCCTGAGTAACTGGGATTACAGGCGCCCATTACTACGCCCAGCTAATCTTTTTGTATTTTTAGTAGAGACGGGGTTTCACCATGTTGGCCAGGCTGGTCTTGAACTCCTGACCTCAGGTGATCTGCCCACCTCACACTCCCAAAGTGCTGGGATTACAGGTGTGAGCCACCATGCCCAGCCATAATATATTTTTAGTTTGAAATTTTCTTTATTATTATTTGTTATAAACTGTAATTTTATCATCTCATACTACAACAAACATGTAGGTTTAAGTCTTCCCTGTTTTCAAAAGTCGTATTAATGTTATAAAATATTTAATCTATTTCTTTTTATTTTACTATAATATTTATTTCACTTCTTTTTTCTTTTTTTCTGGCATAACAGTATATATGAAGTTCAATTTTTAAAATTTACTGACTCTTTTTTTCCTGGACATTGTTATTATCTATTCCATTTTTATGATTATTACTGAAGATAATTTTGTTGTATAGATGAAGATCGACAAAAATCAATTCATTCTGGGCATCAAACAAGCCAGATACACACTGACCATAGCTGCAGAAATGTAGCTTGGTCCCTGTTTGATCATCAGTCCTTTCATTGCTGTTTCTGCTTGCAGTTGGGGTCACATACCTTGCTGACTCCTCCTACTCTTTAGTCATGCATGGGGAGTGTAGAGGAGGAAAAAACTTTTTTCCTCTTCCTCCTGGGTTCTCCAGCTGGGGGCCTGCAAATGAGACTGACAAAAGGCAGTCTAAAAAGCAAGAGAAAAACAGAGTTTATTAACATATGCAATGCACATACTCACAGAAAAACTCAGTGATGAGCAAGTCAAAGGGATGGTTAGAGGTTGGGGCTTATATAACACCTTAACGAAGAACAATAAATTTGTAGAGAAGTGATGAGACAAAGGAAAGGATTTTAGCCTTCCAAGGTGCTATGGTTTCAATGCCCTTTCCAAGATTCACGTTGAAATTTATTGCAGGGCCAGGCATGGTGGCTCATGCCTGTAATCCCAGCACTTTGAGAGGCTGAGGTGGGAGGATCACTTGAGCCCAGGAGTTCAAGACCAGCCTAGGCAACATAGTAAGACCCCATCTCTAAAAATAATTTATTGCAGGAGGTGGAGCTTTTAAGGAGTGATTAAGTCATGAAAGTTTGGCCCTCATGAATGGATTAATGCTGTTATCACAGAGTAGGTTAGTTATTGAGAGTGGGTTCCTGATAAAAAGGAAGGGTTTGGCCAGATTTCCTCTGTCTCTGTTTCATGGACTCACTTCCACCTTCCTCTCTTTAACCATGGAATGAGCCTTGACAGATGCAGGTGCCATGCCCTTGGACTTCCCAGCCTCCAGAACTATGAGCCAAATAAATCTCTTTTCTTTACAAATTATGCAATCTGTGGCTTCTGTTATAGCAGCAGGAAACAGACTAAGACACAAGGGCAGAAAACTGTGGGAAGATAAATATATGAGGGAAACTAATAGAAAGTCAGGATTGTCTTAGTAAGGTTTGTGGTATAGATTCCCCTCATGCTGTCACTGAGCTAAAAAAAAAAAAAAAGTCTGGTGATTAAGCATCTGAACCTACTTCTAGGCAAATGGTGGGGGAAGGAGAGGAGAGTGTTTTTTTGGTGTCCACTGTTTTCAATTGTCTTCAGCTTCAAATAATCCTTACGCCAAAGTACAAATTTTAGGGTGGCATATTCTGATCCCCTACAGTAGCCATCTCTAGAGCTAGCTCCACTCAGGAGAGACTAATGCTCCTTTAGCTTCTTCCTCTTCTCTGAGTCCCTTACTTCATAGGGAAGCCCAGTGTTTCCAGCTTTCACTGCCCCTCATTAGAAATAGGTTGGAGATCCCCTCCCAAAAAACTGGCTGGGGCAGGTGAACTCAGCACATGCCCTGGGGGCACAGTTCACAGAGTGGAGCAAGCCCCAGCCCATCCAGAAGATTTCATGGAGCTTCTTTTTTCAAACACTCTCCTTAGTAGACAGGCATGTCTAAAAATATATAAACAAACTTGAAAGTATTGCAAAATATTTTCTCTCAACAAGTATAACTGAATGATCTTGCCTTGCCAGAGGCGTGAGGACTTCCTAACCTTATCTCCACGGGTCTGGCATGTTTACACCCAGCAGCCCTTAGTCTTAGTGATGGGAGATTACCTGAGCCAGTTTGGCTATCTGGGTGCCCATTATTTGAGGACAATTTTTTAAGTTTAGGTATATGTTTTAGTATTAAAGAGAGTGCTGAGATAGTATCATCAATTATCTATCCCAATGAGCCCAAGAGGTGTGATAACCAAACAGGCTTAAAAACTTTCAACTCCTCACTCTGCATACAACATTGCCGAGAACCTCCCCATAAATGGAGGCTAATCCACAGACAGGCTGATAAAGCTTCATTGTTGGGGCTCCTCACTTGTACAAGCTTCTTCCAAAGCTCCATACCTAATTGTGTATTCATAATTTGTGTTCTTTTTCTTAAACAGGTCTGAGGGGAAAAAGAGACAAACTGTTTTCTCCTCCTATGCTCTCACAACATAGAACGTTTCTTTGATGAGATATTTCCCCACATACCAAGCAATTCTCCAGCAGACACCAGCTGGGTGTCCTCTAATTCAGTTTAATTCTGACACTGTCTACCTGGTGATAGTATCAGATCCCACTGGTTAAGGGCTCAGTCCCACAAGTTTACCCCTACCCCCAACTTCAGATGCCCATGACAAGCCCCAGATTGTGACCTGTGCTTCTGACCACCAGCTATAAATTGGGGTTCCCACAACTCCCTCCTTGGGTTTGATTTATTTGCCAGAGTGGCAAACAGAATTCAGGGAAACACTTTACTTATGTTTATCCATTTATTATAAAGGATATCATGAAGGATACAGATGAACAGCCAGATGGAGGAGACACACAGGGCAAGGTATGTGGGGAGGGGCACAAAGTTCCCATGCCCTTTCTGAGCATGCCCTCCAGGTACCTCCACATGTTTTGTAATCCAAAAGCTCATCCAAGCCCTGTCCTTTTGTTTTTTTTCATGGAGGAGTCATTATATGGACATAACTGATTAAATCATTGGCCATCGGTGATCACCTGAACTTTCGGTCCTTCTCCCCAACCTAGACATTGGGGGCTAGAGCTGAAAGTCCCAATTCCCTAATCATGCCTTGGTCTTTTGGTGACCAGCTTCCATCCCAAAGCTATCTAGGAGCTCCCAGCCACCAGTCATCTCATCTGCTTACAAAAAGACACTTATCCCTTTAGAGATTCCAAAGGTTTTAGGAGCCAGGTGTCAGGAACCAGCAGCAGAGACCAAATATGTATTATTTATTATACCATAATATCATAACAGAGTTCCCCAAATTATATAAACTTCAAGCCCCACAAATCCTGGATTGACCCCTGCTTCTACATATCCCTTTAATGGACCTGTGTGAGAATTTCTAAGAGACCTATGCCCCGAATAGACACTTAATTTGATTAGCTAATGCCAGATCATTCTCCAACCTGTGCTTCCACGAGCAGCAGGAAAATCTTATTCCCACACCTCTGCCAGCATTGGCATTCTCAAGCTCTCTAAATTCTCTAGGCTAATAGCTGTGTAATAGCCTTACAGCCTTATACAGCCTTGAGTTATTGTAAATTGTCTGAATATGACACCCATTTTTCTTTTGGGGTACTATCCAGAGTTCTTTGTATATTCTAGATATTCATCCCCTTTGTCACTTTTAGACCTCATAATCTCTTCCCAAACTGTCATCATCTCTTCAGTTCAACTGCGATGTCACTTGTTCACAGAAATCCTTAATTTTGGTGTAATCCGATCTACCAATTTGCCTTGTGGCTTGCACTTTCGAAGTCTTGTTTAAGGATTTCTTTACCCCTTCCAGGTTGCAATACTTTTCTCCTGTTAACTTTATGATCTTATCTTTCACCTTTAGGTCTCTTGTCTGTTGGAGATCTCCTTTGTATGTGGGGTTAGATATGGATCCTACTTTAATTTTCTCTATCCTTTCTTTCTCTGCCTATTTTTCCATCACCATATACTAAACACTCCATCCACCCCCTAATTAAACTGTGGAGCCAACTCGGCATTGTATGAAATTCACAAGTAAATGCAGAGCTACCTGTGAACCGTCTATTCCACTCCACTCCCACATTCAAAACAACTTTGTAGGGTGTCTTGCTATCTGGTGGGCAATTTCCCCTCTTTATTCTACCATTTGATTTAGCTCCTTGTGGAACTTATTTTTTCCTATACATTTTATTTATTTATTTTTAAAATATGGAATGCTTCACAAATTTGCATGCCATTTTTGCACAGAGGCCATGCTAATCTTCTCCGTATGATTCCAGTTTTAGTATAGGTGCTACCACAGTGAGAACTCCTATACATTTTAGAACAAACATATCAAGTATCTATAAAAAAATTACAACTAGGATTTTAACTGGGATTGCACTAGATTTATAAGTTAATTTGGGGATATTTGACATCTTTATAATTTAAGTCATGTCATCTAAGACCTGGCATGTCTGAGGGGAGAGAATTGTGAGAAGAGATTGAAATAGATATTAACGAATGTCTTGGAGAGGGTCCCAAGTCCTGTCCTTACCATTGGCCTTGCTTGAGTTTGGGGGCTGGGCAACAAAAACCCATTTTAGTCAAAGAAGAACTGAGTGCAGAGGGAACTATGCTTCGCTTCCCTGGGTGTGAACCAGGGGCTCTGCAAGCGTATAGGAGAAGCCCCCATCTGGCAAGGACTGAGTGAGAGGCCAAGGAAGTCAGTGTCTCAGAAGCCCCCCCAATACCCAGCAGGGGGAAGAAAAAGCAGCCAAGCGTGCCCAAGCACCACAGGCTTGCAGAGCCAAAGGAACCTGGTAATATGTGGGCCTGGTGACGTGAGGCCATGGTGGATTTGGGCACAAGTGGTAGATGCCAGCGCATGACTAAGAGGACAAGATGTGCCAAGTTTCAGCTGAGTCAATGCCAATGGAAGGCAGAGAATAGTGTGAGCCAGAAACTCCCTCTCACCAGCGCCTGGGTGCTGCAGTGCCCTCTCTCTCTGCACAGGAACTGTGACAGCCTTCAGGGAGAAGAGGACCTAGGAGGAGGAGAAAGATCCAGAAATTGACTATTGATTCAAGGAGTCGTGAGTTTTAAAGCAAAAGTTATCTTGAATTGATAGGTTCAGTTTTGTGGAAATAAATAGTCACATTTTATTTTTACCCCTGAGATACTGAACTATGGTGGTTATATAAATTTCATATCCACTATACAACTTTTAGTTTCTGCAGACTGGATTTCAGTAGTAGAATAAAATCTGTTGAGGAGGGACTTAGGGAATTAAATAAATATGATGTACCTATAGTAAGGCAGGAAGAAATTGAGGCATAGGCCGGGCACAGTGGCTCACACTTGTGATCCCAGAACTTTGGGAGGCTGAGGCAAGAAAATGGCTTGAACCCAGGAGGCGGAAATTGCAGTGAGCTGAGATTGTGCCACTGCACTCCAGCCTGGGTGACAGAGCGAGACTCTGTCTCAAAAAAATAAATTAAAAAAAAAAAGAAAGAAAGAAATTGAGGCTTAAAGAAACCAAAGGCTTTGCTTCTCATAAAAGTGAATTAATGGCAGACAAATGTGGACAATTTTATCATTTCCAGGCCTCACTGTTTCTAAACTTAAACAAATACTTTGAGGGGATTCTGGAATAATCCTCCTGAGACCACAGCCCTACTCACAGAGCTCTTCTAGTTCGTGGAAGCTGACCTACAGAAGGGGGAGCACTTCAGTGTGGCCACCTCTCTCCAGAGTAAAGTCATTGCCACACAAGAAGTGTCCAGAGCACAGAGGCTGGCTGGGTTTCCTGCTGTTGCCTGGAGATGCCCTGACTCAAACAGAATGTGCAGCCCCTCGGGAGGTCAGGCATCCTGCAGCTGGTCTGGGAAGACCCCTGGTCCAGTGGGAAGAGATGGGTGTGGCTTTTATTTTAAGAGATGGGGTCTTGCTACGTTGCCCAGGCTGGTCTTAAACTCCTGGACCTCCCAAAGCATTGGGATTACAGGCGTGAGCCATAGCACCCAGCCTTGTGTGGCTTTTAAATATCCCTTGTTTATGGACTAAAATGTTCTCTAATGAAAGGTAGATACTGCTTCTAAGATGCACTCCATTTTAGTTCTGGCATTGGAGGAGTTTGGAGTGTTTTCTGTGTACAACCCTCCCTGTACCTCTAGCACAAACAGACAATGAGACCCCCTCTCCTACCCCTCACCAGCTCTAGGGAACCCAGAGGAGTGGAGGCAGGCCACTTCTTCTCTGAGGAGAGCCTCCTCCAAACCATGCGGTCTTTGGGCATCAGCTGTTTCCCCTGCTGTATTGGCCAAGGGGACACCATCTTGTAATGGCCTCTGGTTGTAGAGTCCAGGCAGATCTCGCCTTCCAACCCAGTCTTCTCTGAATTTGCTGGCCAGCCATCATCATCTTCTTCTCTCCTTTGAAATGGAGGCTCAGGAACTTTGACTCTTTGTCCTTATCATTTGTAGGGGCCTGTCACAAAGCTGGCTCCAGGGTATTCTGTCCAGGCCCCTTGGCCACCGTTGCTCTGCTGCTCTGGTACCATGGGGGACATGAAGCTTCACTAGGGCTCACAGTCACTCCAGAACTCACCTTGGGAAGGGAGACCCTAGTCTTTCCACCCTGGGAGCCCCCCATGTTGACCTGAGGCATCTATTCTACAGCCTGTTCCCCCAGCACTCAGCTAGGGTAGGAAGCAGGGACCCCAAACCTGCGTCCATGTTCTCATCCTCTGATTTGATACAGCTCACAATGCAAGGATGGTTTTTATGTTTTTAAATGGCTGAAAAGAAGAATAATAGTTTGGGACACATGAAAATTATATAAAATTCAAATTTCTGCACCTGTAAACTTTTATTGGAACATAGTCATACTCATTCCTTCACATATTGTCTATGACTGCTTTTGTGTGACCATAGCACAGTGGAGTACTTGCAGTGGAGACTATGGGGCCCACAAAACCTAAAATATTTACTGTTCGGCCCTTTGCCATAAAGGTTTGTGGACCAACCCCTGGTCTAGGCTGAACTCTCCCTCTTCTGATAGCTGTGTATAGTCAAAGCTACTAGTGCTCCCAGAATGGTGGGGAAAAGCAGATGAGACAACTTCTGCCACCAGCCCAGCAGCTGCCAGAGTAGGGACTGTGGCTTTTATCATTGTTCTTAGGACCAGTACATATTCCTCTGATGGTAAATAATTTTCAGTAACTCCAAGTTCAAAAGTTCTCTTCATAACCAAATTGATTTTTTATATTTCTTTGGAAGAAAAGGTTACTACTACCTTGTAATAAGTTACTTTTTTACAGTGTTATAAAAGAATGAATTGGTGAAATAACTTCCAAGCAGGAAGATGTTCTCAAACCAGTTCTTGTTAATTTTTAGCTCAATCAGACAATTAGAACCACAAACTCAGGTATTAAAAACACTGAAGATGGCCAGGTGCGGTGGCTCACGCCTGTAATCCCAGCACTTTGGGAGGCTGAGGTGGGCGGATCACGAGGTCAGGAGACCCAAACCATCCAGGCTGACACGGTGAAACCCCGTCTGTACTAAAAATACAAAAAAATTAGCTGGGCGTGGTGGCGGGCACCTGTAGTCCCAGCTGAGGCAGGAGAGTGGCGTGAACCCGGGAGGGAGAGCTCGCAGTGAGCCGAGATTGCGCCACTGCACTCCAGCCTGGGCGACAGAGTGAGACTCCATCTCAAAAAACAAACAAACAAACAAACAAAAACACTGAGGACTGTCCATATATTAAAATAATTTTGAGTGTGTGTGTGTGTGTGCGTGCGTGTGTGGGCTGATCAGTTCAAAAAACTGGATTGAGAATAGGAGTAGAGTGTTTGTCCTCTTGAAGGAGATTTTGAATCTGATTCTAGATTTGTATTGTTTAAAATTTGCAGTCCATCTCTAAACTCATGGACTAGGAAAAGGCTTGGGGGGACGCTAGGAATGTAGCCATCTTTTGTTCAACTTTGAGAAAGCCAAACTGAAGACTTTACAACATAACAGTAAGTGTATGAACTTGTCTGTTCCTTTGCGCTTTCAAAAATTCGTTTATTCAACATTCATTTACTGAGAACTCATCACTTACCCTTATAATGCATTATATTAGAGGCAAAAAGCTACAAAGATATATGCCACCATCGCTGCACACAGAGAGAATCCAGTAAAGTGGGTGGGTTTTCTTGATTGTAAGGAGCAGACTCAGCTAGGTTAGCTCAGGAGGGAGATAAACATGGAACATCAATGGAGTTGGTCTTCCACAGAAGGAAGGAAGAGGCATTGGAAGGGATAGGCCTCACTGCCCTGGGACTGAGGAGCCACTCTGGCTCCAGGAGACTCCAGGGCTCTGTGGCAGGAGTTAGGGGGCCATGTCCACTGGCCTAGCTCAGTCTCCTCTGAGCTGCTTCTTTCCCTTGGCCTGAAACTCTTCTCTCCACCATCACTACAGCTTGCTCATAGTTTCAATATTTTGCAACCGGGGCTTCTTACAACCTACTGTAGCTCCAATTCTTATCTTTTCATTTCAAAGCATCCTCCCAAGTCTTTTCGCTTTTTCTTGACCTTTCTTTGGTTAAATTTCCAAGGTAGAAATGGCGTTTAACCCAGCTTTTATGTATGCGTCAGGTTATGAGAAAAGTTGCTGACCAACCTATCGATTGGCTGTCTTTTTGTTAGGTGTCAACCATGAACCAATCTGCTCTAGGGACGGGGTCATACAGGGCAAAGTATCCTCACTTAGAGCTGCTCCTTTGGGCTGTCCCTAGCAGGCTTAGTGGGAATGACAGACAATGGGAATAACTTGTTTACCATGGAAATAAATACATATAAAATTAGCTCTATGCTATGATAATACTGAGTCAAATTCCTTGGGCCAACATAACTGCCCAGATGGTGGGGAAAGAAAATAAACCATAACCAGGTAGGATTAGAGCTGGGGGAAGCTCTTGTCAACAGGGCTTGCTCTTCCATGGGTAGCCAGGAGGGCAACACCCAGGGGAGTAAGCAGCTTCAGGCTATTGTATCCAAGGGGTTTCCTGGCAGTCAGCCATCAGGAAGGCATTGTAAGAATTAAAGAAAGAGGAGAGAAACACGAAGGGTGGCTCAACAGTTAACAGGTTTATTTTAAACCTGGGAGGGACTTCTGATCGAGTTAGGTCAGAAGCCACACTCTCTTGCAGACTAAGAGTTTTTAAAGATTCAGGGTGGGAGAGTTTATCAGAGGCTTGGACTGCTTCTGTGTCTCTCTGTTGTGCTTATTTGGGAGGGAGAGTTGTGTGTCTGTTCCCATACATCTTTCTGTAGCTGCAGGCATATCCCCCCAATCTGCCTTTAGCCTTCCTATCTTAGTGCACCTGAAAGGAAAGGAATGTGCTTATTAAGGCCCACTGTTTTACTGGGGCCCATTGTATGAGGGTGAAGTTTGGCAGTTACCCAAGAGACTTTCCTCCCACTTCCCTCTGTGCCCGTCTTATCTGTATTTTACTGTCTGCTCTTTCTGACTGCTTGTAATGAGAAGACAAGTGATTTTCTTGAAATGCCTGAGGCTAGAAAGGGAGCTGGAACTTAAAGTGGCAGTGTTTGTCCGAGATGATGGTGCTCCTGTCCTGTCAGGCATAGTTCAGGGTGATGAGTTCCCTGAGAGCCAGTGATTGGTTGTACCATACTGAGGGTAAGTTCCAGTCTGACAAGGAAGAGCAACCAAAGTTAGGCAGGATCTCCAAGTTGTCTGAAGCTTGGAGAAAACAACTAATCCCAATGGGAAACTGGAGGGCTAAGCAGACACCAAAAATAGAGGCTCTGTCTTATAGAACGTGCATATTGTGTGGTGCATGTATGTGCATGTGTGTGTAGGGGACAACACTGATACAACTCTGAGGACATATATCAGTCACAATAACACAAACGATTCCTAGTGGTGCAAATGACTTGAGACCTTCACCTGCAACATGGCTAAGAGGCTACAGAAGACAGAAATTCAGAGGAGTGAGTGAGGATTCAGGGCAATTATCACAGACAACTCTTCAGCTGACCTTAACGTATGTATTTATCAGAAACAAAGGGAGGGAGGTGAGGAAACTCGGTCAGTAGAATCAAAATGTTCTGGCTTATCTGATATCTTCCCCCTTGGGCCTGAAATCACCTACATAGCTAAGGGGGTTGTAAGAGAACCCAGAAGGTAAATTACTCCCAGTTACTTGCCACAGAGTGAGGTCCACGTGGGGAAGCCAGCTAGTAGACTGAATCTCCCCTGAGGGTTGGTAAGAACATGCAAAGAAAAGAGCCCTGCAGGGCTAAGTCATCCTCTTCTTCATTTTCAAGGAGCAGGGCATCATGGGCCTTTTTCATCACTTTTCAAAAGTCTGAGCTGTTTCTGTTGCTTCCATTTGTTCACCATGAAAAAATCTACTTAGGTGGTCACCCCAAGTGCTTTAACTCTCTTTATCTGGAGTCAACAGCAGAAGCTTGGCTAATTAACAAAATGATAAAAATCATAATGATAAATAATAAAAATGGCTTCTTATTGGTAAAATTAGTGATCAGTCAATTAACATGAAGCAAGTGAGAAATGGGCTTTTACTATTGAACCTAATGGTGTTCGAGACAAGTGGACTGGGGAAAGCATTAGGGACAGTCTCTACTCTTACGTAAGCTGGGTGTAAGATTTTGGCCAGCCCTTCACTTGTCACCTTTCTAAATGGCATAAGAAATATGATTCTGACCTTGTCCTGTGTTCAGCTGTGAATTCAGACAATTCAGTTACCTGGTGCAATTAAAATCTGGTCTTTAGAATACTGCCCTGTCACTCTTAAGAGGCCCTTTCATGTAGAGTGTGGACAAAGCACTGAAAAGTTCAGAGGGCTGGAAATTTGCCAAGCTTACAGAACCAGCTGCATGAACGATTTTGGATCTTCTTACTGATAAATATGTATGTGTGCCAGCATTTGGGCTGAGATCTGCTTTCATTATAATATTATAGGAAGTAGGGTTATGAGGAGATGAGGCTAATCAGATCCCACTACTTCTTGGCCAGGCTTGGGAACCTTAATGATGCAGAAAAGGGATTTCTATAGAGTCCAGGCAGCATTATTAATTTGTCCACTTCACAAATGTTTCTCACATAACTTCCATATGTCAGGCATGTGCTCCTGTGTACCACACTGAGGGTACAGTGTTGCATAGGGCAGATGTGCTCCCCTCCCTCAAACAGCTTACAGACCAGGAGACAAGTGATCAAGCAAGTAATTACGACCAGTGGTGAGTAATATGGCAGGGAAATGCAGAGAAGCGGGGACACAGAGCAAACAGAATACCCATGGGTGGGAGGTTGACATAGTGCCTCCTTTGTGCTGAAAAAACTCAAGTGCTAGAACTTATCCATACACCACTGGACAAATGCCTGAAGGCCACTGGTGGGCCTGACCCTATTACAGAATTTACAGCTCAAGGACATTTTGAAGTCCTATGGTCATCCTCTTCCCATCAGCTTGGGGTCACATGGACACCTGGTCCCCTCCTATTTTTATTCCAGAGGACACTGAGGTTCAAATACACATGCTGCGGTTGGCAGATTTTATCCCTAGAGACCAAAGTATGAAGAGGCTCCATGACTTGCCCAAGGGCATTTATTGAGTCAACAGTAGAAATGCGAAGAAAATTCTGTCACCTGATACTGGGGCCAGCTCCCCTTCCCTTGACACATCATCTAAAGGGGGAAATAATCTTCTGAAGTATCAAATAACTCTGGTATTTTGATGAGTGAGCAAGCTGGTAAGCAAATAATGAGAAAAGTGAGTGTTGAATTTCCCTTGACATAACCCTTTTGGAAAATGCAGCGGCAGATGCAAGAAGAATGTGACTTATATTATAATGAAAGCAAAAATATTTTCAAATAGATTCAGGGGGCTAATAAACAGAAGGTCTGGCTATGAGTGTCAGCCTAAAGGAGAGCAGAGAAAAAGATCCTAGAGTTCTCAGCCAGGCAAGATGACTGCTTACAATACACAGCTTTCATATAGGGAGTGAGTGTCCTTTTTCATCCTCTTAGTTACGTAAGGGAAAGGGAAAGGCATTCTTCAAACACAGATCACTTCAGAGTAGTCTCACTTGAGAAGCTAGTGACGTGTGCTGATAAAATGACGGGTGCTGGATTCTTGTTGAGATGAGGAAACAATGCCTTTGGGGGTAGAGGATCTGTGAATCACTCCCTCTGTGCCAAAGAAAGGGACTCAGGAGAAGCCTGGCCTGAGTGCTATGAGTCCACTGACCCCTCAGTCACACTAAATATCTATGAGAACCATGAAGGAATGGGCTTCTACATTTCAGATTGCGAATTCTGAAAAGAATGAAATTCCTTACAGAAGTTTATCTTTATTTTCTACTGGGTAGAATTTCTAGAAGCTTCTTTAAAAATTGTGGTTTCCTTGGCCTTAAAGAGTGATAATAACTTTTCCCTCAGCATAATTCTGCCCCACCCTAAAACAGCACTGTGTCTGGTGCTTCTTGTTTGTCCCAGTGGCAGCACCTAGGATTAGGTTTCTTCAGTCTTCCTGTAATAAAACAAAACAACATTGAAATGAGTTTCTATGATGGCTACCTTTATGTGTCAATTTGACTGGGCCAAGGGCTTGCCCAGACAGCTGGTAAAACATTATTTCTGGGTGTGTCATGAGGGTAGCTGCATAAAGAACACCTGCCCTCACCAATGTGGGTGAGCACCATCTAATCCATGGAGAACCCAAGTAGCGTCAAAAGGCAGAGTAAGGGTGAATGTGCTCCCTTCTTGAGCTGGGGCATCTATCTTCTGGCCTCAGACATCAGACCTATGTATATACATCAGGCCTATGTGTGTACCTCTCTATATATCCTATATATTGATATAAGATATATATCTATATAGATCTATAGATCAATAGGACAGATCTATATATAGGATATATACATCTATATATCCTATTCCTAGATATAGGATCCAATATATAGATCTATATATCCTATTGCTTCTGTTTCTCTTGAGGGCACTAATACAGCTTCTTTAGGATCTTTCCGTTTAAAAGAGAAAAGGAGGATGGCAAGGAAAAGATTTTCCTTTGACATTTAGTTCACTTGGAGGACTGTATTTACTGAAACATTTCTATGGGCTTCATTTTATAAAGGCAACCATACACAATCTGTCCATGTCAGTAGACACATAACATCCACACCCCCAGGCAATTTAAGATTAGAAAGCTCAGATCTGGTTGGCCTCGGTGTGCTCATTTGACTCCATTTTTCTTTCCTCATCTGCAAGATATTCAACATTATTATGTCAATGGATTGATTGTATTGAGGAAGAAGAGGAGATGTCACTAAAGTTGGACATCACTACTTTTTTCCCGGTTTTTCAAAGGTTTGTAGCATGGAAACAAATCTCTCTAGACTAAACTACACAAGAAGCCAATCCCCTTCATATGAAAAACATTCCACTTGACAGGACAAATCCTTTGATTTTTTTGCAAGGAAATTTTATGAAAGAGCCTGGAAGCTTGTTTACAGAGACTAGAAAAGAATAAGCTCCGTGGAGAGCTCTTTCCTGAGACCTGAACACCCAACTGTCTGCTGGACATCATTTTCTTAGACACCCCCAAATTCAACATGTCTAAAACAGAACCTATTGTCTCTTCTCCCTACCCCTCCAACCCTGCTCCACTGAAGTTGCTATCTTATTGATGCCACCATCTTCCACCCAGGTGTCCAAGCTAGAAACCAAAGAATCCTCCGTGAGGCCTTTCTCTCGCATCCTCTCCGCTATCCAGTTAGTTACTAATTCCTGTTACTGCTGCTTCCTACATTTCTCAAATATTTATCCACTTCTCTTCATTTTCACTGCCTGCCCTCCCCTGGTGGCGGCTCTGAGCATCTCTCATCTGGATCACTGCACCAGCCTCTTAATGGGGGGCCCTACCTCCTGCCTTGCCCTCCATCTGTTCCCTACATGCAAGAGAGTGATCCTTCTAAAATGCAAATCTGAACCCATCAGTTTTCTGCTGAAGATCCTTCCATAGCTCCCTACTGGGAATAAAGGTCAAACAATGCTTAGAAAGAACTTCTTTGTTTGAACTGGTTTATCTCTTCAAAGTCTTGACTAACCACTCCTACCCTCTCCTACTCCATCCTTGAGCTGTGAAAACTTGTAGGTCCCAGATGAATCTGCCTTGCGGTCTGTCTCCTCTTGGCCTTTGCATATAGTAGCCTCACAGCATGGAACACTCTTTACTCTCACTCTTCGCCTAGAAAACTGCTACTGCCCCTTCAGATCTCAGCTTAGAAGCCTCTTTCCAACTTAGCTTACATGCTTCCATAGCACAGCCTGTATGTCCCATTTCAAAGCTCTTGCCTCACTTGGGAATGCAAATGTCTATTTACTCATTTGGTTGTATTCACTGCTAAAATATATGCTTCTTATATGACATGTTAGAAAAGGCAAAACTATAGTGACAGAAAGCAGATCAGTGGTTGCCAGTAGCTGGGGGGAGGGTAGGAGATTGACTACAAGCAGTGCAAGCAATCTTTTCAGGGTGATGTAAATATTCTCTATCTTGATCCTAGTAGTGGTTATACTACCCCGTGCATTTGTCAAAATGCATCAAACTTTACACTTAAAATGAGTGAATTTTATTGTATAGCAAGTATACCTCAATAAAGCTGGTTGTAAGAAAAATTAATATGTGATCCTCCAGGGCAGGTTTATACTTAGAACCATCCCTGGCTCATAGTAAGTGCCTACAATAGGTAATTGTTAAACCAATGAATGGATAAACAAATCAATATTATTTCCTTTCCCCTATTGTTTTGTACAATTGGAATAAATTATTTTTTTAAAGATGTGCTTAAAAAGTGTTCATTTATGACCTACCTTGTCATCCCAGCAGTGGAATCAAATTTCTTTCAGTGAAACATGTAAACGTAAGACCTGTGCATGTCTTATGGGAGAAAATGTTTCCAGGATGAACTCACTCAGAGGAGGAGACAGCATTACAGTGGCGCCAGACAGCTGCAGCTCTACTTGCCCTAGGCACGAAGAGGGTGAGAAACAAATGCTTCAGGGGACTGGCTAGCAGCAGTTCTGAGGCCTGCTGCCCTGAAGCTTCTTTTCTGCAGCTCCTGGCTGATCCGGGTTCTGGATGCATCATGTCTTGAAGGCACTGACAATATCCACTTCCTATTCCTTAGCTGCATATGTCTTCCTTCTCATGGACTAGGGTGAAGGCCTGGTGCTGATGCAGAGAGACTAACTAGAGACAAGTACCTGCTTTGGCCTGAGACATCTTTGACCAGAGGCACAGGATGTACTTGCTTAACGGTAACCTATACCAGGGTTAACCCTTGCCCAGCTGTTCCAGGTTAGGAGCCCTTTCTGCACTGACAGTCTCCTTCAAGAACAAAAGAATATTTTGAATTGGAAAAGATTAGCTTGCTCTTTCCTTCATTTTCAGTTGAGGAAACTGAGGTCAGAAAGGGTGAGAGACTTGGCTGGACTATGACGAGATCACTGGGACTGGAACCTTGTTTCTGCACTTGAGGGCCAGCTGCCAGCAGCCTCCCTGCACCACTCCCAGGTGGTTTGCTCGTCCCAACGCACTGCAGTGCGGGGAAGGAGTGTGCTCTCCTTCATAACCCAGCAGGGATTAACGCAGGCTACTTAGCTGAATTTAGAAAGTACTTGGTGAATCAATATAATGAATCTCAGAATTCACATTTTCTCTCAGATTTTACTATTGAACAAATGAAAAGAACAAAAAGTAAAAACAAATGGACTGATTTTTTAAAGATCACACAAGTCATCACCATTCCCAGCTAACTGATGGACTCCCTTGGAAGGTGACGGCTTCTCCCCCACCTGTCTAAGCACACAGAAAACACATCAAGTCCTCCGTGTGGCTCAGCACCACCTCTTTTCCTCTCACACACCTGGTGGAGACTGTTGAATGAATAAACAGACAACCTCATTTGTAAGTAGGTGGCTTGGAATCCAGAATGCATTTTCCAAAGGAAACGACGTCATAGGAGGGCTTGGGTTTCCTGGGCCTGCCCACAAAGCCTAATTAATCTATCACACTACTGAAAGGCTATATATTTTCAGTAGGAAATAAGGGGAAAAAGAAGTACAGTTACCATAATCATCATAAAATAAACATAAAAACCTGAACAAGAAATGCTTGCCTAGGGCAGATCTTATCCCCACTACCCAGCTCCACTCAGAAGATGGAGCAGAGCCTGTCTCTCTCTCTCTTAAATGAGTGATCATGCCTCAAAATTAGTGCCTTCATTTACTAATAGCCGAATCTCTCTCTGACAGCTGCTCAGATTAACCAGGCATATATTACTTTCATCTTTAATAAACAGGCACTCTAGAGTCGGTGGCTGGTCTCCATGGCAACCAGATTAAGTTTTTCCGCTGATGTTGGGGGCAAAAAGACAGAAGGAATAGACGCTAAGATGGCAGGGGAAGGTACATGTGGATTATAAAGTACTGTCCTCCATTTCTTTACTGGTCCCAGGCTACCTCCCAGCAAGAATGGAGAGTGGCTGTTTCTACCTTCTACTGCACACAGAGGAAAAGGGGTCCTGATCAGTGCTATCAGTACGATGGGAAAGGGCTGGGTTACAGAGCTTAGCGCACACCGAGGCCTGCACTGCCAAGGAGCTACATGCAATTGCATCCATCCAACTGAATTCTCATTTCCTGCGTGTGCCTGGCCCTGTGCTTCGTGCTGCGGAGGTGGTTTACAGTAAAAGCATGTAGACTAAGTGAGGAGAGGTGCCAACACGTATCATGGGGAGGGCAGGAGGAGGTCCAGCCCCTGCCTCCCCAACCAGGAGCAGCTGCAGCTCACAGCACCATTTGCCCTCAAGCTAAGCCACACCTAGTTCTTGAGCTCTGGCCAGAATGACTTTAGCCTTGCCAATCTAGCAGCTGGTCAGGCTGAATCAAGCGTTTTTTGATAGTTCATGGATGCAGCATCATCCACTGGGCCTCTAACACCTGGAGACCCACAGAATTCCTGCCTTCCCTCAGCCATGACTGGTGGATTGACTTGGCCTGCGTGACTGGGATCTGACTCACATTCCTGACCCAGGCTGGGGCCCTGACACCCTGCCTTTCTCTTGTCTGCATCTTACCTCAGGCACCTGAACCTAGTTTCATACCCCTAGGCAGGTTCCTGCTCTAAAGGAGTGGTCGCCCAGAACCACCCTGACAAAAGCTTTCATACTGTTTCAGCTACTGTTTGCTGCTGGAACTGCCTGCCTCTATGCCCCAGCAGGGGGACAGATTGCTGTGGGCCCTGAAGACTGGACCTTGGACCACTCGCACCCACTCAGGCCAAGGTCTGTCAACTTCTGGTACCAAATTCTTCCTCATCCCTACAAACCAGGGATGCCGCCAAAATACCAGAAATCCTTATTCCTGAGCCTGAGGTGGTATTTGAAATGGGTCTTGAAGGGTGGCCAGGATTTGGACAATAAAAGAGAAGACTTTCTCTGTCAGCACCAGGGTCCTTGATGAGAGTCATAGGGTGATGGTGTAATTCATTCAAATCTCTATTAGGTAACCCTAACCTCTGTCTGTTTTCATGGTGCTTTCCGCTGGACTCTCCATCCCTCTGCTGTGTCTCCTGCCTGCTCCCCCTCGGGTGCTTCCCTGTATTCCTTTTCTCCTGTACTTTTCCACTTGCACCCTACGTCAGTGTTTCCTGAGCTCACCTCTCCTTTTCCTACTCTCTGCTCTGATACTGAACACGGGGTGGCGGGGGGGTAGTGGGGAGGGGTGGGGAAAGCTGCTTGCTGTGCCCCAGGTAATTCTCTCATCCTCACTGCCAGCTTTAAGGGGAAATACTGGTCCCAGAAGACAAACCCTTCCTCCTGTCCGTTGGAAACAAGTAGGTTGATTTTTCCATCACAGGAGTGAAACAGCAAAGGCTGTTGGTTGTACCAGTGGATCCAGCGCCTACTAAGAGCTTACTACTCATTTCTATCCATTTAGTGTGGCATACTCCAGAAGATTCTCTTGCCCTTCCCTTGACCCAAAATACCTCCTCTACTGGTGCCTGAAAGCCTACCATTAACCTAGTCATTCCTTTGTGTTAATCATTACTTTTTCCTGATGGTCTTCCTTTGAACATAAAAGCACTCCCAGAAGGGAAAAGATTTGCTTCCTAATGCCTCTATGCAAACGAAGAATGGAGGGGAAAGTGCCGAAGGTTTCAAACCTTCCCAATGGGGTTGGAGTATAAATCTAATTTGACTGGGTGGAGAATTAACAAAATACATTGAAATTATAGAACTGCTGATGTTCATATAGTCATTTTTCCATTTTTTAATCTTCTTCATTTAACTAAAACATACATACAATAGTCTACAAATCTTAAATGTACAGCTTAATACATTTTACATATGTATATACTCATGTAACTACCACCTAGATTAAATATATTTCCAGTGCCCCTGCATCTCTTTCTGGTCAATATTACTCCAAAAATAACCACTTTTCTGACTTCTGTTACCCTAGAATAGTTTTGCCTATTCTTGAGCTTCATGTAAATGGAGCCATGTGGAGCCCAGACTTTTTGACTCAATATAATATTTTTGAGATTCATGCATGTTGTTGCACATATCAGTCATCTGTCCTTCTCTATTATTGCTTAGTATTCCATGGTATGTATTTACTACAATGTCTTAATCCATTTTTCTGTTGATAAACACTTGAGTTATTTCCAGTTTTGCAAAAAGCTGTTTCCTATTTTGAATAAATCTGTTGGAACATTCTTGTACAAGGTTTTGTGAACATATGCACTAATTTTTCTTGGACTATACCTAGCGGTGGGATTCTTGTTTCATAGAGTAGACATGTACATAACTTTTTTAAAAACCACCAAATAGATTTTCAAAGTGATTATATCCTTTTGCATTCCCACCAGCAAATGCGTGACAGTTGCAGTCACTCCACATTGGGTCAGTCTTTTCAATTTTAGCTATTCTGGCAGAGAAAATTTTGCAGTACTTTTGCTACGAGAGGTAAATTCCTGAGCTGGGGCTCATCGGCAGGAGAATAGAGGCCTCCTATCCATGACAGATGTGGAAGTAGAATTCTGATGAGTTTTTGTTTTGTTTCATCTTAATAACGAGAAACTGTGGGGCTAGAAAGCTAGAGAAATATGTTTTATCTTGTATCAGTACCAACTAAAAGAAAGCCAATTCTGGGGGTGGTGGGAGGGTGTCACCAGTGGAGAAAAGGGCTAATTTAGGCTAATTCTAGGATAATACTCCCAGTAGGGTGTTAAGACAATACTGCAGGCCCATGTCTGATGATCCAGTCAGAAAGGGAGCTCAGACCAGGATGCTTGGTTGCCAGTAATAGAGACTAGCTTGAGCTATTAGGTTGGTGCAAAAGTAATTGTGGGTTTTGCCATTAGAAGTAATGCCATTCCTTCTAATGGCAAAACTCGAAATTACTTTTGCTCCAACCTGATAGCATGATCAAGTGGGAACGTATGAAAGGATATTTGTGTACCCACAGAATTGACAGAGTTGAGAGCCTGGCCTAGAGATAAGCAGGAACTGAGGAGGATCCAGAAGGCCAGGAGCAGGCAGCTCAGTCGATCAGTGTGCTTCCCTGATAACTGTTCCTGTCATCCTTGTGTCACCTGTTCGAGGTTCAAAGATCCAGAAGTGTTTATCAGATTTGGTTGAGCTTAGGCCGCATGCCCACCCTCAGGGCTGGAGGAAGCAGAATCTGGCCACTTCACAATCTTCCATGGTGGGGAGCAGGTGCCTGGATTTATACCCCATTAAGGCTGCATCCATGGGAATAAGTAATTCCCCAAAAGAAATGAGATGCCATCAGGAAGGAGGAATGGATGTTGAGTAGCCAAAGAAATGCCACATGTTCACTACAGGCCTGCCTTCAACAGCATCAAATTCACACTATCGTGTTAATAGCTTTGGGAGGATGAAAGGAAACTGGCCTGGACCTATAGGGTGAGCAAGGAAAGAGAATTTGACATCAACAATAAAGGCCTAGCCAATTTGCTCACCGCTTCTCAAATGGACTTGAATAAGATGACACTGCGTGACACAAAATTTCTTCTTTTTTTTAAAATTTTTTTTAGATGGAGTCTCACTCTGTCACGCCCAGGCTGGAGTGCAGTGGCACGATCTCGGCTCCCTGCAACCTCTCTGCCTCCTGGGTTCAAGTGATTCTCTTGCCTCAGCCTCCCGAGTAGCTGGGACTACAGGCACGTGCCACCACGCCCGGCTAATTTTTGTATCTTTTTAGCAGAGACGGGGTTTCACCATGTTGGCCAGGATGGTCTTAATCTCCTGACCTTGTGACCCACCTGCTTCGGCCTCTCAAAGTGCTGGGATTACAGGTGTGAGCCACCACACCTGGTCACACAAAATTTCTCAATTTGTCATTTTTGGCATATCTGAATCACTCTAGGATCCCCTTGCAGTGTGGTACAACCTGTGTGAGGGGATCCTGGGTGGAGGTGGTGGGAGGTGGAGACTGTGGAACGGGGTGAAGATCACAGCCCAGGTATGGCACTCTTTTTCAGGTGTGAGCTTCTAAAGGCCTAAGCAAACGTCTGAGACTTGAGGACAAAAATTATGGGTTTCAAAATACATAAATCAAAATACCCATGATCTCAGCACTTTGGGAGGCTGAGGCAGGAGGATCACTTGGGGCCAGGAATTCAAGACCAGCCCAGGCAACATAGTGAAACCTCATCTCTACAAAAAACTTTAAAAATAGCCAAGGGTAGGCTGGGCGCGGTAGCTCACACCTGTAATCCCAGCACTTTGGGAGGCCGAGGCTGGCAGATCACCTGAGGTCAGGAGTTCAAGACCAGCCTGACGAACATGGAGAAACCCCTGTCTCTACTAAAAAAAAAAAAAAAAAAAAAAAAAAAAAATTAGCCAGGCATGGTGGCGCATGTCTGTAATCCCAGCTACTTGGGAGGCTAAGGCAGGAGAATCACTTGAACCCGGGAGGCAGAGGTTGCAGTGAGCCGAGATCGCACCATTGCACTCCAGCCTGGGCAACAAGAACGAAAAAAAGAAAAAAAAATAGCCAAGGGTGGTGGCACATACCTGTATTCCCAGCTACTTGGGAGGCTGAAATAGAATAGCTTGAGCCCACGAGGCCAAGGCTGCGGTGAGCCATGATGGTGCCACTGCACTGCAGCCTGGGCAACAAAGCAAGACTCCATCTCTCAAAAAAAAAAAAAAAAAAAAGATAAGAGAAAAGAAAATAGCAAATTCTAACTTTTAAAGTGCTCCATTCAGCATTTAGGCAACCTTTCCCACTCTTAGGTGGCACTCCTACCTCAGCTCAGAGTTTCTCAGCCTCCAGCCCATTATGCATTGTTCCAAATGACAAAGCCACCAGAAAAAAAGAGACAGCACAGGCTCAAGGGACCCAGTTCTCCACAACAGGTTGCCACATCTTGATCTGCATCTGAAGCAAAGACTCAAAGTCTACTCTAGAAAAGAAAAAAAATAGCAAAAACCTTAACCACATGGTTCAGACATCTAGTTTTTGGATCCATTATTTACCCGGAAGAGTATTTCCATTGTTCAATGGAAATAACTCAACATAGCTTTATATCTAGAAAAATTATGAAAATGTCTGAGTTACCCGGTATTGGGTCAGCCTGGACTTCTGGAGCATGCATTTTTCTACAAAGGAAAGAAAACTGGTCTGGTTATCAGAAGACCTAAGTATAATCCAGGCTTTGTCATGAACTCATTACATGACCTTAGGAAAATCACAACCTTTATTCTTCAATTTCCTCTTCTATAAAATGAAGGCAATTGACTAAATGGGCACTGAAGTTTGTTCCAGTTCCATGATCACTTAAATTCTTAAATAAAAGAAGAAAGAAACCACGTTAGTCTCTCTGACACATCTCCCCTAAGGCACTGCAGAAGACCAAACACAAAATAAAAAGTATTTCAATCCAAAAAACCATGCTCAATCTCCAAGTCTCTGCAGCCTGTGATTAGTAGAATCTATCTTGCCATAATTGAGCAAAGTAGTTCTAGGAAAAAATTATACCGAATTTTACTAAATGTGCTTTCATTTGAAACCAGAGCCTTCCTTGGTTAGCCAGACCACTAGGACTGACATACTGTACCG
Organism: Homo sapiens; assembly: GCF_000001405.40. NCBI lineage: Eukaryota > Metazoa > Chordata > Mammalia > Primates > Hominidae > Homo > Homo sapiens. The sequence goes on from NC_000006.12 coordinate 106,756,918, forward strand.
ATTACATAATGTGAGCACCATCAATATCCTTCCATTTTAGGAGAATTGGCTTTTTAGCCATCAGTCTAGAGCCCGCTATAATTTATTTTCTTTGTGGTAAGCGGATAACATGTCTACATTAGTTAAATTACTTTAATACGTGGTTGCTTTAGGCTCAAAAATTCTGACCACTCTTTTCAAGGAAACATCAACCCACGACATGTGGACTAAATCTCCATTTTTATTTCTTTGTTCATTTTTGTTTTTTCCAAATGACTTCATTTTTGTTGTGAATGCTAAATCAACTTAAATTTTGGATCTTACTAAATACTCTGATATTTGTGCTTGTCTTTTAACCAAATACGTTGCATCCTTTTGCACCCCACCACTAGGCAACACAACTGTGATCAACTATAAATTGCTGGATGGTGAGTTCTTTATTCTGTCCACAGCAAGGTAAATGACTTCCTTGCCTAACCAACTTCTCAGGCAATAATAATCTGAACTCCTCTCACTCTCCGTCCTTCTCAGAGGAAGCCAACACAAGTCATACAAGTCATGCTGCTGATCCACGTGAATGTAATTTGAGCAGTTTCAAAATGTGTAAACATATTATTAGCAATGTGTTTAAACAGCACCTTTCCCTTTGGTGTTCATAATCCTTTAAGGTTATAATGTAATACTCCTTCCAGCATCACTTGAAAATATATACAGCACAGCAAGAATTATATTTTTCAAGAAATGTGATGGTTATGAATAAATAAAAATGATTTCTCATGTCTCACAAGCATTTTTATTTATTTATAGGATCTATGTATCCCTTGCTTCTTTCAAAAAGAATTTGAAGCAACTTACAAACTAATATGTATAGCCCAATTCTAATAAAATAAGAATAAAACCAGGATGGGAAGTAGAAAAGCTCTTCCCAAACACGACAGGAAGACTTAAAGGAAAATGTGACAGATGTGATTACACAGAAATCTAACAGTTCTGTGTTGCAAAGATCAAGCAGCAGAACAACAGATAAAGGGTAATACCCACAACTGTGTAAAACTGCCTGTAAAATGGTTATGGTTGGCCATAGAAGGCCAACCACTCAAATGTTTTGTGCGGAGAACATGATGATTAGGTCCAGAAGAAATACAAATAGCGAAAAGTCTTATAGAAAAAAAGGTGTAATTCTAGCTCCTACGGAAGGAGTTTCTTTTCTTTCTTTCTTTCTCTCTCGGTCTCTCTCTCTCTCTCTCTTTCTTTTACAAGTCTCGCTCTGTTGTCCAGGCTGGATAGAGTGCAGTGGCGCGATCTCGGCTCACTGAAGCCTCTGCCTCCCAGCTTCAAGTGATTCTCCCGCCTCAACCTCTCAAGTAGCTGGGACTACAGGCGTGCACCACTACGCCCAGCTAGTTGAGATGGGATTTCCCCGTGTTGGTCAAGCTGGTCTCTTAACTCCTGATCTCATGTGATCCGCCCACCTTGGCCTCCCAAAGTGCTGGGATTACAGACGTGAGCCACCACACCCGGCCAGGAGTTTCAAATTAAAACAAGATGACAGTTTTCACTCAGCTGAGTGGCAAAAAATAATAAATAAATAAATATAAAAATAAAAAGAGCAGTAGCATGTAGTTTTATATGAATCTTTTGGTTGTTTAAAAATTTTTTAGTGCAAATGATGCTGCAATGAACATCCTCGTACATATATTTCTTAGCAAATACATAAATATTTCTATAAAATAGGTTTCTAACAGCAAAATTGAATTAAACTTTATATGCAATTTAAAAATTGATACAAACTGCCAGGTTTTTTTGTTGTTGTTGTTTTATTTTTTAGAGAGGGTCTCACTTTGTCACCCAGGCTGAAGTGCTGTGGCACCATCACGGCTCACAACATCCTCGACTTCCTGGGCTCAAGCAATCTTCCCACTGCTCCCCACCCTCCACACTGCCATGCCTGAGTAGCTGGGACTATAGGGGGGTGCCACCATGCCTGGCTAAAAATTTTTTTTATAGAGACAATGTCTCAATGCATTGCCCAGGCTGGTCTCAAACTTCTGGGCTTGAGCGACCCTCTTGCCTTGGCCTCCTAAACGAAAGACGTGAGCCACCATGCCTGGCTTAATACTGCCAATTTACTTTCCTAAAATATTGCCCTACATTATAGTTACATCTGCAGAATATGCGTATGACCATTTTCCCCTAAACATGCAATTACTATACATCCCAGTAATTGTACCCTTGGGCAATTATCCCAGGGGAAAAAAAAAACAACAACTTATGTTCACATAAAAACTATACATAAATATTCATAGCAACTTTATTTATAATGGCCAAAGATTGAAAACAATCCAGATGTTCTTGAATGCTGGTTAAACAAACTGTGGTATATCCAAATCGTGGAATACTACTTAGCAATAAAAAGGTGATACACATACCAACTTGGATGAATCCCCAAGAAGTTATGCTGACTGAAAAGAGCAATCCCAAAAGGCTACAAACCAAATCAAACTAAATGATTCCATTTATATAGTTGTTTTTTTTTTTTGAGACAGATCCTCACTCTGTTGCCCAGGCGGGAGTGCAGTGGCATGATCTTGGCTCCCTGCAACCTCTGCCTCCCAGGTTCAAGCGATTATTGTGCCTCAGTCTCCCAAGTATCTGGGATTACAGGTACACACCACCATGCCTGGCTAATTTTTGTAGTTTTAATAGAGATGGGGTTTCACCATGTTGGCCAGGCTGGTCTCAAACTCCTGGCCTCAAGTGATCCACACGCCTCAGCCTCCCAAAGTGTTGGGATTATGGGCATGAGCCACCATGCCTGGCCCCATTTATATAACATTTCTGAAATGACCAAAGTACACAAATGGAGAACAGATGAGTGGTTGTCAGGGGTTAGAGATGTGGGGAAGGGGCAAGACGGAAGAGGGTGTGGCCATAAAAGGATAACAGGACAAATTCTCCTGGTGATGGAACTGCTCTGTATCTTGACTATGATGGTCGATACATGAACCCACACTCAGGATACAATTGGATAGAACTAACACACAAATAAGTACAGAGAAAACTGGGAAAGTTTGAAGAAGATTGATGGATTGTATCAATGTCAATATCCTAGTTTTGGTATTGTACCATAATTTTGCAAGATATTACCATGGGAGAAAATTGGTAAAGGGAACAGGGGATCTCTGTGCAACATTTTTTAAAAATACGTATAAGGGTCTCTCTACATTGCCTAGGCTGGATTCAAACTCTTGGTCTCAAGCAATTGTCCTACATCATTAGGACTACAGGTACACATCATCATACAGTGCTAATCGTTTCTTACAACTGCATGTGATCCTACCATTGCCTCAAAGTAAAAAGTTTAAGAAACATATATAAGGTGGATCTATATAACATACTATGAGGTCTATGATATACTGTTGCATGAGAAAAACATCTCACAAAAAAATAGGAGCAGAGTGTGATTATATTTGTAATAAACAAAGCCCTATATCAGATTGTATGTGAGCAAATAAATAGAAAATGGTGGTTATCTCTGGAGAAGAGAAAGGGAAAAGAAACTTAGTTTTTGCTCTATATTATTCTGTATTGTTGCAATGGTTTACAACAACATGTCTTTCTATCATGATTTCTAAAAATGTTTTCATTTTAAGGATAAACGAAATATGCCAATAATGGTTGATTACAAATCTCTCTAGATTATGGGATAATGAGCAGTGTCTCAAGCGAGCTGGGATCAGGGAGAGGCAAGTTTCTGTAAAGACAGCAGAAGGCTGTAGACAGGGGAGTGGAATCTGCGGCAGAACAGGGCTCTCAGGAAAGTATCCTATGAAGAGTTTGAGGAAGGTATATCAAGGGTTGAAGGTAAGAGGGAAGCTGGAAAGGTATGCTTTTTGGGCTATCTAATGGCGACAAAAATACAATATTGCTTCGATTTTCTTTTGGGAGTGGAGGCAGAGAAGTGGTGGCTAGTATCTGGGGCTTTCTTTTGGTCCTTCCTACCATAATAGTCCTCACGGAACCAACATGGGGGTTCAGACAGTTACTGAGTATGTCTCCTTACACTATACAATCTAGGACAGAGGCCAGGCGTGGTGGTTCATATCTGTAATCCCCGCACTTAGGAGGCCAAGGCAGGAGGATCCCTTGAGTCCAGGAGTTCGAGACCAGTGTGAGCAATATAGTAAGACCTTGTTTCTACAAAAAATAAAAAATTAGCCAGGCATGGTGGTGCACACCTGTAGTCTCAGCTACTCGGGAGGCTGAGGTGGGAGGCTCCCTTGAGCCCAGAGTTTGAGGCTACAGTGAGCTATGATTACACCAATGCCCTTCAGCCTGAGTGACACAGAAAGACCCTGTCTCAAAAAAAAAAAAAAAAAAAATCTATGGCAGGAAATTACGTGGGCGGTTTCACTGAAGTTATACAATTTCAACACAAATAACCATAGGCCATCATTGACTCCAGGCTTTGAGCCAATCTAGCAGACTAAAAACACAACTTCCTGGTGCTTGAGCAACTTGTGAATCCTAGATGATGTCCCATGTCCATAAACTTAGCCTGACAGAGCCTTACATAGTTTCCCCCTTGTTCTAACACCCCCAGAAACCTCCCCATTACATGTACTCCTCTGGCTCCCATTTGTCAAGATCTTGTAACTCTTTCAGTGGATAGTCTCTATCACTCTGGAGCAGGTCTTATATATCTCTTTTTGTGGGCTATGTTGGAATCTAATTCTTGTTATAGAACCAGAGGCAAAAAGAAGAGAGGGAGTGGGTCTGAGACTAGGCATCACTTCCTGAGGCAACGGTTCCAGGTGTAGTCACTGAAAAGTATTTTTTTCCAGAAAGAGGTCTTCGGGAAATTTAGGTTTCAAAGTTCTCACCCTCATCTATGTCCCACTAGTGCGTTTCATTAGCACTAGAGACCTGGCAAGGTTGAACCTTTAATTACTGCAGAAATTCTGCAAACCTTGCAATGAGGCCCAGGGCTTGACTGTGAAGTGCAACACCAATAGATTGCTGCGATCCCCTCAAGGTTTCCACAGAGGCTTGACTCTACACACAAGTATTCTTCAATATATAGCTATAGCTCTTAATTTATCTTTTTGTCTATATATGCTCTCCATAACTATAAGACATAGCCAGCTGGCTCCATAATCTTTAAAATCACTACTTTTGACAGAACAATGAAGTGTCACTGCTATGGTTTGAATGTCCCCTCCAAAACTCATGTTGTAATTTAATTGCCATTGTGACAGTATTAAGAGGTGAGACTTTTAAGAGGTAATTAGATCATGAGGGCCCCAACCTAATGAATGGATTAATGCAGTTATCACAGAAGTGGGTTAGTTATCTTGAAAATTTGGTTTCTTCTCCTGCCCTCTCTTGGGTGCCCTCTAATGCCTTCCAATTTGTTATGACACAGAAAGAAGGCCTTCATCAGATGCAGCCCTTTCAATCTTGGACTTCCCAGCCTCCAGAACCATGAGCCAGATAAACTTCTATTCTTCTTTTTTTTTTTTTTTTTGAGATGGAGTCTCGTTCTGTCGCCCAGGCTGGAGTGCAGTGGCGTGATCTTATCTCACTGCAAGCTCCGCCTCCCGAGTTCATGCCATTCTCCTGCCTCAGCCTCCCAAGTAGCTGGGACTACAGGCGCCCGCCACCACACCCGACTAATTTTTTGTATTTTTTAGTAGAGACGGGGTTTCACGGTGTTAGCCAGGATGGTCTCAATCTCCTGACCTTGTGATCCGTCCACCTCGGCCTCCCAAAGTGCGGGGATTACAGGCGTGAGCCACTGCGCCCGGCCACTTCTATTCTTTTTAAATTACCTAGTCTGTGGTGTTCTGTTACGATAGCAAAAGATGAACAAAAACAGCCACAGTCACTTCATCTCCCAGTGTCTTGTTATGATATTATGATACAGATGTTGGTTTTCATCCATAGTTCCTGGCTCCTAACTCCCATAGTCCTTTTATAATGTTGGGGCACTTTAGACCTCAGGAAACAGAATCTCTCTCTCTGACCTTCTCCTCTCCTTCTTTCACCTGCCCAAGGCAGGACTGTAATCTGATTGTGGGTCAAAAAACCTTCATTCCAGAGAGAGTCCTGCCCCATACCCTAGAGGAAGGAATGGTACACAGAGAGGCCAAGTAAAGTCTAAACAGATGGGCTTTGTGGGGTTTAGATAATGCACTTTTTGTCCAATCACATTTCTACACAGTTGTCAATCATGCCTACGTAATGAAGCCTCCATAACAACCCGAGAGGACAGAGTTTGGAGAGCTTCCAGATAGCTGAACACATTAAGGTTCCTGGAAGGCAGTGTGCCCAGGGAGGGCGTAGAAGCTCCATGTCCCTTCCCTCATACCTTGCCCTACACATCTCCTCATCTGCATCCTTTATAATATCCTTTGTAATAAACTGGTAAGTGTGTTGTTTCCCTGAGTTCTGTGAGCCATTCCAGCAAATTAATGGAAACCAAAGGGGGGTTCTTGGGAATCTCAACTTGAAGCCAGTTATTCAGAAGTTTTGGAGGTCAGGACTTGTGGCCAGTATGTGGGGAGATGGGAGGGAAGTTGCAGTCTTGGGGACTGAGCCCTCAACCTGTGGGATCTGACACTATTTCCAGGTAGTGTCAGATTTAACTGGAAGACACCCAGCTGCTGTCTACTACTGATATGTGAGGAACCCATCCCCTCCCACATTTGGTCACAGAAGTCTTCTTCTGTACTGATTGTTGTGTTGTGGTGAGAGAGCAGAGGAAAAACCCAGCTTGATGGTTTTCTGAAATACTTGCCCTCCCTTTACTCTCCATCCATGCTATGACCACTGATAATGTGCATAATGCTACTGCAGGCAGATTACTAGCATTCATGTTTATCCTTCAAACCCCCCCACTTCCCACAAGGTTATATTTCAGCTCCTCATACATGATCAACCCAATCCCAAATCCCATTTTGAGGCTCTATTTCCTAGTGAAAATTCTAGTATCAGTTACTGTATCAGTCTCATTGCCAGCAAGAAACAGGTGGTACATTCAAACTAGGATGATTGAAAGAGGGAGGTGTTTACAGTGGTGTAGATGGGGCACAGGGAAATCCCAAGAGAGAGGGTGATAACCAAGAGCTAGCAGTGGAGCATAAAGAAAAGAGAGGCAGTGACCTTCAGTCCAGAGACTCAGACAGCCTGTGGCAACCTCACAGAAACAGCGCTGAGGGAAAAATCACCTTGACTTCACCCTTTCCCTAATTTCCAGTCTCCTGCCAGGGATCCCCAGTGGCCATACCCAGGGCAAAGCTAGAGGCAAGGGAGCCAGTGGATGTAGTCAACTATGTCAGCCTCCTGGGTAGAGAGTGGATCTGGAAGGGAAAATGCAAAAATCTCAAACACATTAGGAAAGGCAGTGATGTTCTAAACAACCTTAGTATGAGGTGCTTGTGCAAAGCAGGTACTTACATGGCTCAGGAGATTGGAGGAAATTCTGGGCTGTCGTATAAATCTGAAAGCTCTCAGCATAGAGGCAAGGCAATATGGGTGGTTGAGATGATTTAAGCAGCTAGGGTGGGAGAAGAGGATCTAAGGTTGAACCTGAGGAGTTCCAATGTGTAAAGGTCAGGTAGAAGAGGAAAAGCTGGCAAAGGGACAGAGAAAGAGAGCCAGAGAGAGACACAGCTGGGTGTCTTCCAGGAGAGTGTGGTAGTTTGGATACCAAGAAAAATAGCTTTTTCCAAAAGAAGGGAGGGTCAACTTTGTTGAAGTAGGCTGAGAGGTCATATAATACAAAGACCAAGGAGTACCCATGGGATTTCGGGCCATGGAGGTCACTGGGTCCTTCAGCAAAAAAAAGTTCTAATAGAGGAATAGGGAAGGAAGCCAGTTGGAGAAGGCTGATAAGTAAACAGGCAATGAATAAGGGCAAACAATGATTGTGCACAACTCTTCCAATCAGTTTAGGAGTGAAGGGGAGGAGAAAAACAGTAGAACTGAACAGGAAATTTGGAGTCCAGGAATAGAATTTTTTAGAATGGGAGTGACTGGAACATGTTTAGATGCTGATGAAAAGGGCCCATTAGAGAGGAACAATTCAAAGATAGAAAAAGGGGAGGATTTATAATGTACCTTTCCTAAGAAGGCTGGAATCCATGGCATAAGAAGAGACTTGACCTTTGTAGGAGGAGAGACATCAGTTCCATTTTGCCAGATGGGAAGAGCAAAGGATGGGCGCAGAGGTGCAGGTTGGTTTATAGGAGCCGGTGGCAGGAAGTGAGGTAATTGCTACCAGAGCGCATCTATTTCCTCTGTGAAGTAAGAACAAAGACATCTACTGGAGTGAGCGATGAGATGGGGGCTCAAAGCTTTGAGAAGTGGAGAAAGTTTAAAATGGTCGTTTCAGAGACAGAAGGGTGAGGGACAAGAGGAGGACGGTGAGATTCCCTAGGGGTGAGGGAGGTTTGAGAATCAGGGAAGGTGGTGACTGGGTGCAGGCTGTAGGCTGGGATATTTCTCTCTAGTCATACTTTGCTGCCTAGGGAGAGACATAAATAAGAAAGTATGCTGTTGAGTTCTTCTAGGATACCCCCCGCCCAGGTGGACGTGATGAAAGGAAAAAATAGGCCAGTAAGTTTAGGGTATTGGCAAGACAGTGACTAAGATAATGGACTGTGGAGTTTAATGTGGCTTCAAAGAGAAACAAGGGCAGAGTGGGTTAATGGATAAGGAAAAGTAGAGTGGCCAGGGTCTAAGGACCTTGTGTGGTGAGATGCAGAGCAGGTGTGCAAGTGGACTGGAATGAGGGAGCTGTCATCAGAGAAGGAGATGGAAGAGGTAACAAGATCCAGGTGCCACTGAGAGGTGGGTGCTGGAGGTAGTGAAGTAGATGAAGGCATTGAGAGGCCAGAGTGTTGACTAGGTCATCCATGGGTACAGTAACGCTTCTCCGGAGGATGACAGGGTTGAGGTGTGAGGGAATACTAGAAGCAAGAAGGGAAAGTCCTTGGGGAACAAGAGGGAGTTTCCGGAGACCAGTGGACAAGAACAACACTACCTGAACTTCAGAGGAGCAGCCATTTTTACAGGAATGCTTGGGGGCTGCATTAGGGAATGAGGGGGCAGCCACATCCACATCCTAATCTAGGATATCTAGGGTGTGGAAAAGGACTCCAGAGGGCTGCAAGAAAAGCAGTGCTCTCTGGGTAAAGAAGAGTTTTAATTCAGGCAAGGAGATGGAGGAGAAAATATCAGGGTTGAGATACCAAGGTCTCCTGAGATAAGCCAAGGCAGCAGAAGTAACCAGGGAAAAAGAGGTGATACTTCAACTTGAGTATGTTTGGGTCACAGCTTGTGAAAAGAATTGCCATTAAAATGATTTCAAAATCAGTGTCTGTCTCCAGAAAGCGCTATGCCTTTTTCAAAGATGCACACGTACTCCCAACTCCAGTTGTCCTTCACTTTCAGTGGTGGCCTCTGTGTGTGTGCTCTGGCTCTGGAGAACAATGCCTACCCAGCACTATTTTCTCCATGCTCAGGGCTGTCCTTGAGTTTCTTTCGTTCCAGCTGCTGTTTGCTGAGGCTGGCATGATATTTACCTTCATCTCTTTATTTCCTAGTTTACCAAACACCATGGTTTCAAAAGAACCCCCCGCCCACCCCCATCACCACCACCAAGGATTGCTTTAGGCCAGTGTTCTCTGGATGGTTTTCTCTATGTCTCTGTCTCATCCCATCATTTGACCTTGACTTTGTATTGTCCTGCAGTGATTTTCTCCATGCCATTTTACCTCTGCTTCACTTTGGCTTGGGTATCCCCCCTCTGCTTTCACCCATTCTCGGCACCTCTAGAGCAAGGAGGGGGTTAGTGGGCAGTGAGGGTGCCTCCGAGGTTAACAGGTGCATGGCAGTATAACTGACATCTGTTATTTATAAAAGAGATGACATAGAACTAAACTCTCAGGACTTTTATTTGCACCTTGGATGACGAAACAAATTCTGCAGTTAACATTAAGAAAAACAAGTCAATATGTAAACAGTAAAAGTGAATTTACCAATTTTTCCTTCTGCCTTCCCAGAAACTCTTTTTTTCTTTCACTGTGACTTGATTACTAATTCTAATCTAGAAACGAACTCTAGATTAGAATGCTAGGTTAGAATTAGTAATCATCTTGACAACTAGGTAATCACAAGTGTTTGCCATTCTCATTACCCAGGAAGTATACTCATACCACATAGTGGATAGGCCAACTAGAACAAAATCCAATCAGGTGTGAAAAATGTACTTTGGGCCTGGTGCAGTGGCTCACACCTGTAATCCCAGCACTTTGGGAGGCCAAGGTGGGAGGATTGCTTGAGCACAGGAGTTCGAGATTAGCCTAGGCAATACAGTGAGGCTTCATCTCTACCAAAAATTTTTAAAAATGACCTGGGTGTGGTGGCATGTGCCTGTGGTGGCATGTGCCTGTGGTCCCAGCTACTCAGGAGGCTAAGGCAGGAGGCTCGCTTGAGCTTGAGAGATTGAGACTGCAGTGAACTGTAGTAGCACCACTGCACTCCAGTCTGGGTGACAGAGTAAGACATTGCCTCAAACAAAACAAAACAAAACAAAAGGTACTTAGCAAACTGGTTTCACTATGCAACAGGATAGCTTAGTCACATTAGAAGTTACTGCCATCTGAATATTTCCAACAAAAATCTTCTCATAATTTTTAATTCATCAAATTCAGTGTTCCCTCTTTCATTTTTTGTTATGATTGTTTTGGATTTTGTTGCTCCTTTTGTTAGAGTCCCCAATATTTTCTGGGTGGTCCTGTGACTGGATTGACTTTATCATTGGCACTATGTGTATTATTGTCTATCACCTAAAATACTTACAAATGGTCTCAAACACACCAGTTGCTGCCTAATAGAACATGCCTCATTTGAGGAACTGGAAGATTGTCTAATACTAGAGAAAGTCCCATGATACAGGCAATCAGGAATTACTAAATTCAAATCAAAGCTTCAACAGCAACTCAATGGGTTCATCATTTGCTCTTTAGCAACACAAAATAAATTAAGGCATAATTAACTGTTGCTAAGGGAAATTTACTCCTAAATTATCAAGATATGTAACTCCAGAATCTCCCTAATATCAGAGGCCCATGTTAAGAAATTGTATAGAAACACAGACTTGAAGGTACCCAACCAGTATCAGTTCTAAAATCTCATTGCTACTACCTAAGACAAATTACCTTTTTCCTTATAGGTACAACTTAATTTGGTTAAATCAGGCTAAAGCGAAGGACTTACACTCCTTGATCAAGGGAAGAGTTTTCTTGTTTTCTCTTTCTCCTGCTAGATATGACCAGGTATGCACATGTATACTTGACACTTGAAGGGAACTGACCTTAAGGTGAAACCTTTGACAAGAAGAGCAGAAGAGGGAAGGAAAGACATGGGTCTGTGTTGGCATCATTGGGCTTCTGAATCAACCAGCTCCTGATTTGTTCAGCCAGACAAGTGTGCAACTCAACACTCTGTTTAGCTATTCAAGGTGCAACTTAAAAGTCCTGAGTTTAGTCCTAAAATTTCAGTTTTGTGAAATAACAAATTTCCTTATGTTTAAGTCAGTTTGATAAGTTGTTATGATTGTGATGATTGTTGTTGTTGTTACTTGCCACAGAAAGCATCAAAAGTGCCACAGGGACTTATTAGTTCCTGACCCATGTAACTAAGGGCCCCCACCAAGAATGTGTGCATCATTGTGGGGGTAAATCCTGCCAACTTTTTCTTCATTCCACTCAACCCGATTCTTGATAAGGGGCTATCTATGTTTTGGGTTAGCTTTACTCTAGCTCTTTTTTGCCTCATTTTCTCTAGCTCCCAGAAATCTATTCTCTATCTAAATATATCTTTCCTTTAAGTAGAATTGAAGCTAAAGTCAAATCAACCTAATACTTTCAAAATATTATGGAGCCCGTCTCAGGGTGGCCTGAAAGAGGACTGTCAGATCCTTCAGTAGGAAAAGTATACTCTAGACTTGTTTTCTGGAGTCAGCAAGATTCTGAGAAGAAACCTGTGGAATTTTTTCAGTGTCGGCACTGCCTCTGAATATCTGTACCCTCATCTCAGGCCCTATTATCCTTGCAGAAATTCTTGGTCTGTATATTACCTTGTGTCTTGTCAGTGAGTTGGGTGGGGCTGGGTTTTGGGTCAGAGACATCTAAATGGCTGAAATAATTCTACTGGGAGTTTGCTGAGGTTACTGTTTTTGATCAAACCGGAAGATTTTCCTGTCAATATTTCTTTTCTTTCTTTCTTTCTTTCTTTTTTTTTTTTTTTTTTTTTTTTTGAGACAGCATCTCACTCATCACCCAGGCTGGAGGGCAGTGGTACAATCACGGCTCACTACAGCCTTGACCCCCTGGGCTCAAGTGATCCTCCTGCCTCAGTCTCCTGAGTAGGTGGGACTACAAGTACACACCACCATGCCTGTCTAATTTTTTAATTTTTTTGTAGAGACTGGGTCTTGCTATGTTGCCCAGGCTGGTCCCGAACTCCTGGGCTCAAGTAATCCTTCCATCTTGGCTTCCCAAAGTGCTGAGATTATAGGTGTGAGCCACTGTGCCTGGCTTTCCAGTCAATATTTCTTCAAATACTTTTTCTACTTCATTCTGTTTCTCTTCTCTTTCTGGAGCTCTAAATATACATATGTTAGACTGCTTGATATTATCCCACAGGATTTTTAGGCCCTATTCTTCTTTTTATTCTAATCTTTTTTTCTTTCTGATTAAATAATATCCGTTGACTGGTCTTCAAGTTCACTGATGATTTCTTATTTATTTATTAATTTTTTTTTAATGTTTCTTTTTGAGGCAGAGTCTTGCTCTGTCACCCAGGCTGGAGTGCAGTGGCGTGATCTCAGCACATGCAACTTCTGCCTACTTGGCTCCAGCAATTCTCCTGCCTCGGCCTCCTGAGTAGCTGGGATTACAGGTGCCCACCACCACGCCAGGTCAATTTTTGTATTTTTAGTAGAGATGGGGTTTCACCATGTTGGCCAGCCTGGTCTTGAACTCCTGACCTCAAGTGACCTGCCCACCTCGGCCTCCCAAAGTGCTGGAATTACAGGCGTGAGCCACCGCATCCAGCCTCACTGATTTTTTATGTTGTGTTCATTATGCTGTTAATTCCAAACTAATGCATTTTCAATGTCAGATATTGTATCTTTCAGTTTCAGGATTTCCATTCGGTTCTTTTTTAAAGTTTCCATAGCTCTCTTAAAATTTTCCATCTCTTCAGCTACTACAGATATATTTTCCTATAGACTCTTTAACTTATTATAGTTATTAAGTCTTTTGTAATTCTAACATCTGGGTCACTTGTGAGTCTATGTTTATCACCTGTTGTTTCTCTTCACTGTAGGTTACATTTTCCTGATTCTTTGCACAATTAGTAATTTTTAAAAATTGTATGCTGAGCATTTTGGATGATATTAAAAAGACTTTGGAGTCTACTATCTTCCTTAGAAGAAATTTGACATTTGTTCTATCAAGCAGTTAAATTACTAGCATAGTCTTGATCCTATAGAGCAATGCCATTCAATAGAACTTCCATGATGATAGAAATATTCTGTAGTCTGTGCAGTCCAGTATCATAGCCATTAACTACATGTGTCTGTGAACATTTGAAATGTGGCTAGTGTGTCTGAGGAACTACATGTTAAATTTTACTTAGTTTTAATTAAATTTGAAATGCCATGTGTGCCTAGAAGTTACTATATTGCATAATGCGGCTATGAAGAGTTGGTTTTAGGCTTTGTCAGGGTGGGCCTATCTTGGTTTTGCCTTTATTCCTAGGACATAGGCTTTAGTCCTGGGGAGTAGTCATTACTCCTTCTGTAGTCTCAGTAGAAAGCTTTAGGTGTTCTCCAGAGTCCTCTAACTTGGTGAGAACTAAACCCTAAGCACCATCTGCTCAACACAAGACAACACCTTTTTAGCCTTCCAGCTGTTATTTTTCCCTCAGCTCCTTGAACCTCACCCAGATGCACAGTTTAGGAATCAGAGAAGTTTGTACACAGATTTGGGAGCTCCCCATCTGAGACTCCCTCCTTTGCGAGATTCCCTCCTTCCCAATCTCCTGCTACTGTGGAAGCCCCAAATTCTAACCTCTAACTTTTTAACTCAGTAGAACAGCCACTTTCTGCTGAGCTCTACCTCCGTCCACTGCAGGAAATGGATAGCGCTGCTGAAGGAAAACCTGATAAATGTGTATCTCACCATATGTGATTTCCTTTTTTCAAGGGTCATGTCTTCAGTTTTTGTCTGCAGAACCAAACCATGTTGGCCAGTTTCAAGAACCTTCAAACAGGTTTTGTTGTTATCATTGTGTTTTGGGTCCAGAATTTACCACTGTCTTTGGCAGAAGGTTTAGTTAGATATAATTTACTTGGCCATTACTAGAAGTTGAAACTTATCTGAATGGCCAAAATTAGGCACTGAAATACCGAGTTTGATGGGAAAACTTGGCTACACTCTCCTCCTAGCATACACTGCCATGTCTATTTGCATCAGAAGGGGCTCAGTATTTGCTGAACAAATCCTGAAAGCTGAAAACTTTCTTGAAGGAGTCATACTTTGACTTTGAAGCATTATCAGTTATTAATAATTTAGAATGGAGAATCCTTTCCCGAAAGTGGGTTTTAATATGGGTTAATGAGAAAGAACAGGAGCTTCTTGGGTGTATCTGTCTTCTTCTCACAAGTGGCAAAAAATCTGCCATGACTTTGTCTTAAATGAAAAGATAATTTATCAACCAGCTTAGGTTAAAAATTCCACAGTAAGACTGGCTCCAGGCATAGCTGGATTTAGGGCTCATATATAGTGTTATTAGAACACAGGTTTTTTGCTTTTTTGTTCTCAGCTTTCAGATCTGCCAATTGCGTTGTTACAATTAATCCCAGCTTCCTGTAGCCACAAGAGGATGGTAGCAGCTTCAGCCACACACCTTCTCTGGTGTACATTATAGAGGGAAAAGTGAGACCCTCTTTCCTGGAAGTACCTGGAAAGATCTCACTGCCTCTCATAGGTTCCACCTGGGTCATGTTCCCATCCCTGAATTGGTCATGTGGTCACGAAATAGGATAAAATGATTGGCCCAGGTGTGACTCACATGCTCCACCCCACAGTCCAAGAAGTGTCATTTCATCAGATCCCCAAGGACTGAGAGGAGAGTGGGAGAAGTTCTCCTGATAAATATCTTGGTTCTTTGTTAGAGATATCCTGGGGCAGAAACAACAGAAGCTCACTAAAATGGGTACTGGAGGAGAATGGAACGAAGACGCGTAGTGGGGGTTAAAAGCTTACACACTAGAGAGGCAGAGAACCTAAAAGAGAAATGCTGACTCTTTCCATTTTGCCCCTTGGCTCCGGGCTGCTGGAAGCAGGTGCTGTGCGATATCACTGCTTCATGGTTAGCATGCTTGGGGACCTGCAATGAGAGAAATCCATGAAATTTACACACTGCAGCGGTATCTTTAAAAGGTATCAGGTGGAGAATAGCTTTTAATGTGGAATCCAGGCCCCAATTAGAGGCTTATTCCATTGCTAAATTTGGTTTGGGTTCAATGCCCACTGACCTCTTGTCCCTAGAGCATTTCAACACCGTAATGAATACGCAGGAACAAATCCTCCTTTCCCCTGCCCTTTCTAATGGTACATAATCTCTATACCATTAGAAATCTGAATTATTTTTCCAGATAAAATTGCCAGGCCCTCCTCTCAATCCTTTCCATTAGTGAGGAAGCAATCCAAGGAAAAAAGAAGCCAGTGCCAAGTGCAGCCATGCCCTGAATGTTCACTCGGCTTAGGCAGCATCTGACCAGCATCCCCCAAGGCTACAAACCAACTAACAGCTTTTAGGGTAGGGAGAATTGCCTTTTCTCTCTCCTTCCGGAACACCAGGGAAAACATAGAGGACCCTAGAGACCAGTGGAAAATACCTTGGGAATCCCTAATTCACTCAATCCTCATTGGTTGCTCCTAAGCACCTTCTACTTTGAAGTTTTGAGTAGCCTAAAGAAGGACTTCCCCTCATGACTAGGAGGACTCTCCCTGATTTTTAAACAATGTCTGCACTGTTTAGGGACTTATATTTTTCTCCAGTAAACAGGCTTCACTTTTGCCACAAAAAATAAACATGGGTATGCAAAATTTAAGTATTCCCATCAAGCTTTTCTACCTTAGTCTCTAGCTGACCAGTGACTAACTGGGAAGTCGCTGCTCACAGGATCTCAGGCTTTTTCTGTCACTACGAATAAATAATAATAAAATAGAAATACATTTTTAGCCAATTTCAAAATGCAACAGGGCAGGTGCCTCCTGGAATGAAGAATTCCTGCAGCTCCCTTCATACTGGTATTCCGCATGTGATAAACCTCTAGTCCTTTCAGGAAATTATTCTGATCCTTGCTTGTTTCATGAAACAACCAGCTCCCTTCCCTGAGTTTCGCCTTCCTGAGGAGCTGGTCTCTGGAAGGGCCAACTGTTCTGCGTCCTGCACTGGGGAACTTCGGGTAGGTTCCCACTCCCACTACCCACCTGGCTTCTTCACTTTCTCTGCCCTCCTACCGCCCTGAGGACACCTGCTGCTCACTGCATTCCCCAGCTTTGTTTGTTTCCCCCATAAGATTACTGGACAGGTGCTGTAATCTTTGGTTTGCTGGGCAGTTGCCTCGGTGCAGTTGCTGTGACCTGCACTCTTGAAGAAGCAGACTTCTTCATTATTCATGATGGCCTGGAGGTCCAGTTACCAGCAGCATCCACCGCAGAGGCCAGACTGAAACTTGTTTAGCCAGTTTCCTTCTTTCCCTGGGCTGTTCCAAAACTGACACACACAGACTAACAAAAACTCTGAGAGTTTCTGTGTTCCCAGGAATTAATCCCACCAGAACAAGCCTCGGTCTGTTGCTAAACTCTGATTCTCATTTCCTCCCCACCTCCCTTTGCTACAAAGCTATGGACCATCAAGTTTTAATGCAGTGTTGAGCTGTTGATTAAAACAGCATGTTATCTTCAGAATGTCAGACAACATATGACAATAAAGTAGGCATAAAATATCAGGAAAACAAATGTGCCCCTGCGTCTGCACTGGATGCAAATGCACAAATGGCTGAACTTTAAAAGCTTCCATGTTCCTAACAAGTCTTAGAGCATTAGAATTGATGGTGGTGATTAGGTTGCTTTTCAGAGCAGCAAAATCTGTATAACTGAATCCTTATGGGTTTAGCCATTCTCAGCCCAGGCATATTAACTTGGCCCGCTGTGAGTCTGCTTGTGTATACACACATGCAGTATTTAACCATGAGCGCAGTGGGCCCCAAATTAAAACCATATTTTGTTAGCATCACATGTTCCAGCTTTGACAGTATTTATCAAAGGGGACGCTGCTGGATTTATTGAAAGAAATGAACTTTGCCAGGGTCTGGCAGACTCAACCCCAGTAGGGAGTTGTTATTTTTACCCTCTGTGCCCAGCAGTGCTGTTGCTGTTGGCTCAAGGCTGTTTGCTCACTATGGGCACAGTTTGCTACGTACGGATCCCTCTCCGCTGGTCCAGTGTGCCTGCCTCCCAGCAGCCTGCACCTCGTGGGATGTCATCAGCTCCACCTCCATGTATTCTTCAAAACCTTGTTTATGTTCCCTTCTTTTCTGTGAAGTCTTTGCTACCTAAACCCAAGGTCATTTCTTCTTCCTCTGATCTCGCCAGCCTGGGTCCAAGAACAGCTGGTAGAAATGCAGATTCTCAGGCTCCACCCCAGACATCCTAAATCTGCATGTTAGCAAGATCCGTGGGGGCATTCAAGGGCACATGGAAGTGTGAGAGGTGCTGCTCTGCCTCCACTTACCATCTCTACTGGGGTCTCTCAGTGGGAGTCCTGCTACCCCAACAGGGGCATTGAAAATGTAGAGAGGATGTTTTTGACTGTCACAATGTTGAGTGCTGGCGGGGAGGACTACTAGCATCCATCAGTGGGGTCGATGCTGGACAGCCTGCGATGTACGGTACACTCTCATATAGGGAAGAACTGGTTCATACGTCACACAACTTTCTAAAGAGCTGCCAGGCAGTCTGGTGGGTGAAAAAATCTATTTTTAATTATTTGAGCCTGGAACCTAATTCCTGTTTGCACACAGAGTTTTTTGTTTGTTTGTTTGTTTTTGAGACGGAGTCTGCTCTGTCACCCAGGCTGGAGTGCAGTGGCATGATCTTGGCTCACTGCAACCTCCGCCTCCCCAGTTCAAACAATTTGCCTGCCTCAACCTCCCTAGTAGCTGGGATCACAGGCACCCGCCACCATACCCAGCTAATTTTTATATTTTTAGTAGAGATGGAGTTTCACCATGTTGGTCACCAGGCTGGTCTTAAACTCCTGACCTTAAGTGATCCACCCATCTCGGCCTCCCAAAGTGCTGGGATTACAGGCATGAGCCACCACACCCAGCCCCCTTTTTATACCCAAAGTATTGTTTGCACAGTTTTAATACACACCAGATTTCTAGGAACTCAACTTTTGTGAAAATTCAGGGAAAAGCGTTCTTTGCTTCGTTCAGAACCTTACCTTTAGTCACTGCTTTGGAAACACACATTATCCACAGTCACGCTGCTCCCAGTGCAATCTCCGGGACAATATATCTCTATTAGTTTGCATTTGTAGCTATCCCAGTCATAGCAGTTTTGTATCTGACTACTTCATTGTGGTTTTTGGTGTAAATGTGCCTGAACATTTATATGTTGAAACACTTTTTTTTTTTTTTTTTGAGACAGAGTCTTGCTCTTGTTGCCCAGACTGGAACGCAACGGTGCGATCTCGGCTCACTGCAACCTCTGCCTCCTGGGTTCAAGCGATTCTCCTGCCTCAACCTCCTGAGTAGCTGGGATTACAGGGATGTGCCACCATGCCTGGCTAATTTTGTATTTTTAGTAGAGATGGGGTTTCTCCATGTTGGTCAGGCTGGTCTCGAACTCCCGACCTCAGACTTTTTTTGTTATAAATTGCTTTTATTTTATTTCTTCTTTATATCAGAGTTAAGGAATTTATTACACTGATTTTGAGTGAGTTATGTCGTTCATATGTAAGTTAACTATATTATTCATGAATTCCAGTTCAGAAAAACTAAGAGACCATTTGAAATTATTTGTTATAAAAAGGGTTTTGAGCCAGGTGCAGTGTTTCACACCTGTAATCCCAGTACTTTGGGAGGCTCAGGTGGGTGGATCACCTGAAGTCAGGAGTTCGAGACCAGCCTGACCAACATGGTGAAACCCCGTCCCTATTAAAAATACAAAAATTAGCCAGATGTGGTGGTGGGTACCTGTAATCCCAGCTACTCAGGAGGCTGAGGCTGGAGAATTGCTTGAACCTGGGAGGCAGAGGTTGCAGTGAGCTGAGATCATGCCATTGCACTCCAGCCTGGGGGACAGAGCGAGACTCTCTCTCAAAAAATAATAATAATAAAAATAAAAAGGGTTTTATAGGTTGGGAAAGTTGCTTGTGTGTATATCCTTCAAATGGCTCTTGTTACTTATTGTCTTGTAATCTTGAATATATTTTTAAGAGACCATGAATCATCTGCCTACTAGATTATAAGTATCCTTAGGGGCTGGGAGCAGTGGCTCATGCCTGTAATCTCAGCACTTTGGGAGATTGAGGCGGGTGGATCATTTGAGCCCAGGAATTTGAGACAAGCCTGGGCAACATAGCAAGACCCTGCCTCTAACACACACACACACACACACACACACACACACACACACACACACACAAGTATCCTTAGGGTGGGACTGAGTTTTATAAACTTGGTATTCTACTCACCACTTAGTTCAGTGTAATGCATATTATCTTAGTCTGTTTGGACTGCCATAGCAAAATACCACTGACTGAGCGGCTTAAACAACAAACATTTATTTCTCACCATTCTGGAAGCTGAGAAGCCTAAGGGGGTGCCAGTAGATTCATTGTCTGGTGAGGGCCCTCTTCCTGGTGTGCAGATAACTGCCTTCTTGCAGGGCCCTTACATGGCAGAGAGAGGGGGCTCTGGTCTCTTCTTCTTATAAGGACATGAATCCCATCATACGGCCCCCACCTCTCATGACCTAATCTAAACCTAAATGCCTCCCAAAGGCCCCAACTGCAAATATTATCATATTGGGAATTAGGACTTCAACATATAAATTCTGGGGGAGGGCACAAACATTTAGTCCATAGCATACATATTGAACAATAAGTAATTGATCATATGACTATGTGAATACCACTCCATCCTCTCCCCAAATGCTCTTGATAAGGTCCTACTATGTGCAAAGCACTGATAGGCTGGTGACAAAGGTCTTTAAGAAAGAGTTTGGTACTTTGTTACTCATGGGCCAGGCACAAAGCTCAACACATAAAGAATTTTGATATGGAGGCTGGAAGTAGTCCACAGGGGAAACAGAAACAAAATTCTGTGGGATTGTAGAGAAGGAAACAATTCCAACACAGATGAGTGTGGAGTGGCAAAGGCATTCATGAGTTCCTTTCCTTATATTTGTTTTTATTTATTGGATTGCCCAGTATCTTCTTTGCCCCATTGAATGTACGCTTCTTGAGAACCAGTCTCAAGTCCTCAAATTTCTTCATATTGCTGCCAAGCTCCAGTTTGTGTCAAGCAAAATCCCTTCTGTTTCTTGGAACAAATTCCATAAGCACAGTCTTTTCAACTGTATATAATAAGATGATTGTGTGTGTGTGTGTGTGTGTGTGTGTGTGTGTGTGTGTAGGCTAAATTGGTCTAATAGTCAGGGGATCTGTATTTTATAGTATTTTACTTTATTTTATTTTGAGATGGTCTTGCTCTGTTGCCCAGGCTGGAGTACAGTGATATGAACATGGCTCAGTGCAGCCTCAACGTTCTGGGCTCAAGCAATCTTTCCACCTCAGCCTCCCAAGTAGCTGGGACCACAGGTGTGCACCACCATGCCTGGCTTTTTTTTTTTTTTAATAGAGATGGGGGTCTTGCCATGTTGCTCAGGCTGGCCTCGAACTCCTAGGCTCAAGTGATCCTCCACTGTGCCCAGCCTGGATTTTAACCTGCTGTTATTTGATGAGATCATTTCACCACACTGTGCCTCATTTTCTTCATCAGCAGAATAGAGAGGAAGGGCTAGAGTGATGGTTCCCAAACTTGTCTGTTTTGGAGGATATTTTTTAAAAATACATAGTTCACTGGGCTCTGCTTCAAACTTGTTGAAACAAACTTTGGGAATGGAGCCCAGGTAACTAGATTTTAAAGTATATCAGGTCATTCTGATAGGTGGCCAATTTGCTTTTCAAACTTCAATGTGCCTACAAATCACCTGGGGAATCTGGTTAGGATGCAGATTTTGATTTGTCAGGTCTGAGTAGGATCTGAGAGTCTGCACTTTAACAACTCTCAGGTGATGCTGATGCTGTTGATACATGAACCACACTTTCAGTAGCCAAGAATAAAGCATTTTTAAGTCTTTCAGCTAAATATTCTCCACCTGCATCAACTGCTAGTGAGTAATGTTATACAAGATAACCATTAAAATTGTCCATATTTAGTGTAAGATGACCTAGCTAAGTTAAATTGTCATGACAGAGTATGGAATCATTATTAGTTTATTTATTTATTTTAGAGATGGGGTCTCACTATGTTGCCCAGACTGGTCTCAAACTTTTGGGCTGAAGCGATCCTCCTGCCTCGGGCTCCCAAAGTGTTGGGATTACAGGTGTGAGCCACCACACCCAGCCCATTTTCTTCATTTACAAATTGTAAGTGATATTTGCACAACCATAAAAAAGAATGAAATTATGTCCTTTACAGCAACATGGATACAGCTGGAGTCCATCATCCTAAGCAAATTAATGCAGGAATAGAAAACCAAATACTGATGTCCTCACTTGTAAGTGGGAGCTAAACGTTGGGTTCTCATGGACACAAAGATGGCAACAATAGACACCGAGGACTACTAGTGGGAGAAGGAAGGGAGACCACAAGGGTTGAAAAACTAACCATTGGGTAATATGCTCACTACCTGGGTGATGGAATCAATCATACCCTAAACCTCAGCATCACATAATATACCCATGTCTGTTACCAAAATGCCAGAGGTTCAGTCTAGGTCCTGCTGCTTGCCACACAAAAAGCCAATCGCTGAGACAAAGAGTATTGCCAGGGAAGAAGGCTTTAATTGGGTGCTACAGCCCAGGAGATGGGAGATCAGTCTCAAATCCATTTCCCCGACTGACTAAAATGAAGAGTTTATATAGCAGGGAAGAAATGAAGCCATGTGTGGGAAAATAGGAGCTCAAGAGGGGTAAGGAAGAGGAGTTGGTCAACAAGAAGCAGGTGGCCAGTTAGGCAGTCATGATAGGTGAGGGGCTCTGGTGTCTCACTGTCCAGATGCTATGATCTGGTAAGTTTTAGTTCCTTGCCACTATCTGGGAGGGTTGATGGTTGGTTTCCTGAGAAAGAAACTCATATAAGACAAATGTAACTTTCTCAAGTTTTAAGACTGGGAGGATCAATTTCTATGTTTATTCAAAGAAACCAAAAACATCAGTTCTATGGGACAATTGGGCTGGTTTTAGTCCTCCACCCCTCTTTCTACTTATCAGTCCTTGATATGGTTTGGCTGTGTCCCCACCTCTCATCTTGAATTCCCACATGTTGCAGGAGGGACCCAGTGGGATATAACTGAATCATGGGGGCAAGTCTTTCCCATGCTGTTCTCATGATAGTGAATAAGCCTCACAAGATCTGATGGGTATATAAAGAGGAGTTCCCCTGCATAAGTTCTCTTTCTTTGCCTGCTGCCATCCATGTAAGACATGACTTGCTCCTCCTTGCCTTCTGCCATGATCATGAGGCCTCCCCAGCCATGTGGAACTGTAAGTCCATTAAGCCTCTTTCTTTTGCAAATTGCTCAGTCTCAGGTATGTTTTATCTGCAGTGTGAGAACAGACTAATACAGTAAATTGGTACCAATAGAGTGGGGATCTGTTGAAAAGATACCCAAAAATATAGAAGCAACTTTGGAAAAATATGGAAGCAACTTTGACAGAGGTCGGCACAGTATGGAGAAGAAGACAGGAAAATATAGGAAAGTCTGAAACTCCCTAGAGACTTGTTGAATGGCTTTTTCCAAAATGCTGATGATATGGACAGGAAATCCAGGCTGAGGTGGTCTCAGATGGAGATAAGGAACTTGTTGGGAATTGGAGCAAAGGTGACTCTTGCTATGTTTTAGCAAAGAGACTGGTGGCATCTTGCCCCTGCCCTAGAGATTTGTGGAACTTTAAACTTGAGAGAGATGATTTAGGGCACCTGGTGGAAGAAATTTCTAAGCAGCAAAGCTTTCAAGAGGTGACTTGGGTAGCATTAAAGGCATTTAGTTTTATAAGGGAAGCACAGCATAAAAGTTTGGAAAATTTGCAGCCTAACAATGCGATAGAAAAGATAATTCCATTTTGTGAGAAGAAATTCAAGCCAGCTGCAGAAATTTGCATAAGTAACAAGGAGCCGAATGTTAATCCCCAAGGCAATGGGAAAAATGTCTCCAGGGCATGTTAGAGACCTTTGCAGCAGCCCCTCCCATCACAGGCCTGGAGGTTTATGAGGAAAAAATGGTTTCATGGTCTGGGCCCAGGGTCCTTCTGCTGTGTGCATTCTAGGGACTTGGTGCCTGTGTCCCAGCTGCTCCAGCCATGACTAAAAGGGGCCAATGTACAGCTCGGGCCATGGCTTCAGAGGGTGCAAGCCCCAAGCCTTGGCAACTTCCATGTGGTATTGAGTCTGCAAGTGCACAGAAGTCAAGAACAGAGGTTTGGGAACTTCTGCCTAGATTTCAGGAAATGTATGGAAATGTCTGGGTTCCCAGGCAGTAGTTTGCTGCAGAGGTGGGGCCCTCATGGAGAACCTCTGCTAGGGCAGTATAGAAGGGAAATGTGGGGTCAGAGTCCCCACACAGAGTCCCTACTGGGGCACTGCCTAGTGGAGCTGTGAGAAGAGGGCCACCATCCTCCAGACCCCAGAATGGTAGCTGCACTGACAGTTTGCATCGTGTGCTTGGAAAAGCTGCAGACACCCAATGCCAGCCATGAAGGCAGCCAGGAGGGAGGCTGTACCCTGCAAAGCCCCAGGGGTGGAGCTGCCCAAGACCATGGGAACCCACCACTTGCATCAGCATGCCCTGGATGTGAGATGTGGAGTCAAAGGAGATCATTTTGAAACTTTAAGCTTTAACTGCCCCGCTGGATTTCAGACTTGTATGGGGCCTGTAGCCCCTTTGTTGTGGCCAATTTCTCCCATTTGGAATGGCTTTATTTACCCAATGCCTTTACCCTATTGTGTCTAGGAAGTAACTAACTTGCTTTTGATTTTACAGGCTCATAAGTGGAAGAGACTTGCCTTGTCTTGGATAAGACTTTGGACTGTGGACTTTTCAGTTAATGTTGAACTGAGTTAAGACTCTGGGGGACTGCTGGAAAGACATGATTGGTTTTGAAATGTGAGGACATGAGATTTGGGAGGGGCCAGGTGCAGAATGATATGGTTTGGCTGTGTACCCACCCAAATCTCATCTTGAATTCCCACATGTTGTGGAAGGGACCCAGTGGAAGGTAACTGAATCATGGGGGCAAGTCTTTCCCGTGCTGTTCTCATGATAGTGAATAAGCCTCATGAGATATGATGGTTTTATAAAGAGGAGTTCCCTTGCACAAACTCTCTCTTTGCCTGCTGCCATCCATGTAAGACATGACTTGCTCCTCCTTGCCTTCTGCCATGATTGTGAAGCCTCCCAGTCATGTGGAACTGTAAGTCTCTTAAACCTCTTTCTTTTGTAAATTTCTCAGTCTCAGGTATGTCTTTATCAGCAGCGAGAAAACAGATTAATTCAGTTCTCCATCATGAGGAATCTGGTCATCAATCTTTTTGGCTGCTTCATGCTGAGGAGGGGCATTGTGGGCAGCTCCATACCATGGCTGAACACCTGGCTACCCAGGAATCCAAGGTTAATCTAACACTATAATTTTCTTCTGAACCACAATCTTTCTCCCCTGCAAGTTCCCCCTCCTCCCCCAAAGACAAATCACTGCAGGGCCATTTTTTCTTGATATTACACAAACATTTTATCCAAAAGTAAAAAAAAAAAAAAAAAAATTTACCCCAATATAGTCTCAGGTATTTTGCTATAGCAGAACAGACAGACTCAGGCACTTTGCCTGCTCACCTCTTATCTTCAGGTGAGAGGCGTCAGGCATCTCCACCCCACAGTCCTGCTGACAGCACCCTAACATACTCACAGGCAGGAAGCAGGAACGTAGGGGTGGGTTCCAGGGAAGAGAGGTGTCATGATGAGAAACACTTGTGGGGCCTGAGCTGACCTAGGCGGCCGAGGGAGGGAAAGAGCATCAGGCAGGAGAACCAAAGTGGACATGAGGAAGAGAGGAAGGTGGGCGAGCCCCTGGATGAGAAGGGGCCACCACGATGCCAGGCTCACCTCTGCCATTGAATAGCTGCTCGGTGACTCCTCACAGTCTGCAAAGCAACCTCCTTATAATCTATAGCTCACCAAGTCAGACTACCAATTTAGGACGTAAACAAGGCTGAGGAATTTTATCTTTCTTCCCGCAATCTAGGCACTCAGTCTTCCCTGCAAACTTGTGCGTCTCATGACAGCCACACTTAAGGACAGCAGCGGGCAGCTGGAGGATCATTCCCTCTGGCTGCTGCCCCAGCTGTATTTACCTCTGGGCATAGTGACTATCTAAGATCTGGAACAACCTCTAAGAACAGGGTACAACCTTGACGTCTGAGAGAACATTACAGCTGGGGAAAGCTTGCTCCAGCAACTTCCCCCTCTCACTGTGTTCTCTTTGACCTCTTTATCACTTTTCCTGAAAAGGGAGGGAGCTGAGGAAAAGCATACAAGTCGCTTGGGTTATTGAGGCCAGAGGAAAAGAGTTCCAGATTTAAACGATATCAGTCCAGCTATAAACCACGCGATCCGCTGAGTATCAACTGACATGCAGACACAAAAGTGAATCCTCGCTTAAACTAATGTGAGGGGAATGAAAATTATTCTGCTTTTACAGGAGCACTGCCTGGCTGAGCAGGCGGTCTGGGCCAGCCACACAGAGATTGGTAGAAGGACTCCTGTCCCTGTCGACTCACAGCCAATGGACTTGGCTCCTTTCTTAGGGCCCTCCAGGATACAGGCTCCCCATTGTGCCTTGAGAATGAAGTCCATTTGCGCTGAAGAGGGAAGAGGGAATTTTACATTTGCTTACATTAGAAGGCACTGTAGCCAATGAGAGCCAAATAACCCAAGAGTTTTGGCACTAGGAGGGACTTTAGGCCATTTAATTCACACTCATCATTTTAGACAGATGAAACTGAGAAAGAAAGACGGAAGAGATTTGTACAAATTCACGGGTAAATCCTCAGCAAAGTTGAGTCTAGAATCTGGCAGACACTCAGACCCTCCTCCTCCCTTTCCCTGCTGCCTCCATGGAAAACTTGGTAGTTTTCCTGGCTTGTTGTGGTTTTCTGAAAGCCCTTGGATTATCAGAGCTCACATTCACCTAGGCTTATTTCCTCAACTCACCAGCTGGGGCTGAATGAGGCTCAAAGACCAGTGGGAAGAGAGTGCTTGCTGAAGGGTGCATGGTAGACTGAGAGAGAGGAACTATGAATTAGATTCATGACTTTACACTACCTACTTGAGAACTTCATTTTCAAATGTGCAAGGAGAAACAGACGCTCTTACTACACCCAACTAATCATTCAGCATGTGTCAGGTCCAGTGAGGAGGTGAACAGATGCAAACAGAACTCTTGGGGCATGCTTGATTCTGCATCAGTAAGCCATGATCTCACCATAAAAAATATCAGTCACCTCCTGTGGTTGGACACAAGTAGAGACTGTAGGTCCCCACCCTGATTAGCTTGCTACCAAGTGGAGCTGTTGCAATAAATGCAAGTCTCAGCTCAGACCACATTTCATCAAATGCAGGGATCTTTGTTAGATACCAGATTATATTAATCTTTTAAAACCTTGCTAAGAGGAGAGGTCTCTCTCTCTCTCTCTCTCTATCTCTCTCCTTGCAACCTCCGGCTCCCCCCAAAAAAAACAGCAGAAATACCCAGGCAAGAGAGAGTTGCTGTCCTTTAAAAGGTCTCTTTCTGCCCCTCCTATGCACCCTCTTTCCATAGGTGATGAGTCACAGGGCTCAGGGAATGTGTCTGCACCTGTGACTCATCACCAGTGGAAAGCCCATCCCATATCCCACCTAAACCACTCTTTGGTGCCCAGGATCCCAAGGGCCCTGAACTCACTTCAGGCCTCTTCAGGGGGTCTGAGTCCTGAGGATCATCTGTCTCATGGCTGTCCTCATCCCTAGGCCACCAGGCAGCCATTTATAAAGAATGGGCTATGCAGACTGGGGTGTCTTTAATATGGGATGAGGGATGGAGCTGGGAGCAGACAGAGAACGGAGACACTGGGACAAGCAGATGGAACTCTGAGTTGAAGAATTCTATATCCAAACTTGATATTCTAGGTCCCTCTGAATATATATTTTTCAAGGCAAGAGGATAGAGTATGTTCTATATTATGGTTTCTTAGCTGGATTTATAGCTTTTAGATGTTTAAACATATGCTATGTGGGTCTCCATTTGCACTCTTGCCCCAGCCTGCAAATGTTGGAGACAAGTTTTTGAAGCAAACGCAAAGACTGGTTTCCTATGGTTAGATGGTGGGGGGCAAGGGGAGAGTGGTCTTATCCTTGGAGATGTCACACCAGTGGGCTCTAGACTCCCAGCCCTACACAGATGGCATAATTATTGGGCTTGATCATTTTTATCCCTTATTCACACAAGACAATTAGTCCCATTAGATTACTCCTAACCAAACAAAAAAAAATCTGCTGGTTTGCCAAATCAACAATTACTTTTAACACTTTTGTGTGCAAATAAAGGAAACTCAGTTGTTGACACAGACTAGAGTTCACTTTTTTGTGTTATCCATTAATTAATCAACCCTAAAGAGTAAAAGCAGATTAGGATTAATTGGTTTACACACATATTCCATTACTTATACTACAGTATTTAAAAATAATGACCACAAGGCCGGGTGCAGTGGCTCATGCCTATAATCCCAGCACTTTGGGAGGCTGAGGTGGGCAGATCACTTGAGATTGGGAGTTCGAGACCAGCCTGACCAACATGGAGAAACCTCGTCTCTACTAAAAATACAAAATTGGCGGGGCGTGGTGGCGCATGCCTGTAATCCCAGGTACTCAGGAGGCTGAGGCAGATGAATTGCTTGAACCCAGGAGGCAGCGGTTGCGATGAACTGAGATCGCACCATTGCACTCTAGCCTGGGCCAACAAAAGCGAAACTCCATCTCAAAAAAAAAAAAATAATAATAATAATAATAATAGTAATAATGACCACAAATACAGCATAGCAGCCAGCCTGCCAGAGTCCCCCTTTTGTTTCTAAACTGGATACACCTACGTGGGGTGGTGGCTGTGGGCAGCAGCTCTCAGGATGAGGAATCTACAAGACTCCAGAAGCCCAGAACAAAGGCTCCTCTCCCCTCCAGAAAGGGCATGCCAGCCCCTAGGATGATGTATATCACCGTTTCAGACAATCCTTCTTTAACCCAATAAACCACATCCCCTAGGCCTATGCCCCAGGTTTGGGGTTCTAAGAGACTTACTGCACAATGTTTACGTAAAATCATTCTTCTTTTCTGTGCTGGTGCTCCATATTAAGCAACTTCCCTTTATCTGCACTTATGTTACAGGACCTAAGAATTTTCTACTTACATCCACTTAGGGGCTTTCCATGGGCAAATCTGGCCATGACCCATCACATGCTGTTTTTCCAGCTCTTTGCTGTGTTTACTTTTCATGTAAACTTGGGTTATTCCAATAATTGTTTTTCGGTAATTTGGAGAGTTACAGGAATGCAACATTGAGCCCAAGAGGCAAGATCAAAACTAAAATTTGTGACATTAAATATCCAAGAGTTCTATCCAAAATCTTCTAGAAAGTTAATGAGAACCCCAGGCAAATCAACTGGAAGAAAAATATTTACCATTTAGCACTAGACAGTTGCAGGTACAAATCTTAGTCTACAGAAATGTCGACAAGCTAATCAGTGGGTTCCATTCCCATTCACCCAGGACACACAATACCACATTCAAGAATTCCCTAATGAATATACAGTTCTTACTTTCTCTGTGACCCACCTCCCCCACACCAAGTCCCCAGATACTGGAGACAGGGAGCTTCAAGTGGAGCACCACATATTCTCCTAAATCTCTTGTATAAGTCAGAGTCCTTCCTTTACACACAAGGGCTTTAAAAACTCAAAAGCCAGGAAAATGGGCTTCTATATCTCTGTCCCCTGTTGACTATCCCTTCACTAAGACAATGAGGACAGAGTAACCTTGCTCAAAAAAGCAAGAAGTACTTTGGGAGGCCGAGGCGGGGGGATCACCTGAGGTCAGGGATTCGAGACCAGCCTGGAGAACATGGCAAAACCCTGTCTCTACTAAAAATACAAACATTAGCTGGGTGTGGTGGCACATGCCTGTAACCCCAAATACTTGGGAGGCTGAGGCAAGAGAATCACTTGAACCTGGGAGATGGAGGTTGCAGTGAGTGGAGACCATGCCACTGCACTCCAGCCTGGGCAACAGAGTGAGACTCTGCCTCAAAATAAATAAATAAATAAATAATAAAAACAAGAAGAGAAGTAGGTGAGAGGGTTAAGAAAGAAATACAGGAGGAAAAAAACTATATAATACTTCAAAATTAATATCCAACCATAATACTAACAGTTTTGAATATATTTCCATATAGCCTGTTGATAAAAAAAATCTTTCTTTAAAATATAGATATGATTACAAGCCTCCAACAGTTTCATGTTCCCCACAAAGGAAGTATTAGAAAGATCCTCCTACATTTGGAAAATGAAGTGCTGGCACCACTGAGATATTTGTCTGGGAGACCTACTATTTGCATGGGCAGAGAAAACATTCACATGGAATATTCAACCACAAAAGCATCAGATCCTGGGAACAAAACTAACAATTTCCCAAACACTTCCAAAACATAGCTCTGACCTCTACTCCATCAAAAATTCTGATTTAATTTGAGGAGATTCTGCTCTATTTCTTAAATCAAATGTCCCTATCTCTCTTGCACCGTGAATGCTCTGAATCGACCAGTAAGACAAGAACAACATTAAAACCAACAGTGAGGGCAGTTTCAGCATCATCTTGCTCTCCTCCAAGACTTCCCCTGGTTACCTTGCTCCTTTCTCCCTGCCAGACCTTGAGTTCTCTTTTCCAAAACATGGCTTGAGCACCTCCTTGAAGAAGTCTTCCTCATGTCTCTTATCTTGTTCTAATCATCCCATGGCTAGCGTAAGTAGCACAGATCCCATCTGCATTCCAGCTATATGTGTTCCTGTTGTTTCTTCCTGTCTTCTCATTAGCCTATAAGCTCTATTGTACAAGGTCTACACACTCACATCCACTGTAGTACCCATAACCATGTTGCACAATATTCTGCATACAGAGGGAACTTAATAATTTTTGCAGTTTGACTTTTGGGTCTCTATTCTGGCTCCTGGGTAATCATTTATCAGCAAACAAATTAGTTATCAGTGAAACAGCCATGGTTTCCAGAGTTAATCATTTGTATTTCCACTGCTGGAAAAAACAACACATACCACTTTCCTTGCAGAGAGGCATGCGGTCAGAACGTCACTGGCAGATCTCGCCTGAGAGTTTTGACGCTTGTAACTCTGCCCTGGAAAGGTGAATCAACTTTTATTTTGATTCATGTGTTTTTCCAGGTTCCTTTAGCCTAAATGCATAAAAGTCAGAGAAAGTCATCACCATAATACTGATAACAACAATGACAAAGATATACACATACAGTCAGTGGCTGAACACCCACCAGCAAGATTGCTGGAAACCAAGCCGCACCACACCTGCCGGAGCATCCAGGACCATCTACTCAGTGCAGGCTCAGCAGCCATGCCTACCTTTGTCCATCCCAGGTATGGCTCCCCCAGGTGCCAGGGCTACTTCTCTCTCTTCTAGTGGCTGCTCTTCCTGCTGGCACGCAGCACCTGCCTCCCAGCTCTAAGCCTGTGGGGCAGCCAGGAGAGTCTTGCCTCTGGCCTCCGTTGGTCCCATACTTCCTGGCGAGTGGCTTTGCACGGCAGCCCAGCCCTGGGGAACTTTTCAAGGGAGAGGGCTTCTTTCCCTCCCTAACTCCCCTACCCTCACCCAACCCCACTCCATACTGGCCCTTTACCATCGCCAGTTGTTGCCTTGCCAGGTACTGTGGAACACCTACATCTTTCCCTATCACAGGGCTTGGACACACAGGCGTTGGAGTCAGATACGCTGTGTTTCAATTTTCAACCCCCTACACCAATTGCTTCTCTTTTCTGAACCTCAATTTTGTCATCCACAAAATAGAGATAGTATAATAATACCTGCCTTATGGTGGTGTTGTTAGAATTAAGCAGTAACGTCACTCGTAATGATAACAGCTGTACTGACCAAGGGACTTGTACGTGCTGGGTGCCATGCAGTGTTTTGTACCTCTTCTTGGAGCCCAGCATGGCGTCTAGCCCAGAACAAGTAGTCTGCAGCTTCCTTCCCCCTCTTCTTCTTTCTTTTCTCCTCCCTCCTTCATTCCCTAAATCAAATAGGACCTGGGGGTGCAGCATCTGGTCCCTTATGGGGGCTTTTTCCTCTCTGCAGCATCTTCCCTTCTTCTACAGGCCATCTGAGAGAACCCAGACCCCTACCCCCAGACTCTCCGCCCACTAGAAACAGGAGCCTTTTCACTCTCCTGCCCAAGTCCCCCACCTAACAGGGTAGCTCCATTTCTGTTTCCAGCCAGGTTTCCAAGCTCCATCCCCATGTTGGGGCTCTGCACCTGGTGTTCTGTTGCTCCAGGGAACACAGATGGCCAATAGCTAGAGATAAGGTCAGCTCTGTGTCCTCCTGGACCACAGAATGTGCCCCTAAGAGCCCTTTCCTTCCACTTCAGCACACAGGCAGGCCATTTGCACCAGGAATGCTGCAAAACACTGACTGGACACAGATAATCAATGCTTAAGCATAATGGTCTCCAACGGAGCAGGAGAAGGTCAGGAACCAGCAGGGCATAGCCATCCCCCTATCCTGGGGGAGGCAGTCAAGAGGAAGGGCCCCTGGGGAAAGAGGGAGCTGCACCTCGCATCAGGGGAGGGGGTGAGTGGAACACCAAGATTTACTGGACTTCAGGGGCCATCCTATTGTGGGCTAGCCTCTGAAGAACCTTTAGTAGATTTTGCCACACTTGGCCCTGGCTCTGGTGCACATGCCTCCATTGCCTCAGCAAGGCTGCTGAGCTCTCCCTCTCCCTCTGTTCCATTCTTGCTTACATAAGGCCCTGAACAGCATCTCTTTGTATTTATTCATATGCACCAAATCTCATCCACAACACACTTCAATAGTCATAGACACTTTAAATCCTACTGTTAAAATCCATTTCCTTGCTTCTATGCCATTCCATTCCTTCCACTCCCTCCCAGTTGTTCTCAAAGGAAACCATGCATCAAACATTTGAGCCTCCCTCATCAGTTCTTACTCCAAGTCTCCAGGGCCATGTGACTGTCTATGATCTAATTTCCTGTGGGGTCAATATACAATTCAAACACTTCATCAACAGACCACAGCAACTGTGGCCTCCACTTTCTACCTTCTTGTCCTGGGCAGGGCTAGGCCTGGTCACTTTCAGGACACTGAGACTCTTTCCTGCCGTCTACATCAAAAAAAGGGACCACCCGCAGCAGAGGCAAAGACTTCAAGAATGTGCCCTGATGGACAGTACTTACCTCCCTCTGTCCAGGAGGACAGGAACAGCAGAAACTCTCACTATCTAACAAGAGGAGAAACAAGGTTGGATGTCTCCAGAAGTTGTGAAAGTCAGAGAAATCATACGAATAAACAGACACTAAGCTCTGGTGCAGTCTAAGTGATTTATGTTCACTGTATCTTTACAATAATCCTGGGGTTTAAGTACTGTTACTCTCCACTTCCAAAGTAGACAAGTAAATAGCAGACAAGTAAATGGAGGCTCACCATGGCTCTATAACTGTCCCATGGTCACACAGGCCAAAGCACAGAGGAAAATGACGGATGCATCCCTCCCCTTTTGCTTTAGGAAGGGTGGTCCCCAGGACCTGGTCTGGAAGACAGAAAAAAAATTAAAAAGAGCTGGACTACTCAGCATAATAAAATGATGGAGGGTTGCCAAATTGGCCCTAGCACTTGAAGAAAGAGGATGGTTATTGAAGAGAGAAGGGGCTTTCCAGAGAAAAAGGAAGGAGGTTTTGGTACTTAAAACAACCTGTTAGAAATTTGTAAGAGTTTGTCTAGTGTGACTTGGCATGTTTTTGTGCTGCATTAGGTAGAACTGTAATTTTCTTCTGCTACCCCAAATCTTCAGTGAAAGTCAGCCAAATGTGCCAGCACTACCCACCATAACATTTGTGAACAGATGTAGGTGTTGCTTGGAGAATAAAAGGAGGGAGCAAAGTCCGGCACGGAGGAAGCAGTGTGGAGAGAGGACAGTGGCTTTGATGGGCAAACACTGGGCCCAAGACCACACTGGGCAACCGAGAATTGGGTCTGAGCAGGAATGGGAGGGAAAGGCAGGCTCTGCAAATGCGAAGGCCCTGGGGAATCTTTGAAAATGCTGAGGGGAAATGCGATTCCCCATGTAATTTCGGATGGAGGCTTGAGCCATTCGATGTGGATATTAAAGAAAGTGTGACTTCCAGGAGGCTGAAGGTTTGGAACCCTTTGTTATACCTCTTGCAATTCTATCAACAACCCATGAGATAAAACTTATTTTCCCCTTTGTACAGATGAGAAAGCCCAAGTCATTTAAGAGGTGGATGTAGCCTGGAACCAAAAGACAGGGCCGTGACAGATCGTGTCTGTCCAGTCTGCTCTGAGAACTGCCCCACTGTGGAGCACTTCACCCGGCCAGCAAGCTCCACTCACTCCCGCACAGAACTGCTCAGAAGTCCTTCGTGCTGAATTTTGTATTCCACCCTATCCCCCATGTCACTGCAATCTAAACCTTTTCCTTGAGGACTTCAATGTTAGAAGTCCGGGCTCTGACTCAGACAGCCTAGTTGAGTGACCTTCACATGACTTGGACTCAATTTCCTTGTCTATAAAAATAGGTAATACCAACATCTATTTCATAAGAGTGTCGTAAGGATTAAACAGGAAAAAAAAGTGAAGGACCTAACGTATTGTTAGCTTTCAGTAAATATTAATAGAATTAATATTTTTAGTTATTAATTAAATTATTAACTAATTAAAATAATAATTACTATTATTGTTTTTCCTTGACTTAATGTCCTGTGTACTTTTAGTTTCCCTCAATGCTAAC
Source organism: Homo sapiens (assembly GCF_000001405.40). Classification (NCBI taxonomy): domain Eukaryota; kingdom Metazoa; phylum Chordata; class Mammalia; order Primates; family Hominidae; genus Homo; species Homo sapiens. Next base: position 106,791,424 of record NC_000006.12, read on the forward strand.
ATCCAGTACAAAATCAGAACATTGATACTGGTGCAACCCACAGAGTTCATCAGTTTTGCATGCTGTCATTTGTGTGTGTGTTTGTGTGTGTGTGTCCCTGTACCATTTTATCGCCTGTGTAGATGCGTGTGACCACCACCACAATCACGATACAGAACGGTTCCATCAGCACCGAGGTCCTTGTGCTTCCTCACCTCCCTTCTTGCCCCTCCTTTATCCTTGCCCCCCGGTTATTTTTAGTCCCCACGAAGTGTCTCAGAGAAATCTCAGACATGTTTTCCCACTCCAGCCTGTTTGACGTTGTTGCTTCCTGCAAGCCACCAGGGAGGCCAGGGGCTGCCCCTTTGTCATCAATCTCCTAAAGGCCTGTGCCCTCCTGCCCAGGATACTACCTCCACGTTCCCGCGAAGCTGAGACACGTCAGGTATGCCAAATGGAGCTACAGTGTGTGTCAATTACACAGGATGTTCTGTAAGAAATGGGGAGACTGCCCATTCCCCAGCTCTATGTTGCATTTGGCCACATGAGACCCAAAGCAGATTGCATCTGCCCAAACCATACATCCCCTACCCGTTCTGACTGCAGTTGCCTTGTTTTCGAAGGTCAGATCCAAACCCTGGGACTGGGCTGGGCAGACATTGTCTTTCCTCCTAATCTCTAAACCTGTGTCCCCCTGGGGCCTCTGTTCAAAGCTTCTTTTTTTTTTTTTTTTTTTTTTTGAGATGGAGTCCTGCTCTGTCACCCAGGCTGGAGTGCAGTGGTGCGATCTTGTTCAAAGCTTCTTCAGCACAATTTTGGTTTTCCTGGATAAACAGATGCACAGGGGGTTCACCACATATAAGCTCATCAGATAGACCAAGCTACATTGCAGGATCACAGTTTAGGCTTGGCTGAGGTGCCTGACTCCTCTCAGGATAAATTTGACAGCATTAAAAACAGATGAAATAGCCAACCTAAGCTCTCAGGAAAGAAGTCCTCAGGTTTGTAGGTTCATAATTTAATTCAAAATAAAAGTTTTACTGAGTCTAGCTTTGGTCAAAAATATTTGATTGTCTAAAGAAGGTAATTACCTTCTCTTAGTCACCTACCATCTAACATAAGATGTGTTCATGGTAATTAACCTGTATCTCAGTATTTAAGTTACAGAATAGCAAAGGGGAAATGTGACTTGGCTACAGGAGGATTAACATCACCCAAAGATAGATAGAGAGACTTAAAACCTCTTTGCAGAAGAGAATATCATGTTTTAGGCAGTGCAAGGAGAGTTGCATCATGTTAGGCAAAAGCATAATGTTGCTATTGTCTTTATTGGGAAGTTAAACATGGTTAAAAGAAGTGCGTGTGAATGCCAAGTTTACAAGGAATAGACTGTGGTGGCTTTGTACCATGACAACTGAGCTTAACAAAACCTGTGTTTTCAAGAATTCCCTTCCCTGTGTAGTTCTAGGTTATGGTTGGCGACAAGACATATTTTCCATCAGACTTGGAAGGTGGGCATGGAGCAGTGGCCATATTTCCTATGCCCTGAATGTAGCAGCAGGGCAGCAGGTGCTGTGGCAGCTGGCAAACGTTGTCACTGATGTGGTGTGTGTGCCCAGACCCACAGCTCCTCCAGCTCCTGCCAGATCTCCTCCATCTGTTTCTCTGAGTCCTGGGCCAGGTGATAGTGCAGCTCCATGGCGAAGGGCTCCAGCTTCTCCAGCAGGTCATGCAGAATTGAGGCTGGAGTGGATGGGAGAGGGATACCTGGTTCCAGTTGGTCTGTCTTCGTGGTTTCTAATTATCTTCGTGGGTTCCATTTCGTCTTTGTGGTGTCGTGTTTGTCCTTCTTCTTATCCACACCCAGCTCCCATTCCAACTGTCTCTCTATCTGACCCATAGGACTTCAGGTCAACAGTAGACACCACAGGGGCAATGATGGGCATAGATCGCCTCCCCCCAGCTCCCTCATGGCAAAACTAGGACTCTGCCATCCATTATTCTATATCACTTACACTGGTTCTGCATCTTTGATCAAACCCTGAATGATACAGAATTATGTAGTGATTACTTCTCAGAGGCACTATAACCAACTGAATTTTGTATTTGTTGATTGAACAGAAGATCAAGTTTTAACTGCATATTGATTGAAGGGGTGAATGATGAGTAAGAAATTAAAATACCCTTTGGGGGTGCACAGAAATATATATTCTCTGCCCTGGAAAACAAATCCTAGGTGACTTTGACCTTCAATTCTTACACTCAAATATCCTGCCTATTCTTCAAATAGGAAGCATCTTTGTAAATGTCTAAGCATTTATTTATTCAACCAACTATGCATTGTTTACCTCTCTGTCCTATGCATTACCCCACAACTGGACTCCAACACACTGAGGATGGTTCAAGAAAATTGCTGAGGCATTTTCCTTCCTCCCTCCAGAGCCTTGATCCCAATCTCCTTTCACTTTTATTTTATTTCCCAAACTCCAGACTCTAAGTTCTGAAGACCTGACTCAAATCCCTGCCTTTGGGCCCCCTGGATTTCACATCTACCCATATACACCCTGGCATTTGATCCTTTGTCCTCCTTGTGGACTCTGGCTTCACTTGATCCTTCAGGCCCTGTCACCTCCCTTGATCTTGGCTGGACCTTGCAGCCCCAGCTCCTACCAAAGTCACCGCCTGCGTTTGACTACCTGGATGGTGCTTCCCAGTGAGAAAGAGAATAGGTGACATCCAGACACCACTCTCTAGAGCCTGCAACCTGGTGGGGGAAGTGAGTTATACACAGAATACAAAATAAGCATCGAAGAAGTCTGGAAAAAAGCATAATCCCTTTAACCCAAACTAAGGTCATCAGGGGAGTCTTCCTGGATTAGGTGACCTTTGGAGGGACTGGTAAAAATGTAACATAACCCTAGCTATATATAACCCCAGCTATATATAACCCCAGGAGATGAGTTGGGAAAGTAGGAGGGGGAAATGCTAGGGATAATGGAGAAAGCCAAAGAATTGGAGCATGAGGCCTTGCACAGACAAAATTCAGTTATATCGTTAAAAGAGTGCAGAGAAAACATTAGGAAATACAGATAAATTTCTATCTCCTGTCCAAAAAGAAGTAGGGAAACTATAACCACCACAAATAAGCCTCCAGTTTATCCATGACTTAAGACTTGTCATTCACAAACCGCTTGCTGGGGTGACAAACATCTGAACAGTGAATGAGAGGATGAAAGGAAAAACTGGATGATCATGAAATGTTAGTAAGTTGCCCCGAAATTAAGAGCATACCATTTCCACAAGGCTGGGAGAGAAGTCCCAACTCTGAGGCTTTGGCAGCTCAGGGAAGCAGAACACCTCTCTGGGACTCCACGAATGTTCTTGGCGACTGAGCTGTGAACATTGCCCAAGAATACATTTTTGAAAGTCATAAATAATACAACTTCTCGAGTTAAACACACAGAGAAAAAATGACTGAAGATATGTCTGTTATAGATAAACATGCTGCCACATCTTTTTGACAGCTTATGGCATTGGAGATTCTTCTAATAAAAAATTCAATTTGAAAGGCCACCAGCAAAATCACTGTTCCCTCTAAAAGACAATTCTAACTACATTTCTACAAGACAAGCGTAGGCTTCTTAGGATTCTCTGGACAGGAGGATGGAACAAACCTGAAATATTTGGGGTTGTTTGTTTGTTTTTGAGATGGAGTCTTGCTCTGTCGCCCGGGCTGGAGTGCAGTGGCACGATCTCCGCTCACTGTAACCTCCGCCTCCCAGGTTCAAGCGACTCTCCTGCCTCAGCCTCCCAAGTAGCTGGGATTACAGGCATGTGCCACCATGCCTGGCTAATTTTTGTATTTTTGGTAGAGACAGGGTTTTGCCATGTTGGCCAGGCTGGTCTCAAACTCCTGACCTCAGGTGATCCACCTGCCTCAGCCTCCCAAAGTGCTGGGATTGCAGGCATGAGCCACCATGCCGAGCCCCCAAACCTGAAATATTTTGAAGCTCATCTAATAGATATTAGCTAGCCAATACAATTAGAATATATTCCACATGTCCTCATTATTTAAACAAACTCCAATTGGAAAATTTCTCATTCATGGTAATAAAACAGTTCCTCTTGGATTCATCAGGTTAATTAAGTGACCCCTGAGGTGAACTGTGTCTAGACTTATTGTAGACCCATCCAAATTACTGTGATCTACTGCAGGATAGCCAAATCCTGATGCCATGAAATATAATATTGTACCTCTGAATGGGGCGAAGTAGAAAGCCTCAGAAAAGCGGGGACACAGGAATATTTCTGGGGTATAACCTGTATAAAGGCAGGATCCAAATAGTTCAGTCTCAAGATGGTAGTCAAGGAATACAGCCTGACACAAGAAGGAATTTCAAAGACTCAAATTATTTATTTTGAGATTCTGGGAAACCACAAAGAGAAGGCAAACATAGAGCATACAGCAACACTTATGAATTTCCCTTTCTTCTGCACCCATTTCACTCATATGTGCTGCATTTGTTCTGAGGTGTCCCTCATCACAATTTCCCGAAGGCTTTCTCTAGGCTGAGCTCCGCACTTGCATTTTCCTCTCTTTACTTCCTCTCTTATGTCTATCCTTTGACTATAGTCGTTGATATTGCCTCTCTCCCCGTGATTAAAAAGGGAATAAAAACACGTCCTCTTTGGGAGAGGAAAGAAGGGAGGAAATTTGGCAGACCATTATAGCGTGAGTTTTTGGTTATCTGGGAAAGGGAGGAAGCCAGCAGACATTCCCATCTTTATTCCATTTAGCTCCCTCTCTGCCAGACAGTGATAAGGGAACTTAATTTACACCAAAACCAGGGATAGGGAGCCCAATTCAGAGGCTCAAATGAATATACGGCCACACATTCCTAAAAAAACAAAAATAAAAAAAACAACAACTCACCTTTCAACCATCTTTTGTTGGTTGACGTATGATTTCCTTATCGTAAGAGAGTAAGTATGAGTTATTAAACAGGACATTTTTTGTTATTTTTTGTTAGTTTGTCTTTTTGGGACAGAGTTTCACTCTTGTTGCCCGGGCTGGAGTGCAATGGCGCAATCTTGGCTCACTGCAACCTCCACCTCCCGGCGGAGGGTTCAAGCGATTCTCCTGCCTCAGCCTCCAGAGTAGCTAGGATTACAGGCGCCCAGCACCATGGCGCACTAATTTTTTTTGTATTTTTAGTAGAGACGGGGTTTCACCATGTTGACCAGGCTAGTCTCGAACTCCTGACCTCAGATGATCCACCCGCATTGGCCTCCCAAAGTGCTGGGATTACAGGCGTGAGCCACTGTGCCCAGCAACAGCACATTTTAAAGTTAAGATGAGGCAACATAAAACTTGAATTAATAAATGTGACAAACAAAAATAACAATAAAATAATAAATTATAAATCCCAACATGAATACAATTATATTTCTTAATTTTGACAGTGTGAACAATAGACTTAGTGTTAGATCATTTGCAGCACGGTCAGATAGAAGAATTTTTTCCCTCATGTAAAGACTACACCCTAACTCAGGCATGGGAAAACATCATCTCATATAAGCCTCATAAACCCCAACTAAGCCAGCTCTTAGGGCCACACCAGTGTTCCAACATCTGTAAAGCCAGTTTTCATCTAAGTTTAATTTTAAAAAGCCAAAATGTTGAGTAAAATATTGTTCTTGTACATCCACTCTGGGGTGGGTTTTTAGTGTCCTGACCTAGAATGTAGCTGGGATGGAGCAGGACTGCTTGAGGAAAGAGGGTTGCTGGGCTCACCTTTTCAGTTTGGCAGAAGCATTGAAACTGGTGGGGGAAAGAGGCCTGGTAAGGAACTGGGGTTTGGAGCCCCTTCAAATTACTCAAAGCCAAAAAGGCGCACAGAGAGAGAAGAGCAAGAACCTAACAGCCTGAAGTGGCATTTCTGGCATGTGTTCAGGCAGCTTTTTTCGTCTGTGTTTCCATAAAGACCTCTCTTGCATAAAGCTCATCCAGGCCTCTGTGAACTGGTTGAGCCAGGGCAAGATGCACAGTCTCTGGGACTGTGAGTGTGAGTAAACAAGATTCTCCCCTTACCCCACAAGCCTACCCCTGCCCCAAAACAATTCAGCACAGAGGTATACTTCAAAGGCCCACAGCTCTCCCCAGCAAACAGACAAAGCTCTGCAGCCTTCAGATAGAGACTTCATCCTCAAGCCAGACAAAGACTTCATCCTGGTGGGAAACTGATGAGAAGAAGAAATGGCAATAGTAATGTGTATACACATACGCACACACAGGTTACAGGTACAGGACTCTAAAATTGCAGTGTGAAGTCTCCTGATACAAGCCACATTCTCTGGTCATCTGTTTATCCAAACAGAGTTCTACACTAGGGTCAAGAGAGTCTTTTTAAAAATTATAGGGTACTGTGCTTTGCTAAATGGCATCATGGAATGAAGACAACACTGGTGATGCTACTAATTATGCAGCTTGAGAAAGCTGCTCACCTGTGCAGAGCTTGAGTTTCCTCATATGAAAATTGGAGATGATAAAACCTACCTTGTAGGATTTTTATGAATATTAAATAAAATAACATGTAAAAACAACTGGCCAGAAATGGTAACAAGCAAGAGTAGAATTTGGGAAAAGGGTTTGCTTGATTCTAACAGATGTTCTCCAAAGGTGCAAAATGAGGTTGTTGAGAAAGGTGGTGTGTGGCTGGTTGATGCGAGGCTTTGAGTCCGCCTGCCTGTGAAGTTTGATTTTGAAATCTCAGCCTCTTAGAAGCCTCTGTAAGGGGATGGGTGGTCACAAAGCCACATCTTATAGTGTGGTCTGCAAGGATGCCTATAAAACACTCAAAGCTTATTGAAAATTCCCCTGCAGATCTCCTCGTCTGAATTCCTCCCCACCCCACACCAATGAGCCACTACACATTCAAGGAAAACAAAGAGACAACTCTAAAGCCCTAAGGAGCGGCCCAGCTAGGCCAGTAGTTTTCCCCAGAGGGAAAATGTGCTTCCAGACACACTCAGCTGAAACTGACTAGAAACTGGACTGTGTTGACTGAACAAGTTGAGAAAGATTTGCCTCTGGCTTTAATAAATTACGACATCAGCTTTTGGCATTTAAAATATTCAACTGTTTACCTTAAAAAGTCTCTTGCGGCCGGACACCGTGGCTCATGCCCGTAATCCCAGCACTTTGGGAGCCCGAAGTGAGTGGATCACCTGAGTTCAGGAGTTTGAGACCAGCCAACATAGTGAAACCCCATCTCTACTAAAAATACAAAAATTAGCCAGGTGTGGTGGCGGGCGCCTGTAATCCCAGCTATTTGGGAAGCTGAGACAGGAGAATCACTTAAACCCGGGAGACAGAGGTTGCGGTGAGCCGAGATTGCGCCGCTGCACTCCAGCCTGGCTGACAAGAGCGAAACTCCAAAAAAAAAAAAAAAAAGTCTCTTGACATTAATTTCTTTTCTGGTTTGAATAAAATAGCCTTTTTCCAGGTTGTATTAATTTGCAATAAAAGTGTTCTGACCCTGTATTTTTCTTGTCTGTAAAATGGACTGAGACGCTATTAAGGTTCCTTTGGGCTCCGAGAACTATAGGACTTGGGGACAAACAAACCAGGTGGCTGATTCTACTGACGGCTTCACTGTCACCTGTGGTTTCTGCTCCTTCAAAGGAGTGAGGATTAGCTGCTATTTAGACACAGGAATGCAGGTCTTTGATTATTTGGGTGTCTGTTTTCACAGGCGTTGGACCTGACCCTGCAGCCTGGGAACCCTGACCGGACCTCTCCTCTGATTTGAAAGTACGCAGGCCTGGCTGACACCAGACACCACAGAGGTGTGGCCCCCACCAGACACAGCTACCATTAAACCCCATCTTGTTGCTCACTGGGTGTGTGGCCTTGGTTAACCACAAACCCGCCTAGATGCCTCACTGGCAGGCCAGCTGAAAGCCATCATTTCTTATCCAGCCCCTTAGGGACAGGATTAGAAGAGTTACCTAAAATGTAAGATGTTGCATTCCTAAAGCCCTGGCTGTAACCCAGGGGGACTCCAGGCAAGACGGCTGATCCCAGCGACTTCACTCCTAAATGAAACCAAAGTCACCTAGTATCCTTGAGTGGCATGACATGGAGAATGGCAAGTGAAACCAGAGCCTTCTTGGCAGTTAACTGAGGTGCTCTGAGAAGGTGGCAAAGGAAGAAAGCCTTGGCTTTATTTAAAGGGGCAATTAAAGTTCAGGAAGGAAAGGAAGTGTTGTTATTCTTAATTTTTCACACTCTCCCTGACCCCAACCACCATTCCACAAATAGCCCAGGATTTCATTTGCTGCCAGCAGAAGTATATAGATATCTCTGGAAAGCTATGAATGATTTACAAGCTGGGTCAATAATTAAGTTATCCGGGGATGTGTAGACATAACCAGTCTTAACTCTTTAAATCTCAGAAGACTTGCTCCCCAGCCTGGCAAGAGAATAATGGTTAGAAACCAAACAAAATCTCCATACAGATTTGAAATGCTTTGAGCTAGTAAAATGTTTCAATCCATTATTTGGGAAAGGCTGATGAGCAGATTGTGTTTCTCATCTTGGTCTGTGATTATTTCTAGGACAAAAGAAACATATTAAGTTGGTACAGAAGTAATTGCCATCTTTGCCATTGCTCTTAATGCAAAAACCACATTTACTTTTGCACCAACCTAATAGTTTGTGGATTCAAGTACCCAAACTCTCAGCTTCGATTCCAGCTCACTCCGGAAGGCCAGGTGATTTTGAGAGGGGCCACTCCCTGGAACTGGCCGTCCTCCCTCAAAGACCTCCTCGTGAAGATTTTAATCAATGATGGATCCAGATCCTTCCAAAGGGAAAAAGCATCATTCACGTGGGGGAGGGGAGTTTGTTTGAGAGCAGCCCCTTTGTTGGCTGATCTGTGGGAGGAACAGCCCAGTGGTCTATGCTAGTTAAGGGGTCAAAGCTAAAACTCCTGAAAGAGTTAGCAAGATGAGACTGCATATGTGCAAACTGGAGAAATTCTGAGAAGAAAGTCGCCCAGGGCTTAAGAAGGGCTTTCATGTGGGGCAGGGCTGGACCTGAGCCTGGAAGGACTGGCGGGTGAGGAGCAGGACACCTCAGAGACAGGCATCATTCCGGGCACAAACCTGTGCTGAGTCCTACCTTCCATGTCCAGACATGTACCTGTGCTGCAGGTACATGAGCCAGAGAGGATTGAGCCTCTTATGGGCCGAATTATGTCTCCTCAAAATTCATATGTTGAAGCCCAAATCACCCAGTACCTCAGAATGTGACTGCATTTGGAGATAAGGCCTTTAAAGAGGCAGTGAAATTAAAATGAGGCCTTTAGTGTCGGCCCTAACCCAATCTAACTGGTGTGATCATAAGAGGAGATTTGGAGACACAAAGAGACACCAGAGAAAAGGCCACCTGCAAGCCAAAGAGAGAGACCTCAGGAGAAGCCAAACGTGCTTCTTGAGCCTTTGATCTGAGACTACCCACCTCCAGAACTGCAAGAAAATTAATTTCTACTGTTAAAGCCCCCTGGTCTGTGGAATTTGTCATGGTGGCCTTAAGCAGATTCATACAGCGTCCTTGCCCTCCGAGGGCTCCAGTGTGTTGAGGAGGCCAGACAATAAACAAAATCCTATGAAACCCATACATTCATGACAGCTGTGCAGGGCACTAGGAAGGACAAGGAAAAGGTGCTTTGAGAGTATCTGAAGAACAAAACCGGGGTGAGGAAACACCCCTGGGCCTGGAATTCCCGCCTCAAGGAGAGGAGAGCAGGGAAGGCAGGCTGACCCAAGCCACCACTGAAGAGATGGGAAGTGAATGACAATGGGAACACCAGATTGCAGAGCGCCTGGAAACAAGCAGGAGTATTCTTGCTGGATCTCCAAGGCAATGTGAAGCTATTTTAGATTTCCAAGTGGAGGAACGGCCCAAGGAGAGCAATGCTTTAGGGAGCTCTTTCTTACAAGCATGTGCAGAAGGAGCGCAGGCCTCAAGGCACAGGAAGAGGGGGTGCGGGTGAGAGGGCTGGATCGAGATGCCAGCAAGCGGGCAAAGCGGGGGAGGAGCTGCATGCAAAAAGCATTTTGAAGAAGAAAATGACAGGTCTTGGTGATTGATGGGAAACTCTTTTAAAATTGTCTTGTCCCTGAAGCAGCCCTTCAAGGCTGTGGCTGACGTATAGGAAGGCCCCTGGTAGACCCCTCTCCAGAGTGAGGTGGTTGCCATGGCACCCAGATGCGAGCAAGGGGGATAAAGACCAAATGGCACATTCATTTCATACCCTTCCTTTACCATCCCTTTGTGGGATACCAGTGAGACCCACAAAGCTTCCCGAATCTGCACGATGAATATCATCAGAAGGCATTTGATTACAGCTCTGAGACTCAGTAAGAAAGTAACACCTGGGTAACGTCCATAAAGCAATCTTGCAGATTTCTCTGTGAGGGGCTTCTAACTTCTGGCTGCCTTTCAGCTATTCACAGCTGGGGGGAAGTGGAGGGGACAAGGGGACGTGGGTAAAAGAACTTCTCATACTAGCCTGTGAAGGGATGTTAATGTCTGACTGACAGGAGTAGGACAGTGGTTGCTTGATCCAGCCCTCCTGCCTTCTGCTGGGAAGGAAACAAAAATATGGAAAACCCGGGGGGCTAAAGTTCCAGAGCGCCTGCTGTCAGCTGAAGCCCATGGCCTCACAGAAGCAACCAGATAGAGGAAGCTGTGAATAGATCCTGCCCCGTCAGGTGCTGGATGAAGCTTGTTTCCAGTGTGAAGGAAAGGGGACCTGGTCAGGAAACCATGGTTTCATGAGCCAGACTTTACAACTGCAGGCAGCTGCCAAGGCCAGAGCTCACGGTGAGTGGCAGACAGAAGAATACCAGCCCTTCATCTCATAGTGCTCCGCCAGGCTCATTTTCCATCCATCAGCAGCCGAGGGTTAACGTGGAGATCAGATTAGAGGCACTGCTCTCTAAGAGACCTACATTTGAAGCACTAGGCAAAAACTGATATAAGCACATGTGGAAATAAAACACAGGGTAAAAGAGTCCAGCAAAAAATCCTGGCATGGCAGCTGACTCTGACTGCACAGGACACAGTACACTGACACTCTCTGAGGAGAAGAGTATCTTTAAAGAGTAGACTATTTAAGTAAATTATTTGTGCATGGCTGGTAGAATTCATTATTGTATTATTATTTTTTTTTTAAGACAGGGTCTTGCTCTATTGCCCAGGCTGGAGTGCAGTGGTGCAATCACGGCTCACTGCAGCCTTGACTTCCCAGGCTCAAGCAATCCTCTCACCTCAGCCTCCCGAGTAACTGGGACAAGTGTGTACCACCACACCCTCCTAATTTTTGGTATTTTTTGTAGAGACAGGGTTTCATCATGTTGCCCACTCGAGCCCATCTCAAACTCCTGGGCTCAAGTGATCCACCCACCTTAGCCTCCCAAAGTGCTGGGATTATAGACATAAGCCACCACACCTGGCGCCATTATATTATTATTTTTTTAAAGTCTCTTTTAGAACTGTAAGACTTCAAGATGCTCCATTTGCTCTGGATTGAAAAGCTGATAAATGTTATTTTGTAATCAAAATGTGGTCTGAGGACCAGCTGCATTGGCACCTCCCAGGAGCCTGATACAATTTCAGAATCTCAGACCCAAATCCAGACCTGCTGAATCAGAATCTGCACTTTAACGAGATCCCTGGAAGCTCTGCACAAACATTAAAGTCTAAAAAGCACTGCCTTGGAGCAGGTTAGGCAAAAAGAAGAGCTGAGAAGGGTTGGGTAGCTAAGATCTGGCTTAGCAATACTATAGCCAGATCAGTGCCCACTTCTACTCACTAGGCAATGGCCCCTGTGGCCACAGTGAGAGGGTTTAGATAGTAATGCAGGGTGCAGAGGAAGAGGGCCAGGCTTCTGCTGCATGACCGAAAGAACCCAGGTGCCCCTCCCACTTAGGTGCTCTTATACATTCTCAGCCTTTATCTTTACAAGCCCAAGGCCCATATGAGTCTAGATTATGCAAAATAAGTCTAAGCAATGTAAAAAAAAAAAATGATTTTTTTTTTCCAATTAGCAAAGGGTAATGAGCACTTTCCAGAAATTGTGCTTGGTAGGATATGTCACATAAGTAAATTTTCTTTTGTTTATTTTTCCAAAAAGGCTGCACCAGAACTATCCAAGATAATTACTTTGCCTTCAGTCTGGTTGAGCAGCAGCTGTTTATGGTACCTATGACTTCCTCTGTAAGATCAGTGAGATGTAATACAACAACAAAGGGATTTTGAGTAGACAAACCTGTGCTTGAATCCTGGTTTGGATTATTTCCTGAAATTCAGATAGTAAACTCTAAAATGCTGAATGAATTTACAATTAATTATTCATTATTGAGTGGAAATATAGCAGCATGGCTTAGCCTGGCTTGACTAATAGCACCATTATTATGTCAAGGAGACTAAAGCTTTGAGAGATATAGCTCAATGTCATACAACTAGAAAGTGGCAGAGCCCAGACTGGTAGGTGCCAGGTCTATTGGCCTCAAGAGCCCAGAAGACAGTTAAACCTGATACCATTGCTTCCATGGGCCCAAGGCCTTACTCCCTTCCAGTGCCTTCAACTCTGCTGCATAACTGATGTTCTCACAGTTTAAGACAGAATTGCAAGTGAGCCAGATTTACAAAGGCAGTCATCTTACTACCTTCATTTATCTTACTACCCTTCTGACTTCAAAAGTCATTGCTAATATTCTAAATCGTGGCCTGCTCAGTCTTTGCTCTCCTTTGCTTCTAAATAATTTTGTTGTTTCATCCTCAAAAAATCTAACTCTTCATGTCAACAAGAAAAATCTCAAAATGAGATGGTAAAACAAACATTCCATTGACTTTCAGACTATTAAATAACTAACCCTCTCCCTCAGTCTCCCTATTCCCCATCCCCCTCTCCCAGCTTTTTTCAAGTGCTCCCTCCCAGGCTGGAGAATAATTATACTCTCTGGTGAAACAGAGAAGGTAGAAACTGGAAGACTGAATAGATTTGAGTTAATACAACTTTCTCTCAAACAAAAGCATTTAAGAGTTCAGCAAAGGTTAGGCACGCAGAGAATGCTGCATTTCCTGGTATCTTCTGATTAGCTTTTAAGATAATTAATGGAGATGGGAGTATTATTGCTTGAACAACTACCGCATTCCTGGAGAGAAACAGGAAGGACAGAGCCGAGAATCCTGAGCATTAACCCCAGTGGCCAATCAGCTTCTTTTGCATTTGTAAATTCCCTCTGTGGCTCCATGGTGACCCCACGGTTAGGTGACAGGCAAGCTCCTAGCACTTTGCATGCATTACCTTAACTATACGGCACACTTCTTTTCCGGGAGAGAAATAGCCATACCCATTTTAGGAAGGAGGAAATTGCTGCACACACACAGCCCTTAAAACAATCTAATGTAGCAGCTGCTGTAATTATGCCCATTTTGTGGATGAGGAAACTATGGTCTACAGAGACTTAGCAACTTTTCCAATAACACACAATAAATATTGGGGCTAGAATTAAACCCAAATCTGTCTGACTCCAGAGCTATCACAAGAGGTAACATTTCTGCCTTATCCTACTTCCTTGTTTTATATCTACAGTTCCATAACTGCAGGGCAGCAGAGAGATGCAAACATCATCACAACAAAAATGTCATATATGTCCCCAGTAACCACTAGGCTTCTTTTTGACCATCTGGCTGGCCCAACGGCCAAGCAGTCACCACCAGATGATTCAACCAACTCTGGCTTCTTTCTCTTTCCTCAGACTGTGAACTCCTTCTGAGAAATGATCATATTTTTCCATTTTTATATCCCTCTCAATGCTGCCACATTATAAGAGAGAAAAATTGGCACTTGCTGAATATATATTATAAGCTATGTCAGCTATGTAGCACAGAGACTGTCACTTACCTCTTCAACATTCCAACAGGCATCAGTAATCAATCATAGTGCTCTTCCCTAGTTAAGGCCAGAAAGAGCCTCAGCATCCTTCTCAACATAATACTTTAGTCAGCTACTATCAACCAATCAGAGTTGGTACACTAGGTGAAACCTATTTACTCTTCCTTATCTAAATTATTGACTGGATACCTTCTCATGGCCCTTATGATATTGAGAGGTGACAGCGTGCTGGCAGTCCTCAGAGCCCTCGCTTGCTCTCAGCGCCTCCTCTCCCTGGGTTCCCACTTTGGCGGCACTTGAGGAGCCCTTTGGCCCGCCGCTGCACTGTGGGAGCCCCTTTCTGGGCCGGCCAAGGCCAGAGCCGGCTCCCTCAGCTTGCAGGGAGGTGTGGAGGGAGAGGCGCCAGCGGGAACTGGGGCAGCACGCAGTTCTTGCGGGCCAGCTGGAGTTCTGGGTGGGCATGGGCTTGGTGGACCCTGCACTCGGAGCGGCCGGCCTGCACCGGGCAGTGAGGCGCTTAGCACCCGGGCCAACGGCTGCTGAGGGTGTACTGGGTCCCCCAGCAGTGCCAGCCCACCGGCGCTGTGCTCGATTTCTCACCGGGCCTTAGCTGCCTTCCCGCGGGGCAGGCGTAGGGACTGCAGCCCGCCATGCCTGAGCCTTCCCCCCACCTCCGCGGGTTCCTGTGCAGCCCGAGCCTCCCCCACGAATGACGCCCCCTGCTCCATGGCACCCAGTCCCATCAACTGCCCACGGGCTGAGGAGTGCGAGTGCATGGCGCAGGACTGGCAGGCAGCTCCACCTGCAGCCCCGGTGCGGGACCCACTGGGTGAAGCCAGCTGGACTCCTGAGTCTGGTGGGGAGGTGGAGAGTCTTTATGTCTAGCTCAGGGATTGTAAACACACCAATCAGCACCCTGTGTCTAGCTCAGGGTTTGTGAGTGCACCAGTTGACACTCTGTATCTAGCTGCTCTGGTGGGGCCTTAGAGAACCTTTATGTCTAGCTCAAGGATTGTAAATACACCAATCAGCACTCTGTGTCTAGCTCAAGGTTTGTAAACGCACCAATCAGCACCCTGTCAAAACAGACCACTCGGCTCTACCAATCAGCAGGATGTGGGTGGGACCAGATAAGAGAATAAAAGCAGGCTGCCTGAGCCAGCAGTGGCAACCCGCTGGGGTCCCCTTCCACGCTGTGGAAGCTTTGTTCTTTTGCTCTTTGCAATAAATCTTGCTACTGCTCACTCTTTGGGTCCACACTGCTTTTATGAGCTGTAACACTCACCACAAAGGTCTGCAGCTTCACTCCTGAAGCCAGCGAGACAACGAGCCCACCGGGAGGAGTGAACAACTCCAGACATGCCGCCTTAAGAGCTGTAACGCTCACCACGAAGGTCTGCAGCTTCACTCCTGAGCCAGCGAGACCACGAACCCACCACAAGGAAGAAACTCTGAACACATCCGAATATCAGAAGGAACAAACTCCAGACGCGCCACCTTAAGAGCTGTAACGCTCACCGCAAGGGTCCACAGCTTCATTCTTGAAGTTAGTGAGACCAAGAACCCACCAATTCCGGACACAATATGAGCATTCCTACCTAAGTTTCAGTTATAACATTACCCAGAGAAAGCAAAAGTCAGTGTAACGTAAAAATATTCACTAAAGGAGTTGACCACTTTTCTATTTCATCTCTACTCTGCCACCCCTTCCTCCCTTTTAACAGTAGCCATTACCCCTTCAGTAATAATGAGTTATGCTCTTTGTCAGCTGTTTTGCATAGTATACATGCACAAATGCAAATAATGGCAAATCTTGGGAAATACAAATTTTTTATAAAGTAGGTGAAAGTGTTATTGGCAAATTGCTCAAATCAGACACTGGAAGCCATTGACAAATGAGAATCTGGGAAAGTTATACCGGTTAACAACTGGAGATGAGAAAATTCCAGGGTGATGACAAGATATGTGCTTCAAAAGACATCATTTGAATATCAAAGGATTGAGCTGAATCCTTGGGAAAACTAATAAAGCTCTGGAATATTTTTGCAAAGAAATGACCTTTTTATGAATGTACTGTGGAAATCAAACACACAGTTAAAGAATGTACCATACCCCTATACGAATTTGCCAAAAAATAATTATTACAGGAGAAACAAAACTCCAATAGTCAACATTTTTGGTTTATTTAAAGAATCAGAGCAAGTTGTGACTGTAACATATTTTAGTTTAATAGTTGGGGAAAGAAGTTATTTCCAAATGAGACAGAGGAGAGATTGGGCTTAGCTTCAGCTCACTCCCACTAGAGGATTGCCACTGATCACAAAACCCACACCACTACCTCTCTGATGCCATAATGTTCAACCATGCCTTTTACTTAAAGAATTCCATGTCCAAGCACAGTGGCTAACACCTGTAATCCAAGCACCTTGGGAGTCCAAGGCAGGAGGATTGCTTGAACCCAGGAGTTCGAGACCAGCCTAGGTAATAGAGTGAGACTCTGTCTCTACAAATAGAAACATTAGCTGGTCATGGTGGTGCACACCTGAGGTCCCAGCTACTCAGGAGGGAAGGGAGGATTGCTTGAGCCCAGGAGGTTGAAGCTCCAGTGAGCTATGTTCACACCACTGCCCTCCAGCCTGGGTGACAGAGCAAGACCCTGTCTCAAAAAGAAAAAAAAATATCCAGAAACTGGACTTAGAAGATAACCAAGGCTGTGGAGTGTCCCATCTTGGGAAGGAATGCTGAACAATTGATTTACAGCCTTGTTGCCACCAGCCAAACCACCAGGTGGCCCACTACTGAAGATAATCATCACAAACAGATAATGCTGCCCTGCATACCCCACCCCTCATGTGCTTTGCCCAGCTCAGCGCACGTACCCTACCCCTGATGTCAATTCCTGCACTTTGCCTAATAAAAAAGCCCGATTGGCTCTTTTCAGGGGAGTCAGTCAGGGAATCTCTCTCTCTCTCTCTCTCTCTCACTGCCTCCTTTATGTTCAGGCATAAATTTCTATTGCATTAAGAGCCCAAGAACCCATAATGGATAACATATTCTTTGGGGGCTCATCCAGGATCACAGGATGTATGGAGCCTTTCTCATCCCAAGGGGAAGACTTGTGAGCTGAGAGAACTGCTGGACAAGATCCCTTCGCAGCTGACAAGCAGCTGCCTGAACTACTGACTCAGTGTCACCATGAGTCTTTCTCCGGCCTCCTGGACTTCCTCACCTTTCCATCAGGAAATGCTTTCCTCCCTTCCCTTTTCCCCCTGCTCTCTCTTTTTCTCCTTTCCCCTTCTATCTTTTCTGTCACCCAGTTGCTTTGCCTCTCTTCTCCAAATCCTTACTGCTTTTGGCTGCCTGAATAACATCCTTGCAGGATGGATTAAAATGGTTGACTATTGGGTCTGATCAATCCTATGGGCATTGGAATGGATCACACCCCTCTTCTGGCCTAAGTTGGTTTGGTTTTGAGTACCATAAAAAAAAAATGTCCCTCTCTCTTTTCCTCTCTCTCTCTCCTCTCTCTGGCACCCTGGCCCTCTCTATTCCAAACCCATCATTACTTCACTTCCCTTTTTCACTTCTGGTGGGGAAGGGAGGCCTGTAATGTTTTAGGGAGTCTGTCTGTCTGAATGTGTAGTCCTGTCAGTTTGGGGAGACTGTCTCAGACAGGGTGCTGAGGATGCCCAGCTGGCCTTCAGGAAGGCACCAAGGACACCTGAATGTGACCATCAATATTGGTTTCTTATTGTACAATAAGAAAAGTTTAGAGCTCAAATGGTTAATCTGCAACTATAATGTTAAGCAGAGTAATTTGAGAGGATTTTGCCTATGTTTCCATAATGGAAAAGATTTTTTGTGTGTTTTTTTTCCTTTTTTTTTGGTAACATGGCTTGGCCCCCACAGCTATGTCACAGTGAACAGGGTCACCACAGTGACTCAGTGAAAGGAAACCCAAACTCCTGGCATGCTGGCAAAAGAATTTCTTACCAGCCAGGCTTCTGGCCTGTCTCTCTGCACAAACCAGTTAAATGAATGAGGAAAATTATTGTTTGTCTCCTCTGTAAAGTTTTGATTAATGGGAAAAAGGATTTGTCTGTGTCATTCTGTCATGGAGAGGGGTACTACAGGATAGAACACAGGCCTAGGACTTCTATAAACCCACTATTTGAGGCTGCCCAGCAGACTGGTCAGTTATAAGCTTTACTGCAGGTCTCTGAAACAAAAACTGGATGAGGTTTCCGACTTGTCTTGTTTCATGTCCTTGGGAACATGATATGACCATGTGAGGTATCCTTGGTCTTTGCCATCCAGAGAGTGAGAATTTCTGGGGTCATGTCAGGTGGCTGGTCATAAAAGATCAGGATTCTGAGACTCATCAGCACACTGTTGGTCCAAATGTGTCAAGCCATAGGGTGAGTATTGCCTTAGGGGCTTTTTCATCTTCTTCCATCTTATGCCCATTTCTGAGAGTGAATTCTTGGGGGTCATGGAGATGCCTCCTCTATCCTCTCTCTAGAAATACCTCTTGCTTATATGATTTTTAAAACCTAAAAAATTATCATTGGGCTTTAAAAGATTTTGGAATGAGTCATTATAGGAACTAAGAACACCATTAAAAGAAATGGGACTTTAGAGATATCTTATTCTCAACAATTTTTTTAAAAGTTTAAATTTTAAAAAGAGGCATACTAATGCCATGGTTAGCCTTAAAAATTATCTTGAACTTCAAAGACTGAAGAAACATTAGCACACAAATATGAGAAAGAACTAACACAAGGACTCTGACAACTCAAAAAGCCAGAGTGCCTTTTTTCCTCCAAATGACTACACCACCTTTCCAGCAAGGGTCTAACTGGGCTGAAATAGCTGAAATGACAGAAATAGAATTCAGAATTTGGAAAGGAATGAAGATCACTTAGATAAAATAGTACCTTGAAACCCAATCCAAGGAAGCTAAGAATCACAATAAAATGATACAGGAGCTGACAGAAAAAATAGCTGGTATGGAAAAGAATGTAACCAACCTGATACAGCTGAAAAACATACAAGAATTTCATAATGCAATCAGAAGTATTAATAGCAGAATAGACCAAGCAGTGGTAAAAATCTCAGAGCTTGAAGGCAGGCCTTCTGAAATAAGACAGTCAGACTGAATAGAAAAAAAAAAAGAAAAAATGAAAAGGAACAAATAAAACCTCTAAGAAATATAGAATTATGTAAAGAGACCAAATATACAACACACTGGTGTCCCTGAAAGAGATGGGGAGAGTATAAGCAGCTTAGAAAACATATTTCAGGATATCATCAATGAGAACTTCCCCAATTTAGCTAGAGAGGCCAGCATTCAAATTCAGAAAATGCAAAGAACCCCAGTAAAACATTTCACAAGAAGAACATTGCCAAGACACATAATCATCAGATTCTCCAAGGTCAAAATGAAAGAAAAAATATTAAAGGCAGCTAGAGAGAAAGATTAGGTCACCTACAAAGGAAAGCCCATCAGACTAGCAGTGAACCTTTCAGCAGAAACCAGAAGAGATTGGAGGTCAATATGCAACATTCTTAAAAAAAAATTCCAACCCCAAATTTTATATCTAGCCAAACTAAACTTCAGAAGCAAAGGAGAATTAAGATCCTTTTCAGATAAGCAAATGCTGAGGGAATTTGTTACCACCAGACCTGCCTTACAAGAGTTCATGAAGGAAGCTAAATATGGAAATGAAAGACTTATCAGCCACTACAAAAATACACTTGAGTACACAGACCAGTGACACTATAAAGCTATCACACAAATAAGTTTGCATAATAACCAGCTAACATCATGATGACAGTCTCAAATCCACACATATCAATACTAACCTTGGATATAAACGGGCTAATTAAAAGGTACAATGCCCCAGTTAAAAGGCAGAGTGGCAAGCTGGATAAAGAACCAAGACCCATTGGTATGCTGTCTTCAAGAGACCCATCTCACATGCAATGATACACATAGGCTCAAAATAATGGAATGGAGTAAAATCTACCAAGTAAATGGAAAACAGAAAAAAGCAGGAGTTGCAATCCTAATTTTAGACAAAGCAGACTAAACCAGCAAAAATTAAAAAGACAAAGAGGGGCATTAATAATGGTAAAGGGTTAAATTCAACAAAGAAATCTAACTGTCCTAAATACATACGCATCCAACACAGGAGCACCAGATTCATAAAGCAAGTTCTTAAAGACCTTCAAAAAGACTTAGACTTCCACACAATAATAGTGAGATAATTTAATACCCCACGGACAATATTAGATCATTGAGACAGAAAATTAACAAAGATATTCAGGACCTGAGCTCAGCACTGGATCTGTATTAGTCCGTTTTCACACTGCTGATAAAGACATACCTGAGATTGGGAAGAAAAAGAGGTTTAATTGGACTTAGAGTTCCACATGGCTGGGGAGGCCTCAGAATCATGGTGGGAGGCAAAAGGTACTTCTTACATGGTGGCAGCAAGAGAAAATGAGGAGGAAGCAAAAGTGGAAACCCCTGATAAACCCATAAGATCTCATGAGACTTATTTACTATCACAAGAATAGCATGGGAAAGACCTGCCCCCATGATTCAATTACCTCCCGCTGGGTCCCTCCCACAACACGTGGGAATTCTGGGAGATACAATTCAAGTTGAGATTTGGGTGGGAAAACAGCCAAACCATATCAGGATCAAAGGAACCTGATAGACATCTACAGAAGTCTCCACCCAAAAGCAACAGAAGATAAATTCTTCTCATCGTTGCATGGCACATATGCTAAAATAAATCACATAAATGGACACAAAACACTCCTCAGCAAAGGCAAAAGTACTGAAATCATAACAACCACTCTGTCAGACCACAGAGCAATCAAATTAGAAATCAAGACTAAGAAATTCACTCAAAACCATACAATTACATATAAATTGAATAACTTGTTCCTGAATGACTTTGGGGGTAAATAATGAAATTGAGGCAGAAATCAAGAAGTTTCTTGAAACTAATGAGAACAAACACACAACATGCCAGAATCTCTGGGACACAGCTAAGACAGTGTTAGGAGAGAAATTTATAGCACTAAATGTTCACATCAAAAAGTTACAAAGATCTCAATTTAACAACCTAACATCACAACTAGAAGAACTAGAGAACCAAGAACAAACAAATCCCAAAGCTAGCAGAAGACAATAAATAATCAAAATCAGAGCTGAACTGAAGGAGACAGAGACACACACACAAAAAAACATTTGAAAGATTGACAAATCCAGGTTTTTTGAAAAAGTTAATAAAATAGACCACTAGCTAGACTAATAAAGAAGAAAATAGAGAAGATCCAAATAAACACAATTAGAAGTGACAAAGAGAATATTACCACTGACCCCACAGAAGTGCAAATAACCATCAGAGAATATTACGAACACCTCTATGCACATAAACTAGAAAATCTAGAGGAAGTAGATAAATTCTTAGGCTCATACACCCTCCCAACAGTGAGGCAGGAAGAAACTGAATCCCTAAACAGACCAATAATGAGCTCCAAAATTGAGGCAGTAATAAATAGCCTACCAACCAAAAAAAGTCCAGGAGCAGATGGATTCACAGCTGAATTCTACCAGATGTACAAAGAAGAGTTGGTATCATTCCTATTGATACTATTCCAAAAAATTGAAGAGGGAGGACTCCTCCCTAACTCATTCTATGAGACCAGCATTATCCTGAAACCAAAACCTGGCAGAGACACAACAAAAAAGGAAAACATCAGGCCAATATCCTTGGTAAACATTGATGCAAAAATCCTCAACAAAATACTGGCAAATCAAATCCAGCAGCACATCAAAAAGCTTATCCACCACAATCAAGTAGGCTTTATCTCTGGGATGCAAGGTTGGTTCAACATACACAAATCAATAAATGTGATTCATCACATAAACAGAAATAAAGACAAAAAAACACATGATTATCTCAATGGATGCAGAAAAGGCTTTCAATAAAATTCAACACCTCTTTATATTAAAAACTCTCAATAAACTAGGTATTGAAGGAACATACCTCAAAATAATAAGAGCCATCTATGACAAACCTACAGCCAGCATCACACTAAATGGGCAAAAGCTGCAAACATTCCCCTTGAAAACTGGTTCAAGACAAGGATGCCCTCTCTCACCACTCCTATTCATCATAGTATTGGAAGTTCTGGCCAGGGCAATCAGGCAAGAGAAAGAAGTAAAGGGCATCCAAGTAGGAAGAAAGGAAGTCAAACTATCCCTGTTTGTAGGCGACATGATCCTACATCTGGAAAACCCCATAGTGTTGGCCAAAAAGCTCCTTTGATTAACAACTTCAGCAAAGTCTCAGGATACAAAAATCAATGTACAAAAATCACTAGCATTCCAATACACCACCACCAACAGTCAAGCTGAGTCAAATCAAGAACACAATTCCATTCACAATTTTTACAAAAAGAATAAAATAATTAGGAATGTTGCTAACCAGGGAGGTGAAAGATCTCTAAAAGAACTGTAAAACACTGCTCAAAGAAATCAGAGATGACACAAACAAATGGAAAAACATTCCATGCTCATGGATAGGAAGAATCAATATGGGTAAAATGGCCACACTGCCCAAAGCAATTTATAGAGTCAATGGAATTCCTATCAAACTACCAATGACATTCTTCACAGAATAGAAAAAACTATTTTAAAATTCATATGGAACTGGGCTGGGCACTGTGGCTCTCACCCGTAATCCCAGCAATTTGGGAGACCAAGGTAGGCAGATCTCTTGAGCTCAGGAGTTTGAGACCAGCATGGGCAACATGGTGAAACTCTGTCTCTACAAAAAAAAAAAACACAAAAATTAGCCAGGCATGGTGGCATGTGCCTCTAGTCCCAGCTACTGGGGAGGCTAAGGTGGGAGGCTCACTTGAGACCAGGTGCTCAAGGCTGCAGTGAGCCAAGATTGCACCACTGTACTCCAGCCTGGGCAATAGAGTGAGACCCTGTCTCAAAATAAATAAATAAATAAAAATTCATATGGAACCACAAAAAAAGCCCAAATAACTAAGGCAATCCTAAGCAAAAAGAACAAAGCTGGAGACATCATGCTACCAGACTTCAAACTATACTACAGGTCTACAGTAACCAAAACAGCATGGTTCTTGTAGAAACATAGACGCATAAACCAATGGAACAGAATAGAGAGCCCAGAAATAAGGCCGCACACCTACAACTATCTGATCTTCAATAAAGTTGACAAAAACAGGCAATGGAAAAAGGACTCCCTATTCAATAAATGGTGCTGGGATAACTGGCTAGCCAAATGCAGAAGAATGAAACTGGACCCCTTCCTTATACCATATACAAAAAATTAAAGAATATATTAATTCTTTTTCCCTCCATGGACAGCTTCTGATTCCCTGTCTTGAATATTCTTTTCTCCGAGCTACCTTAGGGGCAATTCTAAATCTTGTAACAACACTTGCCATCTCTTTGGAGACAACTTGTATAACCATGGTTAAGTCATAACCTTAGTTAAGGCTTATTGCTTTCACTTGGAAAATACCTTCGGGGGTGTGGGGGAAGGCTTAAAAGGCAATGGTGTCTGTCCAGCTAAAGTCTGGTAATAAAAGATTTTAAAAGATTTTTTTAAAGAGCTCTGTATATAAGTCAGCGTAATTCTGAAAGGACTTTATGGTTTTTTTCTCTTCTTGGATCTTATTTTGTGGAAAAAAAAGTATTTTTTCTTCTCAGTTCACTGAATTGTTTCTCTATTTACTTCTTTCTGACTTCTTGCCACCTTTGATGCCCACAAGAGAGGACCTCAGGCAATTTCTGATGGCCTAAGACTCCTTGGGAGAAACAGGAGGTGCCACAGACCCCATTGTGGGAGAAAGGTCCCTTTTTCTTGTGGAACCCCAAGAATTATATATGGACAGATCCCTCTTAAAATCTCAGACTTAGCTCTGTTTTGCATTGCATTACCTGACCTTTTTTACTTTTGGAGGCATCAAAATTACTTTGCATTGTGAGAAAACTTTTGCCTTGATGTGTAATAGCTACGTAGGAAATACACTTTCAGGGATGGCTAATGACGATTGCTTAAAGTGAACGGTTATTACTAGAGGGTGATACTCCTTTCTTTGCACATTTAGATAAGAAAAGCATGCTCTTGGACACCAAGAAGGTATGGTATGGGGAATGGGCTGACTACAGAGTGGGCTGATTGGCACTGGATTGCCCACCAGCCTGGGAGAAAAGTCCTTGCAATGAGCTACACCATGGAAGTGTGTCCGGAATTGGTGGGTTCTTGGTCTCACTGACTTCAAGAATGAAGCCGCGGACCCTCGCGGTGAGTGTTACAGCTCTTAAGGTGGCGCGTCTGGAGTTGTTTGTTCCATCCCGGTGGGCTCGTGGTCTTGCTGGGCTCAGGAGTGAAGCTGCAGATCTTCGCGGTGAGTGTTACAGCTCATAAAAGCAGCGTGGGCCCAAAGAGTGAGCAGTAGCAACTTTTATTGCAAAGACCGAAAAAACAAAGCTTCCACAGTGTGGAAGGGGACCCGGGTTGCCAATGCTGGCTTGGACAGCCTGCTTTTATTCTCTTATCTGGCCCCACCCACATCCTGCTGATTGGTAGAGCTGAGTGGCCTGTTTTGTCAGGGCGCTGATTGGTGCATTTACAATCCCTGAGCTAGATACAAAGGTTCTCCACCTCCCCATCAGATTAGTTGGATACAGAGTTTCCACACACAGTTTCTCCAGGGCCCCACCAGAGCAGCTAGATACAGAGTGTCAATTGGTGCATTCACAAACCTTGAGCTAAACACAGGGTGCTGACTGGTGTATTTACAAACCTTGAGCTAGATACAGAGTGCCGACTGGTGTATTTACAATCCCTGAGCTAGACATAAAGACTCTCCACGTCCTCACCAGAGCAGCTAGATACAGAGTGTCGATTTGTGCACTCACAAACCTTGAGCTAAACACAGGGTGCTGATTGGTGTATTTACAATCCGTGAGCTAGATATAAAGACTCTCCAGGTCCCCACCAGAGCAACTAGATACAGAGTGTCAATTTGTGCACTCACAAACCTTGAGCTAAACACAGGGTGCTGATTGGTGTATTTACAATCCGTGAGCTAGATATAAAGACTCTCCACGTCCTCACCAGAGCAGCTAGATACAGAGTGTCAATTTGTGCACTCACAAACCTTGAGCTAAACACAGGGTGCTGATTGGTGTATTTACAATCCCTGAGCTAGATATAAAGACTCTCCACGTCCCCACCAGACTCAGGAGCCCAGCTGGCTTCACCTAGTGGATCCCGCACCAGGGCTGCAGGTGGAGCTGCTTGCCAGTCCTGCGCCGTGCGCTCGCATTCCTCAGCCCTTGGGTGGTCGATGGGACTGGGCGCCGTGGAGCAGGGGGTGGTGCTCGTCGGGGAGGCTCGGGCCGCACAGGAGCCCATGGAGTGGGTGGGAGGCTCAGGCATGGCGGGCTGCAGGTCCCCAGCCCTGCCCCGCGGGAAGGCAGCTAAGGCCCGGCGAGAAATCGAGCTCAGCGCCGGTGGGCCAGCACTGCTGGGGGACTCAGTACACCCTCCGCAGCCACTGGCCCGGGTGCTAAGTCCCCCATTGCCCGGGGCCAGCAGGGCTGGCTGGCTGCTCCGAGTGCGGGGCCCACCAAGCCCACGCCCACCCGGAACTCCAGCTGGCCCGCAAGCGCTGCACGCAGTCCCGGTTCCCGCTCGTGCCTCTCCCTCCACACCTCCCTGCAAGCTGACGGAGTGGGCTCCAGCCTTGGCCAGCCCAGAAAAGGGCTCCCGCAGTGCAGTGGGGGGGGGCTGAAGGGTTCCTCAAATGCCACCAAAGTGGGAGCCCAGGCAGGGGAGGTGCCGAGAGCAAGCGAGGACTCTGAGGACTGCCAGCATGCTGTCAGCTCTCAGAAGCACTGCACTGTCTCCCTCTTGCAGTGTTTCCCTCTTTTCAGGGACCCAGGATTCGAGGTAAAACTGGGATTTTTAATCCCTGGGGATCTGTTTTACCTTCCAGCTGTGCTTGCTTATTAGGCCCTAGAAATTGACTTTCTTGCCCTTTTTCCTTAAAAGGCTCCACCCTAAAGCCAATAATCCAATTAAAAAATTTTCATCTTGGGCTGGGTGAGGTGGCTCACCTGTAATCCCAGCACTTTGGGAGGGCAAGGTGGGCGGATCACCAGGTCAAGGGATCGAGACCATCCTGGCCAACATGGTGAAACCCCATCTATACTAAAAATACAAAAATTAGCTGGGCATGGTGGTGCATGCCTGTAGTCCCAGCTATTCGGGAGGCTGAGGCAGGAGAATTGCTTGAACCCAGGAGGTGGAGGTTGCAGAAGGAACTCTCCATATGTAAGTGTAGTTGCTTTTCCTGGCCATCTTAACTAAACTTTTACTCACAGCATTTTTCCTTGGTTGGAGAAAATATGAATTCTCCACCTTGTTTCACCTCAGAGTTGTCCCTTTAAAAATCCAAGTTTAGAGTTGCCAAGCTGACAACTGTTTAGGGCAGGGAACAGGTAATCAAGAGACTGGTGATCTCAAACGAAAAAGAGAAGCTTAAAAACTGGCAAATGATAGAAGGAGAAGATCTGTCTGTCTGTGTATTTATATGTGTTGTGCGTGTGAAGTTTACATAAAAGCTCTAATTAATT
The DNA here is from genome assembly GCF_000001405.40 of Homo sapiens. NCBI lineage: Eukaryota > Metazoa > Chordata > Mammalia > Primates > Hominidae > Homo > Homo sapiens. The sequence goes on from NC_000006.12 coordinate 106,818,076, forward strand.
GGCTTAAAGCAAAATAAGTACTCAAATAAAATATTTTGCCAAAAAAATTAAAAACTTTAATGTCTTTTAGTTCACTTGATGTTAGTAATCTTTGGTAAAGACAGTTTTAACGATTATTAATAAGATAAAATAGGCTGGGCTCGATGGCTCACTCCTGTAATCCCAGCACTTTGGGAGGCCAAGTCGGGTGGATCACCTGAGGTCAGGAGTTCAAGACCAGCCTGGCCAACATGGTGAAATCCTATCTCTACTAAAAATACAAAAAGTTAGCCGGGCATGGTGGCAGGCACCTGTAATCCCAGCTACTCGGGAGGCTGAGGCAGGAGAACCTCTTGAACCCGGGAGCCAGAGGTTGCAGTGAGCCGAGATAGCACCATTGCACTCCAGCCTGGGCAACAGGAGTGAAATTCCATCTCAAAATAAATAAATAAATATAAAATAAAATAAAAATGTCTTCAAAATCTAGGTATTCGTTCTGCAATGTCTGCTTCTATTAGGGTAGAAAAGACAAAAAAGAAAGAAAGAAAAGAAAACCAAAATCTAGGCATTTGGTCTAAATTAGAGCGATCAGATACTGTCTTTACTAGATGCTTTAAAGTCATGAACTGCTTCTCTGACTTTCGACAATTGTTCAACTTGCCTGCTTTAGAGCCATTTGATTCTAAGGAAGGCCTGGGGACATGTGGAGTTAGACATGTCCCCTAGCTATGCTAGAAAGAGTCAGACATTATCTGTGGTTCTGTCCTGTGTCCTAGACTCTGCACCTGATACATAATTACAATTATGTATTGTAATTGTAATTTAGATAATTGTAATTATCTAAAAATAAAAATCATGTGTTTTTGGTAAAAAGGCATGGAAATATATATGGTTGCTTTTAAGAGAAAGTAATTTTGTCTAATTTAGAGGGTTTAAAGATTGTTTTAGGTTAAAAGAGAATAAAACTGAAGGTTTAAAAAGTTGTAAAAGATTTGTAAAATATTAATCTTGTAAGGAAATTTCTATGTGTGAACAAATTGGCCAATTTGAAGGGGATTATTTAGTTTTTCTGTGGACTGAACATTAAGACAAAAAGCACACTGATGCTGGGCCAGAATCTGGGCCCCTGTGTCTAAATAACAGTGTTTTTGTGGAGCATTAATCTGCTCTCTAATTAAAAAAAAAAAATTATAGGGCTGGGTGCAATGGCTCACACCTGTAATCTCAATACTTTGGGAAGCCGAAGCTGGAGGATCACTTGGGTCCAGGAGTTTGAGACCAGCCTGGGTAGGGAGACCCCGTCTCTACAAAAAACTTAAAAATTAGCTGGGTGTGGTGGTGCGCATCTGTAGTCTCAGCCACTCAGAGGCTGAGGCTGGAGAATCACTTGAGCCCAGGAGGTCAAGGCTGCAGTGAGCCTTGATTGGATCAGTGCACTTCAGCCTGGACAACAGAGCAAGACCCTGTCTCAAAAAGAAAAAAGATAACTTTACAACGCTTTACAATTATAATTATTCTTGCTGTACTTTATGCAAATAATCAGCCCAAGTATATTAAGACTAAGTCTTATTTTGCAAATAAGTGTGTCCTACTATGATTTGTCTTTAATAAAAATGAGGACTGGGGAAAGAAAAATTATATTTCAGAAAGAAGCTAGAGTACTCATGTTTTTTGATTCCAGTCTTGTCTGTTGTTTTCGAAGGTTTTCAAATATTATTTTCTACAAGTTGGATTGAATCTTAAATTCTTTCCAGGTTACAAGTCTCCAAGGTAATGTTTTCAAATTTTTCTTCTATTTTTCTGACTTCAGCATAATATGATTGCTACTATCTTTTTCCCGAGGTCCAATGAGCTTAAGCTTATTTCTGTTGGTATAGCTGAGAAGAATGTGTGCAAGTACCACTACCTTCCTTCTCTGTAGCTAAAGATGCTTTGAGTCTAACATCTGGATAGATTATGCTCACCATTAATGTTTGTTTTTCTTCTGTTACCATAGAAATACTTATTAAAAGTCTGTTTGCCTTATATTTCAAACAACAGGAGACTGGTTTTCCAGTCTATTCACTTAAATTCCAAATGGCATCTGATCTCTTCTTATAAGCATTATTAAACTGGGCTTTAGCGTTTTATTAATTATCACTGGATAGGATTTGATTTTTAAATAATTATTTCTTATATTCAACAGGGATGCAGACAGTTATAAAAGTTTGTGTCTTCCAGGCTTCAACATTCCATGTCAAGCTGATAGTTGTGCAAGGATTCCAAACCCTCCCATCCCAGCAAGAGCCAAGCCCCTATAAAACATTAAATCAAAAGATTTTTGTGGCCTCTAGGGTTGGGCGAGGACGACAACCCTGTTCAGCAGAAAGTAGCTCCAGAAGACTAGACTGCTGCCCTTTTTCCTTAAGAAGAAGGAGGATAAAATGTCTCAGTGTGGCATGAGGCAGAGGAGAGGCAGAACTTGGCTTCAGCTCACCCCCCACAGAGCATTCCTGCTGACCACAAACCCCACACCACTACATCACTGCCACCATAATGTTTAACCATGCCTTTTACTTAAAGAATTCCAGGAACTGGCCTTAGAAGATAACCATGGTTGTGAAGTGTCCCATCTCTGGAAGAAATGCTGAACAACTGATTTACAGCTTTGTTGCCACTGGCCAGACCACCAGGTGGTCCATTACTCAAGATAATCATCACAACCAGATAATGCTGCTCTGCAAACTCCACCCCTCATGTGCTTTGCCCAGCTCAGCCCACACATACCCTACCCCTGATGTCAATTCCTGCATAGTGCCTAATTAAAAAGCCATACTGGCTCTTTCTGGGGAGTCAGTCAAGGAATCTTCTCTCTCTCTCTCTCTTTCTCTCTGTCTTGCTGCCTCCCTTATGCCCAGGCATAAGCTCCAGTGAAGCTTTGTCTGGGAATCTCTTTCAGCCTCATGTCAATTTCTGTTAACTGGAGAGCCCAAGAACACATGGTGGGTAACACAAACACAACATGAAACTAAAGTTTTATTTTCCAAGACAAAGCCCCAATGGAACCTTTCCTCGCTATTTCCTGAGACATGTTGTCTGCCTTTTAAGAGGATACATGTGAGTAGCTGACCCCCAGAACTACTCTTTCCCCACATAATGAGGGCCTCCCATGTCTCATTTGTTTTTAGAGCTCCATGACCAGCTATGTCATTTGGGCTTGATTTTATAGGTGGAGAAACTGAGGCCCAGAGGACACATATGGGGAGTGCATGACCCAGTGTTTTGCCCAGGTCAACTTGACTCCCACAGTCAAGCGCGGCCCCGTTAGCTGATTCCCAGCGGACTGATAACCGTCTCTGGAATGAAGCAGGGAGTGACTGAATCAGGAAACCCATCAACAGTGCTACCTACCCGTCTACTTGGAAAAGAAGAGGAATTCCCACAAGCAGCTCTGGGAGACCTCTTAATGCCCAGGGACACCTACATCTCTCTGTCAATCTCTTCTCCAGGTCAGCTCCAACTCTCAGGGTCTTTTCAGGGGCCTGACCCTCCTGCTTCGGCCCCCCAGTGAATGAGGCCTCTCCTGGCCTGCCCCCTTCTCCCCGCCTCCCCAGAATATCCCTTTCCACTCTTTCAAATGAACCTAATCTGTGTCTGCTCCTGCCCAACCGCATCTTCTGCCAGGCAGTTGGTGCCTGAAACCAGCTCATGAGAGTTTCTAGCCCTGGAGAGAAGTGCGCAGCACATTGGCTGCACCCATAGCTCTGGCTTTTGTGATCTGACCCAGAAAAGCCAACAGAGGGAGGCAAGTCAGGCCAGAAGGGGTGGCTCTCATCTGCCAAAAGTGGGGAGGGGAGGTTGGGGGGCAGATTCGCCCAAGGCAGATCTTCACTTCTGCTTTCATATGGAATTTAAAATTAATTCAGGCCAGGCACGGTGGCTCAAACCTATAATCCCAGCACTTTGGGAGGCAGAGGCAGGTGGATCACAAGGTCAGGAGTTCAAGACCAGCCTGGCCAACATGGTGAAACCCCATCTCTACTCAAAATACAAAAATTAGCCGGGCGTGCTAGCATGCGCCTATAATCCCAGCTACTCAGGAGGCTGAGGCAGGAGAATGGCTTGAACCCAGGAGGAGGAGGTTGTGGTGAGCCAACATTGCACCACTGTACTCCAGCCTGGGTGATAGAACAAGACTCCATCTCAAAAAAAAAAAAAAATTAATTCAGGAGTTTTGTTGTTGTTGTTTAAGCAGAAAATAAACTCAGTCTGCCTGGCGTTGTGGCTCATGCCTATAATCCCAGCTCTCAGGGAGGCAGAGGCAGGAGGGTAGCTTGAGCCCAGGAGTTTGAGACCTGCCTGGGCAATATAGCGAGACTCCGTTCTCCACAAAAAGGAAAAAAAAAAGAAGATAAACTCAGTCCAAACCTTTTTACAGATGAACTGACTGAAATTCACAGAATCAGTGATTTGCTGAGGTCACACAGCAAGTTGGAGCCAAGACATGGTCCCAGAGACCCTGAGGATCAGTCAATTTAACATTTTTAGTCATGCCCCTGACCTGAATGTATCCACATCTAGTAAGGAACTAAATTCCTTAGTTCTCCAGAGGTGCTGGTGGGAGTGATGAGTCTGGGTCAGATTAATTTTGTATAAAATTGCCTGGGCACAGTGGCTCACGCCTATAATCCCAACAGTTTGGGAGGCTGAGGTGAGCGGATTGCCTGAGCTCAGGAGTTCGTGACCAGCCTGGGCAACATGGTGAAACCTCATCTCTACTAAAATACAAAAAATTAGCCAGGCGTGGCGGCATGCGCCTGTAGTTCCAGCTACTCAGGAGACTGAGGCAGGAGAATTGCTTGAACCCGGGAGGCCGAGGTTGCAGTGAGCAGAGATCACGCCACTCCACTCCAGCCTGGGTGACAGAGTGAGACGCCATCTCAAAAAAAAAAAAATTGTATAAAATTACCTACAAATAAAACTTCACCAAGAATTCAAAGAAAGCCATGAATCCCATCTCCTGACCCATCACATTTTTTTTTAACCTGTCAGATCTCCAAAGAGATTAGGTAACTCTGGAGGATTCCTTCCAAAACTGGTTGGGGTAAGGAGTCAAAAGTCAGGAGGAGCCTTCTAGGTGAGGGCTCGTGGGCATTGAGTCGGATGGAGTACAGTGTGGCTCCATAACTTAGCAGCTGTGTGACCATGGGCAGATGAGCTAACCTCTCTGAGCCCCGATTACCCCAGCTGTAAAACGGAGATAGTAGCCACCTCACAGTGTTGTGAGGTTTAAGTCAGCCAACGTGTGCAAAGTACCCAGAGTAAAATTCAAAGGTAGGCTTCTTTCTAGCCCACCTCACTAGGGCCTCATTTCTCCAAACTTAGTTTAGTCCAGACTTTTTTTTTTTTTTTTGAGACTGGGTCTCACTCTGTTGCCCAGGCTGGAGTGCAGTGGCACCATCACAGCTCACTGCAGCCTTGACCTCTCAGGCTCAGGTGATCCTCCTGTCTTAGCCTCCTGAGTAGCTGGGACCACAGACATGCATCGCCACTCTCAGCTAATTTTTAAAAATTGTTTGTAGAGATGGAGCCTCCTTCTGTTGTCCAGGCTGGTCCCGAACTCCTGGGCTCAAAAGATCTGCCCACCTGGTCTCCCAAAGTGCTAGGTTTCCAAGTGTGAGCCACCACGCACTTCCCCCTCATTATGTAGGGGAAGAGTAGTTCTGGGGGTCAGTTCAGCAGTAGTCCAGAACTTTAGAGATGCTTCCTCTCCCCCAGTTATAATGCTGCCAACTTGCAGTGGAAACTGCGATGCTGAAGGTAGGTAAGAGCAAGAGGCTGAGGGAGCCTAGCTGGGCTCCCGCTGCCCCTACCCACTACATGCCTTTGTGATAGGCAGGGGCCGAGCCCTTCTGTGAACCCTGCAGGATGCTTTTCTTAAACTCTACTTCTTGTCCAGGCTGCCAAGCAGAACCTCTCAAGAGTCTCAGGCCCAAAGTCCCGTTTCCAAGTGGCCTCTGCTCTAAAGCCAGCTCCCACAAATCCCGTCAGCGCTGCTCAGCCAGGTGATCACATACCTGCCTCCAAAGCCAGGAAATGAGGCGCCTGGGTGAAACACATTCCAAGATTGAATGGCTATTTACAGTCAAACACAAGCACGGCAGCCCAGGTAGGTAGGCTGGCGAAGTGAGGGGTGGGGCTGGAGGGGGAGAGGAGACACCAGGCGATAGCATTTCACTGGGACACAGACTGCTTTAAAAGAAAGGGCCCAGGTTTGGTGTCAAGAGCCCAGGTCTGTGTGCTTGGTTTTGTCACAATCTATCAACTGTCTATTTCATTATCTGTAACAGGGTTTCTAAAAGTTTCTGAAAGTGTGGCCAACTGTCTATTTCATTATCTGTAACAGGGTTTCTAAAAGTTTCGGAAAGTGTGGTCCAAGGACCCCTGGAGGAAGATTGCAAGGTCAAAACTACTTTCATAAGAATACTACGATGTCATTTGTAATTTTTTTTTTTTTTTTTTTGAGACAGAGTCTTGCTCTGTCGCCCAGGCTAGAGTGCAGTGGTGCGATCTCGGCTCACTGCAACCTCCGCCTCCCAGGTTCAAGTGATTCTCCTGCCTCAGCCTCCTCAGTAGCTGGGATTACAGGTGCGTGCCACCATGCCTGGCTAATTTTTGTATTTTTAGTAGAGATGGGGTTTCACCATGTTGGTCAAACTGGTCTCGAACTCCTGACCTCAGGATCCGCCCGCCTCAGCCTCCCAAAGTGCTGGGATTACAGGCATGAGCCACCACACCTGGCCTGTTCTTTTAACTCTTAGTCTCTCACTAGTATCCAGTGGAGTTTTCCAGAGGCTCCATGCTGCTCTGATGTCATCGGTGCTCTGACAAATGATGGAATGTGTTTGTGTTTTCAAATTTTCTCAGCTTCAATTTCTAATATGGTAAAACTCAACCAATAGAACCTACATAAACTGAAGCTCTCTGGGGTCAGCAATAATTTTTAATAGCCAAAATGGGTCCTGGGACCAAGAGGCTGCTCTGATGAGGTCCTTAGCCCTTGGCCCCCAGCCTCCTGGAGGAGCAATGAACCTAGTAGAGGCCACATGGTTCCTCTGCTCCCTGCAAAAAGCCACCTATTGTAATCAGTGTTCCATTTCCTTCACCTTCTGAATGCTCCATGCCAAGAAAGCACAAGCCTGGAGAAGGGAGGCTGGGTTACACTCAGGGAACTGCTTTCTGAGTGGGGGAGAGAATGGCGGCCTAGTCAACTCATCCACCAGCAGCCAAGTGAAACACCACGTGAAGGCAGGAGGAGGGGTAAGGAGGTGCCTTGCCATTTATACATAAGCCACATGGTGAGTCAATCCCAGGCTCCTCACAAGCTCCTGGTTCTCTGGCAGTTGTGAATTTGGAGGGCAGGGCCTTGGGATGAGCCTCAATCCAACACATTCCAAAGCCCCAGGCCTGGGGTTGCCCTGTAGTCAGCCTTCCTTTCCCACTCCATTTCTCTAACCTCTCCCTCTGCCAGCTTCCTCCACCATCCAGACCAGCAACATCCAGTAGAAAGAGAATGGGAGCCACTCATGAGATTTAAAGTTTTCTAGCAGGCACATTTTTAAGAAATGGGTGAAATTAATTTTAATAACATCCTTTATTTAACTCCATCTATCCAAAGTGTTATCATGTCAATTAATAGTGAAATATTTTACATTCGTTTTTGTATTAAATCTTTGAAATCCAGTGTGTATTTTAGATTTTCCATACATCTCAATTTAGACATTACATTTTCATTAGAAAAACGTGATCTGCGAGGTCAGGAGATCGAGACCATCCTGGCTAACACAGTGAAACCCCGTCTCTACTAAAAATACAAAAAATTAGCCGGGCGTGTTTGGCAGGCGCCTGTAGTGCCAGATACTCGGGTGGCTGAGGCAGGAGAATGGCGTGAACCCGGGGGGCGGAGTTTGCAGTGAGCCGAGATGGCGCCACTGCACTCCAGCCTGGGCGACAGAGCAAGACTCCGTCTCAAAAAAAAACCAGAAAAGAAAAAAGAAAAACGTGATCTGACTACAGATGTTATGAAATTTATACCTGAAAAGGTAGATTCACACACCCAAGTTGTTCCAAGCATATTTAGAAGTGTTCCAATAACTGAATGAAGCATTTAGATATCAATTATCAAATTTAATCTAATTAAATTTGAAATTTAGTTTATTGGTTGTAGTAGTCACATTTCAAGTGCTCAATAGCTACATGTGGCTACTAGCTAATATATATGCAGTGCGTATCTAGACCGTTATCTCTTTAAACCCTGCTCACTCTTTGTAGGTAGATGTGCTTTGAAACTAAAATAAACGTATGAAAGCAACACATGTTCACTATTCAGAATCCCAACATTATAGAAACATAAAGAATAGAATGTAATACATCCTGTCCTCCCATCCCTCATAGGCAACTAACAACTGTTATCAACAATGTGGTGTACATTTTCTCACTTTTGTCTACATATACTTATATTCACTGTTATTAGAAAATAATGTTTATAAAAATGGGATAATTCTATTTATTCCTCCCATCACTTAAGCACCTCTCTATTATGTACAGTAGTAACAGACTATAAAGTCTTGCCTACTGAGGCTCACATTCAAGTAAGGCAAAAAGAGAGAGAAAGAAAGAGAGAGAAGAAAGAAAGAAAAAAGAAAGAGAAAGAAAGAAGGAAAGAAAAGAGAGGAAGGAAGGGAGGGAGGGGGGAGGGAGGCAGGCAGGAAGGGAGGGAGGAAGCAAGGAAGGAAGGAGGGAGGGAGGGAGGGAGGGACAGAAGGAAGGAGAAAGAATCAGCAGGTAGGGTTATAAGCACTTTAAAGAAAGGTAAGGCTGGGTGTGGTGCCCATGCCAGTGCTTTGGGAGGCCAACGTGAGAGGATCACTTCAGCTCAAGAGTTCAAGACCAGCCTGAGCAACATAGCAGACCCATTCCTACAAAAAATTTTTAAAAATTAGATAGGCTGAGGTGGGAGGATCGCTTGAGCCCAGGAGTTTGAGACTGCAGCAAACTATGATTGCACCACTGCACTCCAGTGTAGGTGACAGAGCGAGACCTTGTCTCAATTTTTTTTGTAAGTTAAATAAGGAAATGAGTTGAGGAGTGACTTGGGGATTACTAAGGAAAGGATGATGAACCTGTCTAAAGAGGTAACGTTTAGGCTGAAAGCCAGATGACAGTAAGTAGCCAGATATGGAAATCTATGGAAGCAAGTGCAAAGGTCCTGAGGCAGCAACCACACGTGTGCTTTCACAACTCCTTTTTTCATTGAATACTATATATTTGGACTATTAGTCCAATAAGTGTAGTGTCTGAGTGTACTATTACTCTTTGTAAAGGCAACTAGTTTTCTCATAAAGTAAAAAAAAAATTCAAACAAGACAAAACAGTGTACAACAAAAAGAAATTTTTCTCACCCAATTCCCCAGTCCACTGCCCAAGATACAACCATTATTAATTATTTTGTATCATCTTCCAGAAAAATCTTTATATGTATGTATGCATATACTTCATATATCTCATCTAATTTGTACTAAGACCATATAATAAACATCATTCCACACCTTGCTTTTTTTTTTTTTTTTTTTTTTTTTGAGATGGAGTTTCGCTCTATGGTCCAGGGCTGAAGTACAGTGGCACGATCTCAGTTCACTGCAACCTCTGCCTCCTGGGTTTTAAGCAATTCTCTCTGCCTCAGTCTCCCGAGTAGCTGGGATTACAGGCACCTGCCACCATGCCCAGCTAATTTTTGTATTTTTAGTAGAGACAGGGTTTTGCCATGTTGGCCAGTCTGGTCTTGAACTCCTGACCTCAGGTGATCCATCTACCTCGGCCTCCCAAAGTGCTGGGATTACAGGTGTGAGCCACAGTGTCCGGCCACCTTGCTTTTTTTTTTTTTTTTTAACAAATTAATTAATACATTATTTTGAATAGGTAATGCATATTATACGTCACTAAATTTAAAAGGAACAAATAAGTACACAATGAAAAGCAGATCTTCTACCCTGTTCTGTAGCCCTCTCTCCTGAGACAGGCACAGTCACCCTCTTCCTGTGATTTCCCTCCAACGTGGTTGCTATCATCTGAATGCATGTATGCCCCCAAAATTCATATGTTGAAATTCTAACCAAAGCCCTAAGTAATGATAGTGTTGGGAAATGGGCCCTTTGAGAAATGATTAGGTCATGAGGGTGGACCTCTCATGATTGAGATTAGTGCCCTTATAAAAGGGACCCAAAAGTGCTAGCTAGCCACTTCGACCATATGAGGACCCAGTGTCAAGGTGGCATCTATGAAGCAGGAAACAGGCCATCACCCGACATCAGATCTGTTGGCCCCTTGATCTTGGACTTCGTGACCTCCAGAATTCTGAGAAATAAATTTCTGTTGTTTATAAGCCACTTAGTTTCTGGTATTTTGTTATAGCCTCCCAAGTGGACCAAGAGAGTGGTCAAAGAACATGCAGACATATACATGTCTCCGTGTTTGCCACACAAATAGCATTGCATCGTATACCTGCCATCATCTGCCTCCAGCACCATATCTTGGCAGCTGCTCCCCATTACTGCGAATTCATTCCACAGTCCAATTAACCAGACCCCCATTGAAGGACACTGGGGTTGTCCCTCCATCTCTTGCTACTTACAAACATGCTTCCATGACTATCCCTGTGCAGATGTCCTGTCACAAAGTATATGTCTACATCCTGCAGTATTTCCTTATGAGGGGAGGAGGAGTGCATAATTTATTTAGCCAACTCAATATTGAAAATCATTTAGGTGATTTCCAATTTCTATGAAACAAACATTGCTGCATGAACATCCTTGTACATAAATCTCTTAGAATAATTCCATAAAAAGAAAGCGTTAGGTCAACATGTATTTGAAATTTAAATTTTTGTCAATATTGCCGATTTTCCTTCCAAAGAGCTTGCACTAACTTATACCTCTCCCAACTGTGTTTAAGAGTGCCTCTTCCCCTGCGGCCTTGCCTAAAGTGCTTATTATAAAAACTGTGATCTTTGACAATCTAATACGTGAAAAATATTATCCTGCTGGTAAGTTTTAATTAGCATTTATTTAATTATTCATGTGACTGGCCATTTTCTCCTTATGCTTATAAATCATCTCTCTGTCTCTAGTTGTTCTTTGCCCTGTTCTTTTTCCTGTTGCGTTGTAGGTCCTTTTCTTATTGAATTGCAAAACTTTTAAAAATATATTCAGTAAATTAGCTCTGTCTCCTATACATATGAGTTTATGTGTGTGTACATGTGAGAGGGTGGAGAAATAAAAATAAAATCCTAAGCCCCTCAACCAACTGAATGGATCCCTCTTGGCCATTGGGACACCAGAGAAACCTTGAAAACCGAGTTCCCAGCCATGATGGGGTGGGAGATCAGAACAACTCATTCTACTCTCTCCCTCGCCAACCACCATTAGGCTTCTTCCCTAAGTGTTAAACAGAAACCAGCCCTTTTGAAAGACTGGCTCCGCAACTGATATCAATCAACTGCCTGATGCTGCCTCTCCCTTTTTGCGGTCTCAACACAACTGACCAGCATTCTCTCCTGATAAGATACCACTGACCAAGGAGTGATTCTGGCCAGTCTACAGGGGCTGCACACAAAGGGCCTTCATGTCCTCTACTTCACCTGTTGAAGTCAGAGGGCCAGAAACCCCACCCTCAGATCCATGAGGAGGCACGAAGCTCAGTTGCACATGTGCATGTTTCTCCTTTAATAAATATTTATGACTCCTCTGATAGCTTATTAATTATGTATATCCAGCCACCTCACTCAGCATAAATTCCTATTCCTGTTACCCCTCCCATGAAGTGCCTGTTACTGGCTTCTGACCGGAGGCTACGCTTCCCAGCCTGTCAGAATGGCCACACTGCAAGCTGCAAACCTTTAGGAGAAATGAAGCTCTCCTTTCCAAATTTATGAACCTTATCATTCTTTAGTTGATAATGTGTATAAAATATATTCCTTAGATTTTTATTTGTATTTTGTGCCAGGCATGGTGGCTCACACCTGTAATCCCAGCATTGTGGGAGGCCAAGGTGGGTGGTTCACCTGAGGTCAGGAGATGGAGACCAGCTTGGCCAACATGGTGAAACCCTGTCTCTACTAAATATACAAAAATTAGCCCAGCATGGTGGCACACACCTGTAGTCCCAGCTACTAGGGAGGCTGAGGCAGGAGGATCGCTTGAACCTGAGAGGTGGAGGTTACAGTGAGCCAAGATCACGCCACTGCACTGCAGCCTGGGCAACAGAGTAAGACTCTGTCTCAAAAAAAAAAAATTATTTGTATTTTGAATATCTCTGTGGTAATTCTTTGCTATGCAGAAATCTAAATATTTTACGTAGTTAAACTTATTGGTCTTTTCTTTTGCTGCTTCTAATTTTGTCATAGATGGACTAAGAAAGTCAGGATCCACTGAGATAATCAAATTATATGGAATTATTTCATGTTTATTTCTAGTATTTTAAAAAATCATTTAACTATCTTACCCTTGTTAAATAAAAACCGTAAGAGGTATCAACCTCACAAAAGACACTAGAGAAAATTATCTTTAAATATGTGGGGTTTTCTCAGGAGTAGAAATAAGGGTTATAATCCATAACACATGAAATGGCAAGCCACCAGTGCATTTGATGAGGGAAGAGTAAAGGGAGCTTTAATTAGCAAAAAGAGATTTACATATGCTGATTAGAAACAGAATTGATTGGTTCCAAAGATTCAAAGCCACAGTTGTTGCAGTCACTGGGAGAGTGCTCTTTTGGGGACATCTGAGTTAATGCAGTCCTTATCAAAGCAGGAGATGCATGAAGAATATGAAAAGGTTAGAAAGGCCTTGGAAATAGTTCTTATCTCAGACATGTAGGATATGAGCCTACTCTCCTTTGGGCCTTCCTGACCCTATTTTGTCTGGGTCTCACAGAGGTGATTTCACCCTAGTAGCTGCAACTTTCACAGAGACCATTGTTTTGGACTAAGCTCCTCTAATAGGCCCCAACCAATCAGACTAAAAATCAAAATGGTGCCACTTGTGCTCAGGTTCCACATCACTAAACCGAAACTGAGTTGTTCTCTGACCTTCTAAGAAATCAGGATAATGAAGTTCCCTCTGCTTTAATCCTTACCAAAAAACAAAAGGTAACCTGAAGTAATCTAATGTTAACCAATCGGTTATTTCTCTATTGTTCTGTTTTTCTGTTCCTGCCCCACAAGAAAAGTAATTTTGAAATGACCAATCTATGTTTTGTTCTTTGCTTCTGCTTTTTTCAGCCCTTTTCTGTCTGTAAAATCAACCTCCTCTATTCAGCTCATTGGAACACTTTTTCTAGTTTATGGAAAGAAGAGTTGCTTGAGTTTAGAATTGCAATAAAGTCAGCCGAGATCTTTAAGTTCATTGTAATTTTGTTTTTTGACACACTTAAGTTTGTGATCCAATTGGAATTTATTTTGATATAAGAAACAAAAAAATGATACTTCTTTGTTTGTTTTTGAGACAGGGTCTCACTCTGTCACCCAGGCTGGAGTACAGTGGCATGATCATGGCTCATTCTGCAGCCTCAAATACCTGGGCTCAAGCAATCCTCTCATCACAGCCTCCTGAGTAGCTGGGACCACAGGCATGTGTCACCATGCCCTGCTAATTTTTGTATTTTTTGTAGAGACAGACTTTCACCACATTACCCAGGCTGGCCTCGAACTCCCGGGCTCAAGCAAGCTGCCCGCGTCTGCCTCCCAATGTGCTGGGATTACAGGCATGAGCCACCATGCCTGGTGGAAAAAAATCAGTGATACACTTTTTTCAATGGAATAGTCATTTAAACCAACACCATTTATTGAATTATGTATCCCCCACTGATTTGAAGCAAGTTGTTTGTTTGTTCATTTGTTTGTTTGTTTGTTTTTTGAGACGGAGTCTCGCTCTGTCGCCCAGGCTGAAGTGCAGTGGCATGATCTTGGCTCACTGCAACTTCTGCCTCCCTGGTTCAGGTGATTCTCCTGCCTCAGCCTCCTGAGTACCTGGGATTACAGGCACGTGCCACCATGCCCGGCTAATTTTTTGTATGTTTACTAGAGATGGGGGTTTCATCATGTTGGCCAGGCTGGTCTAGAGCTCCTGACCTCAAGTGATCCACCCACCTCGGCCTCCCAAAGTTCTGGGATCACATACGTGAACCACAGCACCCAGCCTAAAGCAAGTTCTGATAGGCTTTGCCACAGCTCTAAGACAGCATCAACATTGGACCCTATAACCTGAGACACTGCACACACTACAACAGCCGTGTGCCCCCAGATGTGAAGCTGACCTCTTCCGAGGAACGTGTTAACATTCACGTCTGTGTTCCTGGTTAGGTCTCCTCCCTCTGAATGCGCAGTCACCTCAGGTGCCCATGTGTTCCTCCTAGTCGGCACTCCACACCACCAACCTAGCGGGGCTCCAGGTACTATTTGGCAGCCACAAATAAAACTCCTAATCAAAACATCACCTCAAAAATGAGCATGGTTACTAATGTAAGAGAAGCAATGTATACAACTTCCTTCACCAATCTTGAAGCAAAAACTCAAAGGAGAAGGAACTTGAAAGCATCATAAATAGACAGGCAGCCAATCAACCAGGATAGAAAGCAAGAGCTGTGGGCTCTTGCTCCAGTTAACATGACTTTTGACAAGTCTTCTCCCATCTTGGGGTCTTCCCTTTCTTACCTATGGAATATCAGAGTTACACTAGAAAATCTCTAAGGTTTCTTCAGCAATAATAATAACTGAGATTCTAGAAGAGGCTTGGAGCCTCTTTCCAAGGTTTATTTCTCAATTCCGATGGAATCTTTGATGAGATCTCCCAGTTGAAGCTCATGCCCCAAGGGTTCCTTGACTTTGCTTTGTTCTGGCGGCCTCAGATCAGGACTGCAGAAGGAAGCCTCTTGTTTGTGTTGTCATCATTTTCAAAAGCCGCTTCAAAAATTTCTCATGAAACCAGCAATCTCCCACCTTCCCGTGTCTTTCCTTTGAAAGAAACAGTACATTAAGATGGCCACCCCAATCTTAATAAGGTTCCCATTTCAGCCAAGATGCTAGACACTGAGACACAAGCATGTGGTCTCTGCAGGGAATTTGACCCTTGGAAAAAAGGAAATGCTGAGTCTATCTCTTGATAACGGGAACAGGCTTCTTCTGAGGACCTTGGATGCAGCCTGCATGACCAAGGAATGGGTATAGAATGCAAAAAATCCAGGTTATGGCTGTTTCTACCCTGAAGCAACAAAATCAGGAAGTTCTCAAAGCAGTTATTTCACAAGAAGTTTTGGGAATTTGGAGCATGGGAACGATTACTACCTGTTTGCTTGTTTTCAATAATTAGGATTTTTTTTAAGTGTACAGAAGTACACATCTAACACACAAAGCAGGCTGAAATTAGAAACCCAGAGCTTTATATTGATGATCTTGGCTAAGAGTTCATTTAAACAGAGGGCTGCACAGATACAGATGGAATTGTGGAGGAGGAAAGGAGATCATTAAATGCTATGAATTTTGATACGTGTGAGTTTCAGAGCAAGTGAAGATTCGCTATACACATATTTGTTAGCACTTTACATTTTCAGATAGAATAGAGAAGTGACAGAAAAAAATGAAAAGAACGGAGCCTCAACATCTACAGGCTTTGCTATTAATAATTCAGTGGCATATTCTGGTTGTCCAAGAAGCTTCTGGATTCCATTTTGTGGTTATAACAATCTAGCATGAAAAGACCTAATTGCTATTCATTCATATTACGTAGAAAAAACCCTGAAAGGACTCATTTCAACTGCCAGCAGTATTTCCCTCCGGGAATAAGACAAGGGTGAATGAAAAAGAAAGGGAATGGAAACGTTCACTTTTTACTTTATTTCTATGTGTTTTATTTTATTTATTTTTAGTTTTTGTGGGTGCACAGCAGATATATATCTTTATGGGGTACATGAGATTTTTTGATACAGGCATGAAAGGCGCAATAATCACATCATGGAGAATGGGGTATCACCAACAAATGTTGGTGAGGATGTGGGAAAAAAAACTGTACACCGTTGGTGGGAATGTAAATTTTAACTGGGGTGAGATAATATTTAATTGTAGTTTTTATTTACATTTCTCTGATAATCAATGATGTTGAGCACCTTTTCATATACCTGCTTGCCATTTGTATGTCTTCTTTTGAGAAATATCTATTCAAATCTTTTGTACATTTTAATCAAATTATTACATTTTTTTCTAAGTTATTTGAGCTCCTTATATATTCTGGTTATTAATCTCTTGTCAGACAAGGAACTTGCAAATATTTTCTCTCATTCTGTGGGTTGTCTCTTCACTTTGTTGATTGTTTCCTTTGCTGTGCAGAAGCTTTTTAACTTGATGTAATCCCATCTGTTCATTTTTGGTTTGGTTATCTGTGCTTTGGAGGAATTACTCAATAAATCTTTGCCTAGTCCAGTATCCTAGAGGGTTTCCCCAATGTTTTCTTTTAGTATTAATAGTTTCACGGTTTGAGGTCTTAGATCTAGGCCTTTAATCCATTTGGATTTAATTTTTGCATATAGTGAGAGACAGGGGTCTAATTTCATTCTTCTGCATATAGATATCCAGTTTTCCTAGCATCATTTTTTTTTTGAGATGGAGTCTGCAACCTCCGCCTCCCGGGTTCAAATGATGCTCCTGCCTCAGCCTCCCAAGTAGCTGGGACTACAGGCGTGCACCACCCCTGCCTAGCTAATTTTTATATTTTCAGTACAGATGGGGTTTTTCCATGTTGGCCAGTCTGGTCTTGAACTCCTGACCTCAAGTGATCTGCCCGCCTCAGCCTCCCAAAGTGCTGAGATTACAGGCATGAGCCACCACACCCAGCTGCAACGTCATTTATTGAAGAGACCGTCCTTTCCCCCAATGTATATTTTTGGAAACTTTGTCAAAAATCAGTTCACTGTAGATGTATGGATTTATTTTTGGGTTCTCTATTCTGTTCCATTGGCCTGTGTCTCTGTTTTTATGCCAGGACTATTTTGTTTTGATTATTATGCTCTGTGGTATAATTTGAAGTCAGGTACTGGGATTCCTCCAGTTTTGTTCTTTTTGCTCAGGATAGCTTTGGCTCTTCTGGGCGTTTGTAATTTAGAATAAATTTTAGGGTTGTTTTTTCTATTTCAGTGAAGAAAGTCACTGGTATTTTGACAGGGATTGCATTCAATCTGTAGATTGCTTTGGGTGGTATGGACATTTTAACAATATTGATTCTTCCAATCCATGAACATGGAATATCTTTTCTTTTTTGTGTGTCCTCTTCAATTTCTTTCATCAGTGATTTACTGTTTTCATTGCAGAGGTCTTTCACTTCTTTGGTTAAGTTAATTCCTAGGTATTTAATTTTATTTATAGGTATTGTAAATGAGACTCTTTTCTTGATTTTTTTTCAGATTGTTCACTGTTGGCATAGAGAAATGCTATGGATTTTTGTATGTTTATTTTGTATCCTGCAACTTTACTGAATTTGTTTATTAGTTCTAATAGTTTTTTTGGTGGAGTCCTTAGGTTTTTCCAAATGTAAGATTATATCATCTGCAAACAAGGATAATTTGACTTCTTCCTTTCCAATTTGGATGCCCTTTATTTCTTTCTTTTGTCTGATTGCTCTAGCTAGGACTTCCAGTACTATGTTGAGTAACAGTGGGTGACAGTGGGCATCCTTGTCGTGTTCCAGGTCTTAAAGGAAAGGCTTTCAGTTTTTCCCCATTCAGCAAGAAATTAGCTGTGGGTCTGTCATTTATGGCTTCTATTGAGATATGTTCTTTCTGTACTCAGATTTTTTTAGGGTTTTTTTTTAATCAAGAAGATGTTAAATTTTATCAAACGCTTTTTCAGAATCAGTTGAAAGGATCATGTGGTTTTTGTCCTCCATTCTGTTGATATGATGTACCACATTGATTGATTTGCATATGTTGAACCATCCTTGCTTCCCAGGGATAAATCCCACTTGGTCATCATGAATGTTCTTTTTAATATGTTATTGAATTTGGTTTGCTAGCGTTTTGTTGAAGATTTTTGTATGAATATTCATCAGGGATAACAGCCTGTAGTTTTCTTTTTTTGATTTGTCTTTGTCTGGTTTTGGCATCAGGATAATACTGGCCTCATAGAATGAGTTTGGAAGTATTTCCTCCTCCTCTATTTTTCAGAAGAGTTTGGGTAGGATTGGTATTCATTCTTTAAAGGTTTGGTAGGATTCAGCAGTGGGGCCATCAGGTCACAGGCTTTGCTGCAAGACTTTTTGTTATGATTTTAATCTCATTACTTGTTTTTGATCTGTTCAGGTTTTGAATTTCTTCATGGTTCAGTCTTGGTAGGTTGTATGTGTCTAGGCATTTACCCATTTCTTCTAGATTTTCCAATTTATTGGCATATAGTTGCTCATAGTAGCCACTAATGATCCTTTGAATTTCTGTAATATCAGTTTTAGTGTCTCCTTTTTCATTTCTGCTTTTATTTATTTTGGTCTTCCCTCTCTTTTGCTCAGTCTGGCTAAATGTCAATTTTGTTTATCTTTTTAAAAAGCCAACTTGTCATTTCATTGATCTTTTATATTGTTTTCTTCATTTCTATTTCATTTATTTCTGCTCTGATCTTTATTATTTCTTTTCTTCAACTAATTTTGGGTTTAGTTTCTCTTGCTTTTCTAGTTCTTTGAGATGCATTGTTAGGTTGTTCATTTGAAGTTTTTCTTCTTTTTTGTTGTAGGCACTTATAGCTCTAAAATTCCCTCTTAGTAATGCTTTTGCTGTATCCCATAGGTTTTGATAGTTGTGTTTCCATTATCATTTGTTTCAAAACATTTTTCAATTTTCTTCTTAATTTCTTCATTGACCCACGGTTAGTCAGGAGCATATTGTTTAATTTCCATGTATTTGTACAGCTTCCAAAATTCCTCTTGTTATTGATTTCTAGTTTTATTCCATTGTGGTCAGAGAAGATGCCCTGGAACCACTTGAGAAAAACAGCAAACATGCCACAGACTCCTCTTTTTGAGAGGAAGCTCTGTCTTTCCTGATGGATCCCCAAGAATTCTAAGTGTACAGATTTCTCTCAAGTCTAAAGCTTTACTCTCTTTTGCATTCAACTCCTTGATCTCTTTGGCCTTTAGATGCATACATATAGACATATATGTTATATGATGTGTCTACATGTATATATATGTCTATATATATTTGTATATTGTCTACATGGTTCCAATTAACTTAAAGATAAATGAGTACTCATTCATTAAATAAATAAATAAGCCCAAATGTTTTTCAAGTTCATAAGACTTGAATAAGTCTTTTGATTTATAAGACTAGTTTAATATTGTTGGATTGGTTTGTTTGTTAATTTTTTTGAGACAGAGTCTTTCTCTGTCACCCAAGCTGGAGTGCAGTGTCTCGATCATGGCTCACTGTAGCCTCGACCTCCCAGGCTCAAGGGATCCTCCTACCTCAGCCTCCCAAGTAGCTGGGACTGCAGGCATGTACCACCACCTGGCTTTTTTTTTTTTTAATTATTATTGTGTGTGTGTGTGTGTGTGTGTGGAGACAGGGTCTCACTATGTTGCCCAGGCTGGTCTTGAACTCCTGGGCTCAAGTAATCTTCCCATCTTGGTCTCTCAAAGTGCTGGCATTACAGTTGTGAGACACCAGGCCCGGCCATATGTTTGCTTTAATAAAAATAACTCTGTCTTCTGTGCTATTAGCAAAATATATGTGTATTTAACTTTAAAGTTTCTGCTTTTGTGATACTTGCCTAACATACAGTAATATAAAATGGTTAATAGAGGATTTAACTTGAGATAATGGCTAGATTTGTCCAATGTCTCATAAAATCTTCCAAACATAATTGTTAAAATTAAATAAAATTTAAATTGTTAAAATAAAATAGATGTACATGAGATAAAAGTTTTAAAATGAACTTTTTAATAATAATCATGTTTTCTAATATGTTTGCTTAAAAAGGTTTCTCAAATCTTTTTGGTAGCTATATGCTTAGAATTTTGCCAAGCAAAATTAAATGATGGATATTCATTTCTAGGTTATTTCCAATAAGATCTAATGTTAAGCTATTAATTACTAAATATGGGTTTAAGCTTACATATTTTTGGCTTTTGTGTGTGTGTGTGAGACAGAGTTTTGCTCTGTCACCCAGGCTGGAGTGCTGGAGTACAGTGGCATGATCTCAGCTCACTGCAACCTCCACCTCCCGTGTTCAAGCAATTCTCCTGCCTCAGCCTCCCGAATAGCTGGGAATACAGGCACATGCCACCATGCCCGGCTAATTTTTGTATTTTTAGTAGAGATGGGGTTTCACCGTGTTAGCCAGGCTGGTCTCAAGCTCCTGACCTCAAGTCATCTGCCTGCCTTGGTCTCCCAAAATGCTGGGATTATAGGCATGAGCCACAGCCCCCAGCAGGCTTTTTATTTTGGAAAAACAAAAGATAGTTAAATCTGTTAGTAAATATGTTCTGTTCCACATTTAAAAATTGTTCCATTAGAAAGCCTATGTTTCTAAAAATCATAAAATGTGTATTCATAAATTGTTATTATGTGACTGACAGTTAAAACTTGCTTACTTCTTAGGTTTTCACTATGAATTAAGGTTACTAATAATTAAAATTCTGACTAGTAAAATGAGATAAAAATGGAAATAATTCTGTATACAGAGTATATAAGGAAAGTACGACATGTTTTATCAAGGAAATTATGAAGTATGAGAATATGTTTTTATTTTAAAAAGTGATTTTGTGTAGTTTACAAGTTATTTGAAAGTTGTTTCAGAAGAAATAAAAGAATGGAAAAATGAGCTAGATAAACTGAATGGATACAGAAAGTCAGGGGAAAGAAAGCGAGGGGAAATATTTTATAAGTGGTTATAGAATGTTTATAGAAATCTTACATTGTGTGGTAAAGCTAATTGTGATTAGATGGATATGATAGATTTGTTTATAAGGTTTTAATGAAATTGTTTAGTGTTAATAATATAACTGATACAGAGGTAGAATTTGGTTTTCTTTTTTGAATAAGATTTTTATGTAATATTAACAAGAGACAATAAAAGACTTTGGTTCACCTTTTGAGTAAACTGAAAGAAAAAAAAAGGAAGAGAGTTTGCTTCCTGCTGTCTTTATTAGATCTTTTGTTTGGAAAATTGAGTCTTCCCTCTATCAAAGAGTAATGGTTTTTATTTTCTGACGTCTTCTAGTAATCACTTGGCTAAATGAATGACTTTTATTTTACAGTGATCTGTGATTCTATTTTAATCAAGTGTTTTAAACTTTTGTTACACTTAACAGCCTTCCCAAGATCAAATTTCGTATTCTAAATTAAGTGTTTTTTTAGCCTCAAACTAGTTTTTTGACATTCAACAGACGGGCCCTTGGAAGTCCAAGAGAGATATATTAGTCTTATTTGGTATGTTAAATTACACAGGAGACATTGTCAAATAAAAAATGTTTAATCTTCTTTGAGTTATATGTATATAAATGTATTTTTTAATTTAAAAATAAAAAAAAATAGTGACGGGGTCTTTCTATGTTGCCCAAGCGATCCTCCCACCTCAGCCTCCCAAAGTGCTGAGATCCCAGGCATCAGCCACTGCACCCAGACTAAATGTATTATTTTACATGTGTTTAACATTGCGTTAGTTTTTTTTTTTTAACTCTGATAGACTTGCTTGATGTAGGGTTGCCACAAACCTTCAATCTGTAAAAAATGCAGTTTCTGTAAAGTGCAATAAAGTTAGGTGCAATGAAACAAGGTATGCCTATATTTATTTTCTTTTTCTTTTTTCTTTTTTTTTTCCTTTTTTTTTTTTTTTTGAGAAAGAGTCTCACTCTGTCACCCAGGCTAGAATGCAGTGGCTCAATCATAGCTCACTGCAGTCTCGACTTCCTGGGCTCAAAGGATCCGCCCACCTCGGCCTCCCAAAGTACTGGGATTACAGGCATGAGCTACTGAGCCCAGCCAAATTTTTGTATTTTTTGTAGAGAAGGGGCCTCACCATGTTGCCCAGGCTGGTCTAGAACTCCTAGGCTCAAGCAATCCTCCCACATTGGCCTCCCAGAGTGCTGGGACTACAGGCATGAGCCACCACACCTAGGCTTATTTTCTTTAAGTGTTTTTAAAACATTTCTTTAAACTAAAGACAGAGTCTCCCTATGTTGCTCAAGGAGGTCTCAAACTCCTGGCCTCAAATGATCCCTGCTCTGGCCTCCCAAATTGTTGGATTACAGGTGTGAGCCACAACTCCTGGCCAAAAACATTTTTATTTTTACTTTATTTTATTTTAACGTTTTGTAGAGAAAGGGTCTCACCATGTTGCCAAAGACGGTCTCGAACTCCTGTGCTGAAAGAATCCTCCTGCCCCAGCCTCCCAAAGTACTGGGATTATAGGCATGAGCCACCACACCGGAACCTAAAACATTTTTAAAAATCCACATTGAGTCATTATACTCCATGCATGGGGAGGAGGGTTTGACCAGACGAGATTGTCTCAGATTCTCTACCCAGAGCTTCCGGTCTCTGCTGAAGGCCATCCCTGTGGACTTGTCTACCAGCTCCTCTCCCCTATTTTTGCAGGGATGATTGTAAAGTTCCTTTGCTGACCTGCCCTTCAGGTTGTGGTATGAGTTGGGGGCCAGAAGGGCAGTGTGAAAGATTGTCCTGGTAGGTTGGCAGGGAGCTGGGAGTGGTGAAAGACTCAAGGTCAGCCAGTGAGGTCAGAACCAGAGACACCCGCATCTTTGCTGGGATTCTTCATCTCTGTCTTGAACGAGCCTCTAGAAAATGAAGGACTTTCAAGGTGAAAATTCCACCTTGTAGAATGAGGCAGCCTCTTGAGCTTACCAACCTAGCAGGCTAAGTGAGAACCCAGATGAGGAGGTGGGTCTGGGGGCGGGGGGAGTGGGGGCAATTGGGCTGTATTCACGGGAGGGATTCCCCTTCCAGGAGGCTGGAGAAGCTTAGGATGCAGCAGGTTTCTTGCTAAGAAATGCACCAGCATGGAGCATTTAGAGAGGTTCAAGGTGACGAGAACGAGATAAATCTCCGACTCTAGCCCCCAGTGACTGTGGGTGACTGAGCAATATTCTCAGGGGTCCCACTGTCCAGCCAATGGATGTTGATATTATTTTCAGTGCATTAAATCACTTTTCAAAATTCTGCATTCAGATGGGGCACGGTGGCTCACGACTGTAATCCCAGCACTTTGGGAGGCCAAGGTGGGCAGGTCACTTGAGCTCAGGAGTTCAAGACCAGCCTGGGCAACATGGTGAAACCCCATCTCTACAAAACATACAAAAAACTAGCTGGGCATGGTGACGCACGCTTGTAGTCCCAGCTACTCAGAATGCTGAGGCAGGAGGATTGCTTGAGCCCAGGAGATGGAGGTTGTAGTGAGCTGAGAAGGCACCACTGCACTCCAGCCTTGGCAACACTGCAGGACCCTGTTTCAAAAAATTAATTAATTAATTTAATAGAATAGAATAAAATAAAATAAAAATTCTGGGTTAAATTGTGCCCTTTATGCTGGGAAGGTGGGGGCAGAGGAGAATGGAAATTACCTGGTTTAATTACATATAATTAAACTATGCCTTTCTCCCACTCCCCAAATAAGAGCAATATCAGTTATCATGCCACGAGCATCATTGGATGTTTACAGCATGTACATTTTGCATGTACAAACATACAAAAAATTCTCCTCTGAGTTAGACTTTCCTATGTTTATACTCCCTTGACAACCCTGCTTCTTGTCTGAGTCCACCTCTGATCCCTACCTACTGCTTCCACCATCTTCAGCCTCAAATTCCACATCCAAACATTGAGCCTGGATAGTTTAGATAGCTTTGTACCTTGTTACCCTACTCCTCAGTATCCTTTTTTTTTTTTTCATACAGAGATTTCCCACATACCCTCTTCCCCACACTTGCAGAGCCTCTCCCCTTATCAACATTTCCCCACCAGAATGGTACATTTATTAAAGCTGATGAATCTACATTGACAAATCATCATCAAATCATCACCAAAGTCTATAGGGTTTTTTTTGTTGTTGTTTTTGTTTTTGTTTGTTTTTTGATGGAGTTTTGCTCTTGTCACCCAGACTGGAGTGCAATGTCATGATCTCGGCTCACCGCAACCTCTGCCTCCCGGGTTCAAGCGATTCTTCTGCCTCAGCCTCCCAAGTAGCTGGGACTACAGGCATGTGCCCCCACGCCCAGCTAATTTTTGTATTTTTAGTAGAGACAGAGTTTCACCATCTTGGCCAGGCTGGTCTCGAACTCCTGACCTCATGATCCACCCGCCTCGGCCTCCCAAAGTGCTGGGATTACAGGCGTGAGCCACCGCGCCCGGCCAGAGTCTACAGTTCACATTAGGTTTCACTCCTGGTGTTGTACATTCTACGGGTTTGAGAAAATGCGTAATGACATGTATTCACCATCATAGTATCATACAGAGGCATTTCACTGCCCTAAAAATGCTCTGTTCTCTGCCAGTTAATTCCTCCATTCTTCCTACCTAACCCCTGGCAACCACTGATCTTTTTACTGTCTACATAGTTTTGCCTTTTCCAGAACGTCATATAGTTAATCGTACAGTGTGTTGTCTGTTCATATTGGCTTCTTTTACTTAGTAATATGCATTTAAGTTTCTTCCGTGTCTTTTTATGGCCTGACAGCTCAGTTCTTTTTGGTACTAAATAACATGTCATTGTCTGCATGTACCACAATTTATTTATTCATTTATCAGCTGAAGGACATGTTGGTTGTTTCCTAGTTTTGGCAATTATGAATAAGATTGCTATAAATATTTATCTGCAAGTTTTTATGGAGACGTAAGTTTTTCATTTCTTTGGGTAAATACCAAACAGCATGATTGCTGGGTTGTACGGTAAGAGAAGATTTACTTTTGTAAGAAGCTGCCAAAATGTCTTACAAAGTGGCTAGACCGTTTTGCATTCCCACCAGCAGTGTACAAGAGTTCCTTTTGCTCCACATCCTTGCCATCGTTTGGTGTTGTCAGTGTTCTGGATTTTGGCCATTCTAACAGGTGTGTGTTGATATCTCATAGTCGTTTTAGTTTGTAATTTCCTAATGACACATGATGTGGAGTTTCTTTTCCTATGTTTGTCATCTGTATACTTCTTTGATGAGGTGTCTGTTTAGGTCTGAACCTATTTTTTAATCAAATTGTTTGTTTTCTTTTTGTTGAGTTTTAAGAGTTCTTTGTATAGTTTGGATAACAGTCCTTTAACAGATATGTGTTTTGCAAATATTTTCTCCCTGTGTATGGCTTATCTTTTTATTCTCTTGACAGTGTCTTTCACAGAGCAAACAATTTTTTTTAATGAAGTTGAGTTTCTTGATTTTTTCTTCCTCAGTATCCTTTTACAACTTAAATCTGAGGATACAACACTTTACTTCAATACCTTGTTCTTAAACAAAGACTGGAGCAGTGAGTACATGGCTGTGGACCTCATCAGTGTCATCAAATTGATGACATTGACCAACTTTTCCTGGGTTTGGATAGTCTTAGAGATTTTTAGATCGTCTCTCATAGAATTTCAAGAAATCCTTCCATAAAATACCTAGCTCTAACTTCCGCCTCTTAAGCAAGAAAAGCAAAAATTGAATTAGCGTTTTATGTCCTGCATGATCTCCGTGGAACCCGTACAGATCCTGAGGACTAAATGCGCTGACAAGGACACAGGCACAGGCTTTACCGGCCCAGGGATGATGGGAGGAATTTAACCTAAGTGAAAAATTAATTCTCAAACCTATCCTACCCTGCCAAGATTCACAATCCCATTTTTGCCCTGTCTCTGTGCCACATCCCATATAAGCAACAATTTAACCAAAAACAGACTTGAAAATTAATTGTACATCATCCAAGTCAGCGAGATCTTCAGCCCCCCAATTTAGCATCATTGTCCTGGGCAACCAGGCTTGTGGCTCATCCATTTACCCAAATAGAACCAGCAATATCTTACCCTGGACGAATAGGTGGTAAAAAAAAAATGATTTTTCCCCTCCCTTTGGATCTTTCTGAGGAAAGCTGAGTTGATTAACAAATAAAAGTTACCAGCTGGTAAGTATCTTGGATCTGTGTTTTGAAGCCGAGGTAATAAGCCTTTTGAACAAACTGCAAAATAAAGGACAAGGAGCAAATTCAAAAGGACTTTTGTGCAGATTCTTTCCTATCATTTCATGATATGGTTTTCACATCAGATATTTAACAGCTCATCAGTCTGATTATAGTACCATTAGTCCCACTTCTAAGCCTGATGAGCCACTCTGGTCTTGTTTCTTACAAAAATTAATTTTAGGTTTTTCTCAATTGGGATTAAATGTCAACCAAAATGTACTACATGAAAAGTCTTATTAACATTATCATAATAACAACTTATGCTCCTTACACATTAAAGCACATAAGACATTTGCCTACAATGTGTGATTGAAATCCTTTTCTTACCAACCTTAAAAGAAAAGCAAAAGATGCTGGTACTGAATATGAATAAAACATTCTGTCAAGAGCTTTTTTGCAAATGCTGCTCTAATTCATGCAAAATCAAATTTATCTCCATTGGATTAAATTTAACTGATTCAGATCCACATGGCTGACCAAGATGGGGTGTTAAATTCCTTTAAAAAATGGTAACTTCGGAAATATCCATTGGATTCCCATACTCTTCTATTTGAACAGTCAAATGCCCTTTATGAATTAGCAATGAGATTTGACAGAACTGATTTTCCTTGGAAATTACGTGAGATGTTCTATTTTTAACCAGAAGCTAAAAAAGTGTGATGAGATCAATGCTTTAAATTAAGTCTGCCTAAAACCTCAAGAAAAAGTTCTCATCAAAGGAACCAACAAAATCACAAAAATGAGGAGCAGACTGGGGAAATCCTGGCTAAAATTCTTGATAGACAATAGTTGTCCTGTTATTCTTCTTTGCCAAGATAGCCAGGTGTCACTGTGATGGCTTAAGAAAAGAAAAGAAAAGGAAAGAAATGACAACACAACTTCCACATGAACAGCCAGAGACTAGAGGAAATCCCCAGTTACTGTAACTGAGCTAACTTCAGCATTATATTCTGAACCACTTCTAGAAATGAAACCTTAAAGGCAAAACTTGGGGTTTTAATCTGACAGAAAAGTGAATTGGAAACATCTTTAATTTACATTTTAGAAAATGAAGAAAAGCATGTAGAAAAAAAATTGAAAGCCTTACAACCCAGGAACCTAGAAATAATAACTCCTGTATTTCTAATATTGTAGGCATTCCCAACCAGTTTTTGTTTTTTTTGTTGTTTTGTTTGTTTTGTTTGAGGCGGGGTCTTGCTCCGTTGCCCAGGCTGCAGTGCAGTGTCATGATCACAGCTCACTGCAGCCTTGAACTCCTGGGTTCAAGCCATCTTCCTGCCTCAGCCTCCCAGGTAGCTAGTACTATAGGTGAGTGCCACCACATCTGGCTAATTTTTAAATTTTGTGAGGAGAAAAAGTCTTGCTTTTTTGCCCAGGCTGGTCTTGAACTCCTGGGCTCAAGCGATCCTCCCACCTTGGCTTCCCAAAGTGATGGGATTTATAGGCATGAGCCACTGCACATGGCCTGCTTATTTATTTTAATGTAGTTTTTCTTAAACCTTTGAGGAAAGTCATCACTCAACGATTATTCCAAGTTGGAAGTATTCAGTGGCACAGCACCATCAAAAAGCCCTGAAAAAGGCATTCTCCAGTCTGAAAAGAGAGCTGAAATAGCCTCTCCCTTAATAAAAAGTGCCTGTAATCCCAGCACTTTGGGAGGACAAGGCCTCAGGAGGATTGCCTGAGCCCAGGAGATGGAGGCCAGCCTGAGCAATACGGCAAGACCCCGTCTACAAAAATCAAAGAAATTAGCCAGGTATAGTGGCTGACAACTGTGGTCCCAGCTACTTGGGAGGCTAAGGCAGGAGGATCCCTTGAGCCCAGAAGGTCAAGCCTGCAGTGAGCCATGTTTGCAGCACTGCACTCCAGCCTGGGCTACAGAGCAAAACCCTTTCTCCAAAAAAAAAAAAAAAAAAAGAACAAAAATAATAATGATAATGATGATTTCCAGAGGAACTTCTGCAAGTAGGGAAAGCCAGCAGTACCTACAAGCCTCAATTCATCCTGTGTCCCCTTGCCTCCACCATGACCCAATACCCACTGTTGCTCTGATAAGTGGAACTGGTAGAGTCTTGGGGAAACTTTAATAAGCATTAGAGAGAGTAGAAGGAAAATCAGCACAGAGAAGTGGAGGTACAGGCTGGTTTAGGAGGTGCTGGCCTGATCTGCCCATAGCTGGCTGTTCCCAGGCCTTGGTGTGGCCTTCTCTCAATGGTAAGCCATGGGCAGCCTCAGTCATTTGCTGAGTTCCAAATGGAAGCCAATCATGAACATCCTCAGCTCAGTCCTGGCAGGCCCCAGCTGCTCTTGCTTCCATTGCTTAACTTCTCTCCTCATTTCTCTGCTCCAGGCCCACCCTGGGCAAAATTGCAGAGTAGATTCAAGATCCCCTTCAGCAACCTGGTCTCGTGGTTCTGCCCAGAATAAATGGGTGGGATGACCCATTCTTTATGAATTGTCTTTCTGGAATTGGAGAGCTTTGCAGAGATTAGAAAGAGGCCTCATCTGGGCACACACAGCACTTGACACAGGTGTCCCCCCTCCTCCTGCTGAAAGCAGCCGTAGGACACAGGTTAACTAGTGGAGAGCAAGCTGGGTCTCTATCCCACAAGCCTCTCAGCCTCAGGCCTTTGTGCGGGTCATGAACCAAACAGTTGAGGCATTTGGGGGTCAGGGAACTTTCCTGGTACCTCTGAAATTTCTTCACAGGGGCAAGTGTCTTTTCCAGTCACCTAAGCAGACCTTGTTCTAGGCATCCCTGGACCAATATCATGGATTACCTTTGAGTTTTTCCTAACTGTTACAAAACGCTTTATGGAAAAGTTGTTTCTTTTTGCCTAGTGTTTATTTCTGTCTCCAAAGCAAGCTTGCTTTCATTTCTTTCACTTTTCACAATTTGGCAGAAAATGCTTTTCTCATTTGCCTCTTATGTGAAGACTTTTATCTTCTCACTTCCCCTTTCTTTTCTTCCTAGAAACGTCTTATCTCTTACCATCCCTGAATGTCCCCTCCAAGGTAAGGGAACCAGCTCTCACTTTTGAGTGTTTACCGAAAAGTTTCCATGCCACGTGGATGTGTCTCCTTGGGAGGGAGGTGCCTCGGGAGGGGGCTGGCTCCTTGGGGGCCTAGTCAGGCCTCGGGCCTTTCCTGGGCAGAGGTGACGAGGACAGCCAACCTAAAGTAACTGGGTTTCTGGGAAAGCCTAGAGGCCCCAGAGAGTCCTTTCACACAGTTCTCCACAGGTTACCATAGATATAAGGAAAATTTTTTTCAGCACTGATTTGCTTAAGCACTCTGTAAAATGCCGTTTTGAATTACAAATGAAGATGTGTATACCTTACTAAACACAAATATTTAAAATGGCAAATAAAAGAGTTAAGATGATTTAGAAATTTTAATGACCTAATGTATTAGTACAGTTTTAGTTGGGAGTTGGAGGACCATGGTAGATTAAGGTGAGAGAAAATACTGGGTGCTCAGTTGTTCTAAGCTGTATAATGTTTTGCAAAGTATAATCAAATAGAAAGTTGAAAGGTTCCTTGGTAGCTTTAAAATGTAAACTTTATACAAATCATGCAGAATGTTGTTATACTACCCTTCAAGTTATTTCTGGTATGTTACACTTTACATAAATACCTACATTAAGCTTGACTTCTTGATTAGAAAGCAAAGAGGAAAGGGAGCGCATTAAAGTGTTAACACAGGTGATATGGTCTGGCTCTGTTTCCCTACCCAAATCTCATCTTGAATTGTAATCCAGATTGTAATCCCCACGTGTTGTGGGAGGGACCTCATGGGAAGGGATCAGATCATGGGAGCGGTTCCCCCATGCTGTTCTTCTGATAGTGAGTGAGTTCTCATTAGATCTGATGGTTTTATAAGGGGCTTTTCCCCACTTCGCTCAGCATTTCTTTCTCTTGCAACCATGTGAAGAAGGACATGTTTGCTTCCCCTTCTGCCATGATTGTAAATTTCCTGAGGCCTTCCCAGCCATGTGGAACTGTGAGTCAATTAAACCTCTTTCCTTTATAAATTACCCAGTCTTGGATATTTCTTCCTAGCAGCATGAGAATAGACTAATACAACTGGGCATCAAAAATTCAGGATTTGAAAATTTGGGCATTAACAGGAGAGGGGCAATATTACTTCCCACCAAAGCAATATACAAAT
Organism: Homo sapiens; assembly: GCF_000001405.40. Lineage (NCBI taxonomy): Eukaryota > Metazoa > Chordata > Mammalia > Primates > Hominidae > Homo > Homo sapiens. The sequence goes on from NC_000006.12 coordinate 106,848,451, forward strand.
CTTATTTTTAAATTTGCTAATACACGTGATATTCCTTCCGACAATTACATTACTTTTTAAAATCTAAACTATTTGTTATTAAAATGTACAAAAGACTTTTGGTAAAACATTTAGATGGCAGGCAAAATGAATGAACCAAACAATTGGATAAATCTCATTAGTTTAATAAATGGTAACTAAAAACTAAAGTGCCAAAAGATTACATACAATATTATCCACACCTTTTTCACAACATTTAGAATAACTACAATAAAAGTATACACTTTTTAGGAATATGTGCAATAAAACTCTATAAAAAGGAAAGCAAGGGTATGAGGAACATGGAATTCAGGAGGAAGATGATCATGGGTGGACAGAGGATGAGGCAGGAGTGAGGGAACCAAGTAGTTAAATGTAAATTATTTTAAAGATCTTAGCTTTTATTTTGAATGGTGGCTTCCCAGACACTAGCTGCAGTATTAAAATGACTAACCCAGGAAATAAAGGAAAGGGAAAAGATAATATTGACAGTATCTAGAAATGTACAAATATATAAAACATATTGAATTTCTAGACCAATATCCCATAAGTGTCCATTGCTGACAATTTTCTCTATATCTTTCCCCAATTTTTAATCTTGGCATTTTAAAGCATATCCTAATTCCCCAATTAAAAAGCAATAAATAGCACACATGCCCAGAGAAAAGGCCATAAGTGAAGTCACTTGTGTTAATAGTGATCATAAGAAGAGGCTATTGCATAAGTTACAATATGTACAGTACACTAAAGTCTTTGGAAAGCACGGTAGAGTTAAGTCTTTTGCAAAAGACCTGAAAACTGTTGGTGATGGCAACCCACAGCTTCCTCCTAACTCAATTCAGACTGCTCTCTGCCCTCAGAGCTGCTGGACAGATAAGTCTTGAAGCTGTTTCTGTCTGACCTGAACTCCTAGGTTTAGACTAGAGCAAGGCAGCGGGGCTGGCGAGGACAGAAGGCTCTTAACAAATCATCATCCACCTCCTCACCTTCTAGAAAACAACAGACTCTTCAGCATCCAGAATCCAGCAGAAGAGAGACTGAAGTTTCTCTTTTTGTAAGAGAATTGGGTATAATAAATAAATAAATAACCTTTGTAGGTCTAGACCCCAAATGGAGAGAACATATTAATTCCTTGTTTAGTCTCTTCCTGGGACAAAGGTCCCACTCAGTCCTTTCTAATGGAGACCATGGCTGTCAGTCTCTAAGCAGGCTACCCCTTTAGCTTCTCCATAGAACAGATCACCAGTCTGCTTCCCAAACAGCCTACTTTCTCGATCCTATCTTAAGGAAGTCACACATCTCACACCATAAGCTTGAGCTGCATGTGGGGAAAGTGGGAAGGAAGTGGAGATGAAAGAGGAAATTACACCCCTAGCAGTTACAAATGACGGACTTAGATAGCATTGTCTAACCCAGGCCATTGGAATTCTGCACCATCCCCACTGCCCCTCTGCCTCCAACTGGGTTGCCACCATCTCTTCAATAAGCAATTAGATTTAATTAACATTGCACCCCGCATTTAGATGGTAGCGAATAGTGTGCCAGCAGACATTTAACAATTGGTTCTATGAAGAAAAAGCATTTGTAACGTGTCTATTTCCATGGTGTAAATGCTCTCATGGTGGCCAATTTCAAGCTGTCAACATGATGTCACCAGATGCAGATTGGGAACTGATACCACAGTCAGGTCTTGTGAGCTGCATTGAGCTGGCTCCCTTACACCACTAATTGTAATGCTTTCATTATAAGGTATTATTATTTTGGTAAGTGGATCTACAATTGGCCAATATTTTGCAGCCATGCCTCAGTTTCTTCGTTGTTAAAAATGGTAAAATAAGAACCACTTCTCCAGATTATCATGAGAGTCAAAGTGCAAAGCACATAAAATTTTCAAACCTTGTCAGTCCTGACTGGTTGCAGTGGCTCATGCCTGTAATCCCAGCACTTTGAGAAAGCCATGGTGGGAAGATGTCTTGAGCCCAGGAGTTTAAGACCAGCCTAAGCAACATAGCAAGACCCTGTCTCTACAAAAAATTTTTAAAAATAACCAGTCTGGTGACACATGCCTGTAGTCTCAGCTATTTGGAAGGCTGAGGTGGGAGGATTGCCAGAACCCAAGAGTGTGAGGCTGCACTGAGCTATGATCGTGCCACTGCATGTCAGCCTGAGCAAGAGAGGGAGACCTAGTACTTTGGGAGGCTGAGGCAGGAATATCACTTGTGGTCAGGAGTTCAAGACCATCCTGGGCAACATAGTAAGATTCTGTCTCAAACAATAACAATAATAATAATTTAAAAATATATACATCAAGCTGGGCACAGTGACTCACGTCTGTAGTCTCAGCACTTTGGGAGGCCGAGGCCAGTAGATCACCTGAGATCAGGAGTTCAAGACCAGCCTGCCAACATGGTGAAACTCCGTCTCTACTAAAAATACAAAAAATTTGGGCCAGGCGCAGTGGCTCACGCCTGAAATCCCAGCACTTTGGGAGGCCAAGGCGGGCGGATCACAAGGTCAGGAGATTGAGACCATCCTGGCTAATGTGGTGAAACCCCGTCTCTACTAAAAATACAAAAAAACTGGCCAGGTGTGGTGGTGGGTGCCTGTAGTCCCAGCTACTCGGGAGGCTGAGGCAGGAAAATGGCCTGAACCCAGGAGGTGGAGCTTGCAGTGAGCCGAGATCGCACCACTGCACTCCAACCTGGGTGACAGAGTGAGACTCCATCTCAAAAAAAATACAAAAAATTCGCCGGGCATCGTGGCGCGTGCCTGTAATCCCAGCTACTCGGTACTCGGGAGGCTGAGACAGGAGAGTCACTTGAACCAGGGAGGAGAAGTTGCAGTGAGCCAAGATCATGCCATTGCACTGCAGCCTGGGCAACAAAAGCAAGGCTCTGTCTAAAATAAAATGTGTATGTGTATATATATACATATATATATATATATATGTATATACACACACACACACACACACACACACACACACATCAATCCTGCTTCCGTCATCCTCTTGTCTTCTCATGTTGCACTTTCATTCCTAAAACTACTTTTGCAAAGATTGTGACAGTCAGAGGAATCTAGCATGGCTGACTCCATCTTGCTTCACAGGCTGGCTATCCTTGCTCATTCCTGGGCATAAGCCAGGCTAACCATGGGAGGAATTTTGTTTATAGTTTAACTTTGAAGCAAGGATGCTAATAGTCCTTCCATAAAACTAATTCCCTTGGCCAGGTGTGGTGGCTCATGCTTGTAATCCCAGCACTTTGAGAGGCTGATGCAAGTGGATCACCTGAGGTCAGGAGTTTGAGACCAGCCTGGCCTTTATGGTGAAACCCCGTCTCTACTAAAAAATACAAAAATTAGTGGAGCATAATGGCGGGTGCCTGTGATCCCAGCTACTCAGGAGGTTGAGGCAGGAGAATCGCTTGAACCCGGGAGGCAGAGGTTGCAGTGAGCCGAGATTGCACCACTGCACTCCAGCCTGGGTGACAGAGTAAGACTCCGTCTCAAAAAAAGAAAAAAAAAACAGAAAAACTAATCCCCTCCTCGTTCAGAGACTGAAGCTACCTTTGCAAAGCTAACTGTGGGAAGAGTCTGAATTCTACTAAAATGTAGGCATGATTTCTATCATCCCTTACTGCTCAGAAGTCCTGCAGCCAGAGGTCACAAAATCTGTGACTTCCCCAGTTGCTCCTATAGGTAATATCACTGTTGTAGGACCTAAGGTTGGTCTTTGAGATGGTTTTCAGACTTTTGCATTCTGGCAACCAGCTGACCCCATTTGGACCAGTGATTCATGACTCAACAAGTTCTGTGGCCCTCACCCAGAGGCAGACTCAGTGCATAAAGACCATTTTCCACACCTGTATGATTTCATCCCCAACCAGTCAGCAGCACCCATTCTCTAGCCCCCTGCCCATCAAATTGTCCATAAAAACCCTAGCCTCTGAGTTCTCAGAGAGACTGATTTGAGTAATAACTCCAGTCTTTCCAGTTGGCTAGCTCCACATTAATTAAACTCTTTCTCTACTGCACTACCATGGTGTCAGCGAATTGGTTTTGTCTGTGCAATGGGCAAGAAGAACCTGTTGGGCAATTACATTCCTCTTCCTCATTGTGAAGGCACAATCCCACCAGGGACACAAGTCCATGGAAGCAACACTTGGAACCTAGGAGTTGGAGATGTGCTCCAGTCAACAGCTGGTTGGAATGCTGAGAGGTTATTTTCTTATAGGAAAATGTTGGCAGACTCTATATGACATTGAGTTCAGCACAGTGAATGAGTCTACCTGTAAAGGGTTCTGTTTGTGCTTGGTATTCCCCATAATGATACTCTTAAGGATCCTTATGGAAATAAGTAATGGGTCTTCTCTGGTGACAGATTCTACATACCAGTGAGCTTCACACTGAGGGAGATTCTACAGTAAGACTGGCACTATCTTGCCCCACAGATACAATGTAGGTTAAGTAGGTTTTGGTGGGGTTTCTCCATTTGCTATGGAAGGCAGTTTTGTGAAAAATTGCATTCCCAATTCCCAACCTATTTAACCCATGTTGAATTCAACCTGTTAATATTTGGGGGACTATAAATATATAAAGATACAGACCCTATGTTAAATGAAAATTATAGATTTAAGAATTCTTTCTCTACTCTTCCTCTTCCAATAATGAAGTCATATCTCTCTTTCTTCATTGCCAAGTTTCTAGAAAGAGTGATGTACCCTTGCCTCCACCTCACTTGGTAGACCACACAGGCAGGTTTTCATTCTGTGTGCTTCCCTGACATGGCTCTGGCTTTTGTAGTTGTTGTTGTTGTTGTTGTTTAGTTCTGTTTTCTGAGACAGGCTCTCACTCTGTCACCCAGGCTGGAGTGCAGTGGTGCGATCTCAACTCACTGCAATCTCTGCTTCCCAGGCTCAAGCAACCCTCCTGCCTCAGCCTCCCAAGTAGCTGAGACTACAGGTGTGCACCACCATATCCAGCTAATTTTTAAATATTTTTTGTAGCGACAGGGTTTCACCATGTTGACCAGGCTGGTCTCAAACTCCAGAGCTCAAGCAATCCAACTGCCTCGGCCTCTCTGAGTGCTGGGATTGTAGGCGTGAGCCACCGCGCCTGGACTTTGTAGTGTTTTTTAATCCATATATTTATAAATTCTTGATAATTCAAGCTCTGGAAGGACAGAAACTGTGTCTTCACCTCTGTAGACCTAGCACTGAGCACAGGCAGGGACATATAGAAGGTGCGTATGCCAGTAGCTACCGTTTGTTGAGCACTGTGCCAGACATTGTGCTATGAGCTTTATGTGTACTCAATCTTTTAATCTGCACAACGGTTTTATGAAGCTAGGGCTTGCATTATCTCCATTGCATAGATGGAGATACTGAGGCACAGGGAGTTTACGAAGTTTGCCTGAGGTTGCACATCTAGTAAGAGGCAGAGCAGGGATTTGAATCTGGGCTGTCTAGAGCCCACACTCTTAGCATTTATATTCTATGGCCTAACAACTAATAGTGGTTAATCTTCATAAATAAAACTAAGATGTTACCTTATAACATCTTAAAATCTTTACAATTAAAGATTTTTAATGATAAATAATGTAATCTTTGTAAATAAAATTAATATTTTGCACGCAAAATCACTTTTGGGGCCCCAGGAAGGTCATCCTAATGCTGTAGGTTTTCATCCTCTAAAGCAGCTGAAACATGAAACCATTGTCAGGGCAGCACAGGCAATAGGTACGAAGGAGCCATAGAGAGAGAAACCTACAGTGTTTCACCTTTGAGCCCCAAACCAAAAACCACAAGAACAAAGGCTTTGATGGACCAGGATAAATTTGCAATGAAGCTCCTTCTTGCATGGGCCACTGTCATGGGTCAAATTGTCTACTCCCAAAAAAGATATACTGAAATCCTAACCTCCAGTAGTTCAAATGCGACCTAATTAGGGTCTTTACAGGCCTAATTGGAAAATAGAGTCTTTACAGACCTAATTGGAAAATGAGGTCATTAGATTGGGCCCTAGGCCAATATGACTGGTGTCTGTTTAAAAAGAGGAAATTTGGACACAGAGACAAACATGCACACAGGGAGGGAGAACACCCTGTGAAGATGAAGACAGCCAGTGCGGTGACCATCTCTCCACAAGCCAAGGAATGCCAGAGATGGCCAGCACCAGAAGTAAGGAGTGAGACACAGAACAGATTCCCCCTCACAACCCTCAGAAGGAACCAACCCTGCCAACACCTTGATCTGACTTCCAGTCTCCAGAGCTATGAGACAATAAATTGCTTCTGGTTAAGCCCCCTCCCACCCCAAACTGGGCTCCCATCCCACAAGCCCGGTTTGTGGTGGTACATTGTTATAGCCTCCCTAGGACATTAATACAGCCAGTCTTTGCAGGTGTTCCTGGATTATTAGAAGCTGGATTGACATTGGTGGTACGTGATTCTTCTGATTCATAAAAGGAGGCCAGTGAGGGAATGAAAAAGCAACAAAGGAGGGATAAAGAGTATAAATCACTGTGGGCTGAGGAGGGTTTCATTAGATCTCAGGCTTGACCTACCATGTTGGAAGGGGGATAAGACTGAGGCAAACAGAGAGAAGAAAATAGGAAGAGCGTCCAGTGTGATCAAAGGAGCAGAGGGGGAGTGTGCATAATGCCTCAGAAGCAGTAAGTAGACCAGCACAACCAAATACAGGGCTCTGGCGGAGAAGAATCTGGATGGCAACGGTTTACAAAATGAAAACCTTAAAATATGGCATGATTCCATATGCCAGACGTCAATACAGAGTGGATATAAAACCTTTTATTCATTCAACAAGTATTCTTGCATGCTTAGTGTGTTTGTGATACTATGCCAAGTGTGGGCATAATTCATGAAATCTCAAGGCAAACAAAATGCTGAGATTTCAGCCAAGCTTCATCTTTGATGACAGCAGCAGTCAATTTGACTTTCCAATGTTCAGCCGAGTTATTTCTTAAAATAGTCCTAGTACTAAACTCCTCTGAACACTTTGAATAAGGAAACAAGGTTTCTATTAAGGGACCCCAGATATGGGTATAAGAGAGTCACATAACTTTATAAACTTTATACAAGTACTAAATTAGAGTTATCCTATCTGATACTATCACTTAGAGGATTTTGAAAGGAAATTGATATTTTCACTACAACCTTCCTGAAGTCCTCCTTCTGATAAAGAAAACCAGGGATGAAACCCAACCCTCTAAATATATTTTTAATAAAAAAATCAATGGATGTCAATTTTCAGGTTGGAGGTTTATTAAATGTCTTCTTGTGTACTCTTCAATCTTTCTGCAGTCACCGTCTGTTTTATTCAACTCATGACTGCCTAGCTATACTGCTAATCTAAGTAATATTTACTTTACCACTCATCAATATTTGCCACTTTTAGTAAATATTATACCATTATACTACTTAAAGATTTATTAAGCAGTTAAAATTGAGTCTTTACCTCATTTAGTATTTATCTTTGAACAGACTGAGTACAGCATAAATAGTCATAGCTGAATTCAGAATTCTTATTTTTAGTGTAATTGGACCAAAAATCATTCTGCACACCTGGAAAGGTGTTGACCAAAGCATCAATAAAGACAAAGCCTGTTTATTAATGACCCCAGCTCCAAACCTTGCTGGAAAATACTAGGTAACCTTTAATTAAAATTACAAATAAACTTTTAATCAATCTTAAAGCATACACTGACTGAGTTTGTCAGTAAACTCGCACCAACCTAATACCTTGAACAAGTCTTCATATTCTACATTTCTTTTTCACTGGGTGAAATTCTGAAAATCCAGTATTATTTCTCCTATAGCCACAGTGAGTCAGCTTCTGAGTGGCCAAAGAAAACTCATAGAAGGTGGAAAGGGGCGATAAGACTTGCTTCCTTGACACCCGTAAGTGCTTCAAACTCCACTGAGAAGGAAAGAAGGAAGGGGCACAAACCCCTGGTGAGTCGCCGGTGGACCTGTGACCCAAAGGTCATTCATTCTGCAAACGTTTATGAAGCAGCTACTATATGCTAGGCACAGTGCCAGGTGCTGAGGCTATGATTTTGCATAAGACAGACCCTATAGGTTCTTGTTGCCTCGTGGAGAGACAGAAAATAGCCAAATAAGCAAGAAAAAATTCAGAAGCTGATCATTCCAAGAAATTTTAAATAGAATAATTTGATAGACAGAGTTGACTGGTGCCTCTGAATTTCAGGTCAAGGAAAACCTCTCTGAGGAGGTGGCAGCTACGTCTGAAAGATGTTAGTGCAAAGGCCCTGAGGCACGAAAGAACTTGAAGGCAGCTTCTGGAAATAAAAAGAAAGTCCACCCCCCTTCCCCCAGTGTGCGCAATAATCATGTACTATTTTATAATGAGAAAAAATGTTACTTTGGGGGGACAAACTTCATATCCTTTAACACTTGTGGACATCAATCTTAACGAAATTCTAAATGTAGAAAAAACCTTTTCGGCACAATGATATTCACAGCAGCATCATAATAGTGAAAAAACAGAAACAACCTAAATGACCAACAACAGATAAGTGGTTATATAAATTGCAGCATATCCATTTTCTAGGGATTCTATACTCAAAATTATTAAGACTTCTTTTCTACCTGGTCTTTTCTATTTTCTAAATTCCCTTTAATGAATATGAATTACCTTTATGATTTAAAAAAAAAAATGAGCTGGCCAGGTGCGGTGGTTCACGCCTGTAATCCCAGCACTTTGGGAGGCTGAGGCAGGCAGATCATGAGGTCAAGAGATCGAGACCATCCTGGCCAACATGGTGAAACCCCGTCTCTACTAAAAATACAAAAATTAGCTGGGCCTGGTGGCGCGTGCCTATAGTCCCAGCTACTTGGGAGGCTGAGGCAGAAGAATCACTTGAACCTGGGAGGCAGAGGTTGCAGTGAGCAGATATCATGCCACTGCACTCCAGCCTGGGCAACAGAGAGAGACTGTGTCTCAAAAAAAAAAAAAAAAAAAAGTCAACATGGGAGATTAGCATCCAAGATGGAGTTCCTTTAGCCTCCAGGCTAAAGGTTAGTCATGGCTGTGGGTCTAGAATCCAGAATCACAAGAAAACTAGGGTTTGAGTGGTGTCATAGATCAGATTTCCTGGAAAACAGATTCTGAGAGGGAGATCTGCAAATAGATAATTTGTTGGTGTTGTGGGTTGAATGGTACCCTCTCAAAAGATAGATTTGTTAAAGTAGGCAGATAGCTAGACATGAGCAGGTGGGGCAGCCCCTGAGAAAAGGGAGGCCTGGAAAATCTCACACCCCAGAGATCACCCAAAACCTGCATGTGAGATGTGAGCAGAGAGGAGGGAAAATACCTTGGCAGAAAGGAACGCCTCTTAAGACCCCAGTAATTGCTCACTCTGCAGTTCACCTGTCACATTGTCGCTAGCTACATGCTAATAGGGCAAAGGAGAAATTCCGAAGAGAAATGCAGGCACAATAAGATTTGACCACTGTACAACATTCCTTGAGTGGCAGTAATGAGCAATGCAGCCATTAGGTAGAATCCATATTCAACACGGAACCCACACGTGTGCACCATTAGTAAGGGAGGGTCCCACAAGCCTGGGGTGGGAACTAGGTATGAAAAAGGTAGGGACTTAAGGCAGAAGCAGGAAAATTAGACAAAGAAAAAAGGCAGAGACTTAAGACAGAGGTGGGAACGCCAAGAAAAAAAAAATCAACATCATAAAAACCCAGCGCAGAGTTCTCGGGCTGCTGCTGGCCCACTCTCTTTCAGCAGCCTGCTCGGGCTTATCTTTCAGAGTGTCCTGGCTCTCTAAATAAACTCTCTGCTCTCTATTTTCCTTCAGTAAATTCTCTTTTTTTGAGTAAATTAGTTGCTTGGCAGAATTCTTTCTTCCAAGTAAGACTAAAAACCAAGGATCCTGAAACTGCCATTGCAAAATTATAACTGAGACAGTGAAAGAGATCTAACCTAAACAACTTCATCTTGTTTCTAACTTCCAAGCTGTCCATGTTCACTCCTGGGCATAGGCTGAACTAACTTTGGGAGGAACTTAGTTTATAGTTAAACTTTAAAACAAAGACAATAACAGCCTTTTCCCAAAACAAACCCCCTTCCTGCCTGGGGACTAGACTGCCTTGGTAGGACTAACAAATTATCCAAAAGATGAGAAATTATGGTTTAGGAGTCATACAGCTGGCGGTTACAAGAGTCTGGAGTCTGACCCACCTCAAATTGCTCCTTGGCATAACATCACTATTGTAAAGCCTAAGGTCAGTGCTTGAGATATTTTGCAGACTCTAAACATGATGGATCATCTGGCACCACCCACATTGATAAACTAGCTCATCTGGTCTTGTGGCCCTCACCCAGGAACTGACTCAGCACAAGAAGACAGCTTCCACTCCCTATGACTTCATCTCTGACCCAACCAATCAGCACTCCCGACTCACTGGCCCCACGACCCAGCAAATTATCCTTAAAAGCTCTGATCCTTGAGTGCTCCAGGAAACTGATTTGAGAAAGAATAAAACTCCAGTCTCCTGCACAGTCACCTCTGCATGAATTACTCTTTCTCTATTGCAATTTCCTTGTTTTGACAATTCAGTTTTGTCTAGGCCGTGGGCGAGGTGAACCTGTTGGGTGGCTACAGTTCCCTTCTTTCTGGTAAGAGGTTGAAGTCCTAACTCCCATCCCTGTGACTGTGGCCTTATTTGGAAACAAACTCTTTGCAGATGTACTTAAGATGCATTCATACCAGGTTAGGGTGGGCTGACTGATATCCTTATAAGAAGGAAATGTGGATACAGACACATATACATAGGGGACATCATGTGACAATGCAGGCAGAGGTTAGAGTGATGAATCTACAAGCCAAGGAACACCAAGGCTTGCTGGAAACATGAGAAGCTGGTAGACAGGCATGGAGAAGATTCTCCCCCAGAGCCTTCAGAGAGAGCATGGCCCTGCCAGTGACTTGATTTGAGACTTCTAACCTCCAGAACTGTACTATAATGTTTCTGTTGTTTTAAGGCACCCAGCTTGTGGTACTTTGCTAAGGCACCATTAGAAAGGAATAATGTTGAGTCTTGCTCCCAGGAACTACACATATTGGGGAGGGAGGGAGAGAAGCCAAACTAGGCAGAGGGAGAAGTTGAATGGTGATGCAGTTGGCAACAGTGGGTTCAGAACCCATATGAAGACCCTGTGGAAATGTCCCAAATGGAGGCAAGGGGCTTTTCTTCCTCCAGCATAGATCTGTCATTGGATGAGAGCTGCCCTTGGTGGAGGGGAGAAAGTTTGGGTTGAGTGAGGCAGCTTCCTTCCACAGAGGCAAATTCTGGAGAGGGACTCAGCTGTGAGCCCAGCCATGAGCCTTCGGCCACAGTCAACACCACTGCAGCTGGAGCTGGGGAAAGGTGAACGTCTATGGCCAGAAGGGAGAGCTGAGTGGCACCCATGATCAGTGGCCATGTTATAAACTCTAAAGTACAACATATCTATAAAAATGTGAGTACACACTTGTCAAATATGATACTATGATAGTTTATCCAAGTTATATCTGTTTTATCTTTTCTTCAAAAAGGTGATTTTTATGTTTAATAGTGCAGTCTTTTTTTCAAGGCCGTGTTTTGCTTTTAGATGACCCAGCACCCATGATCAGTGGCCATGTCATCTAAACAGGGGAAGGACTTCAGAGGCCCAGAAACAAGAGATCGACTGACTCTGGAGAGAGAACTGGAGGTAAGGGAGAGACAGAGTGATCAGAGAAGACAGATCTGGCTCTGAAAGCATAAAGGGGTTTCAGAGACCTTTGATCCAATCTCACAACCCTACATGGGACTCTGTCCAAAACCAGGAAAAAAAAATGCAGTCTCTGTTGTGTTGAGTGACCCTCTTCCCTGGAGGATGGAATATACTTCCTTATTGTCAACCAACACTAGCCTTCCTATGACTCAGAGTTTTTCCCACCTTACCAAACTGTGCCATTTTCACTCTGACACCCACCAACTCCCACTAGACAAAAAGATTTGTGCATTTTCTTTTTTGTAAGTTGCTCTGCAACTTTTTCCAACTACACACATTGTCTCCTGCCACCTTTCCCAAACTGTTGTTGAGGTTCATTGCTCAGGAGCACCAGAAAACATGCCTCCCTTCCTCTACATGGCAGCTTTTCAAATGCTTGCAGACACTTTTTCTGTCCTCCCTAAATCTTCTTTTCTCCAGGCCAAAATCCTCAGGACTAGAAAAACTCTTCCTGCCCTGCTATACAATTCAATTATACTAGGAGATTCCTTGATTGTCTTCCTGTGACATTGTTTCAAACATTTATTCAATCATCGTATATTTATTAATCAGGTTCCTGATGTTATGGGATCTTTGGGGTGTTGCTTCTCTGGCTGGAAAAAAGTGCTAGTGGCACTTTTGCCAAAGTTCTTTTCCCGTGTCCAGGAAGAATGAGGTATGCAGACAAGTGGAGGGCGAACAAGACAAAGAGGAGCTTTATTGAGCATTACAACAGCTCAGGGGAAACCTGCAGTAGGGTAGTCTTCTCTGCAGCAGGTCAACCTGATGAGTATTCAGCTCTCAGCAGAGAAGGTAGCTCCTCTCTGCAGCTGCTTATCCTGTTGTCTACAGCTCTCAGCAGAAAGGAGGCCCTGGAGAGGGTAGCTCCTTTCTGCAGCTGGTCAACCTGACATCTCCTGCTTTCAGCAGAGGGGAGGCCCTGAAGAGGATAGCTCCTCTCTGCAGCTAGTCATCCTGACGTCTCGCCTGCTCTGGCTGAGTCCAGGGTTTTTATGGTCTTCAAAACCATGCTGATTGGTCCCGTGGGCAGCCATGGCCAGGCCCCAGAAAAAGCACCAAGAGATCCCCCTCCATTCCCCAGGACTGGCAGCCTGGCCTCCAGGCTTCACTGAAGCCTGAAGGTGGGGCTTCACTGATGATATGGTTTGGCTGTGCCCCCACCCAAATCTCATCTTTTTTGTTTTTTTTTTAGATGGAATCTCGCTCTGTCGCTCAGGCTGGAGTGCAATGGTACAATCTTGGCTCACTGTAACCTCTTCCTCCAGGGTTCAAGCAATTCTCCTGCCTCAGCCTCCTGAGTAGCTAGGATTACAGGGACCTGCCACCTCACCCAGATAATTTTTTGTATTTTTATTAGAGACGGGGTTTCACCATGTTGGTCAGACTGGTATAGAACTCCTGAACTCAGGTGATCTGCCCACCTCAGTCTTCCAAAGTGCTGGTATTACAGGTGTGAGCCACTGTGCCCGGCCTCCAGATCTCATCTTGAATTCCCACATGTTGTGGGAGGGACCTGGTGGAAGGTAATTGAATCTTGAGGGCAGGTCTTTCCTGTGTTGTTCTCATGACTGTGAATAAGTCTCATGAGATCTGATAGTTTTAAAAATGGGAGTTTCCAAGGTCAGGGGCAGTGGGTCACGCCTGTAATCCCAGCACTTTGGGAGGCCAAGGCATGCAGATCACCTGAGGTCAGGAGTTCAAGACCAGCCTGACCAACATGGAGAAACCCCATCTCTACTAAAAATACAAAATTAGCCAGGCGTGGTGGCGCATGCCTGTAATCCCAGCTACTTGGGAGGCTGAGGTAGGAGAATTACTTGAACCCGGGAGGCAGAGGTTGCGGTGAGCCAAGATTGCACCATTGCACTCCAGCCTGGGCAACAAGAGAGAAACTCCATCACAAAAATAAATAAATATATAAATAGGGAGTTTCACTGCACAAGCTCTCTTCTCTTGTCTGCTGCCATGTGAGATGTGCCTTTCACCTTCCGCCATGATTGTGAGGCCTCCCCAGCCAGGTGGAACTGTAAATCCAATATGCCTCTTTCTTTTGTAAATTGCCCAGTCTTGGGTATGTCTTTATTAGTAGCATAAAAACAGACTAATACAGTAAATTGGTACCAGTAGAGTGGGGTGCTGCTGATAAGATACCCAAAAATGTGGAAGCAGCTTTGGAACTGGGTAACAGGCAGAGGTTGAAACAGTTTAGAGGGCTCAGAAGAAGACAGGAAAATGTGGGAAAGTTTGGAACTTCCTAGAGATTTGTTGAATAGCTTTGACAAAAATCCTAATAGCAATATGGACAATAAGGTCCAGGCTGAGGTAGTCTCAGATGGAGATTAGAAACTTGTTGGGACCTGGAGCAAAGATGACCTTGTTACGTTTTAGCAAAGAGACTGGCAGCATTTTGCCCTTGCCCTAGAGATATGTGGAAATTTGAACTTGAGAGAGATGATTTAGGGTATCTGGCAGAAGAAATTTCTAAGAAGCAAAGCATTCGAGAGATGACTTTGGTGCTGTTAAAGGCATTCAGTTTTAAAAGGGAAACAGAGCATAAAAGTTCAGAAATTTTGCAGCCTGGCAATGCAACAGAAAAGAAAATCCCATTTTCTCAGGTGAAATTCAAGCCGGCTGCAGAAATTTGCAGTAACAAGGAGCCGAACATTAATCCCCAAGGCAATGGGGAAAATGTCTTCAAGGCATGTCAGAGGTCTTCACAGCGGCCCCTCCCATCACAGGCCTGGAGGCCTAGGAGGAAAAAGTGGCTTCGTGGGCCAGGCCCAGGGTCCCTGTGCTGTGTGAAGACTAGGGAATTGGTGCCCTGTGTCCCAGCCACTCCAGGTGAGGCTGAAAGGGGCCAACATAGGGCTTGGGCTGTGGCTTCAGAGGGTTCAAGCCCCAAGCCTTGGCAGCTTCCAGATGCTGTTGAGCCTGTGGATGCACAAAAGTCAAGAATTGAGGTTTGGGACCCTCTGCCTAGATTTCAGAAGATGTATGGAAACGCCTGGATGCCCAGGCAAAAGTTCGCTGCAGGGGCAGGGCTTTCATGGAGAACCTCTTCTAGGGCAGTGCAGAAGGGAAATATGGGGTTGGAGCCCCCACACAAGAGTCCCTACTGTGAGAAGACAGCCACTGTCCTCCAGACTCCAGGATGGCAGATCCACCAACAGCTTGCACCATGTGCCTGGAAAAGCCACAGACACTCAACACTAGCTGATGAAAGCAGCCAAGAGGGAGGGGGTACCCTGCAAAGCCACAGGGGCAGAGCTGCTCAAAGCCATGGGAGCCCACCTCTTGCATCAGTGTGACCTGGATATGAGAGGGACCTGGTGGGAGGTAATTGAATCATGGGGGCAGGTCTTTCCCATGCTGTTCTCATGATAGTGAATAAGTTTCATGAGATCTGATGGTTTTAAAAACGGGAGTTTCCCTACACAAGCTCTTTGCTCTTGTCTGCCGCCATGTGAGATGTGCCTTTCACCTTCCGCCATGATTGTGAGGCCTCCCCAGCCATGTGGAACTGTAAGTCCAATAAACCTTTTATTTTGTAAATTGCCCAATCTTGGGTGTGTCTTTATCAGCAGCCTGAAAACAGACTAATACAACTGGGGATCTACTCCTCCTGCCCAGGAGCCTGTCTGCCTCCTGCCACCATTCATGGTGCCCAGGCTGTTTATGCCAAGAAGCGCCTGCAGGCCTGCGCTGAGCTGCCTTCAGCCCCACCTCGACTTCTCTCCCATGCTTGTCAGTACCCAAAGACCAGAGGGGGTTGAGGAAACAGAGGGCTGGCATGTCAGTGCTGCCCCAAGTGTGTGCCCACCCAGTGGGGTTGCGGCAGCACCCAGGTTTGGCCCAACCTTGCTCCACAATCAGAGTGGGTCAGGAGAAGGGAGAGGCCAGGCAGCAGGAGCAGGCACTTCTGAGCCTGAGGTGGGCAGGGAGGCCTTCCCGGGCCTCCCAGAGCACGAAGATGCCTGAGTCCACAGCTGGGCTTGAGCAGGTGTGGCTGCACCTGCGGGGAGCTCCTGCCCCACCAACTCGGAAGTGGCAGGGCTCCCACTTATCCCCAGCTCCCATCAGCTCCATGGAGCATGCAGCCCTGGCCATGCCTCCAAGATCAGAGCAAGCGCCAGCAGTGGGGAGAAGCCAGGCAGCAGGAACAGGCACTCCAAGCCTTTAGGGGACAGGGGGGCCTTCCTGGGCCCCAAAGAGCACAGAGATGCCTGGGTCTGGAGCCACAGCAGGGCAGCTGCAGAGGCACCCAGGGAGGGAGAGGTTCCTGCTTGCTCCATCGAGTGGGAGACCTAAGCCTGCTTCCCCACTGCAGCCAGCATCTTGGCAGTGGCCGCTGCTGCGGCTATCACTGAATTTGTGGGGGGGAATATACATATATATATATTCATCTACTTATTAGGAACCTACTTTGGACCAGTCACTTGGGGATATAACAATAAACAAGGAAATCTCAGCTCTGTGAATTTCAACATTACAGGAGAAAAGATAAGGAAAAACCTTTCTGGTACATGTGCAACAAAATGGCGATGAGGACTGAAGACAGAGCATGGGATATAGAGTTGTACTGTGTAGATTCTATTCCCATCTCGACCACCCACTAGCTGTGTGCCTTTGAATTATTTAATCTCTCTTGACTTTGATTTTTTTCATCCTTCAAATGGGGATAATAACATGACCTCATAGAATGGTCTTGAGGGATTAAATGGGTTAATACATATAAAGCTCTTAAAATGGTACCTGCACATAATAAGGACTCACAGAAAATTACCCTTGATGATTAAATTATTATTACTGTGCAATTGTAAACTCTATGCAAAAGCAAGGCATCCAGGATGATGCTCAGAGTTCTGCCTGAGCTACTAAGCGGAGGGTAGAGTCATTGACCGAGACAAGAACTCAGGAGAGGAGCAGGCTTAGGGAGAAAGTGATAAGTTAATTTTTGTACATCTTAGGTTGGAGGAAACTGCAGGATATTCAAAATCAGTTGTCCAGAAGACAGTTGGATATCAGTTTCTGGAGGTCAAGGGACAAGTGTGGGTTGGAAATGTTCATAACCTCTCAATATCTTAACTACCCTTTTCTGAACACTCTCCATGTTCTTAGCCTCTAAAAATAAGGTGCTCAGAACTGGACATACAGCACCTCAGGTGTGGTCAGACCAGCCCAGAGTACACACAGATAGGAAGAAAGGTAGTTCTCTCAAATGGCGAAAAAGTCAGGACACTAGTCAGGACTACACTGGGGGCTGGGCATATGAAGAAAGTAATACACAGTTGCTGCCCTGTGGGAGTTTATTGCCAGTCAATTAATTGTTACTGGGGTGAGTATAAAGCTCTATCCACAACAAAAGAGTAAAATGTTCTTTGTTTTTTGAGGTCTTAATTTAATTTTTAGTAGGGATGCCCCCATTCCTATGATGAGGCAGAAACTTAATTTTAGTCATTTTGGGTTCCCCTTGCCCTTTCTGAGGGATTGTGTCTAGGTTCCAGGGTATTTCCAGAGGCATTGAGAAGGAGGTCTCGGAACCTCACTGTCATCTGTGCATGCTTGCTTCTACTGAGAGGGCCATCAGCCCTGGTCCTCATTTATAGGCTGGTTCTGGCACCTGCTGAGCCATCCTTCTATTCCTCAGCTTCCACAGGGCTTTTCAGATCTAGGATCCTTTCTTCTTCCCCTCTCCTGTAGGGAACAAGGGAAAAACTTCCCCTTTGCCCTCTGAAATTTTGCTGAAAAATCAACTTACAAAAGGTAGATTTGATCGGGCAGGGTGGCTCACACCTGTAATTCCAGCACTTTGGGAGGCTGAGGCAGGCAGATAACTTGAGCCCAGGAGTTGGAGATCAGCCTGGGAGAAACCCCATCTCTACAAAAAATTAGCCAGGTGTGGTTGCACACACCCATAGTCCCAGCTATGCAGGAGGCTGAGGTGGGAGGATGGCTTGAGCCTGGAGGTCAAGGCTGCAGTGAGCTGTGATTGTGCCACTGCACTCTAGCCTGGGTCACGGAGCAAGACCCTGTTGACAGTGGCAGGAGGCAGACAAATTCCTAAGCAGACAGGGACAGGTCTCTGGTGAAACCTAATCTTCAAGCCAAAGACAGCCTGAAGCTGAAAACGAAGTTGCCAGTTCTGGGTAGAGTCCGCAACCAGAGTGACAACTTCCTTGATGCCTTTTAGCCAATGGAATGGTGCTTTTTCCAGGGGCTGCCCATGGACCAGTCAGCACTCACACCCCCGTTCTGACCCCATAAAAACCCTGGACTCAGCTTCACTGATGGCTACACACTTTGGGGCCCCCTCTCACACTGAGGGCTACCCACTTTGGGTCCCCTCTTGTGTCAAGAGCTTTTCTGTCATTCAGTAAAACCATTCTCTGCCTTTCTCACTCTCCAGTGTCCATGAATCTCATTCCTCTTGATCATGGGACAAGAACCTGGAACCTGCCAAATAGTGGGTGCAAAAAGAGATGTAACACTGTAACCCTCCCTCCCACTTGCCGAACAATGGTGAAGAAAAAGCTGCTGGGTGCCACATGTCCCCACTTACTGAGCTGCAGGTGGCGGGACCAAATGAGAGCTGTAACACTTCCAGGGGCTCAGACCTTGGGAATCCCTGAGCAAAAGCTGTAACACCACTTGGGGCTCCACGGTTGCTGGCATTTCCGAGCTTTGGGGTGCCACCATGTCCCCCTCATCCAGACACCAGTGCCCAAGGTAGAAGCTGGTCACGGCATGCCCGGACCAGTTGTGGGCTGAGCGCAGAGCTGTGGCAGGTGCGGGATCCAGGCGGGTAGTGCTAGCTGAGCGCAGCCCTCCAGGCTGAGGGGGCGGAACAACCCCAGCAGGCCCTAGTGAAGCCCGGGCAGAGGCACCACCAGCTGCAGAGATTTCTGGCTGGCAAAGTGGCACCGAAAGGATCCTGTGTCACTGTCTCAAAGAAAAAAAAAGAAGAAGAAGGCAGATTAATTGGAGAACAGGCATACAGATTTATTAACGTGCACATGGGGAGAACCACAGAGTGGTTATCCACCACTCAATGAGGGTCAGAAGCTTATAGCCATCTTGAAGTTACAGAAAGAATGGGGCCTTGGATCCTGACAAAACAGGTTATGGGAGGTGGGAGAAGAGGAATTCTGTTGAGAGGCAGTAAAGGATTAATGGATCAGGGGCACAAGTTAACATGTAAATAGTTCTCTTTGGAATTCGAGTGGAGCCTAAGGGACAGACACTATCCTGTAAAAGCGTCTGTTTAGGTGTGGTTACCTTCTTGGTGTTACAGGAAGGAGGAGAAAAACACAATTTGTTTTTCGTTTTTTGTTTCTTTTTTTGGTGGGTACAGACTTTAGACTGATAAAGGAACTTTAGCCTCGCTTTGAGGGAGTCGGTGAGGGTTGAGGGGGGTGGCTTAGAGAGACTTTGAGGATTCTTCATCAGTTCAGTATGTCAAAGTAAACATACTTATTTTGAAATATCAGTTTGAGAACATATTTTGGGATATTGGTTTCTGAGTCCCAACATCCCTCATCTGTCTGTCTTCTATGCCTCTTTTAAGTGGTGATGGAAATGCTAGGAGACCAACTGAGGCCTTGTCGAGCTCAACACATCACAAAACCATTTCTCTCATAGGTCCTCCAAAGAAGGCTGAGCCCAGAGAGGGGCAGGGTGCAAGATGGCTCTTTATCTGAGACCCACATTGTTTATTCACTCAATTCCTCTCCAAAACAGGTCCCAAAAGTAAAAGAAATACTGGAAAATAAAACATTTCTTACTATTTCCAAGTGGTTCAGGCCATCTCTGCCCTTGAAGCCAGGTGGACCCACCTGTGAGGCTTGACTCCAGCAATGTTTTGATTCCCATGTTTTTTTTAACTCAAACTCCTCTCTCCATTGCCAGACTCCTGTTCTGTGATTTTTTTTTTATTCTGATTATTCCCAACACGTGGAACTTGGTGCTCCAACTTAGTTGGCTTCTCTACCTTCAGTATCTCCTAGTGTTTCAGGCAGGAGAGTGAAGTAATCAAAACCAGAGGCTGGGTGTGGTGGTGCATGCCTGTAATTCCGACATTTTGGGAGGCCAAGGCAGAAGGATTGCTTCAGCCCAGGATTTTGAGACCAGCCTGGGCAACATAGTGAGACCCTATCTGTACAAAACAAATTTTTTTAATTAGCCAGGCATGGTGGTGTGTGCCTGCAGTCCCAGCTACTTAGTAGGGTGAGGTAGGAGGATCACTTAGGCCCAGGAGTTTGAGGATGCAGTGAGCTATGATCATGCCACTGCACTCCAGCCTGGGTGAAAAGAAAGGAAATAAAAGAGGCAGGTAGGAAGGTCTGAGAATGCTTGCCATAGTTTTGCAAGATGTGATAAAGACTTATTCTTAGATAGGCCCAGTGAGGGTTCAATGTTCTTCCCTCCAGGAATACCAAGGCCACTCCAAGAAGTTGGGTGGAAGATATAGTGCCTCAATTAAGGCTGATGATCAGAGGAATCAAAAAAGCAGGAAGGAGCTCAAGGGGATTCTGAAAGTAGTATGTAGATGTTCCTGGTGGCTTTTAGTGAGATCCTCAAGCAGACCTGGCAGGTGCATCAATTACATTGGAACGGTTGGCATGGGGGCAGTTATGGGAATAGAAACAAGGGATAGGGGATAGACTTATCTACAGAATCTGGTAAGCAGTTGATATAGGGAGCAAAAAATCTGATAAATTCAAATTTCATATTGTAGGGAAGGAAAAGGACTTTCCTCTACCCTCTTATATTAAATGAGTGGGACCTATAAATTAAACTGAGAAAAGACAAATTAACAAGAAAAATGGCTTACGTGTGTGTGTGTGTGTGTGTGTGTGTGTGTGTGTGTGTGTGTGTGTGTTTCTTTTTTAAGAGACAGGGTCTCACTATGTTGCCCAGGCTGGTCTCAAACTCCTCAGTCCTCCCACCTCACCCTCCCCAGTAGCTAAGATTATAGGTACGTGCCACCATACCTAGCTACAAATTGTATTTGATGTAAATAGTGTAATTTTATTAGGTGCGCAAAGGTCTTCATGGAGAAAAAGAAAAGATCAAAAGAGGCAGTTAGACCAGGGGTTTATATACCACTTTAACAAAGTGTGATAAAGTTGTGAAGAAGTGACAAGACGAAGGAAAGGGGGTTTGGGCTTCTAGAGGTGATGAATTGCTGAAAGGTAAATATATGAGGGAAACTAATGACAGCTGGGGCTTTATTTTAGTAAGGTTTGTTTGTGCGGTCCCATCTTAGTGCCAATTTTTCTGTCTGCAGTGATAGGGTTGTTCTTCTCTGATACGGGAAAGGGGAGGGGGAACACCTTCACATAGGGAAATTTATGTCCTGCTTTTAGACAGAGAGGGGGAAGGCAAAAAGCTCTTCCTACGTTGGCTGCTTCTTAGTTGCCTCCAGCGCAAAACACTCCTTATGACAAATTGGCATAAGGGTGAGGTAGTATATTCAGAACTCCTTCAATATTCAAGTCTGGGGTAGTAAGGGGAATAGGAGGGGAATATCCAAGTTTCTGACTTGAAGCTAGGTAGGAAGTGGTGGGACTCACTAATGTAGAAAGAAAGGAAGTTGGTAGCAACAAGAAGTGGATGCGTTCAGAATAGGTGAAATAGAGAGTCAGAAACAAGAGCTGAAAGACTGTGCTTAGAGAGCATGATGCTGGAAGTGCATGAGCTGAAGCAGTCCTGAGTAATAGCAAGGTCCAGGATGTGGCCATGATATCCAAGAAGTTGAAACTGCTTGGAAATGAGCAGGTCTAGGGCCTGAGAGCTGAAAATGTTTGGATGAACACAGAAGCTGCTCAATATGTGGCCTCCTGGCATTACAGCTTTGCCTCCCCATAACTACACACAGTAAATGAGCCATCTCTCTCAGCTTTGGCCTTATGAACAATCTATGAACATTCCTTTCACATTACTTTTCAAGCTGCTGATAGAAATACTAAACAGGCCTGAGGCAGATACTTACCTTGAGTATGCTTGGAGAATTCCAAATATGCCTTGATGGTTTTGAAGTATTTTGTTTTATATGGTTAGGGAGCATTGTCAAGATAATGTTCAATGTAGCCGGGCATGGTGGCACATGCCTGTAGTCCCAACTACTCAGGAAGCTGAGGTGGAAGAATGGTTGAGCCCAGGAGTTTGAGGTTACAATGAACTATGATCACACCACTGCACTCTAGCCTGGGTGACAGAGCCAGACTCTGTCTCTAAAAAATAAAAATACAGAAGATAATGTTCTATGTATTCAGGGGACTAATCCCTCACTTCCAGTTATTTCCCACAACAGGTTGATTGTAAGGCATGGCACATGGAGAAGGGTGAGGTATTTATCTTGTGGTTTATTTCCTGGATTTTATAATTTATAGGTAAGTTATATCACCCCAAATTTACTGAGCCCAGGTCCCACTAATAACAAAAAGCTCTATATCTCCCATTAAGATATATGCAACATGCAAAAAGGCTCTTGGGCTTTTTAGCCATTATGTTTTCTGTTGCACTTGGACCTAAAACCTCAACTTCCATATTCAAGCCTGGGATGATCAAGGGGGTGGAGGGGAGTGCAGGGAGGTAGAATGAAGGGGTGCTACTGTCGGTAGACAGACTGAGATGGCAAGGAGCCTAGACAAATGAAGATAAATTGAGTCAGAAGATCTGGATTCTTGCCCAGGTCTGGCCCTTCTTAGCTCTGTGAATTGGGCAGGTCACTGAACATTGTCTACTAAGTAGGAGTTGTATTAGTTTACCATGCCTAGTTCAATAGGTTATCGTGGGTACAAAGGTGGAACAATGGATGGGAAGGTGCTTTGTAATTACTCATTCATTAGAGATGAGGGAAGAAACTGTTGGCACTTTTTATGAGGGAAGAATCTGTTGGGCCTGCATTTCCAACCATCTGCAAGACTTTGCTACATATTAACTCTGCCTATCACTATGCATAATCCTTCCCATTGGCAAGATCCTTTGAAAACCGAGGGCTGTCAGCAGAGCCACTTGATTCTGGTTATTGAGAAAAGCTTTTCCTGCCAGTTCAACCTAAGCCTGGGCCTTCCCTAGGCCCATTTTAGCACCAGGTGGCAGAAAAAAGAAAATCTGAATGTAAAACATCTTAAAGAGTCATTTTACATTTCCTGGAAGTCTCAGGGCAGGGGGCTGTAGCCCAGAAAGAGGAATTACACTCCTATAACACACAGAGAAACACTCTCAAATCCTAGCTGGAAAATCTTCTCCCCTAGGCCTGTCATGAAGACAGCTGCTTCCCTAAGTCCCTCTCATCTTCTCCCATACTCTTGCCTTCTCCACCTCTGCTCTCACTTCTTACTGAACTTTTTCATCCTAATTTGGATAATTTTCTGATGTTTTTCTCCATCCACAACCCAAGCAGCCCAGTGCAGCCCAACAGCTGAGCTTTGTTTGTGTATTAGAAGAAACTTATGGGCCAGGCTCAGTGGATAGAGCTTGTAATCACAGCACTTTGGGAGGCCAAGGCGGGCAGATCTCTTGAGGCCAGGAGTTCAAGACCAGCCTGGCCAACATGAAACTCCGTCTCTACTAAAAATACAAAAATTAGCCGAGCGTGGTGGCACATGCCTGTAATCCCAGCTACTCAGGAGGCTGAGGCAGGAGAATCGCTTGAACCCGGAAGGCAGAGGGAGGGAGCCGGCATTGTGCCACCGCAGTCCAGCCTCGGCAACTAAGGGAGACTCTGTCTCAAAAAAAAAAAAAAAAAAAAAAAAGGAGTATGAATACTTACTTTTTTTCCAGCTGCCTCTGCCCTGGACACACTTTTCCAGCTGTCTCTGCCCTGAAGCTGTGTATATGCCGGTGCATGGCCTGAGAAGAGATAAAGATCTCTCCTTTAGATCCTGGGAAGTGCATGCCAACACCGGAGAGCTGCCTGCTCTCAGGAGCTGGAGGCCCTTGGGTAGGCTGTAGGCCCCACACTGTGGCCCACTCCCTTCCTTCTCTTCTCCTAATAACCACTGCTGAACAAGTTTGAGTCCCCAGGCAGGTACGTGGCTCATAAATTGTTCAGCAAAGGGTGGCTGTTAAGATGACTAATAGTGTGCCATGAGCTGTAGGGGTATTCAAGGGAAATATGACCCAACTCTGCCTTGGAGAAGTTTAAAATCTATCAGTGTAGGTGGGTAGTGTTTCTTACATTCTAGTACTGACAGAACCTTAAATCTGGTTGAAACAAAGGTCCAGTCCTCTGCCTTTCAGCAGGAAAAAGTCTTTAATTTACATATAAAGCCTTTGAGTCTTGGGCAAGTTAAGTAATTTTTCTCAAGATCACACATTTGTCTGGGACAAGAACTACATCCTCTCTTAGCCTTCTGGCTCTCCATAAGAGACAACATTCACATGTTTTCTGTTCTTCAAAAAGTAGCAGTTGCCTTCTAAACTTATCCGGTACAAAGTTGTGAAAATTGATCTGTCTATTGTTTTGACTGCCCTTGCAATATTTGGGTCATCTCAAACTGAGGCTACCTAAAATCCCAGAGCTGTGTCTCCAAGCCAGTGATAAGCCAGATGGCAGAGGATGAAATGTTATTAGACTCCATTTATCCAGAAGAGGATAGCTATACCATTAAGAAGGAGGAGAATAAATTAGTAAGCAATGTAACTGCAACATGGCAGCAGAGGAAAGATTTTGAATGTATTAACAGCATTTTCTTTAAAAAAAAAAAAAAATGGCACTGTGAAAAGGGGAAGAAGCAGGAAATGGCCTTAAAAAATATGAGTACAAAGACATATTGATTAAGAGATATGGGTAGTTCCATCAAATAAATATAAAAGAAAAGCCAGGTCAGGTTAAGACTCTGCCACTTCAAGGAATTAGTGAAGATGAACATAACCTATCCTTCCTTTTGGTCTCTCTGGATCTCAGGCAGGCACTCTCTCTCCCATCTCTCTCTCTCTCATACACACGCACACACACACACATACACACGTGCACACAGACGAGTGGGATAAATATCGCGAATGCAGCACAGACCACCACCTTAAATCTCATAATCATTCTATTTCAAGGTTGCTCAAGTCTGACAGCTCTAACTACAACTCCAGAACTTCAGAAGGTTTATTTGAAGAGCTGTTCAAGTGCTATGAACTACAAAGGCTTCTGGGCTTTTCTATTCCTTGCCTATAAACTCAGTTGAAAACTTCTTTTCTTCTTCCCCTACCCCCCTTAGAGGGCAGTCTGTGATACCATTAGTAGTTCTAAAATGGTGAACACCAGAATGCTGTTCAATTGACCAGTAACTTAAATCCATTTAAGTTTAATGATATAAACTAAACTGCTGGACTCCTGGGTGCTAGGAAACACCACATCAGAAATATGCCATGTGGGGCCGGGCGTGGTGGCTCACGCCTGTAATCCCAGCACTTTGGGAGACCAAGGCGGGCGGCTTGCAAGGTCAGGAGACCGAGAACATCCTGGCTAACACGGTGAAACCCCGTCTCTACTAAAAACACAAAAAAATTAGCCAGGCGTGGTCGTGGGCACCAGTAGTCCTAGCTACTTGGGAGGCTGAAGCAGGAGAATGGCGTGAACCCGGGAGTCAGAGCTTGCAGTGAGCCGAGATCACGCCACTGCACTCCAGCCTGGGCAACAGAGCGACACTCCGTCTAAAAAAAAAAAAAAGAAATATGTCATGTGGTTACTTAGAAAGATTCATGTTTGTGTTGGTCATACTTTCCCTGTCTCCCCTCATGGCATCCTTCTTCCCACACTCTTTTCAGATCTTTTTGTTTTCTTTTAATTAATAGACTTACGTTTTGAGCAGTTTAAAGTTTTTCAGAAAAACTGAGTGGAAATTATGGGTTCCCATGCAACCCTCCCATGACCCCTTCCAGTTCCCTTATTGTTAACATCTTAGTGCATTAGTGTGGGACATTTGTAATCATTGATAAGGCAATAGTGAAACATTATTATTAACTAAAGTCCATAGGTCACATTAGGGTTCACTCTTAGTGTTATACATGTATGAATTTACACATACATACAATGGTGAATGGCATATATTCACCATTACAGTATTGATGTGGTTTGGATCTATGTCCCCACCCAAATCTCATGCTGAATTGTAATCCCTAATGCTGGAGGTGGAGCCTGGTGGGAGATGATTGGATCACAGGGGCCGTTTCTAATGGTTTAGCATCATCCCCCTAGTGCTGTTCTCATAATAGAGTTATCATGAGATCTGGTTGTTTAAAAGTGTGTAGGCCCTCCTCCCATTCTCTTCCTTCTGTTCTGCCAATGTGCCTGCTTCCCCTTTGCTTTCTGCCAAGATTGAAAGTTATCTGAGGCCTCTCCAGAAGTTGCTGTGCTTCCTGTACAGCAGGAATTATGAGCCAATTAAACTTCTCTTTGTAAATTACCCAGTCTCAGGTATTTCTTTATAGCAGTGCAAGAATGGACTAATCCAAGTGTCATACAGAATAGTTTCACTACCTGTGTTAGCCTGTTCTCCCACTGCTATAAAGAAATACCTGAGATTGGGTAATTTATAAAAGAAAGAGGTTTAATTGGCCCACAGTTCTGCTGGCTTTACAGGAAACATAGCAGTTTCTGCTTCTGGGGAGTCCTCAGGAAACTTACAATCCCAGTGGAAGGTAAGCAGAGAGCAGCACTTCACATGGCCAGAGAAGAAGTAAGGGCAGGGTGGAGGGTGCCACACACTTTTAAACAGCCAGATCTCGCGAGCACTCACTCGCTGTGATGAGAGCAGCACTAAGGAGGAAATCTGCCCCCATGATCCAATCACCTCCCACCAGGCCCCACCTCCAATATTGGGGATTACAATTGAGCATGAGATGTGGGTGGGGACAGAGATCCAAACCATATCATCCCACCCCAACCCCTCCCAAATCTCCTTTTCCTCTTACACTGCAAAATACAATTATGCCTTTCTAAGAGTCCCTCAAAGTTTTAACTCATTCCAGCATTAACTCCAAAGTCCACTGTCCAAAGTCTCATCTGAGACAAGGTTAGTCCTGTCTGCCCATGAGCCTGTAAAATCAAAAATAAATTAGTTATTTCTAAGATACAATGTGGGTACAGGCATTGGGTAAATACTCCTGTTCCAAAAGGGAGAAATCGGACAAAAGAAAGGGGCTATAGGCCCCATGGAAGTCCAAAATCCAGCAGGGCAGTCATTAAATCTTAAAGCTCCAAAATAATCTCCTTTGACCGCATGTCTCACATCTAAGGCACACTGGTATAAGGGATGGGCTCCCAAGGCCTTGGGCAGCTCCACCCCTGGGTCTTTGCAGGGTTCAGCCCCTACAGCTGCTCTCATGAGCTGGTGTTGAGCGTTTGTGATTTTTCCAGGTGCAGGCTGCAAACTGCTGGTCAATCTACCATTCTGGGGTCTGGAGAATGATGGCCCTTTTCTCACAGCTCCACTAGGCAGTGTCCCACTGGGAACTCTGTGCAGGGGCTCCAACCCCACATTTCCCCTCTGCACTGCCCTCGTACAGATTCTCTTTGAGGGCTCTGCCCCTGTAGCAGGCTTCTGCCTGGACATCCAGCCTTTTCCATACATCCTCTGAAATCTAGGCAGAGGCTCCCAAACCTCAAGTCTTGTATTCTGTGCACTCACAGGCTTAACACCAGGTGGAAGTCATCAAGGCTTATGGCTTGCACCATATGACTAAGCTGTACCTGGGCCTAGAGCCCATCCGGAGCTAGAGCAGTTGGGATGCAGGGCTTCATGTCCTTGAGGCACATCTGGAGCTAGAGCAGTTAGGATGCAGGGCTGCATCTCCTGAGGCTGCACGGTGCAGCAGGGCCCTGGGCCTGGCTGGCCCATGAAACCATTCTTTTCTCCTAGGCCTCTGGGCCTGTGACGGGAGAGGCTGCAGCAAAGATCTCTGAAATACTTTTGAGGCATTTCCCTCATTGTCTTGGCTATCAGCATTTGCCTTCTTTTTAGTTATGCAAATTTCTTTTTTTAATTATGCAAATTTCTAAGTTATTTATTCTAGTTATTTCTAAGATACAATTCAAGTAGCCTGCTTGAATTCCTCCCCTGAAAGTGGGTTTTTCTTTTATACCATATGGCCAGGCTGCAAATTTTCCAAACTTTTACACTCTGCTTCCCTTTTAAATATAAGTTTCAGCTTCAGGTCATTTATTTGCTCATACATGTGAGTATGGGTTGTTAGAAGCAGCCAGGCTGGCTGGGCATGGTGGCTCATGCCTGTAATCCCAGCACTTTGGGAGGCTGAGGTGGGTGGATCACAAGGTCAAGAGATCGAGACCATCCTGGCCAACATGGTGAAACCCCATCTCTACTAAATATACAAAAAATTAGCCAGACGTGGTAGCGGGTGCCTGTAGTCCCAGCTACTCAGGAGGCTGAGGCAGGAGAATGGCATGAATCCGGGAGGCAGAGCTTGCAGTGAGCCGAGATTGCGCCACTGCACTCCAGCCTGGGCAACAGAGCAAGACTCCATCTCAAAACAAACAAACAAACAAAAAAGAAGCAGCCAGGCTGATTCTTGAACACTTTGCTGCTTAGAAATTTCTTCCACCAGGTACCCTAAATCATCATTCTCAAGTTCCAAGTTCCACAGATCCCTAGGACAGGGGCACAATGCCTCCAAGTCCTTTGCTAAGATATAACACATGTGACCTTTGCTCCAGTTCCCAATAAGTTCCTCATTTCCACCTGAGCCCTCCTCAGTCTGGACTTCACTGTCCATATCACTATCGGCACTTTGGTCACAACTATTCAACAAGTCTCTAGGAAATTCCAAATTTTCCCTCATATTCCTCTCTTCTTCTGAGCCCTCCACACTCTTCTGACCTCTATCCATTATCCAATTCCAAAGTCACTTCCACATTTTCAGGTATCTTTACAGCAATGCTCCACTCCTTGGTTTCAATTTTCTGTATTAGTCCATTCTCACATTGCTATAAAGAAATACCTGAGACTGGTAATTTATAAAGGAAAGAAGTTTAATTGGCTAGCAGTTCTCCAGGCTGTACAGGAAGCATTGTGGATTCTGCTTCTGAGGAGGACTTAGGAAACTTACAATCATGGTAGAAGGTAAAGGGAGAGCAGCATTTCACATGGCCAGAGAAGGAGCAATACAGAGAGAGGCAGGAGGTGCTACACCAGATGGTTTTAAACAACCAGATCTCGTGAGCACGCACTCACTATGATGAGAGCAGCACTGAGGGAGAAATCCGCCCCCATGATCTAATTACCCCCAAGCAGGCCCCACTTCTAGCATAGGGGATTACAGTTGAACATGAGATTTGGGTGGGGACACAGATCCAAATCATGTCACTGCCCTAAAAATCCCATGTTCAAACTATTCATCCTTCCCTTCTTCCCTTCCATCAAACTCCTAGAAACCACTGTTCTTTTTATTATCTCCATAATTTGGCCTTTTCCACAATGTTATATATTAATCATTAAAATGATACAGTATGTAGATATAGCCTTTCAGATTGGCTTCTTTTACCTAGCAATATGCATTTAAGGTTCATCCATGTCTTTTCATGGTTTAGTAGCTTATTGCCTTTTAGTACTAATATTCTGTTGTATGGATGTACCACAGTTTGTTTACCCATTAACCTATTAGAAAACACTTTGATTGCTTCCAAGTTTTGGCAATAGTGAATAAAGTATGTGCTGGTTTTGGTGGGGACATGTTTTTAATTCATCTTGGAGTACCAAAGAGTACAATTGCTGGATCTTTGGTAAGAGAATGTTTACTTTTTAAGAAACTGCCAAACTGTCTTCGAAAGTGGTTGTACCATTCTGCATTCCTGCCAGTAATGAATGAGAGTTTCTGTTGCTCCACATTCTTGCCAGCATTTGGCATTGTTAGTGTTTTGTATTTTACCCATTCTAGTAGGGTATAGCAGTATCCCATTGTTGTTTGGATATGCATTTCCCTGATGACAAATGATGTGGAACATCTTTTCATTTGTTTATTTGCCATTGGTATACAGGCATACCTCAGAGATATTGTGGGTTCAGTACCAACCACCACAATAAAGTGAATATCTCCATAAAGCAAGTCACATGAATTTTTTGGTCTCCTAGCACATATAAAAGTTATGTTTACACTATAAGTGTCTATTAAGTGTGCAATAGAACTACATATCTTTTTAAAGTACATACCTTAATTTAAAAACATTGCTAAAAATGGTAACAATCATCTGAGACTTCAGTGAGTCATAATTTTGTTGCTGGTGTAGGGTTTTGCCTCGATGTTGGTAGTTGCTGACTGATCAGGGTGGTGGTTGCTAGAAGGTAGAATGGCTCTGACATTTTAAAAAATGAGAGAAAACTGAAGTTTGCCGCATCAATTGACACTTCCTTTCACAAAAGATTTCTCTGTAGCATGCAATGCTGTCTGTTAGCATTTTACCCACAATAGAACTTCTTTCATCCTCTCCAACTGTGCTACTGCTTTATCACCTACGATCATGTAATATTCTAAGTTCTTTGTTGTCATTTCAACAATGGTCACATCATCTTTACCAGGAGTAGATTCCATCCAAAAAAAAAAAACACTTTCTTTGTTCATCCATAAGAAGCAATTCCTCATTCCTTCAAATTTGTTCATGAGATTGCAGCAATTCAATCATATCTTCAGTCTCTACTTCTAATTCTAGTTCTCTGCCATTTCCACCACCATCTGCAGTGACTTCCTCCACTGATGTCTTGAACCCCACAAAGTCATCCTTTAGGACTGGAATCACCTTCTTCCAAACTCCCATTAATGTGGATATTTTTACCTCCTCCCATGAATCATGAATTTTCTTAATGGCATCTAGAATGAAGAATCCTTTCCAGAAGGTTTTCAGTTTACTTTGCCCAGATCCATCAGAGGAATCACTGTCTGTAGCAGTGATAGCCTTACTAAATGTATTTCTTAAATAAACTTGACAATCAAAATTACTCAGTGATCCATGGGTTGTGGAATGGATGTTGTGTTAGCAGGCGTAAAACAACATTAATCTCCTTGTATAGGTCTTGGGTGACTAGGTACATTGTCAATGAGCAGAAATATTTTAAAAGAATTTTTTTTTCTGAGTAGTAGATCTTGGTACTGGGCCTAAACATTCAGCAAACCATGCTGTCAACAGATGCGTGATCATCCAGGCTTTGTTGTTTCATATATAGAATATAAGCAGAGTCGATTTTGCAAGATTCTTTTTATTTTATTTTATTTTTTAATTGAGACAGGGTCTCACTCTGTCTCCCTGTCTGGAGTGCAGTGGCATGATCATAGCTCACTGCAACCTTGATCTCCCAGGCTCAAATGATCCTCCTGCCTCAGTCTCCCATGTAGCTGGGACTACAGGCATGTGCCACCATGCCCAGCTAAAGATTTAGCATAATGCTTAAGGGCCCTAGGGTTTTCAGAATGGTCAATGAGCATTGGCTTCAACTTAGAGTGACCAGCCACATTAAAGTGATTAGCCCCTAATAAGAGAGTCAGCCTGTCCTTTAAAGCTTTGAAGCCAGGCATTGATTTCTCTCTAGCTATGAGAGTCATAGATGGCATCCTCTTCTAACAGAAGACTGTTCGTCTACATTGAACATCTGTTTAATGTAGCCACCTTCATCAATTATCTTAGCTAGGTTTTCTGTATAACTTAGTGTAGCTTCTCCATCAGCACTTGCTGCTTCACCTTGCACTTTTAGGTTTTAAAGTTGGCTTCTCTCCTTTAATCTCTTAGCTTCCCACTTTTCTTCTGCAGCTTCTTCATCTCGCTCAGCCTTCGTAGACTTGAAAAGAGTTAGGGCCTTTCTCTAGATTAGGCTTTGCCTTGAGGGAATGCTGTGGCTGGTTTTATCTTCTATCCAGACCACCAAACTTTCTCCATATCAGCAAGAAGGCTATTTAGCTCTCTTATTATTTGTGAGTTTACTGGAGTAGTGCTTTTCATTTCTTTCAAGAACTTTTCCTTTGCATTAACAACTTAGCTAACCATTTGGTGTAAGAAGTCTAGCTTTCGGCCTATCTCAGCTTTTGACATGCCTTTCTCACTAAGCATAATCATTTCTAGCTTTTGATTTAAAGCCAGAGATGTGTGATTTTTCCTTTAACTTGAATACTTAGAGGCTATTGTAGGGTTATTAACTGGTCTGATTTCAATGTTGTTGTGTCTCAGGGAAGAGGGAGGCATGAGGAGAGGAAGAGAGACGGAAAGGGCCAGTTGGTGGAGGAGTCAGCACACACACAACATTTATCAATTAAGTTTAGAATCTTACATGAGTGTGGTTTGTGGACCCCAAACAATGACAATAGTAACATCAAGGATCACTCACTGCAGATCACCATAATAGATATAATAATAAAGTTTGAAATATTGCAAAGACTATCAAAATGAGACACAAAGACATGAAGTGAGCACATGCTGTTGGAAAATCGAGGCCCAATAGACTTGCTCAATGCAGGGTTGCCACAAACCTTAAATTTGGAAAAAAAGAAAAAATGCAGTATCTGTGAAGCACAATAAAGTGAAGTGCAATAAAATAAGGTATGCCTATATTTTCCTTGGCGAGGCATCTTTTTAGGTCTTTTGCCCATTTTGGATACCAGTCCTTTATCAGATCTGTGTTATGCAAATATTTTATCCCATTCCATGGCCTGTCTTTCTATTTGTTAAATAAAATTATAGGAGGCTATTGTTTTATTTTCCTTTCTTCTTTATCAGTTTTTTCTTTTCTTTTCTTTTTCCTTTTTCCTGTCAGAAAGGTT
The DNA here is from genome assembly GCF_000001405.40 of Homo sapiens. NCBI lineage: Eukaryota > Metazoa > Chordata > Mammalia > Primates > Hominidae > Homo > Homo sapiens. Next base: position 106,881,042 of record NC_000006.12, read on the forward strand.
TAGAGTGAGGCACATCGCACACACAAGCACGAACATCCAGTCATCACACTTATGAACTACGAAAGGAGAAGGCTACTGTTTTGGGCTAAGCTCCTGTGCTAGGTCCCAACAGACCAGAGTAAAAATCAAAATGGAGTCACTCATGCAGTGTTTCCAAGTTGCTAAACTAAGTTGTTATCTGACCTTCAAGAAATCAGGAGAGAGGGATAACAGTCATTTTTCAAAACAGGCCAGTTTCAATCTTTAATTGGCATGATAATGATCATAAGTTCCCTCTGCTTTAATCTTTACACACAAAGGGTAGACAAAAGTAACCTGATGCTAACTAAACCGTTATCCTTCTATTGTTGTTTTGTTTTCTTGTCTCTGCCTTACAAGGAAAGTAACTTTGAAATGACCAATCTGCTTTCTTCAGCCTTTTCTGTCTATAAAGCCAACCCCCACTGTTCAGCTCATTGGAACACTTACTCTGTTTTGTAGGATGAAGTATTCCTCGATTCTAGAATCACGACATAAATCAAAAAGTATCTGAGACAAGTCTCAATTAATTTAGTAGTTTATTTTGCCAAGGTTAAGGACGTGCCTATGACACACCTCACGAGGTCCTGATGACATGTGGCTACGGTGGTCAGTCTGCAGCTTGATTTTATACATTTGCAAGGAGACATAAGACATCAATCAATACACATAAGATGTACATTGGTTCAGTCCAGAAAGGTGTGACAACTGGAAGTGGGGAGTCCCAGGTCATACGCAGATTCAAAGACTTTCTGATTGGCAGTTCATTCAGTTACTACTTACAGATCTGGAATTTAAGCAGGGTGCAGTAGCTCACACCTGTAATCCCAGCACTTTGGGATGCCAAGGTGGACGGATCACCTGAGGTCAGGAGTTCGAGACCAGCCTAGCCAACATGGTGAAACCCCATCTCTTCTGAAGGTACAAAAATTAACCGTGTGTGTTGGTGGGTGTCTGTAATCCCAGCTACTCCAGAGTCTGAGGCAGGAGAATCTCTTGAACCCAGGAGGTGGAGGTTGCAGTGAGCCAAGTTCACATCATTGCACTCCAGCCGGGTGACAAGAATGAAACTCAGTCTCAAAAAAAAAAAATCTGGAATTTTATTTAAAAAGGAATATCTGGGTTATGATAAGGGGTTGTGGAAACCAAGGTTTTATGCAGTTGAAGCTTCCAGGTAGCAGGCTTCAGAAAGAATAGATTGTAAATATTTTTTATCAGACTTAAAGAGCCTGTTCTATCAGTCTCAAGGTCTGTGTTGATGTTAATGGTAATGAGGCATATCCAACTCCCCCTTCCCATCATGGCCTAAACTAGTTTTACAGGTTAACTTTGGAATAAGTTTTACAGGTTAATTTTGGAATAAGTTTTACAGGCTAACTTTGGAATAAATTTTACAGGTTAACTTTGGCTGAGAGGAGGGGTCCAGTCAAATGGTTGGGGGGCTTAGAATTTTATTTTTGGTTTACAGCAATAAAGCCAACTGAGATCATTAAACTACATTTGTTGTAATTTTGTGTTTTGATGGATGAAAGATCTATTTTATCCTTCTAAATTAAATGCCTTCTCTATCCTTTTTCCTCCCTGTTTCCTTGGAAAGGTCTTCTCTATTTCTGAAAACTGGAGAAAAGGAAGCCTCTGTATCAAAACTCTCAAGTGTCCTAGGAAGGAAATCAAGCAAACCAGAGTCCTGAAACAACCTGACAATTCCAGTTCTAAAGAGAATCGATTACTAACAGCTATGGCACTGGGCCCAGGAAATAGAAGTGCTCCAACCTCTGCAAAGCCTAGAATGAAACACACAGGGGCAAAGGGGAAGACTTCCCTGAAAATCACTGACAAAAATCAGATTAATCAGAGAAAAGGCATAGAATTTATTTATCATGGTTTTATGTGACATGGGAGCCTTCAGAATGAAAACCCAGAGACACAGGGGAAACTGTTTGCTTTTATGCTTAGGTTCCACAAAGCATGGACAGATGTGTAGAAATATGATTGGGCAAAAAGGATATGAGCTAATGGTAATAGACTCAGTGGGGAAACCCAGCAAAACCTCTTTTCAGGTTCTTCTTGGCCTCTGTCCAGGATTTCTGCCTTCTGGGTATGGGCAGGACCCTCTCTGGAATAGAGTTTTTATAACCTACAGTCAAACAAGGTAAGTCAGATCATTTCTTTCTCTTTCTTTTTTTTTTTTTTTTTTTTTTTTTTGAGACAGGATCTTGCTGTGTTGCCCAGGCTGGAGTGCAATGGCACAAGCACGTAGCTCACGGCAACCTCGAATGCCTGGGCTCAGACAATCATCCTGCCTCAGTCTCCTGCTAATTTTTATTTGGTTTTTTTTAAGAACAGAATGTCACTATGTTACCCAGGCTGGACTTGAACTCCTGACTTCAAGCCATTCTCCCGCCTTGGCCTCCCGAAGTGCTGGGATTATAGGCGTGAGCCACTGCATCTGGCCGAAATAATTTCTTTATGGCCAGTTTTTATACAAAAAGGTGGGAGGCGGAATTAGAGTAATATTTTTTGGTCTTATGGCTGGTTTTGGGGGAAAAGGAGTTCTGGTTTCTATGACCCCCCTTGGGGAAGAGGAATTCTACTTTCCATGGCTGGCCTTAGGGGAAAGTGAGGAGCCAGAAACAGGAGGTCAGGAAAAGGTCAGAGAAAAACTTTTACTTCTGAGGCCTTTAAGATATCATTTTCTGAGTCCCAACAAACATCATGTAAGAATATGGAAACTGTAAGCAGATTTTAAACTCTCAGAGAGAGCTCCAAGCACAAGGGTGGGTGTAGTACTGCTCAGTTGCCCATTTTCTTCATTCACAGGGCCTGAGAAACCTGTGGCTGAGAAGCTGCTGGCCCAGCTGGTCCTCATCAGCCCATAAATACTGCATGCAAAAAGGATTAATAAATCAAATCTAAGAGAATTAAGAAGGGATATGACTACATCTTACAATTTAGCTCATTATTTTCCAAATTGGCTCATCTCTGGACTGTATTAAAGAAATCGGTGGTGTTATCTGACACATCCCAGACTACCAGAAGAGGCAGCGTTGCAGCATTAACAACAATCACGTGTGCACATAAGCAGGGAAGGCTCAAAAAGACCAAGAAAGTACTCAAGGTAATGGAGACCCAAGATGTGGTGATTCCAAAAGAGAAGCCTGCAATCTTGTTGTAAACTGTACAGTCTCACGTTTGCCCTGGTTACCCTGTGGAAACAGGACAGACCCATTGGGTAGGTTTTACCCATTTGTTGACTTTTCACTATTGCCAAATATAGGTCTCAGGAATTGCATTTTGTTGCTGGCTTAGTCTCATGCCTTTTTGAACCGCTCTCTATTAGGCACAGTAAAATAGAAGGAAATAGCCCCTCTTACATTGTAATGAGTGGCCCCTATAAAATCAGCAATAATCAGTTTGTGGGGCAAAGCCATGAGGATTCATCTAGAGGGCAAATTGCTGCCTCCTATCCCCTACCCACGTCATTCAAAATAAAAATAGAATAAAACCATAAATAAATGTAGAAGAGTTCAAAAAATCTGATATTTCCTACGACGACTACATCAACACTTTTGTATTTGTATATAAAATAATATATCCCTTCCAAAATCTCTCTCTCTTTCTCTGTCTCCTTTTTTCTCTTTCTCTCTCTTCTTTCTCTTTCTCTCTCTGTCTCTTTCTCTTTCTCTCTCTCTTTCTCTCTCTCTCTTTCTCTCTGTCTCTTTTTCTCTCTCTTTCTCTCTGTCTCTGCCTCAGCTGCTGGCGACCTCGACATGGGCCTGTAGCTGACTTCAAGGATCCCAGATGGAAGGTCCCAGCTACATCCTGGGGTCCATTCCATTATTACCCAAAACCGTAGAACGACCCAGTGCAGTCAGGTTATTATAGAGTCCTGAAGAAGACCCCTTATTGACAGATGTCAACAATTCTTAACTGTTTTCATCATCTGCCCCCACGATTTCTGTCATAAGCTAAATAAATGTACTTTGGTGGCATGATGTTTAGTATGATGGTTGCTAAAGGAGGAAGGGTTTCTGAAACTCCTGCGGAGTTTTCTTTCCCTGTTACTAGATACTTCTTCCAGGTAGCTGATAAATCTGTTAAAACAGAACATTTGTTTCTATGAACAATAAATACTACTGAATTGTCACATGTTCTGGCTTCTTTGCCATTTAACCAATAAAATGTGAAATTGCTGAAAGATAAATTTTTAGAAACTTTCAGGATTGGAAAATACTAATTTTCTTTTTTCTTTTTTTTTTTTTTTTGAAACAGAGTCTCACTCTGTCGCCCAGGCTAGAATACAGTGGCACAATCTCAGCTCACTGCAACCGCTGCCTTCCAGGTTCAAGTGATTCTCCTGCCTCAGCCTACTGAATAGCTGGGATTACAGGCACCCACCACCATGCCCGGCTAATTTGTGTTTTTAGTAGAGACACAGTTTCACCATGTTGGTCCGGCTGGTCTCGAACTCCTGACCTCAGGTGATATGCCCGCCTCAGCCTCCCAAAGTGCTGGGATTACAGGCGGGAAATACTAATTTTCTACCGGGCTTAAGATTGTAATTTTTTTTTCTGTGAAAATTTAACCTTTAAATTGCCTTTCAAGCTAATCTGACTTTGCTTTGTTTTCTCCTTCCTTCTGTTAACCTGTTTACAATTCTCCCAGTATGTACTGACAATTTTCTGTCATGGGAGTCATGAGCCACCTAGCACGCCAGGCCTGTCAGCCACCCAGCAAAGTAGGGCTCTTTCTTATTGCTGAGAACACAAACGTAAAACACAGCTCCTATTTGCACAGCAGTGAGTTACTCAAAGAAACACGGGATAGAGTCGTTTCAGAAATAATCCTCTAGCATGACAGGCAGGTTGGTTCAAGTACTGCTCTGAGACTTCTGCCTAAGGCATCTGTTTCAGGCAATCAGCACAATTTATCTGATTAGATTTAGAATGCAAGGTAACTTCTACCATCACAAATGGCCAATTTCAGATCTCTCACCTCAAGGAAAACCCCTTAAGGTTGCTGTTCACAAGGTTATAGAATATTTTTATGAGAGTCCCATTAACATTGTTGAAAAAGGGAGTGATTCTACCCAAAGCTGTGGGCGACATAATCAGGCTCAGCCTACGATGACAAATCTCATTCTCATTTTCACCAATTTGCTCATTAAAATTCTGATTGTTGGGGCAAAGTAATTACGTAGTGGAGGATCTATTTATTACAGCTGACATTCTAATCAAGTAGCAGCAGGGGGCTAATCGACCAGTGTTATTGGATAAAGAATTACAACTTGAAACAAAATTATAAATAAATGTCCCACTACAGTCACAGAGCTTGAATATACTAAAATTGATGACTAGGACCTGGTGATGCAATTAATTTTGATATAATGCCCAATACAGAGTGGCACTTAAATGTCTAAATGCTGCATCTCCGTGTGCTATGCCCAAAACAGAAAAACAGGGCGGTAGAAGGACTCAGAGCCTTAGGCACTAGACCCTTGTGCCTAACACATATCTCTCAGTCAATATCTCCCAAATCTTCTGGAATGCACCTGAAGGATGCAAAAATGTAAACCACACTTAGAAGATAAAAGTGTTCTTTTTCATGCTGAGGAAGTGAAGAGTTGCTAAACATATGCACATTTCACCCTAAATGCCTGGACTAGCTGGCAAAGGTGATCATTTGGGCATTCATTCAAAGAAAATGTTTAGTGCTTCTAGAGGACAGGTAACGTTTCAAAACAACCGCCACCCCCACCACAACAAAACCGTCAAAATATGGTTTATGTATAAAATGTTGACTCTTTTAATATGGATTTATGTTTTCACAAGTATTCAGTAGCTGTTCAAGTATAGCTCTAAAATTACTTCAATGGCCTTTTTTGCTGTCCCTTTTAAACCCCATCAAAGCAACTGAAACTCTGTATTTAATTTTTAAAAAGCATTCTAAAATGTCCAGGTTCTTAAACCCCAAAGGAAAACACAGCAAAGCTAAGTCCTTCACAAGCAGTAACAGAAATGATCTCATTACGCACCATTGTCCAAACACAGCCGCTCTTCAAACAGACCAGGCAGGGAAAGATCAAATGGAGGTGCTGGTTTCTATTTTATCTCTACCTAAAGGTTTTTCTGTTAAGTTGAAACTGAAGCTTATGCTTTTTACAGAGCTCAGTTGTTTTAAAAGGGAAGAAAAACACCTCAAAGAAATTACTTTAGAAGCTAAAAATTATGGTTTAACTAATGTTAACACCATTGATCATAACTTGAAATACAAAATCAGCAATGCAAAAAGACCGGTTAAATGTTCCTACTAATTTCCCCCTCATCTTGGTTTCCTGGCTCCACAAGAACTCTGTTCACAGCAGTTGTTTTAGGGGAAAACAAACCTCTGTGCCACTTAACCCATTAGGAGCTAGTTAGTAATTTGTGTGCTTGATTCCATTCAATGAATGCTTTGTAAGTCTACTAAGAGCTTGGGACAGATCAGTGGAAAAAAAACAAAAGAATCACTGCCCTTATGGAGCTTGAATTCCAACGGGAGAAGGCAAACAGTAAACGTTATAAAAAGTAAACTATACAGTATGCTTGCATTGTTGGAGCTCAGAAAACAATACCCCAAAGTAAAACTGCCATTGCAAAACTGTAACTGAGACAGTGAAAGAGATCTGACCGAACCAACTCCATCTTGCGTGCTCCAAACCGTCCTTATTCATTCCTGGCCATAGGCCAAACTAACTTTGGGGAAAATTAGTTTATATTTTTTTTTAATTTTTTTTTTTTTTTTTTTTGAGACAGAGTCTCACTCTGTCACCCAGGCTGGAGTACAGTGGTGCGATCTTGGCTCACTGCAACATCTGCCTCCAGGGTTCAAGCAATTCTCCTGCCTCAGCCTCCCAAGTAGCTGGGATTACAGGCACCCACCACCATGCCCGGCTAACTTTTGTATTTTTGGTAGAGATGGGGTTTCACTATGTTTGCCAGGCTGGTCTCAATGTCCTGACCTCAAGTGATGCCCCTGCCTTGGCCTCCCAAAATGCTGGGATTAGTTTATACTTTAAAACAAAGATGATAACAACCCTTTCCCAAAACAAACCCCCTTTTTGCCTGGGGACTGGCTTGCCTTGATAGAACTAACAAATTAGCCAAAAGATTAGAAATTATGGTTTAGGAGTCATGCAGCAGGAGGCTACTAGATTCTGACCCTCCCCAAATTGCTCCTGGGAATAACATCACTATCGTAAAGCCAAAAATTAGTGCTTGAAATATTTTGCAGGCCCTGCACATGATGGATCAGCTGGCACCACCCAGATCGATAAACTGGCTCATCTGGTCTTGTGGCCCCAACCCAGGAACTGACTCAGCACAAGAGGACAGCTTCCACTCCCTATGATCTCATCTCTGACCCAACCAATCAGCACTCCTGACTCACTGGCCGCCCACCCACTAAATTATCCTTAAAAACTCTGATCCCCGCATGCTCAGGGAGCCTGATTTGAACAATAACAAAACTCCAGTCTCCTGCACAGTCAGCTCTGTGTGAATTACTCTCTCTATCGCAATTCCTGTGTCTTAATAAATCAGTTCTGTCTAGGCAGTGGGCAAGGTGAATCCACTGGGCAGTTACAAAAGTATGGTGCTTTGGAGGGCTGAGTACTAGGAACCAAAGAAGATTGGAAGGCCTCAGAAGCAAGGTTTCTCTGACCTTCTCCTGTCCTCCTGTCCTCTGCCTGTCTTTATCCTCCCAAAGCAAGTCATAGAAACCAGATGATTTCTCTTCCCCAAGGAGGGGTCATGGAAACTAGAACCTTTCTCCCCGAAAGCAAGTCATAAAACCTAGAAAAGGTCACTCTCTCCCTTCTCCCTTAACGCCCTCACTCCAGAGGGGTCCTGCCCCATATCCAGGGGGAAGGAAAGCTACACAGAGAGGTCAGGAAGAACCTGAACAGACAGACCTTGCTGCCCTGCCCTCAGTTTATAACAGTTAGATCACACTCCTTTGTCCAATCACATTTCTATGAAGATGTCTATTCTTCATGAAACCTAAGCATAAAAACAGACAGTTCTCCCTGGGGCTTTGGGTTTTCATTTCTAAAGTTTCCTGTGTCATGTAAAACTTTGATTTTGCTAAAATAAACATTTATTTATATATATTATAATATTATATATATAGACCCTGATTTCTCCTTCCTAAAGGCATATTGCCAAGATGGCTGTATCTTGAAAGGTGACACATCCTACTGAAGAGCCCTGGGCCCAGAATGCTTAAACCCATGTCTTCAAATCACAGAAGATAATACACTGTTTACACTGCTTCATTTTTCTAACTTGCAGAAGTCACCCTGCAAATCTCCATTTATTGCCACTTTCCATCCTTAATATTTCACTTGGAAATGCTTCCCAGCAATAGTTCTTTCTTTTTACTTGCAAAAAAAAGATCTTCGTTTGGAACTTCCTGCCTTCAGATGAATGTTGTAAACTTTACATTTCTGTTGGCTACAGAGTTGTTGGCTCTTAAAAATGGCATTTGCTTTTAGTTCAGACATAAAACTTTCTTCTCCAGCCTTTCATCACAATTGTGAACCTTACCGACTAAGACATTGAAGGGGATCAGAACGTGCCATCCCAAAATACACCACTTTGTCTTTTTTTATTAGCATTTTATTTTTTATTACAATTTTATTTTTATTTTATTTTATTTTTATTTTATTATTTTATTTTTGATTATTTTGAGCTGAAGGCAATTGAGAAACAAGTACTCTTTGCCCTTCCTCTTTCTGCCTAAAACCAGAACATGCATTTCCCATGAAAAGTAACTTCCCAGTACTAGGAAGAGAACATTCTTATCACCAGAGATAAAAAGTTGGTGCCAAGGTGAGTCTGCACAAACACAGCTTATCTTCCATTAGTTTCCCCCAGACATTTCCTAGTCACATTCCCACAATTTAGTGCCCCAGAAGCTCAAACCTCTTTCTTTTCTAGTGACTTCCACACAACTTATCACCCTTTGCTAAAATAGTATATAAACGTATCACCCTTTGCTAAAATAGTATATAAACCCCTGAATCTAACCAATTCTGGGGGGTTTTCACTTTTTTTCTATGAGGCCCCCCATGCCATGTAAAAATACTAACATCAAATAAGATCTATATGCTTTGTCTCCTGTTAATCTGTCTTTCGCCATTTTAATTCACAGGCTCAAGAGGGTAAAAGAAACATTTTTCTTTCCCTACAATATTTTATCTCATTCCAATTCTTAGTCCCTCAATCCTCCACCTTCCACCCTACAGGCCTCTTTTCTGTGCCTTCTAGAAAGAAAAATTATTTTTCCATTGTTCAGAGGGAGGCTATCCATCTTGTGGTTCATTTATACTCTTTGCCTACTAACTTCTTTTCCCATTTTGGTCATTTCGAAGTATCATTATCAGAGAAAGTTGGAGATAATATTTTATAAAATACATTTACATACATTTGATGAAGTATCATTATTTCACCAAAAATCATTTTATTTTTCTCTTACTGGGCACTTGGGAAACTACATTTTCCAGCTCATCTTGCAGTTTTACTGAGGCCATGTGACTCAGTACTGGCTAGTGGGGGATGGGTGGAAATGACATAAGTCACTCCCAGGTCTGAACATTAAAAAGATATCATGCAGTCCTCATCCTCTCTTTGCTTTCCTCAACAATCTTGGAGGTCACATATTGAGGTTACATCACAAGAAGATGGAACCTGGATCCCAGGGTCTCCAGAAAGAGAATCCCCATTGGCCCACGCATCAATCAACTTTGGTTGTACCAAGCCATTGAAGCCACTGAATTTCAGAGTTATTTAGCTCTGTAACACAACCTAGAATATTCTATTATTATACTCTTATTTAATTCTTGTTCTGCTCCTCCATGCCGCCCCAAAAATATTTCACAGATGGAGAAGCCAGTCAGTGAAGCTACTAACCTGGCTAAGCTAGCACACCTAGTAAGTGAGCCACTCCTCGGTTCTCTCTACATCATAACTACCCTGTTGCTAGTGCTCTTTTGTGTAAACTTTCTGTGTAGAAGAGGAAAAAGAGCCCTCCTAAGTTCTCCAGCTGGGACCCTGTAGATTAAACTGACAAAAGACAGACTAACAAGAGAAAAACAAAGTTTATTAACACATCATATATATACATGAGAGGACTCAGAGATGAGTACTTAGTGTTTAGAACTTGGACACATACAGCATTTTAACAAAACAACAGGTCTGGGCGCGGTGGCTCACGCCTATAATCTCAGCACTTTGGGAGGCTGAGGCGGGTGGATCACGAGGTCAGGAGATCAAGGCCATCCTGGCTAACACGGTAAAACCCCGTCTCTACTAAAAATACAAACAAAAATTAGCCAGGCATGGTGGTGCACACCTGTAATCCCAGCTACTCGGGAGGCTGAGGCAGCAGAATCACTTGAACCCAGCAGGTGGAGGTTGCGGTGAGCCAAGATCACACCACTGCACTCCAGCCTGGGCGACAGAGCAAGACTCCATCTCAAGAAAAAAAAAAAAAAAGAAAAGAAAAGAAAAAAAAACAATACGTATGTACAGAACTGGCAAGGCAAAGAAAGGGATTTTGAGCTTCTAGAATGACAAATTGTGGGACACTAATATGTGGGGGAAACTAATGGATGATAAGGGATAGTTAGTAAGTTGAGTTATATAGCTTCTTCTGATCCCTTACCAACTTCTCTGGGCTGATAAGGGTCTACAGTTGCCTCTAGTGATTAACCTTTGTCCTTCCTAGGAGAGAAGAAAGGGAGACTATCTTTATGAATTTATGTTCTGCTTTTAGGTGAACTGGGGGAGCAAAGAGTTTTCCATATATTTGTTTCCTCTTAATTGCCTTCAGCTAAAAATAATCCTTAGGCTAAGGTGTCATATTCTGTTACCCTTCAGTAGTGGTCTACAACCCCCAGTGGACCATTCATCCCAAAGTATCATACACTTAATCTCTTTGGAAAGGTCATTTATTCTTATCTGCCACTACTCTGTTTAACATGCAATAAGGGCTGGGTGAGGTGACTCACACCTGTAATCCCAGCACTTTGGGAGGCCAAGGTGGGCAGATCACAAGGTCAGGAGTTCGAGACCAGCCTGACCAACATAGTGAAACCCCCGTCTCTACTAAAAATACAAATAATTAGCCAGGCATGGTGGCGGGCACCTCCCAGCTACCCGAGAGGCTGAGGCAGGAGAATTGCTTGGACCCAGTAGGTGGAGGTTGGAGTGAGCCAAGATCACACCACTGCACTCCAGCCCCAGCAACAGTGCGATACTCCATCTCAAAAATAAATAAATAAATAAATAAATAAATAAATAAATAAATAAATAATTTTTTTAAAACATGCAATAAGAGACACACTGTAGCTATGAGGTCATGATGGGAGATATCATAATGGGGAATAATATCAGACCTCTCTGATATTCAGCTTATAGAGCCAGAATATCTCACAAGTCTCATGCTTCCAACCACGATGGCTAAATAAACAAAAAGCCATGTATCACAACAAGGACTATAAAGAGAGACCAGAGCAAAATTCATCATGTACTATAATGGGTGGAAGCAAATAATCAGAATTCAGCCCTTTCTAGTACCATGTGGGTTAGAACCTCAAAACCACCTCAACATGTTGCAGCCCCACTCCCATCTATAAATAATGATACCACCCAAAAGACATGAGAAACATAATTCTCCATTTACGTGTGTGTGTGTACATGTCCAGGCTTTAGAAATACCTGTGCACACTTCCTTATATCTATCCTTCCCTCTCTATATAGATGGCACCATCATCTACCCAGTAATGAAAACCAGAAACCTGAGCATCGTCCCTGACTTATCCATTTCTTTCACCCAATATCAGGTCCAATAATTCTTCCTCCAAAATAATCTTCATTCCAGGCTTTTCCTCTCCATCTTCAATATCACCTCATCTCTTTCCTGAGTTAATGGAGTATACTATTAACTGGTCACCTGGCTTTCACTTGAAATCTCTGCTAGTCCAATCTCCTCAACAAAAGGGATCTAAAAACATAAGTCAGATCATGTCATTTCTTCACTTAAAATTATTTTTAGTTGTTTGGTTTTGTTTTGTTTTGTTTTTGAGACAGGGTCTTGCTCTGCTGCCCAGGCAAGAATGCAGTGGAGAAATCACAGCTCACTGCAGCTCCAACTTTCTGGGCTCAAACAATCCTCCTACCTCAGCCTCCCAAGTAGCTGGGACCACTGGCGCATACCACCAAAACCAGCTATTTTTTTTTTTAAATAGAGACATGGTCTCACTACGTTGCTCAGGCTTTGTCTGTTCTCACATTGCTATAAAGAACTACCTGACACTGGGTAATTCATAAGGAAAGAGGTTTGATTGGCTCACAGTTCCACAGGCTGTACAGGAATCATGGCTAGGGAAGCCTCAGGAAACTTACAATCATGGCAGAAGGTGAAGAGGAAGCTGGCAAGTCCTACATGGCCGGAGCAGGAGGAAGACAGAGTGAAGTGGAGTGGGGTGCTATACACTTTTAAACAACCAGATCTCGTGAGAGCTCAATCATGAGACAATACTAGGGAGATGATGCTAAACCATTAGAAATCACCTCCCTGATCCAATCACCTCCCATCAAGTCTCTCCCCCAACACAGGATTACAATTCAACATGAGGTTTGGGTGGGGACACAGAGCCAAACCGTATCAGGCTTCCACATAAAATTTATAAATGGTTTCTTATTGCACCTAGAATGGAATCCAAACTCTGTATGGTGGTCTCCAATATTCCATATGACCTGGCCCTGCCTATCTCTCTTGCCTCATCTCACAGAGTTTTCCCTGCTCCCCACTTTCCAATCACTGTCCCCTCAGCAACTTTCTCTCATCTTTGCCTCTGTATTTATTCTTACCTGTGTCTGAAATGCTTTGTCCTGTCTCCCCTCATGGCCAGCTTCTCATCCCTCAGGATTATATTTAGATGTCACCCCTCTAAGGCAGTCATCCTGACCACCATACCTGAAGAAGTTCCCTTACCCATTATTCTCTGTCATGATATTCAATCTCTTCAGAAAACTTACCAGTCTGTGCAGCCATAAAAAAGAATGAGTTCATGTCCTTTGCAGTGACGTGGATGAAGCTAGAAGCCATCATTCTCAGCAAACCAACACAGGAACAGAAAACTAAACACCACATGTTCTCATCATAAGTGGGATTGAACAATGAGAACGCATGGACACAGAGAGGGGAACATCACACACTGGGGCCTGTCGGCGGGTGGGAGGAAAGGGGAGGGAGAGAATTAGGACAAATACCTAATGCATGCAGGGCTTAAAATCTAGTTGACGGGTTGATAGGTGCAGCAGACCACAATGGCACATGTATATCTATGTAACAAACCTGCAAGTTCAGCACATGTATTCCAGAACTTAAAGTAAAATTTTAAAAAATAATAAATAAATAAATGAAAATTTACTAATCTGCAATAATCTTATCCATCTTGTGTTTATTTGCTTACCTTCCCCACTGGAATGTAATATTCCTAAAGGTAAAATAACAATAATGAATACTTTCTTTGTTTTTTGTGACAGAGTCTCACTCTGTCCTCCAGGCTGAAGTGCAATGGTATGATCTCTGCTCACTGCAACCTCAACCTCCCGGGCTCAAGCAATTCTCCTGCCTCAGCCTCCCAAGTATCTGGGATTACAGGCACGAGCCACCACGCCTAGCTAATTTTTTTATATTTTTAGTAGAGACAGGGTTTCACTGTGTTGGCCAGGCTGATCTTGAACTCCTGACCTCAGGTGATCCACCTGCCTTGGCCTCCCAAAGTGCTGGGATTACAGGTGTAAGCCACCATGCCCAGCAATAACAAATACTTTCTTTGCACCAGATACTGTGTTAAGCACAAATATAGCCTGCCAAGTATCTCCCAGAAACACCTTTTGCTTTTAATACCCAAACTTCATAGAATGTATGTATCTCTCGATACAGAATTCACTTGTTTATACAGTAGCTATGATCCCAAAAGTCACCAGAGGAACACACATGTTATGTTGTAATCTTTAGATACTGCTGTTGCTAAGAGTGACTGCAGAGCCTCATGCTCAGCGTGAGTCATACTAGGCTATGCACAGGTGCTTGTCTTGAAAACATTTCCTGGTGCCTTCCATTTTGAGCCATTGTTCTGCCTAGAGCTGTACAATGAGTACCAGAAAAGTTGATAGCTTTGAAAAGAATTATGGATAAGGAATTAAAAAAATAAGAATAGTGATTACAATGGAAGATATGGTAATACACATAAAGCAACTGTTTTAATTTTCTGATGTTTAATGTTTTAAACATTTTACATTCTAATGTAATCATTGTTTCTAATACATAGGCGTGTGGGTGGGGGAAAACACTTTCTATAGCCTTTTTTTTTTTTAAAGATAGGGTCTCCCTCTGTCACCCAGGCTGGAGTGCTGTAGCATGATCTCAACTCATGGCAGCCTCCACCTCCCAGGCTCAAGCAGTCCTCCTGCCTCAGCCTCCTGAGGAGCTGGGACTACAGGCACACGCCACCGCACCTGGCTAATTTTTATATTTTTTGTAGAGACAGGGTTTCGTTATGTTGCCCAGGCTGGTCTTAAACTCCTGAGCTCAAGTGATCTGCCTCTTGGCCTCCCGAAGTGCTAGGATTACAGGCATGAGCCACCCTGCCCAGCCTTCTGTAACCTTTTACGCTTACTGATTGGGGCCTGCGAATTAAACTCACAAAAGACAGATTAGCAAGAGAAGAGATCGATTTTTATTCAAGTAAGTATGTGGGAGGTCACAGAAAAATATGACTCAAAGAGGCAGTTAGAATTTGGGGCTTATATACATATTAATAGGGGATAGGGAGGAGCAGGGAATACTCCTCGGAGAACAAATGAGTTTGTAGAAGAGGGAGGTAGAAAGAAGGGCACTTATAGAAATACAATGACTTTTTTGAAAGCTAAGTGGCCCCTTAGAATAGATGAGAGATATGATAGTTTGTACCAATGTCTGCCCAGGTATGGTACCAACTTCTTGGCCCACAGAAGGAAGATTAGAGTTGCTCCTGGAAAGGGGATTTATGACAATTGTGTTCTTCTGGGAGGCTCTGCTTTTAGGCAGAGAAGAGATTTCAGGAAATGAAATTCCTTCAGCTCAAAATAACTCTTATGCTGAAAATGGCATACTTTGGGATGGCATATCCTGATTCCCTTCAGGTGTCTTAGTGTCCTTTAGAAACTTGGTTGGGGATTTGGGGTTGATGTGTAATGTATTATAATTTTTTTCTTTTAAAGTAACATGAAATAGAGGCCAAATAGCACAAAATGTCTAATTTTCAGACATAGAGTACTGATATTTTAAAAGAGATGCTGGTATTAACTCATTCCAAACAAACCTCTATCTTGTGTGGTGGGTATTCTCATTCACCTTCCCGCTTTTTGTAAGGCATAGAAAGGTTAAATAGCATGCCCAAGACCTAATGAAGTAGGTAATAGAGCTGGAAACTGAACCTAGATATTCTATATCTGAACACACTATAGAAGATTTGAGGCCGGGCGAGGTGGCTCATGCCTATAATCCTAACATTTTGGGAGGCCAAGAAGGGTGGATCACCTGAGGTCAGGAGTTTGAGACCAACCCCGTCTCTACTCAAAATACAAAAATTAGCCAGGTGTGGTGGTGGGTGCCTGTAATCCCAGCTACTCAGGAGGTTGAGGCAGGAGAATCACTTGAACCCGGCAGGCGGAAGTTGCAGTGAGCTGAGATCATGCCACTGCACTACAGCCTAGGTGACAGAGCAAGACTTGGTCTCAAAAAAAAAAAAAAAAAAGAAAAGAAAGAGAAGATTCGAGGGCTAGGTGCAGTGGCTCACACCTGTAAGCCCAGCACTTCGGGAGGCCGAGGTGGGTGGTGGATCACTTGAGCTCAGGAGTCCAAGACCAACCTGGGCAACATGGTGAAACACCGTCTCTACTAAAAATGCAAAAAAATTAGCCGGGTGTGGTGGCATGCATCTGTAGTCTCAGCTACTCAGGAGGCTGAGGCAAGAGTTCTCCACACCTTGAGCCAGGGAGACAGTGGCTGCAGTGAGCCGAGATGGCACCACTGCACTCCAGCTTGGGTGACAGAGTGAGACCTCATCTCAAAAAAAAAAAAAAAAAAAAAGGCTTTAGGTGCCTCTCCTAAGGGAAAGCCCACCTCCATCTCATACACTGTACACCTCAATGCCTGACCGGGCTCAGCATATAGTATTAATAAATGATCAATTAATATCTATCCTGAATGAATGAATTAACAAATAGATGAATGAAAACACACTAAGTTTTGCCTTAATAAGCCTGTACTCTTCAAAAGTGTCAAGATCCTGAAAGTCCAAAACAAAGGAACTCCTCGATTGAAGAAAACCGAAATTAACTGCCATGAGCGATCCTAGATTGGATCCTTTTGCACTAAAGGATGCTATTGAGGCAATTGGCAAAACTTGAACGGAGACTCAGGATTAGACGGCAGTAACTGTGGGGACCGACAACACGCCTGAGTGATCTGAAGATTTCTTCAAAGTGAAAAAAATCTGAGCTACAACAAATGCAGAAAGACATCTTATCTGGCCTTTCCTTATGAGAGCTTTAGGAAGGTCAAATGCCACAGCTCCTCCGCCTCCCGCACCTACAATCCAGGAGAACTGACCTTGAGCACTGGTCATTCCAGAGGATTGTGTAAACAAGCCTCATCCAAACCTTCCATCTTTTGAAGCTGTAAACACTACTTCCTAGTAAGTAGATATACACACCCCTCTCTCTAGCTGTTCTCTAGCTTCATCTGAAAACTCCTACATGTGTAAATAAACTTTTCTCTGGTTCTTCTGTCTATTGTTAGTTAATTTGTGGGGGCCCCCATGATCCAAACCTAAGACGTTAGAGGAAAAATTTTTCTCCCAACATAACCTATCAGTGTTAATTTCCTGATGTTGATGGTTGTGTTATGGTTATTTAGGAGAATGTTTTTGTTTATCAGGAAGAAAACTGCTTTCTGTGAACATGTTTGCCATGAAGTCTATAGAAATTTTTTTTTTTTTTTTTAGTTATGAGGTGGATAAAGTTTGCATTCCCTCGCAGAAGGAGATGAGCAAGTTCTATGGTAGTGGAGGAATGAGTACAGATAGCCACAAATATTAAGGCTAGTGGCCACACCTGTCAACAGAGGTAGAGTTGGTGGAACCCAGGAAAATTTCCTGCAGGCTCAGACCTCTGAACACCAAGTGCAAGCAGCCCCCATGTGATAACAGCCAATTAGGAGAGGAGCCCAGGGTGAACTTTCAGGTGACTTCCTTGTATCCCCACCTCCAATCATTAACATCACCGTCTGCACCCACTCTAGAACCCACCTGAGTTGCCCATAGTTAGGCTGTAATTGAAGAAACAGTCTTGTGTGGATCATCAACTGTCCCTAATAAAGTCCATTTGGGATGACTCCAAAGATGATTGCCACCAAAATGGAATTTTCCTTTCTTTTTCAGAAGATTTGCTATCATACATCTACCTGGATTTTTCTCAACATCAGCTGACAAAGGAAGGTGCAGACCCGACCAAATGTATAGCAGTCTGTTTTCCATGATGAGTGTCTTCATTTGGGGAATAATTTAGATTCTTGGCTCTCTGACTTCTTGCTGACACTCAAATAAAGGCTGCCAGTCTTGGAGACTTATTTTAATTCCATTTTATATATTAATTTGATGCAAAGACATCATTAACTCTTCCACCATACCTTTTTCTCTGGATGCTTCCCTTAACTACCTGGGAATCTTGCCGATTCTCACAGATTAACGAGGGTGGCTCTAACTTTTGGTACACTTAAGAGGTCCAGTGGGGCTTCTTGTTTCTTCTTCACCTCCTAGTATCAGCCATAACTCCCTAAGTTTATGTTCTATTTGTTGAGTATCACTTTAGGCTTTATTCCCACCGTGTGGAGGATTTTATCACCATGAATCGACCCAGTTACTATGCACATTTAATTATATTGCCTAACTTTTTTCTTTGGATAAATCTTTCAAAATCTTAAGAAGGCATTTTAGAGAGTGATCAGGCTGGTTTCCAGGGTTTTAATCTTCACACTTAAGAATTGTATTTAAAATGAGCATAGTTAAAAGCAAAACAAAATCTAGACATAGAAAAATTATTGGAAGAAAATGCATCAAAATAGTTTTCTTTTTTAATTCCTACATGAGTTATATAATATTCATAAATTAAAAATACAATTACCTTGTTAAATAAAATGTTTAAAATAAAAATACAGAAATTACCTTTCTCTTTTAAAAATGTTATGCGTGTCTTTGGATCAATGTGAAAATAGAGTAGCCCTAGTTTGACACAATACTTTTTCCCAAAAAATAGCTATAAGGAATATTTCTCTGATACAGAACTTATTTCCTATCAACTCTCACTATAAAATAAATAATGTGGTCCCATTGGGAAAAAAAAAATCCCTCACTAAACTAAGTTTTAAAAGAGTTGAATAAGAAAGAAAACTCTCAGTAGTGATCTTACAGTACTTTTAAAACTTACAGATATACTCAACAGATAGCATAGTTTCTGTTAATAAAGGTCTCATCCTCCCACCTGTCCATCCAATCAACAGGTCACCCAATTCCTGATCTGCTGGTGTCCTGGAGAAGCCCTGGTGTACAAGACAGGCCATCTTTCCACTCTGAAGCAAGCAGGTCGCTGCCTCAGTCCGTCCAGGCTGCTGTAACAGACTGCCATAGAGCAGGCAGCCAATGGACAACAGAAAGTTATTGCTCACAGTTCTAGAGGCTGAGAAGTCCAAGATCAAGGCACCAGATTCAGTGTCTGGTGAGGGCTCACTTCCTAGTTCATAGATGGAGGGCCGACTTCTCACTGTTAGTTTCTCACATGGACAAAGGGGCAAGGGACCTCTCGGGGGTCTCTTTAATTTATTTATTTATTTACTTATTTATTGAGACAGAGTCTCATCCTGATACCCAGGTTGGAGTGCAATGCATCCGCCACCATGCCCAGCTAATTTCTGTAGGTTTAGTAGAGACAGTTTCACCACATTGGCCAGGCTAGTCTTGAACTCCTGACTTCAAGTGATCTACCTGCCTCAGCCTCCAAAAGTGCTGGGATCACAGGCATGAGCCACCACACCCAGCCTGGGGGTCTCTTTTAAAAGAACACTAATCCCTTTCATGTGTGCTCTGCCCACATGACCTAATCTTCTTCCTAAGGCCCCACCTTCAAATACCATCACAGTGGGGATTAGGTTTTAACATATAAATTTAAATTTGGGCAGCAAAGACACATATGTAGTCTACAGCCACTATAAATGATTACAATTAGTGGGTACATGGAACCCTGAGAGCAGAAAAGGGGGCAGCTGGAAGTAGTGAACAGCCTTTTTGGACAATGTCCTGATAAATTTACTTAGAATTTCTTATCCTTTCGTAATATTTTTTAGTTGCAAATTTCCATGTAAATCTCATTGGTTCCCTGTTTGGCTAGGGGAACAGATCCCTTACAATAGCCTTCCTATTGGATACTGAAATTATCTGCTCCCTCCCCCTGGAGAGCTGAGACCATGTGTCCAGTTCATCTAGTCCTTTCAGGGCCTGGCTCAAATAATATATTTAATAAATGTGTGGTTGATATAGTTTGGATATTTGTCCTCACCCAAATCTCACGTTGAATTGTAATCCCCAGTGCTGGAGGTCTCAGGTATTTCTTTATAACAATGAAAGAACAGCATAACACAGAAAATTGGTACCAAGGAATGGGGCATTACTATAAAGATACATGAAAATGTGGAAGCAACTTTGGACCTGGGTAACAGGTAGAGGTTGGAAGAGTGTGGAGGGCTCAGAAGAAGACAGGAACATGAGGGAAAGTTTGGAACTCCTTAGAGACTGATTAAATGGTTATAACCAAAATGCTGATAGTGAAATGGACAGTGAAGTCCAGGCTGAGGAGGTCTCAGGTGGAAATGATAAAATTATTGGGAACTGGGGCAAAGGTTACATGTTTCATACCTTAGCGAAGGACTTGGCTGCATTCTGTTCGTGCCCTAGGGATCTGTGGAAGTTTGAATCTAAGAGTGATGAACCAGGGTATCTGGCAGAAGAAAAGCAACAAAGTGTTCAAGATGCGGCCTGGCTGCTTCTAACAACCTAATTTCAGATGCAGGAGCCAAGCAATGACTTAAAGTTGGAACTTCTATTTAAACAGGCAGCAGAGCATGAAAGTTTGGAAAATTTGCAGCATAGCCATGTGGCAAAGAAAAACAAGCTTTTTTATGAGGGGAATTCAAGCAGGCTGTGGAACAACCACTTGCTAGAGATACTTGCATAACTAAAAGGGATCCAAGTGCTAATATCCAAGACAATGGGGAAAAGGCCTCAAAGGCATTTCAGAAATCTTCATGACAGCCCCTCCAATCACAGGCCCTAGGGTCTAAGAGGGCTGAATGGTTGTGTGGGCCAGACCCAGAGTTCTACTGCCCTGTGCAGCCTTGGGACACTGCTCCCCATATCCAGGTCACACCCCTCAAGCTAGGGCTCAAAGGGGCCAAGTTACAGCTCAGGCTGCTACTTTGGAGGGCACAAGCCATAGGCCTTGGTGGCTTCCATGTGGTGTTCAGCCTACAGGTACACATAATACAAAGTGGTGGATTCTTGGCAGCCTCTGCCTAGATTTCAGAGGATGTATAGAAATGCCTGGGTGTTCAGGCAGAAGCCCACTGCAGAGGTGGAGCTCTCACAGAGAGCCTCTACCACAGCAGTGCAGAGGGGAAATGTGGGGTTGGGGGCCCCACACAGATTTCCCACTGGTGCACTTCCTAGTGGAGCTATGAGAAGGGGGCCATCGTCCTCTAGACTTCAGAATGTAGAGTCACTGACAGCTTGCACCCTGTGCGTGGAATAGCCACGAGCACTCCTCTCCAGCCTTTGAGAGCAGCTTTAGGGGCTAAACCCTGAAAAGCCACAGTGGTAGAGCTGTCCAAGGCCTTGGGAGCCCACCCTTCTTATCAGTATGCCCTGGATGTAGGACAAAGGAGATTATTTTGGAGCTTTAAGATTTAATGACTACACTGCTGGGTTTTAAATTTGTTTGGGGCATGTAGCCCCTCTCTTTTAGCCAATTTTTCCCTTTTAAAATGGAAATGTTTGCCCAATGCTTATACTCCCATTGTATCTTGGAAGTAACCAACTTGTTTTTTCATTTTACAGGCTCATGAGTAGAAGAGATTTGCCTTGTCTCAGGTGAAACTTTGGACTTTTAAGTTAATGCTGGAATGAGTTACAACTTTCAGGGATTATTGGGAAGGCATGATTGGATTTTACAATGTAAGAAAAACATGCAATTTGAGAGGGGCCAGGGACAGAATGATATAGTTTGGCTATTTTGCCCCACCCAAATTTCATATTGAATTGTAATTCCCAATGCTACAGGTGGGTCCTGGTTGGAGGTGTTTGGATCATGGGGGTAGATCCCCCATGGCTTGGTTTTGTTTTTGTGATAGTGAGTTCTCATGAGATCTGATCATTTAAAAGTGTGTGGCACCTGCCCCTCACTTTCACTTGCTTGCTCCTGCTTTCCTCATGCAACATGCCTGCTCCACCTTTGCCTTCCACCATGACTGTAAGTTTCCTGAGGCCTCCCTAGAAGCTGAGCAGATGCCAGCACCATGCTTTCTGAAAGCCTGCAGAACCATGAGCCAAATAACCCTCTTTCACTATAAATTATCCAGCCTCTGATATTTCTTTATAGCAATGCAAGAATGGCCTAATACAGTGGTGAATTGTTTTCTGATGGGTAACAGATGGCACATCCTTGCCTTCTATGAGGATACGTGAAATTCACTCTGTGAATCTAAATAATGACAAATTAGTGAGAATGATTATTCATTACTGGTAGAAAGTGGGGGTGGGGGAGCTTAAAGGTATTATTCTTAAGTGCAAACATGTAAAATAGTTTACACTTAGGTACTCTGTGAACACTTCTCCTGATCTTATCCAGATAGTGGCCATAGTGGTGACCTGGGATGGCCCAGGCATGGTGAGAGCCTCAACAGATCAAAGGCCGCCACTCATCTACATGTATGCATATAGCAAAACAAAATGTATTAACATTGGTGTATTCATCAACTTGTCTGCTCCTTTCATTCACCAAAGAGGATCCCAAAATTTCTGGTCCAACTTCCCTTCCTTCCAGCGACACCCAGCCTCTGAGGAGAGGCCACTCTGCGCAGTTCCTCCTGAAGTTTATATGAAAAGGAAGTCAAAGGAGGAGGAAGAGTTTGTAGGGAAGAAAAAAACCGTTTTTCCTCTACCCTCCTGGGTTCTCCAGCTGGGGGCTTATAAATTAGACTGACAAAAGACAGATTAACAACAGTAGCCAAACAGAAGTTATGTAAATGCATGCATCGGACACACACATGGGAGAACTCAGTGATGAGTAACTCAAAGGGGTGGTTGGAACTTGGGTTTAGACAGCATCTTAACAAAAGAACCATACATGTTTAGAGAAGGGACAAGACAAAGGAAAAGAACTTTTGAGTTTCTAAAGGTGGAAAATTATGGACAGGCAGATATCTGGGGGAACTAATGAAAGATAAAGACTAATTAGTAAGGCTTGTTATGTAGATTTCTCCTGTGCTCTCTCTCGGCTGAAAGGTCTAGAATTGTCTTCGGTATATAACTTCTGTCTTTCCTGGGAGAGAGGGGAGGTGGGGCACCTTTCCAAATGTATGTCCTGCTTTTATGAAAATAGGGGGAGTGTAGAGCTTTTCTTGTATCTGGATCTTTTCTATCGCTTTTAACTCAAAATAATCCTTATGCCAACATGGCATATTTTGGGGTGGCATATTCTGCTACCCTCCAAGTTTAAAGAGATTTAGTCAAGCCACATCTTGAAGAGATCCCACAGCTAGGAGCGAATACACTCAGGCTGGAGAGAGAGTGTTTGAGGTAATATGGTGGCCAAAAAGAAGCTGGAAGTGTGGGTTATGACACAGCTTGTGGAACAAAAAAACGGGGACCTGAGAAGGGCTGCTAGGGAGTATGACAGTCTTCTTTATCAACCTGAAGAGAACTAAATGAAGAAAATAAGCACATATGTATCTATCTGTCTATCTATCTTCTTTGCCTTTTGGGACCACACTTATTTAAACGTGACATTTTTTTCCGGGACTGAATGCTGAAGTCACACAGCATACCTAGACACCTCTGCTTGGTTCTCATGAGAACAGATGTGTGTCTCCCACTCACTGTGTCCACAAATGAACTTCTGATCTTCCTCCACAATCTGCTCTACCCACAGCCACCCCTCCTCAGACGATGACAACTTCAACCTTCCAGACACTTAAGCCAAAACCCGTGATATTCTCCATGACATCTGCCTTCATTCCAACATCAAATTCATCAGGAAATCCTGTAGGCCCTACCTTGCAAATATATCCAGAATCTGACCACTTCTCACCACCACCAGGGCTCCTCCCCATGTGAGCCTCCATGGTCTTGGGTAATAGTAATATTAGGCCTCCCAACCTGCCCCCCCTGCATCCACCTTTGCCTTCCTACTATTCTCAATACAGCAGCCAGAATGATCTTTCTAATAGTAAGTTAGCACATTTTCCTCGTAAGCTCAAAACACTGCAATAGTGTTCCTTTCTCTTAAGATAAAAGCCAACATCCTTTTAACAGCCTAGCAGGATATGTCTTTCCCCACCCATCTTGCTTCATTCACTACTCTCCTTTGGGATGACTACCCTTTGGCCACAATGGCCTCCTCAGTCTTTCACACCCTCACTGAGTATGCTCCAGCTTAGGGACTTAGTAGCCTTAAGGCTCAATAGCCTTAATAGCCTCAAGGCTAACTTCCTCCTCTCCTTTGTAGGGCCTCAGAAAATCATACCCCAAAATGAAGCCCTCAGAAACAAGAGTCTCTCTAACCTTCTGCTGCCCTCCTGTCCCTGGTCCCTCATCCTCCCCAAGGCCAGCCAAAGAAACTAGAATCCTTCTTTCCCAAGGCAGGTCATAGAGACTGAACCCCTTTTCCCAAAGCCAGCCATAAAACCTAAAAATATCATTCTAACACCTCCCCCACCTTTCTGTTTAAAAACTGGCCATAAAGAAATGATCTCACCTACCTTGTTAGACTGTAGGTCATAAGACCCCTATTCCAGAGAGGGCCCTGCCCCATACCCAAAAGTCAGGAATGCTACACAAAGAGGCCAAGAATAATCTGAACAGACAAGCCTTGCTCTGTTTCCCGACCCAGTCTATTACCATTAGGTCATACTTTTTTTGTTCAATCATATTTCTACATAGTTGTCCACACTTTGTTTGAACCTATAAATAAACATAGACAGTTTCCCCATATCTTTGGGTCTTCGTTCTGAAGACTCCCATGTCACATAAAACTATGATCAAATAAATTTGTATGCCTTTTTTCCAATTAATCTGCCTTTTGTCAGTGATTTTCAATGAGCCTTCAGAGGGTGATGGGGAAGGTTTCCCTTTGCTCCTACGCTTTCAAGTCTGCTCAAATGTCACCTTCCTAATGAGATGTACTGCTTTAAAAATTTGCCACTGTCTCGGCCAGGCATGATGGCTCACACCTGTAATCCCAGCACATTGAGAAGCCAAGGTAGGCGGATCACTTGAGGCCAGGAGTTTGAGACCAGCCTGGCCAACATGGTGAAACCCCCTCTCTACCAAAAATACAAGAATGAGCCTGGCGTGGTGGCGGGCCCCTGTAATCCCAGCTACTCGGGAGGCTGAGGCAAGAGAAATCACTTGAACCTGGGAGACAGAGGAGGTTGTGGTTAGCCGAGATCGTGCCACAGCACTCCAGCCTGGGTGACAGAGCAAGACTCCATCTCAAAAATAAATAAATAAATAAATAAATAATTGCCACTCTCCTGTAAAACCCCCATTCCTGATCCCCCTTACCCTGCTCTATTATTTTTAGTACTTACCACCTTATCAATGGTGCTGATTGTTTAGCCCAACCAGAGTGTAAGCTTCGTGAGTGCATGAGGGCAGTGACCTCTGTTTTGATCCCTACTCTATTCCTATCACTTGGAAGAGTGTCTAACACAGTGTAACAGCGCAGTAAGTATTTGATGAATGAATAAATAAGTAAATAAATATAATTGGTTTATACCAATAAGCAATCAAGGATGGCTTCAAGGCTCGGGGACCTACCAGTGCCAGGAGCAGCCATTGTGAGCTGGGCTGTGAGGAGCTAGACTTACCCCATGACAGATGCCAGCTGGGGCTCCGAGTCAAGCTCCGGGGCACCAGACACACAGACTTTTATCTTCATTATTAATCTGCTTTGCAGCAGGACAAAGGCAAGGACATTAAAGTTGACACAATTCAACGACAACTCCTACAGCATTGGTGCTTCTCTTTGTTCGATGGCTGGAAATGCAGCAGGCCCCAAGCTCCAAGCCAGATGAGGGCAGTGGATGGTTTCAACAAAAATCTTGGATATATGGGATAAACTCAAGTGTGGACACGTTTTATAAATTCCTTTCAGGAGGTCTGAGTGCCGAAGCAACTGGACTCCAACACAGTGTCTGGCAGCAGTAGGCAAGGTGGAAAGGAAAGCCAGGGGGAACCTCAGGGGTCTCTTCATCTTTTCTGGGGAGAAATGTTTACCTCTGCACTCTCAAGGTAAGAACAAGCAATGTTTACCCCTTTCACCGTGAATCAGGAACAAATGTACCTAATGCTGCAGTTACAGGGCCTCACCAGGAGCCGAAACCCAGCCCTGAAAATGAGCACGGTGAGAACTGTGAGAAAGAGGGATCAATAAGCTCTGTGGCTGGGTGGTCTGTGAGGGGGGCGCTGCACACATAAGAAAATTGAGCTTTTCTCAGCTTTGAACTTAAAATACCTGAAGGGAACGACGATAGAACACAGGATACATTTCACTGAGTGGCCCTACAAACAGCGCAGTTAATTCTGCTTGCTTGTGTTTTGTGTGCTGTGTGTGTGTGTGTGTGTGTGTGTGTGTGTGTGTGTGTGTGTGTTTTATGTATGAAAGTATAAGCCAGGTGTGTTGGCTCACATCTGTAATCCAAGCACTTTGGGAGGTTGAGGTGGGAGGATCACTTGAGCCCAGGAGTTTGAGACCAGCCTGAGCAACACATAAGGAGACCCCATCTCTACAATAAATAAATAAATAAAATTAGCCAGGTATGGTGGTGCACGCCTGTGGTCCCAGCTACTCAGGAGGCTGAGGTGGGAGGATTGCTTGAACCCGGGAGGCAGAGGCTGCAGTGGGCTGTGATCGTGCCACTGCACTCCAGCCTTGGTGACAGAGCAAGACCCTGTCTCCATAAAAAAAAGTATGAGTGTGCATATATAATACATATATATTATATATTTGTAGAAGAAAATTGCTATTTTTCAAGATAATCAAATGTTGTGAATTGAATTATGGCCACCCCCGCCCCACACACCAAAAACATTTATGTGTTGAACTTCTAACCCTGTGTTCCTCAGAATGTGACCTGATTTAGAGATGGTATCCTTACAAAGGTAAGAAGTTAAAACAAGGTCATCAGAGCAGGCCCAAATCCAATATGACCAATTTCCTTATAAAAAGATGATATTTAGACTCTGGCATACATAGAGGAAAGATGACGTGAGGAGACACAGGGAGAAGGTGGCCATGCACACACTAAGGACAGAGGCCTGGAACAGATCCTTCCCTCACAGCCCACAGAAGGAACAAGCCCTGCCAACACCTTGATCTCAGGCTTCTACCTCCAGAACACTGAGACAACACATTTCTGTTATGGAAGCCACCCAGTCACAGCACTTTGTTATGACAGCCCTAGGAAACTGATAGATCAAGAAAAGTACATTCCACTGTGTAGTTAATACTCTAATCCCGCCTCAGCTTACTTCATAGCTATTTCAAAACTCACTTTGACCTGATCTTTCAGGTTATGTAGCAATGGGCCATGGTGGGCACTGCCAAAGCCCCAAATACTGATTTCAGTGTTCAGCATGTTACAAAAGGCTGTCATTCACCAGGAGAGCTTCTTCGCATTACCTATGGCTGCCTTCACTCATCCTCCATTTCCCTTTCAACCAGGACTTTCACTCAAAACTTGGAAAAACTTATCAATGCCTCCAACATCCCCCACCCCCTACCCCATCCCTCCTCCCCAAGTCTCCCTTGAAGAATATGCTTGACGAGTGATTCCTTTTGGCAAAACCAGATTACTCTTTTTCTCAATTCTCCCTGAACCATAAATTCATGCCTTTAGGGGTGGGCCTTCCACAGCCCATTCCACAGCAGATTTATTGCCCACTCCAGCTTCCTTTTGCACTACTTAATCTGCTGTATTTTAATTGGGTAATAAAACTCTGTGTGCCACCCAGAAAAATTCCAGAGCAAGCAATCATCAGGGACGTCTCTCAGCAGCCAATTTCTAATTATTTATTCAAGCCCAAAGCCTAATTCCACCCCTGAGTGTGGTGGTTCTGAGCTGCTGCACTCCCTGTGTAGAGCCAGAGCCAGAGCGTGGTGGGGGTGAGTGGCCAACACTGGAGCGCATCCCTGGACAGGAGACTCTCTGAGGCAGGAAGGTGTGAATGTATGGGAGGAGCTCTTCTCTGTGATTAGGCAAATAGGAGGAGTGCCTTGGGGCTTTCCCTTGTCAGGCCCCATGTTACTCAGAAATGAGACTGCCACAATTAATAAGGGAGTGTCCTCCACTAGGTCATGCTTTAGAAAAAAAAGAGACTAGCCAGCTACCAGCTACCAGGACAACTGGATAGGCATCTGTTCCATTTCATTCCATTCATTTAGATGGAATTTACACAAGATAAATTTACGCAGGATAAATACCATCTAAATAAAAACATTATTAAAAAATTAGTATATTAAAATGTTAGGATAGGATGGGCACAATGGCTCACGCCTGTAATCCCAGTCCTTTGGGAGGCCGAGGCAGGAGGATCACTTGAAGCCAAGAGATCAAGACCAGCCTGGGCAATATGGCGAGACCCCATCTCTACAAAAAAAAAATTATTTTTAATTAACACCTACGGTCCCAGGAACTCTTGAGACTTAGGCAGGAGGACCACTTGAACTCAGGAGGTCAAGGCTGCAGTGAGCCATGATCACAACACTGCACTCCAGCCTAGGTGACAGGGCAAGACCCTGTCTCAAAAAAAAAAAAAAGATTAGGTCTTTCTAACTACAAAATCCAAAAATCTTTCTAACTACAGCACAAAACCCTAAAATCTTAAAAGAAAAGATTAACAAATTTAACTATATAAAAAAATTAGAAATTCTAGGCCAGGCATAGTGGCTCATGCCTGTAATCCCAGCACTTTGGGAGGCCAAGACAGGCGGATCACTTGAGGTCAGGAATTCAAGACCAGCCTGCCCAACATGGTGAAATCCCCTTTCTACTAAAAATATAAAAATTAGTCAGGCGTGGCGGCGTGCACCTGTAATCCCAGCTACTCGGGAGGCTAAGGCAAGAGAATTGCTTGAACCTGGGAGGCAGAGGTTGCAGTGAGCCAAGATAGCGCCACTGCACTCCAGCTTAGGCGACAGAGTGAGACTCTGTCTCCAAAAATAAAAAATAAATAAATAAATAAAAATAAAAATTTAAAAATTCTAAAACATGCATTCTCCCCCCCCAAAAAATTATGAACAAAGTAAGAAGATAAATGACAGATTGGCAAAAATCAAATCAATAAGAAATATTAACAACCCAATAGAAAAATGTACAGACATTTAAAAAGGGGTTTATTAAAGAGAAACAATGACTAGCTCTTTAAAAATTTTTAAAAGCCCATTATAAGAAAATGAAAATTAAAATTACAAGGAAATAGCATTTTTCACTTATCTGCAAAAACTCAATCTCATACATTGTTGGTGGGAGTATAAATTGGTTCAATTTCTGTGAGGAGCAATTTAGCACTATCCAAGGTACAAATATATATGTCCTTTGATCCTAGGAATATGTATTCTAGATATGCTCACACATGGGAAATAACACATTGCATAGGGTTATTTATGAGACAGTGTCCAGAATAGCCAGATTGGGAAAACCTTAAATGTCTATCAAAAGGGAACTGATTTGATCAACTGTAGTAAATACTTACAATGAAAGAATCTTTAGCTGCAATAAAAGAATAAACAGAGTCTTAAAGAATCAGTACAAGAAATCATGCATACAAATACCAAAACACATAACATCCACGTGGGTAAGGCAGACAGCCACATATGTAGAAAAAGTGAGGGAGAATTAAATATGTCTTTATGAATTACTTATTCATAAAAAAATCTAAAAGGACAAACAAGAAAGAAAGAATATAGAACTGGATCTAAAATAGTTGTTAACAAAAAAGAAAAAAGAAAGAACAGTAGTTACTTGTTGGGGATAGGAACTAAATGATGATGGATAGGTGGCAGAGAATCTTTTTGTTTTATGGCCTTTTGTACTTTTTGATGTTTGAACTATGTGAATATGTTACTTATTCAAAAAACTAAATTTCTGTGAAGAATTTCATAGATAGGGTGAGAAAGACGGAGAGAACTCAGAGACTGATCATATACGTAGTGTGGTTTCCTGGCAACCAAACCTCACCGAACCTCATTCCCTCCCTCCAGAGCCTATCGTGGTGATGATAGCCACAGGAGGTGGGGGTGGAGAGAGGAGAAGTGGGAAAGTGGGGGTACAGATTTAACCTGACCCCACCATCCGTGTAGTTCTGCTTTTAATACTACTGTCAAATGGAATTATACACACAACATTATTGTCAAAGGAAATTAAACACAAAACACTGTGTTTGTAAGTATGAAAGTTTATGGTTAAATGAATATTTTGCAACTCTGTTTTGTCATTTTCTATGTGTAAAAATATACCAGTAGCCTAAAATAAAGGAAGCAGCCTTTTATTTAATGGCCTCTTTGGATTCCTAAGAAAACCTACCCATGGATCTTTTGTCACATTTCCCTTTGTTCTTAAAACTTCCTCCTGAGTGTTGACTCTAGCCAAATTTCTCCAGAACACAAATATGACATGGGGCACTCACAGAAGCCTCTCCAGGAACTGCACTCCCCTAGGAGGCCCCGTCCCTCTAGTTGCAGCTCAGGGAAGTAAACAAGGCCAGATGCTGCTGCTTGCCCAAGGTATCCGTGCTGCTTCTTAGTGATTCAATATTCAACAGCTATTTGGTGCAGCACTGCTTGGTAGGTATTTTAACACACTGTCAACTGAAGAATCATGAGGTTGATAAATTTGGAAAGGAGAACTTTATTTCTCATAAAGGGTTGCAGTTTGCAAGGTAGCCGTTCTAACAGGCTGGGAAGTGTAGCTTCTGGTCAGAAGCCAGAAACAGCACTTCAAGGGAGGAGTAAAGGGAACAGGAATTTATGCTGAGCAGCGTGACCGAATATACATATTGAATAAACTTTAAGACGAGTCATGAATAGTTACAAAAGGAGAAACACAACCCTGTGTAATTGAACTTTATGCTCTTCATGGATCCAAGGATGGAGTTTTGGGCCTTCTAATGTCAAAAGGCGAAGCAGAGGACATGAAGGTATTCAGTGCACATCATCTGTAGACTGGCCAGGACCACTCCACAGGCAGTGGTCTCTTATCAGGAAGGCAGGCTTATCAGTGTGTCAAAACCACAAAAAGGGAGGGGCAGTGTCAGGGAGTTGTTTGATATCCACAGTGGAGTCTTTCAAAAGGGTTGGTTTCTGTTTAATCTTTAGGGAAGAAAGACTAATGGCAGTTATCAAGGGAGGGGGTATAATGAGGCATGTCTGACCTGTCAGACCTCCCATCCCATCATGGCCAGGAACTCAGGTTTCAAGGTTTCTTTGCAGTCCCCTTGGCCAAGATGGGATTCATTCAGTTACTTGGGGGGGGGTGGGGGTGGGGCTTAGGTTTTATTTTTCTCAGTATTGAGAATTTTACCCATAGGGCTTTCTGAGGCAAAGCTTCCCATTTTGGTTCCATTGTTAAATGAAAGGTAAGAGATAGGAATTTGTCAGCAAAGAAAGGAAATTTGATGTCTTTTAAAAACAAAACATGGCATGAAGAAAGAATAACAAAATCAGAATTCCTCTGGAAATTCACTCCCATTGGCATATATACTGTTTATTTAGGGTGTTGCACAACATAAAGAGGATTTAGCACCTGGCAGGAAAGACTGAGTGTTCCAAAGATGGAGTAAACATAAGATCCTATAAAGAATTGCTAGTGAAAGACTCCATCTGCTTTCTTTGGCTGGAGTGACTGGTCACAAGGCAATTTTGAAGATGATTTTGAGTAGAAGAAGCCATATCCATGCACTGTTTGGTTTGGGGAGGGAGACCCAGGCCAGGGAAGAGGGGTTCAGCAAGTTCCAGGAGGTGAGGGCAGAAGCCCAGGAACTACACCATTCCACCCATGGCTCTGAAAACTTGGTAGAAGAAGCCCTCCATACTAACATGCACGAAGGCCCCAGCTCGCCTGCCCCAGCAATGCCAGCATCACCCTCCCTGCCCACCCGCTCTCTCACCTCGGCACTCTTACCAGGTTCTAGCACTGCTGCCTTGATGACTGCAGAGCTTCCAGCGGCCATCACAACAAAACCACAATCATTTTGCACCTAAGATGTAGAGCCTTGACCTTGGGGAGTCACAGAGATTACATTAAGAGATACAGAATGCAAGGAAATGCCCACTGGGGTTTAATCCTCTTGGGCTGCTCAAGTCCTGAGGTCTTCATAAAAGCAAGTTACTATGAAGATGGGAGGCAGCCACTGTCTGGCCTTGATTGTCCTCATGGGCCTCTGGAGTGGAAGATGAACCTTTAAAGGGGCTAAGTGCACACCATGAGGAAGAGAGTTTTAAGTGTTATACTGTGGGAGGAAAAGGCTGAACAGAAATTCAAAAGGCTCGTCTAAGTGCCATATTGAAAGAAAGTGAGAAAGCATAAGTCAGGGACCAGGAACAAGTAAGGCCTTGGGAACTTTCTGGAATCTTTTTAATTTCCTCATGTTTGCTTCTTCTATTATCTTCCTAGTATACTTTCCAGTAACACAACCTTTTCAAAATGCCTAAAGCAAAAAGGATCTGTGTGTTTGCTTTGGGAACAACAGTTAATCATGGGCTGGGGCAGCCTGAAAGAAGAAGGAAAACCTGAGGAACAGGGTGAGTCAGGAAGCTTTGGACAGGACACATAGTTGTCATAGAAGGAAGGAGAAGCAGCTGGGCCTGTTAGGTGACCCAGAAACTTAGTAATAAGGGAGTGGTTTCTCTGAAGTTTTTATTTTTATGCCCTTCTACAGTTTTGTATATTTCTATATAACCTATTTTTTGTTTATAATCTACTTTATTCCATAAAATATTTAAGTAGTCTATAGGATATAAGAAATATATTCAATAAAATATAAAGTCAAAAAAATGCAAAATGTTTTAAAAGGTTATGACCAGGAGAAAATTAGAACACGTGTTTGCATAAGGCCGTACTCTGTCACTAAACAGAGGCTCAGATTTGTCTCTGAACTTCCAGGCGCCTGAGACAGAACAGAAATCAGATACGTTACCCGAATCTCATTGTTCACTAGAAGACAAACAAACAATTGCTGAGGTAAAGTAAAAGATACTTATAGGACCTCACAGAGTGGTTGAAAAAAAAAAGTGACACCTCCACATTATCATCAAGAGGAAAGTTCACAAAGTTGTCTCTTACATGCTAAGAGGATGACTCAAGATGTAACTCAGAGTTTCTGTGGGAACTCTCCCCTCCTCACCTAACTAGAAAGCGGCAGAGCCAGATTTGGAACACAGGTCCTGTGACCTCAGCTCCTGTTTGCTTTGTACCTCCTTTCACCTAGCTGTTTCCTACTTCTCTTGCAGTCTCAATTTAAACTTCACTTCCTGAAAAAGACCTCTCTGGCCCTGGGCTGGACTAGGCCCCTGTTAGGTTCTCAGCACCCTGGGCCTTCTCTATCTTTCACACATCACATTCTTTGTTCTCATTTGTTTGATGTCTGTCTTTACCAACAGAATGAAAGCTCATGACAGGAGGGACCATCTGGTCATCTTTTTTTTTTTTTTGAGTCTCGCCCTGTCACCAGGCTGGAGTGCAGTAGCACGATCTCAACTCACTGCAACCTCCACCTCCTGGGTTCAAGCGATTCTCCTGCCTCAGCCTCCTGAGTAGCTGGGACTACAGGCATGCGCCACCACACCCAGCTAATTTTTTGTATTTTTAGTAGAGATGGGGTTTCACCATGTTGGCCAGGATGGTCTCGATCTCCTGATCTTGTGATCCGTCCACCTCAGCCTCCCAAAGTGCTAGGATTACAGTCATGAGTCACAGCGCCCGGCCTTTTTTATTTTATTTTATTTTGTTGAGACGGAGCTTCACTCTTGTTGCCCAGGCTGGAATGCAATGGTGCGATCTTGGCTCACTGCAACCTCCACCTCCCGGACTCAAGCGATTCTCCTGCCTCAGCCTCCTGAGTAGCTGGGATTACAAGCACCTGCCACCACATCGGGCTAATTTTTTGTATTTTTAGTAGGGATGTGGTTTCACCACGTTGACCATGGCTGGTCTCAAACTCCTGACCTCAGGTAGTCTGACTGCCTCGGCCTCCCAAAGTGCTGGGATTACAGGTGTGAGCCACTGTGCTTGGCCCATCTGGTCATCTTAATAGATGCTGACGTCCAGGTGCGGTGGCTCACGCCTGTAATTCCAGCACTCTCAGAGGCCAAGGCAGGAGGATCGTTGAACCCAGGAGTCCAAGGCCACCCTGGCAACATAGAGAGACCCTGTCTCTTAAAATATATATGTATTTATGTATTTATATATATATATATATGTATTTATGTATTTATATATATATATATATATATAAAAAGAAAAAATAGATGCTGAAAAAGCATTTACAAAATTCAACACCCATTCATGATGAAATCTCTCAGCAAACTAGGACTAGAAATAAACTTCCTCAACTTGACAAAGAACATCTGAGAAAAACTTATCATTAATATTAATATCATAGTTAATGGTGAAAGACTAAATGTTTTCTCCTGAAGGTCAGCAAGAATGTCCGTTCTAACCACTTCTATTCAACATTGTACCAGAGTTCCTAGCCTGTGAAATAAGGCAAGAAAAAAGAAATAAAAGGCACCCAGATTGAAAAGAAAAAAAATAACACTGCCTTTATCACAGATAACATGATTATCAATGTAGAACGTCTTGAGATTGATTTTTTAAAATCTGTGCCTATTAGTAAATAAAACAAATATGAAAGACAAAAGGTTAATTCATAAAAATTAACTGTATTTCTATAGAACAGTAATGAACAATTTGAAAATGAGTTAAGAAACAATAGAGTAAAATAACCTCAAAAATGTGAAATACTTATGGATACATTTAACAAAATGTATATGCAAGACATATAAACTGAAAACTTCAAAACATTTCCTTGAGAAATTAAGAATGATCTAAACATATGGAGAGACATTCCTTGTTCATGGATTGGAAGACTCAATATTGTGAAGATATCAATTCCTCCCAAATGGATCTATAGATTCAAAATAATCCCAAATAAAATTCCAGAAAATTTTTTGTAGAACTTGACAAGCTAATTTTAAAACTTATATGGAAATACAAACGACATAGAATAGGCAAACAATTTTGAAAAAGAATAGTCAGAGGACTTATACACGACCTGATTTCAAGATTTATTATAGGCCAGGAACAGTGGCTCATGCCTGTAATCCCAGCATTTTGGAAGGTCAAGGCAGGAAGATCACTTGAGCTCAGGAGTTTGAGTCCAGCCTGGGCAAGAGAGTGAGACCCTGTCTCAAATAAAGAGAAAGAAATAGAACCACAGATAATGCATGTGGTTAACTGACTTTCAACAAAGATGCCAGTTTAATTCAATGGAGAAAGAATAATCTTGTCAATAAGTGGTATTAGAATAATTGGATGATTCTTTGGGAAAAAAGAAACCTGGACTTTCACCTCAAACCATATAAAAAAAAATAACTAAAATAGATCATAGACCAAAATGTAAAAGCTACAACTATAAAACAACTGGAAGAAAACAGAGGATAAAGTCTGTGTTCTGGCTGGGCGTGGTGGCTCATGCCTATAATCTCAGCACTTTGGGAGGCTGAGGCGGGTGGATCACGAGGTCAGGAGATCGAGACCATCCTGGCTAACACGGTGAAACCCTGTCTCTACTAAAAATACAAAAAAAAAAAAAAAATTAACTGAGCGTGATGGCGGGCGCCTTAGTCCCAGCTACTTGGGAGGCTGAGGCAGGAGAATGGCGTGAACCCAGGAGGCGGAGCTTGCAGTGAGCCAAGATTGCACCACTGTACTCCAGCCTGGGCGACAGAGTGAGACTCCATCTCAAAAAAAAAAAAATTTGTGTTCTTGGTGACACAAAAGTACTCAGTGTGTACTCAGCGGATGGCATTATCTGAGCCAGTGGGGAGAACACTCAGTCTTCTCTGAGTCCCTTTCATTTTTCTTCTACTTGTAAAATAGAATCTGACAGTTCTTCCTCATACTTGCCTCCTTCTCTTTCCTTTTCCACACTCTCTCTCGGAGTGAAAAACAAATGGTAACACAAAAGAAAAGGGCAGGGAGAACAATTGTCCTGAGGCAGGAGGTAAATGTCCAGTTCTTTTCCTCCTGCCTCACTCTTTGATACTAATTTCATAAAGGAGTATTTGGGAGTGTGGGTGGGAAATGAAGGTCCTGTGTGATCATTAGGGCATGTACTAAGTTCTTAAAATGATACTAAATTCAACATTTGCATAATATGACTGTGATGGTTACTTTTATATATCATCTTTCTGGCCACTGGATTCCCAGATGTTTGGTTAAACATTATTCTGGGTGTCTGTGAGGGTGTTTCTGGATGGCATCCACATTTGAATTAGTAAAATGAATAAAACGAATTGCCCTTATCAACATGGGTGGGCCTCATCCAACCTGTTGAAAGCCTAAATAGAACAAAAGGCACAGTAAGGGAGAGTTCATTCTCTCTACCTGATGATCTTTAAGCTGGGACATTGATCCTCTTTTGCCTTCAGACTTGCACTCAGACTGGAACTTACAACATCTGCTCTCTTAGTTCTCAGGCCTTCGGACCCAGGCTAGAACTATACCATTGTTTCTGCTGGGCCTCCACCTTGTGACCACAGATCTTCGGGATTTCTTAGCCTCCATAATCACCTGAGCCAGTTCCTTAATTCTTTATAATAAATATCTTTTTATACAATACATATATATGATATGTATAAATAGAATATATATAATATGTGATATGTATATATGGAATATATATTATAGGTATATTATATATAATATATGTATATAATAGATAATATATTATATATGACTATATAATATATGCATATAATGTGTTATATATGAATATATTATATGTGATATATGAATATATTATATATTATATATGAATATACATTATATAGACAGAATATAGAATATACCATATATTCTATATATGCATATATTCTATATATACATATGGAAAACTAGAGTTGGAAAACTCTAATACAAGGACTCAAATGTATACAAATCAAATCAACTCCAAACAGGACTAAGTGTAAGCATATTTTGTTCCAGGCTTTGTAATTCTCCATACAGAGCTGTGGGACTTGGTTCTGCTTTGATCTCTTACCCCTAATCTTTAGCAAAATGTTGAACGAGAAACTGGAGGTGTCTGAATGAGCTGCACATTCATCCCCATCTCCCTCATCTGTCATAAATCCATTCCATCAACTCCCCACAGCATAAAATCCTCATAACAGTTAATCCTCTTCAGCCCAAAGAGAACCTCATGAGCCATATGTAAAATACAGTCTCATTTTGTTTTTCTTCTCCCTGTTTAATTATTCACTTCATTTAGTTTTATTTTTCTCTTTCTCATTGGGCAAAGACAACTTTGTATTTGGGTAAATTAGTCTGAGGTCTAATGATAAAGGAAAAACATTTCTCTTTGACATTTATTACTATGATGAAAATTCCCAAATGTGCCCCAACCCATTAATATTTATTTCTTATTACAAATAAGCTCAGATCTTTTCTCTCATTAAGCACCTAAGATAATCCCATTTTCCTGCCAAAATAATTCCTGTTGGTTTTCTGTTTAAGCCATTGCGGAGAGAAGCAGCTGCCAGTGTCAAAAGGAAACAGGTGGCCTTGGGAACATGCTTGCTCAGAGGAGTCGGTGTGTGTGTTTCCAAGGAAACTCTATTGCATTACACTTGGCTGCTGCATGTTGTACATTTTCACATGTTTTATGTTTTTGTTTTTGTTTTTCCCCAGAATGTCCTTTCCTACCATTCCAGACTCCATCACAGCTGACTCCAGTCCATGGCATCGTTCTTCCAACCTGGAAGTGCCTCCTGAGGTTTTTCCTAATGGATCACTTTTCCTAATGGGAACCACTAATCGCTTTCCTTTCCAGCACTACGTTTTGACAACCAAATGAAAGCAGTGTCCATGGGATGTGAAAATATTTCTTTTCAGAGGCCTCTAAGCCACTGCATCTGGCACATCTGACCTGCCTCTGTCCATATGAAGGAAGAGGAAAGATTCCATTTTCTCATCCCACAAAAAATTACACAAAAACTCCAAGGCTATGCGTGGCTATGTAATGTAATCAATCATTTTCTTTCCTTTCCTCTTTATTTTTTCTTAATGTCTGCTCACATCTACTTCAGTTGTGGACTTGTTCTATTATGAAGCCTTCCTTTTTTAATATAAGGACTTGATATACATTGTACTTTGGAAATGGAAGATCTTTTTGTAAAATAAGAATCAGCTGAGAGTAATACTTGTTTCTCACCTGACTAATGTGGTTTAGTGGATTTTGTGCCACTACAGGATTTTCTACCATAAATCCTGTCACCCTAGACTGGCTTTCTGGCAAAGTCTAAACAATTAATGACATTTAACATATTGTAGTTCACATGGACACGTTAGGGATTGCCACCAGCTTGAGAAATGGTTATAAAATTAAGTTTAATGTGATAGTTGCTTTCAATAGCCACTCATTTCCCACTGTTTATATTGGCTGCTAGTTCCCAAATATGATCCAGACATGGTCGGTGGTAATTAGCAAAATCTGTTAGCCATTTTGTATTTTTTATGTAATTCTTTATCTCAAGGCAGTTTCTTTCCTGTCAGAAAAAGAGCACAGCAATCCTAGGCATCATGGAATCCAGTGTCTCCATTTTACAGAGGGCTACTGAGGTCCAGACAATGTTTTAATGTTGGATAATCAAGTAAAGATGGCATCATAGCATTTGTGCACAGCCTTAACCATTTTCTTTCATCTGATCTTCACAAAAATCCCATGAAGTTGTGCAGGATCTGGATTTTTTTAAAAATCTTATGAGGTAGGTAAGACAACTGCTGTCATCACCCTGTATTAGTTAGGGCAAAGGCTGAGCTACTATATGGAGACTAACAATACAATGGCTTAAAGAGCAAAGAAATGTATTGCTCATTCACATAACAGTGTTGAGGCGAATGGTCGAGGTTGTGGACACAGTTCTGCTCCACACAGTCATTCGGGGATTGTGAGTCCTCCTGTAGCGCAGCTCCGCCATTCTCTCAGGTATTTTTATGGTCAAAATCTGGGAGGCCACAGATCCATCCCTGGCAGGAAGATGGCACAGATGAAGGTTACCCACTGTTTTAAGACCTAGACCCAGAATTGCCATATATACCTTTCACTCACGTGCCACTGGAAAGAACATAGTCATGTGTTCCCACAGCCCCCCCTTGACTGCTGGGGGTGGGAAATGCAGGATAATGTATCCATGAAGAAGGGGAGAGTAGATTTTGGTGGATGACTAACAATTTTTACCATACTTCTCTCATTTTACAGGTGAGAAAATTAAAATTGAGAGAGGTAGCTTATAATACAGAAGTAATTAAGTAGTTTCACTTGCAAAATATTATATAATTTTGAATGGCATGTATACAAAAAAAGAGTATGGTCAATATATTAGTCAGGGTCCTCCAGA
This sequence comes from Homo sapiens, assembly GCF_000001405.40. Taxonomy (NCBI): domain Eukaryota; kingdom Metazoa; phylum Chordata; class Mammalia; order Primates; family Hominidae; genus Homo; species Homo sapiens. Next base: position 106,920,158 of record NC_000006.12, read on the forward strand.
GAAATAGAACCAATAAGATGTATGTAAATAGAGGGAGAGAGATTTTTTAAGAAATTGGCTCATGTGATTACGGAGAATGGCAAGTTCAAAATGTACAGGTTGGCCTGGCAGGCTGGACCCAGGAAGGAGCTCATGTTGCAGTTCAAGTCCAAAGGCAGTCTGCTGGCAGAGCTCCTTCTCCCTCAGGGGATGTCAGTCTTGTTTTTTGTTTTGTTTTGTTTTGTTTTTTGAGACAGGGTCTCACTCTTTCCCCAGGATGGAGTGCAGTGGCACCATCACAGCTCACTGTAGCCTCAACCTCCTGGGCTGGGGTGATCCTCCCACCTCAGCCTCCCAGGTAGCTGGAACTACAGGCATGCTGCCACCATGCCCGCCTAACTTTTTGTATTTTTTGTAGAGACGGGATCTCTCCATGTTGCCCAGGCTGGTCTTGAACTCCTGGGCTCAAGCGATTCACCTGCTTCAAACTCCCAAAGTGCTGGGATTATAGGCATGGCCATCATGCCCGGCCAGTCTTATTCTATTAAGGACTTCAGTGGATGGGATGGTACACACTTACATTATGGAAGCTAATCTGCTTTACTCAAAATCTACAAATTTAAATGTTAATGTCATCCAAAAAAAAACAACCTCATAGAAACATCCAGAATGTTTGACCAAATATCTAGGCACTGTGACCCAGCCAAGTTGACACAAAATTAACCAGCACAGTTAACAATTCCATAATCCCCCAAAATCTCCCCTAGATCCCTGATTACATGAAATGTACCTGGTATCTAATTGCACCTCTGTCAGTAACTTTAACATGCCTGACCATCAGCTCACTGCACATTAGAAATGGTATTGTTGCTATTTCCCTCACACTGAGAGCATAGTAGGAAGTAACAACACATGTGGCTATGTGAAGTTTTTTGAAATTTTGAGCACCACCAGTCCACTATTTCTCCCACAGACCAGTATTTTCTCAGGAGGCCTAGGGACATAACTTTATTTTATTTTTAAATTTTAAATAGAGATGGGGTCTCACCATGTGCCCAAGTTGGTCTCAAACTCCTGGGCTCAGGGATTCACCCACTCGGCCTCCCAAAGGGTCAGGATTACAGGCATAAGCCATTGTGCCCAGCCAGGACATAACTTTATAAGAAGGCTAGGTGCAGTGGCTCATGCCTCTAATCCCAGCACTTTGGGAGGCCGAGGAGAGAGGATTGCTTGAGCCCAGGGGTTGAAGACCAGCCTGGGCAATGTGGCAAAACCCCATCTCTACAAAAAAATACAAAAATTATTCGGATATGGTGGTGTGTGCCTGTGGTCCCAGCTACTCAGGAGGCTAAGGTGGGAGGATCTCTTGAGCCCAGGAGTTGGGGGCTGCAGTGAGCAAAATTGCACCACTGCACTCCTGCCTGGGCAACAAAGTAAAAAAAAAAAAAAAAAAAGCAAGAAGAAGAAGAAGAAGAAGGAAAAGGAAAAGGGATGGGAAAGGAAAAAGCAAAGGTGAGAGAAGGGTTTTTCCATGCTACCTCTCTCACCTTTCCAAATGCCCACTGTAAAAGCATTGCATTTTGCCTAGCATTTTTCTCATCAAAAATTAACTAAGTGTCTTCTACCGTATTAGCTGTGGTATCCAGCTAAGGGTATGAACATCAGCTAAAGCCGACTTTAAATTAGAGTGCTTGGAAGCATTAGCTTCCAGGTGTTTTACCAGCTGACAAAGAGGGATGATTTCAAAAATCAATGTCAATAATTTCCAGTCATTTCCTTAAAAATTACTTTCCATCTACACATTGCATAGTGTTCTGGAAAGTGGTGTGTTGTGTTTCACTCTCTTCTGTTCTGCCAGCAAAACCCTGAAACCTGCATCCTGCTCATCTACTAGGGCTGTTTAGTTTGATGTGACTATCTATGTGTCCTTGAGTTTGGGCTCTCCTCCTAACCCAGGCTGACTGCCTGCTCCATCCCCGAGGATCCTGCTCTCCTTCCACCATCGTTACCTTCTTTGTACCTTCTCTGTTACCCAAATTAATTTCTTTTCTTTTCTTTTCTTTTTTAAGAAAAAAAAACCAGTCTCACTCTGTCACCCAGGCTGAAGTGCAATAGCCCAATCATGGCTCACTGCAGCCTCGACCTCCCCAGGTTGAGGTGATCCTCCCACGTCAGCCTCCTGAGTAAATTTTTTTTTTTTTTGAGACAGAGTTTCGCTCTTATTGCCCAGGCTGGAGTGCAATGGCGCGATCTCAGCTCACTGCAACCTCTACCTCCCAGGTTCAAGTGATTCTCCTGCCTCAGCCTCCCGAGTAGCTGGGATTACAGGCGCCCGCCACCGTGCCTGGCTAATTTTTGTATTTTTAGTAGAAACGGGGTTTCACCATGTTGGCCAGGCTGGTCTCAAACTCCTGACCTCAGGTGATCCACCCGCCTTGGCCTCCCAAAGTGCTGGGATTACAGGCTTCAGCCGCCACGCCTGGCATTTTTTTTTTTTTTTTTTTTTTTGGAGAGATGAGGTTTTACTATGCTGCCCAAGCTGGTCTCAAACTTCTGAGCTTAAGCAATACACCTACCTCAGCTTCTCCAAGTGCTGGAGTTACCAGGCATGAACCACTGCACCCGGCCTGAGATTTATGCACGTTAGAAATTAGTTTTGGGGCTGGTCACAATAGCTCACACCTGGTAACCCCAGCACTTTGGGAGGCCAAGGCAGGCAGAGTCCTTGAGTCCAGGAGTTCGAGACCAGCCTGGGCAACATAGCAAGACCTTATCTCTACAAAAAATACAAAAATTAGCCAGGCATGGTGGCACAACTGTAGTCTGAGCTACTCAGGAGGCTGAGTTGGGAAGATCACCTCAGCCTGGGGAGGTCGAGGCTGCAGTGCACCATGATCAGGCTACTACACTCCAGCCTGGGCAACAGAGTGAGACCCTGTCTCCAAAACACAAAAAAACAAACAAACAGAAAACAAAAAACATGAATCTCTAAGGTGGTTTTTTTTCAAAGAATCTTACCGCTTATGATAAAATACATGGTGTTCACCTTTTTCTTGTAGTTGTAGACTGTCAAAATTGGAATAGAACTTAGAGTTGTTACCCTTTCCACAGTAGTCCCTGAAGTTAAACAAGCCCAGTGATGGGGAATTCGCTGCTTTCCAACGCAGCCCAGTTCCTCTTTATAGCACACTGATTTTTATTAGTCTTTCCATTACTGGGCTTTTGTTAGTCTTCTCTGTATCTACTCTGATTAATTAGTTGGGACTATACAAAAAAAAAGGGTTTATCCTCCTAATCTTCTCCCCACACACAAAGTAGAAAACTTTTTCAAGATTAAGTAGATAGTTTAAAATATACTTACTAGCATAACCCAAAGTAGTATAATGTCCCATGAGTCTAAAAATAACAAAAGTGTATGTGTGTGTCGCTGTGTGTGTAAAACCAAGTTATTTGGGTGATTTTTACTGGACTTTATTTTTTAATATTAATAGTAGTATTGAATGGTTCAAAAATGAAAAAGAATTAAAAGGCCATATAGTGAGAAGTCTTCTCCTTATTTCTGTCACTCATCCATGTAATTCTTCCTATCTCCCCTTTAAACTGGGAGGCACCATTACTAGTTTCTTGTGTGTCCTCACAGAGACTTTTTATACAAACAGATACAAACGTATATTATGCTTCCCTTCTTAAATAACAGTAAGCATACCATGCACACTTTTTTAAGAAGAAGTGATTTACAGATACATAATATTCCATGATACAAATATACCATAAGAGATATAGCCAATCCACTATTAGTAGACACACATGTCATGTTCTATTTCTGCTGTTACAAAATGTGCAACAATAACTAACATCGTGTAGACATTTTGCATATGCCCAGTGATATCTATAGACTAAGCTCTTTAAAGTGAGTTGTTGCATCAAAAAAGACATGCATTTCAAATTTTGATTGGTATTGCCAAATTGCCCTCCATAAATGTTGTATCAATTTATATTTCACCAACAATATAAAGGAAGGCCTTGTCAACGCAGTGTTTTATCAAATATCTGGATTTTTGCCTATCTGATGTGTGAAAATGGCATTTAAGTATAAATTCGTGTGTCTCTTATTATGAATGATGTAGAACATTTCCTTTAAAATATTTAACAGCAATTTGCATTTCCTTTTCTGTGAATTCTAGACAGAGCATTGTCCCACCTTTCTTCTGAGTGCTTGTTTACTTTACTTTTCTTATTGATTCATAGAAATCGATATGTTAAGGAGGTTATTCTATTATCTGTGACATGAGTTGCAGATATTTTTTCCAGCTTGTCATTTGTCTCCCGACTTATCTGATAGTAGCTTTATACAAACATTTTCATGTGGTTGAATCTATCATTTTAAAATAATTTTAAGAGATTTTTGCCCTATTTTGAAGTATTTAAATGATTTTCTATGTTCTTTTCTAGTCTTATTATTATTTACTCTTTTTTTTTTTATCACCTTTGAGCTTTTTAAAGAAGTGTGAGGTATGGTACAAACGTATTTTCTTCCAGAGAGCTAACTCTGTTGTCCTAAACAGTTAGTGATTATTATATCTCTTCTGTTAAGGGAAGAGGCCACCCCTCATATTGTCTTATGCCCAATTTCTGCCTCCAAAGAAAAAAGAAGTAAAAACTAAAAGGCAGAAATGAAATCCACAGGGAGACAGCCTGGCGCCGTGCCCTGAGCCTGGTTAAAGATTGACCCCTGACCTAACCGGTTATGTTATCTATAGATTCCAGACATTGTAAGGAAAAGCATTGTGAAAATCCCTGTCCCGTTCTGTTCCGTTCTGATTACCGGTGCATGCAGCCCCCGGTCACGTACCCCCTGCTTGCTCAATCGATTACGACCCTCTCACGCAGACCCCCTTAGAGTTGTAAGCCCTTAAGAGGGACAGGAATTGCTCACTCGGGGAGCTCGGTTTTTGGAGACGTGAGTGTTGCCGAAGCTCCCGGCCAAATAAAGCCCTTCCTTGTTTAACTCGGTGTCTGAGGGGTTTTGTCTGCAGCTTGTCCTGCTACACTGTGAACTTTATTTAAACTATTATAACATAGAACAAGGGCAGATAAACTATGTTATGAGGGACAAATTTGACCCACAGCTTGTGTTTATACACAAAGTGTTACTGGAACATAGCTTTGCCCATTTGGTTATGTCTTGTTAGGGCTGCTTTTGCACTACATGGGGCAGAGTTGAGTAGTTGCAAGAGACAGTTTGGCCTGCAAATCCTGAAATATTTAACTTTCTGGCTCTTTACAGGAAAAGTTTGCTAACTCCTAATACAGAAGAAGAACAAGGAGAAGAGGAGGAGGAAAAAGAGAAGGAAAAAGAGAAAGAAAAAGAATGGAGGAGAAGAAGGAAGAAAGAAAAAGGAAGGAGGAATAGCTCAGGGAGGAAGAGAAAGAAGGGAAAAGGAGAAGACATTCTGAAAATAAATTGGATTCTCTTGGCATAAATGTGTGGAGAAAAAAAATATTCCTTAGGAGAAAAAAAATGAACTGAGATGGTGGGTTTATTTTCCTCTTTTAATAGTCTTCTCCCTTGGTAGGGCCTGAGGTGATTTGTTTTGGTTTTATATTATACCGTGATCCACTTCATACAACCCACAAATCTCTCATCATTTTCTCTGCCAGGCTAGGCCAGAAGTCTCTACAGAGGTTCCAAGTCTCATGCTTGTTCATGTATTTAATGAGGTGTAGGATGGCCTCAGGGGACCCCTTGGAATGTGGGAAACTGGAGTTCCTTTTTTAAAAACACATCCCTTTAGGGGTACTACCACCTTTCAAATCTCCTTCTGTCTTTTAGGACTGACAAGAAACCCTTCTAAACTGGCTTTTTAAAATTACTTTTTAAATATGTTGTAACAAGACCGCCAAAACTTTTTTCCCAGAAAGTATAGTGTTTCTTCCTTCTACATATCCAACAAAGGATTTCCCTTTCCAGTGTCACAGTGGGTTACACGAGCATTTTAATGATCCAGCTGTTTTCCCTTTTCTTGTACACTGCAGTTTTCCACAAGTTACTGAATAATCTCATTAAGCCCTTCCAGTCAGCTTGAGCATGCTTCACCTTTCTTTGAGGCAGCTGAAAAGTACCCATTATTAAAAGGCAAAAATTATTCTAACTGCATGAAGGAAAAGACCGCAAAAGGAAGTGCAGGATAAAGTTATTTTTATATCATAGCCACGCTACAGTGAAAAACTCTAAAATACCTCCCAAATATTTAATTTACTTTTTATTATCATTATTTCAGAGTTATGTCCAGTTCTAAACTCCAAAATTCAGGAGGAAGCATATGGAGAACTTAAAGTGTCCATACATTACTAAAATACTAGCAGTAAACATCGTATATGAAGAACACATATTTTTCAAAACACCTTTACATACACTATTCTATTTGATTCTCAGGACAATCAAATGCATATGACTATATCCAGACTATATCCAAATGGATATGACTATATCCAGACTATATCCATTTCACAGAGAAAGAAACTGAGTCACAGATAATTTATTTCATTTTATTTAAATTTATTTATTCATTTTTATATAGTTGACGAATTCACATTATTCAAAATTCCAAAAGTACATAAAGGTGTATGCTGAAAAAAACTCCCCTCCACTTCTCACCTCTATCCACCCAATTTCCCTTCCTAGAAGAAACTTCTATTTCTTATTTCTAATATATATCCTCCTGGAGATATTGTACGCTTAGTACAGATGGCTATACATGATTTTTCTTCTTTTTATGTAATATCTTAATATAGTCCTTGTTCTGAACCCAGCTTTTTTAAACGTAATATATCCTGGAGATCTTTCATATGAGTATATAGTGAATTTCCACTTTTTTATGGCTCCTTAATATTTGATTGCATAAACTTATACTTTATTTAAACAGTCTTATATTGATGGAATTTTTTTCTTTTCAGAGGCAGGGTCTCACTTTGTCATCCAGGCTGGAGTGCAGTTGTGTGATCATAGCTCACTGCAGCACCAAACCCCTGGGCTCAAGAAATCCTTCCACCTCAGCCTCTTGAGTAGGTGGAACCGCAGGCATGTGCCACCATGCCCAGCTAATTTTTAAAAGTTTTTTGTAGAGATGGGGTATTGCTATGTTGCCCAGGCTTGTCTCAAGTGATCCTGCCACCTTGGCCTCCCAAAGTTCTGAGATTACAGGTGTGGGCCACCATACCAGCCTGTTGGATCATTTCTGTGTTGGAGTTGTAGGGTCAAAAAAATATGTGCATTTAAAATTTTGAGAAGTATTGTGAAATTTTCTCCATTTTCTCCAAGATTAGACAGAGATCTTAGGTGACATAGCCAAGACTGAATAGCTAATTTTTAATGGATATAAAGTCACAACAAATGTTTTCTAACCAGTAAAATAGGGGATGTGAAGAATGGCATAATTGCATATTTTCAGGGCCACTAACCCTTTGTGAAATAGATTTAATTGAGGCATCTGCAAGAGAAGAGAGGAGTTACCTCTCTTGCTGATTCCATTGTTCTTCTTTGCCTTCTGTATTTTGTTCCCTGAACCCTAGAGCCAAGTGATGAATTAACTTCAGCAGGCCTAGATGAGTTTGCCTCCTGTCAGCCTGAGCCCCTCCTTCTCACAGACTACTGAGATGTGGGCTCCTCTGCCTGCACCAAAAAGTTGAAGTCTTAACGTCATCCACCTCAATAAAATAGAAGGCTAAGAAGAGAAGGGGAATGAACTGATGAAGACTTTCAAAGATATTAAAAAGGTCATCAACATTCTCTACTGGCAAGTTATACCTCTGTACAATGCTTGCCAAGCCTGATGAGCCGCTGTCCGTGGTGCTGACAACAGGCCTATGGCCTGAGGCATGATTGCTTTTCCTATTCCTAGGGCATTAAGAATCTTATACAAACTCTCCTAGGCATTCTGAACCAGGTGAGAAAGGAGGAAACAAACGGAAACAAGAGGGGCAAAGGGACAAGGGCTACTTAGAGAGGCAGAATATTTGTGAGGTTGGATAAAGAAGAGAGATTGGTCTAGGATTGGTATTGTTTACAAATCATCATAGATACTAACAGATAAATCTGCCCCCTTCATGATGGGAAGAGGGTCATATGTACTTTGCTTTATGCTTTCCATTTGTTATATGCATATATCCCCTGAGGATTTAAAGAAAAATACGGTTATAAAAAGGACCATGGAAAGAGTTATGTGGAATTCCTTGAGTGGACAATTTTAGAAATAAGATGGATTGCCATCTGCCTGAGCCGGTTTAACTGTAATCCTGCCAAAGGCTGGAAATAGACTGGATAACCTCCTGAGACCCTCACAATATTTGAAGTTAGGACTTCAATGAAAACATTCATCCTACTCTTGCTCTTTATCTCTGTTTGGGCTTCAGGGCAGACTGGATTTAAACTAAAGTAACATCACAGGCTATACTGATTATTTTGTCTTATCTAAAGTCAGTTGCCTTCAAGTGTTGTTTTAATACACACGAGAAGTTAATAACTTTTTCAACCTGTCACTTCTTTCCCTAGCAGCACAAGAAGATAATATAGAATGTGAATTCAATAAATTCCATTTACTCCTCAGTGCTGCGCTGGAACCAAACAATCTTCCATTCACGTGATTAAGTTTGAAAAATATTTATATTTTGGTGTAAAAAAAGAAACATTTGGATTTATATAAAGTTTAAGTATAAAAATATAACTGTGGGCCAGGCATGGCAGTCACGCCTGTAATCCCATCACTTTGGGAGGCTGAGGTGGGTGGATCACCTGAGGTCAGGCGTTCGAGACCAGCCTGAGCAACATGACAAAACCCCAACACTACTAAAAACATGAGAATTAGGTGGGCATGGTGGAGCATGCCTGTAGCCCCAGCTACTCGGGAGGCTGAGGCAGGAGAATCGCTTGAACCCAGGAGGTGGAGGTTACAGTGAGCCGAGATTGCACCACTGCACTCCAGCCTGGGCAACAGAGAAAGACTGTGTGCCAAAAAACAAAACAAACAAAAAAACAAATTAAAGAAACCTGTAGTTACATTTTTATACTTGGTTTTGTTTTTATTTTTTTAAAGGGTGGATTTTCAAATTGGAGAGAACATATAATATTGGAGATTAGGCCAGAGATTTCATAAGTTTTAGAATGTATCTTTCAATATTTTAAATGGCTTCATTGGCAATGCAGTTGGCTTTTTAGGCCTGGCTGTCATTATAATTATTGCTGCTATAGGGATGCATAGGTTTCAAGTTGTCTGAGCTTGGGGTGCACTTATCTATGAGCAATCAAAGCAACATCCAGATGTCAGGTCACCAGACATGGTCCTCAGAGGCCCCTGTTAGTGTATCTGCCTTCACATAGGGTGAGATCTACCCCCAGGTCATGGGGAAGGGAATCTATTCCCCCCAAGGGTTATCTAATTCTGCCTGGGCACTGACTCATAACCCATCTGATATTCTAAGCTTAAGGACTGTCTTCACATTCTATTAAATTTCTCTATTCCAGAGCTGGTTGACTTAGCTCCAGTGTAAATCCATTTGAGAAAAAGAAACATTTAAGGAAAATGGTATTGTCCTTTCTTACAGATCATTGGTTCTCAACATTTTTTTCCTTACACGCAGCTAACAGAATGACCATCTGTCATTACACTGCAGTGGTTCTCCGCCAAAGTCTGAGTGGGAAAGGCAGGAGGGCAAGTCCCTTTCTGCTCTACCCAGAGAGGCTTATCAAAATGGGGCAAGGGTGAACTCTATAAAGCTCCCCAATTTCCAATATGTCCTCCTGGCTTGATAGCTTCCATATGTCCTTTCTTCATCCTTTCTCTGCACCAGAAGGCTAACAAGCACCACCAGACTCCCTGTGCCTGCCCTTAGCTTCTAGTTGAATTCAGCCAATGAAAAGCACCAGCAAGAGATCAGAGGGAGTAGGTGGAAAGTTAAAGGTATTTATTTCCTTGGCTTTCTGTGGGGGTACCACAGGCTGGATTCATCTCTTGACTAAAAGTCACTACTCCTGTCCAAGAGCCTTCTCTGCTCAGTCTCGGTCTCCAAGTTCTCTTCTGGTGATGGGATCTTCTCTTTATCCCTTTCAAGCCTAGGAGAGTAGCAGTATCCCTTGTTACCAGCCCCGCAGAACTGCACAATTCCTTATGGTTTCCCTGCATCCTACATACATCTTTGTAAAGAGCCCCTTTATCAACTCGAATTACCTTCTCTTTTCTAAAAGGATCCTCACTAATACAATCTCCACCTCCCATCCCCCCCAAAAAACAAAACTAAACAAAACAAAAAAAAACCTTACTCTGTAAAATCTAAATACTACAGTCTAGGTTTTTGTTGAAGAAAAATATATAAATTTTCTACATGAATGATATTTCTCTATCTTTCAGAAACCATGGTTAAATATGTGGCTCAATGTTTCTTGTATAATTAACTACATGATAATTTTTTAAATTAAATATTTTTAAAACTTAAAATATTTTATCCCAAGGAACTTATCTCTCTGTTTGCAAATAATGAGAATTCTATAGTTTATAACCTATAACCTATGCTGTCATAGCTTGACTACGAGGAAGCTTACAGAGAAATTTATACATAAGTCAGGGTAAAACATTAGCTTAGATTTCACTCTACTTATTTCTCCATCCTTCAATCTAGAATCTAATGATCTATTTTCATTTTAATGGTCATGTTAAACATGTCTTTAATTGCAACTGCTTTGAAGTTAGAAAGTCCATATGTCACACATAAATGCTTGTTGTAGTTCTTAATGATTATTCATTGTGTTCCCAGTTATATTGATGTGGAACTCTTTTTTCCCAAGCCAAACTGTATCCAGCTTTATTAAAGATACTTTCCATAAACAATCATGGTATTTCAGGCAGGACAGGGCAGACAATCATTAACGTATACAACTTTCAAACTCTCTTCTTCAATGGACTACCAAAAATTGGAAAGCCACTATAAAACCCAATGAAGTCTTCATCTGATGCTCTGAACAGGGAAAGCTTAGAGTGAGGGTTGACAGTTCACATTTAGCTTGTTTTTAACAACTTTTCACAAGCCAACCCTGACTTTCAGAAAGTGAAATGAAAATGGCAGAATTTATCTGAAGATCCACAATCTAGAAATGGAACCACTGCTCCTTTTGACAGGTGCCATCTCAGTGGCATCACTGGAAAGTCCAGATTGCCTGACACACTGGTAACCAATGATTGGAGGTCAGGTCCCAACAGATGTCTGGGCTTAAGGGAGTTAAGTATATGCTGAAAGATGGAAAGGTCGAAGAGGACATACAAACGAATTTGTTTTTCCATACCATGAGGCTTTTGTGCAAAGAGGCCTTGTGTGTCAAAGTCAGGGAATCCCTCCTCCTGGGAGCCAAGAGGAAGTTTCTCAAAACTAGAAGGGAAAGGTGTTTCCCCCACATCAATCCAGCTGCAGAGACATTCTATTAGTGACATATGCCCCTTCCCCAAAAAACAACAATGAGGTGGTCTGTATGCTAACAACATAACTTCAAAAAAAGGTAAAACAAAATTCTGCATTTTTATAAAACTTGATAAAAATAGTATTTCAAACTGTACAGTCACCATACGTACAGTTATCAAAAATCCACACACTTCGCTTGGCATCTCCAGCACCTTCAGCTTTCTGTGCCTGGTCTGTTTTGGCATCTCCATTTTCTGCAGGGCTATTCCCCTCCTTGCCAGCATCAACTTTCCCCTTTTTCCCTTTGGGTACCTTCTCTCCCTTCTTTGCAGGGGCCTTTTTAGGCTTGGGCTCTGGCTTTGGAGGAGCAGGTTTAGCAGACAACCTCGCAGATCTTCCCTGTGGTTCATCCTTCCCTTTGGCTTTATCCCCTTTAGCATCCCCTTCAGCCTTTCTCTTGGGCATGGTGGTGGCGGCGACAGCGGCACGACATAGGCGCTGGACGCAGGGCTTTGGTCAGTCCAGGGGTCGTTCTAGCCTCTTTTTCTTCTCCCAATGTGGGACATTTTTTTACACTTGAAAAAAGACTCAGCGATAAGGCTCTTCCTATAAGCAAACACTCTAGTCAAAAATTGAAGAAGTCTAAATTGAAATGAAATAGGCATGTCAGTCAAACATTTGTACCCACACTTCTGATTAATTGAAGTTTTTGTTTCTTCATTAACCATCTATTTTTAATTTTTTAAAAGCACACTAACTTAAAAAGCTGTTTATAGGCTGGGTGTGGCGGCTCACCCCTGTAATCCCAGCACTTTGGGAGGCTGAGCTGGGCAGATCATCTGAGGTCAGGAGTTTGAGACCAGTCTGGCCAACATGGTGAAACCCTGTCTCTACTAAAAAATACAAAAATTAGCCAACCGTGATGGTGGCTGCCTGTGAACCCAGCTACTCAGGAGGCTGAGACAGGAGAATCGCTTGAACCTGGGAGGCGGAGTTTGCAGTGAGCCAAGATTGCACCACTGCACTCCAGCCTGGGTGGCACAGCGAGACTCCGTCTCAAAAAAAAAGGCTGTTTATAGTGTCCAAACAATATAAACATACTACTTTATGGTAGAAACCTAACCTGATGATCATGAAAACTTAATAAGAACTTTTTTCACATTTACCTTGTTACTCTTAAAAATCAGATACAAAAAGTCACCTATAAGAGCCTTCTTAATGAAAACAGCAATAGTCTCAAACTGATGACTCTTTAACTGTAAAACACTCATTCCCTGGAACATCCTCACCCTTGACATTCGTGGGCATATGGTACGTATTCCATAAATGCTTACTGAATTGAGAAAGGAAATTTATATACATGTATTGGGAAGTGTTTTCAGAAAATGCATCCCTAAAAAATCCATCCTTTAAGTGACTTACATTGCATTTATGATTACACTTTTTTTTTTTTTTTTTCTTTTTTGAGACGCAGTTTCACTCTTGTTGCCCAGGCTGGAGTGCAATGGTGCAATCTCGGCTCACCACAACCTCCACCTCCCAGGTTCAAGTGATCCTCCTGCCTCAGCCTCCCAAGTAGCTGGGATTACAGGCATGTGCCATGACGCCCAGGTAATTTTGTATTTTTAGTAGAGACAGGGTTTCTCCATGTTGGTCAGGCTGGTCTCCAACTCCCGACCTCACGTGATCCTCGTGCCTTGGCCTCCCAAAGTGCTGGGTTACAGGTGTGAGCCACCATGCCCGGCCTCTTCCACTTTTCGTATTTCAGCATGGCCGTTGAATTTCCCTCCTCCCATCTGAGAGCATATGTTCCTGTTTCTTTAGTTGCTTCATAGGGCCTTTACTATTCCTTCTCCTACTTGTAATAGAGCTAACAATTGAGCTAGTTTGGCCAGGTGTGGTGTCTCACGCCTGTAATCCCAACACTTTTGGAGGCCAAGGCGGGCAGATCACTTGAGGTCAGGAGTTCAAGACCAGCCTGGCCAACATGGTGAAACCCCGTCTCTACTAAAAATACAAAAATTAGCAGATGTGATGACGCGTGCCTGTAGTCCCAACTACTCAGCAGGCTGAGGCAGGAGAATTGCTTGAACCTGAGAGGCGGAGGATGCAGTGAGCCAAGACTGTGCCAAGCATTCCAGCCTAGGTGACAGAGTAAGACTTTGAGACTTCATCTCCAAAAAAAAAAAAAAAAAAAAAAGTTGAGCTAGTTAGAGATGCAAACATCCAGAATCAGGGTGTATCAGTCGCACCATCTCCTCTTCACCATCTCGTACAGTGCTCTGCTGAGAAGACACTTGCATATATATTGTTTTTAAACTCTGATTTTGGCTTCACTGGCTTACTAACTTCATCTTCTATGGATGATTTTGTTGAGATACTATGTATTTTTTAAAAAGTGTTTGTTGGCTGGGCATGGTGGCTCACGCCTGTAATCCCAGCATTTTGGGAGGCTGAGGTGGGCAGATCACGTGAGTTCGGGAGTTCGAGACCAGCCTGACCAACATGGAAAAACCCCATCTCTACTAAAAAATACAAAATTAGCTGGGCGTCATGGTGCATGCCTGTAATCCCAGCTACTCGGGAGGCTGAGGCAGGAGGATCGCTTGAACCTGGGAGGTGGAGGTTGTGGTGAGCCGAGATCGCATCATTGCACTTCAGCCTAGGCAACAAGAGCAAAACTCTGTCTCAAAAAAAAAAAAAAGTGTTTGTTGATTAACAGTTTGTTAAAAATCATAAATGCAATGTAAGTCACTCAAAGGATGGATTTTTTAGGGATGCATTTTCTGAAAACACTTCTCAACACATGTATATAAATTTCCTTTCTCAATTCAGTAAGCATTTAGAGACCATCCTGGCCAACATGGTGAAACCCTGTCTCTATTAAAAATACAAAAAAATTAGCTCAGTATGGTGGCACGTGCCTGTAGTCCCAGCTACTCGGGAGGCTGAGGCAGGAGAATCGCTTGAACTGGGGAGGTGGAGGTTGCAGTGAGCCGAGATCTCGCCACTGCACTCCAGCCTGGTGACAGAGTGAGACTCCATCTCAAAAAAATAAATACATAAATAAAAAATAACTGGAAGATTGGCCGGGCACGGTGACTCACACCTGTAATCCCAGCACTTTGGGAGGCTGGCTCAGATGGATTACTTGAGGTCAGGAGTTCAAGACCAGCCTAGCCAACATGGTGAAACCCCGTCTCTACTAAAAGTACAAAAATTAGCTGGGCGTGGTGGCGGGCACCTGTAGTCCTGGCTACTCGGGAGGCTGAGGCATGAGAATTGCTTGAACCCGGGAGGCAGGAGTTGCAGTGAGCCACGATTGTGCCACTGCACTCCAGCCTGGGCAACAGAGTGAAACTCTGTCTCATAAAAAAGAAAAAAAAGTCAGAGACAAATATGTACCCTTTATAAGCAGGCAAAAACTGAACAACATGTGATTAAATTGTTAAGAACAGCAGGGGAATTATTATTACAAAATACAGATAGTGGTAAATACAGATAGTAATACAAACATGACTCACTGCAGCCTCGACCTCCTGGGCTCAAGCAATCCTCCCGCCTCAGCCTTCCAAGTAGCTGGGACTACAGGCACATGCCACCATATCTGGCCAATTTTTAAATTTTTTGTAGAGACAGGTGTCAACATATTGCCAAGGCTGGTCTTGAATCCCTGGGCTCAAGCGATCCTCCCACCTCCACCTTTCAAAGTGCTGGGATTACAAACATGAGCCACTGTGCCCGGCCTCACGCTGCACTTTCTAATTGTGCTGGTGATAATAATAATGGTAGTAATGAGGGTGATGATAAAAATAACTAGCATGTGTTCCATGTTCACAATATACCACTCACAGGTCTATATGCTCTAGATTCACGGCAGGCCGTGTGCTGTTACCTAGTGTGCCTTACATTACTCAGCTAGTAACTGGTGGAGTGGAGATTCTGACAAAGGAACTCTGGCTCCAGAGCACACGTTCTTAATCGCAGCACTCTGTTCTTCTGGACACTCTTATATTAGTTTTCTGAGCCTGCAATAACAAACTACAGAAATTTATTCTCTCACAGTTACAGAGGCTAAAAATACAAAATCCAGCAGGGCCATGCTCTCTCCAGGGGCTCTAAGGGAAAATTCTTCTTCGCCTCTTCCAGCTGCTGGTAGCTGTCTTGGCATTTCTTTTTTTTTTCCTTTGAGACAGAGTCTTGCACTGTCGCCCAGGCTGGAGTACAATGGTACAGTCTCGGTTCACTGCAGCCTCCGCCTCCCGGGTTCAAGCGATTCTCCTGCCTCAGCCTCCGAAGTAGCTGGGATTACAGGCACCCGCCACCATGCCTGGCGAATTTTTGTTGTTGTATTTTTAGTAGAGATGGGGTTTCACCATGTTGACCAGGCTGGTCTCGAACTCCTGGCCTCAGGAGATCCGCCCACCTCGGCCTCCCAAAGTTCAGGGATTACAGGTGTAAGCCACTGCACCCGGCCTGCCCTGGCATTTCTGCTTAGGCTGTGGCTGCATCATTTCAGCCTCTGCCTCTGTCTCCACATGGTGTTCTCCTGTGTGTGTCTAATTTCCCTCTGCTTCTCCCTTGTCACTGGACTTGGGACTTATCTGGATAATCTAAGACAAGTTTCTCCTCTCAAAAAAACTTGCCAGATGTGGTAGCTCACACCTGTAATCCTAGCACTTTGGGAGGCTGAGGCAAGAGGATTGTTTGAGCTCAGGAGTTCGAGACCAGCCTGGGCAACACGTAGAAACTCTATCTCTACAAAAAAACAAATACAAAAATTAGCCAGGCACAGTGGCTCATGCCTATAGTCCCAGCTACTTGGGGGGCTGGGACTAGAGAATCGCTTGAGCCTGAAAGGTGGAGATTACAGTGAGTGGAGATGGTGCCACTGCACTCCAGCCTGGGTGACAAAGTGAGTCCCTGTCTCAAAAAAAAAAAAAAAAACAAAAAAAACCCTTAAATACCTTTTTTTGTCATAAAAGGTAATATCCACTCTCTTTTACTATATAAGTATATTTACATGTTCTGGGGGTTCGGATGTAGACATATCTTTTGGGAACCACCATTCAACCCATAAAACTATAAAAAATCAACTGACTTTTGGATATTCCATATAAACCCAGCAAACTGGCTGTATTTTCCTATCAGCTCCAATAAATGTCTGTTGATTCTTTTGAGTTTTCATTCTAGTCAATCATGTCATCTGTGAATTAGCTAAAACTGCTTTTTTTGTGGAGATTCCTTATTTTATTGTGCATGCTACCCTATTATCATAATTGTCATCACAAACAACAAATGTTTAGTGAGTGTTTACTTAGTAAAAAACATTGTACTAGATAATATGGGGATCAAAAGGATGAAAAGGACATAGTCTTTGCCCTCTCAAAAGCATAATAATTGAGATATGGTTCATATACATGAAAAAAATCACTATTAAGCAAAAGGGAACAAGGTTGCAGTTACCTTTGCAGTGTGAGTCTTCACTTAAAAGAACTGCTTTTCAGCCAGGCATGGTGGCTCACGCCTGTAATCCCAGCACTTTGAGAGGCCGAGGCTGGCGGATCACCTGAGGTCAGGAGTTCGAGACCAGCCTGGCCAAAATGGAGAAACCCCGTCTCTACTAAAAATACAAAATTAGCCAGGCATGGTGGCACATGCCTGTAATCCCAGCTACTCAGGAGGCTGAGGCAGTAGAATCACTTGAACCCGGGAGGTGGAGGTTGCAGTGAGCAGAGATTGGGCCATTGCACTCCAGCCTAGGTAACAAGAGCAAAACTCTGTCTCAAAAAAAAAAAAGAATTGTTTTTCTTCTGCCTCAATACATGAGCATGCTGCATCACCCTACATGGGCTATTTCATCAGGACTCCCTACTCTCCCTCTCCTCTTTTTTTTTTCTCTCCCTTGTTTTGGACATGTCCAGTCTGTGGTCTGAATCACTCATATTATTAGAAGTCAATGGAAAAGGAAAAGCAAAGCAGGAGAAGCTTGCAGCAGAACAGCAGAGTGAGCAATAGCTATCATTATTCTCTCTACCTGGCAGGGCTTCTTGCCTCTTACATAAAACAGAGATTACTGAGGTTGCAAAAGACTCTGAAATCTGGCTAGGTGTAGTGGTTCATGCCTATAATCTCAGCACTTTGGGAGACTGAGGCAAGGAGGATCATTTGAGTGCAAGAGTTCACAACCAGCCTGGGCAACATAGTGAGATCCCATCTCTAACGAAAAATTTTAAAAATTAGCTGGATGTGGTGGTGTGTACCTATAGTCCCAGCTACTCAGGAGGCTGAGCTGGGAGGATTGCTTGAGCCCAGGAGATCGAGGCTGTAGTGAGCTGTGATGGTCCAACTGCACTTTAGCCTAGGTGACAAAGTAAGACACTGTCTCAAAAAAAAGACTAAAAAAAAAAAAAAAATCTGAACTCTTTCCCAGAAGTTGATTGCCAGGCTGAGAATTCTGAAGGAACATAAGACAAATAAATAACATTAATTTCTTATCCATGAAAAGAGCAAAAGATTAAGAAAATTAATAAAAGAAAATATGAGCATAAAATTTGGATTAAGGAGATATTTTTAGCCTTTCAGTTGTTTTCAGACAATTTTGCAGTAGCTTTAATTTAGCTAATCCTTGGATGGATTACTACATAAAAAATTTTAAGTGGTTTACAGAATAGGGTGTCCAATACAATCTATTTTTGACAAAAAGAAATAGATATGCACAAAAAGGAATGTCAGCTGTCAGCTGCTATCCCAAGTGCTATGATTTTAGTTTTTACTTTCTTCTTCTATAGTAACCACATTTTCTATATTGAATATATACTACTTTAATAATTTTTAAAATATAATGTTTAGTCTAATTTAAAAATATGTTAACTTATGACCATTGTGCCCATGTCATGCACTCTATAGAAATTATATTAGGCCAGGTGCGGTGGCTCATGCCTGTAATCCCAGCACTTTGGGAGGCTGAAGTGGGCAGATCACCTGAGGTCAGGAGTTCAAGACCACCCTGGCCAATGTGGTGAAACCCTGTCTCTACTAAAAATACAAAAATTAGCCGGGTGTGGTGGCATGAGCCTGTAATCCCCGCTACTCAGGAGGCTGAGGCAGGAGAATTGCTTGAACCTGGAAGGCAAAGGTTGCAGTGAGCTGAGATCATGCCATTGCACTCCAGCCTGGGCAACAACAGCAAGACTCTGTTTCAAAAAACAAAAAAAAAAGAAAGCACAATGTCACAATGTCACACCTGTGACACAATGTCACACTACACAATGTCACACCTGTGAACCAGCAGGAGAGAGACCCAGAATTGGGGAGATGGAAGATAAAGTCAATCTCTGAAATAGAAAATAGTGGAATTCCTTTAAAATAACATCCTATACAGAAAGATCATTGGCCAATTATTTTGGTGGGACCGAACTAGCTCCCAAGTTGTTTCTTGAATTATAGGAAGTTATGTCTCAGGAAGACATGGACTGAAAAAGAGCTCAGACAAGATTAGAAGAGGGGACCCCTTGGCCACTCCCGTGCTTTCCTGAGCTTGCATTCTTAGTTCTATTTTCAACCACAGTTTCTTCGCAGCCACTATTCCATGGATCAGGTGGATGTTTTCGTTAAATGAGAAAGCATAACCCCTAAATCCACTAAACTGGGCTCACATCAGCTATAAGTGGTCAAAATGCACTGAGGGGCTACAGGAGGGTGCCGCCCATCCCCCTGTGAGTTGAGGCCTCTCCAACAGCACACCTGACACAGGCACCATGGCCCTCAGTTGTGCCAGATAATATGAGGATCATATTACGTACTAGACAATATGAGGTTCATATTATGTACTAGATAATATGAGGATCATATTACCTAGTACAGCTCACAGGGGTGAGTGCCAGGAGTCAAAACAAACACTGAATATTAGCAAAGCAAATTAGCAAAGCAGAATATTAGCAAAGCAGAATTTATATTTTTAGATAAATATAAATAGATATTTTAATATCTTCTTACCGTGCTCCAAGGAAGTGTTGGGGGCCCCATGCTCACACCCCACTTTGAAGAACTCTGGTGAAGAGTAGGAATGGAGGCAAACATTTCAAAAGCTTCACATAAATGTTTACATAATCCCATCAACTACTCCATGGGGTAGATCAGGACAGTCTCACTGAAAACAAAGGTTCATAGAGGGAAAGAAAATTGCCACAGTCCCATAATTAACCAGGGCACAGTTGAAATCCCAAATGTCCCTGCCTAACCCTGTATCCCGGGTCCCATCTCACAGGAGGTCCTTGCCAGGTGGGTTGGCCCAGGAAGACTTTGCCGGTGAGGAAGCCCCGAACTGGGTAAATTGCAGGGCAGAGGGCAGGAGCAGACGGAAAGCAATAGGAAGGAGGAGCTGCCGGCTTGGGGAAATGAAGAGTTTGTGGAGATGAAGGGGAAGTCCGTGTTTGAGCTAGCTACCACTGAGCCTGTGGGAGGAAGTGCCCAGCACACAGCAAGAAACCAGCAGTCAGGTCAGGTATGCAGATATAGAAGTGGGAGTCTTCTGGGTGGAGTTAAAACCAAAGACATATAAGAGAAACATGGGCCGGGCACGGTGGCTGACGCCTGTAATCCCAGCACTTTGGGAGGCCGAGGTGGGCAGATCACAAGGTCAGGAGTTCAAGACCAGCCTGGCCAACATGGTAAAACCCCGTCTCTACTAAAAAAAAAAAATACAAAAATGACTGGGCACGGTGGCTCACGCCTGTAATCCCAGCACTTTGGGAGGCCGAGGCAGGCAGATTGCCTGAGCTCAGGAGTTCATGACCAGCCTGGGCAACACAGTGAGACTCCATCTCTACTAAAATACAAAAAATTAGCTGGGCATGGCAGCATGCACCTGTAGTCCCAGCTACTTGGGAAGCTGAGGCGGGAGAATTGCTTGAACCCGGGAGGCGGAGGTTGCAGTGAGCCGAGATCGCGCCACTGCACTCCAGCCTGGGTGACAGAGCAAGACTCCATCTCAAAAAAAACAAAAACAAAAATTAGCCGGGCATGGTGGTGCACGCCTGTGATCCTAGCTACTTGAGAGGCTGAGGCAGGAGAATTGCTTGAACCTGGGAGAAGGAGGTTGCAGTGAGCCGAGATCATGCCACTGCACTCTAGCCTGGGTGACAGAGCAAGACTCTGTCTCAAAAAAAAAAAAAAAAAAAGAGAGAGAAACATGAAGAGAGGAAGGAGATGGAAGGAGCCAACAAAGACACGTTTATGTGTAACATGGAGTCACCCACAGTTGCAGTAAATCCCCGGTCAAACCAAAACTAAATAGGTCATGCATCAACACATACATAACATAACTGCAACAGAATTAGCCACAAAAAAATGCATAAACCTAATTATTTATTCAGGCACCCCACACAAATCTTATCATTGCTGAATTTTTATCACATGCCTAAAAAAATGAAATATTCAGTAGTGAAAGGTGAGCAGTAGCAAAATGATTACCTATAACAGCACTAAATTAAACAAAATTCTAATAAACAATAGCAGCAATTGAAACCCTGAATGATTAGTCATTTTAGGAACACATGTCTTTGCAGATTGAAATTTTTCACAACAGAAGGAGAGCCTGTTTTTTTTTTCTCAACTAAGCAGCAAAACCCATGGAGTTCCTGCTTCTCCAGTGAGAGGGTGCTGACCTGGCAGCTGATCCAACAGATCTGAACTGAGGGAGCCATTTACCCACTGCAGAAGGATGTGTTGGCTTTCTCAGGTCATGTGACCACTCCTAACCAGAGACACCGGAAAAATTCAGTGTTTTAGAAGACATGGAGTTAGGGCTTTAAATTTGCAGAGACTTTAAGGAGATTTTGGAGGGCCATCCTAGCGGACTCAGGGGATGTTCTGAATTTTTTGGAACTTACCTTTGTTTATTATCCCAACTCTCAGTTGAGGTCAGAGCAAATATGAATTGAAGTTACCCAGCTCTTTTCCTATTGTGATGCCTGAAATGCCACTATTTTAGAGTCTCCTTTTGGCTCTGGAGACTTGCTTGTTGAAACATTGCACCTTAATTACATATTACTGTTCATCTGAACTTAGTGAGAGGAAGATCTGGTGGAAAGAATTCTTATGGGACATCAACATTAGACAGCCACCCAAAAGTGGTAAATGAAAGAGAGATAGCAAGATGAATCCTGAAGGGAAAGCTAAGAGGGCCTCATAGCAAACTTTCGTACTTACAGTTTTCCTTGAGTCTGGATAATCACTCTAGCTAATGGATTCACCTCTAGCTTATACCTATTCCAAACTATCACTTCTTAGTAGATCAGATAGACTCTTGGTAAAGACTCAAATGGGGAGAGGTGCCGGCAGAGCTGGAGAAGGCAGTAGTTCTTGCAGCAGAGCTGAAAATAATGCAGTCTCACTAAGCCAGGGAAGACCTCACAGACAGCCAACAACACTTGTATCTGTGTTGGCTTCTGTGGCTTCCTTTTAAATCTAATAATGGATTAGTCCTTCCCCCTTCTGTCCCTCTTCCTGATTCTGAGCATCTGATGAAGAAATGAACATGGCTAGAAACTGACTGGCCTTGTGCTAAATCTTAAGGTATCTAAGGGATCTTTGAGGGACAGAACCCACCTCCACCAATGGTGGCTTCTGAGAGGTTTGGTTCAGTTACCAGGTATTTAGGAGAATCTCACTAAAACCAGGAATTCTGTGTCATACAGTACACTGTTGTAAATGCTCTGTAATTTGTTGGAAGTTGTGTCAGCACTGAAAGTTAATTGCCAGATGTTTGGATAGTAAATACAGATACTGCTGAATAACACAAATACTTGCTTCCTTAAATATGTTTGATTTGGTGAAATGCATGTGCTGGTCTCTAAATAACCTAGAAAACTAGATGATGTATGGTAAAACTTGACAACCAATGAAAGGAGACATAATAAGTAAGTACTCTTGAAGAATCATAATCAAAATTCCTTTTGTTATCTAGTCAAACAAAAGAAGAAATCCTAGATTCCGGTTGCTACTTTCAAAGGTTTATTATGAACTCACAGGAGGCCACTTGCTACTGTGGAAAGGACATCAGCTTGGTGTTAAATCAGATACCAAATCCCTGCTCTGTGACATACTGACTGTGTGACTTTGGGCAAGTTATTGAACTTCTCTGAACATCAGTTTTCATCTACAGAATGGGTTGTTGAGAAGACTGAATAGAAAATGTAATTGAGGTACCTGACAGTGACCTCATCTAGTAGGTACTTGATACAGACTGAATGTTGGTATCCACCTCCCAAATTCATATCTTGAAGCTCTAATCCCCAATGTAGTGGTATTTGGAAGTAAGGCCTTTGGAAGATAATTAAGTTATGAGGGTGGAGCCCACGTGAATGGAATTAGTGACCTTATAAGAAGGGATCTGAGATTTATGTTCTCTCTCTGTCAGGTGAGGACACAGCAAAAAGACAGCTGTCCGCACATCAGGCCAGGAACTGAATCTGTCCACACCTTAATCCTGAACTTCCTAGCCTCCAGAACTGAAAGAAATAAATTTCTGTTGTTTAACACCCAGTCTATGATATGTTTGTTATAGCTGTCAGAACTGAGACAGTACTGTATAATAATAGCGCAGTAGGACAATATTTTTTGAAGTCTTAACTGATATTTTTTTTCCAAGTATTCTCTTACCATTTGACTTTTGGTCCCAGTCAGTCATGCAGATCATTATGTAAGGAGTATGAGGGCAGAAGGCAGAGAAAAGAGGTAAAGCTCCTCAGCTTTTGAATTTCAAAGGCCGAGGCTTTGAAGGAAGGGAATGAACAGATAAGAGATTTGGGTGGTTATAGGATAAATAAGGAAGAGTTATCCTCACCTCAGACCAAAAAGATTCCCTGAGGTAGGGGAAGGAGCCAACTTTGAATGCTGGAGTTCCGCAGGGCTGAGAAAAGAAAAGGGAGTGTAGAAAGTCTGTGTAAGGAGCAGTGAGGTCCCCTGGACACTCTCACTGCTTCCCATGCCAGGCTAGGCAACCTCTACTCCCGAACTCTGGCAAAAAGGGAAAGGTCTATTAATCTCTTCAGGGTTGGGACATAAAAGGTTTAAGCAGGGCAGGTACAGGTACGCAAAGGTATGGGTAAGGGACTATAGGGAAATGAGGATTTAATGAAAGTTGGAGTTTCGAATGAGTCTTCCAACCCTCTTTCCCCTCTGGCAATCAAAATGTTGACAGCCAGACATATACTCCCAGGGAGAAAATGAGAGGGTACCTTTCTGTGGAAACTGACCAAGTCAAGAAAAACACCTACAGACACTGACATTTGCTCAAAAAAAAAAATGTTCGTTTGCTGGCTTCTCTCTCTACAGTGAATCCCACCAGTCAATCAGTTCTTTCCTCCCCTCTCTGACAAACACTTAGAACCTCTGATCAGCTTTTTGAGTACTTGTGTCTTGGCTGTCCAAGAATTATCAGACATTTGAGGAGAACCACTAACAGGAAGACAAAGAGCAAAACAAAGAAATAGAATTAAAGGATCTTAGAGAAAACAGATAACACGGGGCATATTTATTAATTTTAAAAAAGCATTGGCTAGCTGTGGTGGCTCACACCCATAATTCTAGCACTTTGGGAGGCTAAGGTGGAAGGATTGCTTGAGCTCAGGAGTTCAAGACTGGCCTGGGCAACACAGTGAGACTCCATCTCTACAAAATTTTTTTAAAAAATTTCCACCAGTCATGATGGCGCATACCTGTAGTCCCAGCTACTTGGGAGGCTGAGGTGGGAGGATTGCTTGAGCACAGGGGGTTGAGGCTGCAGTGAGCTGTGATTATGCCACTGCACTCCAGCCTAAGTGACAAGGCAAGATCCTGTCTCAAAAATATATAAAAATTTCAAATTAAGGGCATGAGGCTGACACATGGTGGATGCTGCACGGTTCGAGTTTCTACACATGGAGATGGAAGCAGAGCTGTGGGATCACAAACCCAACCCTGTCCATGGCGGGACAGAAGATAAGCCTGTTGATCCTGGAGAGCATGGATTTCTGTGTGAGCCAGGTTCTAGGCGAGAGACTGCCCCTGAAGATGCTCGTCTCAGGGAGGAGCTGGGTGTCCTCAAGTTCATATGCAAAAATCTGTGGGTGGCTGTGTTCCAATAGATGGACAGCTTGTGCACCAATCACCAAGGGACCTACTTTTTGCAGGACAACAGCTTCCACTCCTCATCCCGATGATCTGGGGCCTGGATTCACTTGTGGCCTCCTGCATGGCACCCTCAGTACCCTGGGCATGGAGAGTTTGGTCACTGCCTCTGTGGCATCCCTGACCACCTGTAAGTTCCCAGTGATAATATGGAAATCCTGAGGACCCCAGTTCTCCACCCCAGTGAGCCTCACAGCTGCTTCTGGCCCTCAACCCCTCTGGAGACAGAAGATCCTTTTGCCCAGGGACCCTGGGCCTGCTGCTTTTGGGGGTGGTTTTCGGGCTGGTCCTGGGGATCCCAGCCTCTAGGGGTCACATGTGTTAGGGAAGTGAGTATCAAAAAGAGGTGGGAGCACCATGGGAAGCAAGGAGATGCCAGCTGGAGTTGGGACTGGAGTGGAGGAGTCCCACATTGGGCACATTACTCTGCATGGCGGATGCTCACTAAAGGTTCTACGTATGGAAAAAAAATTTCAAAACATTATTATACATATCCTCAGAGAAGCAAGAAATGTAATTCATCCATAAAACAAGAACACAATTTTGTGGAAAAAGAACACTCTGAAAACAAGAAATAGCTCTAGGAAATTTAAAATATGATTACCAAATTGAAAAGACATTAATTAACAAATTAGAAAATAGGCATGGCAAGGTGCCTCAGGCCTGTAATCCCAGTATTTTGGGAGGCTGCGGCCGTTGGATCAGCTGATGTCAGGAGTTCAAGACCAGCCTGGCCAACATGGTGAAGGTCGGAGGACTGCATGAGCCCAGGGGGTTGAGGCTGCAGTGAGCTGTGATTATGCCACTGCACTCCAGCCTAAGTGACAAGGCAAGATCCTGTCTCAAAAATATAAAAATTTCAAATTAGGGGCTTGAGGCTGACACATGGTGGATGCAGTGCTGTTCGAGTTTCTACACATCTCTACTAAAACTACAAAAATTAGCTGGGCATGGCGGCGGGCACCTGTAATCCCAGTTGTTCAGGAGGCTGAGGCAGAAGAATGACTTGAACCCAGGAGGCAGAGGTTGCAATGAGCCAAGATCGCGCCACTGCACTCCAGCCTGGGTGACAGAGTGAGATTCCATCTCGAAAGAAAGAAAGAAAGAAAGAAAGAAAGAAAGAAAGAAAGAAAGAAAGAAAGAAAGAAAGAAAGAAAGAAAGAAAGAAAGAAAGAAAGAAAGAAAGAAAGAAAGAAAGAAAGAAAGAAAGAAAGAAAGAAAGAAAGAGAGAGAGAAAGAAAGAGAGAGAACGAGGAGAACGAGAGAGAGAAAGAGAGAGAGAGGGAGAGAGAGAGAAAGAAAGAGAGAGAGAGAGAAAGAGAGAGGGAGAGAGAGAAAGAAAGAAAGAAAGAAAGAAAGAAAGAAAGAAAGAAAAAGAAAGAAAGAAAATAAAGTTTAATCCATTTTCCAGGAATAATGAGAAATATGAAAAAAAGATAAGAAAATTAGAGGGTTAATCCGAGAGGTCTACAATCCAACTAATAGAAATCCAGAAAAGGGAAGAAACTAAAGGGAAGAATTTATTAAAGGAATAGCAATATTTATCAGAATTAAAATAGCTCACAAATTAGCCAGGTGCAGTGGTACACATCTGTAGTCCCAGCTACTTGGTAGGCTGAGGCAGGGATTGCTGGAACCTGGGAGTTTGAGATTACAGTGAGTTATAATCATACCACTGCACTCCAGCCTGGGCAACAGAACCTGTCTCTAAATAAATAAATAAATAGCCAGACACGGTGGCTCACGCCTGTAATCCCAGCACTTGGGGAGGCCAAGGCAGGTGGATCACGAGGTCAAGAGATCGAGACCATCCTGGCCAACATGGTGAAACCCCGTCCCACTAAAAATACAAAAATTACCCAGGCATGGTGGTGGGTGTGTGTACTCCCAGCTACTCGGGAGGCTGAGGCAGGAGAATCACTTGAACCTGGGAGGCAGAGGTTGCAGTGACCCAAGATTGCACCACAGCACTCAAGCCTGGCGACAGAGCAAGACTCCGTCTCAAAAAAAAATAAATAAATAAATAAATAAATAAAATAAAATAGTTTACAATTGATGGGCTCATGGCAAGGTATAAAAACCTTTCGATCACTAAGGATAACCAGAGTCAACAGTTAACAGTCAAACAACAAAGTGGGAATAAATTATTTGTGGCCACATCAAAATAAAGGGCTACTTTCCCTAAAACATAAAGAGCTCCTATAAACAATAAGAAAAAGATTAACAACCTAATAGAAAAATTGGCAAAAGTTTACATAAAAGGAATTTTAAATGGTTCTTAAAATATGAAAAGGTAACCAGCTGTACTCATGAGAGAAATACAAATTAAATCTCACAGACACCTTTTTCACCTGTAAGATTAACAAATATAAAAATATATAATGTCTGTATTGGCAAGAATATGCAGAAATAAGCACTCTCATACAACAATGGTAAGAGTGATATTGGTATAATCTCAGTGGTGGGCAATTTGGCCAAACCTATAAAAAATACAAATGCATATATTTTTTAGCAGAAACTTTACCAAAATTTTTCCTATAGATATATTCACACATGTGAAATCACTTATGTATAAGATTATTCTCTGCAGCATTGTTTTCATGGATAAAGATTTAAAACAACCCAAATAGTAGAAGACAGGTTAGATACATTATAGTATATCTATAAACTGGCATAATATACAAGAACAAAAAAGAATAAGGTTTGTGTACTCAGTTTGTGAACTAAAATGGAAAACATTTTAGTTTAAAAAACAAGGCCAGTCGCAGTGGCTCATACCTATAATCCCAGCACTTTGGGAAGCTAAAGTGGGTGGATCACCTGAGGTCAGGAGTTCAAGACCAGCCTGATCAACATGGAGAAACCCTGTCTCTACTAAAAATACAAAATCAGCGGGACGTGGTGGTGCATGCCTGTAATCCCAGCTACTCGGGAGGCTAAGGCAGGAGAATCGCTTGAGCCCGCGAGGCAGAGGTTGCGGTGAGCAGAGATCGTGCCACTGTACTCCAGCCTGGGCAACAGAGTGAGACTCCGTCTCAAAAAAGTAAATAAATAAAAAATAACAAAATAAAATAACAAAAAACTGCTAGTCACAATAGAAATAAAATGCATGAAACACTTCGAAATTAGCTAAATGAGTAATATGCAAATTAAATAAGAAAAACTATAAAACATCAAGGAACACTGAAGAAAATATAAGTGATGTCCCGGCGCGGTGGCTCACGCCTATAATCCCAGCACTTTGAGAGGCAGAGGCGGGCGGATCACGAGGTCAAGAGATTGAGACCATCCTGGCTAACACGGTGAAACCCCATCTCCACTAAAAATACAAAAAATTAGCCGGGCATGGTGGCGGGCGCCTGTAGTCACAGCTACTCGGGAGGCTGAGGCAAGAGAATGGCGTGAACCCGGGAGGCAGAGCTTGCAGTGAGCCGAGACCGTGCCACTGCACTCCAGCCTGGGTGACAGAGCGAGACTCCTTCTCAAAAAAAAAAAGAAAAAAGAAAATATAACTGAAGAGAAATGCCTTGCTCACACCGACATAGTGCATGGCTATTTTTGTCGCACTTGTCATTGTTACTGTCATTTCACCACTGCCCCAACATCCTGGCTACTGATTTCCCTTCTCTGGGTTCCCCACCGTGTGCAGGTTTGTAGCGACTGTCACTCAAAGCATCCTCCAGGCAAGGAGTAGATGAGCTACCCAAAGGAGGACCATTGAATTCTTTTTCAGAATCCGAAATTCGAGCAAAATACCTGAAAGCTGGAAAGCTGGAGGAGCTAAGAATGTAAGTGGAGTTGAGTTCAGCTGCTTTGAGTCCAACACCTGCTTTAATTTTCCCATTCCCACATCTAGTTCTTCAGCTTTTCTTCACATCTGTGAGCTACTCCAAATCCTTTCAGAAAATCCTTTCTTTCAACTTTTCCTTTAAATCAGTTGTCTTAGTTCAGGCTGCTACAAGAAGTAACCATAGACCGGGTGGCTTAAACAACAGAAATTCATTTCTCACAGTTCTCGAGGCTGGGAGTCCCAGGTCAAGGTGCCTGGCAGATTCCTTGCCTGATGAGAACACTAATCGCCTCTCAAAGGCCCCACCTCCTCATGCCATCATATTGGGGATTTAGGATTCAACATATGAATGAATTTGAGGGAAACACAAACATTCAGTCCATAGCATCAGCCAAAATCTTTCTGATTTTTTCAGCTAAAGAACCGTGACCAAATGAAATAGAAAGACATGGTATTGTAAAGATGTCAATTATCTCTAAATTAATCTATAATTCAATGCAATACAAATAAAAATTGTAACAGAAATGGAAGAAAATGGTGTTAAAGTTCATCTTGCAAAGTGGTACTCAACTTTGATTACACATTTAGAATCATCTGGGGAGCTATTAAAACTCTGTTCCCATACTGCACCCCTAGCAATTAAGCTGGGACCTCTGGGAGTGGGGTGAGGTTATCAGCATTTGTTAACGTTCCCTGAGTGATTCCAATGTGCAGCCAAGGTTGAGAACTACTGTGCTGGAAGAATAAACATGTGAAAACAACAGGAAATTTTAGGAAGGAAAGAAAAATGAACAGATTTGCCCTATCAGGCATTGAAAGAGATTATAAAGCTACAGTAAGTAAAGCAGTGTAGTACTAGCACGAGAAATGACAGACAAATCAATAGAACAAAATATACACTTCAAAAAAATGGCCAGGCAGAGTGGCTGTAGTACCAACACTTCGGGAGGCTAAGATGGGCAGATCACCTGAGTTCAGGAGTTCAAGACCAGCCTGGCTAACTTCGTGAAACCCCATCTCTACTAAAAATACAAAAATTAGCCGGGCATGGTGGTGGGTGCCTGTAATCCCAGCTACTCAGAAGGCTGAGGCAGGAGGATCACTTGAACCTGGGAGGCAGAGGTTGCAGTGAGCCAAAGTCACACCATTGCACTCCAGCCTGGGTGACAAGAGTGAAACTCTGTCTCAAAAAAAAAAAAAAAAAAATATATATATATATATATATTCATATTTGTATTCCAAAAAAGAGTCAAGTATGTACAATTTAAACATAATAAAGGTAGCATTTCAAATCAGTGGAGAAAATATGGACTAAGTAAATAATGTTGTGACAACTAGCTAAGAATTTGGAAAAATAAAGCCATTAAGATAAATTCTGGATGAATCAAATGTTAAAATAAGAAAATTAAAACTACAAAAGTGTGTAGCTTTTGCCTGTATGGTATATCCTCATCCTTCTTTTGGTAATAGTATCCCAGTTTTCCTTGGGAAACCACTTATTTGCAATTTTCAATTCATTTAATTAGAGATTGAGGTAAAAAGATCAAAAGATATTAACCCTTATTAGAAACTAAAGAATACAATAAAAACAATGAGGTATCAGTTGTTGCCCATTTTCTTGGCAAAAAAAAAAAAAAAATTAATTGATAATACCTGCTCTTGTTAGGGGAGGGTTGTGTATGAGGATCAGAAATCCTCAAAGTAGGCAGGGTGCAGTGGCCCACACCTGTAATCCCAACCCTTTGGAGGCTGAGGCAGGCAGATTGCATAAGGTCAGGAGTTCAAGACCAGCCTGGCCAATATGGTGAAACCCTGTCTCTACTGAAAATACAAAAAAATAATTAGCCAGGCATGGTGGCACGCATCTGTAGTCCCAGCTACTCAGAAGGCTGAGGCATGAGGATCCATTGAGCCGGGGAGGCAGCGATTGCTGTGAGCTGAGATCGCACCACTGCACTTCAGCCTACGCGACAGAGCAAGACTCTGTCTCAAAAAACAAAAAGAAAGAAAGCAAGGAAGAAAGAAACCCTCAAAGTATAAATGGCAATAAATATTGTAAATGTATATCCTTCAATCCAGCAATTCAACTTTTAGTAACATAATACAAGTTGACAATAAGCCACAATCACAAAGATGTACAGGCAAGGATTTTATTCATCATAGCTTTGTTTTCACAGTAAAAAGCTAAAAACAAGCTAAATGTCCCTCAAAAAGATAAAATATATCTGTATTTGTGTTGACATTAAAGACTTTTCCTGGCTCGTTACACTCATTAGGATGGCTATTATTTTAAAAAATTAAGTGTTGGTGAGGATGTGGAAAACTGGAACCCCTGTGCACTGTTAGTGGGAAAGTAAATAGCGCAGTTTCTGTGGAAAACAGTATGGCAGTTCCCTTAAAAAGTAAACATTGTGCCGGGCGCGGTGGCTCACGCCTGTAATCCCAGGCGGAGGATTTGGGAGGCCGAGGTGGGCGGATCATGAGGTCAGGAGCTCAAGACCAGCCTGGCCAACATGGTGAAACCCCCTCTCTACTAAAAATACAAAAATTAGCTGGGCGTGGTGGCAGGCACCTGTAATCCCAGCTACTTGGGAGACTGAGGCAGGAGAATTGGTTGAACTCAGGAGGCGGGGGTTGCAGTGAGCCGAGATCGTGCCACTGCACTCCAGCCTAGGTGACAGAGCGAGACTCCTTCAAAAAAAAAAAAAAAAAAAAAAAAAAAAAAAAAATTAAACATTGAATTTTTTTGGTTGGTTGGTTTGTTTGTTTGTTTGAGACAAAGTCTTGCACTGTTGCCCAGGCTGGAGTGCAGTAAGGCGATCTCAGCTCACTGTAACCTCCGCCTCCCAGTTTCAAGCGATTCTTGTGCTTCAGTAGCTGGGATAACAGGCGCCCACCACCACGCCCGGCTAATTTTTTGTATTTTTAGTAGACGGGGATTCGCTATGTTGGCCAGGCTGGTCTCAAACGCCTGACCTCATGATCCACCCACCTCGGCCTCCCAAAGTGCTGGGATTACAGGCGTGAGCCACCGTGCCCAGCCTAAACATTGAATTATTAAATGATCCAGCAATTCCACATCTGAGTATAGACCCAAAATTCACAGGAGGGACTAGAACAGATATTTGTATACCCATGTTAACAGCAGCATTATTTACAATAGCCAAAAAATGGAAACAACCCATGTCCACGTCAACGGATGACTAGAAAAACAAATATGGCATATACACAATGGAATATCATTCAGCCTTAAAAAGGAAGGATATTAGCCAGGTGCGGTGGCTCACGCCTGTAATCCCAGCACTCTGGGAGGCCGAGGTGGGCAGATCACCTGAGGTCAGGAGTTCAAGACCAGCCTGGCCATGGTGAAACCCCGTCTCTACTGAAAATACAAAAAATTAGCCAGGCGTGGTGGTGCACACCTGTAATCCCAGCTACCCATGAAGCTGAGGCAGGAGAATCCCTTGAACCCGGGAGGCGGAGGTTGCAGTGAGCCAAGATCACGCCATTGCACTCCAACCCGGGCAACAAGAGCAAAACTCCATCTCAAAAAAAAAAGGAAGGATATTCCAACATATGCAATGTGTGATGAACCTTGAGGACATCATGCTAAGTAAAATGAGTCAGTCACAAAAAGGACAAATATGATTCTACTTATATGAGATACCACAGTAGTCAAATTCACAGAGACAGAAAGCAGAGTGGTGTTTGCCAGGGACCAGGGCAATGGGGGCGGGGTGTGCAATGAGGATGGAGCATTAGTGTTTAGGGGATACAGTTTCAGCCTTATAAGATTAAAAAGTTCTAGAGATGGATGATGATGATGATTGCAGACCAATGTAAATGCCAGAGAACTGTACACTTAACAATACAAGATGGGGCCGGGCATGGTGGCTCATGCCCATAAATCACAGCATTTTGGGAGGCTGAGGCAGGCAGATCACTTGAGGCCAGGAGTTCGAGACCAGCGTGGCCAACATGGCGAAACTCTGTCTCTACTGAAAATACAAAAATTAGCCAGGCGTGGTGGCACGTGCCATAATCCCAGCTACTCAGGAGGCTGAGGCAGGAGAATCACTTGAACCTGGGAAGTGGAGGTTGTGGTGAGCCAAGACTGAACCATTGCACTCCAGTCTGGGCAACAAGAGCAAAACTCTGTCAAAAAAAAAAAAAAAAGCCAGGAGTGGTGGCTCATGCCTATAATCCCAGCACTTTGGGAGGCTGAGGCAGGTGGATTACCTGAGGTCAGGAGTTTGAGACCAGCCTGACCAACATGGTGAAACTCCATCTCTACTAAAAATACAAAATTAGCAAGAAGTGGTGGCTCATGCCTGTAATCCCAGCTACTAGGTAGGCTGAGGCAAGAGAATCACTTGAACCCAGGAGGCAGAGGATGCAGTGAGCCGAGATCGTGCCATTGCACTCCAGACTGGGCAACAAGAGTGAAACTCCGTCTTAAAAAAAAAGAAAAAAAAAGGCCGGGCATGGTGCCTCACGCCTGTAATCCCAGCACTTTGGGAGGCCGAGGTGGGTGAATCACGAGGTCAGGAATTCGAGACCAGCCTGCCTGGCCAACATGGTGAAACCCTGTCTCCTAAAAATACAAAAATTAGCCAGGCATGGTGGCAGGCGCCTGTAATCCCAGCTACTCAGGAGGCTGAGACAGGTGAATCGGTTGAACCTGGGAAGCGGAGTTTGCAGTGAGCCAAGATTGAGCCAAGGCACTCTAACCTGGGCAACAGAGCAAGACTCCATCTCAAAAAAAAATAAAATAAAATACAAGATGGGGCCAGGCACAGTGGCTCACACCTGTAATCCCAGCACTTTGGGAGGCTGAGGTGGGCAAATCACTTGAGGCCAGGAGTTCGAGACCAGCCTGGCCAACATGGTGAAACTCTGTCTCTACTAAAAATACAAAAATTAGCCAGACATGGTGGCATGTGCCTGTAATCTCAGCTACTCAGGAGGCTGAGGCAGGAGAATTACTTGAACCCAGGAGGCGGAGGTTACAGTGAGCCGAGATCACACCACCGCACTCCAGCCTGGGTGACAGAGCAAGACTCCATCTCAAAAAAAAAAAAGTTGGTAAATTTTACATTATGTATATTTTACACCACAATAAAAAACTTTTCTGTGAAAAGAAGTTTTATTTACTTATTTTCATTTCAATATTTCTCTTTATCATTGTTGTCTGTGAAATTTGCTTCTATGGTGAGTCATTTGAAAATGACTCCAAAACACAAATTTTGAGAACATGAAGCAAAATTTTCTAGATGTAATTTTTCACAGTGGCTTTTATAGTTTGTGATCATCAATCATTTTTATTTGTAATTATTGTTTATTAAGTAGGAAGAGTTTAGGGGACAAAAAGTATATAAAGTCAACCACAAATGCAGTCATGGGAAATCAGGTGGTAACATCACATCTTAAGTTACAAGTCACTTCTTTGTGGGGTAATTTTCCATGTTGGAATTTTGTTCCACTTTTTCTCAGCAGCTCCATTTCATTCACAGGAGCCACCCAGAAAGAATCTAGTGGCCCAATCATGCGTACTGGGGACCTAAAATATGAAAGGATTCCCTTGGCTAGCCATGAACTCTTAACTAGAGACGATCTGGTTTCTTTCTCAGGGCTGGAACAAAATAGTGAAAATATTTCCACTCAAAATAGGAACTGCAATCTAGAAGAAATCCTGTTCCTTTTCTTTTAAAATAAGGACACAACCAAAAATATGAAATGGAACTTTGGATTACCTTATGCTGTGGTTGTAAGAAAGGAATTGCAGCATATAAAAAATAAAATCTTAAGCAGCACTAGACTACACGGCATGTACTTTATTTTAAAATTGTCTCTAGTGCAGCTGCTGAGCATAGAACGTGATCCAGATAAAAGGGAAATAACACCAACTTCTTGTCAGAAAATTCAAACACTAAACCATCTGAAAGCAGGTAAATGCCTTCCCTTAGGCCGAGCGCAATGGCTCACTCCTTTAATCCCATCACTTTGGGAGGCCAAGGCAGGTGGATCACCTGAGGGCAGGAGTTCGAGACCAGCCTGACCAACATGGCGAAACCCCATCTCTACTAAAAATACAAAAATTAGCCGGGCATGGTGGCACACGCCTATAATCCCCACTACTCGGGAGGCTGAGGCAGGAGAATCGCTTGAACCCAGTGGGGGGCGGAGGTTGTAGTGAGCCGAGATCGCGCCACTTCACTCCAGCCTGTGCAACAGAGCAAAATTCTGTCTCAAAAAAAAAAAAAAAAAAGTAATGCTTTCCCTTTATGTCCATGTAAATATGAACTGAGGTTGATAGACACAAGAGTGCCATTAAGAATGCAAGACAGGACTTTATGCAATTTGATCCAAGGAACTAGCTGACCTTGATATAAAGGTCCCCATTTACAACCAAAGTCAGTGAAGTTGTTCAAAGGCATTACCAAAAGAATAGGAAAATTCATGGTACTGAAAACAGTTATGACTGACTGCTCTCTGACCACTTGTGCTTCTATTCCAATATAAAGTCACTCTTTTTAGGGACTTCACACCATCTGTTTCTGAGATTTGTTTAGACTAGTTTTGGTGATTTTATACCAAAGGTGCATAAAAGTGTTGTTGTTTAATTGTGATATTTGGCAAGAGATTTCTTGGGGCATGACATATTCATATTTCTGAGGTTTTAAAATTATTATTATCATTCCTCTTTTTTTTTGAGACTGGGTCTTGCTCTGTCACTCAGGTTTGAGTGCAGTGGTGCAATCATAGCTCACTGCAGCCTCGACCTCCTGGACTCAAGCAATCCTCCCTGCTCAGCCTCCCCTGTAGCGAGGGCTACAGGCCCACACCACTACACCTAGCTAATTTTTTTATCATTATTTTTAATTTTTAGAGGTCTCACTATATTGGCCAGGCTGGTCTCAAACCCCTGGGCTCAAGCAATCCTCCCGCCTCGGCCTCCCAAGGTGCTGGGATTACAGGTGTAAGACACTGCACCCAGCTTAAAATTATTTTTAAACACTACACAGAAGTACTACATCACATAGATACTGCTAGAGGTCTGCCTAGTCTCATTGTTGCAGGTGATTTTGTTCATTCTAGCCATTCCACTGTACCTGGGCATGTATTTAGAATTGAAGTCGCATACTGCACCCAGTAATGCCAATTCTTCTTGAGAAACCTCAGAAATCTATTTAACGGCCATCTGGAGGTTCAATTAAGGTAACGCCAATAAACTGGTTGACTAACACAATCAGTTCTTTCCATCTAGTGTAACTGGAAATGAGCATGCCCCCATGGCCTGGCAACTCCATGTCTAGGTATAAACACTGTAAAATATATGCACAATGAGACACGTACTAGAAGGGCCATTGCAATATTGTTTGTAGGATGATCATAATTGGAAAGAAACCTAAAAGTTTTCCAGCAGAAAATTAGATACATAAATTGAGGTGCAATTGTGTAATTGTGGATATAATACAATACTCATAGGAGTTAAAATAAATAAATTACTGTACGTACTAGTTTAGCATAAATTGGATACATATCAAATTATTTATAATAGCTGCTTTTTTTTTTTTTTTCGAGACAGAGTCTCACTCTGTCACCCAGGATGGAGTGCAGTGGCACAATCTTGGCCCACTGCAACCTCCGCCTCCCGGGTTCAAGCGATTCTCCTAAGTAGCTGAGACTCCAGGCACACGCCTCCATGCCCGGCTAATTTTTTGTATTTTTAGTAGAGACGGGGTTTCACTGTGTTAGCCAGGATGGTCTTGATCTCCTGACCTCGTGATCTGCCAGCCTCGGCCTCCTAAAGTGCTGGGATTACAGGCATGAGCCACTGCACCTGGTCTGTGTATGGTATTTCTAAAAATATATTGAACTGAAGCAACACGACAAAACACCAACATTTGTTCATCCTGATTATGAAAACCCAGGTTATTATACTATCCCACATACTTTTCTGTATTCTCCTTCTCCCCACTACACCAAAAAATAAATCTAGTATTCAAATTTTAGGGAGTTTTTGCTTGTTGGTTGGTTGGTTGGTTGGTGGCTTTTGCTTTTCTCTCTATTGGAAACCACAAATCTTTTTATTAAAATCCCTCAACACAAACCTAATCACTTAAGGATCCAACTTAAAGTCCTTGACAATTTCTCTTGGTCATTTGAAATTTGTTTTTTTTAAGGAAGTTGCTTTAAGAAGTCAGGGTATAAATGTATGCTATAATTATTTTTAAAGACCTTTCTGGATAATATTATAATAAATAGGCCAGACACGGTGGCTTATGCCTGTAATCCCAGCACTTTGGGAGGCCAAGGTGGGTGGATCACGAGGTCAGGAGTTTGAGACCAGCCTGGACAACATGGTGAAACCCCCGTCTCTACTAAAAAAAAAATATATGTATATATATTTTGTATATACATATATTTTGTATATATATAGTGTATATATATAGTGTGTGTATATATATAGTGTGTGTATATATAGTGTGTATATATATAGTGTGTATATATATATATAGTGTATGTGTGTATATATATATATATATATATATATATATATATACATACATACACACACACACAAAAATTAGCCAGGCGTGGCAGCAGGCACCTGTAATCCCAGCTACTTGGGAGGCTGAGGCAGGAGAATCGCTTGAACCCGGGAGGTGGAGCCTGCAGCGAGCCAAGACCATGCCACTGCGCTCCTGCCTGGTCAACAGAGTGAGACTCCATCTCAAAAAAAATTTTTTTAATAAATAAAATTAACATAAAAGCAATTAAACTTTTAAGTTAATTAAGCTAAAAGTCCTCCATGATAAATTGCAAGTCTGGCTTCTCAGGCCCATATTCTCAATGAGAAGCTAGTGGGTTTTAGGATGGGCTGTTCCACTGTAGACCATGGTTTGATGTGTACCAGTAAGGGAACTAGTAGGGGAGCCACTATGTTCAGCAACATTGAAAAGCCCTGGTCTCCCTCAGATTCCAGGACAGGACTGGAATTGGGAGAGAGGGACCCTCTACAGGAACTGTAGGAACTGTAGGAGACGCAGAAGGAGGCAGCTCCTACTAGAGTGAAGCCCAGTTGCTGAGGAGGTAAAACACCCCAAGCCTCTCTTTCCACCCTCAAATCTCCAGTCAGTGCTTCCCATAAACTGACCCAGCCAGTAGCCAGAGGCCAAAAGAGTCCGAGGGAGGCAATAGTGTCACAGGACAGAGAGCAGGACAGAGAAAGGCAGGGAGTGACTATTGGGAGCCAAGCAGAACATGAACCATCCCATTTTCTTCTCAGAGAAAACAGAAAGACAAGATTATCTTATATGTAAATGGCATAGTTTTATTGCCAAGAAATACAAATGGCAGAGAAAGTGGCTGAAGATCAAATATTCTCAGCCCCAAATTCATGTTTAGTAGATGTTAATTGATAACTTACAGAGCAGATCGTCTCGAGGAAGGCCTGGTTACTTAGGAAACCATTTGAAATAATCTTGGGCATGGTGGCTCACGCCTGTAATCTCAGCACTTTTGGAAGTCAAGGTGGGAGGATCACTTGAGCCCAGGAATTCAAGACCAGCCTGGGCAACATAGTGATACCCCTTCTCTACAAAAGATTAAAAAATTAGCTGGGCATGGTGGCACTTGCCTGTAGTCCCAGCTACTTGGGAGGCTGAGGTGGAAAGATCCCTTAAGCCAGGGGCTGCAGTGAGCCAAGATCGAGCCACCGCACTCTAGCCTGGGCAACAGAGGGAGATCCTGTCTTTAAAAAATGTAAAAATCTTATTTTTGAAAGTATGCTACAAGTTAAATTACTTAAAGTTGGGCATTCTATGGATCACGTACTCTATATGTTAGATAGAGATAACATATATAGATACACAGAACGTATCTTATAGAGAGAATATATATAGGATTATATATTTTATGTTTTATATATAATGTTCTATACATCAAAATATTAATAGCCATAGATGAGTAATTGCTAATGTCTTTTTCACAAAATGTCCTAACTAAAATAACTGCACGCTGGTGGGAATGGAAATTACTAACACCCTCCTGGCAGATAGTAGGGCAATGTACATCACAAGATTTAAAAATGTGCACACTACTTTGGGAGGCCAAGGCGGGTGGATCACGAGGTCAGGAGATGGAGACCATCCTGGCTAACATGGTGAAACCCCGTCTGTACTAAAAAATACAAACAATTAGCCGGGTGTGGAGGCAGGCGCCTGTAGTTCCAGCTACTCGGGAGACTGAGACAGGAGAATGGCGTGAACCCGGGCAGTGGAGCTTGCAGTGAGCCGAGATCACGCCACTGCACTCCAGCCTGGGCAACAGAGTGAGAATCCGTCTCAAAAAAAAAAAAAATGTGCACGCTAAAAAAAAATTTTTTTTTTTTAAATACAGATGGTATTTCACCATGTTGCCCAGGCTGGTCTCAAACTCCTAGACTCAAGGGACCCACCCGCTTTGGCCTCCCAAAGTGCTGGAATTACAGGCATGAGCCACCACACCCAGCCTAAAAATTATTTTTGAATAATTATGCCCAGTGTAGGCATGGGCTGTTCACTATCCCTGAGCTGGCTCCTTTATGGTCATGACATGATGTCGGCTTCACCCTGGGCTTGATTAAGTGACAAAGCTTATGCACTTGCTCTTAACAGCGAACAGAAGAGCCAAACTCCAGGATCTTGTCAAAGAGAACCCTCCAAACTCTCATAGAGGAAATGCTAATGCAGTGACCAAGAGCAAGGAGCCACCCGACATGGGCTTCGTAGGGTGACCCTGGGCAAGCGACCCAATGTCTTTCAGTTTCTTCATCTGTAAAAAAGAGATCATGATGCTCATGGCACTGATTCCAGAGAAACGTTGTGAGTATTAAGTGAGCAAATATATGTAAAAACACTGAGAATAGTGACTGGTATGTGATATTTGCCATTATAATTTTCTGTTCAATCCTTATCAAAAGGCTAAATTATAAGAAATAATATTCATGGAAAATGTTGTCCATGTATTCCTCTAAATAATCAGGGTTCTTCCTATACATATTCAATTTTAGAGCTGCATTATTTGGTTAGCACTATTTTAGCTGCTGGTAATATTGCTTCTGCTAAAGTATTTGCTGTGTCACTTGTCTTCATGAAAATTTTAAAAACTTGCTGGTGCCGTAGCATCATTGTAGGGATGGTGCCAATAACAGTGATCACATTTCACCTGGAAGCCCCTTCATCAGGACCCATATGAGAATCTTTCCTCAGACCTCAGCACTTCTGGGTTAGTCTTGTGTTTTAGATGCAAAGGCGGTTTAGCTTCTGTTTCTAATCATAGGCCTTCCCTCCCATCAGCTATAGCAGTTATTCAGGACCCCGTGGCAAACATCCTTGAATCCTATCCATGAATTTATAGATTATTTTCTACCTTTACCTGTCCTCTACCTCAAATTCCTAATCTATTTGTAACCTGTTGCTTAATGCATATTTTTACAAGTTAACTCAAAATACTTTGGGGGACAAGAATGAGACAGAACATGAAAGTCAATAAGCAAGTAATAAGTAAATATAAAACCAAATACATGCTGATAACACATAGTGGTAACATGAAGCCACACAGGAAATTCTGTTTGCTGATTGCAGTCACAGTCATGTCTCAACAAGGGTTGTGTGACTGGTTGTCTTGCCCCACCAAACAGTTCGAAGTTGTTGCAATCTCATTTAAGATGAACAGCAACTACCAATGAGGCAGTCAGTTGTGCTAATATATCATTAGGGGAAATTTTTCCAAGTCTTCATAAAAAACAGTAGGTTGCACATATGACAACCAGGTAACAGAACAAATGAATATGATGAATGCCCAGGATCTCCTAGAATAATGGCAAGGAATTTGCATTAATTTTTATAGGCTCAGCTTGGGAGCACTGAGCCCAATTTCTCATGGATGAGACAGCAAGTTCACCAAAGCTCACAGAAAGACAACATTTTGATTCATGTAATTTTGTTTTTAATTTGTATGGAATCTTAGTATTTTAAAACT
The DNA here is from genome assembly GCF_000001405.40 of Homo sapiens. Taxonomy (NCBI): domain Eukaryota; kingdom Metazoa; phylum Chordata; class Mammalia; order Primates; family Hominidae; genus Homo; species Homo sapiens. The sequence continues at coordinate 106,960,572 of NC_000006.12, forward strand.
GGAGGCCGGTCGCAAGGGCTCACACCTGTAATCTTAGCACTTTGGGAGGCTGAGGCAGGTGGATCACTTGAGGTCAGGAGTTCATGACCCAGCCTGGACAACATGGCGAAACCCCATCTCTACTAAAAATACAAAAATTAGCCAGGTGTGGTGGCGCACGCATGTAATCCCAGCTACTCAGGAGTCTGAGGCACAAGAATCACTTGAACTGAGGAGGCAGAGGCTGCAGTGAGCTGAGATCACACCACTGCACTCTAGCCTGGGTGACAGAACAAAACGCTGTCTCAATGAAAAAATAAAAAAATAAAACTAAAGTACCTCCAAAAAATGCAATCCTCTGGAAGTCCAAAGATGCTTTCAGGGGCCGTGCAGCAAGTTGGCAGACCCAGGGCTGGGATTGGGATCCCCTGACAATGATGCCTCAGGCACTGGACATAGGCAACTGTAGCATGAATCCATGTGTCCATTCAACCACACCCTGCTGTGGTGGTAACCACACTTTCTAATCTGTGGTATCATTTTACTCATCTTCCAGTTGAAGCTGAATGTTCTATCTGCACAACTTAAGTATTTATTCCTCAGCTGGAGGGAGCACAGTGGGTCGGTCTGTGGCTCAGAAGGAAGGGGTGCCCTCTGTGCCTTGGAAAGGAGATTCCGGTGGACACAGAGCAGAGGCACTTCAATGCCACTTTTGGTTGGGTAGAAATCCAAACAACAGACTGGAGGAAAATGACCTCACTTATCTCCAAGCACAACCCTGACGTGTGTACACCTCCTAGGCACAAGGATTTGAAGCCAAGGGTCTGAACCATGTCTGAATCAACAGCCCCTGCCAGCTCATTGGCATGAGAGGAGAGGTGCCCCTACCCACACCCAACTGGGCTTCTCAATGTGGCTGCACTTTAGAATCATCTAGGGAACTTTTAAAAACTACTGATTAAGGCAACTTTAGTTAGCAATAATTTATTGTATATTTTCAAATACAGTCATGTGCTGCGTAATAACATTTCAGTCAATGACGGACTGCATATATGACAGTGGTCCCACACCTTATAATATGGGATTTTTACTGTGCCTTTTCTATGTTGAGATACACACATACTTACCAATGTATTATGACTGCCTTTCAGTGCAGAAACATGCTGGAAAGTTTCGTAGCCTAGGAGCAATGGACTATTGCGTATAGCCCAGATGTGCAATAGGCTATACTATCTAACTTTGTGTAAGTACACTCTATGGTGTTCACACAACAAGGAAACTGGCTTACAATGCATTTCTCAGAACAGATCCCTGTTGTTAAGCAACACATGACTGCAGCTAGAAGAGAGGATTTTTTTCTGCTTTGTTATTTTTGGTTGTTTGTATTTTTGGGTTTTTTTGAGACAGGTTCTGGCTCTGTCGCCCAGGCTAGAGTACAATGGTGCAATCTCAGCTCACTGCAACGTCTGCTTCCTGGGCTCAAGTGATCCTCTCACCTCAGCCTCACAAGTAGCTGGGACTGCAGGCACACACCACCACATCCAGATATTTTTTGTATTTTTAGTAGAAATGAGGTCTCACCATATTGCCCAGGCTAGTCTTGAACTCCTGACCTCAAGCAATCCTCCTGCTTCAGCCTCCCAACATGCTGGGATTACTGATGTAAGCCACCAAGCCTGGCCTAGAGGAGAGTATTTTGAATGTTCCCAACACAAAGAAATGATCAATTTTGAGGTGGTGGATATACTAATTACCCTGATTTGATCATTACACATTGTATATATGAATCGAAATATCACACTGAACCCCATAAATATGTACAATTATTATGTGTCAATTAATGTAAAAAAGAAAAAAAAAAAGCTGCAGATGACTGAGCTCCACCCCGACCAATTAAATCAGAGTCTCCTAGGTAGGTAGAGGTGGCAGACATCACTATTTTAAAAAAGCTTCCCAGGCTGGGCACGGTGGCTCATGCCTGTAATCCCAACACTTTGGGAGGCTGAGGCAGTCAGACCACGAGGTCAGGAGATCCAGACCATCCTGACTAACACGGTGAAACTCCGTCTCTAGTAAAAATACAAAAAAATTAGCTGGGTGTGGTGGCATGCACCTGTCCAGCTACCCGGGAGGCTGAGGCAGGAGAATCGCTTGAACCTGGGAGGTGGAGGTTGCAGTGAGCCGAGATTGTGCCACTGCACTCCAGCCTGGGCGACAGAGTGAGACTCTGTCTCAAAAAAAAAAAAAAAAAAAAAAAGCTTCCCCAAGACCAGGAAGGGTGGCTCAGGCCTGTAATCCTAGCACTTTGGGAGGCCAAGGCAGAGGGATCACTTGAACACAGGAGTTCAAGACCAGCCTGGCCAACATGGCGAGACTATCTCTACAAAAAAAATTTTTTTAATAACTGGGTGTGGTGGCCCATGCCTGCAATCCCAGCTACTTGAGAGGCTGAGGCAGGAGGATCACTTGAGCCCAGGAGGCTGAGGCTGCAGTGAGCCATGTTCCCACCTCTGCACTCCAGCCTGGGTGACAAAGCCAGATTTCTGTCAAAAAAAAACAAAAAACAAAAAACTTCCCAAGTGATTCTAATATGTGGTTGGGGTTGAGAACCACTGCTATAGATGGACAAGGAGGCTGCCTACCTAATGAGGGCTGAGCAGCCCTAAGAGGCCAGCCTGCTTAGAAATAGTCCTCACCATCCTCTTAGACATCCCCCCATGACCTCATACAGTATCCAAGGTCTGCCCTCCCCTCCCCCAGTTACCATGGTACTAAGTTACCCTGGTATTAAGATATTACTGTTGGCTATTTTACTTCTCAACATTAATTGAGCACCTGCTCTCAGTCATATGCCAAGAACCCAGAAATGAATATGACACAGCTCTTGCTTTCAAGGAGCTCACAGTCAGGGCAACATAATTTTTACACATCAATAGAAAATAATGCACTGGCCAACATTTATGAAGCACTCACAATGTGCCAGACTCTAAGACCTCGTGTATTACCTCATTTAATTCTCCCAACAACTTTATAAGATAGGTACCATTACTATGAAGCCCATTTTACAGACAAGATTCCTGGGCCATAGAGACTGTGTGTAACTGCCTAAGGTCCTTTAGTAGTAGTTGGGCTGGGAGCCAAACTGAGGCAGCCTGTCTCTAGTGTCCACACCTTTCCGCCACACTGAGTGGATAAGTGAATGTACTAAAAGTCACAGAGGCATGAAAAGATGTTGATTCAAAGAATGGTGAGCTATTCAGGGTGGCTGGCCACAGGGCTGAAAATTTGGGTTTGGGCCAAATTATGAAAGGCCTTACAGGCCATGAACAGGGCGTTCTGTTCTATCTCCTCTAGACAAAGGGTAGCCCGCCCAAGTTTTGTTTTCTTTTTTCATCTTTTTAATTTTTATTTTAGATTCAGGGAGTACACGTGCAGGTTTGTTATAAAGGTATATTATGTAATGCTGAGGTTTGGGCTTCTGATGACCCCATCGCCCCAAGCAGTGAGCATAGTACGCAATAGGTAATTTTTCAACCCTTCATGTCCTCCCTCCCTCACCACTTTTCAAATTCCCAGTGTTCATTGCTCCCATCTTTGTGTCTGTGTGTACCCAATGTTTAACTCCCTCTTATAACTGAGAACATGAGGTATTTGGTTTTCTGTTTCTGCATTAATTTGTTCGGGAAAATGGCCTCCAGCTGTATCTGAGGTGCTGCAAAGAATATGATTTCATTCTTTTTTATGGCTGTGTAGTATTCCATGGTGAATATGAACCACATTTTCTTTATCCAATCTACCATTAATGGAAACCAGAGTTGATTCCATGTCTTTGAGATTGTGAATAGTGCCACAATGAACATACAAGTGCAGGTGTCTTTTTGGTAGAACAATTTATTTTTCTTTGGATATTGCCAGCCAAAGTTTTAAATCAGGAAACAAAGTGAGCAGATCTACATTTCAAAAGATAAGGGTGAGAATAACCACAGGATGGAGAGATGGGGACAGAGAGGTACAACTGTGACAGATGATGCAAGTTAGAGGAAGGCAGTGGGGTGGAGGGAGAAGAAAGGCAGGACACCTGGACACTTCTGACTTCGAAATGACAGGATTTCATCATGGCTGATTGGAGAGGGAGAGAGAAAAGGAAGGCAGCTCCCAGGCCTGTAATGAAAGCGACTTAACAAGCGAGTGCTCTGGATAGAAAAGGAGTCGGTAAAGGAGTACCTGGAGGAAGGTAATGAGCTCACTTCTGGACATGTTAGGTTTCCACAAGCCTTACTATCTGCCAGTTAGTTGCTAAGAGGCATGACAGTTAAGTCACTTCAGATCTTTTGGGCTCACGGAGATATTTCTTTGCAAAATCATACATATGGATACTTCCTAAAGTTTCTTAGAAATGCATTGATTTTAGAATTTAGGTGTAATTTGAAGAGAAACTGAGAAGGAACCCATGATGGTGATTTTGTTGTTTCAAAAAGTGCCATCCTACCAAAATTAGAAAAAAAAAATACTTTTTTATACTGAGTAAGGAATCCAAAGATAACCAAGCCAAGCCCCAATGAGGCCTATGAGACATGAAAAACACATACTTTTCAGCTAACTAAATATTTGAGTTCTATTTTAAGGACAGTGGTGGCATTGGGTGTGTGTCTTTAGAATGTTTCATTCTAAATAGATGTTCGTCTTCCCTTTATGGATAATACTTCAACTAGATTTTTGTTTCTACACTGTTTGCTTTTATCTTCTAAGGCTAAAATTTGTTGAAGAGACACTCATACAATGGCTACTCATTACTCAATTTAGCCTTAAATCATATGAGTAGTATTTAAGTGTGAATATTAAAAATATAACCTCAGAATGAAAATCTGATAAATAAAATAGCCCAGATGAGTTTAAAAGCATTTTCAAAGACAAGTGGAAAAAAAGTTACTAATTTCCTCCTCTGTAAGGATTGATCATTATTTTGTTTGTTTGTTTCAAAATGGAGTTTCACTCTTATCACTCAGGTTGGAGTGCGATGGTGCCATCTCGGCTCACTGCAACCTCCATCTCCCGAGTTCAAGTGATTCTCCTGTCTCAGCCTCCCTAGTAGCTGCGATTACAGGCACCTACCACCACGCCCAGCTAATTTTTGTATTTTTAGTAGAGACAGGGTTTCACCATGTTGGCCAGGCTGGTCTCAAACTCCTTACCTCAGGTGATCCACCCACCTCAGCCTCACAAAGTGCTGGGATTACAGGTATAAACCAGCCCGCCCTGCCAATGATTACTTTTTAAGATATTCACCCAAATTTTTTGTCACTTATATGATAATGATCCAGCGTTGGCATGATGGTGACTTTTAGGATTTCAAAGCAAAGCCTTGCCAATTCTCTGCAGACAACAACTCTTCTTCGAGGAACAGTTTCTGGCTTGCTACCGTGCTTTAGTGAGACTGAACCCTTAACCATGGGCTACCATGGGACCTGAGCTGCCCATCATGATTTGGTGGGTTAGACATCATTTTGTCTAACCCACCAGACCATAAAGTTGGGTGTGCATAGCGGCACTCATTGTCAAATGAAAGTGGTATATATAAGACTGGCTCAAGCAGGCCCTAAAGACAAGAGTAAATTATATGAGGAAGGAGCCCAGATGCCCACAGTCCCTACTCCTTGCTACGTGACCTTCTCTCTCCCAGCCTGTACCTCTTTCCTCATGGAGAGTTCCTTATGCTCGGTTGATTGAGAAAGACAAAACTTGGGTCTGACTTATAGGAAAATACTTGGGTCTGCTTTGTAGAAAGTACTGCACAATACATAGGATCCACCTAAAAGTGAAGAGCTGCAGCTCTACAAACCCCTTGAGGACATCCCTGAAGGACAGTGGTGAAGAGAAATACCCCTAGTGGACAGAATTACAAGCAGTGCACTTGGTTGTTCATTTTGCTTGAAAGGAGAAATGGCCAGAGATATGAATCTGGCCATCAGGCTATGGCCCATGATTTGGCTGAATGGAATTGGAAGAGACATAATTGGAAAGTTGGTAACAAGAAGATCTAGGGAAGAGATGCAAGGATAGAGGTGTATAGGCAAACAACATGAAGATATTTGTGTCTCATGTGAATGCTCATTAAAGGGTGACCTCAGTAGAGGATTTTAATAATCAAGTGGATCGGAGGACCCATTCTGTGGGTATCAATCAACCTCTTTCTCCAGCCATCCTTGTCATTGTCCAGTGGGCTCATGGTGGCAGAAGCCCAGCAGCATAGACTTCCATTCACCGTGGCCAACCTGGCTACAACCACTGGGGAGTGCCCAACCTGCTGCTGCAGGGACCAACACTGAGTCTTCTCTGTGGCACCACTCCCCAGGGTAATCAGCCAGCTATGTGGTAGAAGGTTGATTACATTGGACCTCTTCCATCATGGAAGGGGCAGCATTTTGTTCTTAGTAAAATAGACACTTATTCAGGATATGAATTTACTTTTGTTGCCTACAGTGCTTCTGCCAAAACTACCATTCATGGACTTATATAATGCTCACCACCATCATGGTAATCCACACAGCACTGCTTCTGACCAGGGAACTCACTTCATAGCCAATGATGTGTGGTGACGGGCCCATGGTGATGGAATTCACTGATCTTAGCATAGTGTGTCCCTCATAAAGCCAATGACTTGACGGAACAGAGGAATGGCATTTTGGAAACAAGTTACAGGACCAACTAGATGGCAATACCTTGCAGGACTGGGGCAGTGTCCTCCAGGAAGCTATATATGGTCTAAAGATGGTGCTGTTTCTCTCATAGCCAGGTTTGCAGACCCAGGAATCAAGGACTGGAAATTTAGTGACACTACTCATCATTACCCCTAGTGATTCACTAGCAAAATTGTTACTACCTTAACCTCTGCTGGTCTAGAGGTCGTAGTTCCAATGGAAGAATGTTTCCAACCCGGAAACAGCAATGATCCCACTGAACTGGAAGTTGAGACTGCCATCCAATCACTTTGGGCTCCTCAAGCCTCTGCATCAAAATGCAAACAAGGGCTGGGCATGGTGGCTGATGCCTGTAGTCCCAGCACTTCGGGAGGCCGAGGCGGGTGGATCACCTGAGGTCAGGAGTTCGAGACCAGCCCAACCAACATGGAGAAACCCAGTCTCTACTAAAAATACAAAATTAGCCAAGAGTGGTGGCACATGCCTGTAATCCTAGCTACTCAGGAGGCTGAGGCAGGAGAATGACTTGAACTCGATAGGTGGATGTTGCGGTGAGCTGAGATTGTGCCATTGCACTCCAGCCTGGGCAACAAGAGCAAAACTCCGTCTCAAAAAAAAAAAAAAAAGGCAAAGAAGGGAGTTACTGTACTGTTGAAGTGATTAATTCTGATTACCATGAGGAAATTGGGTTGCTACTATACAATGGAAGTTAAGGAAAAGTATGTTTGAAATACGGATGTCTTAGGGCATCTCTTAGTACTACTATGTCCTGTCACTATCAGTGGGAGGCCGGGCACAGTGGCTCAAGCCTGTAATCCTAGCACTTTGGGAGGCTGAGGCAGGCAGATTACTTGAAGTCAGGAGTTCGAGACCTGCCTGGCCTACATGGTAAAACCCTGTCTCTTAGCCGGGCATGGTGGTGCGTGCCTGTAGTCCCACCTACTCGGGAGGCTGAGGCATGAGAATTGCTTTTACCCAAAAGGTGGAGGTTGCAGCAAGCTGAGATCGTGCCACTTCCCTCCAGCCTGGGCGACAAAGCAAAAGACTCTGTCTCCAAAAATAAAATAAAATACAATCAAAGGGAAACCACAATAAAATTAAAGCAAAGATTTGGTTCACCTTGCCAGGCTTCGAACAATGACCAGCTGAGATGCTTACTGACAGCCAAGTTAATATGGAATTGATAATGGAAGAAGGTAACTGTAAAACCAGCTCAGCCACATGACCAGTTGTAGAAAAGAGAATTCTAATAGTTATATTTCTTATGTTTGTCTGTATATATATATGTATACATAGATAGATGTATACATAGATAAATGATAGATAGATGATAGATAGATAGCTACATAGATAGATACATAGATACATAGATACCTAGATCATCTGAGGGGGTCTTATTCCATCAACTGAAAGGCCCTAAAGGCTGAACTGAAGTTCATTGAAGAAAGCACACTTGTAAGGCCAGGCGCGGTGGCTCACACCTGTAATCCCAGCACTTTGGGAGGCCGAGGCAGGCAGATCACCTGAGGTCGGGAGTTCAAGACAAGCCTAACCAACAAGGAGAAACCCCATCTCTACTAAAACTACAAAATTAGCCAGATGTGCTGGCGCATGCCTATAATCCCAGCTACTTGGGAGGCTGAGGCAGGAGAATCGCTTGACCCCAGGAAGCAGAGGTTGCAGTGAGCCAAGATGGCGCCATTGCACTCCAACCTGGGCAACAAAAGTAAAACTCCGTCTCAAAAAACAGAAAAAAAGAAAGCACACTTGTGGACTACAACTTCCACATATTCCCAAGTTCCAGCCTGCCTTTCCAGGTTGTCCCTGAACCACCTCGGAATGCACTTGAAGGGTCTCAAAGAAATTCAGGGGCATGAAAGCAGATGGAAGTGACAATTTAGATGACCAAAGAGGGCCAAGCATGGTGGCTTGTAATCCCAGCACTTTCGGAGGCCAAGGCAGGAAGATCACTTCAGCCCAGAAGTCCAACACCAGCCTGGACAACAAAGTGAGACCCATCTCTTATAAATTAGACAGATAGATAGATATAGAGAGATAAACCAAAAGGATCTGTGGACCTGTAGATAGGGGAAAAATTGCTGCAGCTCATGGACTTGGCACATGCTGTTCCTTCTACCAGGGAATTTTCCTTAGATCCTCCTACAACTGTCTTGTCATTTGGATCTCAGTTTAAATGTCCAAGATCACGCTACTGCACTCCAGCCCGGGCGACACACTAAAACTCTGTCTCAAAAAAAAAAAAAGAGAAAGAAAGAAAGAGAAAAATACTGAGGTATATCCCTATGGTTTAAATTAATAGACTTAGGGGGCCAGGCGTGGTGGCTCATGCCTGTAATCCCAACACTTTGGGAAGCCAAGGCAGGAAGATCACTGGAGCCCAGGAGTTCACGACCAGCCTGGGCAACATGATGAAACCCTGTGTCCACAAAAAAAAAAAAAAAAAAAAAAAAAAAAAATTCCCAAAAATTTGTTTTTAATTATTTTTAAAAATTTTAACAGGCTCATAGAACCATGATTACCCACAAAGTATTCCTCATACTGGAAAAACTTAAAATGCAAGATTGCTCTTTCAGCCATTTCTTTTTATTTACAGTTTGTGTTCAATGCAAATCAATTCCATAAGAAGTTACTATGAATCAAAGCGTAAATACACAAACACAATATACAATCCAAAATAGATGTACAGCATTCTGGAATAAAGCAAGAGTGTTCATTCACACACACAGTAGCTTCAAAACTGTTCGATCTGTTTGTTCCCATGTAGTTTTCTAAAGATGGAAAAAAAGGACTTTGGTCATCAAGACTACTGTGGCCATATTAGATTACTGGAACATCTAAGCATCAGTGTGTGACCATGCGAACAAAAGACTTCGGGGAGTGTCTATTTTTAAAAAGGTTTATGTGTGTCGAGGCAGTTGTAAAAGATTTACTGCAGAATCAAGCCCACTTTTAGGCTTAGGACCAGGTTCTAACTATCTAAAAATATTGACTGATAACAAAAAGTGTTCTAAATGTGGCTATTCTGATCCATAGTTGTTTTTTAAAGAAAAAAAATGTATATACAGAAAGAGTATAAAAGTTTGTGAATTTAATGCAAATTAGCTTCCAGTCTTCACTTCCCAAATACTTGATTTATAGTTTTGACTCCTTTACATTTTTGCCTTCTTAATTTCAAGATTTGCAATTTTGCCTTCAAAACAGATCATTTTTTTAAATTGTAAAAAGTATTCAACATATGCAGAAATAAAAAGCATTTTGATGGCTGGGCGCGGGGGCTCAAGCCTGTAATCCCAGCACTTTGGGAGGCCGAGGCGGGTGGATCACCTGAGGTCAGGAGTTCGAAACCAGCCTGGGCAACATGGTGAAACCCTGTCTCTACTAAAATTACAAAAATTAGCCGGGCATGGTGGCAGGTGCCTGTAATCCCAGCTACTTGGGAGGCTGAGGCAGGAGAATCGCTTGAGCCCGGGAGGCAAATGGTACACTGATCTGAGATCGCACCACTGCACTCCGGCCTGGGCGACAAAGTGAGACTGTCTAAAAAATAATAATAATAAAAAGCATTTTGAAATTAGTCGTGGTCAATGCAATTCTACTCTTTGGAATCCGTTTAGCTAAATGAATGTAGTGCTCTTGTTGAATGGAAACAGGTGATAGGAAATGCCTACCATTTGACTCAATATGGATAATCAAGAGTTGCTCAGGATGCTTGGATCTGGGGGTAGATTCTCATTCATCATTGCCCTGGCACATGTCAATTACTACATAAAAGGTCAAATGCAATGTCAAATCCAAAGCCTCAGGAGGAAAGTGAGTTCAGTTCCCAAGAGAACAGCAATAGCTCAACAATGTAAAACTTCATCTAGAGTATATCGGCATTAAATTAGTGCTGTCGAAACAATACGTTGAGGAATTACAGTAACACCTGGAAGTTCCTTCTCATGTACATATAAATAGAATCATGGAAGCTTTTTATATTACCTGTTTTATGGCCTTATAGAATTAATGAACCAAATGAAAACTGAATCTCCATTCCACAATCCCATCCTTTATTTCTATTCTTATTTTCAAGGTAGTATTAAGTGTCCATATTTCTCAAGCCACATTCAAGGAAATCATGTCTTAACTATTTTGGATGTTGCCTCTCCTTCATCTTGTACATGAAACTCCAGCAGATTTAATATTGGCATCCATCATCTAGTCAAACCTCTCACATGTTCTTCAAATCAATCAAATTTGGGATTCTCAACATTTTCTGTGTCAATAAAAGGTGTGGAATTAGTAGATTCGATGAAGACCTGTTTTTCCTTGCCACATTGGACTTCCAGACGCCATTTGGATTGGGTTTAGAAGATGGGGAAATTTAGAAGACGTTTCTTGGCCTGAGTCTCTTAAGAGTAGAGATGCAGAAGAGAGAGTGAGACCACGAAGAGACTGGCTGTTGACTGCAGGGCACCACCAGCCGCCTTGGTGGTGGCATTAGTTGGATTTGGGGCCAACCCAGAGTTGGAAGTACTCTGGGAGGAGTTACTTGAAGTTCCAGTTGTTGTTTCACTGGAATAAATCTAAAATACATAAAAAGTTACATGGATACATTTCCACATCACAGCTACCTCCATGTACTCTCATATAAAATTAAAGTAGGTGATATATTCTTAGATTGCTCTCTTACCATTGTTCTCTTACCCAACATCATTAACTTCTGAATTCTTGCTCAACCCACCAAGGTCATTCTCTTTAGTTTCAAAACAAACTACCTAGAGATGCCTCAAAAATGCCAAGTGGCAACAAGAACAAAAAAGTTATTCAATAACTATAACTCCTGTTTTTATTTCTTTGCAAAGGAAAAAAGGACCAGGTTAACTAATTCAGTTTCCAAGATTATATTGACTTAATGGCATTGCAATAAGGTCTATTTTCCCAGAAAGGGGGAGATTTTAAAGTTGCACAAAAAAATGGGGATTTTTAAATATTGTAACTGAGACTTATGGAACTAGAATTCATTGGGTCACTGTCTATCCTGGATTTGCTAGGTAACTTTCACATACTCAATTTAATACAGCCTTGGTAACTTAGCCTTTTCCTTAAGGGGGAAATGCAGTCTTATCTTCTCCCTTGAAATTTGAAATAGTAACTCTTCTAAAAAATGGCCACAATATTTGTGTTAAATTGAAAAAGAAAATGAGTTTTTCCTTTAAGGCAGAATGACTTCAAGAAAACACCATGAAGTCGGAACGATTTCACAAAAGACAACGAGAGGTTATGGTGTTAAGTTTCACCAGCAGCAGCCTCACTGGTCGCCAAGCTCATTGCTGTGGCCAAGAACCAAGGTTCTCCCAGTGTCCCAGCGTCTGAGTGGCATCATTCACCACTGATTTTTCAAGCCACGAAATGCACAGTCCAGTAGGGCACGTGATAATCTCTCCTTTGTCATGGAACAAAGGCAGATCGGAGTTTTCAGCCCTCACTGCAAGGGAGGGTTTACAAGAGCTTCTGATTACAGGCTGGAGGGAGGACGTGGCACCAGGCAAGAGTCTGGGCCCCGTGTACATTTGGCTGCCTATTAATCCAAAGATAAAGCCCTCCTACATCAGCACCAGCTCCTTTTGTTGTAAAATCCATAAGGTCATTAAACAAATATTGACTACAGAAATGTACAAATCCTATCCAAAATAGATTAGTGACAACAACAAAAAAATCTTGATCAAGTCAAATTTATTTATCGGGCACCTACTGTGTGCAAGATTTAGTGTGTCCCATCAGGAAACGGCACTCCCAATAAAGAAAAGCATTAATATGGTAATTTACTTAAAACAGGGTGCCTGTTTTGGACACCTTGTTTGGGATCCCGCAAAGTAACCTGTTCTTTATTCATGCAATGAGTTTTACTGCAGCAGGTGATGTTTTCTTTTTAAAACCTGGTGTATCAATCTGAGGATCTAAAGATCCTCTACACCAACAAAAAAATTATGTTTATTAAACTGACACTAAACAAAATTTTCTCTCCCAAGCTAGATTTATTCGCATTATTAAAACTTCTCACTTACAATGTTGGAGGAAAAAAATCTGGTCGGAGAGAAGATGGGGCGGGGAGTGGAGGGGGCCGGTTTCTCGCAGCCGCGCCCCTCCCCCATCAAAGAATTGAGGAAGGCTCGGGAGCGCAGCGGACTGGGAGGAAGACAATAGGGTACGGTTACCCCGCCAGCGGTGGGGAAGCGCGTTCCACACTCAGGCTGCACTCCCAGGTGAGCCCGGACTTTCGATGTCTGGGGACGGAGGACGCAGCGCGCCCAACTTTGGGGGAGAAGCCCCAGTGACAGTCCTCGATTAACCCCAATCGAAGGCGCTGGAGAGCCGTCACTCCCATCCTCCAAACCCGAACTGACCCAAACAAACGTACCTTCTTCGCCCCCGCCCCCGCTAGGGTCTCCCAGGCCCAGCCCCCGGTCTCTCTCGCCGGCGCGGTGCATCCATACACCCTCGAGGCAGCGCTGCGCGGCCCCGGGTACCCGCACCCGGGGCGAGGTTCCCCGGATGGAGGATCTAGGGAGACCGCGCTGGTAGCGGCGACCCGAACAAAGCCTGGCGGGGACTCGGGACAGAATCGTCCCACCATGCTGCCTCCCCAGAACTAGCCAATCTGGGCTAAAATAACATGGGGATCCTAAGATGACAAGCGATGGACGTGAAAGGTTGCCTCGCAGAGAGCGCAGCGTCAGGAGAGGGTCCCCGCCTCGGCTTCAGCCCGGAACCGGGGTTTGTTTAAAAAGGGCCAGATAGCCGTAGCTTCTCCGGGATACCCAATCCAACTCCGAGGGTGGAGGATGGGCGTGAGCCGCCCTCCCCGAAAGGGACCGTCGCCTCTCTTTGTGTAGAGCGCGGGGAGCGCGAAGACATTCCTAGGGGAAAGCGAGTCCTCAGGGACCCAGGGACAACGTCCCCAGGGAGCCCGAGCTCTCCAGGCGCTAATCCCTGCAGGCACCTCGGGCCTCTGGGTGAAAGTGGGAAGTAGTCACCTGGCTGCCTGGGAAGGGACAGCGTGGAACCTGGGGTGGGGCAGGGTCCTCTCAGCCCGCACGCGGAGCTGCATTGTTCCCAGGGCCGTGGGAGGAGGGGGGGCAGCACGCAAGGGAATGGAAAAATGGGGTCCACATGGCCCTCTCCCCTGGTCAGCTAAGCAAGATTCTCTCCCGGTCCCTGTCCGTGGCCCGAGGCAGGAGCGCAGGACGGTCCCCCGGGACCGGGTCCATCTCCCCTGCCCCCACCCCGGGAACGGCCCTCGAGCCCCGCCGGGCGCCAGGGCCTCACCTGCGTGGGTAGGAGCAGTGCCAGCAGCAGCAGCCCCAGCCCGAGCCTGGCCACCATTGCTCTGCCCATGTCCCCTCCGTCGGTGCGCGGCGCGTCTAGCAGGATGCTGGGTGCTTGGAGAACCGCTGGCTCCGGGCGGGCGCAGGCAAGGTGGGGAGCGCGGCGAGCCGGCGAGACCTTATATACCAGGAAAGCCACAATAGCCGTGACGTGGCGCCGCCCGCCCACCCCGGCTCCCCTCCGCCGCCGCCCGCCGCCTCCCCGCCTTCCCCGCCCCGCTCCGGGTTCCCCAGCGCCCCCGCCGCCGCCGCCACTGCCACCGCCGCTCCGGCCCTCGCGGGCCGGGAGCCCCCCGGGCGGGCGCCGCTGCAGGTGGGCGGGCGCCGCCGGCTGCTGGTACCCGGCTGGTATCCCCGCGCCGGCTGCGGGCTGCGGGCAGGCTGGCACAGGCGCCCAGCGCCTCCGGCACAGGACCCGGGGCACACACGCGAGCCACACACGCCGCGCTGGGGGCCGGGCCCAAGTTTCCTTTGTTTCCCGGGACCTGCCATCTTACCCCCCAAAAGAAAAGTCCGCGCCTCCGCTGCGGCGGGGTAGCCGCCTGTCCTGGAGCAAGTGCATTGCCACTCAGACTGCAAAATGCGCCCCGGGGACCCGAGAGGGGCTGCGAATTCCAGTGCGACCGCGTGGGGGGCGGGCGCCGGGACCCCTCGGGCAGGGTTATCTCTCGGCCCGCCGCAGAGGAAAGGGGAACGCGGCGGGCGTGGCGCGGACGCGGGCCGGACGCTCACCCTGGCCGACGGGACCCGGGCGCCGCCTAGCGCGAACCCTTCCCGGCTGGTCGGCGCTCCTCGCAGGCGGTGTCCGGGTCCGGAGCGATCTGCGCGCTCGGCCCCGCGGCCGCGCCCTCCCCGAAGCCCTTGCTTTGTTCTGTGAGCGCCTCGTGTCAGCCAGGCGCAGTGAGCTCACGGGGGCGTCCCGGGTCCGCATCTTCCCAGGAGCTGGGGAGCCGCTCGCTGGGCGCAGACCCGCTGCCTGACGCTGCAAACTACAGGGTTTCGGTCCCCCGCGCTCCTGCCTGCGGCGGGCGAGGAGGAGACGGCCCACCCTGAGGGGACCCCCTCCGCGGCCCTGAAGCCCCCACCGCCCTCCCCGAGCGGCTCTGCTCCCAGGTTCTACTCGGGGGCAGGAACCTCCCCTCCTGGCGGTCCCACTACAATTCACCGTCCCTCTCGAATTCCTGGGGATACACTTTTTCGGTCTCTGTTGCCCGTCATTCGTTTAAAGAGCAGAACCGTTCGAGATAAAGGCATTTACTTATCCGTAGTTGCCATTAGGCAATTTAATGAACCGGCACAAAGAGGAGATTCGTCATCACTCTTTAGATTTTGGTGGAATACTTTTTTCCTATCCATCTTATTGTGAAAACTTTCAAGCATACAACAAAAGTTGAAGTAATTTTACTGGTGGAGTATTTTGAGTTTAAATTTTAATTGCAAGACTTAATCTTTTTATTGAAGGTTTAGCCCAAGTGTTTTTCAGTCTTTAAAGCAAACAGCAGAGACCAAACCTAGTATGGTTGTAAATTTGTTTAAATTTCAGTTTTGCAGAACACTCTCGTTAGTATTTTTGGTTCAATTTTTAATTGCAAGACTTAATACTTTTATTTAAGGTTTAGCCCAAGCATTTTTCGGTCTTTAAAGTAAACCACAGAGTAGTAAGATTCTAAATTTGTCTAAATTTCACTTTTGCGTGGCAGTCTCATTAAAACAAAGTAAGTTTCAGGGAAGCAAAGTGACAATGAAATCTGCAGTAGGTTTGTTGACTGAATAGTGACTGAATTGGTTTGTGCCTTCAAGGTCAGTCACTTTAGCTCAGTAACTTTCCAAGCACGTTTAAGATGTGCTTGGGAACACAAGAATTTCTGTCGAGCACCAGTGGACTTTCCTGTTTAACAGTGTACCACATTATATAGAAATACTTTGGCCGGGCGTGGTGGCTCACACCTATAATCCCAGCACTTTAGGAGGCTGAGGAGGGCTGATCACCTGAGGTCAGGAGTTCCAGACCAACCTGACCAACATGGTGAAACCTAAAATCTAGTCTCTACTAAAATTTAGTCTCTACTAAAAATCCAAAATTAGCCATGCATGGTTGCTCATACCTGTAATCCCAGCTACTTGGGAGGCTGAGGCAGGAGAATAGCTTGAACCTGAGAGGTGGAGGTTGCAGTGAGCAGAGATCAGGCCATTGCATTCCAGCCTGGGCAACAAGAGCAAAACTCTGTCTCAAAAAAAAAAGAAAAAAGAAATAGTCTGGCCCAGCTTCTCCATTCCTTTTCCGGGTGAAAAAAATGGACTGTTTGTGACTCAGGAGTGCCGGGTTCCAAGGCAAGGAACATACTATGTCCTCCACAAGCTGCTTGTTGAACTAACTGGTGGTATTCCTAGGATAAGACAGCCTCTAAAGACAGACTGCCAGAGTTCAAACCGTGGCTCTGCTAATTTTGCTGGAGACAAAAAGCCTCAGTTCCTTCATCTATAAAATGGAGATAATAACATCATTACTAATTAGTTATTAAAGAGTTATTGTATATATAAGTGTTAGAATACTGCCTGCCTCAGAGTAGTAGCTCTCACTTAATATTTGCTCTTCCACTGAAGGTGCCAGCAACCAGAAGGTAATTACCTTCTCTGCCACTGTGTGATACGTGAAAGAATATCAGTCTCCAAATAATTCCCAAAACTGGCAAGGCACTCAGAATCTGTGCTTTGTGAACCATTTCATCACCAGCTAATGAGACTGGATAATTCACGTAGCAAAGCCCTTCACCTCTGCCCAGGAGTTCCCCCTGGGCATCCTACCGGGGGTGTTGCCCAGGACTTTGACAACTGGAGGCCCAACACAGGTAAGATACTTCTCTTTACAGGTCTCCACCCTACCCTTTTCCTGTACAGCTAGAAACTCAAGAAAACTGCCTGATTTTTCCTTTGCAGTTCTTTTGGCTTGTGATTCTTTCTTCCTATTCTTTATCCACTTCTCCTGGTTTTTCATAGTTTGTTTGCTAATAAAACCTGAGCCACGGCTGGGTGCAGTGGCTCACGCCTATAATCCCAGCACTTTGGGAGGCCGAGGCAGGCAGATCACATGGTCAGGAGATCGAGACCATCCTGGCTAACATGATGAAACCCCGTCTCTACTAAAAATACAAAAAATTACCTGGGCATGGTGGCACACGCCTGTAGTCCCAGCTACTCGGGAGGCTGAGGCAGGAGAATCGCTTGAACCCAGAAGGCGGAGGTTGCAGTGACCCAAGATCGTGCCACTGCACTCCAGCCTGGATGACAGAGCAAGACTCTGTCTCAAAAAAAAAAAAAAAAACCTTAGCCAATAATAACTCACGCCACTAACAAATTGAGACTCTTACCAGTTATCCTGAACTTTTTGTTGAGACACATGGCCAATTTCCATTTTATAGAGAAAGTGTGGTATAGAATGATTTTGAAACAGATTGATTGCATAAATTGATGTATGTGTGGAAAGTTATAACTTTCAGTTTTCATAGCTTTCATGAGATAGTATGAAAAACTCCCTCATTTGATGCTGGTTCTCTTCTGAGAATACTGAGGGAGGAGCAATGCTTACAATTTCTTTTCTTTTTTTTTTTTTTTTGGAGACGAAGTCTTGCTCTTGTTTCCCAGGCTGGAGTGCAATGGCACGATCTCGGCTCACTGCAACCTCTGCCTCCCAGGTTCAAGCGATTCTCCTGCCTCAGCCTCCCAAGTAGCTGGGATTACAGGTGCCTGCCACCATGCCTGGCTAATTTTTATATTTTTTTAGTAGAGACAGGGTTTCACCATGTTGACCAGGCTGGTCTCGAACTCCTGGCCTCAGGTGATCCGCCCGCCTCAGTCTCCCAAAGTGCTGGGATTGCATGCATGAGCCACCGTGCCCGGAAAATGCCTACAATTTCTAAGGGCAGACCTGAGACCAGACTGGCATAGCACATAGTGGATTCTGGGGTCAAATATGGATTTGAATCCTGCACCACCACTTTCTCTTTTTTTTTTTTTTTTTTTGTAGACAGGGCCTCACTCCGTCACTCAGGACGGAGTGCAGTGGCTCATTGCAACCTTCACTTCCCTGGTTCAAGCCATTCTCCTGTCTTAGCCTCCCGAGAGACTATGTCTTGCCTACCCAATATCCACTGCACCTGGCATGCAATCAGTCCTTGCTGGTTGAATGGACTAATATTAAGGAAACAGGTTAATTTGCTTTTTAAGATAAAATAGTAAATCCTGTTTCTAGAGGAACAGAAGACACAGGGGTTAATTATTTGACATTTTTAGCACTTTTGGCAAAATAGGTATGAAATATAATGTGAATCCAATAAAGGTGTTCCATCTGTGCTTTATAGCACAAATAGTGGCTGGAATAATCAAATATTTAATATAAATTCTGTTCTACAACATGATGCAATTCTTAGTTGTGTTCATAATACTCTTTTTTTTTGAGATGGAGTCTCACTCTGTCGCCCAGGCTGTAGTGCAGTGGCGTGATCTCGGCTCATTGCAACCTTCGCCTTCCAGGTTCAAGTGATTCTCCTGCCTCAGCCTCCTGAGTAGCTGGGACTACAGGCGCGCGCCACTACGCCCGGCTAATTTTTGTATTTTTAGTAGAGACGGGGTTTCACCATGTTGGTCAGGCTGGTCTGGAACTCCTCACCTTGTGATCTGCCCGCCTTGGCCTCCCAAAATGCTGGGATTTGGGTGTGAGCCACCGCGCCCGGCCCTCTTTTCCCTCTTAATTCTGTGCCACCCTGCACTTGGTTGGCATAAATGGAATATTTCCATTTATCCGGGTCTTTCAGTGGAGCTTTGTTCTTCACTGCCAATCATGAGAAGGCAGTGAAGGTACCAAAGTGAGTTTGCATTTCTGACTGATGAGGTCCTAGGTCCAGTAGCTGCAGCATGTTCAATCAGCTGGTGGCGTCCCAGCCGGACTCTCTGTGTGGACGTGCTGCCCCCTGCTGGCCACTGGGACCTTACGCGCTCACTGTCAGGAAAACAAAAACAACTCGTGCTGAATGTAAAAAGCCCTGCATTTTGGAATCCTTATAAAGCTAATAAACCACGATGATTTTCTTTGACTGTTACTTCCTTTTTCCCCCTGTAGAGTCACTCAAATTCTCTTAACCCTCATTGAGACCAGAAAACAAATGTAAAGAGAAAGAATTGTGACTGTTTTCAGATGCAAATTGAATAATAGGATGCTTACCTCTAAGCATCCTGTGGTGTTTGAAATAAAAGAAAGAAGCAACTCTTAATCTCTTTTGCCAGAATTTAAATTTGGTGTCTCCCTTGTATTGGCAAGGATGCAAGAAAAGTCTTTCTCGTCGATGCTGATGGGATTATGGAAAGGAATTTGACATCTCTCAGTATTAAAAATGCACATTCTCCTTATTTTAAGAATTTAACCTGGCCGAGCGCAGTGGCTCATGCCTGTAATCCTAGCACTTTGGGAGGCCGAGGCGGGCAGATCGCCTGAGGTCAGGAGTTTGAGACCAGCCTGGCCAACATGGTGAAACGTTGTCTCTACTAAAAATACAAAAATTAGCCAGGCATGGTGGCACATGCCTGTAATCCCAGCTACTTGGGAGGCTGAGACAGGAGAATTGCTTGAACCCAGGAGGCAGAGGTTGCAGTGGACCGAGATCATGCCACTGCACTCCAGCCTGGGTGACAAAAAAAAAAAAAGAATTTAACCTACAGATAAATTTCTACAAATGCAGAATAATGTATGTTCAGGGATTTGTTGCAGCACTGTCATATCATGAAATATTATGAAGTCATTAAAAAGAGTAAAGGAACATAATCTATCCTACAGGGGAAAATCCAAGATAAATTCTTAAGTGAAAAAAGCAAGATACATAACTGTGTGTACAGCATGGTACTTTGTGTTTAAAAAACCAAAACTGGCCGGGGGTGGCTCACACTTGTAATCCCAGCACTTTGGGCGGCTGAGGCAGAAGGATTACTTGAGCCCAGGAGTTTGAGGCTGCAATGAGCTAAGGTGGTACCACTGCACTCTGGCCTGGGCAAAGAACGAGACCCTGTCTCAAAAAATAAATAAATAATAAATTTTAAGAATAAAAAACAAAAACCTGACAGAGAAAGTATTTCCAAAGAGATACACAAGAAATTGTCTTGGCCACTGAGAAGAGAAACTGGGTGGCCAGGGCACACGAGAATGAGATGCATTTTTCATCACGTTAGCTTGTACCATCACTCATTCACAAATAAAGTAATTTAAATAAGTTAATAAGTCAATATACTCTGTGGCCTTTACCTACCCAACTCCCACAAAGCAAATATGTGCAAAGGAACTCTCTCCAGCCCCCAAGGCCTCAGAATCACCCTCCTCCTCATCAGGAGCCCTCCTCCCATCACTGGCAAGTTCTCAAGCAGAAATTTGATTTTGCCTCAATTCATCCATCTATGACAACTGTGAGACCAAATTCTCTCAGTCCAGATGGCACACACAAAAAATGTTTCAGTAAAAGTGAAGAAAAATGAAGAACCCAGCTGCAGAAAAAATCATGAGAAATCGCTTGGCATCGCATCAGTTTCCACATTTTGTTCTTCCTTCCGGAGCCTCAAGTTATAAAGGCTATGGGGGAGGAAAGCCTCCGGTGGGCAGAGTTTGCCTCAGAGAATGGCCTGAGCTGGGTGGGCTCATCCCATAAGTAGGACCTTTCTAAGAGCCCCCTTCCACCCCTGTGCAGGAGGCAGAGTCCAGGCCTAATTGGGGTAATTAAGTTCTAGCAGAAGCGAAATCCCACTTCTACCTCCTAGAAAAGAGTCTTCAGACCACAAAAGTGCTACATCATTTGCCATTTGCAGGCAGATCCTGAATGATTCTTTGCTGGGAAATAATGAAATTGGAAGAGTGGAAAAGTATATGTATATTTTATACCCATATACTTTTTTTTTTTTTTTTGAGATGGAGTCTCGCTCTGTCATCCAGGTTGGAGTGCGGGGTGCGATCTCAGGTCACTGCAACCTCCGCCTCCCAGGTTCAAGCAATTCTCCTGCCTCAGCCTACCGAGTAGCTGGGACTACAGGCGTGTGCCACCATCACACCTGGCTAATTTTTTTTGTATTTTTAGTAGAGACGAGGTTTCACCGTGTTAGCCAGGATGGTCTCGAACGCCTGACCTCATGATCTGCCCGCCTCGGCCTCCCAAAGTGCTGGGATTACAGGCGTGAGCCACCGCGCCCAGCCTCACAATGGTATACTTAATGAAATGTTACATTGAACTTGAAACAGGGATCACATTTTCAGACTTCGTGAAATCCTTTCTAAATCTGTTAACATACTTTTTCCAAGATTCCACTCAATAATATCTAAAGCAGATGCTGGCTGACATCTTATTCAATATAGTTTTAAGATGTCACTCTGAGGAAAAAGTATTCTGTAATAGTCAGCCAATAAAAGGAGAACATATGAATTTAATTAGCTCGGTTGAATAAGGACTTCTCTGTTGTGAACCATATATTTGTATGTAGATCTCAGAGTTAAAAAAGAAACAACTTGGCCAGGCATGGTGACTCACGCCTCTAATCCCAGCGCTTTGGGAGGCCAAGGCAAGGAGGAGCACTGGAAGCCAGGAGTTTGAGACCAGCCTTGGGAATATAGCAAGACCCTGTCTCCACTTTTAAAAAAGAAAAAACTTTCTCTCAATATTCTTTGTTGTTGTTGTTGTTGTTGTTTGAGGTGTCTCGCTCTGTCTCCCAGGCTGGAGTGCAATGGCACCATCTCAGCTCACTGCAACCTCTGCCTCCCAGGCTGGAGTGCAATGGCACCATCTCAGCTCACTGCAACCTCTGCCTCCCAGGCTGGAGTGCAATGGCACCATCTCAGCTCACTGCAACCTCTGCCTCCCAGGCTGGAGTGCAATGGCACCATCTCAGCTCACTGCAACCTCTGCCTCCCAGGCTGGAGTGCAATGGCACCATCTCAGCTCACTGCAACCTCTGCCTCCCAGGTTCAAGCAATTCTCCTGCCTCAGCCTCCCAAGTAGCTGGGACTACAGGCACCTGCCACCACACCCGACTAATTTTTTTGTATTTTTAGTAGAGACAGGGTTTCGCCATGTTGGCCAGGCTGGTCTCGAACTCCTGACCTCAGGTGATCGACCTGCCTCTGCCTCCTAAAGTGCTGGGATTACAGGCGTAAGCCACCATGCCCAGCCTTCAATGTTCTTTTGTATATTTTTTCTTGTTCATATTATAAAAGTAATACACGTGCAGTATAGAAAAATTTGGGCTGGGTGTGGTGGCTTGCACCTGTAATCCCAGCACTTTGTGGGGCCAAGGCAGGAGGACTTCTTGAGCCTGGGAGTTCAAGACCAGCCTGGGCAACATAAGGAGGCCCTATCTCTACGAAAAAATTTTAAAAATAGCTGGGTTGGTCCCACATGCCTGTAGTTGGGAGGCTGAGGCAGGAGGATCACTTGAGCACAGGATGTCGAGGCTGCAGTGAGCCATGATTGTGCCACAGCACTCCAGCTTGCTTGGACTCCAGCCTGGGTGACAGAGAGAGACCCTGTCTCGACAGAAAAAGAAAAAAAAATTTTTTTTGGAAAATGCAGAAAAGCATAATAAAAATATTAAAATAAAAATATTAAAATTACCCATAGCCAGGTCGGGGGTGGTAGCTTATGCCTGTAATTCTAACACTTTGGGATGCCAAGGTGGGAGGATTTTTTAAGCCCAGGGGTTCAAGACCAGCCTGGGCAACATAGCAAGACCCCCATCTCGAGTGAAATAAATAAATAAATAAGGATAAATTTTTAAAAAATAAAATTACCCATAGCCCACTAATCAGAGGCAATCACTAATAACATTTTAAAATATATTCTTTTCACATATATGTAGAGAAAGAGAGTTTGCTTGTTTATTTGTTTTGCTGAAGTAGGAGCAAATGTACGTGAAGTTTTCTTATTTATTTATTATTTTATTTTATTTTTTTGAGACAGGGTCTCACTTTGTCACCCAGGCTGAAGTGCAGTGGTGTGATCTCAGCTCACCGCAGCCTCAGCCTCCTGGGTTCAAGCTATCCTCCTGCCTCAGCCCCCCAGGTAGCTGGGACTACAGGTGCACACTACCGCACCCAGCTAATTTTTTTTGTTTGTTGGTTTGTTTGTAGAGACAGGGTTTCACCGTGTTGCTCAGGCTGGTCTTGAACTCCTGAGCTCAAGCGATCTGAGCGATCTGCCTGCCTTGGCCCCCCAAAGTACTGAGCTTACAGACATGAGCCACCAAGGCAGGCCCATAAAGTTTTCTATCTTGCTTTTTTTTTTTTACATAATAGAAAACATTTAAAAAATTAATCACAAAATTCATGGTCACATTCCTACAAAGTTAACGAAATATCTGGGTTGGCTTATGCAGGTGGTCAGCCAGAATTTCTGCAATGTCCAGATCCAACCAGGTCCTGGCTCCAGTTTGAGGCCCCTGGTGGCATTTATCTCCACCACCTATCAGTGGAGGTGATTCTGGGTTCGGGGTTGACAGGACCTCCAGGACCGCAGTGGCAAGGCTTGTAATCTCTTGGAGCTAGGAGAACCCTGGGGCAGAACTCCTTGCTTCCTTGCTTTCTAGAAGGGATTTCTGTTTTCCCCGACTCGCCTTGTCCTCTTTCTGCATTCCCCACATCCTAGAAGATAAGAGCTTTCTTTAGTGCACCCCATTAGCGAAGGGGATCTGGTGAGGATGGTAGCCAAACTGAATTTGCATTATCTTAGGAAAAAGTTTTTGCCAGGTTTTACTGTATTTTTATTGGTCATTACATGTTTTCTAAAAACACTTCATAATGACTATACAATATTCTATTTGGACAGTTGCTCTTATTGTAAATAATCTCATAAGAAACACTGTTATACACATGTTTTGCTTTTATTTCTGGTTATTTTCTTAGAATACACTTCTAAGGTCGAGGCTGCAGTGAGGCAAGATCACACCACTGCACTTCAGCCTGTCTCAAAAAAAAGAAAATAAAAATCCTGTCTCAAAAAAATAAAATAAAAATAAATAGGGCAGGCACGGTGGCTCACACCTGTAATCCCAGCACTTTGGGAGGGCTAGGCAGGCGGATCACCTGAGGTCAGAAGTTCAAGACCAGCCTGGCCAACATGGTGAAACCCCATCTCTACTAAAAATACAAAAATCAGCTCGGCGTGATGGCGTGCACCTGTAATCCCAGCTACTCAGGAGGCTGAGGCGGGAGAATAGCTTGAACCTGAGAGGCAGAGGTTTCAGCGAGTTGAGACTGTGCCACTGCACTCCAGCCTGGGCTGGAGTGAGACTTTGTCTCAAAAAAATTAATTAATTAAATAAAAATTATAATAATACATAAATTAGAAAATGTCACGTACATTGAAAGTCTGGGTCTTGATATAAACTGCCAAATTGTCCTCCAGAAATGTACACTCACAACAGCAGTGTGGAAGATTGTCTAATTCACAAACTTTTGCTAACTATGAGAATTAAAGTGCAAAATATATTTTTTTAATTTCATGGGAGAAAAAGATTTCATTTTTATATTTATTTATTTTGAGACGGGTCTCATTCTGTCACCCAGGCTGGAGTGCAGTGGCATGATAAAGATTTCATTTTTAATTGTATGTTTACTATCAATGAGATTAACCTTTTTTCCAGACATTTATTAGCCATTTGGAGTCTCCTTTTATGAATTAAATTGTTCTTTATAAATTTTGCCCATCTGTAGGAGTGATACATGTCAGAGTGCACTCAGGGTGAGAAGAAACTAGACCCAGGCGTCTCTCGGTTAGATCAATAGAGCCTAAACACCTGAAGGATGTAGAATCAAGTCACTGCAGTCAGGCTGCAAAGCAGACAGAGATGCAGTATTTTCCAGGAGAGTCAGAACGCGTTTCCAGGTCCTGAAATCTTCACTGGGCAGATGATAAAATCTACATGCATGAAGGTGAGATCAGAACACCTAGAAGTCTACTGGTCTCTCTATAACCAGTCTTATGTACTTAGGCTAAAACAGTTCTGCTTGTAAACTCCTCTGAATATATACTGGAACTTGGCGGGGCCAGGAACACCTCTTCAGTTTTGAAATTTTTTAATACACAATGTGACTACAGAATATGGTACGCTGAGACATGAACTCAGTCCTCTTAACCACTTTTTTTTTTAATTTTTTAAATGCTGTATTCTGGTTTATTTTTTATTTCATTTCATTTTATTTTTTGAGACAAGGTCTTACTTTGTCACCCAGGCTGGAGTGCAGGAGCCCAGTCACGGCTCACTGCAACCTCCGCCTCCTGGGCTCAAGTGATCTCCCACCTCAGCCTCCCGAGTAGCTCGGACTACAGGCACGTGCCACTACACAGGGCTGATTTTTTTATTTTTTGTAAAGATGGAGTTTCACATGTTTGCCAGGCTGGTCTCAAACTCCTGAGCTCAAGGGATCCACCCACCTCAGCCTCCTGAAGTGCTGAGACCACATGTGTGAGCCACGGGCGCCTAGCCTTTAATCACCTTCAAGAAATATGTTTGTCGGGGCTGGGTCTGTGGCTCATGCCGGTAATCCCAGCACTTTGGTGAGCCAACGTGGGAGGATTGCTTGAGCTCAAAAGTTTGAGACCAGCTTGGGAACGACAGCATAAACCTCGTTTCTACTAAAAATAAAACTTAAAAAAATTTTTTTAATTAGCCAAGGCCAGGCGCGGTGGCTCACGCCTGTAATCCCAGCACTTTGGGAGGCTAAGGCGGACGGATAACGAGGTCAAGAGATCAAGACAATCCTGGCCAACATGGTGAAACTCCGTCTCTACTAAAAATACAAAAACTAGCCGGGTGTGGTGGCATGCGCCTGTAGTCTCAGCTACTCGGGAAGCTGAGGCAGGAGAATTGCTTGAACCCGGGAAGCAGAGGTTGCAGTGAGCCGAGATTATGCTACTGCACTCTAGCCTGGTGACAGAGTGAGACTCCATCTCAAAAAAAAATAATAATAATAATAAATTCGCCAAGTGTGGCCAGGCATGGTGGCTCACACCTGCAATCCCAGCACTTTGGGAAGCCGAGGCAGGTGGATCACAAGGTCAGGAGATCGAGACCATCCTAGTCAACACAGTGAAACCCCGCCTCTACTAAAATGCAAAAAATTAGCCTGGCGTGGTGGTGTACACCTGTAGTCCCAGCTACTCAGGAGGCTGAGGCAGTGGAATCACTTGAACCCAGGAGGCAGAGGTTGCAGTGAGCCGAGATCGCACCACTGCACTCCAGCCTGGGCAACAGAGCAAGACTCCGTCTCAAAAAAAAAAAAAAATTAGCCGAGTGTGGGGGAATGTGCTTGTGTGCTTGTAGTCCCAGCTGCTTGACAGGCTGATGTAGGAGGATCACTGGCACCCAGGAGGTCAAGGCTGCAGTGAGCCATGATTGGACAACTGCACTCCAGCCTGAGCAACAGAGCGAGACTCTTTCTCAAAAAACAAAACAAAAACCCATGTTAGTGGACACTGGGGATGGC
This sequence comes from Homo sapiens, assembly GCF_000001405.40. Taxonomy (NCBI): domain Eukaryota; kingdom Metazoa; phylum Chordata; class Mammalia; order Primates; family Hominidae; genus Homo; species Homo sapiens. The sequence continues at coordinate 106,987,142 of NC_000006.12, forward strand.
TTGAGGGAGGAGGAGGAGGAGGGGTGGGGGTTGGAAGGCTACCTATGGGATAATATGCTCCCTACCTTGGTGACAGGATAATTTGTATGCCAATCCTCAGCAACAAGCAGTTTACCCAAGTAACAAACCTGCCCACCTATCCCCTGAACCTAATATTAAAATAGAAAAGAAAGGCCAGGCATGGCGGCTCATGCCTGTAATCCCAGCACTTTGGGAGGCCAAGGCGGGCGGATCACGAGGTCAGGAGATCGAGACCATCCTGGCTAACACTGTGAAACCCCATCCCTACTAAAAATACAAAAAATTAGCCGGGTTTGGTGGTGGGCGCCTGTAGTCCCAGCTACTCGGGAGGCTGAGGCAGGAGAATGGTGTGAACCCAGGAGGCGGAGCTTGCAGTGAGCTGAGATTGCGCCACTGCACTCCAGCCTGGGCAACAGAGCGAGACTCTGTCTCAAAAAAAAAAAAATAGAAAAGAAAAAAAAATGTTTGAAATCCACTAGCTGGGAGGGAAAAAAGAAAAGAATAAAAATAAGTAAATGAAAAGAAAAGAGAAACGTGGCCGGGCACAGTGGCTCACGCCTGTAATCCTAGCACTTTGGGAGGCTGAGGCAGGTGGATCACCTGAGGTCAGGAGTTCAAGACCAGCCTGGCCAACATGGTAAAACCCCATCTCTACTAAAAATACAAAATTAGCCAGGTGCACTGGCTCATGCCTGTGATCCCAGCGACTTGGAAGGCTGAGGCAGGAGAATCGCCTTAACCTGGGAAGTGGAGGTTGCAGTGAGCCAAGATTGTGCCATTGCACTCCAGCCTGGGCAACAGGAGCAAAACTCCATCTCAAAAAAAAAAAAAAGAAAGAAAGAAATGTGTTCATGAGAGATTCATCTGAGTGAGGATCTTGCACATCTGACTGTCCAGAGTCAAATTAAGGGTGAGGACTGCCAAATAGTGCCCAGTGTGCCAATCTCCAAGGGGCCCGAAAGCACCACTATAAATAAGATGAAGACAATATTTTCTTTAAAATTCTTCTTTCTTGAGAATTCTATATGTGGTGTGAAGGAATGTTTGATACACACTTGGGAAAGTACTTGGATGCAGTAATATCAAACAGTATTGTTTTGTTATTTGTTTTGTTTTGCTGGCTAAATTGCTTGAGACAATAGAGAAGATATTGAGTGGCGTTGCTGCTGGAAGTTCCTCACTCTTCTCTAAACTTCTCAAACTCTCCTCTAAAGAAAGGTACAGGCAAGGCGTGGTGGCTTACGCCTGTAATCCCAGCACTTTGGGAGGCCAAGGTGGGCAGATCACCTGAGATCAGGAGTTCCAGACCAGCCTAGCCAACATGGTGAAACCCTGTCTCTACTAAAAATACAAAAATTAGCCAGGCTTGGTGGTGTGCACCTATAATCCCAGCTACTCCAAAGGCTGAGGCAGGACAATCGCTTGAACCCAAAAGGCAGCGGTTGCAGTGAGCCGAGATTGCGTCACTGCACTCCAGCCTGGGTGATAGAGTGAGACTCCATCTCGAAAAGATAAATAAATAAATAAATAATGAAAGGTACAAATATTTTAAAATACTGGTTTAAATTTAAAGGTGCAACAACTAGTTACCCTTCCCTGAGCACCCACATGTCTCCATTAAAGTTATTCTCTACACTTTTTTCTGTCCTAACACACTGGAGGGTTGTAGCAACCTACATTAGCATCAATTGCTTTGGACAGCAGCAATTCCCATGGGACTGGGGTAATGGTGTCCTGTGTGAAAGAGTCCTCTAGAGTTCAGAGTCGCTAGTCATGCCACTACAGCTTTATTAATTAGCCACAAAGGATTTAACGTAAGTTGTGGAGCATTAATCAGTAAAAGGCAAACATATGACAATGCATAAACAAATAATTCAAAATAATTAGCATTTATTCCCTGAATGTGTGGCTGCCGTAGCAAATAAGGAAATTCAAAATATCATGCTTAATTTGCGATTGTGTTTTTCCCTTTAATTGCATCTGCCACCTGCTGTTAATTTGAAACAATTAAACCCTAAAGGCAGTATTCAAAAGTAAGAAGACTGCAGATTTCACCTTTGGGCAAAAAAATTATACAGCAGCTTCACCGAACTTAAAAAAGAGTGAAACATTCTTTTCCAGAAGTGGTAGAGTGTTTTCTGTTTGCACAGCATGCCCTAGTAAGTGAGAGGGTGATGTTAAGGATGTGATTGCCAACTCCCTTTAGTATGCTGAGCTATATAAGCTACATGAAATTCTTGTCTCCTTGGAGATCTATACCAGTATTGCCAATAGAAATACAATGCAAACCAAAGATTTTACATTTTAAGTTTTCAGCCGGGCACCGTGCCTCATGCCTGTAATCCCACCACATTGGGAGGCTGAGGTGGGCAAATCACCTGAGCTCAGGAGTTACAGACCAGCCTGGGCAACATGGTAAAACCCTGTCTCTACAAAAAAAAATTAAAAATAAAAAAAATTAGCCAGGCTTGGTGGTGGGTGCCTGTAATCCCAGCTACTCAGGAGGCTGAGACAGGAGAATCGCTTGAACCCGGGTGGTGGAGGTTGCAGTGAGCCAAGATGGTGCCATTGCACTCCAGCCTGGGCAACAGAGCAAGACTCCATCTCAAAAATAAATAAATAAGTAAATTTTAAATTTTCTAGTAACCACATAAAAAAGTAAAAAGAAATAGATAAAATTAAGTCTGATAAAATATTGTATTTAACTCAAATATTAAAAATATTATTTCAACAAGTCATCAATATTAAAAAAGACTCAGCCTCAGGAGGCTGAGTCAGCAGAATCGCTTCAACCCAGGAGGCGGAGGTTGTGGTGAGCTGAGATCGTGCCATTGCACTCCAGCCTGGGCAACAAGAGTAAAACTCTGTCTCAAAAAAAAAAAAAAAAAAATTGGCAGGCATGGTGGCACATGCCTGTAGTCTCAGCTACTGTGGGGGCTGAGATGGGAAGATCACTTCAACCCAGGAGGCAGAGGTTGCAATGAACTGAAATCATGCTACTGTACTCCAGTCTGGGGGACAGAGTAAGACCCTGTCTCAAAAAAAAAAAAAAAGAAAAAGAAAAAAAAAAAAGGCTAGGCACAGTGGCTGACACCTATAATCCCAGCACTTTGGGAGGCCAAGAGGGGGGCGAATCACGAGGTCAGGAGTTTGGGGTGAATCACGAGGTCAGGAGTTCGAGACCAACCTGGCCAACATGATGAAACCCCGTCTCTACTAAAAATACAAAAAATTAGCTGGGCGTAGTGGTGGGCGCTTGTAATCCCAGCTACTCGGAATGCTAAGGCAGAAGAATCACTTGAACCCAGGAGGTGGAGGTTGCAGTGAGCCAAGCTCGCACCACTGCACTCCAGCCCGGGTGACAGAATGAGACTCCATCTCAAAACAAAAAAAATAATAATAAATAAAAATAAAATGTAAACATTTTAAAAAATGTTTTTTTAAAACGAGAAACTTTTCTAACAAGATGGAAGCTACAATCATATGTAACATAATCATTTTTTCCAACAAGATGGAAGCTACAATCATATGTAACATAATCACGAAAGTGGCATCCCATCATCTTTGTCATATTCTACTGATTAGAAGCAAATCACTGTTCCTGCCCACACTCAGGGGAAGGAGATTCCACAGAGGTGTGAATACCGGAAGGCAGAAATTATTGAGAGTCATTTTAGAGTCTGTCTACTACACTTATTAAGCCTTCAAGATGTACAGTTCTGTGTGTTCTCCATTTACAACATACATATCTCAAGTCAGAGCAGCCGCATTTCAAGTACTCAGTAACCACTGGCTAGTGGCTGCCATATTGAACAGTGTTATTCTGTATCGACCAAACCCAGAGATCTGGGGAATTACAGGATACCCAAACACTGGTTTTAGCAATCATGTGTCTCTATAAAGAATTCAGTCTCAAAAGAACTAGAAGCATAAAGGTATGGTAGGTTAAGAACATTTTGTTGTTTCTTTTTGTTGTTGTTTGTTTGTTTGTTTGTTTTATTTTTGAAACAGCGTCTCGCTCTGTCAGCCAGGTTGGAGTGCAGTGACACCATCTTGGCTTACTGCAACCTCCACCTCCCAGGCTCAAGTGATCCTCCCTCCTCAGCCTCCCAAGTAGCTAGAACTACAGACATATACCACCATACCTGGCAAATTTTTGTATTTTTTGTAGAGACAGGGGTCTCTGTATTTCTCAGGCTTGTCTTGAACTCCTGGGCTCAAGAGATCCACCTCTTTTGGCCACCCAAAGCGCTAGAATTACAGATGTGAGCCACCGTACCCAGGCTTGTCATCTCTAATAGATAAAGAATGTATTGGTATTATTTTTATTTATTTTTGAGATGTCACGCAGGCTGGAATGCAGTGGTACGATCTTGGCTCACTGCAACCTCCACCTCCCAGATTCAAGCGATTCTGCTTCCTCAGTCTCCCGAGTAGCTGGGATTACAGGGATGCGCCACTACACCCGGCTAATTTTTGTATTTTTAGTAGAGACAGGGTTTCACCATGTTGGCCAGGCTGGTCTTGAACTCCCGACTTCAGGTGATCTATCCACTTCGGCCTCCCAAAGTGCTAGGATTACAGGCATGAGCCACCACACCCAGCCAGTATTATTTTAAATCTGGATCCTCAAAGCAAGTAGAGGCTGGAAAATATTATTTGCATTTATTTTTACAATTCTACTTTATACTTGCCCTGACTTAATGGGCAAGTCCTATAGGCTGAGAGAAATAGTTTTAAAAAGGCCATTTACAGAAAGGCCAGGTGACTGTAACATCAGAGGGCTCCCAGGAGGATATCTTGGTAAATACCCTCACACCTTTCCCCTTGACTCATAGCAGGACCACTCTAAGCCAGTCAACAGAAAGAATCGATCCTTTTCCCTGCATGCCATTTTACCAGTAACAGGAGGCTCAGAGCAGAGACACAGATGGGGATATTTTCCAAGCAATTCTCCAGTTTCCCATTTGACTGATTATGTGAGAAACCCCAAGTGGAGGGAGGATCTGACCCCTGAGCATGAGTGGCAGTCTGAAGAGGAGTCTGCAGATGGACCTCATTCCTCACTAAAACCTGAGCATCCCCCCTGAAGCCAGTGGCTCACTCCAGTTCTTCCCAGCTCTTCCTGTACCACCCCAAACTCAATTCAAGTATTGGCTGCATGCAGTGGCTCACACCTATAATCCCAACACTTTGGGAGGCTGAGGCGGGCAGATTGCTTGAGCCCAGGAGTTCAAAACCAGCCTGGGCAACATGGCGAAACCCTATCTTTATTTAAAAAGAATAAACAAAAATTTAAAATTAAAAAAAAATTTTAAAAAGCAAGTATTAATTACATATACAGGTCTTCACTTGCTTCCATTGTCCACGTGATATATTCATGTATCTCTTCTCATGCTTTCTCCCGTCACCTCTCTAAGGACAGCCCAAAACCTATGCCAGCTTCTTATTGGAATTTCCAGCTCCACGTCACCACCTGCCTCCTGGATGTTTCTCTCTGAATATTCCCCTTTCATCCTTGGCTCAACATTCTCTAACAGCAAGTGTCCCCTTTCCTTTCATAAACATGCTGCTTCTCCTATTTTAGTTGTTCAAGCATTGAAGATTGCAGTGTTTTAATCCTCATGCATCTTTGCTTCCATTTGCAATCTTTTTTTTTTTTTTTTTTTTTTGAGGCAAAGTCTCGCTCTGTTCACAGGCTGGAGTGCAGTGGCGCAATCTTGGCTGATTGCAACCTCCGCCTCCTGGGGTCAACCAATTCTTCTATCTCAGCCTCCCGAGTAGCTGGGATTACAGGTGTGCACCACCAGGTCCGGCTAATTTTTGTAGTTTTAGTAGAGACAGGGTTTCACCATGTTGGCCAGGCTGGTCTCAAACTCTTGACTTCAGGTGATCTGCCCACCTCAGCCTCCCAAAGTGCTGGGATTACAGGTGTGAGCCACCACGCCTGGCCCCGCAATCATTTTTTAAATAGTTCTTTTCTGTTGTCTTAGGCTTCACTTCTTATTCTATCATATTTTAATTTTTTTTTTTTTTTTGACAGGGTCTTGCTCTGTCACAAAGGCTAGAGTGCAGTGGCATGATCACAGCTCATTGCAGCCTCAACTCCCCAGGTACAAGCAATCCTCCCATCTCAGCCTCCCAAGTAGCTAGGACCCAGGCATGTGCCACCATGCCTGGCTAGTTTTTTTGTTTTTCTGAAGAGATAGGGTCTCCTATGTTGGCCAGGTTGGTCTTGAACTCCTGGACTCAAGTAATCCTCCCATCTCAGCTTCCCTAAGTGCTAGGATTATAGGCATGAGCCAGCTCACCCAGCCTTATTTGAATACTTTCACAGTTGTTTCCTAACATGTCTCTCAACCTCTCATTCCTCCTTTTAAAAACACATGTTCTGGCCAGGCATGGTGGCTCATGCCTGTAGTCCCAGCTACTTGGGAGACTGAGGTGCGAGGACTGTTTGAGCTCAGGAGATCAAGGCTGCAGTGAGCTCTGATTGTGCCACTGCACTCCATCCTGGGTGACAGAAAAACCTGTCTCAAAACAACAACAATAAAACAAAACAAAACAAACGTAAAAACCATATATTCTGAATGAACAAGACTACCTTGTTTTTTTTTGTTTTTTTTGTGAGACGGAGTCTTGTTCTGTTGCCCAGGCTGGAGTGCAGTGGCACGATCTCGGCTCACTGCAAGCTCCGCCTCCCAGGTTCACGCCATTCTCCTGCCTCTCAGCCTCCGGAGTAGCTGGGACTACAGGCACCCACGACCACGCCTGGCTAATTTTTGTTTGTAGTTTTAGTAGAGACGGGATTTTTTACCATGTTAGCCAGGATGGTCTCGATCTCCTGACCTCGTGATCCGCCCGCCTCGGCCCCCCAAAGTGCTGGGATTACAGGCGTGAGCCACCGGGCCCGGCAGTCTTTCTCTCTTTTTTTTTTAAAGTGATATTTATTCATTCATCCACTCCAAAATACTCAGTGGCTCTCCATTGTCTTTGTGGTAGTTCTTAATCCTAGATACATTTCAGAATCACTCATGGCACTCGTTTTAAACAGACTGCCAGACCAAACCTCAAATCCACTGGCAAAGACTGCTAATTGCCCCTTGTCCTCCAATATTTGCTTGTCCTTTCTTCCATAATGATAAAACTCCCAATCTTTAAGGGAAGAAACTGCCATCCTGAAAGGACTATATTTCCCAGCATCCTTTGTAGCAAGGTATAGATATGTATCTAAGGCCTGGCCAACTGGGGATAAACAGAAATGGTCTTTGCAAATTTTTAGGAAAGCCTTTTTTCTCCCCTTTTCTTTTTCCTACTGGCTAAAATGCAGATGTGATGACTGGAACTGCACTAGCAATTTTGGACCATAAGGTGTTAATCATGACAGAATAAAAAGGTAGGATCTTTGATGATTGTGGAGCTGCCATATTCGCTTTGGCCTGCCAACATTTACATAAGGAGGAAATAGACTTCTTTCTTGTTTAAGCCACTTTTACTTTGGGATTTCTGTCATGAACAGCCAAACTTAATCCTAACTTGCCTAATTCTCTTTTTTTAATCCATTACAAAGACCTATTGATTCTACCTTAACTATCCTTCCCCTTCCATCCATGCTGCCACTGCCTTGGTTCAGTTCTTCAACATTTCTTGCAAAGGTTATTAGTTAATCTCCTGTTTTTTCAGCCTTCAGTGATGCCCTTTTTCAATGCTTCCCAGGTAAGTAGTTCTAAAATGCAAATCTGATCATTTCATTGATCTGTTTAAAATCCTTCAGGGTAGGCCGGGCACGGTGGCTCATGCCTGTAATCCCAGCACTTTGGGAGGCCAAGGGGCAGATCACGAGGTCAGGAGATCGAGACCATCCTGGCTAACACGGTGAAACCCCGTCTCTACTAAAAATCCAAAACAATTAGCCGAGCATGGTGGCGGGCGCCTGTAGTCCCAGCTACTCAGGAGGCTGAGGCAGGAGAATGGTGTGAACCCGGGAGGCGGAGCTTGCATTGAGCCAAGATCGCGCCACTGCACTCCAGCCTGGGCAACAGAGCAAGACTCCATCTCAAAAAAAAAAAAAAAAAAATCCTTCAGGGTATATGGTGGGGATGTCTTGCCAGATAACAATAATTCAAGCATACCCTGAGAATGACCCCAGGTTCTCTTTCTTTGTTTTTTTGAGACAAAGTCTCACTCTGTCACCCAGGCTGGAGTGTAATAGTGCGATCTCAGCTCACTGCAACCTCCACCTCCCAGGCTCAAGTGATTCTCCTGCCTCAGCCTCCCGTGTAGCCAGTACTACAGGTGCACAGCACCGCATTGGGCTAATTTTTGTATTTTTGGTAGAGATTGGGTTTCACCATGTTGCCCAGGCTAGTCTCGAATGAGACCAGAGCTCAGGTGATCTGCCTGCCTCAGCTTCCAAAAGTGCTGGGATTACAGGTGTGAGCCACTGTACCAGGCCGTTTGTTTGTTTGTTTGTTTGTTTGTTTGTTTGAGACAGGGGTCTCACTGTGTTGCCCAGGCTGGTCTTGAACTGCTGGGCTCAAATGATCTTCCTGCCTCAGCCTCCCAAAGTGCTAAGATTACAGGCATGAGCTGCCATACATGGCTGACCCTATGTTCTTTGGTGAATGTTTGTTCACTGTTCTGAGCTATGGACTCTGGGAGAGGCCAACCTGGATGTTTACGCTGTACTTATGAAGGTGTGAAGGCTCAGAGCAGGGACACAGATGGGGGCATGAAGAACACCTGGACCCTGGCCTCGTTCCTTGGAACACAAGTCATACAAGAAGCCAGTGGCCTAGGCTGGGCACAGTGGCTTACGGCTGTAATCCCAGCACTTTGGGAGGCCAAGGCAGGCAGATCACTTGAGGTCAGGAGTTCGAGACCAGCCTTGCCAACATGGTGAAACCCCATCTCTACTAAAAAACATACAAAAATTAGCCGGGCATGGTGGCACGTGCCCACCATGCTACTCGGGAGGCTGAGGCATGAGAATCGCTTGAACCCAGGAGGCAGAGGTTACAGTGAGCCAAGATGGCACCACTGTGCTCCAGCCTGTGAGACAGAGTAAGACTCCTTCTCAAAAAAAGAAAAAAAAATAAATCAATGGCCTTTGTTTTAAGCTAGGTGGAGGTTGCTAAGTAGAGGTTGCTGTGTGGGAGTTCCTACTAACCTGCATGCTTTCCACAAAAGGCAGTGGAACTCCTGTCCAGCCTTCCACTCTTGGACACTCCATACATAAGTCCCCTGAATAAACTCTGTCTTTTTTTTTTTTTTTTTTTTTGAGATGGAGTTTCACTATTGTTGCCCAGGCTGCAGTGCAATGGCACAATCTTGGCTCACTGCAACCTCTGCCTCCTGGGTTCAAGTGATTCTCCTACCTCAGCCCCCTGAGTAGCTGGGATTACAGGCGTGCGCCACCATGCCCAGCTCATATTGTATTTTTAGTAGAGACCAGGTTTCTCCATGTTGATCAGGCTGGTCTCAAACTCCCGATCTCAGGTGATCTGCCCCTCTCAGCCTCCCAAAGTGCTGGGATTACAGGTGTGAGCCACCATGCCCGCCCTAAACTCTATGTCTTACCCACTGTCTTCAGGTCTTTTCTTCGGTCTCTCGGTGACTGTGCCTTCCCAGTTTGCCTGTTTGGGGGCCCAGCACAACACAAGGAAGAACGCAAGCCAAGGTCTTTCTTTGCTTGGATGATTTCTATGCATTTCTCAGGACCCAGATTAGTGTCATCTCCTTGGAAAGCCATCCCTTACCCTTCAGCCTTGGTTAGGGCCTTTCTGAAGTGTCCACCCCTGCATCCCCCAAGTCCCCAAGCTTTCCTCTGTCATTGTACGTGTAACAGGGATTGCAGCTTTTTCCTCACCAGCTGAGCTCCTTAAAGAAAGGAACCACATCATGTTCATCTTCCTTTCCCCAGTACCTAGTAAAGTGCCTAGTACATAATAAGTCCTCAGCAAATGAATTTCTACACAGGAACCACCAGAATCCAAGCACAATGAGAGGAAGGCCACCTTTTACTCTAACTCCGCCTACTCACTTTATCTTGAATTTATTAACATCCTAGGCTAAGAGCCATTTTATATCTCAACAGAAACAGCAATCTTAGAAAATATCTTCAAGTAACTCTTAAATTAGGATACTATTAAGCCTCCTGGCTAATCTTAGAGCCCTTCGATGGTAGTTTTTTGATTTATATAACCAGTTTCTAAAACACATCTTCACTCACTAATAAACCGACACGTATGTGGGTCATTCTTCTGAAATTTGTGTTTTATTCTAACTGTATATGAAGACTTTGATTTGGTTGTACATGAGAATTTAATCTTTCCACTATGGTGGTAATTTTTTATTTGTCTTAGAGCCTCAGATGTGGCCACCCTGGGTACAACAGGGCATATCATTTCTGTCTCATCTGTAACCTACAGGATCAAGCAGACCTGAGCTCAGATTTCAGCTCACCCACTTCCACCACAGACTTGCCTTTCTGAGCCTCCTGTAAAATGAAAATGATCATATTTATGCTGGAGAGTGTAACAGGATGTGAACATGGAAGTCCTTTCTGTCTCCATTTCAACCGAAGCTCAAAGGCCTTCAACAAAACAAGTTCTCAGGTTCCAAAGTGAGGTGCCAAGCGCCCCCTGCAGGAACTGCAGAGCAAAGGCGCTTTCTCCTCACCCCAGTCCAGTGAGAGGTGCTCTTAGGGGAATAACGGGAGAGACAAACACTTATCTCTTAGAGTTTAGTGGAAGAAGAAAAAAGAATGAGAAATTTAAAGGTCAAGGCTGTGCCAGAGCAGGAAAGGGGCTGCATCATGGGCAGCCTGCCCATCCTCCAACGTCAGCCAGAGACACTCAGCTCTACGTTCCAGACGTGGGCTCCCAGGAGAGCTCTCTGGGGTGCATTTTGAAAGGCCCCCAACCTGAGGTGACATTCTGCCATGGGCAAGCCAGCCTCAGCAGGGGCTGGAGGCGTTCCACAGAGCAGAAAGGGGGACGCGGTCGTGTGTGGGGGGCGTCAAAAGCAAGGCAGCAGCATTGCCCCAGTCAGGCCTGTTGCCACACTGGGGGCAGAGGGAAAGCTTTCTCTCTGCCCACTGAAGGTTTGCAGAGCATAAACTGATGAAATGCAGATACACAGGAGAAAAAGGCATACGAAATTTACTTAATGTGCATAGAAGAAAATCACAAGACTATGATTACCCAGTAACCCGATGAGGCCCGGCTGCTTATATTCTTCTCCATGGGGAAAGGGAGACAGGGGTTGTAGGAGTAAATGATTTCCAAAGGAAATGAATGAGCCAAAGAACGATGGCTGGGGACAAAGTTCCTTTGAGCACTGGGGAAGGCGGCAGGAAGGTGAGGGGTGGACTATTACTGTGAACAAGTGTTCTTTTTTTTTTTTTTTTTTTTTGAGACAGAGTCTCACTCTGTCACCCAGGCTGGAGTGCAGTGGCATGATCTTGGCTCACTGCAACCTCCACCTCCCGGGTTCAAGCAATTCTCCTGCCTCAGCCTCCCCAGTAGCTAGGACTACAGGTGCGCACCACAACGCCCGGCTAATGTTTGTATTTTTAGTAGAGACGGGGTTTCACCATGTTGGTCAGGCTGGTCTCAAACTCCTGACCTCAGGTGATCCACCTGCCTCAGTCTCCCAAAGTGCTGGGATTACACACACACATGAGCCACCGCCCAGACCATCAATGTTGTCTTATTATGCAGATAAAGTCTCCCAGGCAATCTCTCAGGGCTGCTGTCAGAAGAATAGTTAAAAGCTCCACCTGGTTCGGTGGCTCACCCCTGCAATCCCAGCACTTTCAGAGGCCGAGGCGGACAGATCACCTGAGGTCAGGAGTTTGAGACCAGCCTGGCCAACATGGGGAAACCCTGTCTCTACTAAATACAAACATTAGCCAGTGTGGATGCAAGTGCCTGTAATCCCAGCTACTGGGGAGGCTGAGGCAGGATAATCACTTGAACCTGGGAATTGGAGGTTGCAGTGAGCCAAGATCAAGCCACTGCACTCCAACCTGGGTGACAGAGGGAGACTCCGTCTCAAAAAAAAAAAAAAAAGAAGAAGAATAGTTGAAGGCTGCGTACAGTGGCTCACACCTTTAACCCAGCACTTTGGGAGGCTGAGGTAGGAGGGCCCTTTCAGCCCAGTAGTTTGAGACCAGCCGGGGCAACATGACAAAACCCTGTGTCTACACACACACACACACACACACACACACACATACACACAAACACAAAAGCCAGGCACACAGCTGTAGTCCCAGCTACTCTGGAGGCTGAAGTGGTGGAGGCTGAGTTAGGAGGATTGCTTGACCCTGGAAGGTAGAGGCTGCAGTGAGCTGTAATCTCGCTACTGTACTCCACACTGGTTGACAGAGTGAGCTGCTGTCTCAAAAAAAATTTTTTTTGGCCGGGAGCGGTGGCTCACGCCTGTAATCCCAGCACTTTGAGAGGCCAAGGCGGGTGGATCACAAGGTCAGGAGCTCGAGACCAGCCTGGCCAAGATGGTGAAACCCCATCTCTACTAAAAATACAAAAATGAGCCGGGCACAGTGGCAGGTGCCTGTAATCCCAGCTACTTGGGAGGCTGAGGCAGGAGAATAGCTTGAACCCAGGAGGCAGAAGTTGCAGTGAACCAAGATCGCACACTCTAGCCTGGGCAACAGAGCAAGACTCTGTCTCAAAAAAAAAGGTTTTTTTTACTAATAATTTAAAATTTACATAATAAAATAAAAATAGATGGAAAGTCTATCTGGGTATGGTGATGACTCCCAGTCTCTTCTATTCTCGGGTAGTTGATCATTCCTGGCTATCTGATGAGGTTCCTAGAGAGAGGGGTCTTAAAATAATTGCATTTATTTTGGAAAGAAGCTTTGTTAGTCAGATAAGGAAATTCCAGAGAGAGTTCCTGGGAAAGAAAGAGAAACAAAGAGACAGAAAAGCTGGGAAAAGTCAAGAGAGGGAACTTGGTTCTGAGGCTTATCTCTGAGGCCTTTCAATTTCAAGAAGTAAACTCCATGAGTTTGAAAGAGTTGGCTTAATCTTCTCAGTGTACACAATCAAATATGTACATAATTATATACGTACATAATCGTATAAATTCAGTGTATATAATTGTATAAATTTATGAAAGTTGTTATCCCCTACTGTTTCCCAGAAAACCCTTGACTCGGAGATGGGAAGAACTTGCATTCATTGTGCACCCCTTAGACAACTGTCTGTTCCATCACACACCAAGGCCTTCATGGACATCTCTGGCCCTGCTGAAATGGAATAAAGAAACTCCCGGCCAGGCGCGGTGGCTCACACCTGTAATCCCAGCACTTTGGGAGGGTGAGGCGGGCAGATTACGATGTCAAGAAATTGAGACCATTCTAGCCAACATGGTGAAACCCCGTCTCTACTAAAAATACAAAAATTAACCGGGCGTGGTGGTGGACATCTGTAGTCCGAGCTACTCGGGAAACTGAGGCAGGAGAATTGCTTGCACTAGGAGGTGGAGGTTTCAGTGAGCCGAGATCGCGCCACTGTACTCCACCCTGGGTGACAGAGCAAGACTCTCTCAAAAAAAAAAAAAAAAAAAAAAAAGTAAGCATTTGGTCTAAATTATGCAAGTCAGATATTAAGTTTACTAAATGCTTTAAGGTCATAAAGTGCTTCTTTGTCTTTTGAAAATTGTTCAATTTACCTACTTTGGAGCATTAGATTCTAAATAAAGACTAGGATATGTGGAATTAGCCATGCCCCCTAGCTATGCAAAGAAGGTTATAAAGAAAAGATTTTAAGGCTGGGTGTGGTGGCTCACACTCATAATCCCAGCATTTTGGGAGGCCGAGGAGGGTGGATTACTTGAGGTCAGGAGTTTTAGACTAGCCTGGCCAACATGGCAAAACCCCATCTCTACTGAAAATACAAAAATGAGCCGGGAGTGGTGTCAGGCACCTGTAATCTCAGCTACTCAGGAGGCTGAGGCAGGAGAACCATTTCAACCCGGGAGGTGGAGGTTGTAGTGAGCCAAGATCGGGCCACTGCACTCCAGCCTGGGCGATAGGGCAAGACTCTGTCTCAAAAAAAAAAGAAAGAAAAGAAAAGAAATAAAAGAAGAAATTTTGTATAAGAAAGGATGTTGTATGGTGAATACTTGTCCTAAAGTAAAATGACTGATTGCTTTAAAAAAGGGAATTTATGCAAGAAATATATAAGTTAAAGGTTTCTGGGTCTCCTAAATGCTTCATAAAATGCCATTAGGACTCTTAACTGTACAACTTTCCTGCTTTACAGCTAGATAAGGCCTGGGACACATGAAGTTAGACAACGAAAAGAGTCAGACCTTATCTGCACTTCTGTCTACTGTCACAGGCTCCACACCTAGCACATAATTAAAAATCTGAACTCAACCAGGCACAGTGGCTCACGCCTGTAATCCCAGAACTTTGGGAGTCCGAGACAGGTGGATCACGAGGTCAAGAGATTGAGACCATCCTGGCCAACATGGTAAAACCCTGTCTCTACTAAAAATACAAAATTTAACTAGGCATGGTGGTGCTACTTGGGAGGCTGTGGGAGGAGAATCACTTGAACCCGGGAGGCTGCGGTTACAGTGAGCTGAGATCGGGCCACTGCACTCCAGCCTGGCAACAGAGCAAGACTCCGTCTAAAAAAAAAATTCTGAACTTACCAAGGTTTTCACCAAAAGTAAAAGTTGCTAAGAGTTAACAGTGTAACATATATTTGGGACTACTAAAAAAAAAGTTATACGTGCAAGGTGTATAGAAAAAGTGAAATGTGGCCGGGTGCGGTGGCTCATACCTGTAATCCCAGCACTTTGGGAGGCCAAGGCGGGCGGATCACCTGAGGTCAGGAATTCGAGACCAGCCTCAACATGGAGAAACCCCGTCTCTACTAAAAATACAAAATTAGCCGGGCGTGGTGGTGCATGCTTATAATCCCAGCTACTCAGGAGGCTGAGGCAGGAGAATTGCTTGAACCTGGGAGGTGGACGTTGCAGTGAGCCGAGATCACACCATTGCACTCCAGCCTGGGCAACAAGAGCGAAACTCTGTCTCAAAACAAAAAAAAAGTGAAGTGTGTTTTTGGTAAAAGATAAGAAGTCATGGGAATGTGGATTTTTTTTTTTTTTTGCCTAGATTAAAGGGTTAAAGAATTGTTTTGAGTGAGATAGGAAAAATCTAAAGGTTTAAACAAGTTATGAGAGATTTGCGAAAAAAATTAAATGTAAAAAAAAATTCTGTGTGTGAACATATTGGCTAAAATTAAAGGGGTATTCAGTTTTTCTGTAAATTAAACATTGGAATAAAAGCACAACAGGTTTTTCTTAGACAAAAACCTGCTTATGATCTGCTCTTTAACAAAAGTTGTAAAGGGTTATAAAAGGCTATGAAAATCTTACCTTGTGGTCAAACTAAATAAAATTGGCTACATTTATCTATAACGTTTTATCAAGAATTGAGTTTGACATCAATAATGCACTAATGCAACAGTGATATTTGGCTTATTTGGTATAAAAATCATACAGGAAGCATTATCAAATATGAAATGGTGTTTTGCTTACTTGGGGCTGTATTTGTATAAATGTGTTATTAGTATATGTTGCAAAATTATAAAAAAACTCCTATATTTCTGATATGACTTAGTGTATGTTATTAATAATTATAATTGTTATGTGAAATTGTTGTGTACCATAGAAGTGACCACAATTTCCCAGTAACTTGTGACTTTAATAATGGCTATCCTAGGACTTTTTGTCATCCACAGTCAATTGTTGTCTTATTTTAATCGTCTTTAGAAGGTGGCTTATGATCAACTACAGGACTTTGACAGATATTCTTTTTTTTTTTAATTTGAGATGGGAGTTTCACTCTTGTTGCACAGGCTGAAGTGCAGTGGTGTGATCTCAGCTCACCACAACCTCCGCTCCCTGGGTTCAAGCAATTCTCCTGCCTCAGCCTCCCGAGTGGCTGGGATTACAGGTGTGCACCACCACGCCCGGCTAATTTTGTATTCAGTAGACACAGGGTTTCTCCATGTTGGTCAGGCTGGTCTCGAACTCCCAACCTCAGGTGATCCACCCACCTGGGCCTCCCAAAGTGCTAGGATTACAGGCGTGAACCACCACGCCCCACTGACAGATATTCTTAAATGCAAGTTTCTGATAACTTTGGAAATTGTAACATTAGAATAGAGGAAAACACTTTCAGGACTCATGGAGAGCTGAAATGTTCATGTATACCAATCAGAATTAAGCTGAAGAAGTCGAAAGTCATTTTTTTTTAATTTTGCTTAAAACGTTGATGATCCTTTGTTTTGTTTTTCAGAGTCAAGGAAACTTTTCAGCTATTTACAGCTTTTAACAATTGAGTAAAGTATACTCCTGTGGGCTGGGCGCAGTGGCTCACTCCTGTAATCCCAGCACTTTGGTAGGCCTAGGTGGACAGATCACAAGGTCAGGAGTTCAAGACCAAGATGGTAAAACCCCGTCTCTACTAAAAATACAAAAATTAGCCAGTTGTGGTGGCACACACCTGTAATCCCAGCTACTTGGGAGGCTGAAGCAGGAGAATCACTTGAACCCAGGAGGCAGAGGTTGCGTTGAGCTGAGATCGCATCATTGCACTCCAGCCTGGGCAACAACAGAGAAACTGTCTCAAAAAAAAAAAAAATTAACTGGGAGCAGGGCATGGTGGCTCAGGCCTGTAATCACAGTACTTTGGGAGACCGAGGCTGGCAAATCAACTGAGCTCAGGAGTTCTAGACCAGCCTGGCCAACAAGGTGAAACCCCGTCTCTACTAAAACTACAAAAATTAGCTAGGCATGGTGGCACACACCTGTAATCCCAGCTACTCAAGAGGCTGAGGCACGAGAATCACTTGAACCTGGGAGGCAGAGGTTGAGGTTGCTGTCAGCCGAGATCGCTCCACTTCACTCCAGCCTAGGCAAAAGAGCGAGACTCTGTCTCAAAAAAAAAAATTTAACTGGGCTTGGTAGTGGCAGTTGTAGTCCCACAACTCAGTCCCTCAGACTCAGTGGGAGTCTGAGATGGGAGAATTGCTTGAGCCTGGGAGTTCAAGGCTGCAGTGAGCCATAGTTATACTACTGCACTCCAGGATGGGTGACAGAGTAAGACCTTGTCTCAAAAACCTAAATAAATAAAAATAAATTTACTTTTTCTATGGTTTATTTTAATATATATTTTAAATGAAAACCTATTTAGCCTGAACCCAAGAAGCGGAGGTTGAGTTGACATTGTGCCACTGCACTTTAGCCTGGGCAATGAAGCAAGACCCTGTCTCAAAAAAAAAAAAAAAGAAAAAGAAAAAAGAAAACCTACCCAACTAATATTTGAATACAGTTATATGTTCTTTGTTTCTTTCTTTTTTTTTTTTTTTTTTTTTGAGACAGAGTCTGGCTCTGTCACCCAGACTGGAGTGCAGTGGTATGATCTCGGCTCACTGCAACTTCCGCCTCCCGGGTTCAAGCGATTCTCCTGCCTCAGCCTCCCAAGTAGCTGGGATTATAGGCACCCACCATCACAGCCGGCTAATTTTTGTATTTTTAGTACAGATGGGGTTTCACCATATTGTTCAGGCTGGTCTTGAACTCCTGACCTCATGATCTTCCCGCCTTGGCCTCCCATAGTGCTGGGATTACAGGCGTGAGCCACTGCGCCTGGCACGTTCTTTGTTTCTTTAGGTCATTGCCAAAAATACTGATTATAACAACAAAATAATTCTGCAGAACTGAAGGTAAGAAAAATAAATTTATGAAAACAAGCTGGGCTCAGTGGCTCAGGCCTGTAATCCCAGCACTTTGGGAGGCCGAGGCAGGTGGATCACCTGAGGTCAGGAGTTCGAGACCAGCCTGGCCAACATGGTGAAACCCCGTCTCTACTAAAAATACAAAAAACTAGCCAGGCGTGGTAGCAGGCGCCTGTAATCTCAGCTACTCGGGAGGCTGAGGCAGGAGAATCACTTGAACCCAGGAGGCAGAGGTTGCAGTGAGCTGGGATGGCACCATTGCATTCCAGCCTGGGCAACAAGAGTGAAACTCCGTCTCAAAAAAAAAAAATTACAAAAACATATATGAGTTATGTATGTCTTTTTGTTTCATCCAGACGTCAGTAGCCCATTAACAGAATGCTCAGACATATAGGCAATAATAATTAGATTTAATAATCTCAGATAGTTCAGCAACTTTCTGTCAATACAAGCCACCGTTTTATTTATTTATTTATTTAGAGACAGAACCTGTCGCCCAGGCTGGAGTGCAGTGGCACCATCTCAGCTCAGTGCAACCTCTGCCCTACAAGTTTAAGCGATTCTCCTGCCTTAGCCTCCCAAGTAGCTGAGATTACAGGCGCACACCACCTCACCCAGCTAATTTTTGTATTTTTAATAGAAACGGCGTTTTGCCATGTTGGCCAGGGTGGTGTCAAACTCCTGACCTCAAGTGATCTGCCCACCTGGGCCTCCCAACGTGCTGGGATTACAGGCATGAGCCACCGTGCCCAGCCAAAGCCATCATTTTAAACACATTTTAGGCCTGGTGCAGTGGCTCACACCTGTAATTCCAACACGTTAGGAGGCTAAAAAGAGAGAATCACTTGAGGCCAGGAGATCAAGACCAGCCAGGACAACATAGCAAAACCCTGTCCCTACAAAAACATTTTAAAATAAGCCAGACATGGTGGAGTGTGTCTGTAATCCCAGCTACTCAGGAGGCTGAGGCAAGGAGAATCACTTGAACCCAGGAGTTAGAGGCTGCAGTAAGCTATGATCATGCCACTGCACCCCAACCTGGGTGACAGAGCCAGACCCTGTCTCTTAAAAAAAAAAGTTAACACATTCTATTTTGTTGTTATAAAGTGGCTTTAAAAATTTTTTTTGTTTGATTTGGTTTAGGTGGAAGTGTTTTTTTTTAATTTTGAGACAGTCTCACTCTGTGTCACCCAGGCTGGAGTGCAGCGGCTCCACTGCACTCTGCTCACTGCAACTTCTGTCTCCCCGGTTTAAGCAATTCTTGTGCCTCAGCCACCTGAGTAGCTGGGATTACAGGTGCACACTAGCATGCCCAGCTAATTTTTGTATTTTTAGTAGAGACAGGGTTTCACCTTGTTGGCCAGGCTGGTCTCAAACTCCTGACCTCAAATGATCCACCCACCTCAGCCTCCCAAAGTGCTGGGATTACAGGCATGAGCCACCGTGCCTGGCCCATTATAAAGTTATATTTGTCAATTTACAAAGACAAATTATATTTTAACAGCTGTTAACTTGATTTATAGCATTTACATACTTGGAATATGCCTCCATTTTTATGCTTGCCCTATATGTTAGTGACCTAGAATGAATTAGGTGCCTGTTATTAATCCATCAGAATTAAAAGCAATATCTGTCTGGCACAGTTACTCGCAACTGAAATCTCTGCAATCATTCAGAAATAAGAGATGCCCTTTTCAAAAAGAAGGCCAGGCATGGTGGCTCACACCCATAATCCCAGTACTTTGGGAAGTCAAGACAGAAGGATCACTTGAGGCCAGGCGTGTCTACCAAAAATTTAAAAATTAGCCGGGCATGGTGCTGTGCACCTGTAGTCCCAGCTACTCAGGAGGCTGAGGCAAGAGGATTGCTGGAGCCCAGCATTTCAAGGTTACAGTGAGCTATGATCATACCGCTGTATCCCAACCTGGAGACAGAGTGAGACACTATCTCTAATAAATAATACTAATAAATAAAAGTTAAAAAGAAACTATTGCTGAAAATTGTTCATTTATAATGCTGTCTTATGATAGGATGTCATGGACAGTAATATATAGACCAGAGACATCCCTTTGTAAAGTTATGTGCAGAAACATCATATATCTCAAAGGAAGGAGAAAAACAGCAGGGGAAAGAAAGTAGGTAAATTGAAGTGGACATCTCCGCTGTGATTGAAAGGACCGTATCAATGAGGGTGTCAGACTTAATAGCTGGGGAAATGAGAAGACAAATGGGCCACTCCTAGAGACTTAGAAATACACTGTGGAAGAGCAGGTAAAAGCAGCAACTTGTTAAGAGGAAAGAAGAGCAAAGGTACAAGGAAAAGGCAGGGGCAGGAATCAAGATTTGTGGAGCATCTGCCATGTGCCAGGCCCAGTGCTAAGCATATAACATGCTTTGATGATACCTTCAACTACACAACACACCAGAGGTTTAATAGGATTTAGTATATGAAAACTGTATGTAGGAGGCTACTTTAAACAGCCCCTAGTGCCTATTAGGCAAAGTTCAAAATTGTTAAAAAGGTAGCTGGGCACAGTGACTCACACCTGTAATCCCAGCACTTTGGGAGGCCGTGGCGGGCAGATCACCTGAGGTCAGGAGTTCGAGACCAGCCTGACCAACATGGAGAAACCCTGTCTCTACTAAAAATACAAAATTAGGCAGGCGTGGTGGCGCATGCCTGTAATCCCAGCTACTTGGGAGGCTGAGGCAGGAGAATCGCTTGGACCCGGGAGGCAGAGGTTGCAGTGAGCCGAGATCACGCCATGGCGCTCCAGCCTGGGCAACAAGAGTGAAACTCCGTCTCAAAAAAAAGAAAAAAAGAAAAAAGTAAAGGCACACACTACCTGTTAATCACCCCAGTCTCTCCTTCCCTCCCCTGTCATAGTGCACTTCAGCACACCAGCACATCAGCCATTTCATGCCTTTGTGTCTTCGTGCATGCTGTTCACGTGGCCCAGGGTGCCTTAGCTCATTGGCGAACTCATGCATCCTTCAAACCCCAATTCAAATGTTATCTTCTCTGTGAAGTCTGAGTTCTCAAAATCTGCCAGGCCCAGCAACTCTTTCTTCTTTCTGTTCCTATAAGTCCTTCCATAACATAAAGCATTTATCACTTGGCATTAAAATTGTTAGTTCTTGTGACTATCTCCTCCAGACAGTAGCTCCTAGTGGGCAGTGCAATAGCCCAGCACCTACACTAGTGCCAGGAACACAGTAGGGATGTAATACTAACCAAAAGAATAGTCCAATGGCCATTCACAGTGGTTCACATCTGTAATCCCTGCAACTTGGGAGGCTGAGGCAGGAGGATTGCTTGTGGCCACGAGTTCTAACTTTCTAACTAGCCTGGGCAACATACCAAGATGCTGTCCAAAAAACAAAAAAAATTTAAGGAATAGTTGAATAGACCAGGCATAGTGGTTCATCCCTGTAATCCCAGCACTTTGCTGGGCCAAGATGGGAGAATCACTTGAGGCCAGGAGTTCTAAAACCAGCCTGGACAACATGGGAAAACCCTGTATCTACACAAAATAAAAAAATTAGCTGGGCATGGTGGTGTGTGCCTGTGGTCCCAGCTACTCAGGAGGCTGAGACAGGAGGATCGCTTGAGCCCGGGAGGCAAAGGTTGCAATGAGCTGAGATCGCACCACTGCACTCCAGCCTGGGCAACAGAGTGAGACCCTGTCTCAAAAAGAGAAAAAGAGAAATGAAAAAATAATAATATGACAACCAGTGCATCCAACAAAACATCCCTCAGTGATGGAAGTATTCTGTATCTGTACTTTACAATACAGTAGCCTCTAGCCACACGCAGCTGCTGGTCACTTGAAATGTGGTCAGTGCGAATGAGGAACTGAATTTTTTTTTTTTTTTCTTGAGAGGGAGTCTTGCTCTGTCACCCAGGCTGGAGTGCAGTGGCACAATCTCTGCATCCCGGGTTCAAGCGATTCTCCTGTCTCAGCCTCCCAAGTGGCTGGGACTACAGGCATGTGCCACCACGCCCAGCTAATTTTTTTTTTTTTTCTTGAGACGGAGTTTCACTCTTGTTGCCCAGACTGGAGTGCAATGGCACAATCTCGGCTCACCACAACCTCCGCCTCCCAGGTTCAAGTGATTCTCCTGCCTCAGTCTCCCTAGTAGCTGGGATTACAGGTATGTGCCACCATATCTGGCTAATTTTGTATTTTTAGTAGAGATGGGGTTTCTCCATTTTGGTCAGGCTGGTCTCGAACTCCTGACCTCAGGTGATCCACCCACCTTGGCCTCCCAAAGTGCTGGGATTATAGGCATGAGCCACCACGCCCGGCCTAATTTTTGTATTTTTTGCAGAGACGAGGTTTCACCATGTTGGCCAGGCTGGTCTCCAACTCCTGATCACATGATCCACCTGCCTCCACCTCCCGAAGTTCTGGGATTACAGGTGTGAGCCACCACGCCCGGCGGAACTGAATTTTTAACTTCAATTAATTTAAGATAACCACATGTGGCTAGTAGCTACTATATTGGACAGCACAGCTTTAGATTATCATTGACCTGCAACATAGGCAAATTCTACCTCATTATAATTTTTTTGTACTAAAAACAAACAAAAACTCAGCCACTTACAAGCTGAGTAATTTCAAAAACCTTCTTTAGCCTTTTGCTTCTCATTTTATTAACCTGGAAACCCAGCAAGAGGGACTAGATGACAGGAGAAGACTGACAGCTCAAAGTCCAGAGAATTGACCTCCGTTCCACCAAGCCCTCTGAGGGGACAGCTAAAGGGAGTAACCTGTATCCCTTCCCCAGATGGGAGGACAGACAAATGCTTATACTTCTACCCATGTGGATCCCAGGCGTTTCCTGCAGAGAGTGATAGGTGATGGGTTTATTCCAATCCATGACCCAGAGCACCATGTTGAAAACATCTACAAAGTAATGAAGCCTTAACCCCTTCTGTTCTTCGGGTTGGAGTGGTCTGAGATCATTTACGTTTTCATACAACTTTCTGTGTCAGGGAGGCTGGGCGTGGTGGCTCACACCTGCAATCCCAACACTTTGGGAGGCTGGGGCCAGTGGATCACCTGAGGTCAGGAGTTCGAGACCAGCCTGGACAACATGGTGAAACTCCATCTCTACTAAAAATACAAAAATTAGCTGGGCCTGATGGCATGCACCTGTCATCCCAGCTACTTGGGAGGCTGAGGCAGGAGAATCGCCTGAACCCAGGAGCCAGTGGTTGCGGTAAGCCGAGATCGCGCCACTGCACTCCAGCCTGGGTGACAGAGCAAGACTCTATCTCAAAAAAAAAGGAAACTTTTCTGTGTCAGGGATAAATCACTCAACTTCTTTCTCATAGGTTTTTGAGACTACAGACTACAGAGAATGAGGCTTGTAAAGGCAACGGGGTTTATAATTAGGTTCACTAAGGCTGATTATCTGATTTTTCTTTTTCTTTTTTTTTTTTTTTTTTGAGAGGGAGTCTCGCTGTGTTGCCCAGGCTGGAGTGCAGTGGCGCAATCTCGGCTCACTGCAAGCTCCGCCTCCCGGGTTCACGCCATTCTCCTGCCTCAGCCTCCCGAGTAGCTAGAACTACAGGCGCCCGCCACGACGCCCGGCTAATTTTTTGTATTTTTAGTAGAGACGGGGTTTCACCGTGTTAGCCAGGATGGTCTCGATCTCCTGACCTCGTTATCTGCCCGCCTCGGCCTTCCAAAGTGCTGGGATTATAGGCGTGAGCCACCGCGCCCGGCCGATTATCTGATTTTTCACCTGCAAAGAAAGCACTTTGCAATCCCTAAACTCCAAGAAGAAAAAATGCTAAATCCCCTTTCCAGATTTTCTGAGATAACTGGGTTTGTGTGTGCATAACAGTGGGAAAGACCTATCCAGTTCCCTTTCCTTAAAAGGGGAGTAGGGGTTGGCCGGGCGCGGTGGCTCATGCCTGTAATCCCAGCACTTTGGGAGGCCGACCGGTGGATCATGAGGTCAGGAGATCCAGACCATCCTGGCTAACATGGTGAAACCCTGCCTCTACTAAAAATACAAAAAAAAAAATTAGCCGGGCGTGGTAGTGGGCGCCTGTAGTCCCAGCTACTTGGCAGGCCGAGGTAGGAGAATCGCATGAACCCAGGAGGCGGAGCTTGCAGTGAGCCGAGATTGCACCACTGCACTCCAGCCTGGGCGACAGAGAGGAGGAGGAGGAGAAGTAGAGAAGTAAAAGAAGGGAGGAAGGTCTGGAGGGAGGGGAGGAGGAGAGGGAGGACAGCTGCCGTAGCCAGCCAAGTGTGCATCAGAATCACCTGGAGGGCTTATTAACCCATGGATCGCTGGGCTTACACGATTCATTTTGTTAAGTTTGGTGCAAAAGTAATTGTGGTGTTTGCAGTGTTGAAATTTGCCGTTTGCTATTAGAATGCATTCTTAAATAAGTGTGGTTATGTTATACACCGCTTTAATGCACATTTCTCGCTTTTTGTTTGACTAATGATTTATTACTTGCTGTTTATTTTATATTTATTTTAGACCATGGAAATGATGTTAGACAAAAAGCAAATTTGAGCGATTTTCTTATTCAAGTTAAAAATGGGTCGTAAAGCAGAGGAGACAACTCACAAAATCAAAACGTATTTGGCCCAGGAACTGCTAAGGAATGTACAGTGTGGTGGTGATTCAGGAAGTTTTGCAGGCCGGGCATGGTGGCTCACGCCTGTAATCCCAACACTTTGGGAGGCCAAGGCAGGTGGATCACCTGAGGTTGGGAGTTCGAGACCAGCCTGACCAATATGATGAAACCCTGTCTCTACTAAAAATACAAAAATTAGCCGGCCATGGTGCCATGCGCCTATAATCTCAGCTACTCGGGAGGCTGAGATGGGAGAATCGCTTGAACCCAGGAAACAGAGGTTGCAGTGAGCCAAGATTGCACGATTGCACTCCAGCCTGGGCAACAAGAGCGAAACTCTGTCTCAAAATAAAATAAAAATAAAAATACAAAATTAGCCGGGTGTGGTGGCACATGCCTATAATCCCAGCTACTGGGGAGGCTGAGGCAGGAGAATCGCTTAAACCCGGGAAGTGGAGGTTGCAGTGAGCCGAGATTGCACTCCAGCCTGGGCAACAAGAACAAAATTCCATCTCAAAAAAGAAGAAGAAGAAAATGAAGAAGTTTTGCAAAGGAGATGAGAGCCTTGAAGATGAGGAGCATAGTGGCCGGCCATTGGAAGTTGACAACGACCAATTGAGAGCAATCATCGAAGGTGATCCTCTTACAACTACAGGAGAAGTTGCTGAAGAACTCAACGTCAACCATTCTACAGTTGTTCAGCATTTAAAGTGCATTGGAAAGGTGAAAAAGCTTGATAACTGGGTGCCTCATGAGTTCAGCAAAAATCAAAAAAATCATTGTTTTGAAGTGTCATCTTCTCTTATTCTATGCAACAACAACAAACCATTTCTCAATCAGATTGTGACGTGCAATGAAAAGTGGATTTTATACAACAACTGGCGACGACCAGCTCAATGGCTGGACCAAGCGAAGAAGCTCCATATCACTTCCCAAAGCCAAGCTTGCACCCAATAAAGGTCCTGGTCACTGTCTGGTGGTCTGCTGCTGGTCTAATCCACTCCAGCTTTCTGAATCCAGGCAAAACCATTACATCTGAGAAGTACGCTCAGCAAATCAATGAGATGCACTGAAAACCAAGGGCTGCAGCCGGCACTGGTCAAAAGAAAAAAAGGCCCAATTCTCCATGACAACATCCAACTACACGCACAACCAACGCTTCAAAAATTGAATGAATTGGGCTACAAAGTTTTGTGTCATCCGCCGTATTCACCTGACCTCTCCCCAACCGACTACCACTTCTTCAAGCATCTCAACAACTTTTTGCAGGGAAAATGCTTCCACAACCAGCAGGATGTGTTAACGGTGGACAGTATCCAGGTTCTTGGTGTCTTGAACAAAGAATTGGACAAAACACACAAACAAAGCAAGGAAGGAATGAAGGGTTTTATTGAAAATGAAAGTACACTCCACAGTGTGGGAGTGGGCCTCGGCAGAGGGGCACAAAGACCGTGTTACAGAATTTTTGGGAGTTTAAATACCCGCTAGAGGATTCCATTGGCTATTTCGGGTATGCCCCATGTAAATGGAGAGGATGAAGTAAAGTTACAAAGTTATTTACGGCATACACCCTATGGAGAGGATATTTCCTGTTATAGCTGAAGTGTGAATTGGCCTTATGTTCCCTGCCTCCAGAGTCTATTGTCCTGCCTCAGATGCAAAAAATGCTTTCCAAGAGTTTGTCAAATCCCAAAGCACAACTTTTTACAATACAGGAATAAACTTATTTCTTGTTGGCAAAAATGTGTTGATTGTAATGGTTCCCATTTTGATTAATAAAGATGTGTTTGAGGCTAGGTGAGGTGGCTCACGCCTGCAATCCCAGTACTTTGGGAGGCTGAGGCAGGCAGATAACCTGAGGTTAGGAGTTTGAGACCAGCCTGGCCAACATGGTGAAACCCCGTCTCTACTAAAAATACAAAAAAATTAAGCTGGGTATGGTGGCACACGGATATAGTCCCAGCTACTCGGGAAGCTGAGACAGGAGAATCTCTTGAGCCCAGGAGTTGGAGGTTGCAGTGAGCTGAGATCACACCACTGCACTCTAGCTGGGCGACAGAGAGAGACAAGAGTCTCTCTCTCTCTCTCTCTCTCTCTATATATATACACACATATATACACACACGTATGTGTGTGTGTTTGAGCACAATTACTTTTGCACCTACATGCTATATGCTTACATATATATTTATATATATACCTATATGTGTACATATACATACACAGTTACATGTTATACCACCAGTCCCCAACTTTTTTGGCACCAGGGACCAGTTTCCTGGAAGACAATTTTTCCACAGGGTTGGGGATTATTTTGGGATGAAACTGTTCAACCTCAGATCATCAGGCATTAGTTAGATTCTCATAAGGAGCACATAACCTAGATCCCTCGCATGTGTAGTTCACAATAGGGTTCGCACTCCTATGGGAATCTAATGCCTCCGCTGATCTGACAGGAGCTGGAGCTCAGGCAGTAATGCTCGCTCACCCACTGCTCACCTGCTGTGCAGCTCTGTTCCTAACAGGCCACAGAGCAGTACGTGTATGTGGCCCAGGGGTTGGAGACTCCTGTGTTATATAGACGTGTTGATGTGTTTTCTCATTGCCAACCCACTTCACCCCTCACAGAATGCAGCAAGGGCAGCGTGGTGAGCAGTGGCTGCTGCCAGCAACATGATCCAGGGCAAATATCTCAAAAGTCTTTCCATTGATTCCAGTTACCTGGCCAGGGACCCTGGTGGAGAGTGTGCCAGCCAAGAGCATGCCTGTGCACAGAGGGACAGCTTTCTCCTCAGAGCCTCACAGCCCCCTGGCAGGACACTCACTTTGCTACCAAAACTTGTCAAAGGCTATTCTGCTAAATAGCATCATCATTTCCTGTGAAGAAAGAAGAAAATCTGGTCGGGCACGGTGGCTCACACCTGTAAACCCAACGCTTTGGGAGGCCAAGGTGGGTGGATCATGAGGTCAGGAGTTCAAGATCAGCCTGACCAACATGGTGAAACCCCATCTCTACTAAAAATTAAAAAAATCGCTGGGAGTGGTGGTGCGCACCTGTAATCCCAGCTACTCAGGAGGCTGAGGCAGGAGAATCCTTTGAACCTGGGAGGCGGAGGTTGCTGTGAGCCAAGATCGTGCCACTGCACTCCAGCCTAGGCGACATAGCAAGACTCTGTCTCAAAACAGACAGAAAGAAAGAGAGAGAGAGAGAGAAAGAGAGAGAGAGAAAGAAAGAAAGAAAGAAAGAGAAAGAAAGAAAGAAAAAAACAAAGAAAGAAAGAAAGGAAAGGAGGAGAAAGAAAGAAAGAGAAAGAAAGAGAAAGAAAGAAAGAAAGAAAGAAAGAAAGAAAGAAAGAAAGAAAGAAAGAAAGAGAAAGAAAGAAAGGAAAGAAAGAAAGGGAGGAGAAGGAAAGAAAGAAAGAAGGAAAAGAAGAAGGAAAGAAAGAAGAAAGAAAGAAAAGAAAAGAAAGAAAGAAAGAAAGAAAGAAAGAAAGAAAGGAGGGAGGGAGGGAGGGAGGGAGGAGGGGAAAATAAGAAAATCTTGCTGGGTGCGGTGGCTCACACCTGTAATCCCAGCACTTTGGGAGGCCAAGGCAGGAGGATCATTTGAGCTTAGGAGTTTGGACCCGGCTGGCCAGCATGGTGAAACCCCATCTCTACTAAAAATACAAAAATTAGTTGGGTGTAGTGGTGCACACCTATGGTCTCAGCTACTCAGAAGGCTGAGGTGGGAGGATCCCTTGAGCCCACAAGGTCAAGGCTGCAGTGAGGTGAGATTGTGCCACTGCACTATAGCCTAGGCAATAGAGCAAGATCCCTGTCTCAAAAAATAAAATTAAAATTAAAAAATGAAGAAGAAAATCTACAAATGGGCTTTTGACATAAACCTTGTAAGAGCTGTTTTTTGTTTCTGTTTTTGTTTTGAGACACAGTCTCGCTCTGTTGTCCAGGCTGGAGGGCAGTGGTGTGATCTTGTCTCACTGCAACCTCCACCTCCCTGGTTCAAGTGATTCTCCTGCCTTAGCCTCCCTGAGTAGCCAGGACTACAGACGTGTGCCACCATGCCCAGCTAATTTTTGTATTTTTAGTAGAGACAGGATTTTGCCATGTTGGCCAGGTTGGTCTTGAAACCCTGACCTCAGGTGATCCGCCAGCCTCGGCCTCCCAAAGTGCTGAGATTACAGGCGTGAGCCACTGTGCCTGGCCTCTGTAAGAACTTTTGAGAAAGTTCTACCTTGGTCATTTACAAGAGAAGAGTTTATGTTTTCATAGAGCAGTCACAGGTAATGATAACTAAATTGTCAAGTTCATTGAAGGATATTAGAGAGATGTCCTGCCTGTGCACAAAGATCAAGAAGCGCATCCTTCTTTTTTTTCAGCTAACATATTTATTACTTGCCATGTATCATGCACTATTTTAGTACTCTACATATATTAACTCACTTAATCCTCAACACAATCCTTTAAGATAGATACATTATTATTTGCATTTTACAGATAAGGAAACTGAGGCATAGAGGTTAAATGACATGGCCAAGGTCACAATGTTAGTAAGTGTTGGAACGAAGATTTGAACCCAAGCCATCTGCCTTCAGAATCCATTCTAATAACTATTCTATAGCATTTTGGTGGGGTTGTTGTTGTTTATCCCTTTACTCATTTGTCTTGGGAAAGATTACTGACCAGAATGGAATACTTGTGTGGCTGGGCCAGCATATACATTTCCCTTTTTTTTTTTTTTTTTTTTTTTGAGATGGAGTCTGGTTCTGTCGCCCAGGCTGGAGTGCCAGGCTGGAGTGCAGTGGCGCAATCTTGGCTCACTGCAAGCTCTGCCTCCTGGGTTCACGCCATTCTCCTGCCTCAGCCTCCTGAGTAGATGGGACTACAGGCGCCCGCCACCACGCCTGGCTAATTTTTTGTATTTTTAGTAGAGATGGGGTTTCACCATGTTAGCCAGGATGGTCTTGATCTCCTGACCTCGTGATCCACTCACCTTGGCCTCCCAAAGTGCTGCGATTACAGGCGTGAGCCACCGTGCCCGGCCCAGCATATATATTTCCTGAGAGAAAAGTCTAGTTGAAAAACAGCCTCGGACAGTCACGGTGGTCCACGCCTGTAATCCTAGCACTATAGGAGGCCAAGGCAGATGGATCGCTTGAAGTCAGGAGTTCGAGACCAGCCTGGGCAACATGGTGAAACCCTGTTTTGAAGAAAAAAAAAAGAAAGAAAAGAAAGAAAGAGAGAAAAAGAGAGAGAGAGAAAGAAAGAGAGAAAAAGAGAGAGAGAAAGAAAGAAAGAAAGAGGTATCAGTTGATATCAAGATATCTGATATCATAGATATCAGTTGCTGGGTTAAAATAGAAATGAAGTGAACAAACTGGAAGATTTCAATGGACCCTGACAGACAAGCTTACACCCCAACTCCTCTCCCTAATTGGATAGGAAGATTTGTGATGGTCAGCCAGCCAGTGGTGAAGACATGGCCAGACTTTTGACTTGGCTCTTACTTGAATTTCTTTCTACAAATAAGCATTTATCCTGTTCCTCGCTACATGCAAAGCACTATCCTAAGTACTAGATTATAGGAGCAGGAAAATAAGAACAAAACATGGTTACTGCCCTCTGGGAGCCTACAGTCTGGGAGGGGATAGAGAAGTAACAGCCAGCTAGAATACTGCAGTTTATCTTATGTTATTGATAATTTTAGTCTGTTGGATGCAATTTGAAAGATGCCTTCTTGACAATATTCTTGATGGAGACATGGGAAATAGCTATTCATTTTTGTTTAGAGACAGGGTTTTGCACTGTTACCCAGGCTGGAGTGCAGTGGCACAATCATAACTCATTACAGCCTCAAACTTTGGCCTCAAGCAATCCTCCTGCCTTGGCCTCCTGAGTAGCTGGGACTACAGGTGTGCATCACCACACCCAGCTAATTTTTTAAAAATTTATTTTTCATTTTTTGTAGATGGTGTCTCACTCTTTTGCCCAGGCTGGTCTCAAACTCCTGACCTCAAGTGATCCTCCTGCCTTAGCCTCCCAAAGCTCTGGGATTACAGGCATGAGCCACCATGCCCAACCCATAAACAGCTTTCATTTATTTGTGCTAGTCACTAAAATGAACAATTACACAGGGTTGCCAGATAAAACACCCAGCTAAATGTGAATGCATACGTTCCATAAAATATTTGGGATATACTTATACTAACAAAAATTGGTTGTTCATTTGAAATTCAAATTTAACTAGCTATTCCAGATTCCTATTTGCTAAGTCTTGTACACAGAGTGTCATTAATCACAATAATTCTGTGAGGTAAGCACTATTATAACCATTTTACAGATCCAGAAACTGAGACATAGCCAGATTACACAATTTGTCCAAAGTCACACATCTATCTACTGACACACATCTAAAAACCAAACTCAGCCTGCTTCGTTTCCACTGATGGCGGTTTTGTGCCTTTTATGTTGATTACTACCATCCTATCACTGAATCCCATTTTCTGACCTTGTTCTCAAATTATCAGAGTATACCCCACTCACTGACCAACATGCAAAGCTCTGGGTTCTGATTTTTTTTTTTTTTTTGAGACAGAGTCTTGCTCTGTCACCCAGGCTGGAATGCAGTGGTGCGATCTTGGCTGACTGCAACCTCTGCCTCCCGAGTTCAAGCGATTCTCCTGCCTCAGCCTTCCAAGTAGCTGGGATTACAGGCATGCGCCACCACGCCCAGCTAATTTTTGTATTTTTAGTAGAGACAGGGTTTCACCATGTTGACCAGGCTGGTTTTGAACTCCTGACCTCAGGTGATCCTCCCGCCTTGGCCTCCCAAAATGCTCGGCTAGGTTCTGATTTTTAAAGTTAAAAAGACCTTCCGGGCCGGGCACGGTGGCTCACACCTGTAATCCCAGCACTTTGGGAGGCCAAGGCGGGTGGATCACCTGAGGTCGGGAGTTTGAGACAAGCCTGACCAACATGGAGAAACCCCATCTCCACTAAAAATACAAAATTAGCCAGGCGTGGTGGCACATGCCTGTAATCCCAGCTATTCTGGAGACTGAGGCAGGAGAATAGCTTGAACCCAGAGGCGCAGGCTGCGGTGAGCCGAGATCGCAACACTGCACTCCAGCCTGGGCAACAAGAGCAAAACTCTGTCTCAAAAAAAACAAAAAACCTTCTGGTGGCCGGGCTCATGCCTGTAATCCCAGCACTTTGGGAGGCCGAAGCAGGCAGATCACGAGGTCAGGAGATTGAGACCATGCTGGCTAACATGGTGAAACCCCGTCTCTACTAAAAATACAAAAAATTATCTGAGCTTGGTAGCGCATACCTGTAGTCCCAGCTACTCAAGAGGCTGAGGCAGGAGAATCACTTGAACCCAGGAGGCGGAAGTTGCTGTGAGCTGAGATTGCACCACTGCACTCCAGCCTAGACGACACAGCGAGACTCCATCTCAAAAAAAAAAAAAAAAAAAAAGACCTTCCAGTATTGTATAAATGAAAAATGGAGGACAGGGGTAGCATTTATTCATTATGGCAAAAATCAGGTCTGTAAATTTCTAAGAATGTGAGTTTCATTGCAATGCACACACAAAACGAATGCACAGCAAGACCAAATGCTAGAAGCACACGAGACCAGAGAACGGGACCAGTATGCAATGCAGCAGCAAAACTGCCCTGGGGGCAGGTTGGCACTGACGGTATTATTAGTTTGCATTCTAGAACAACTGGCCTCATTCTCATTTGAGATTATTGAGACAGCAACAGTCTTGGTTCTTCATATGACAAGGCTGGATGAAAATGAATAGTGAATTTAACTTGGTCCTTTGTGATATCAATGTTTTTGTTGTTGTTGTTGTTGAGATGGAGTCTCGCTCTGTAGCCCAGGCTGGAGTGCAGTGGTGCGATCTCGGCTCACTGCAACCTCCGCCTCCCTGGTTGAAGTGATTATCCTGCCTCAGTAGATGGAATTACAAGCGCCCGCCACCATGCCCAGCTAATTTTTTGTATTTTTAGTACAGACGGGGTTTCACCATATTGGCCAGGCTGGTCTTGAACTCCCAACTACAGGTGATCTGCCTGCCTCGCCCTCCCAAAGTGCTGGGATTACAGGCATGAACCACCACACTCAACAATATTTTTTCTGTACTCCTTCCCACTCCCCGTATCAGTCCTTTTCTCCCCAGGTGCTCAATACAAAACAAAACCCATCTAATAGTGTGCCAAGAATTTGTAATATCACCAGTCTTTCCCTTTAGACTCAAAGCAAAGCAAACAAAGGCTTATCTCCGGCCGGGTGCGGTGGCTCATGCCTGTAATCCTAGCACTTTGGGAGGCCAAGGCAGGTGGATCACCTGAAGTCAGGAGTTCGAGACTAGCCTGGCCAACATGGCAAAACCCCATCTCTGCTAAAAATAGAAAAATTAGCCGGGCATGATGGCGCACACCTGTAATCCCAGCTACTCAGGAGGGTAAGGAAGGAGAATGGCTTGAACCTGGGAGGTGGAGGTTACTGTGAACTGAGATCACGCCACTGCACTCCAGCCTGTGCAACAGGAGCAAGACTCCATCTCAAAAAAAAAAAAAAAAAAAAGGCTTATTTCCTGATAAGACTTAACCTGCTTATCAAAAGTTCAACATTCTGACTGCCCTCAGAGGCTTAAAAAAAAAAAAAAAGGAAGGAAGAAAGAAAGAAAGAAAAGAAAAGAGTGGAAAAAAAGTTAGTAGCCTTGAATTTTAAGTTATCAACATAAGACAAAACTACTTTAATTTTCTCCATTTTTTTCTTTCTCTTATCAGAAAAGGGAGTTTTCATGACCATGACCTAGGATTTGCTTCTAATTATACAAGGTTGAGCCACAGGTTATAAATGGTTGGCCAGGCACGGTGTCTCACGCCTGTAATCCCAGCATTTTGGGAGGCTGGGGCGGCAGATTGCTTGAGTTCAGGAGTTTGAGACCAGCCTGGGCAACATGGCAAGAACCTGTCTATACAAAAAAATACAAAAATTAGCCAGGTGTGGTGGCACACTTGTAATCCCAGCTACTCGGGAGACTGAGGCAGGAGGATCAATTGTGCCCAGAAGGTAGAGGCTGCAGTGAGCCATGATTGCATCACTGCACTCTAGCCTGGGCAACAGATGGAGACCATGTCTCAAAAATAAAGAAATGAAAACATGGTTGAAGGCTGGCGCAGTGCCTCATGCCTGTAATCCCAGCACCTTGGAAGGCAGAGGTGGGCAGATGACTTGAGCCCAGGAGTTCGACTAGCCTGGGCAAAATGACTTTTTAAATTACAAAAAGTAATTTTTTACTTCTCTACAAAAAGACTTTTTAAATTAACCAGGCGTGGTGGCTCACACCTGTAGTTCCATCTACTTGGGAGGCTGAGGTGGGAGGATCACTTGAGCCCAGGAAGTCAATGCTGCAGAGAGCCGTGTTCTTGCCACTGCACTCCAGCCTGGGTGACAGAGCCAGACCCTGTCACAAAAAAATAAAAGGCCAGGTGCGGTGGCTCACGCCTGTAATCCCAGCACTTTGGGAGGCCGAGGCGGGTGGATCATTTGAAGTCAGGAGTTCGAGACCAGCCTGGCCAACATGGTGAAACCCCATCTCTACTAAAAATACAAAAATTAGCTGGGCGTGGTGGTGCATGCCTGTAATCCCAGCTACTCGGGAGGCTGAGGCAGGAGAATCGCTTGAACCCAGGAGGCGGAGGTTGCAGTGAGCCAAGATCACACCACTGCACTCCAGCGTGGGTGACAGAGCAAGACTCTGTCTCAAAAAACAATAAATAAATAAAAAATAAAAAAATAAAATGACCAGAAATAAAAATGATCAAAGATCAGCAATTTCATATGGTTCAACCTAGTATAAATACACATGATATATAAATGAATGCAATCCTCCCTCATTCTTCTGGATCTTCATAACACTAACGGACAAAAAAAAATCTCTCAAGTTGCCTAGTTACCTGCACTATATACACCCAAATATGGATCTTAGAAATTGTGGAATAGCAGAAAGTGAATGGTGGCAAGGGGAATACTCATGGAAAATTAGAACAAATTATAGATTCCAGCCTTGACTATAATTACACAAACCATGAAAAGCTGCCCTTGAGAACATTCCAAATCACATGGCTCAAAGAGCCAAAAATACTTCTGGCCAAAGAGCTCTTCCTTTTCATTTTACTAGTAAGCTATAATTTTTAGTTCATCCTTCAGGCAAGGGTAGACAACAAGATAAAAGTACATTTATGAAGAAAACTGCCATTTTCCTTGATATACTCCTTGCTACTTAAGTAAATATCTTGGAGCTGGGACTGTTTATCTTCATTGTTCATGTTTTGGGTCACTTGCTTCACTACTTATCATTGGCATTGTTTTATCCTTATTGATTCTAAGATCCTTATAACAGGGAACATTATTAGGTTTGTACAACTTTGAGGAAATGAGTCACAACTAAAATATGCAATAGGTTTACTTTACCTAATGGGTAGAAGGAAGGAAGTGAGCAGCATCTCCTGCAGGTTCTTCACTTCCTAAAGTGATTATTATAGTCACCTATAATTAGTAAGTGCCAACAAATTTAGTTTACTTGCCATAAACCAATATACACCAGCAATCTCAACTGTGGTCTAAGCAATAGTATTGGAAACACTTGTGGGGTACAGTTTAAGCGGTCCTTAGAGGGAAATATTTAGTCTTCAGTGTTTGTATTGAAAAATTAAAAATAAGTCCGGGTGTTGTGGCTCATGCCTATAATACCAGCTACTAGGAAGGCTGAGGCAGGAGGATCACTTGAGGCCAGAAGTTTGAGATGAGCCTGGGCGATATGGCAAAACCCCATCTTTAGAAAAACAACAGCTGGGCGCGGTGGCTCATGCCTGTGATCCCAGCACTTTGGGAGGCCGAGGCGGGCAGATCACGAGGTCAGGAAATTGAGACCATCCTGGCTAACACGGTGAAACCCCGTCTCTGCTAAAAATACAAAAACTTAGCCCGGTGTGATGGTGGGCGCCTGTGGTCCCAGCTACTCGGGAGGCTGAGGCAGGAGAACGGTGTGAACTGGGAAGGTTGAGCTTGCAGCGAGCCGAGATTGTGCCACTGCACTCCAACCTGAGCGACAGAGTGAGACTCCGTCTCAAAAAAAAAGAAAAGAAAAGGGTAAACCTGTGTACTTTTTTTTTTTTGGTTTTGTTGTTATTGTTGTTTTTTGAGACAGGGTCTCACTCTGCCACACAGGCTGGAGTGCAGTGGCACAAACTCAACTCACTGCAGCTTTGACCTCCAGGGCTCAAGCAATCCTCCTGCCTTAGCCTCCCTAATAGCTGGGACTACAGGCATTGGCCACCAGACCTGGCTAATTTTTTAACTTTTTATGGAGATGGGGTCTTGCTAGGTTGCCCGGGCTGATCTCAAACTCCTGGGCTCAAGTGATCCTCCCACCTTGGTCTCCCAAAGGGTTGAGATTACAGGCATGAGTCACCATGCCCAGCCAACCTGTGTATGTTATATACTAGATTTGATAAAGAAATAGATCATAATGAATAGACTAAGGGGGTATGATCTAATGGTAATATGCTGGGGGGGATATTTAGCAAGGCCTCTTTTTCAGTTGTTGTTGTTGGGGTTTTTTTTCTTTTTTTCTTTTTTTTTTTTAGATGGAGTCTTCTGTCACCCAGGCTACAGTGCAGTGGTGTGCTCTCAGCTCGCTGCAACCTCTGTCTCCCAAGTTCAAGCAATTCTCCTGCCTCAGCCTCCGGAGTAGCTGGGATTACAGGCACGTGCCACCACACCCAGCTAATTTTTTATATTTTTTTTAGTAGAGATAGGGTTTCACCATGTTGGCCAGGCTGGTCTTGAACTCCTGACCCCAAGTGATCCATCCACCTTGGCCTCCCAAAGGGCTGGAATTACAGGCAAGAGCCACCGAGCCCAGCCACAAGGCCTCTTTGTTCAGCATCTTCTCTGTGTCCGTGTGTCTTCAGAAATAAGGATGTTCCTTTCCTCTGGATATACAGAGGGTTTATTTTTATTTATTTATTTATTTTTTGTCAGATGGAGTCTTGCTCTATCACCCAGGCGGAAGTGCATTGGCACAGTCTCGGCTCACTGCAACCTCTGCCTCCCAGGTTCAAGCAATTCTCCTGCCTCAGCCTCCAAAGTAGCTGGGACTACAGGTGTGCACCACCATGCCTGGCTAATTTTTGTATTTTTAGTAGAGATGGGGTTTTGCCATGTTGGCCAGGCTGGTCCCGAACTCCTGACCTCAGGTGATCCACTCACCTCGGCCTCCCAAAGAGCTGGGATTACAGGCATGAGCCACTGCGCTGGGCCTTATTTCTAATTTAATATAGCATACATTCCCGTGAACATGTATAAAACTTTATGAAAGTTTGTCCCCTGGAAATTTTTTTTTTTTTGAGACAGAGTCTTGCTCTGTCGCCCAGGCTGGAGTGCAGTGGTGCAGTCTCGGCTCACTGCAAGCTCTGCCTCCCGGGTTCATGCCATTCTCCTGCCTCAGCCTCCTGAGTAGCTGGGACTACAGGCGCCCGCCACCACGCCCAGCTAATTTTTTGTATTTTTAGTAGAGATGGGGTTTCACTGTGTTAGCCAGGATGGTCTCAATCTCCTGACCTCGTGATACGCCCGTCTCGGCCTCCCAAAGTGCTGGGATTACAGGTGTGAGCTACTGCATTCGGCCTTTTTTTTTTTTTTTTAGACGGATTTTCCCTCTTGTTGCCCAGGCTGGAGTGCCTGTTCCTGAGGTCAGGAACTGGAGACTAGCCTGGCCAACGTGGTGAAACCCTGCCTCTACTAAAAATACAAAAATTAGCTGGGCATGGTGACGGGCACCTGTAATCCCAGCTACTCAGGAGGCTGAGGCAGAAGAATTGCTTGAACCCAGCAGGCAGAGGTTGCAGTGAGCTGAGATTGGGCCACTGCACTCCAGCCTGGGCAACAGGGTGAGACTCCAACTCAAAAGTTAAATAAAATGAAATAAAAATAAATAAAAACATTGATGGGGCCAGGTCTGGTGGCTCACGCCTGTAATCCCAGCACTTTGGGAGGTCAAGGCGGGCAGATCACCTGAGGCTTGAAGTTCGAGATCAGCCTGGCTAACATGGTGAAACCCCATCTCTACGAAGAATACAACAATTAGAGGGCTGAGGTGGGAGGATTGCTTAAGCCTGGGAGTTCGAGGCTACAGTAAGCCAAGATGGCACCACTGTATTCCAGCCTAGGTGACAAAGTGAGGCCCTGTCTCAAAAAAATAATTAAATAAATAATTACACCGATGGAAAATCAGGTTGTTTTCATTTTTTAGTATCATACAAATAAAGCTGCAGTGCATATCTCTGTACATGTAGATTTATTCCATTCTCAAACAACTCTTATTTATTCAGAACCTACTATGTGCTAGTCACAGTTCTAGGCATTGGATACAGCAGTACGTTAAACATGATTTTTACCCTGATAGGGCTCACATTCTAGTGGGAGTAGACAGAAGAGTTAAATAAGTGGGAAACATATTAGATAGTGATTAGTGTTGTGAAGAAAAATTGAAAAATTTTAGGACATTTAATAATTTTTTTAGGCTGGATCAAAAATATTCTCTTGATCCTTCTGGTCTCAAACTCCTGGGTTCAAGCAATCCTCCTGCCTCAGAGTCCTGAGTAACTGGGACTAGAGACACATGCCATCACGTAGGGGGTTAATTTAAAATAGTATAATTAAGAGAATGCCTCACTTAGAAAATGACATTTGTGTGAAAACCTGAAGGAAGTATGGAAACAAATCACGTGGTCAGCTGAGGGAAGAGGATTCCAGATGGAGGGAAGAAAGTGTGCAAAAGCCCTAAAGCAAGACATCATCTGAGGTTTCCAGGGACCTCATCCGGGAATGGCAAGGAGGCAAGTATGGCTGAACCCAGAGAGGGAGGAGGAAGGTGGTGGGAGATGAGGTCAGTAGTGTAGATGAGGTCAGCAATGTAGGTGAGTTCAGATGCAGAAGGCCTCACCAGCCATTGAAAGGATTTTGGCTTTAACTGTAACATAAGGTGGGTAGCCTGGGATGGTTTTGGGTTTTTGGTTTTTTGTTTGTTTGTTTGTTTGTTTGTTTGAGATGGAGTCTCGCTCTGTCACCCAGGCTGGAGTGCAGTGGCGCGATCTCGGCTCAATGCAACCTCCGCCTCCCAGGTTCAAGTTATTCTCCTGCCTCAGCCTCCTGAGTAGCTGGGATTACAGGCGCACACCACCACGCCCGGCTAATTTTTGTATTTTTAGTAGAGAAAGGGTTTCACTATGTTGGTCAGGCGGGTCTCAAACTCATGACCTCATGATCTGCCCGCCTCGGCCTCCCAAGGTGTTGGAGTTACAGGTATAAGCCACCGCGCCCAGCCCAGGAGGATTTTAAGTAATGACAGGATTTGATTTGTGATTTAATAGGATCACTCTGGTTATTGTCCTGAGGATAGCCTGAAGAAAGGTAAGCCGCCAGGCGTGGTGGCTCACACCTATAATCCCAGAACTTTGGGAGGCTGAGGCGGTGGATGACCTGAGGTCAGGAGTTTGAGACCAGCCTGACCAACATGGTAAAACCCCATCTCTACTAAAAATACAAAAATTAGCTAGGTGTGGTGGTGCACGCCTCTAATCCCAGGTGAGACAGAAAGGGAGAAATTGAGTGTATCTCTAAGATATCTGACCTAAGTAACAGGAAGGGTGGAAGACTCATTAACTGAAATAAGGAA
The DNA here is from genome assembly GCF_000001405.40 of Homo sapiens. NCBI lineage: Eukaryota > Metazoa > Chordata > Mammalia > Primates > Hominidae > Homo > Homo sapiens. The sequence goes on from NC_000006.12 coordinate 107,026,317, forward strand.
TGCTGTGGGAGGAACGCATTGAGACCCGGATCTGGGTTTTGGTCCTATCAAGTTTGAGATTTCCGTTAGATTTCCAAGTGAAGATGTTAAGTAGGCAGTTGTAGTCTTGAATGCAAGAGAATGATCTCGGCTCGCAATACAAATTTGAGGATCGTCCATATATAGATAATATTTAAAGCCACGAAATTGTTGGAGATCGACTGGGGAACTAGGATAGATAAAAAGGAAAAAGATTAGAGGTCTAAGTATGGGGCACTTACTCTTTGGCATTCTAAGGATGTAATGAAAAAACAGCTGGCTGGGAGTGGTGGCTCATGCCTGTAATCCCAGCACTTTGAGATGCCAAGGCAGGTGGATCACTTGAGGTCAGGAGTTTGAGACAAGCCTGGCCAATATTGGTGAAACCCTGTCTCTATTAAAACTACAAAAATTAGCCGGGCATGGTGGTGCGTACCTGTAGTCCCAACTACTAAGGAGGCTGAGGCAGGAGAATCGCTTGAACCCGAGAGTGAAGGTTGCAGTGAGCAGAGATCATGCCATTGCACACCAGCCTGGGGGCCAGAGCAGGCCTCATTCTCAAAAACAAAAAAACAAAACAAAACAAAAGAAAAAACAGGGAAGAAGATTAAGTGGCAAGTGAGGTAGGTGAAACCAATGGGGTATCCTATAACTCAAGTAAGTTGAGGAATGAGACCAGACCTTTGGATTTACATTGCAGAGGTCATCTGTGACTTTGACTAGAAGTTTTGTTAGAATGTTGCAGGGTGACATCTTGTTTGGTGTATGAGTCAGAGTTCTCCACAGACAGACCTAATGAGAGAGGGATGGATGGATGGATGGATGGATGGATGGACGAATGGATGGATAGTTGGTTGGGAGGGAAAGGGGAATTGGCTCACGTGTAAATTGCGTTGGTCTTGAAAAGATGTTTCCTTAAACTGCGAGTCTGACGTATTTGCACATTTTTCTGGAAACAACGCCTATATCTCTTGGAGATGTTCAAAGAGGGCGGGCTCGGTGGCTTACACCTGTAATCCCAGCACTTTAAGAGGCTGAGGCTGGAAGATCGCTTCTCTTGAGTCCCAGCCTGGGCAATATGGCGAAACCCCATCTCTACAAACAAAACAAAACAAAACAAAAATTAGCAGGCCGTGGTGGCACACACCTGGAGTCCCAGGTACTGGGGAGGCTGAGGTGGGGAGAACAGCTTGAGCCTGGGTAGCAGAGGTTGCAGTGAGCCGAGATCGCACCATTGCACTCCGGGCAACAGAGTGAGACCCTGTCAAAAAAAAAAATGTTCAAAGGGGTTAGTGGTCCCAGAGAAAGGATCACTTCATTAATAATTAAGATGATTAGCCGGTCATGGTGGCTCACGCCTGTAGTCCCAGCTACTTAGGAGACTGAGGAACGACAATCGCTTGAACCCGGGAGGCGGAGGTCGCAGTGAGCTGAGATTACGCCGCTGCACTCCAGCCTGGGCAAGAGTGAGACTCGGTTTCAAAAAAAAAAAAAAAAGAAAAAAGAATTAAGATGGCCGGGCGCGGTGGCTCACGCCTGTAATCCCAGCACTTTGGGAGGCCGAGGAGAGCGGATCACGAGGGCGGGAGATCGAGACCATCCTGGCTAAAACGGTGAAACCCTGTCTCTGCTAAAAACACAAAAAAATTAGCCGGGCGTGGTGGTGGGCGCCTGTAGTCCCAGCTACTCAGGAGGCTGAGGCAGGAGAATGGCGTGAACCCGGGAGAATGGTGTGCCCCGAGCCTACTTCCCGCGCAGTCCTCCAAGACGCGGCCTCCAGCAGGGGTCGCTGCTTCGCTGCCGCCCTGGCCTCGCGCCCCGCCCGACCCGCTCTCACTGCGCCGGCGCCGGCGGAAGGGGCGGGGCGCAGATAGGGGTAGCCTGGAGGCCTGCAGTCCGCGCGGCCGCGGGGAGGGACGAGAGGGCCTGACGTACAGGTGAGTGCGCCTCTGCTGGCGCGCCGCGCCGGGCCCCCTGCCCGCGCCCCCTGTCACTTCGCCTCTCCGCCCCGCCCACGCTCCCGCCGGGTCTCCCCGTGAGTGTCCCGTGTCCTGCCAGCCTCGGGACGCCCCGCGAGCTCAGGGCTGCGCAGGGACTGTGGTAATTGAGCGCGGCGAAGCCTTCCGTTCCTGCCTCCTGTCGCTCCTGCTGGCTCCGAATGCAGACTGCGAACCCGGGGACGCAGTTGTCCATTTCCTTTGACCTTGGGGACCCAGGAAGGTGCACTGCCCGCGGGGGTGGGGAGGGAGCGAGAGGAATCCGACCCTGTCTCAGCCCACAGCCTCCGAGGTCTCCAAGTAAAGGGAAGGATCTTTAGCTGCATTAGACTTCAAAGCGTTTAGACCAGTTTCTCCATCTTACGGAGCGGTGAACGGGCTCAGGAATGTGGAGCGTTTCCTGGCGTCAAGCAGGTCAAAGTCAGCGCTGCTTTTTTTACAGACACTGCTTTTCTTACAGTCTTCGGTTAGTTCAGATTGTATACCTCTCCTGAAGATGTCACCCAAAACCTCCTATGGGATTCTGCCGTGATCATCTCTCCACTCATCCCACACCAACGCCAAAGAGATCTTTTAAAATGAACTTCCATCAGGTCACTTCCCAGGGTCCATCATTGCGTGTTCTTTTCCTGATTCATTCGAATGCACCCGTCCTCCTGATCAATTTTTATTCCACAGGGTGTTGTTTTGTTTTGTTTTGTTTTGTTTTTTTGAGACGGAGTCTTGCTCTGTCGCCCAGGCTGGAGTGCAATGGCGGGATCTCGGCTCACTGCAAGCTCCGCCTCCCAGGTTCACGCCATTCTCCTGCCTCAGCCTCCCCAGCAGCTGGGACTACAGGCGCACACCGCCACACCCGGCTATTTTTTTTTTTTTTGAGACGCAGTCTCGCTCTGTCGCCCAGGCTGGAGTGCAGTGGCGCGATCTCTGCTCACTGCAAGCTCCGCCTCCCGGGTTCACGCCATTCTCCCGCCTCAGCCTCCCGAGTAGCTGGGACTACAGGCGCCTGCCACCACGCCCGGCTAATTTTTTGTATTTTTAGTAGAGACGGGGTTTCACCGTGTTAGCCAGGATGGTCTCGATTTCCTGACTTCCTGATCCGCACGCCTAAGCCTCCGACAGTGCTGGGATTACAGGCGTGAGCCACCGCGCCCGGCCTGTTTTGTTGTTTTTTTTTTTGACACTCGCTCTGTCGCCGAGGCTAGAATGCACTGGTGTGAACTCGGCTCACTGCAGCCTCCCCCTCCCAGGTTCAAGCGATTCTTCAGCCTCAGCCTCCCAAATAGCTGTGACTACAGGTGTGCACCACCACGCTTGGCTAATTTTTGTATTTTTAGTAGAGACGAGGTTTCACCATGTTGACCAGGCTGGTCTTGAACTCCTGGCCTCAAGTGATCCGCCCGCCTCAGCCTCCCCAAGTACTGGAATTACAGGCATGAGCCACCGCGCCCATACTATTTTTATTTTAGATCTCACTGTGTTGCCCAGGCTGATCTCAAACTCTTGGACACAAGCGAGTCTCCTGCCTTGGCCTCCCAAAGTGCTGGGATTATAGGCGTGAGCCACCTGCCTGACCTCATCTTGCCCTCTCAATCCCCCTTACCCTGCTCCACTTTCTTCCCCCAGTGCATTAACCACCAGCTATCATATAATTTACAGGGTGTTTTTTTTTTTGTCTACCTGTTTCCCCTACTAGACTATAAACTCTACAAGAATAGGAATCTTCGTATTTTTTTCCTCTGCTGAATTCCTAGTGCCCAGATTAGTGCTTGGCACATGGTAAGTGCTTAATTAAGGGGAGGATGCCAGTGTTGCTGAAGCTGAATTTGCAAGAGTCAAATTGGCAGATGAGGTTGGAGAGGAAATGGGGGTTGAGGGAGCACCAGATCCTATAGAGCCTTTAGACCATCGTAGAGACTTTGCTGTTCTCTGAGTGCTTTGGTAGGGATTTGAGGAAAGGAGTGACATCGTATGAATGACTTTATTATGTGCCCACGTGGAGGTGTCAAATAGGCAGCTATTGTGTTGCAGGTCCCCAGGTTCATTGATTCACTAAGAGGACTCAAAAGACTCAGCACGTAGTCATACTCACAGCTGTGATTTATTATAGCAAAAGGATACAAAGCAAAATAAGCAAAGGGAAAAGATGCATGGGACACAGTCTGGAGGAAACCCGGTGCAGTCTTCTAAGAGTCCTCTCCTAGTGGAGTCACATGGGGTATGCTTAATTCTTGCAGCATCAAATTATGACAAGACGTGAGAGATCTATCAGGAAAGCTTGTAGAGCTCATTTTTCCAATAAAAAGTCACATAGGCACTGTCTGCCTAGAATGTGCCAAAATTTCCGCCGCCCAGAAAAAAAGCAGGTGTTTAGAATCACATTGTACAGTTTCCAGCACAGTGAGCCACTCTTATCCAGGTGGGAATTGTGGGAACCCTCGTGAAGTTCAAGTTCTGAGACACTAGCCAAGGGCCAACTTTGCAAGCAGGCATTCTAAGGATAGCAGTCTCAGGCCTGTTATGTTAACTCGTTTCTGCACAGATGTACGAGTCTGGAATTTGGGAGAAAGTTCTGGAATGGGGATATAGATTAGGGTGTGGTTGGCATATAGGTGGTATTTAAAGCCACAGAAATGATTGATGTCTTGATAATGCATTTGTAAGAACTAATTGGGTACATTTAAGAGCTGAGCTGGATAAAGTGAATGTAGAAGAGAAGAGGACCAAAGATAGAGCCCTGGGCCGCTCCAACTTTAAGATATCAGGGAGGGCCGGGCACAGTGGCTCAGGCCTGTAATCCTAGCACTTTGGGAGGCTGAGGTGGGCGGGTCACTTGAGGTCAGGATTTCCAGACCAGCCTGGCCAAGGTGGTGAAACCCTGTGTCTACTAAAAATATAAAAAGTGGCCGGGTGTGGTGGTGGGCGCCTGTAATCCCAGCTACTCTGGAGGCTGAGGTGGGAGACTATGGCTTGAACTGGGGAGGCAGAGGTTGCAGTGAGCCAAGATCGCGCCACCCACTGCATTCCAGCCTGGGCAACAGAGGAAGACCCTGTCTCAAAAAAAAAAAAAAGAAAAAAAAAGAAAAAAGGAGAAGAGAAGGAGGCAGCAAAGGAGTCTTTTCTTTTTTTTTTTTTTGAGATAGAGTTTCGCTCCTGTTGCCCAGGCTGGAGTGCAATGGCTTCGGCTCACTGCAGCCTCCGCCTCCCAGGTTCAAGTGATTCTCCTGCCTCAACCTCCTGAGTAGCTAGGATTACAGATGCCTGCCATCGTGCCCAGCTATTTTTTTTTTTTGAGACGTCTCACTCTTGTTGTCCAGGCTGGAGTGCAATGGCGCAATCTCAGCTCACTGCAACCTCTGCCTCCCGGGTTCAAGCGGTTCTCGTGCCTCATCCTACTGAGTAGCTGGGATTACAGGCACGTGCCACCACATTCAGCTAATTTTTGTATTAGTAGTAGAGACAGGGTTTCTCCATGTTGGTCAGGCTGGTCTCGAACTCCCGACCTCAGGTGATCCACCCACCTCGGCCTCCCAAAGTGCTGGGATTACAGGCATGAGCCACCGTGTCCGGCCAGCAGAGGAGTCTTGAGAAGCAGCAGCCACAGGAGAGACAGGAAGAAAACCAAGAGTAAGGTGTCTTGGCGACCAAGTGAAGAAGAGAGGCGTGATCGGTTTTTTCAAGTGCTGCTGAGGAGTCAATTAAGATGAGGACTAACATGACCTTTTGGATTTAGAAAATGAAAGGAGTGGAATTGAGGAGAGTTAGACAACTGTTTTGAGAAGTTTTATGGTAAAGAGGAGCAAGAAAAGAGGTGGTAGCTGGGGAGGAGTGGAGGCAAGAGGTTTGTGTAATTGCTTGCTTTTGAATGAGACAAAAGTAACAGCATCCTCTCCTTTACTATAGCCACCCCCACGTTGATTCATTTCCTCACATATGCCAAGTGCCTGGCTAGGCCTTGGTAAAACACGCAATTCTTGTCATCAGGGAACTGCCATTTAAGTGGAATGTGGGCAAGTAAACTGACTGCCAGGGCACACATGTAAAAGCAGGTCCAGGGGAGGTTGAACCCTGCATCAGCTGGAGCTCAGAGCAAGAATGCCTGAGCTGGGTGCAGTGGATCACGCCTGTAATTCCAGCACTTTGGGAGGCCGAGGCAGGCGGATTACAAGGTTAGGAGTTCGAGACCAGCCTGGCCAACATAGTGAAACCCCATCTCTGCTAAAGATGCAAAAATTAGCCAGGCGTGGTGCCGTGTGCCTGTAGTCCCAGTTACTGGGGAGGCTGAGGCGGGAGAATTGCTTGAACCCAGGAGGCGGAGGTTGCAGTGAGCTGAGCACTGCACACCAGCCCGGGTGACAGTGCAAGACTCCATCTCAAAAAAATAAAAAAATGCCTGAGCATCCTTGAATGCTCATCCTCATTCATCCTTGAATGAGAGAAAAATAACAGCATGCCAATGGACTGGTCCATTATCAAGCAAAAAAATCACTGTTGTAACTTGATATTTCCCCATAGCTCGGTTTCAGGCCACCTTTGCTCTCAGAACTTTGTAGGCATCCTTGCTCTGCGCTCCAGCTGGTGCAGGGTTCAGCCTCCCCGGACCTGCTTTCACATCTGTGCCCTGGCAGTCAGTTTACTTGTCCACATTCCACTTAAATGGCAGTTCCCTGGTGACAAGGACTGTGTGTTTTATACCAAGGCCTACCCAGGAACTTGGCATATGTGGGCGAACGAGTGATTGTAGGGGTGGCTATAGTAATGGGCAGGATGCTCATTTCATTTCTAGAAATTGAATCTGCAACCATTCACTGGTTTTGGTATGTCCTGAGCAGAGGAGTGAAGAACAGGGCACTGTGTAGTCCCTATCACTACACTTAGAGTTTGGGAGATAATTTGTGACTTAATTCAAAAGTAACAAAAAAATGTGTAGTGTTGGTGCAACCAGAGTATGGAAAAGGGCATGTGGGGCATGGCTTGGTAGAGGAGGATGTGACTCGTGTGGAGTCTGGAGGAAGAGGAGACCATGACAAAGGGACAGGAATTTTTCAGTAGTAGATTTTTTTTTTTTTTCAAGTGAGCTATAAGGAACCCAGTATTCTCCAGTGCTGCTTTGGCTTGAGAGGAGCTGGGTGCCTGGTTAGCTTTCTTCTCTGGCACCCCCACTTCCAACTCAGGGCTCCCCTGACCAGTTTCAAAGTCCTGAGGCAGGGCCGGGCACGGTGGCTCACGCCTGTAATCCCAGCACTTTGGGAGGCTGAGCTGGGCAGATCACGAGGTCAGGAGATCAAGACCATCCTAGCTAACATGGTGAAACCCCGTCTCTACCAAAGATACAAAAAATTAGCCGGGCGTGGTGGCGGGTGCCTGTACTCCCAGCTACTTGGGAGGCTGAGGCAGGAGAATGGCAGGAACCTGGGAGGCAGAGCTTGCAGTGAGCTGAGATTGTACCAATGCACTCCAGCCTGGGCGACAGAACAAGACTCCGTCTCAAAAATAATAATAATAATAACAAAGTTCTGAGGCAGAATCTGGGTCCTCCCTTGTGACCCTGAGTGCCCACTGCTAACAACTACAAATGGTCATCATCTCCAGCAAGAATTAGCTTAATGTGTTTCCTCAATTTTATGTTTTTAATGAATTTTATCTAAGCTTCCAACATTTGCCAATGTTTGCCTGCTAGAAAGTTAAGCTGATCACAATGAGAGGTAGTGAGTAGCTAATAAACACAAGGGAATACGTGGCTTGACATTTTGGTATGTTTGTTGAATTTACAAGTGCACCTGATTCTAAATAGTTATTTTCTGCAAGGAAAGGTTTCCTAATGCAGGTAGCAGAGAGCCACATCATATCTAGGCATTCCTCAAAGTAAACAACGGTACGGTATAAAGCTAGGACTTTTCTCAAAGTCAGGAAAAGAGTGTAAAAAAGATACTGAAAAACATAAAAATAGAACTTATGGATGGGGAGTGTGGGCACCCAGGGTCTGACACAGAAACAGGACTACTTCCCTTCCCTAGGTGTCTCCTCTTAGGATATTTTCTAAGTTGGGGCAACAGTTCCTCCCACTCTTCTACCCCTGAAAACTATCTGTTCTCTCTGGTATTGCACTGGTTGGTGAGTTTTTATTCCAGAAAAAAAAAAGGAAAATAGATGTCAGGGTGTGGAAGAAAGAGTGCTTAACTTGGAGTCAGAACACTGATGGACAGTTCAGCATGGTAGTAATGAGTCTAGGCTTTGCAGCTCGGATGCCTAGATTTGAAGAGTATCTGTGTGACCCTATAACTGAGATGGGCTTGTCGCAAGGAACAAATGAGTTAACGTGTAGAGCAATGCCTGGCCCACGGTGAAAACAATGAGCTTTAAGGAGACTTGACCTTGGTCGGGTGCGTTGGCTCATGCCTGTAATCCTAGCACTTTGGGAGGCCAAGGTGGGCAGATCACCTGAGGTCGGGAGTTCAAGACCAGCCTGACCAACATGGAGAAACCCCGTCTCTACTAAAAATACAAAATTAGCCAGGCGTGGTGGCACATGCCTGTAATCCCAGCTACTAGGGAGGCTGAGGCAGGAGAATCACTTGAACCTGGAAGGCGGAGGTTGCAGTGAACCGAGATCACACCATTGCACTCCAACCTGGGCAACAAGAGTGAATCTCCGTCTTAAAAAAAAAGAAGACTTGACCTTGGGATCCTAGCCCTGTCATTTACTAGCTGTGCCACTTAGCGTATTCTTAAATTGCTTCAACTTTTGTTTGTACTCATCTGCAAAATGAGGGAACTGCACAAGGTCATCCCTCAGAGGGTGCTTTTTTTTTTCTTATTTTTGAGATGGAGTTTCACTCTTGTTGCCCAGGCTGGAGTGCAATGACACAATCTCGGCTCACCGCAACCTCCGCCTCCCAGGTTCAAGCAATTCTCCTGCCGCAGCTTCCCAAGTAGCTGGGATTACAGGCACGCACCACCATGCCCAGCTAATTTTGTATTTTTAGCAGAGACCGGGTTTCTCCATGTTAGGCTGGTCTCAAACTCCCAAACTCAGGTCATCAGTCCACCTCAGCCTCCCAAAGTGCTGGGATTACAGGCATGAGCCACCTAAGTAAAACTTTGAATAATGACTCTAGGACTTAAGACCAACACAGACTTCCTGGGGATGATGTTAGAGAGCTCTGGCCACCTATGGCTAAACCTTCCTGTGTGTTTTGGGTGGTTGGGAGAGTATGAGAGGCTGTGCTTATGAGTTAATTATTTTTCTTCAGATTTTACATTGTGAAGGATCTATGCCAAAATCTTACAGTGGTTAACATAGAGTGGAGTATGGCTGGTTTTAATTTTCTTTTTTTGAGATGGAGTTTCGCTCTTGTTGCCCAGGCTGGAGTGCAATGGCACAATCTTGGCTCACTGCAACCTCAACCTCCTGGGTTCAAGCGATTCTCCTGCCTCAGCCTCCCGAGTAGCTGAGATAACAGGCACCCACCACCATGCCTGGCTAATTTTTGTGTTTTTAGTAGAGATGGGGTTTCACCATGTTGGCCAGGCTGGTCTCAAACTCCTGACCTCAGGTTATCTGCCAGCCTTGGCCTCCCAAAGTGCTGGGATTACAGGTGTGAACCACCACACCCGTCCAGTTTTCTTCATATTTTTTCAAATTTTCTACATGAAAATTTATTTTATATACATATAATCAGAAATTTTATGAAAAAATATTATTGCATATAGGGGGTATACTCAACCTTTCCTAGTTATGACTTTTGGGGGGGCATCTAATTTAAATGTATTATTAATGCCCCGATATTCAAATATACTACTGTTGGCAACACTGGGCCGTGGCTATACAAACCTGTGACAAAGTTTTCCTAGACCCACAGTGAGAAAAATAAATGACAATAGTTGATTTCTTATAATGCAAAATTTATTCATCTTAAAGAAGTTTAATTCTGGCCGGGCACTGTGGCTCACACCTATAATCTCAGCACTTTGGGAGGCTGAGGCGGACAGATCACCTGAGGTCAGGAGTTCCAGACGAGCCTGACCAATATGGAGAAACCCCATCTCTACTAAAAATACAAAATTAGCCAGACGTGGTAGCGCATGCCTGTAATCGCAGCTGCTCAGGAGGCTGAGGCAGGAGAATCACTTGAACCCAGGAGGCAGAGGCAGTGAGCCGAGATCGAGCCGTTTCACTCCAGCCTGGGCAAACAAGAGCGAAACTCCATCTCAAAAAAAGTTGTTTAATTCTGGCTGGGTGCGGTGACTCACGCCTCTAATCCCAGCACTTTGGGAGGCCGACGCAGGCAGATCACGAGGTCAGGAGATCGAGACCATCCTGTCTAACACGGTGAAACCCGTCTCTACTAAAAATACAAAAAAATTAGTTGGGCGTGGTGGTGGGCACCTGTAGTCCCAGCTACTCGGGAGGCTGAGGCAGGAGAATGGCGAATGGCGTGAACCCAGGAGGCGGAGCTTGCAGTGAGCTGAGATCGCGCCACTGTACTCCAGCCTGGGCGACAGAGTGAGACTCCGTCTCAAAAAAAAAAAAAAAAAGTGGTTCAATTCTGAGATTATGTCCTTCCTACTCTTTTGGCATGAAATCTTTCTTGGAGTCCACCATGAGGTATCTTTCTCAATTTTGTTTTTTCTGTAGAGATAGAGTCTTACTGTTGCCCAGGCTGGTCTCAAACTCCTGGGCTCAAGCAGTCCTCCTGCCTCAGCTTCCCAAAGTGCTGGGATACAGGCGTGAGCCACTGCGCCTAGCCTAGTTACCTTTAAAAAAAAAGTTTTTTTAATTGTACTAATCAATGAAATATACAGCCTGGGAAATGCTGAAATCCCAGACTGGAGTGCAGTGACACGATCTCAGCTCACTGCAACCTCTGCCTCCCAGGTTCAAGCACCCGCCACCACACCTGGCTAATTTTTGTATTTTGAGTAGAGATGGGGTTTCACCATGTTGGCCAGGATGGTCTCAAGCACCTGACCTCAAGTGATCTGCCCGCCTCAGCCTCCCAAAGTGTTGGGATTACCGGCATGAGCCACCATGCCTGGCTCCAGCTAATTTTCGTACTAAAAGTAGAGATGGGGTTTCACCACGTTGGCCAGGCTGGTCTTGAACTCCTCACCTCAAGTGATCCTCCCTCCTTGGACTCCAAAGTGGTGGGATTACAGGCGTGAGCCTGTACCCAGCCTGATTATGTAAAATTTAAAATTAGCGAGACCTCATCTCTACTAAATAAATTAAATCTAAAAAATTTAAAGGCATTTTTATGAATGGGTATTATTCATTCTCTATTACGCTAGAATATGTGTAAAAGTAATTATTGGCAACATTTCTCTTGAAGGTACTTCAGGTAGTTTCTAGTCATTATTTTAGAGTACTCTGGATTATATAGCATTTTATTTATTTATTTTATTTTTGAGACAGAGTCTCACTCTATCGCCCAGGCTGGAGTGCAGTGGTGCAATCTCAGCTCACTGCAACCTTTACCTCCCAGGTTCTAGCAATTTTCCTGCCTTAGCCTCCTGAGTAGCTGGGATTATAGGCGTATGCCACCACACCCGGCTAATTTTTGTATTTTTAGTAGAGATGGGGTTTCATCATGTTGGCCAGGCTGGTCTTGAACTCCTGACCTCAGGAGATCCACCCGCCTCAGCCTCCCAAAGTGCTGGGATTACAGGCATGAGCCACCATGCCCACCCTAGCATTTTAAAATTATTCCAAATTATAGTTATGTTGAAACAGAGTCTTTACATTCAGTCTGCTTTATTTCCCTTTTAAGACTTAGATTGGAGTCCCAAGAGTGGTGGATTAATAGAGTTGAGACTGGGTCGTATGCTCATCCATGCCAGGGAAATAAGGCCCAAAATGTTAAATATAAATTGGAAGTAGCTAGCTCCATGTTTTTGAGTGAGCCATAATCAGAGGTATCAATCCTAAGGTACAATCTAGGCACAAAGGAAAGTCATTTGCAGACTCACGGTACAAGGATGTTAACCATATGGAAACCCTTCCCTCATTACCAAATCATGGTCTCTAAAACCTTCTTGATATACTTGCAGGGGTGGGGGTGAGTGTGAGTCTGCCACCATCATAAGATGGTTTCTGCTACATTTGAAGTAACTGTAGGAGTTGATTGCCCTCTGACATGTCACAAGCACTTGTTGCAGTTCCCTAGTTTGTGGATCTCTAGACCCCTTCCTTGTCTGCTAGTTAATGCCTCTGTTAAACATTGGGAAGGAGATGTAAAAGGAGTTAAAATGCAGGTCTGTCCAATTTGCTCACCCTTACCTCTGATTTGCTGGGGCTGGAGGTTGAAATAAAGTTTAGAGATTCACTCTGGATTTTATGAAGTCATGATCTGGTGTCCTTCCTTGGCAAAGTCAATGTTGTAAGGATGTAATGTATGTCAGTCAACAGTCTTTCTCTCCAAATTTTCCTTTAAAAACAAAACCAGGGCAGGCGTGGTGGCTCACGCCTGTAATCCCAGCACTTTGGGAGGCCAAGGCAGGCGGATCACCTGAGGTTGGGAGTTCAAGACCAGCCTGACCACCGTGTAGAAACCCCATCTCTACTAAAAATACAAAATTAGCTGGACGTGGTGGTGCATGCCTGTAATTACAGCTACTGGGGAGGCTGAGGCAGGAAAATAGCTTGAACCCAGGAGGCGGAGGTTGCAGTGAGCCGAGATCACGCCATTGCACTCCAGCCTGGGCAACAAGAGCAAAACTCCATCTCAAAAAAAATAATAATAAATAAAAAAACAAACATAATTGAGAACTATTGTTAGTATTTTTTTTAGGAGCAATCAGTACCCAAAGCTAATTTGTGGGAGGGAGAAGAGTAGAACCAGTGCTTTCACATATACTCATATCACATTGGACCTTCCTGACAATCCTATGAGCTAAGCACATTAGTTGCAGCTAGAAGATTCACTGTGCTGTGGTATATGGCCCTTAGTACATGCAGATTGATATGACCCTGTTTTTGTTTTTTTGTTTTTTGGTTTTTTTTAATTTTGGGATGTGGTTTCTCTCTTGTTGCCTGGGCTGGAGTGCAGTGGCGTGATCTCAGCTCACTGCAACCTCTGCCTCCTGGGTTCAAGTGATTCTCCTGCCTCAGCCTCCCGAGTAGCTGGGATTACAGGCGCCTGCCACCACACCCGGCTAATTTTTGTATTTTTAGTAGAGATGGGGTTTTGCCATGTTGGCCAGGCTGGTCTTGTACTCCTGACCTCAGGTGATCCACCCACCTCAGCCTCCCAAAGTGCTGAGATTACAGGCGTGAACCACTGCGCCAGGCCCAATAGGACTTTTTAGGGGCGAATACGTATAGTACTGTACATAAAGCGTTCATAGTGCATATGGTTTATGTTGTAATAATGTCATGACACTGCACTTGTGAGATAAAACTGATTTATTATCTGTTTCAGATTATAAGCGCCATGGCTATGGCTAGTGTTAAATTGCTTGCCGGTGTTTTAAGAAAGCCAGATGCCTGGATTGGACTCTGGGGTGTTCTCCGAGGGACACCTTCATCATACAAACTCTGTACTTCCTGGAATCGATACTTGTATTTTTCTAGTACCAAGTTACGTGCACCAAATTATAAAACACTTTTTTATAATATTTTCTCACTGAGACTCCCAGGGCTTTTACTATCTCCAGAATGTATTTTTCCTTTTTCCGTAAGACTCAAAAGTAATATAAGGTCTACAAAATCTACTAAAAAGTCTCTGCAAAAAGTAGATGAAGAGGACTCTGATGAAGAAAGCCATCATGATGAGATGAGTGAGCAGGAAGAGGAGCTTGAGGATGATCCTACTGTAGTCAAAAACTATAAAGACCTGGAAAAAGCAGTTCAGTCTTTTCGGTATGATGTTGTCCTGAAGACGGGGCTAGATATTGGGAGAAAGTGAGTATGATACGCATTTCATTATAAACTCGCTCGTAGTCATGTTATTTTAATATAGCATTACAAATCACTTGGCCCATATTATGGTGAAGAATAACCACAATAAAAGGACCTTTGTAGGTAACCTGTTTCAATTATTTCATTTTATAGATGAGCAAACTGATTTCCAAAGAAGTCAAGTGACTGCCTGCAAATCCTATGTGCCATATTTGAATCTAAGACACAGTTGACTGTAAGATGAACCATTGATTTAAAAACAGCTTCTTGAGGAGAAAATGAATCACCATATTAGATGTATGTAGCAAACGTAAAATGTACCTGGATATTTCACAAATGCTATAATGTGAGACGGTACCTCAGCTGGGCATGGTGACTCATGCCTGTAATCCCAGCACTTTGAGAGGCTGAGCTGGGCGGATCACAAGGTCAGGAGTTCAAGACCAGCTTGGCCAATATGGTGAAACCCTGTCTCTACTAAAAATACAAAAATTAGCCGGGCGAGGTGGCAGGCGCCTGTAGTCCCAGCTGCTTGAGAGGCTGAGGCAGGAGAGTCACTTGAACCCGGGAGGCAGAGGTTGCAGTGAGCCGAGATCGCGCCACTGCACTCCAGCCTGGGTAACAGAGTGAGACTCCATCTGAAAAAAAAAAAAAGAGGTACCTCTTAGAATTAACAGCATGATGTATACTAAGATGTTGGTTAAGAATGCACGCTTTGGCTGGGCGCAGTGGCTCATGTCTGTAATCCGAGCACTTTGGGAGGCCAAGGCGGGCGGATCACAAGGTCAGGAGATCGAGACCATCCTGGCTAGCACGGTGAAACTCCGTCTCTACTAAAAATACAAAAAATTAGCCAGGCGTGGTGGCAGGCGCCTGTAGTCCCAGCTACTCGGAGGCTGAGGCAGGAGAATGGTGGGAACCCGGGAGGCGGAGCTTGCAGTGAGCCGAGATCACGCCATTGCACTCCAGCCTGGGCGACAGAGCAAGACTCCGTCTCAAAAAAAAAAAAAAAAAAGAATGCAGGCTTTGGAGTGAGATTACTGGGGTTTCAATCCTGGTTCTGTGTGACCTTGGGCAAGTTACTTAAACTTTCTGACCCTCAGTTTTCTCATCTGTAAAATGAAGATGACAGAACCTAGTTTAGAGAGTGGTTGCTAGGATTGAGTGACTATATATTTATGTCAAACACTTATTACAGTGTCTGGCACATAGTAAGTACTCAACATATGTTGGCTATTTTGAAGAAAATACTACATATGTTCATATATAATAGAGGTATTTCTGGGTTTTTTTGTTTTTTGTTTTTTGCTTTTTTTGAGACGGAGTCTTGCTCTGTTGCCCAGGCTGGAGTGCCATGGCACGATCTCGGCTCACTGCAAGCTCCGCCTCCCGGGTTCACGCCATTCTCCTGCCTCAGCCTCCCGAGTAGTTGGGAATACAGGCGCCCACCACCACGCCTGGCTAATTTTTTTGTATTTTTTTAGTAGAGACGGGATTTCACTGTGTTAGCCAGGATGGTCTCGATCTCCTGACCTCGTGATCCACCCACCTCCGCTCCCAAAGTGCTGGGATTACAGGCGTGAGCCACCGCGCCTGGCGAAGATTTCTTTAGTATTCTGATTCCCTCTCTGCTAGATTAATTATATAAGAATAGTGGCCTTCATTGTTCATTTATTCCCTTAGGAATGATTGCATGCATATTGTATACAATGTAAGAATTGTGATATGAATAAATGCAGCAAAACTTCTTGTGTAATTTGTACCTTTATGACCTAATGTAATGGCATAGTTTAATTTTTTAATCCCTGAAGCTTAAGAGATTCATAAAAAGGGCCGGGTGTGGTGGCTCACGCCTGTAGTCCCAGCACTTTGGGAGGCCAAGGCAGGTGTATCACGAGGTCAGGTGATCGATAGCATCCTGGCTAACATAGTGAAACCCTGTCTCTACTAAAAATACAAAAAATTGGCCGGGCGTGGTGGCAGGCGCCTGTGGTTCCAGCTACTTGGGAGGCTGAGGCAGGAGAATGATGTGAACCCAGGAGGCAGAGCTTGCAGTGAGCTGAGATCGCACCACTGCACTCCAGCCTGGGCAACAAAGTGGGACTCCGTCTCAAAAAAAAAAAAAAAAAAGGTTCATAAAAATGAGCCAGCCCACAGGCCCCACCCTTGGCATTCTGATCAGGGTGCCATTAGAGAATGTTCTCTAAACTCTGGCAAACAAATAAGGGGGCCTCTCCTCTCCCAGAGTAGTAACTCCTGCTGTTGTTATTAAGCCAAGCTCCACATGTCAGTCACCTGGAATCAGATATCAAAAAAAGGTGTACTGATTTTTAGCTGCTTCCTCCCCCGGTCTGGTTGCCCTAGTGCGTTAAGTTCAGAGAGATCAGCAGCTGTCAGATTGGAATCTCCCCAGCCTCAGTACAAACTGGCAGAGGGTTTCTTAATGGCCTTGCCATACATGTGGTGCCTGGTTTTTCTCTCAGTGTACAGAGCAGGTGTCTGAGGGGAAGGAAGTGCCCACTCACTTTGGCTGTTGTGAATCACCAGAGCTGCAGCCTGGCCATGTAGTCTCTGCACTGGGAGTCAGGTGGAGTACCCCAGGCCCCTGTCCAGAATGGAGCTTGACATCTATGCTAAAACCTTTCTTAAGGCTCCAATTAACTGCCTAAGAGCACTAGCAAATCTTTGCAGCAGTTCAACATCTATTTAGAAATGCCCTTTGGTCTCCCTGTTTCAGATACACATCAGAGCAGGTGACTTTCACTTTCCCAGGACTCAAAATGGAGACTGGGGAATCCTTGTCAGAATAAACATTAATGGAGGGCCGGGTGCGGTGGCTCACGCCTGTAATCCCAGCACTTTGGGAGGCTGAGGTGGGCGGATCATGAGGTCAGGAGATCGAGACCATCCTGGCTAACATGGTGAAACCCCGTCTCTACTAAAAATACAAAAAAAAATTACCCAGGCGTGGTGGCGGGCGCCTGTAGTCCCAGCTACTCAGGAGGCTGAGGCAGGAGAATGGCGTGAACTTGGGAGGTGGAAGCTGCAGTGAGCCGAGACCACACCACCGCACTCCAGCCTGGGCAATGGAGCGAGACTCCATCTCAAAAAAAAAAAAAAAGTAATGGCAAGTGTTTATCTCAAACTTGTATACAGTTGATGCTTGAACAGTGTGGGGGTTAGGGGTGCCAACCCCCATGCAGTTGAAAAGCCACATATAACTTTTGACACTCAGAAAACTTAACTACTAATATTTTGACACTCAGAAAACTTAACTACTAATATAGCCTACTGTTGACCAAAGGCCTTACTGATACACAGTTACAATAAAGTAAGCTAGAGAAAAGAAAATGTTATTAAGAAAATCATAAGGAAGTGAAAATATATTTACTATTTATTAAGTGGAAGTGGATCATCATGAAGGTCTTCATCCTGGCTGAGGAAGAGGAGGAAGAGGAGGCGTTGGACTTGCTGTCTCAGAGGTGGCAGAGGCTAAAGGAAATCCACATATAAGTGGATCTGCACAGTTTGGACCCGTGCTGGCCAAGGGTCAACTGCAATTGTTTTGAGTATATTTCTATATTTTAAAGCACTTTACCTTTAAAAAAAATAGATTTGAGGCCGGACGCGGTGGTTCACGCCTGTAATCCCAGCACTTTGGGAGGCCAAGGCGGGCGGATCACGAGGTCAGGAGTTCAAGACCAGCCTGGCCGACATAGTGAAACCCTGTCTCTACTAAAAATACAAAAGTTAGGCATGTTGATGTGTGCCTGTAGTCCCAGCTACTGGGAGGCTGAGGCAGGAGAATCACTTGAACCCAGGAGGTGGAGGTTGCAGTGAGCCGAGATGGCGCCACTGCACTCCAGCTTGGGCAACAGAGTGAGACTTTGTCTCAAAAAACAAACAAAAAAAATAGATTTGAGGGTACAAGTGTAGTTTTGTTACGTGGATATACTGTATAGTGATGAAGTCTGGGCTTGAGTGTACCCATCACCCAAATTGTGTACATTGTTGCTTTTTTTTGTTTTGTAGCAAAGTGGAAGATGCTTTCTACAAAGGTGAACTCAGGCTGAATGAGGAAAAATTATGGAAGAAAAGCAGAACGGTGAGATACTAACCTAAAATGACAGCCAGATGTTTTCGTCTCTTACTCTGCTAGTAACTCAATTAATGCTGTCCCAAATTTTCCCTCTGGCTCCTCTTCTTTCTCTGAGGTCCTTTGTGGTCCTCCACGTCAAGCTGGTGGGAATCAGCTACAGGCTTCAGACACACAGGCACTTTCACTTTTGCAGCCTTAATGATCTTCTGATGAAGCTTCTCCCTTTTAAAATTTTAGAATACACCACTGTTAGAACTGGCAGAAATCCATTAATTAAACTTCCAGGTCATTAATGTTAGCCCTCATGGAATCCTCATAATCAGATTTCAAAGAAACATTTGATCCACGTAGAATTGTTCTTTGGCCAGTGGTATCTGAGCAGATGTGTAATTCTATACAGCTCAGCAGTACCCAGTGAGTGCTTGCTGGATGCACGGCTTTGTGTGCAGAGCAGTTATAGAAAAGGATGTGTTCTGTATTTTCTGACAAGTCCATATCAATACTGTTGTTAAGTGAAAGTCAGTTACAAGAAAATGTGTTTCCAGTCTCCACTTTTCTAACAATAAATCATATATAAAAATTCTGGGGCACAGTGGCTCATGCTTGTAATCCCAGCACTTTGGGAGCTGAGGCCAGCAGATCGCTTGAGCCCAGGAGTTGAAGACCAGCCTGGGCAACATGGCAAAACTGTCTCTACAAAAAATACAAAAAATTAGCCAGGCGTGGTGGCAGGCGCTTGTCCCAGCTACTCAGGAGGCTGAGACGGGAGGATTATCTGAGCCTAGGAGGTCAAGGCTGCAGTGAGCCATAATCATGCCAATGCACTCCAGTTTGGGTGACAGAGTGAGACCCTGTCTCAAAAAAAAAAATTCTGGCTGGGCGCAGTGACTCACACCTGTAATCCCAGCACTTTGGGAGGCCGAGTCAGGTGGATCACGAGGTCAGGAGATCGAGACCATCCTGGCTAGCACAGTGAAACCCCATCTCTACTAAAAATACAAAAAAAAATTAGCCGGGTGTGGTGGTGGGCGCCTGTAGTCCCAGCTACTTGGGAGGCTGAGGCAGGAGAATGGCATGAACCTGGGAGGCGGAGCTTGCAGTGAGCCGAGATCGTGCCACTGCACTCCAGCCTGGGCGACAGAGCGAGACTTCGTCTCAAAAAAAAAAAAAAAATTCTGTTAGAAAATATTTTTTTGTAAAAGTAAGTTACGTATATATATACATCTGGAATTAAAATACTGCTGTTACTAGCATTTATCTTTAATTGAAGCATTATGGGTTATGTTAATTTCATAGTTTTTATTTTCTGAATTTTTTTACCATGAGTATGTATCACTTTCATAATGGAAAAAACAATACTGATAATAAAAGTTAACAAAACACAATAAAAAGTTATGACAGAGACCCTTAAAAAGTGTGGAAGACACAAGACACGAGGTATTGGAAGACATAATCTAACTCAGTGTTCAGGGAACAAAGGTTCCAGAGAAGTTAGACATACTTTGGAGATTGTTTTCATTTCATCTTTCATATTTCAAAATACCCCTGGGGTTGGAGGATCCGAACTACATCCGGTTGCCCTAGGACATGGGAAATTGAGGCTGTCGGCTGTCAGCCGTGCATTTGGGTGAGCACTGAGGCTTCCTGCAGTCCTTGCTAACTGGGATCATGCAGGTTCTTGTAGCTCTGTGGGCAGAAGGAGGGAAAACTCCCCCAAGCTGTCTCAGCCCCCAAGTCCCAGGGCCCTGGTGATGCCCCTGACTTGAACCGGCAGGCTGGGACTGTGGCTGGCTGTCAGCAGCTATTGCTCAGTGAGCTACATGCAGTCATAAGCCCTTCTCATCTCTGAATAGCTTTTTCCTGCTGTAGCCTGCCCTCCTTCTAAGCTGCAGTATTCCAAAAACAAGATGTATTCTTGGAGTAAAGAATGATTACTCCCTGAACACCCTGTCTCTGTGCTGGGGCCTCATTTACAAACCCCACTAGACTATTTTTCCTCACACCCCTCCCACCCGCCCCCGTTTTGTGATGTTGTTAACTACAGCCTAATTGCTGCTGCTTCATTCTGCCTTGGGTGTTCTGTTGTCTCAGCTGCCTTCCATGTTTCTTGTGAGGGTCAGCAAAGGAAGGGGGCATTATTAACGCTCAGCTGTCTTGTTACTAGGAGGCCTGGTAGCCATAGAAACTGCAGCTAACTAGAGATTTGAAATGTAGATATTTGGAACAGCTCCTAATCCCAGCCAGTTTTGCTTTGTGTCTGCTGAGGGACAGGGGCCGTGGAGGGGAATAAAGAATGCCTCGCCTTCCCTGGTCTGCTCTGTGGAGCCTGTGCCTGGCTGCTGACCCCGAAGGGTCAGGTGCTTGTCTGATGCTGCAGCTCTAACCCTGGCTGTCTGCGATTCAGCAAAGCTTTTCTTTGAGCTGAAAACCAGGTGAAGCCCAGGGTGTGGTAGGTGTTGGGTAACTGTTGATTAAACAGTGGGTGTGTGGTGTCCAAGTATGGGGATTGAATCCTTCCTAAACTCATCTCTTCCTGGGATCAGTTGGGTAAAGGAGGAGCACCCCTTCTCTGTGCTACAAGGAAGCTCCAAAGGGATTCATTCTTGTGTGTGTGTGTGTGTGTGTGTGTGTGTGTGTGTGTGTGTGTGTGTATTTTTAGTAGAGACGGGGTTTCACTGTGTTAGCCAGGATGGTCTCGATCTCCTGACCTTGTGATCCACCTGCCTCGGCCTCCCAAAGTGCTGGGATTACAGGCGTGAGCCACCACACCCCGCCAAAGGGATTCATTCTTTAGCCACACACTAGCCTTCTCTATCCAGAGGCAGACATCATGCACAGTATCTCTATGAAAGGATATACACAGAGTATCCTTTTCTTTGTATATTTTTTTTTTCTTTTTCTTTATTTTATTTTGGAGACAGTGTCTTGCTCGGTTACCCAGGCTGGAGTGCGGTGGTGCAGCCACAGCTCATTGCAACCTTGACCTTCTGGGCTCAAGTGATCTTCCCACCTCAGCCTCCCGAGTAGCTGGTATGACAGGCACACCACCACGTCTGGTTAATTTTTTATTTTTTATAGAGACAGGGTCTCACTGTGTGGTCCAGGCTGGTCTTAAACTCCTGACCTCAAGTGATCTACCCACCTTGGCCTCCCAAAATTCTGAGATTGCAGGCATGAGACACCACACCTGGCCTATACACCTTTTCTTTGTCTACCCTTTTGTATCTTCTAAATTTTGTATCATATGCATATATTACTTATTAAAAATGAATTGTAGGCCGGGCACAGTGGCTCACACCTGTAATCCCAGCACTTTGGGAGGTCAAGGCAGGTGGAACACTTGAGGCCAGGAGTTTGAGACCAGCCTGGCCAACATGGTGAAACCCCATCTCTACTAAAAATACAGAAAGTTACCCGGGCATGGTGGCAGGCTCCTGTAATTCCAGCTATTCAGGAGGCTGAGGCAGGAGAATCGTTTGAATCCAGGAGGTGGAGCTTGCAGTGAGCCAAGATCGCGCCATTGCACTCCAGCCTGGGCAGCAGAGCGAGACTCCATCTCAAAAAAAGAAAACAAACAAAAAAAGAATTTTAGCTGAGCAAGTTGGTGTGTGTCTGTAGTCGCAGCCACTTGGGAGGCTGAGGAGGGAGTGTCGTTGAGCCCAGGAGTTTGAGGCTACAGTACACTATGATTATGCCTATGAATAGCCACTGCATTCCAGCCTGAGCAACATGTGAGACCTCATCTCTTTAAAAATAGTAATTTGAATGAAATAAGGTTATACCAAAAAGGTAAAGCAGAGTTCCCAAGCCTTGTATTTCTTTTTTTTGAGACAGCCTTGCTCTTGTTGCCCAGGCTGGAGTGCAATGGCACGATCTCGGCTCACTGCAACCTCTGCCTCCCAGGTTCAAGCGATTCTCTTGCTTCAGCCTCCAGAGTACCTGGGATTACAGGCACCTACCATCACGTTCTGATAATTTTTGTATTTTTAGTAGAGACGGGGTTTCGCCATGTTGGCCAGGCTGGTCTTGAACTCCTGACCTCGTGATCCACCCTCAGCCTCCCAAAGTGCTGGGATTACAGGTGTGAGCCACCACGCCTGGCCTGTATTTCTAGACGGATTTTTTAAAATGTCCACATAGGCTGAAGTAGTCATTTTAAAAAATTGAACCCAGGGTTGGGCGCGGTGGCTCACACTTGTAATCCCAGCACTTTGGGAGGCCAAGGCAGGTGGATCATGAGGTCAAGAGATCAAGACCATTCTGGCCAACATGATGAAACCCTGTCTCTACTAAAAATACAAAAATTAGCTGGGTGTGGTGGCACATCCCTGTAGTCCCAGCTACTTGGGAGGCTGAGGCAGGAGAATCACTTGAAACTGGGAGGTGGAGGTTGCAGTGAGCCGAGATCACACCACTGCACTCCAGCCTGGTGACACGGTGAGACTCCATGTCAAAAAAAAAAAAAAAAGAAAAAAAAAATTGAACCAGCAGAACTACAGAAGGGTGGAACCCCCCCACCCCTGCCCAGGTACCTGTGTTGTCCTATCCCTCAAACCCAAGGGGAGAAACAGTCTTGACAATAGCTGTGGTATGAGCCTTTCTGCTTCTCAGCCCACAGGAGAGGAAGTTAATGGTTTAAAATCTGCCCCTCTGTGAGTTTTATATCCAGCTATTGTGGGTTTCCTGGATTGGCCAGTATACTGTTGTGGCAAGCAGGTGCGCATGCCCATGTTGTGGACTGACTGTTGGGCCTGCAGAGGTCTTGAGTGGGTGGGAGAATAGACATGGGCTTGTTCTGGGGAGGTTGAAAGGTTTCAGAGTCTGAAGTTGTATCTGCCTTAAAGAACATTAATTGTAAAATAAGATAAAAGTCAGCATTTGACACCATACTTCTTAAACAGAAGCCCTCTAGTAGCCTTATAAATGGCAATGTGTGCCCACTTACTGTCAGTGGTCCACACATGGGCTTGCTCACCCCCTACTGGAAGCAGTGGTGAGGGGTATGAGATGGCTCCCAGTCATCCCTGGCTTATGTTTTAGTAGAAGCAGCAGCATGTGGCTCCTGGGTCTGTATGGCCCTTCTTTTTTTTTTTTTTTTTTTTTTGGAGACGGAGTCTCGCTCTGTCGCCCAGGCTGGAGTGCAGTGGCGAGATCTCGGCTCACTGCAAGCTCCGCCTCCCGGATTCATGCCATTCTTCTGTCTCAGCCTCCCGAGTAGCTAGAACTACAGGCGCCCGCCACCACACCCAGCTAATTTTTTGTATTTTTAGTAGAGACGGGGTTTCACCGTGTTAGCCAGGATGGTCTCGATCTCCTGACCTTATGATCTGCCCACCTCAGCCTCCCAAAGTACTGGGATTACAGGCTTGAGCCACCGTGCCCAGCCGGCCCTTCTTTTTTTTTTTTTTTTTTGAGACAGAGCTTTGCTCTTGTCGCCCAGGCTGGAGTGCAATGGCGCCATCTTGGTTCACCGCAACCTCTGCCTCCTGGGTTCAAGTGATTCTCCTGCCTCAGCCTCTCAAGTAGCTGGGATTACAGGTGTGTGCCACCATGCTCAGCTAATTTTGTATTTTTAGTAGAGACGGGGTTTCACCATGTTGGTCAGGCCAGTCTTGAACTCCTGACCTCAGGTGGTCCACCCACCTTGGCCTCCCAAAGTGCTGGGATTACAGGTGTGAACCACTGTGCTCGGCCCTGTTTGGCCCTTCTTGAGTGTCTGGAAAGATCCCTTGAGATCCTGAGCTGCCTGGACCCGGTATCTGTCTTGGGCTGTCCATACCTTCAGCACAGACCAGTGTCCTTGACCTTGGAGCTGACATAACTGCCCCAGGGCATGCATTGCACTGTCTCAACTGAAGCTGCTTTCTGTGCAAAAATGGGTTTGACCTCAGCCTTTTAACCCATTGAATCAGCATCCAACTCTGCTTTCTGTGGCATTCTACCTTTGTGAGTGAGTTGAGGCAAGTGTTGCACTGGAAATTGTCTTCACTGTGCATGTAGTAATTACTGTGCACACAGTCTCTAAGACTGCCCCCACTTTCTTTGTCTTTTGCCAGTGTTACCAAGATAAATGTGTCCATTCAAATATTTCCTTAAGTCACCCAATAGATGTGAGTATTTGAGCTACTCTGCGCAGGGACTATCCACAGCCAGCCAGTTGTCTAGTTCTGAAGGAAGGACACTGGCTGATATTGAGGCCCTTGTATTTGAGGCACTCTCCCTTTCTTTTTTTTTTTTTTTTTTTTTTTTTCGTTTTTTTCGTTTTTTTGAGATGGAGTCTCCCTCTGTCGCCCGGGCTGGCATGCAGTGACATGATCTTGGCTCACTGCAACCTCTACTTCCCGGGTCCAAGCGATTCTCCTGCCACAGCCTTCCGAGTATTTGGGATCACAGGCACCCACCACCACACACAGCTAATTTTTTTATTTTTAGTAGAGACGGGATTTCACCATGTTGGCCAGGCTGGTCTCGAACTCCTGACCTCAGGTGATCCACCGAGCTTGGCCTCCCAAAGTGCTGGGATTACAGGCGTGAGCCACCGCACCTGACCTTTCACCCTCCCTTTCACGCTGAGGCACTGGGATAGGTGACAGTGACTAAGGTCAGGGCCTTTACTCACCTGCCCCTCCTCTGGGTCATGATCATGTGGTGAAAACTCAGAGCAGTAATGTTTGCATTGGCCTGGATTTCCCGAAGTGTAACCAAGCCTCTGTTTTCTTTTAATTTTCAGGTGAAAGTGGGAGATACATTGGATCTTCTCATTGGAGAGGATAAAGAAGCAGGAACAGAGACAGTTATGCGGATTCTCTTGAAAAAAGTGTTTGAAGAGAAGACTGAAAGTGAAAAATACAGAGTGGTGTTACGGCGGTGGAAAAGTTTAAAGTTGCCTAAGAAGAGAATGTCTAAATAAATGGATTGCTTTTTAGCAATAGAGCTGCTTTCTAGTGGTAAAGGAAGGGGTCACCTGAAAAATAGGACATTTTTATTAAAATAAAGTTCTCTTAGCGTTTGTGGAATCTGCCGAGCCATTTTGTGGAAATTGGGATCCATATCTGGAGACACTTCCCAAGGCCTGCCTCACCTCCACCCCCTGCCCACCTTGATCCATGCTCCTTTGACCTCCTCGTGTGAGAACCCCTTTGCCAGAGTGAGACGTGTGCAGAATGAACTAAGCCCCAGAGGGTTTTAATGGCTTGCCTGCTGTTTCCCACATAAACTACCTCAGGAGTCACTGTAAAATAAACTGGCCTTGTTGTCTTAGTGTTTTTATTTAAAATGTTCCCTGTCCAGCGGGGCCAGCTTCCCAGGTTCAGGTTTCTTTAGACAAAACCAAGCAAAGTCAAGGGTACCTTCAGATGTTAGGGGATAACCTCTGGGAGAGCCCTTTCTCCCCCTGCCCTTCTGAATTACCAGCGGGGGGCCTTAGTGCCCTTCAATTTGTCTTCACAAGTGTGGATGAATAAAGTTGTTCCAGCTAATTTCAAACCAGCTAGTTAGAGCCCATTTGAAATGATTAGTTTAGCAGGGGTCCATAAACGAAGGCAGCCAAAGACTTGTTTTTCTATGGCCCTTGAGCCAAGAATGGTTTTTACATCACACACACAGGCGCATGCACACACACACACAGCCAGAGACCTTCTGTGGCCCACAAAGCCTAAAATACTTACTTTAAAAAAACTAAATTTTTTGGCGGGGCACAGTGGCTTACACCTGCTAACTCGGCATTTTGGGAGGCCAAGGCAGGTGGATCACTTAATCCCAGGAGTTTGAGACCAGCCTGGGGCAACATAGTGAGACTTCGTCTCTCTCTTAAAAAAACGCCATATTTTTGTAGAGGAGGGTTCTCGCTCTTGCCCAGGCTGTTTCCAACTCCTGAGCTCAGGTGACTGTCTCACTTCGGCTTCCTAAAGTGCTGGGATTACAGGCATGAGCCACTATGCCTGGCCAAAGCCTAAAATATTTACTATCTACCCCTTTACAGAAAAAGTTTTTTGACCCCTAGTTTAGAGTAATAGGTAAGGGTTTAATTTTCGGGTGAAAGCAAACATACCTGTTTTATCAATGAAGAGAATAAAACCAATTCTAATTCTCAAAGTGTCATAAAATGGATGAAGGCTTAGCAGAGTAGTGTGGCGGGGTAGACACACACATAATGTACGTCATCTAAGAAAGGACTTGCGGATGAGTAGGCCAGGCTATAAATTCCCAGGAGCTGTTTCCTGGCACTTGGAGAGATCACCTCCAATAAGAGACTTGTTAGATTATGTCACATCGAAAAGACTGGCTGGTCCAGGCGCAGTGGCTCACGCCTGTAATCCCAACACTGTGGGAGGCTGAGACTTGAGGTCAGGAATTTGAGACCAGCCTGGCCAACACGGTGAAACCCCATGTCTACTAAAGATACAAAAATTAGCTGGGCATGGTGGCAGGCACCTATAATCCCAACTACTCAGGAGGCTGAGGCAGGAGAATCGCTTGAACCTGAGAGGCGGAGTTTGCAGTGAGCAGAGATCGCGCCCCTGCACTCCAGCCTGGGCAAAAAGAGCAAGACTCCATCTCAAAAAAAAGAAAAAAAAGACCCTGTATCTGGGCTCTTATTTGTCCCCCAGGAACTCCTGAGAATCCTTAACTGTCAGTGAAGAGAAACTTCTATAGCCCAAAGCAGTGGGATGTTTGGGCTCATGTGTCTGGAACTGTTAACCAGCTTGTTTTTCTTTCTCTTTTTTTTTTTGAGACGGACTCTTGCTCTGTCACCAGGCTGGAGTGCAGTGGCGTGATCTCGGCTCACTGCAACCTCTGCCTCCCGGGTTCAAGCGATTCTCCTGCCTCAGCCTCCCAAGTAGCTGGGAGTACAGGCACACACTACCAAGTCCAGCTAATTTTTGTATTTTTAGTAGAGACAGGGTTTTGCCACTGTTGGCCGGGATGGTCTCAATCTCTTAACCTCATGATCTGCCCGCCTCAGCCTCCCAAAGTGCTGGGATTGCAGGCGTGAGACACCGCACATGGCCTACCAGCTTGTTTTTCAAAAGACTCAAGAAAATTGATTTTTATTTGAAAAGTTAAACTCTCAGAAAGAAATAATATATACTATGCAGTGTAACGGGGGGTTTTCTATTTTACCATTTGTGAATTTGGCTTTCTTGAGTCATCAGTAAAAATAGTAGCTTAATTTCCACGCGTTATTTATGATTTTTTTTTTTTTTTTTTTTTTTAATGAGACGAGGTCTTACTCTGTCACCCAGGCTGGAGTGCAATGGTGTGATCTCGACTCACTGCAACCTCCACCACCTGGGTTCAGATTCTCCTGCCTCAGCCTGCCAAGTAGCTGGGATTACAGGCCCCTGCCACCATGCCCCCCAGATTTTTTTATATTTTTAGTAGAGACAGGGTTTCACCATGCTGGCCAGGCTGGTCTTGAACTCCCGACCTCAGGTGATCCATACACCGCAGCCTCCCAAAGTGCTGGGATTACAGGCATGAGCCACCACACCTGGTCTGAATTATAATTTAGGAAATTAGATGCCCATATCTTTTCTCATCTTCTCCTTCCTCCCACCTCCCCTTTACCTTCCCCCTCCCCCCTTCCTTCCCATCTCTGGACTTCTCTTTGGAAAGTGATCAGAAAATCTACGAAACCCTGGTTGGTGAGGGCAGCACAATCTAGTGATGTCAGGGGTCCTGGCATTCAGGCCCAGTCCTGCCATTAGTACACTGGGTTATCTTGGTCATAGTTTCACCTTAACCTCTCTGAGCTGGTTTCCTCACTGGTCAAATGGGGATCAAGGTACTGATTGTTCTTTTTTTTTTTTTTTTTTGAGACGGAGTCTCGCTCTGTCACCCAGGCTGGATGGAGTGCAGTGGCTCGATCTCGGCTCACTGCAAGCTCCGCCTCCAGGGTTCACGCCATTCTCCTGCCTCAGCCTCCTGAGTAGCTGGGACTACAGGCACTCACCACCACGCCTGGCTAATTTTTTGTATTTTCAGTAGAGACGGGGTTTCACCATGTTAGCCAGGATGGTCTCGATCTCCTAACCTCGTGATCCGCCCGCCTCGGCCTCCCAAAGTGCTGGGATTACAGGCGTGAGCCACCGCGCCTGGCCTAAGGTACTGATTGTTCTATCTTGTGTCTCAAAAAAGAAAGTTAAAATGAGTAGTATGAGGTAAGATGCATTGACAGTAGCTAGAAAACAGGGCCATTTGAAAGGCTTTTTGAAGTTCTATTGGTCATTAGTACCTCAACTTAGCTGCTTGGGAGGGTTTCATTGGCCCATTCAAACCTTCTGTTTTTTAAAAAAAACAAAGGCACTGTTCATGCCTGTAATCACAGCACTTTGGGAGGCCGAGGTGGGCGGATCACCTGAGGTTAGGAATTCGAGACCAGCCTGACTAACACAGTGAAACCTCATCTCTATTAAAAATCAAAAAAATGGCAGGGCATGGTGGGTCATGCCTGTAATCCCAGCACTTTGGGAGGCCAAGGCGGGTGGATAGCCTGAGGTCAGGAGTTCGAGACCAGCCTGGCCAACATGGTGAAAACCCATCTCTACTAAAAATACAAAAATTAGCCAGGCATGGTGGCGGGTGCCTGTAATCCCAGCTACTCGGGAGGCTGAGGCAGGAGAATCGCTTGAACCCGGGAGGTGGAGGTTGCAATGAGCCGAGACGGTGCCATTGCACTCCAGCCTGGGCGACAAGAGCAAGACTCCATCTCAAAAAAAAAAAAAGGGGGCTAGGTGCAGAGGCTCACGCCTGTAATCCCAGCACTTTGGGAGGCCAAGGCGGGCAGATCACAAGGTCAGGAGATCAAGACCATCCTGGCCAACATGGTGAAACCCCGTCTCTACTAAAACACAAAAAAACAATTAGCCAGGTGTGGTGGCGGGCGCCTGTAGTCCCAGCTATTCAGGAGGCAGAGGCAGGGGAATCGCTTGACCCCAGGAGGCAGAGGTTGCAGTGAGCAGAGATCACGCCACTGCACTCCAGCCTGGTGACAGAGCGAGACTCTGTCTCAAAAAAAATAAAAATTTTTTTAAAAATGAATAAAATAATATTATCCCCCAAATGTCTACTTTAAAAAAAATGTTAAAAATAATAAACTATTGCCTACCCATCTATGTAAATTTCCAGGGAAACTAGTAAATGCTATTTTAAAAAAATTTTTTTATTATCTTTTTATTTTTCCCTACTTTCAAGCTAACAAGTTATAGTAAATGCTGTTTGGCAGGGAAATGCAGTTAGCACCATGTTTCCTACAGGAGATCTGTTTCTTTTGAAAGGATTACCGTTACTGGTAAAAGAGCTGGCTGGGGTCAGGTGCAGTGGCTCACGCCTGTAATCCCAGCACTTTGGGAGGCCAAGGCGGGCGGATCACGAGGTCAGGAGATCGAGACCATCCTGGATAACACGGTGAAACCCCATCTCTACTAAAAATACAAAAAAAAAAAAAAAAGCTGGGCGTGGTGGCGGGCGCCTGTAGTCCCAGCTACTTGGGAGGCTGAGGCAGGAGAATGGTGTGAACCAAGGAGGCAGAGCTGGCAGTGAGCCGAGATTGCGCCACTGCACTCCAGCCTGGGCGACAGAGCGAGACTCCGTCTCAAAAAAAAAAAAAAAAAAAAAAAGAAGAAGAAGAGCTGGCTGGATAGTCCTCTTCCAAAAGTCATAACTTTAAATTGTTTCATCCTTTAAAAACTGCAGACACTAGCAATATTTTCAGACTTTCCTGGGAAAGCAAGAACTATATCTTAGATTAAAAAAAACAATTTGGGGTCGAGCACAGTGGCTCAGGCCTGTAATCCCAGCACTTTGGGAGGCTGAGGCGGGCAGATCATGAGGTCAAGAGGTCAAGACAATCCTGGCCAACATGGTGAAACCCGGTCTCTACTGAAAATACAAAAACTAGTTGGGCATAGTGGCACGTGCCTATAGTCCCAGCTACTCAGGAGGCTGAGGCAGGAGAATCACTTGAAACCGGGAGGCGGAGGTTGCAGTGACCCCAGATTATACCACTGCTCTCCAGCCTGGTGACAGAGCAAGACTCCGTCAAAAAAAAAAAAAGAAAATTTCTGGCTGGGCACAGTTGCTCACTCCTGTAATTCCTGTACTTTGGCAGGCCAAGGCGGGTGGATCAGGGTGATCCTGAGGTCAGGAGTTTGAGACCAGCCTGGCCAATATGATGAAACCCCGTCTCTACTAAAAATACAAAAAAATAGCTGGGTGTGGTGGCGGGCACCTGTAATCTCAACTACTCAGGAGGCTGAGGCAGGAGAATCACTTGAACCCGGGAGGGAGAGTTTGCAGTGAGCAGAGATCATGCCACTGCACTCCAGCCTGAGCAACAAGAGCGAATCTCCATCTCAAAAAACAAAACAAAAACACAATTCTTCCTTGTCACCCTAATTAGAACAGGGTTCCTCAACCTCAGCACTATTGACATTTTAAGTCAGATAGGTATTTGCTGTCCTGTATATTGGAGGGTGTTCAGCAGCATGCCTGGCCTCTACCTACACGAGGCCCACAGCACCTCTTCAGTCATGACCACCAAAAATATCTCCAGATATTGCCAAACTTCCCCAGCAGGAAAAATCATCTCCAGTTGAGAACCACTGCATTAGACATTTTTTTCTTTAATCTTTTCATATGTTGGTCACATTTTTCACTGAGGAAGCCTTGCCAGGACCACATTAAAAGGCAGTTATCATTTGGGTCTAGTAATGAGTTCCAAGAGCTCCATAAATCTTTATGAATTGCTTTCATGTTTCTCTGTTTCATAAAGATGTTCCAAGTCCTGACTAAATTTTTGTATTTTTAGTAGAGACGGGGTTTCAGCATGTTGGCCAGGATGGTCTCAATCTCCTGACCTCATGATCTGCCCGCCTCGGCCTCCCAAAGTGCTGGGATTACAGGTGTGAGCCACCGCGCCCGGCCTGGGGGATAATTTTAAAGTCATGGTTTATTTGGGCAATAGTCGTTGGGGAGGAGATAGAAACATTACTGGCTTTCAAGAAACTGGAAGTGCCGGGTGCAATGGCTCACACCTGTAATCCCAGCACTTTGGGAGGCAGAGGCAGGCAGATCACCTAAGGTCGGGAGTTCAAGACCAGCCTGACCAACATAGAGAAACCCCCATCTCTACTAAAAATACAAAAAAATTCGCCGGGCATGGTGGCGCACGCCTGTAATCCCAGCTACTCGGGAGGCTGAAGCAGGAGAATCGCTTGAACCCGGGAGGCGGAGGTTGCAGTGAGCCGAGATCGTGCCATTGTACTCCAGCCTGGGCAACAAGAGTGAAACTCTGTCTCAAAAAAAAAGAAAAGAAAAGAAAAGAAAGAAACTGGAAGAAAACATTTCAGTTCGGGGTGATGGTGTATGCTCCTGTAAAACATATTTTGCTGTTCTGTCCATATATTTTAAATTTTACAAATGGCATTATTATATTTCCTCTTGCATGTTCAGGATGTTTTTTAAGATCCATTCATGGCATTATGGGTACATTGAATCCACTGCTTCTCACTGCTGCAGGATAAAGACCAAAGTGCATCCACCATGCACTTTGCTTACCCATGCTCCCAGTGACACTGTCCCAAACTGTACCCAGTTCTCCTCTCGACAAATAACATAGCACTTCTATCCACCAGAATGGCTGCACTGGCTGCTTTCCCACAGGAGAGTGCCTTAGACCCATCACCTCAGCCCCTGGCATTACTCAGCTTTCTAATTTTTGCCAGTATAATACAGGTGTAAAGAGATGATTAATATTACTATTATTTTGAGACAGAGTTTCACTCTTGTCACCCAGGCTGGAGTGCAATGGTGCGATCTCGGCTCAGTACAACCTCTGCCTTCTGGGCTCAAGGGATTCTCCAGCCTTAGCCTCCCAAGTAGCTGGGATTATAAGTGACTGCCACCACGCCCAGCTAATTTTTGTATTTTTTTTTTCAAGACAGAGTCTTGCCCTGTCACCCAGGCTGGAATGCAATGGCACGATCTCGGCTCACTGCAACCTCCGCCTTCCAGGTTCAAATGATTCTCCTGCCTCAGCCTCCTGAGTAGCTGGGATTACAGGTGCCCGCCACCATGCCCAGCTATTTTTTTGTATTTTTAGTAGAGATGGGGTTTAACCATGTTGGTCAGGCTGATCTCGAACTCCTGACCTCGTGATCCACCCGCCTCAGCCTCCCAAAGTGCTGGGATTACAGGCCTGAGCCACCGCGCCCAGCCGTAAAGAGATTATTTTTTAACATGAACTCCTCATAACTTTTTTTTCTCCTTTTTTTTTTCTTGACATGAAGTCTCGCTCTGTCACCCAGGCTGGAGTGCAGTGGCATGATCTCAGCTCACTGCAACTCTGCCTCCCGGGTTCAAGCGATTCTCCTGCCTCAGCCTCCTGAGTAGCTGGGATTACAGGTGCGCACAACTACGCCCAGCTAATTTTTGTATTTTTAGTAGAGACGGGGTTTCACCATGTTGGTCAGGCTGGTCTCGAACTCCTGACCTCATGATCCACCTGCCTCAGCCTCCCAAAGTGCTGGGATTCTGTATGGATGCTGAGCCACCGCGCCCAGCATAACATCTTTCTTATACACACAAGCCTCACAGCCTGCTGCTTCTGCCTTTTGGTACGATCTTGGCTCACTGCACCCTCTGGCTCCTGGGTTCAAGCAATTCTCCTGCCTCAGACTCCTGAATAGCTGCGATTATAGGGGTCCACCACCACGCCTGGCTAATTTTTTATATTTTTAATAGAGATGGTGTTTCGCCATGTTGGCCAGGCTGGTCTGGAATTCCTGACCTCAGGCGATCCACCCGCCTCGTCCTCCCAAAGTGCTAGGATTATAGTCATGAGCCACCACGCCTGGCCAATGCAACTTTATTCTTAAAGTTGATGAGACCTTCCCTAAGGTAGACAAGTGAAATCCTAAAGACCACAGTCAAGGCCGGACCACAGGTGTCTAAAATGGAGAATTTCTGTTTAGAGGTCCGGTAAGGACTCTCTTCTGGAGTCTCACTCAGAGGAGTCACTATTAGATGCTTCTTCACAGAATGCATGTAGAATTTTTGTTAGGATTGTAGGAGAAATCCCTTAATTTTTTTTTTTTTTTAGTAACCCTTATTTTACTTAAATCCTTTAATTCTTGATTCTAAGACAGACAAATGAAAGGTGGGGCTGAAATGATAGTGGCCAACTCTTTGGACGTAAGCAATGCAATCAGCATGAACTACCTGAGGAGAAGGCACCCATCACTAGGGCCTTCCTTACCTATGCTGAAGTATATGCCTCTTTACGCATGGAACTGTGCCTGGGCTAAGATTTCAGCTTGTCAAAACCAAGGAGGAGAGGCATGTCTAATACCCTGTGTCAAAAAGAGCACAAGCTATACCAGAAACACACACCAGAAACACCAGGGCTCTTGAATTCTGCTGTCAGCACTCACAGCACACTTAGCAACTATGTTTCAGTCTCTGGAGAAACAGGAGTCAGGAAATACTGTAGTCCCGCAGGTGTGCCTCAGGCCAGAGCCCAGCCTAATTCCATCTGCGATGGCCTCAGCTGTCTGCACTGTGAGGAGGAGCCAAGCTTCCCAGTCTGGTTCTATCCTCGTACATGTTGAAAATTGGCTTCAGGTAAGAGATGTCAGGTTTTGTGTTGTTTACTACCAAAACCTTCTCTTCAAGCTCAAATGGACTTTTTTTTTTTTTTCTGGGAGAAGTCTCGCTCTTGTGCCCCAGGCTTGAGTACAATGGCTCGATCTCGGCTCACTGCAATCTCGGCCTCCCGGGTTCAAACGATTCTCCTGCCTCTGCCTCCCAAGTAGCTGAGATTAAGGCGCCTGCAACCATGCCTAGCTAATTTTTGTATTTTTTAGTAGAGACGGGGTTTCACCATGTTGGCCAGGCTGGTCTTGAACTCCTGACCTCAGGTGATCCGCCCGTCTCGGCCTCCCAAAGTGCTGGGATTACAGGCATGAGCTACCATGCCTGGCCAACTTCTTAACTACCAACTCACGAGGTTGGGACTTGTTAGAATTATGGATCACTGCCCAGCAGATAGCTGGTCCTCCAAACGTATTTGCTGAATGAATCAACTGCCTTAGAGGCAGAGATATTCTTACTGCATTCCTTAGTCTATTTTCTGTGGCTTTGAAAGGTTTCCTGGTTTTGGGGGGGGGGGTTTACTTTTTGTTTTTTGAGACAGAGTTTCGCTCTTGTGGCCCAGTCTGGAGTGCAATGGCGCAATCTCGGCTCACTGCAACCTCCAACTCCCAGGTTCAAGCGATTCTCCTGCCTCAGCCTCCCAAGTAGCTGGAATTACAGGCACCTACCACCATGCCCAGCTAATTTTTTGTATTTTTAGTAGAGATGAGGGTTCACTATGTTGGCCAGGCTGGTCTCGAACTCCTGACCTCAGGTAATCCACCTGCCTCAGCCTCCCAAAGTGCTGGGATTGCAGGCGTGAGCCCCTGCACCCGGCCGGTTTCCTGGGTTATACTCTCTCACCAGGGCGATCCAGAAGCCCAGAAATAGTGGACAGTCAGCAAAACCCCAAGTTAAATCACAGGAACCACTAGGCAGAGAGACAGAGAAATTGATTTACTTGGCACAGCTACATAAGTGGCAGCAGAGAGTTGAAGAGCACAAACTTTGGAGTCAGCCTGGCCTTCGTTAGAAGCCCCAGCTCTGCCAGCTATTTGACCTTGGCCAAGATATTTAACTCTGGAAGCATCCATTTCCCCATCTATAAAATGGGTTTCTGTAAGGATTAAATGAAATGGCATATATCAAGTTCCCAGCAACATCCCTGACCCAATACAGGTGCTCAAAAATGGGAGCTATTATTAGAAACAGAACTCTGATTTCAGGACCCGTGGCCACTTCTGAATCCACAAGAGTCACACTGTAGGAGCTCCTGGAAGGACAGGCTGTAGCGTTACACGCTCTCAACCTCTATTAGGAACACAGTTCACCATCAGGAATACAAAGACTGTTTAGAAGAACAAATGAATTCTTAATCCCCAAAATCAACAGACAGCCTTCCCTGTGAAGAAACGTTCTGTCAAGTGCTGTATGTGGCCAGTGCCCATAAGCCCTGATGGTGAAGCATTAGTAAACCGGCCTCTTCCCACCGGCCTGAAAGCTAAGATTTAGTTTCCTAAGCTAAAGATTTAGTTAAAGCAGCAGTCAGTTTTATTTGAATACAACAGGAAACCACAGATTTCAACTCAGATCTGTTGCTAATACCCAGGAAAATGCTAACCTTTCAGTTTCTCTACCACACACAGCACATTTTGGGAAGATACCTATAGTGCCTTGGTCCTCCCCTGCGGTTCCAGGACAAGCAGCGCCAGCATCACCTGAGAACTTGTTAGACATGCAAATTCTTGGGCCCCACCCCAGACCCTCTGCATCAGAATCTCTGCGGGTGGTTCACGGCGATCTGTTTTAACTTGTTCCTTGGTGATTCTGATGCAGGTAAACTCTTGAGACCCACTGCAGCAGTGGATGCAGACAGAATCCCACCCAAACCCCTTTACCAGAGCACCCACGCCCTGGCTGCTGAGGGCTGACTGCTAACCACCACAGCGGCACCTCTGGAGCCTTGTCCTGGCCAGAGGGACAGGGACACTACCCCTTTCCCAGGGAAGACCTCGGACAACAACCCACCAGCAGCCCCTTTGCCTCAACCAGAACTAATTCTGCCATACAATTCACATTGCAGGGCTTCCTCATGGAGGAGAGTGTGGCTAGACTGCATTGGAGACCACAATCTTGGTTCTCGCCTTCCCCGGTTCTCTTCCTTTCCTGAGTCCTGTCTCCTGACAGCACGCCCTCAATTAATGGCCTAAGAATCTCAGTCTCTGCCTCTGCTCCTAGGGAACCTGATCTACGGCAGTTACTTTCACATTCTTAAAAAAAAAAAAAGTTCACAATTGCTATAATTATTTAGAATTAGCTTGATTCTATTATTTTATTTTATTTATTTAGAGACAGTCTCACTCTGTCACCCAGGCTGGAGTGCAGTGGCTTGATCTCAGTTCACTGCAACTTCTGTCTCCTGGGTTCAAGCAATTCTCCTGACTCAGCCTCCTCAGTTGCTGGGATTACAGGTGCACGCCACCATGCCCAGATAAGTTTTTTGTGTTTGTTTCATTTTTTGAGAAAAGATCTCACTCTGTCGCCCAGGCTGGAGTGCAGTGGCGCCATTTCGGCTCACTGCAACCTCTGCCTCCCGGGTTCGAACGATTCTCCTGCCTCAGCTTCCCGAGTAGCTGGGATTACGGGCATGCGCCACCATGCCCAGCTAATTTTTGTATTTTTAGTAGAGGTGGGGTTTTACCATGTTGGCCAAGCTGGTCTCAACTCCTGACCTCAGGTGATCCACCCACTTTGGCCCCCTAAAGTGCTGGGATTACAAGAGTGAGCCACCGCGCCCACCCTAATTCTATTATTTACATTCATTAGCTCCCAAGGCTCTGTCATTGAAGCTTAATTCTAAAACAAGCACTCCTATATCTAAGATCAGACACACTGGGGCTTAGAGGATGGGAGTGATAGACACCACTGCTGACTTGCAATTGTTTTAGGATCTGAGTCTTGTGTATTGTGGCTTGGGTATGATGGAAATCAGAGGCCAACTTGGGCTCAAATCCTGGCACCGCCAATTTCCAGTTGTGTGAACTTGAGCAAGAAACCAACTTCTCTCCTTACCACAAAACTGAGTTAATAACAGTGACCACAGCAATGAGTTTTTATGAGAAGCAAATGAGATAATGTAGACACCATTTGCGTCCCTAGCTTTCTTACCTGTTAACAAGGCATAATTATGGTACTTACCTCACAAGGCTTTTGAAAGGATAACACGTTGCCCAGGTTCCATTCTTAGCAGTGTCTGGCACATACAATATACTCAAGGAATGTTGGTGCCATCCCAGTCAGAAGCAATGCTTGTTCTTTCCTTTCTCCACCACTGGCCAGATATTCCAAATTTTTTTTTTCTTTTTTTGAGATGGAGTCTCACTCTGTCGCCCAGGCTGGAGTGCAGTGGTGTGATCTCGGCTCACTGCAACATCCACCTCCCAGGTGCAAGCAGTTCTCCTGCCTCAGCCTCCTAAGTAGCTGGGACCACAGGTGCTCACAACCACACCCAGCCAATTTTGGTATTTTCAGTAGAGACGGGGTTTTACCATGCTGGCCAGGATGGCATCGAACTCCTGACCTCAAGTGATCCTCCCGCCTCGGCCTCCCAAAGTGCTGAGATTACAGGTGTGAGCCACCACGCCGGCCCAGATATTCCAGACTTATCTGAAAGCTCCTTAGAGTCCACTGCATTTCACCATTCCAATGATCATGATAATCTGGTGTCGAGTTATTATTTCTGAGAACTAGATCTTACAAGTATACTCTCACTGAAATACTCTGTGAATGTTCTTTTTGGAAGAAGACAAAGATACCCACAGCCACAAGAGTCTCAAAGAATTTAGCTTTTCCTCACTTCTTGCTTAAACTGGCTAGTGGATTTAGCATTTGGAGGTTCAGGTCCAGCACCCAACCAAGGCACACCTGCTGAGAAGGTTTACAGCACAGATGTGCTGGCTGTATAGATTTCAAGGCTATCAAATAAGCAAATACTCACTGTAGTAAGTGTTTCAATCACGAGCCACCAACTACTTTATATCTTCTGATCCCTGGGCCAAGGAAGTTTCTCTGACATCTTGAGATAGAATTTTTACTCTATATGTTATATATATATAAATATATTACATCTAATGTATAATATTATATATATTTAAAAATATATAAATATATATATTTTTTTCCTTGAGACAGAGTTTCTGTTGCCCAGGCTGGAGTACAGTGGCATGATCTCGGCTCACTGCAACTTTGCCTCCCACGTCCAAGCGATTCTCCCACCTCAGCCTCCCGAGTAGCTGAGATTACAGGCATGCACCACCATGCCTGGCTAATTTTTATATTTTTAGTAGAGATGGGGTTTCACCATGTTGGCCAGGCTGGTCTCAAACTCCTGACTTCAGGTGATCCACCCACCTTGGCCTCCCAAAGTGTTAGGATTACAGGTGTTAGCCAACGCACCTGGCCTAATTATTACTATAAAATATTAAGTTTAATGATTTATAATTAGCCAAAGAGAAGAGAAGGTGAGGGAAAACATCCCTTTTTACAAATAATAATACATGAGGCCGGGCACAGTGGCTCACACCAGTAATCCCAATACTTTTGGGGGTTGAGGTGGGAGGATTACTTGAGGCCAGTGGTTTGAAACCAGCCTGGGTAACATGGTGAGGTCACATCTCTACAATAATAAAACTAGCCAGGCATGGTAGTGTGGGCCTGTAGTCCCAGCTACTTAGGAGTCTGTGGCAGGAAGATCACTTGAGCCCAGGAAGTCGAGGCTGCAGTGAGCCATGATTATACCACTGCACTCTAGCAGGGTTGGGGCGGCGGGAAACTAAAACCCATTTGATCCAAAGTGAAAAAAAAAAAGGCGGTTAAATGAAAATGAAACTCTGCTGGCTTTGCAGGACTGGCCTGGCACCTGACCAGGAAAGGTTAAAAAAGGTCAAACAAGCCTCCCACTACATGGCCAGGAAGTGGTTTGTGGAGAAATGGTTTGGAGGATTTATCTGGCAATTTCTCATTCATTCAGCTGTGGCCAAACTGAAATCCTATGAGCTGTACCCCTGACACGTAGAGTATGGAAGCCCCAGAAGCTGAAATCCCCCGGAATATTCACGTTCTTCCCTGGGAGGTGGGTGAGGAGGCCACGCACAAAGACAAATAGACCAAGACATATTCTGAGAGACCAGTGCTCTAAGAAAATAACATGTTACGAGACCATGTTTTTCTATTTTTATAACATTTTATATAACTCATAAAACAGTGTTTGTATAAAAATTCACACAAAGTTGCTAGAGAGCATACAATTTCCAAAAATGTCCTGGGTTTTTGTTACATTCAGTTTCCTAAGGATGCACTCCAATCTATGGTAAAATGCAGACATGATGCGAGATTTCATTATCTTTGGTAAAACTATTCTCATTATTTTGTCTCCTCACAGTATTAAGTCTGATATCCACTTTGTGCAGGGTCTGCTATTACTAGGATGTCAGAAAAACATTAAGGCTGGATCTACGAGAGGCAAGTATTTCCCAACAGCAGTAATAGCCCCTTGGCCCTCACCCCCACTTCATGTATCTATACAGTCGATCTACACAGCCAGGCGGGGTGCAAGCTCACGACCTCCACTCGGGAGTCTCGAGATCCCCTCTTGACTGGGAAAGAAGCAAACATTTGTGGGGAACGTTGGAAACGGAGGCCATCTCTAAATGAACCCAGTGGTCATGCTGTGGTGTGGTCAGACCAGCAACTTTTACCAATTAAATAGCCAATCTATTCACCACTAAGTAGATCCCATTGGTTGGTTGGTTGATGATTGCTGCTGATGTGGTTCCCCACTCCCCACAAACATAAAAGGAAAGGAAGGTTTGGAGCCAACACCGAAAGGGGAGGGGCACGCTAGCGCAAATGACACCAGACACGACTTTATTCCCTGTCAAACATTTGTTGTCCTGTAGACACAGCCAAGGTGAACTGAAGGGGGATGCGAACACTCAGTACATTCGTGACTATCTTCATACATTCTTTAAAAACTTACAGAGAAATCAATGAAGACTACCACCTACTGTGACTTACTAGTTCATTCAACATCAAAACGTGTCTGTGCTAATCTTTTAGTCCTTGGGATACAAGGCCAAAAAAAAAAAAAAAAAAATCCAAAAAACAAACAACTAAAAACCAAAGAATTTAGATGTGGGGGAAGGAAAGCGACTGCCAACAGGTTTCATGGAACACATTAAATTTTGAAAAAATAAGTATTTTGTACTTCTATTGCTTCATGTAAAAAATTTAAAATAAAAAAATGCCCACTGGAGCCACCTGTATGGATGGAGAAGTGAGGACACCATACAGACAGGGCAAGGACCTGCAGGCGTTTCCTGACGACAGTCCAGAGATGGTGAGAGTTCCCACGTGTGTCCACTTCTCTTCACAGAAAGGGACTGTAAGATTCTGGGGGAAGATGCCCTACACATGTAAGGTATTAAGAAAATCACTGAAATACGGTTTCCAAAAATTGAACATGCTCTGGGTTACAAAGAGACATATTTAATTCCTAGAACCTGTTGATTTCTCTAACAGGGGTAGATGGGA
Source organism: Homo sapiens (assembly GCF_000001405.40). Taxonomy (NCBI): domain Eukaryota; kingdom Metazoa; phylum Chordata; class Mammalia; order Primates; family Hominidae; genus Homo; species Homo sapiens. Next base: position 107,066,551 of record NC_000006.12, read on the forward strand.
GTTTCAAAAAAATTATTAATAAATGATTGTGCTTCTAAAGTTGCAGGGTCAACATTCCACCCTCTAGAAAGCAGGGCAATTCATGGCTTGGAGTCCTCGTTTACATCCTAGAAACCAGAACAAATTCCATGGGACCTCCCGCCTCCAGCCCCCAACAACCAGCGGTGGGAAGGGGGAGGTGGTGGGAGAGGGCCACAGCTGTCTTTGGGTAGGGTGCGTGTGTGTGCATGCTGTGTGCATGTGCTGGAGAGACTAAGGCATAGAGAAGGGCCCAAGCGAGGGGGGAAAGTGAGTCTCCTGGCTGCTCCAGTCCCTCCTTTCCAGGCACAAAGAAGTTGAACTTGTTATTCGTGTAGGCCCCCTTCATCTCACTTCAGCTTTTAGTAAGCAGTGCGTGTGTGCATGAGTAGCTGTGTAAGACAGAGAGTCATTCAGTCCCTGTGCCTTTCTAAATCTGTTTGCAGTTTCAACAGAAATAATCTGTAAATGACACTTAGGAGCAAATTTACTAGTTAGATCAGCAACTTAACATTGCTTTTAAAATCCTGTATTTTAAAAAATGCTCCTGGGTACAGGCAAAATTATGTCATACAGCCACTGGAACTGAAGTTCTTATCAGCTGAATGAAGAAAATCCAGATTGTTTCTGTTATCTCTGCATTTTAAAGTAGCAAAATATTAAGCCATCCCACAGGGGTTCTATGACTACCCTGTGTGATTCAATAAATTTTCCAGGACTCTGGTATGACACACTGTTTGCATTCGACTGTTTCCTTTCCCTCTTAAGCATTTGGCCCCCAGAGTTAGGTAGGTAAAAGTATCATTTTAAAGGACTTTACCTGTCAGGGGATTTCCCAGTTGGTGCTCCTGGAGAGCATGCAGCTGGCCTGCAGGAGCCTGACATTCCCAGTCGGGAGGGAACGAAGACATGTGCCCCCCAAGGCAGGGGGTGGCCAGGTATAGGACAGCAGGACCTTCTAGAGAGTCCAAGAGGAAAGTTCTGAGTGGACCCTGGGAAGGGACATGTGTACCCCATCTAAAATGGCCTGTGTCCTTCCAATGCATGGTATCCCCAAGAGGGGCCCAGACCTGGGCCCGCCCTGAGGAATGAGGATGTAGTACTGCCTGGAGTAGCTAACACTGAGGTCTGGGGAAGTCACCACAAAGCTCCCGGAACCTGGATTTTGTACAAATACACACACGGAAAAGTAAACAGTTCATGGTGAGCTCAAAGAGGCCCACCCTTAAATCTAACAAGAAGCCAAAAGCCCCTGCACTGTTTTCCAAGGAAACATGTCCACTCCCTCCAACCAGCAACCATGTATGGAGAAGGAATGGGGGCAGCGGAAGGACACGGCTCAGATGGAGACACTGCGAACGTGTTTCCACGGCTGTCTACATTCATATCATCATCATCCAGTGTTCTCGCCTAAAGAGTGACACAACATTCTACCAACGCGCCTGAAGGACAGGCCAAGCTGAACGGAAGCCTTCCCTGGCACCAGAGCAGAAGGGAAAACTTGCATGTGGTCGTAAAGGACTTCGCACTATTCCATCCCCTCTACTGCCATCCAAGGGGCATCTTGACTCTTCCAAAATCAGATGTAAAAAACAAGGTCAGTAAAATCAGTATCCATGCCACCTGAAGCTATGATTAGCCACTGTGCACGAACATGGCACTTTTAAAGAGATTTTTTTCTAAGTAAAATGGCCCCCAAAGAGCCCAATGATTTTTTTTAAGGGTTTCTTTTTAATTAAAAAAAAATGGGTCAAAATGGAAGATGTAAAATATGGGAAGAGGGGCAAGAGAGTTGCTGGGTTTGCATTATAAGCTGTGAGGGGCTGGGGAGGGCACAACCAGGGAGAGAGGACCCCTAACCTCTGGTCCCTGCCCTCACAGCTTGCTCTCCCCACACTCAGGCTGCCCCGCCGGGGCACATAGGACAGAAGTTGTAAGTACAAGAGACCAAACTCAAGGCTTCTTTCTTGCGGTTGGGTGGGTGTTTACGTGTGCAAATGTAGTAAGCCACTCCCCACGGACATAAGGTGCCTGTCTGTGGATGCCATAGGCGTGCTCCCAAGTATTGCTCAGTCCCAAGGGTGCCCATCGCTCAGCCTCTGGTGACCCCGAATCTCTGGGCAGGTCACGGGCCTTCACTTCTCCACTTTCTTTGCTTTCTTGAGGATGTCGCATTTTTTCCTGTTGGGGCGGCGGCACCTCTCATCGATGCTGGGGATACATTCGTAGTGCCACACCTCCTCCATCTTCTCCACCGGGTAGACGGCTTCCACGTAGTGGCGGATGAGCCGCAGCCGCGTGGGGTCCAGTTGCTTCTTGTTGCAAGCCCCGGAATGGTTGTACTGCAGCCGGAGGTTCTCGGCGGTGAAGAGTTCGGGAAACAGGCGGACGAGGAGCCGGGCGGCAAAGTTGCCCACGGAGAGGCTCTGCTGCACGATCTCACGCACCTCCTTGTCAGACAGCAGGTAGGGAGAAGGCACCGGGAAGTCAGGCGAGGGGACCACCAGCTCGTCCAAGGGGATCTTGCAAAAGTCCTTGCTGCTCCTCTCGGGGGGCAGTGGGGGCCCCTCAAACTCCTCCCGGAACCTCTCGGGGTTGATTGCATAGCTGGTCAAGTCTCTGCACTCAGGGCCCGGCACGTGGACCTTGCGCTGCTGCTGGTAGGAGCGCCTTTGCTCCGTGTCCCGGCGCCGGCAGCGCTCATCCAGTTTGCCCACGAACTCCAGGGTCCAGACGCGGTCGTTTTTGGCGCGTGGGTAGAGCAGCTGCACGTAGTGGCGGATGAGCTTGATGCGGGAGGGGTCCAGCTGCTTCTTGCCCAGGGAGCCGCTGCAGTTGTACTGCTTGCGCAGGTTCTCGTGCGTGAAGAGCTCGGGGAACAGGTGCACCAGCAGGCGCGAGGCGAAGTTGCCGATGGACAGGCTGCTCTCGTAGATGCTGCGTAGCTGCTCCTTGCTGAGCAGGCAGTCGGCACCGGGCACCTCGAAGTCAGGCTGGGGGATCTCTAACTTGTCGAAGTCGATGGGCACCAGCCAGATCTTCTTGGAGCGGCGACCCGGCCGCTCGCCCTCGAAGCTGTCCTCCACCTTGACCACTGAGATGTCGTCGGGCAGACTGGAGGAGTCGTAGCAGTCATCACGCGGGGGGTCGCCTTCACTGCCCGCGTCCAGCCCCAGGCCCTCGAGCTCGTCGTTGATGCGCTGGGCACACTGCTGCAGCCAGGCCTCCTCCTCCTGCATGTCAGGGAAGTAGATCTCCGTGTAGTTGCGGATGATCTGCAGCCGCTGCGGGTCCAGCTCCTGCTTTCCACCGTCCCCGTAGCAGCTGTACTGTTCACCCAGCTTGCGGTGGTCGAAGAGCTCGGGGAAGAGCCGGTGGAGGAGGAAGACGGCAAACTCGCCTGGTGAGGAGGCTTCGTCCAGGAACTCAGTGAGGTCCTGCGTGTCCACCACGTGGTCTGAGGCGATGGTGCTGCTCCGGTCAAGAGACAGGGCCTCCTCCTGGTCTTTGTTGTCCAGGAAGTGGCCGGGGTCCACCTGCTCTGCCTCAAAGAAGCTGGCGACCTGGCCGCTGGGCTGGCTGTCCTCCATTTCCCGCTGGGCCCAGAAGCGGCTGAAGAAGTCGTTCAGCTGGGGCAGGCACTCGGCCTGCCACACAGCCGTGTCCTTCACCGAGGGGTAGTAGACCTCCACATAGTTGCGGATGAGCTGCAGGTGCAGCGACTCCAGCTTGCGCTTGGCCGCAAAGCCACAGGCACTGCAGCCCCGGGAGAAGTCCACGTCGCTGAAGAGCTCGGGGAAGAGCTGCACCAGCAAGCGGCAGGCCAGGTCCCCCCCTGACAGGCTCTGGTCCACGATCTGCTTGAGCTCTGCGGCTGTGAGCTGGTACTCAGGGGGCGGCTGGAATTTGGCCACCATCTCAGTGGGGCTCACCTGCTTCTTGATGCGGCTCACCTCAAGGGAGAGCAGGTCCACCTTGCTGTGCAGCTGGGACATGTTGGACGTGAGGGTGTTCAGCATGTAGAACATCTTCTGGATCAGGAAGTAGATGTTGGGGTCGTTGTCAGTGCCTGCCCCGGTGCTGCCACAGTCCCGCTTCTGTGGCTCATTCAGGAGCCGCAGTGACGAGGGGCTGTTGCTGGCGTTTGCCTTCTCAAAGAGCTCGTACACGTTTAGCAGGTCCCCCGAGGGAGGATTCTTCTTCTCCATGATCTTGTGCGAGATGCCATACAGAGGCTTCTTGTAGGAAGGGGTGGTGGCATCGTTGCAGGGCTCCTCCTCTCCAGGCCACACATTGCCCAGGCTCCTGCCCCTGCCGGCCTGCTCACCATTGCCTTGGCAGGGCGAGCTGTTCTCACGGTTCCGCATGCCTGCTAGGAGAGCCTGCAAAACAAAAATCATTTCCCAGAGTGTTAGGTGGGTGCTGTGGTTTATGACACTAAACAAGGGTCTGTGTAGCACACAGAGGCCGAGGTCAACCTTGGGAGCATGTAAGAAACTGATTCCTCACCCTGAATCACTCTGTCATCCAAGGATGCACCACTGATACAAACCTGCATCCCCACCACCCCAAACCTGCTGCTCTCCCCATTCCCTGAGAAAAGACTCAGGCTGGGCCCAGGGAGGCTTTGCGCTCTCACAGGGCACCAGCAGTGGACTTCCTTTCCGTCAGAGGGCTGACACTGATGCTGGCAATACTGGGCAAGAACTCTGCAAGAAACAGGAGGAAGAGCATAGGAAGGCAACGGGCTTGTGCAGCTGCCGGCCACGGGCAGGTCACCCCATGGACCCGTGCCTTCGTCTGCTCTCAGGAAGGGACAGAGATTCCTACCTATGGTAGCTCCCAAAGGCAGCAGTGTGTCCTTTTAGCCTGCAGCCTTTGGGAGAGCAGGCGTCCCTTTTCGGGAAGGCTCATCTGGGATGCATGGTCGGGGCACCTGAGAACTGGGCTGTGGAGAGCGGCTGTCTGATGCCAACTCCACCACTGCCTGAAATCACATCTTAGACCAGAAAAAGCCGGCCCAGAACTTTCTGGCCTGTGCAACTGTGAGACAGTAGAAACAACCCCCCGTTTCTGAAAAATCCACAAGTATATAAACTATGTTATATTCATACAATGGAATATTACTCAGCAATAAGATATTATTGATACAGTACACAAAGTACTCATGATAAATCTCAAAATAAATAACAAAAAAGAGGTCGTAGTGTATGATTCCATTTGTGTATGTACAATTCTAGAAAACGCAAGCTTGCCTATAGTGACAGAATGCAGATAGTCATTGCCTAGGGATGGCAGGGAGAATTCGATGGGACACAGAGAATGAAATGGAGAACGTCAGTGGGTGACAGATGTTTATCATCATGACTGTGGCTGTGGGTTCACTGGTAGACACGTGTCAAAACGTATCAAATTGTATACCTTAAATATGTATCCTTCTTTGAGTTTCAGCCATAACCTAATAAGCCTGTTTTTGACAAATGTTGAATTCGACCCAGATACTTATGTAAATGTATATTTGAGTTTTAGGAAAGCAGATGAGCTAGTCAGTGAGCGCTGGTGGGTGTCGGGGGAGCAGGGAGCCTTTGCTCCCACTGACAGGCATGTGCCTCGGGCAACTGGGAATGGACAAGAACAAACGGCATCCTGGGGTGCTTCTCTCCACACTTGGGAAGAGTACAGGTGGCTGGGACTGGCCTAGCCCAGCGCTTCTTAAGCTCTAGTGTACACACTGAATCACCTGGGGTCTTGCTGGAATGCAGAGTGTGAACCCTGGGCCTGCATCTCTAATAAGCTCCTGGGTGCTGTGGCTGCTGTCTATCCTCTCTGAGTAGCCAGGGCTTGGCAGTCAGTGTTTGCTCTCAGTTTATCTCATCCAGGCAGATCAGGGTTATTTGAAAGTTTTCAGGTAACTAATGCCAGCACAAAACAGTGCATGAGGTGTTTTTCTCTGCAGCCTCAGCCAACGTAGGGAAAAGAGACAACCTCAGAAGCGAGGCTTCGTACAGCAAGTGAGCTATATGAGGCTGAGAATAGGCAGATCCAGGGGGAATAGAAACCAAGAGCCCAAATAAACAGAAAACTTTCATCATTCTGAACCTTCCATGTGTTCTTTTTCATTTAAATTAATGAACGGCTGGGCGTGGTGGCTCACGCCTGTAATCCCAGCACTTTGGGAGGCCAAGATGGGTGGATCTCCTGAGCTCAGAAGTTCCGCCAGCCTGGGGAACATGGCGAAACACTGTCTCTACTAAAAAAATACAAAAAAAATTAGCCTGGCACAGTAGTGTGCACCTGTAGTCCCAGCTACTCAGGAGGCTGAAGTAGGAGGATAACTTGAGCCTGGGAGATGGAGGCTGCAGTGAGCTAAGATCTTGCCACTGCACCCCAGCCTGGGTGACAGAGTGAGACCCCATCTCAATAATAATTAATAAATTACTTCCTAGACTCTCTCTTTTGGATAATAGAATAATCTGACTCATATTAGAGAAATGTTAATTCTTCTCTTGTGCCCCCATGAGGACAACCATGCAAAAGAAAAACTACTCCCTTAGTGACCTTATAAAGGGACTCGTAAGTGCATTAGTTATCACAGAGCTGGCCAATACTTCCTTCAGGGTTTGTATGTGTATGTATATATATATATATATATATATATATATATATATATATATATATATATATATATATATATATGTATGTGAGCAAATGGTCAGTGGCAACTGGCCCTTGTGGACCCCACTCCCCACCCCTCCCCTCTACAGCACTCACAGGAGCAGAGGACCAAGGACATACCAGAGTGGAGGCAGCCTGTCAGGGGTGGCCAGCCACCTGCCCCACTCCCTCTGGGGTCTCCTTGCCAAGCTGTCCCCATCCTGTCAAACTGCATGATGGTTGTGCGATGGGACCACGTTGTTCCTGAGTCTATCCCCAGTGCCTAGCAAAGTGCCCAGGGTACAGAAGAGGTCAATGAATTTCTGTCAACCACACGTGAATAAAGCAGGGCAAAGTGTTCCACCATTCTCAAATACATGCTTAAGAAAAGTGAGGCCAGGTGCAGTGGCTCACACCTGTAATCCCAGTATTTTGGGAGGCTGAGGCAGGGGATCTCAAGCCCAGGAGTTCAAGACCAGCCTGGGCAACATGGTGAAACCCCACCTCTACAAAAATAAGCTGGGAGTGGTGGTGTGTGCCTGTAGTCTCAGCTACTCGGGAGGCTGAGGTAGGAGGATTGCTTCAGCCTGGGAGATTGAGGCTTCGTAAGCTGAGATCACACCACTGCACTCCAGCCTGGGCAACAGAGCAAGACCCTGTCTCAGAAAGAAAAAGAAAAGGAGAAAAAAAAGAAAAGGAGCTGTTCTGATAAGAGCACTGGCATGAAGGTGTGGCTAAGAACTCAGCTCAATCAGCAAGCATTCTGTTTGTGACCTTGTAAGCCTCACCTTCCTTTACTCAGGGTAAATCATGCTACCTGTCCCACAGGGTGGTTGTGAGGATTTAAGGAGACAGTGCACACACAGCACTGAGTCTATCTGAATCACACTAAGTGCTTAATAAATATTTATGGCCGGGTGCGGTGGCTCATGCCTGTAATCCCAGCACTTTGGGAGGCCGAGGCGGGTGGATCACTTGAGGTCAGGAGTTCGAAACTAGCCTGGCCAACACGGTGAAACCCCATCTCTACTAAAAATACAAAATTAGTTGGGTGTGGTGGCGCGTGCTTGTAATCCCAGCTACTCGGGAGGCTGAGGCAGGAGAACTGCTTGAACCTGGGAGGCGGAGGTTGCAGTGAGCCAAGATCGTGCCACTGCACTCTGGCCTGGGCAACAGAGTGAGACTCTGTCTCAAAAATAAATACATAAAAATTTATTATTACAATATGATTTATTATTACGTAATGCTATTCCCAAGCCATGGCAGAGGTAGTTCTGTAGGGGACTTTTATTAGGGGAGTTGTAATGACACTCTCAAGTACACTGAGAAGGACTTTCCCACAGTGCCTCAGGGTAAGTCACTCATGGAAGGCACTTCTTAGAGGTCTGTTTGTCCTAAAGGCTGGGAATTTAAGCCCTTTATGTTTCTTCTGTTCTGTTATCTGGCATTATTTCTTTAAAAAAGAAAGAAAAGAAAACATATACACACACCAGAAAGGAAGGGGTGGAGATAGCTGAAAACCTTTACCCCTAATGCAGTGTTTCAAATTGTGGGATAGTAGATGATAACTGATTTTGGTGGATCGTGAAGAGGGAGGAGCCGGGCACGGTGGCTCATGCCTATAATCCCAGCACTTTGGGAGGCTGAGGTGAGTGGATCACGAGGTCAGGAGATTGAGACCATCCTGGCTAACGCAGTGAAACTCCATCTCTACTAAAAATACAAAAAATTAGCTGGGAGTGGTAGCACACGCCTGTAGTCCCAGCTACTCAGGAGGCTAAGGCAGGAGAATCACTTGAACCCGGGAGGCGGAGGTGGCAGTGAGTGCCACTGCACTCCAGCCTGGGCAACAGAGCGTCTCAAAAAAAAAAAAGAAGAGGGAAGGATTAGCCACTAGGGAGGCTTAGGTGGGAGGATCACTTGAGTCTTGGAGGTGGAGGTTGCAGTGAGCTGTGACTGCACCACTGTACCATAGCTTAGGCGACAGAGTGAGACTGTGTCTCAAAAATAAATAAATAAATAAATAAAGAGGGAGGGAAGGAGGAAATAAGAAAGCAAAAAGAATAGAAAATATCAAAGTGTACTGCACAAAGTAAATCAAGTTAAGAGTTTTGTTTCATTACTATGTGTATGTCTAAATACTTATTTACAAATTCATACAGGTAAGTTGTATTGCTCTATAAGGTGATTTATAACTGTGGGTCACTGTGGAAAACCATTGCCCTAACAAATACAAAGTGCCTTACTTGCTAATTCCTGTAGAATGTAAAGTAAAATTTTTGGCAATTTATTCACCATTTAGTTCTATTACACTAAAATAATTTTAGAGGTCCCATGGACTATAAGATTACTATAAGGTTTACCAATAGAGAGAAATTTGGGTTTGGAGTACTAACAATTACAAATCATAACTATATTAGGAGTGATTTTAGAAAAGGAGACTTTGCTTTAAAATAAGGTTCCATTAGCACATTTAAAATAGAATTTCCTAAGAAAGAGATCATCAGAAACGTATATAGCATGCAACAAGAGTACATGTTCTAGAGGGAGACTTGCCCAGGGGAGAAATGAGTACAGGGAAAAGTTTCTGGTGAATTATTTGAATACCAACAACACACACAAGGTTTGACTCCCTCACATTCCTACAGCAGGTGGGAGGCAAGAGTACATTGAAACTGGGAAACCCCCCATAACTCTCAATATTCAGCCTCATTAATACAAATATTTCCATTTCCACCAAGCATGTTAGAAACACTGCCGTCAACAGAAACATTTTTGGCTAGATTGCTTGAATTAAAAATGTTAGTGTCCCAGTAGAGGGCAATATTCACTCCCAGAAACCTTGGGTACACAATTCAACACAGAACACAACACAAGCACTGAAGAGAAACTTCTTAGATACTCCCACACTGGTGTCCTGTCAGCTCAGTGCTCCAATTAATTCCACAAATGCTGCCAAGGCGGCAATGGGCTGGCTGCGTTTGTGGCTGATGATAAAATCTCGGCTCAGCTGTCTAGGAGTATCAAGAAATCTTTAAATCTGTGCTACTTGGCACTGGGTAGGACTGGCTGACACATTCCCAATTCTCTGAGGCTCGTCTTCCAACCATATGGGAACTCTGCTGTACAGCTCAGGCTCTGCAATGCCAGCGTCTAGCCCGGATCTTGATCAGGGCGTTTCATTCAGCCACCAGCACCCGTAGAACCCAGAGAGAATGCCCAAATCTCTCAGCTGGAGAATCTGACTGAACAAAAAGAAGCTGATGTTGGGTTACAAGTGAGGGGTAAATAGACTATTTAGGGAGACTCCAGGTGTCCATGCCCAGTGACATCCCAGGGAGTGGGACACCCTGGAGATGCTCCAAGTGCTAGACGTCTTCATCGCAACCCCAAATCCAAGAGTGGTCACTGAATTTAGTTCAATGAATGAGTGGCTCAAAAGTGCCCTGAGAGTCAGCACGCTGGAACACTCAGAAAGCAGCATGGCTTGGGGAAGCAGAGAGGCCATGTGAAACAGTGGTCAGTTGGGCTGGCATCTCCCTCCTGGAATCACAGTCGCATGAATGATGCTTATACCACTTTCATTTTCAACATTATTATTTTCATCATCATCATCAAATTTTTTTTTGAGACAGGATCTCACTCTGTTGCCCAGGCTGGAGTGCAGTGATGTGATCTTGGCTCACTGCAACCTTCGCCATCACTCCCCACCCTCCCCAGGCTCAAGTTATCCTCCCACCACAGCCTCCCAAGTAGTTGGGACCACAGGCACACACCACCATGGTCAGCTAATTTTTTTTGTATTTTTAGTAGAGACCCTGTACTTATTTTTCTATCCTGGGTATTAATTAGGGCAGGTCTCCCTCTAGAACATGTACTCTTGTTGCACAGTATATGAATTTCTAATGATCTCTTTCTGCACAAAATCCTATTTTAAATGTGCTCACCATGTTGTCCAGGCTGGCCTCGAACTCTTGAGCTCCAGTAATCGGCCCACCTTGGCTTCCCAAAGTGTTGGAATTACAAGTGTGAGCCACCACATCTGGCCAAAACAATTTTTTTTTAAATTAAATCAGAGACAGGGCTGCACTAAGTTGCCTATGTTCACAGGCGTGACCCCACTACTGATCAGCAGGGGAGTTCTGACCTGCTCTGTTTCTGACCTGAGCCGGTTCACCCCTCCTTAGGCAACCCAGTGGTACCCCTCACTAAGTTCAGCATCAATACGGTGACCTCCCAGGATCAAGCCAGACACAGTCTCTGCTCTCACGGCTCTTACTCTGTGGGTCATCCTTCTGCTGCCAACACTATATGGTAAGGGTGAAGGATGTGCTAAGATGGCCGAAGAAACAAGATTCTGGGGAGATAAAGCAACTATAATGAAGGGAAAAGAGGAAGAACAGAAGACCTAGCAAGATATGAGTGCACCTAAGGCTTCTCATGCATCTTACAAATATCCCAGTATCCCACCAGCATGATGTTTGAGTGCCCAGTTCGGAATCACGCAGGCTTGGTAGTGCTAACTTATCTGAGCCTCATTAAAATGGGAATGTACCTATCTGCGATAGTTGTTGAGAGACTTCTTAAGAATCCTCGGCTCACACCACAGTAACTGACACTCAGGAGGTGTTCTGTGCATTTGCACTGCATGAGATGCCATTTCCATTTTCCAAATGAAAAACAAACCACAGAGACATTTTAGGACTTAAAAAAATAAACGAAAAACCCCAGGAGAACAAAGCTAACCTCTGCCTGGCATACGGCTCTTGAACACTGCCCCACTTCTGTGAACAAAAAGATGATTACCAATAAAAACTTTGGCTATGCACCTCCCACATCTGCTGTATTTGGCTACGAAGTCCTCTCCAACAGAGGTGCCAAATAAGTCTTTACACAGCCCTTTGTTAGACTTTTTGAGGGAGGTTTTTTCTTCTAAGCATTGTACTAAATGTCACTCATAAAACAAGTTGTCAACATTGATAGACGCCTGCCTGTGACATGCTGTTAGCATCAGGGCTCCCCACTTTGCCCTCCTGCACTTTCCTTGGGGCAGGGGAGAGAAGACAGGAGATGGTCTATGTCCTGACTGGATGGTGCCCAGGCTGGGTGTCCTCAAGGGCATCAGGTGGCCTCCCTTGATGGTGCCATGCTGATTTCATTCTGATAAATGTAGAGGGAGGCAGCTGAATGCTGGTCATGGGGTTGAGGGCTGGAGATGGGAGCTCAGAGGCAATAAATAAACATTTCTTTTTGAGACAGAGTCTCACTGTCACCCAGGCTGGAGTGCAGTGGTGCAATCTCGGCTCACTGCAAGCTCTGCCTCCTGGGTTCATGCCATTCTCCTGCCTCAGCCTCCCAAAGTGCTGGGATTACAGGCGTGAGCCTCCGTGCCCGGCCCAGTAAACAACATTTCTAAAGGCTGACATGGAGCATGCCCCATGCTGCGTCCTCATGTGGACTATCTCAGTGATCCACAACAGCCCAGCGAGGCGGGCAGTGTCACCCCTCATGACGGTGGAGGAACCTGAGTTTTGGCGATCTGCCCCTCGTCTGACCCCAGATTCTCTGCTTGTTCTTGTATTTTAGCATGCTGGTAGTGATATGGGAGGGGGCTATGGAAGTGCTGGGTAGAGAAGGGCGGGTCCCTGGCTAGGGCTCCACCCTCAGGCCTGTGCCCATGGACCTAGGTGAGGACAGGCACTCCTGCCTTTGCACCCAAATGTTGCATTTTCCAAGACCACCCTGGCCTGCCACGCCCCCATTTCTATCCTGTGCCTATAGAAATCCCCGAGACCCTAGCAGGCAGGCACACAAGCAGCTGGATGTCCAGAGGAGCGGATCAGTGGAAGAAGATACAAGCAACTGGATGTCTACAGAAACACACGGGTGGAGGAACACACAACTGGGTGGATGTCGAGAGGATGTCGGGAGCACAGCATGATGACAGGTCATTGACCAGCAAAACAATGTGGAGTTTGGCAGGGGCAGTAGGAGGAGGGCCCGGGCCACTAAGCAGCCCAACTCCAGGGGAAATTCATTTTCCTTCTGGCTCCCCCATCTGCTGAGAGCTACTTCCACTCAATAAAACCTTGCACTCATTCTCTAAGCCCAGGTGTGATCCGATTCTTCTGGTACACCAAGGCAAGAACCCAGGATACAGAAAGCCCTCTGTCCTTGCAACAAGGTGGAGGGTCTAATTGAGCTGGTTAATACAAGCTGCCTATAGACAGGAGCAAAACTAAAAAGGCACCCTGTAACATATGCCCACTGGGGCTTCAGGAGCTGTAAACATCCACCCCTAGACACTGCCATGGGGTCAGAGCCCCACAGCCTGACTGGTCTGTATGCCCCCTAGAGGTTTGAGCAGTGGGGCACTGAAGAAGCAAGCCACACCCCCATCGCATGCCCTGCAAGGGGACAACGGAACTTTTCCCGTTTCAGTAGGATGACTCAGAGAAAGTGACAGTGTCTTCCCAATCAGTCCTGATAATCTCACCCCAGTAACAAGGCTGCCCCACTGGCACCCTGGCACCTTTTAACTTACATGCCTGAGTTTGCTCAGCTGCCTGGTTGAGGTATTAACTCGTTTGTTTTATGGATTAGATGGAATAAGGTATGGAAGGCACTATTTGTTGAGTAGCTACTGGTAACTGTTAGTGTGCTTCCTTTCTACTTTTTTTTTTTTTTAAATAGAGACAGGGTCTCACTATGTTGCCCAGGCTGGTCTTGAACTCCTGAGCTCAAGTGATCCTCCCGCCTCGGCCTCCCAAAACGCTAGGATTACAGGTATGAGCCACCACGCCTCACCCTTTCTACTTTTTTGATTATCACTGGCTGCATCCTCTAGGTTCCTCCTGTCTTTAATGAAAGTGCTTCAGAAAACATTACATATGGCTGGCTGTGGTGGCTCACACCTGTAATCCCGGCACTTTCGGAGGCCAAGGTGGGCAGATTGCTTGAGCCCAGTAGTTGGAGACCAACCTGGGTAACATGGCAAACCCCTGTCATTACAAAAATTAGCCACTGGGAGGCTGAGGTGAGGGGATTGCTTAAGCCCGGGAGGTCGAGGCGGCAATGAACCAGGACTGTGCCACTGCACTCCAGCCTGAGCCACAGAATGAGATCCCATCTCAAAAAAAAAAAAAAAAAAAAAAACAAAAAACAGGAAAAAGAAAAAAAGAAAAGAAAAGAAAAAGAAGAAAACAGTACATACACCCCACCCTACTCCAGTCACCATATATATCTTAGAAGAAACAGAAGATTCAGCGGCAGAGGATAAGAGAATATTCACCCTGAATTAAGACTAGTACTTTTTTGAAAAATTAACATAAGTATAATTTCATAAAACAGATGGATTGTTCTAAAGTCCCCAGGGTTGGCTGGGCACAGTGGCTCAAGGATGTAATCCCAGTATTTTGGGAGGCCAGGGCGGGTGGATCTCCTGAGGTCAGGAGTTCGAGATCAGCCTAGCCAACATGGTGAAACCCCATCTCTAATAAAAATACAAAAAAATTAGCTGGGCGTGGTGGTGCGCACCTGTAACCCCAGCTACTCGGGAAGCTGTGGCAGAAAAATCACTTGCACCTGGGAGGCAGAGGTTGCAGTGAGCCGAGATCATGCCACTGCACTCCAGCCTGGGTGACAGAGAGAGATTCCATCTCAAAAAAGTAAATAAAATAAATAAAGTCCCCAGGGTTCTAAGACTATTGACTTACTGGCACATACATCAGCTTATACAAATTTATTTTTTATTTTTTGGCATGGGATCTCAGTCTGTTGCCCAAGCTGGAGTGCAGAGGCAGGATCATTGCAGCCTCAACCTCCCAGGATCAGGTGATCCTCCCACCTCAGTTTTTGTATTTTATGTAGAGATGGGGGTTTCGCCATGTTGGCCAGGATGGTCTCAAACTCTTAGGCTCAAGTGATCCACCTAACTTAGCCTCCCAAAATGCTGGGATTACAGGCATGAGTCACAGCGCCTGGCCTCAATTTACACAAACTTTTTTTTTTTTTTTTGAGATGGAATCTTGCTCTGTCACTCAGGCTAGAGTGCAGTGGCGCGATCTCAGCTCACTACAACCTCCACCTCCCAGGTTCAAGCAATTCTCCTGCCTTAGCCTTCCGAGTAACTGGGATTACAGACGCCCACCACTACGCCTGGCTAATTTTTGGTATTTTTAGTAGAGATGGGGTTTCACCACGTTGGCTAGGGTGGTCTCGAACTCCTGACTTCAGGTGATCCACCCGCCTCGGCCTCCCAAAGTGCTGGGATTACAGGCATGAGCCACCGCACCTGGCCAAATCCAGGACTTTAAACACGATTTCCCCTTCAGATCTAATGGGTCAGAACTGCCTTCTGTATCCTATCTACTAAAAAGTACAGTAAATACACGTGACCATTTTTGTATATGTAGACTGGGCAAGTCATATGAGAAATACGCCAATGCATTTTTGGTTTTGATCCTTTTTCCCTAAACATGTCAGAGTCCCTGGGTGATACCTGAAGCTCCAGCCAGACAAAACTTACTCCCGGGAGACAGAGTGAGACCCTGTCTCAAAAAAAAAAAAAATAAATAAAGGAGAATATACCCTTTCCTTTGTGTCCCCAAGCATATGAAGATGCTGCCTTCTCTATGATCCTGTTACAATAAAAATGTGTTGAGTGAAAGGGTGAAGTGTGACATCATTTGTGCAGCAAGGCAACAGAATTATCTCGGACTGTCCACAAAGGCTACAACCTGATGTACACATGGACACAACTTGTTGGGAGAGCTTGCTGCTCCCTGTTTATAACAATAGCCACAATACTCCCTCCCACCTTTGTGTGAATGCCTCTTTGCAAGGTGATTTTATGCTTCTATCAACAGGAGACAGAGTCTACTTTTCCACTTTCGGGTGTAGTTTTGGATATGTGACTTGCTTTGGCCAACAGGACACTAGCACATGTGATGCAAGCAGAAGCTTGACAAGCCTGCCCTCTCTTGCCCCTAGGAATTCCTGCACTGTCATGTGAGTAAGCCTGGACTAGCTCCCTCCAGGGGGATAATGTACGTAAAGGGAAGCTCCAATCATCCCAGCCACTCATTCCAGGTGAGGACCCAGATACGTGAGTGAGGTTATTCCAGACTACCCAGCCCTGAATGTGTCAGGCCAAATCAGAACCACCAGCTGGTCCAGAGAATCATGAAAAAATAAAATAGCGGTTGCTTTTTATTTTTTTTGATATGAAGTCTCAGTAGTCTCGCTCTGTCACCCAGGCTGGAGTGTAGTGGTGTGATCTTGGCTCACTACAACTTCTACCTCCTGGGTTCAAGCGATTCTCCTGCCTCAGCCTCCTGAGTAGCTGGGATTACAGGCACACGCCACCACACCGGGCTAATTTTTGTATTTTTAACAGACACGAGGTTTGTTGGCTAGGCTGGTCTGGAACTCCTGACCTCAGGTGATCCGCTTGCCTCAGCCTCCCAAAGTGCTGGGATTACAGGCGTGAGCAACCGCGCCCAGCCTAGTGGTTGCTTTAAACTACTAGGTTCTGGAGTGGTTCTGTGCTATGTAACACAACACAGCACAAGTGAACTGATACACTAAACTTTGTCTTTCATTTCCCGAATTCTGGCTTTACTTGAAAACTTGAAGTGAGTTTGCAGAACTGATCACAAACAGAAATGTAATATGACACAGAGAAAAATATTTTTGGGAGTTCCTTTAGGAAATTAACATACTGCTTGTCAAACTTCTGATCACTTCCAGCATAACCCTCTAGGAATCTAACCTACAGAAACACTCATACAGTCACTGGGTTGATGTATGGGGATGTTTTCCCGGCATTACTTGTAATAATATAAAATTGGAAAACATCTAAATATCAATCACAAAGGAAAAGGATAATAAAATATGGTTAAGCTATTCCACTAACTGTCTTGTAGCTTTCATCTGCCACAGCAGATCACAGATCAGATCTGTGGGTTTTCATCTAGTTATTACTCACTGCACTAGAAACTGCCATCCAGGCGTGAAACTTTTGCCCAGATCACAAGGTATGCGGCAAGTGGCAGGGTTAGGCAGCAGCAGTCAAGGGTGGAATATTTCTAATTATTCGTTTATTAAAAATTATCGGCCAGGCACGGTGGCTCATGCCTGTAATCCCGGCACTTTGGGAGGCTGAGGCGGGAGGAATGCTTGAGCCCAGGAGTCCCAGACCAGCCTGGGCAACATGGCCAAACCCCATCTCTACAAAAGAAAAACAACAACCCCCAAAAACAAAATTACCCAGTTGTGGTGGTGCGTGCCTGCAGTCCCAGATATTTGGGAGGCTGAGGTGGGAAGATCCACTGAGCCCAGGGGGTTGAGGCTGCAGTGAGCCGTGGTCACACTACTGCACTCACCCTGGGTGACAGAGCAAGACTGTATCTCAAAAAAAAGAAAACAATACTCATAGGTATTAAAAAAAAAAAGTCAACATTTTTTTCTGGACATTACAGATTTTTAAATAATGTCTCGTTCAAGTATGAATTATGATACTCAAAAAGTAGAAGCAACCCAAAATATCTGTCAACTGATGAATGGATAAACAAAATGTGGTGAGGCTGGGCTCCATGGCTCACGCCTGTAATCCCAACACTCTGGGAGGCCGAGGTGGGAGATTCCTTGAGGCTAGGAGTTTGAGACCAGACTTGGCAACACAGCGAGACCCTATCTTGAAAAAGAAAAAGCATCTCTACAATGGAATATTATTTGGCCATGAAAGAAGATGAAGGACTTCAGGTATCTGGGCCAGCATGGAAGGAGCCTGAAAGTCAGCATTCCATCCTAACTACAAGGAAAAAGCTGAACAAACTGAAAAAATCAACACGTTTTCTTAAACCCGTAAGACCGGTAAGGTCACAGGGCAAACCACTGCCCCCAGACTTGGCGAAACAGACGGGTGAGTACAGAGACTCCCAGCTTACCACAGCAGACACCAGAGAGCAGACTTCCACAGGAACCAGCACTAGGGCAGGGAAACCTGAACTGCAACTGAGGAATTGCTGGAGACGCAGTGTGGACAAGTCTGAGAGTTAAAATCTCCAAGGTTACCCAATCAGCACAGACCCCACACTTTCGTGGGTTCTACTGAGAGGTGAAGCCAGCTGGGTTTCTGGGTCAGGTAGGGATTTGGAGAACTTTTCTGTCTAGCTAGAGGATTGTAAACACACCAATCAGCACTCTGTGTCTAGCTAAAGGACTATAAATGCACCAATCAGCACTCTGTAAAAACGCACCAATCAGCACTCTGTAAAAACGCACCAATCAGCACTCTGTGTATAGCCAAAGGATTGTAAACACACCTATCAGCACTCTATAAACTGCAGCAATCAGCACTCTGTGTCTAGCTAAAGGATTGTAAACACACCAATCAGCACTCTGTGTCTAGCTAAAGGACTGTACACGCACCAATCAGCACTCTGTAAAACTGCACCAATCAGCACTCTGTGTCTAGCTAAAAGATTGTAAACACACCAATCAGCACTCTGTAAAAACGCATCAATCAGCGCTCTGTAAAAACGTACCAATCAGTGCTCTGTGTCTAGCTAAAGGACTGTAAATGAACCAATCAGCACTCTGTAAAACAGACCAATCAGCGCTCTGTAAAATGGACCAATCAGCAGGACACGGGCCAAATAAGGGAATAAAAGCTGGCCACCCAAGCCAGCAGTGGCAACCCATTCGGGTCCCCTTCCACGCTGTGGAAGCTTTGTTCTCTCGCTCTTCACAATAAATCTTGCTGCTCCTCACTCTTTGGGTCTGCAGTACCTTTATGAGCTGTAACACTCATCACGACGGTCTGCGGCTTCATTCCTGAAGTCAGCGAGACCACGAACCCACTGGGAGGAACAAACAACTTTGGATGCGCCACCTTTAAGAGCTGTAACACTCACTGCGAAGGTCTGCGGCTTCACTCCTGAAGTCAGCGAGACCACGAACCCACCGGAAGGAACTCCCAACACATCTGAACATCTGAAGGAACAAACTCTGGACACACCATCTTTAAGAGCTGTAACACTCACTGTGAGGGTCCACGGCTTCATTCTTGAAGTCAGTGAGACTAAGAATCCACCAGAAGGAATAAATTCCAGACACACTACCTCCAAGAACCCTACCAGGTTCTCACAGCGAATATTAGAGAAAAATCCCCTTCTACTTCTGGCAGGGGGAGGGGAAAGGGAACCAATCTGAAATACCAGAGCATCCTCTTTTCTTTTGTTTTTTCTTTCTTTTTAAATTTTATTTATTTTTTATTTTTTTTTGAGAGAGAGTCTCACTCTGTCGCCCAGGCTGGACTGCAGTGGCATGATCTCGGCTCACTGCTAGCTCTGCCTCCCAGGTTCATGCTATTCTCCTGCCTCAGCCTCCTGAGTAGCTGGGACTACAGGCGCCTGCCACCACGCCTGACTAATTTTTTGTATTTTTAGTAGAGATGGGGTTTCACTGTGTTAGCCAGGATGGTCTCGATTTCCCGACCTCATGATCCACCTGCCTCAGCCTCCCAAAGTGCTGGGATTACAGGCGTGAGCCACCGCACCTGGCCTTATTTTTTTTTTTGAGACGGAGTCTTGCTCTGTCGCCCAGGCTGGAGTGCAGTGGCCCGATCTCGGCTCACCGCAAGCTCCGCCTCCTGAGTTCACGCCATTCTCCTGTCTCAGCCTCCCAAGTAGCTGGGACTACAGGTGTCCACCACCACACCCAGCTAATTTTTTCATATTTTTAGTAGAAACAGGGTTTCACTGTGTTAGCCAGGATGGTCTCGATCTCCTGACCTCGTGATCTGCCCGCCTCGGCCTCCCAATGTGCTGGGATTACAGGCATGAGCCACCGCGCCTGGCCGCCTTCTCTTTTCTTAAGGCTTGCCCTCCGGAGAACTATTTAACGTGAGCTAAACCTGCAGGGGTTTTATCAGAGCCTAACTGACCAGAAGGGAGATACCCAACTCCAGCTCCTGCCTTTCACCTGGAGGAAGAGAAATAGCCAACATCAGCCCACTTGACTCATCCTGTCCCACTTAAGGGAGGAATGGAGGAACTACAAAGTCCAAGTGAAGTTTACAGTCCAGAGATCCAGGGTTGCTAAAAGACTGAGACCTGGCCAGGCGCATGTTGGTAATCCCAGCACCCCAGGAGGCCGAGGTGGGCGGATCACGAGGTCAAGAGATCGAGACCATCCTGGCCAACATGGTGAAACCCTCTCTCTACTAAAAATACAACAATTAGCCGTGCATGGTGGCGTGCGCCTGTAGTCCCAGCTACTTGGGAGGCTGAGGCAGGAGAATCGCTTGAATCTGGGAGGCGAAGGTTGCAGTGAGCCGAAATCGCGTCACTGCACTCTGGCCAGAGACAGAGCAAGACTCCGTCTTAAAAAAAAGACAGACCAAATCCAGGACTGGA
Source organism: Homo sapiens (assembly GCF_000001405.40). Classification (NCBI taxonomy): domain Eukaryota; kingdom Metazoa; phylum Chordata; class Mammalia; order Primates; family Hominidae; genus Homo; species Homo sapiens. The sequence goes on from NC_000006.12 coordinate 107,086,644, forward strand.
GAATGCTGCCCTCCCCTTTCCTCTCCCCCGACATTATTGAAGGACTATTCACAGGAGTTCCTTGTACTCAGGATACCATGTCTGGTTACTAAGAAAAAACTGGCTGGGCACAGTGGCTCACGCCTGTAATCCCAGCACTTTGGGAGGCCGAGGTGGGCGGATCACAAGGTCAAGAGATTGAAACCATCCTGGCCAACATGGTAAAACCCCGTCTCTACTAAAACTACAAAAATAAGCTGGGCATGGTTGTACACGCCTGTAGTCACAGCTACTCGGGAGGCTGAGGCAGGAGAATTGCTTGAACCTGGGAGGCGGAGGTTGCAGTGGGCAGAGACTGAGCTGCTATACTCCAGTTTGGGCGACAGAGCAAGACTCTGTCTAAAAAAAAAAAAAAAAAAGAAAAAGAAAAAAAAACTACAAGCCTGGGCCGGTAATCCCAGCACTTTCAGAGGCCGAGGCGGGTGGACCACTTGAGGTCAGGAATTCGAGACCAGCCTGGTCAACATGGCGAAACCCCATCTCTACTAAAAATACAAAAATCAGCGAACGCCTGTAATCCTAACTATTTGGCAGGCTGAGGCAGGAGAATTGCTTGAATCTGGGAGGTGGAGGTTGCAGTGAGCAGAGATTGCGCCTCTGCACTCCAGCCTGGGTAAGAGAGCAAAACTCCAACTCAAAAAAGAAAAGAAAAGAAAAAACGACAAGGCGTACTAAGACCAAACCAGACTCAGAGGTGGTAGGGATGCTGGAATTATCAGAGAATGTGAAACAACTATGATTAATATGCCAAGGACTCTAATGGAAAAAGTAGACAACATGCAAGAACAGATGGTCGGCGAGGCGCAAGCACTTTAGGAGGCCGAGGCCGGCGGATCACGAGGTCAGGAGTTTGAGACCAGCCTGACCAACATGGTGAAACCCCATTTCTACTAAACATACAAAAATCAGCCAGGCATGGTGGCACGCACCTGTAATCTCAGCTACTCAGGAGGCTGAGGCAGGAGAATTGCTTGAATCTGGGAGGCGGAGGTTGCAGTGAGCTGAGATTGTGCCACTGCACTCCAGCCTGGGCGACAGAGCAAGACTCCATCTCGAAACAAACAAACAAACAAAAAAACAGATGGTCAATGGACACACAAATGAAAATACTTTTTTTTTTTTTTTTTTTTTTAGAGACAGGGTCTTGCTATGTTGTCCAAGCTGGTCTTAAACTCTGGGCTCAAATGATCCTCCCACCTCAGCCTCCCAAAGTGCTGAGATTGCAAACATGAGTCACCACACTTGACCTGAAATTCTAAGAAACAATAAAAAAGAAAGGCTAGTGATAAAAAAAAAAAAAACACTGTAATAGAAATGAAGAGCCCTTTTTTTTTTTTTTTTAGAGACAGGTTCTTGCTTTGTTCCCCTGCCTGGCTGAAATACAGTGGTGCAATCTTGGCTCACTGCAGCCTCAAACTACTGGCCTCAAGCAATCCTCCTGCCTCAGCCTCCTAAGTAGCTAGCTAGGACTATAGGCATGTGCCACCACACCCAGATAAAAGAATCCTTTTGATGGGTTTTTTGGTAGGCTGGACACGGCTGAAAAAAGAATCTCTGCATTTGAGGATATCTTAATAGATACCTCAAAAACAGAAAAGCAACAAGAAAAAGGAATGGAAAATTTGAACAGACTGCCCAAGAACTGTGGGATAACTACAAAAGGTGTTACAAAGGGTGTTACATATACACCATGGGAATACATGGAAAGAGAAAAAGGAACAGAAGAAATATTTGAAACCACAATGACTGAGAATTTCCCTAAATTAAGGTAAGATACCAAACCACAGATCTAAGAGGTTCAGAGAATAGCAAACATGATACACGAGAAACAAAACAAAACAAAAAAATCCACTATACCTAGGCATACTGTTTTCAAACTACAGAAAATCAAAGATTAAAAAAAATCCTGAAAGAAGTAAGGTGGGGAACAAAACACTTTACCTATAGAGGAGCAAAGATAAGAATTACACCTACATTCTCCTTAGAAACTGTGCAAGCAAGGAAGGGGACTGACAATCAAATGCAGTAAAACTGCAGGATACAAAAACAACATACAAAAACCAGGAGTATTTCTATGTGCCAAAAGTGAACAATCTGAAAAATAAATCAAGAAAGTAATATAATTTACGATAGCTACAAATAAAAATAAAGTATCTAAGAATTAATTTAACCAAAGAAGTGAAAGATCTCGGCCAGGCGCGGTGGCTCACACCTATAATCTTACCACTTACCACAGGTGGATCATCTGAGGTCAGGATCTGGAGACCAGCCTGGTCAACATGGCGAAACCCAGTCTCTACTAAAAATACAAAACTTAGCTGGGCGTGATGGTGGGTGCCTGTAATCCCAGTTACTTGGGAGGCTGAGGCAGGAGAATCACTTGAACCCAGGAGGTGAAGTTGCCGAGATCGCCCCATTGCACTCCAGCCTGGGCAAAAGATCGAGACTCCGTCTCAAAAAAAAAAAAAAGTGAAATATCTCTACAATGAAAACGTTTAAAACATTCATGTGAGAAATTGAAGAAGACACAAAAAAAGGAATGATATTCCACATTCGTGATTCGAAAAATCAATATTGTTAAAGTGAAATATTATCCATGCTACCAAAAGCCAACTAAAGATTTTATTTTTTTTCTCACACCTGTAATCCCAGCACTTTGGGAGGCCAAGGCAGGCGGATCACGACGTCAGGAAATTGAGACCATCCTGGCTAACACGGTGAAACCCCATCGCTACTAAAAATACAAAAACAAAATTAGCCCAGCATGGTGACGGGCGCCTGTAGTCCCAGCTACTCGGGAGTCTGAGGCAGGAGAATGGTGTGAACCCAGGAGGCGGAGCTTGCAGTGAGCCAAGATCGTGCCACTGCACTCCAGCCTGGGCGACACAGCGAGACTCTGTCTCGAAAAAAAAAAAGGATTTTTTTTTTTCGAGACAGAGTCTCGCTCTGTCACCCAGGCTAAAGCGCAAGGGCATGATCTTGGCTCACTGCAACCTCTGCCTCCCATGTTCAAGTGATTCTCCCGCCTCAGCCTCCTGAGTAGCTGGGATAAGAGGCACGCACAATTGTGCACGGCTAATTTTTGTATTTTTAGTAGAGATGGGGTTTCACCATGTTGGCCAGGCTGGTCTCGAACTCCTGACCTCAAATGATTCACTCACCTCAGCCTCCCAAAGTGCTGGGATTACAGGCGTGAGCCACTGCGCCTGGCCACCAACTACAGATTTACTACAATCCCTATCAAAATTCCAATGATATTCTTCACAAAAATAGAAAAAATAATCCTAAAATGTATACGGAACCACCAAAGAGCCAGAATATCCAAAGCTATCCTAGAACAAAATTGAAGGAATCACATTACCTGATTTTAAATTATACTACAGAGGCCAGGTGCACTGGCTCATGTTTGTAATCCCAGCACTTTGGGAGGCCAAGGCAGACAGATTGCTTGAGGTCAGGAGTTCAAGACCATCCTGGCCAACATGGAGAAACCCTGTCTCTACTAAAAATACAAAACTTAGCTGGGTGTGGTAGCATGTGCCTGTAATTCCAGCTTCTGGGGAGGCTGAGGCACGAGAATCACTTGAACCTTGGAGGTGGAGGTCGCACTGAGCCAAGATCGCACCACTGCACTCCAGCCTGGACGACAGAGCAAGACTCTGTCTCAAGTAAATAAATAAATAAATAAAATTAGGGAGTTTGTTGCCAGAAATGTTCAAAGGATTTCTTCAGAGAGAAAGAAAATGTCAGAAACATGAATCTACATAAAGAAAGAAAGTGCATCAGGGAAGGAATAACTGAAGGTAAAATAAAAACTTTATTTTTCTTACTCTGATCTGACAACTCTTTGTTCAAAATAATAATAGCAACAATGTAGTCAACTATATATGCTTGTGTGTGTGCACGCGCGTGTGCACGCACTTATATATAAATGAGTGACAGCAATAAGACAAGGGAGAAGAGGGAGGAATTTGGACTCTTTTGTTATTATAAGGTACTCACACCACTTCTGAAGTGGTAGGTTATTTGAACATATGCTTGGACTAGTTGTAAATATATGTTGCAAACTTTAGGGCAACCATTAAAAAAAAGAAAAAAATATTTAAGAAAAAAGTATAATTAACATGCTAAAAAAAGATAAAATTAGGCCAGGCGCAGTGGCTCATGCCTGTAATCCCAGCACTTTGGAAGGCAGAGGCAGTGGATCACCTGAGGTCAGTAGCTCGAGATCAGCCTGGTCAACATGGCAAAACCCCGTCTCTACTAAAAATACAAAAATTAGCCGAGCATGGTCGTGGGCACCTATAATCCCAGCTACTCAGTAGGCTGAGGCAGGATAATTGCTTGAACCTGGAAGGCAGAGGTTATAGTGAGCCAAGATCGCACCACTGCACTCCTGCCTGGGCAACAGAGTGATACTCCATCTCGAAAAAAAAAAAAGAAAGAAAATGAAAACTCAATTTACCAAAATTTGTGAAATGCAGCAAAAAGAGTGGTTAGAGGAAAATATATAGTATTGAAGGCATATAATAGAAAAGATCTAAAAATCATCTAAGCTTTTACCTGAGAAAACCAGAAAAGCAAATTAAATCCAAAGTAAGCAGAAGAAAAGAAACAAAAAAAAATTAGTGTAGAAATCAATGAAATTACTAACGGGAAATCAATAGATAAAAAAAAATCAATGAAACCAAAATCTGTTTCTCTGAAAAGATCAGTAAAATCCATATGCCTCTAGCAGGCTAAGTTAGAGAGAGAAAGAGGACACAAATTAGTAATATCAGAAATGAGAGATCCCACTACAGGCCCCATGGACATTGAAAGAATGATAAAGGAACACTATGACCAACTCTATGTCCACAAATTTGATAACCTAGAGGAAAGAGACTAATTCCTTAAAAGACACAATCTTCTAGAACTCATGGAAGAAGAGACATTCCAAATAGGGCTATATCTATTAAAGAAATTGAATCAGTAACTAATAGCCTTCCAAAACACAAAGTACCAGGCCCAAATGGGTTCAAAGGTGAATTTTACCAAACATTTAAGGGAAAAATGATACAATTTCTCTACAGTCTCAGAAAACAGAAGTAGAGAAACTACTTCCTAACTCATTCTATGAGGCCAGCATTACCTTAATACCAAAACCAGACAAAGACATTACAAGAAAAAAAGCTACAGACCAATATTTCTCATGAACACAGATGAAAAACCCTCAATAAAACATTAGCAGGAGACTGATTTGAGTCGTAATTCTGTCTCCCACGTGGCCAGCCTCACATTAAAAAAAACTGAGGCCAGGCATGGTGGCTCACGCCTGTAATCCTAGCACTTTGGGAGGCAGAGGTGGGCGGACTGCCTGAGCTCAGGAGTTGGGGACCAGCCTGGGCAACATGGTGAAACCCCATCTCTACTAAAATAGGAAACATTAGCCGGGTGTAGTGGCAGGTGCCTGTAGTCTCAGCTACTCGGGAGGCTGAGGCAGGAGAATTGCTTGAACCCGGGAGGCGGAGCTTGCAGTAAGCCGAGATCACACCACTGCACTCCCGCCTAGGAGATAGTGAGACTCTGTCTCAAAAAAAAAAAAGATTTTATACACCATGACCAACTTAGATTTATCCTAGACATGCAAAGGGGTTCATCATTTAAAAATCAGTTAATGAAATCCACCACAGCAACAGGGTAAAGAAGAAAAATCACATGATCATGTCAATAAATGCAGAAAAAGCACTTCACAAAATCCCACACCATTCATAACAAAAACTCTCAGTAAATTAGGACTAGAGGGAAACTTTCTCAACTTGAAAAAGAACACCTACAAAAATCCCACAGCTAACATTGTACTTAATGGTGAGAAATCAGAAGGTTTCCCATGAAGATCAGGCACAAAGCAAGGATGTCTCCCTCTCCTCATTCCTTTTCAATATTGTACTGAAGGTCTTAGGTAATGCAATAAGAAAAGAAAATGAAATAAAAGGTATACTATCGCGAAGGAAAAAATAAAACTGTCTTTCTTTGCACATGACATGATTGTCTATGTAGAACATCCAAAAGAATCCAAAAAACAACTGGAACTAATAAAGCAATTATAGGAAGGTTGTAGTATACAAGGTTACTATACAAAAGTCAATTTTATTTCCTATACACCAGCAATAAACAAGTAGAATTTAAAATTAAAAACACAATACCATTTATATCAGGACTCCAAAAACATGAAATACTTAAGTTATAAACCTAACAAAATACATATGTATACAAGATGTATATGAGGGAAAGTACAAAACTGATGAAAGTAATTTAAAAATTAAATAAATGGAGAGACATTCCATGCTCATAAAGAGGCAGACTCAGTATTTTCGAGATGTCAGTTCTTCCCACTTTGACCTATAGATTCAGTATGATCCCAATCAAAATCCCAGCAAGCTATTTTGCTGATATCAATAAACTAATTCTAAAATTTATATGGACAGACAAAAGCCCAGAATAGCCAACACAATAGTGAAAGAAAAGAACACAGTTGCCTGTAATCCCAGCACTTTGGGAGGCTGAGGAGGGCGGATCATGAAGCCAGGAGATCGAGACCATCCTGGCTAATACGGTGAAACCCCGTCTCTACTAAAAATACAAAAAAATTAGCCGGGCGTGGTGGTGGGTGCCTGTAGTCCCAGCTACTCAGGAGGCTGAGGCAGGAGAATGGTGTGAACCCGGGAGGCGGAGCTTGCAGTGAGCCAAGATCGCGCCACTGCACTCCAGCCTGGGCGACAGAGCGAGACTCCGTCTCAAAAAAAAAAAAAAGAAAAGAACACAGTTAAGACTGATACTACCTGACTGCAACATTTACCATAAAGCTACAGTAATCAAGACAGGGTGGTACTGGGGCAAGAATAAACAAATAGATCAATAGAACAGAATAGCCCAGAAGCAGAACTGCATAAAGACAGTCAACGGAAGCAATACGATGGAACACAGTCTTTTCAACATATTTTACTGGACCAAACTGGACATCCACATGCAAATATGTCAATCTAGACATAGTCCTTACACCCTTTACAAAAATCAACTCAAAAGGGATCACAAACCTAAATGTAAAATGAAAAACTATAAAACACCTAGAAGATAACATCAGAGAAAACATAGATGACCTTGGGTTTGGCAGTAACTTTTTAGATATGATACCAAAGCCACAGTCTATGAAAGAATTAATAAAGTGGACTTCATTAAAAGTAAACATTTCTGCTCTACAAGATACTGTCAAAAGAATGAAAGGCAAGCCACAGGCTGGGAGAAAATATTTGCAAAAGACATACCTGATAAAGGACTATTAATCAAAATACAGGACTGTTAATCAAAATATATGAAGAACTCTTAAAATTCAACAATAAAAACAAAACCCAATTTTAAAATGGGCCAGCCAGGTGTGGTGGCTCAAGCCTGTAATCCCGGCACTTTCGAAGGCTTCAGGCCAAAGGGTTACTTGAGCCGAGGAGCTCGAGACCAGCCTGGGCAACATAGCAAGATGCTATCTCTATAAAATAAAAATTAAAACGGGCCAAAAATCTTAATAGCCACTTCACCAAAAAAGCTATACTGCTGGCAAATAAGCATATAAAAAGATTCTCCACATCATATGTTGTCAGGGAAGCACAAATTAAGAGAACAACAGCCGGGCGTGGTGGCTCATGCCTGTAATCCCAGCACTTTGGAGGCTGAGGGGGGTGGATCACCTGAGGTTGGGAGTTCAAGACCAGCCTGACCAACATAGAGAAACCCCGTCTCTGCTTAAAATACAAAATTAGCTGGGCGTGGTGGTGCGTGCCTGTAATTCCAGCTACTCGGGAGGCTGAGGCAGGAGAATCGCTTGAACCCAGCAGGCAGAGGTTGTAGTGAGCTGAGATCGCGCCATTGCACTTCAGCCTGGGCAACAAGAGCAAAACTCCATCTCATAAATAAATAAATAAATAAATAAATAAATAAATAAATAAATAAAACGAACAACAAACTCCATCTCTACAAAAACTTTAAAAGTTAGCCAGGCATGGTGCTGCCATGCCTGTAGTCCCAGCTACTTGGGAGTCTGAAAGAGGAGGATCCCTTGAGCCCAGGAGTTTGAGATTACAGTGAGCTGACTATGTCACTGCCTTTTTTTTTTTTTTTTTTTTGAGACAGGGTCTCACTCTGTCACCCAGACTGGAGTGCAGTGACACAACCATGGTTCACGGCAGCCCCGACCTCCCAGGCTCAGGCGATCCTCCCACCGCAGCCTCCCGAGTAGCTGGGACTACAGGTGTGTGCCACCACGCCTGGATAATTTTTTTGTATTTTTTGTAGAGACAAGGTTTTGCCATATTGCCCAGGCTGATCTGGAACTCCTGGACTCAAGCAATCCACCTGCCTCAGCCTCCCAAGATGCAAGGATTACAGGTGTTAAACCACCACACCTAGCTGTGCCACTGCTTTTGCACTCCACCCTGGCAACAGAGAGAACCTGTCTCAAACAACAACAATAACATAAACAAAAACACAACTGCTGGGCACAGTGGCTCATGCCTGTAATCCCAACACTTTGGGAGGCTGAGGCAAGAGGATCGCTTGAGGCCAGGAGGTCAAGAATAGCCTGGGCAACATAGTGAGACCACCTTCATCTCTGCAAAAAAAAAATTTTTTTTAAACTAAACAAAGAAAAAAACCAAGATACTACCACATACCTATTAGAATGGTCAAAATCCGAACACTGACAACAGCAAATGCTTTCAAGGATGTGGAGCAAGAGGAACTTGTTAGTGGGACTGTAAAATGGTCCAGCCACTTTGGAAGGCAGTTTGGTAGTTTTTTACCAAACTAAACATAATCACACTCCTCGGTGTTTATCCAAAGGAGCTGAAAACTTATGTCCACATGAAAACCTATACATGGATGTTTATAGCAGCATTATTCATAATTGCCAAAACTTGGAAGCATCCAAGATGTCCTTTAGTAGGTAAATGAATAAATAAACTCTGGTACATCTGGGCAATAGAATATGATTCAGTGCTAAAAGAAAATGAGCTATTAAGCCATGAAAAGACATGGAGGAAACTCAAATGCATATTGCTAAGTATAATAAACCAATCTAAAAAGGCTACACATTGTATGATTCCAACTTCACGACATTCTGGAAAAGATAAAAGTATGGAGATGGTAAAGAGATCAGTGGTTGCTGGGGGTTATGTGGGAGTGAAGGATGAACAGATAGAGCATAACAGATTTTTAGGACAGCAAAACTACTCTGTATGATACTACAAATGGTATATACATTTGTCCAAACCCACAGACTATACAATAGCAAGAGTGAGCCCTAATGTAAACTACTGACTTTGGGCAATAATGTGTCAATGGGGGATCATCAGTTGTAATAAATGCATCAATCTGGTATACAATGTTGACAATGGGGGAGGTTATAAACATGCAGGGGTAAGGAAGTATATGGGAAATCTGTCTCTTTTGCTCAATTTTTCTGTAAACCTAAAACTGCTCTATAAAATAAAGTCTGTTAAAACAAAAAGAAATGAAGTACTGATACATAGATGATGAACCTTGAAAACATTATGCTAAGAAGCCAGACACATATGGCCATAGAACATATGATTACATTACATGAAATGCCTAGAATTGGCCGGGCATAGTGACTCACGCCTGTAATCCCAGCAATCTGGAAGGCCGAGGCGAGTGAATTACGTGAGGTCAGGAGTTTGAGACCAGCCTGGCCAACATAGTGAAACCCTGTCTCTACTAAAAATACAAAAATTAGCCAGGCGTGGTGGTGCCCACCTGTAATCCCAGCTACTCGGGAGGATGAGGCAGGAGAATCGCTTGAACAAGGAGACAGAGGCTGCAGTGAGCTGAGCTCATGACACTGCACTCCAAGCCTGGGCCACACAGCGAGACTCCATCCATCCATCAATCAATCAATCAATTAAAAATAAAAATGAAATGCCCACAATAGGCAAATCCTTAGAAAGTACATTAGTGATTGTCAGTAGCTGGAAAAGTAGGGAATGAGGAGCTACTGCTAATGGGCAGGGACTCTTTGTAAGGTTATAAAAATGTCCTAAAATAGCATAACTCTGGGAATATACTAAAAACCATTAAACTAGGGCTGAGCGCGGTGACTCATGCTTGTAATCCCAGCACTTTGGGAGGCCAAGACAGGCAGACCACTTGAGGTCTGGAGTTTGAGACCAGCCTGGACCAACACTGCAGATGTTGCAGTGAGCTGAGATTGCGCCACTGCATTCCAGCCTGGGCGACAGAGCGAGACCCTGTCTCAGACAAAAACAAACAAACAAACAAACAAAAACATTAAATTATATAACTTAAATTGGTGAAAGGTATAGTATGTGAATTATATCTTAATAAAGTTGTTTTGGGCCTGATGCAGTGGCTCACACCTGTAATCCGAACACTTTGGGAGGCTGAGGCAGGCGGATCACCTGAGGTCAGGAGATTGAGACCAGCCTGACCAACATGAAGAAACCCTGTCTCTACTAAAAATACAAAAATTAGCCGGGCGTGGTGGCACACGCTTATAATCCCAGCTACTCGGGAGGCTGAGGCAGGAGAATTGCTTGAACCCAGGAGGCGGAGGTTGCGGTAAGCCAAGATCGCGCCATTGCACTCCAGCCTGGGCAACAAGAGTGAAACTCTGTCTCAAAGATGAAAAAAAAAAAATTAAAGCCCAAATAAATTAGAGAAACAAGTTGTTTAAAAAAGAAAAGCCATTCAGACCAGAATAAAGAGTTAGAAAAAAAAAACCCTGAATAAATAAAATAGTAAATAAAAGTATCACTCATGGCCAGGCACAGTGGCTCACACCTGTAATCCCAGCACTTTGGGAGGCCAAGGCAGGCAGATCACCTGAGGTCGGGAGTTCAAGACCAGCTTGGCCAACATGGAGAAACCCTGTATCTACTAAAAATACAAAATTAGCTGGGCATGGTGGCGCATGCCTGTAATCTCAGCTTCTCGGGAGGCTGAGGTAGGAGAATCGCTTGAACCTAGGAGGCAGAGGTTGCTGTGAGCTGAGATTGCGCCACTGCACTCCAGCCTGGGCAAGAACAGCAAAACTCCGTCTCAAAAAAAAAAAAAAAAAAAAAAAAACCCCAACAAACCTATCACTCAGTGTTCCATGATGTGGAATGTAGGTCCTCACTATAAACATGTATATTTAAATCTTGGTTAAAATCTTAGTCTCATCATTATGCAAATTAAAGCCTAACCAAATCCCTAAAATGTATAACTTCCTAATTTGTTTGGATCTGCCCTAACATCCAACAGGGGAGAGTTAAAACAAACCAATTAAACAAAGAGTTGGCTGTGCACTATGGCTCACGCCTGTAATCCCAGCACTTTGGGAGGCCAAGTCAGGAGGATCACTTGAGGCCAGGAGTTCAAGACCAGCCTGGGCAACATAGTGAGATCCAGTCTCTATTTAAATAAGTGAATGATAGATTTAATTTAGGAAAAGACCTGACCTCCAGCTAATGCCCCACTTTTGCAAGAATCAGCTACTATGTCAAGTGTGGTAGGCTTACGTTAACCGTCCTCACTATCAGCAAGCTCCTGCTTTCCCCCACAAAGCACAGCAAAATAACGCAAAAGCAGCTGCAATGTGAAGGCTCCCTTTACCCACCAGGAATCCCAACACAAACAAGAATTCCAGTTAAAGACAGACACTTTCGAGAAACTGAAGCCAGAGATGGGATAGCTTAAATGAAACCTTCCCATGCCCAAGGGTTCAGCAGTTGCCAGGATGCCCAAAACAAGAGGGAGATTCAGCATGGAATCAGAGAGGGTTAGAGCCCAAGCAAAGAGTGACAGCAGCTAGGCCCTCACCTCGGGGATCAGCCGCCTCCTCTTCACGCCGGGGACAGAGTCTAGCAGGCCATCGCTGACCAGCTGCTTTCGTTTGCTGGAGTCCTGCAGGGCAGTGAGGACGCTGTCCACAGAGTGCTTCTCAGAAGTCCTGGAATTCACGGAGCAGTCCAGAGCAGCATCTTCAGCCTCTGTCTCCACTTTCACAGTGATACTTTTTAGAACTGTGTCAGAGAAGAAATAGGGCTCAGTGGGAAAAACCAGGGCTGCTCAGAGATCAGCAGGGTTCTCTGAGCAGCAGGGTGTCTGTGGGCCGCCCTTTGACACCAGTGCTGAGATAATGATGTCTAGTTGTAACAAACCTGAGCTTTCCAACGATGCAATCTTTATCTCACCGCACTAGTGCTGTACAATAAAGCCATGTTCCAAGAGCATTTAGTTCAAATTGGTTTAAACATCTTTTTTTGGGGGGGAAGACAGTGGAAGGAGAGACATAAAATATTATCTTTTTGTGCTTTAAAAAAGTAATTTTTAAAAAGTGACACAAGGTGCTTATAACAAGTGTGTGGGTGGAGGGGGATGGGAACCGGGGAACAAGTGTGTGGGTGGAGGGGACTTTTCACTATATAACTTTGTATATTTTTGGACCATGTGAATGTATGACCTGATCAAAAGTATTCAGTTAAAAACATTTTTCAAAAAGGGCATTTTTTTTTTACCTTCTTCTACATCTTCGGTGAATTCAGTTGAGTTCATCTTCTATTCCGCTAAATAAAAAGACAAAGACAATGTGTTGACTTATTGCTTGATTTATTTCTTAATTTTCTCTACCCACAGAAAATCCTCTTACCCTCCCAACCCCAGCTCTAGGTAACAGAGCAGCACAGCACTGTGGAAGCTATGTGTCCTCCTAATCTTGTCTGCAGACACTCAGGAGCAGCCAGGCCTTGTGCATCCCTGCTGGGAGCTCTTCTCCAAGACTTTATGTGAGCAGAATGTGTCTTACAGCATCCACTGATAGCCACTTACTGAGCCATGGGAACATTACAAGAACAAATCAACTCTTAAAAAAGACCCCAATTTTAATTATCTCTTTTAAGTCCATGCTTATAAATTCCAGCCACAAAACAAATAGGCTGAAGGATGGGGGCCATGGATCCTGAAATCTTAGGACTTACGGTTGTCAAGAGAACTGTGCTGCCCATGACCTGAAGGTGGCTACTAGCCACACCTGGCTACCAAGGACTCAAAATGTGGCTAGTCCAATGGAGATGTGCTATAAGTGTAAAATACACACCAAATCTCAGACTTAGTAACAGAAATGCAAAATATCTCACTAGTAATTTTTTTTTTTTTAGAGGAAAGGTCTCACTCTTTTCACCCTGGCTGGAGTACAGTAGCACTATCATGGCTCATTGCAGCCTCTGATTCCTGGGCTCTAGCAATCCTCCTGCCTCAGCCTCTAGAATGGCTAGGACTACAGGTACCACATGCCGCCACCCACAGCTAATTAAAAAATTTTTTTGTAGAGATGCGGTTTCACTATGTTGACCAGGCTGCTCTTGAACTCCTCAAGCGATCCTTCCACCTTGGCCTCCCAAAGTGCTGGGATTACACATCTGAGCCACAGTGCCCAGTCCTAATAATTGCTTTATATTGATTACATGTTGAAATGATAATATTTTGGACTTACTGGGCTAAATACAATACTTTATTTCATTTATTTGTTTATGAAACGGAATCTTGCTTTGTCACCAGGCTGGAGTGCAGTGGCGCAATCTTGGCTCACTGCAACCTCCGCCTCCTGGGTTCAAGTGATTCTCCTGCCTCTGCCTCCAAGTGATTCTCCTGCCTCTGCCTCCCGAGTAGCTGGGACTACAGGCATAAGCCACCACTCCCGGCTAATTTTTTGTATTTTTAGTAGAGACAGGGTTTCATCGTGTTAGCCAGGATGGTCTCGATCTCCTGACCTCATGATCCGCCCACCTCAGCCTCCCAAAGTGCTGGGATTAGAGGTGTGAGCCATTGTGCCCAGCCTAAGCTTCATTAGAAAGGTGGGCAGTGCTCTGTTCCAGGCTGCAGGGTCTGAAGCAAAACCTGCCTGCCTCAGCTGGAATGGAACTGACACCATGAGGCAAAGCACCACTAAAACAAAACAAACAAAATTACCACTAAGTCTCTGATATCTCCGAATACCATGACAGCATGTACATAAATAGTACAAGATACAAAGGTAGTAACATTTGGAGAATATACATTGCAATCTTTAATGTTGACACTTGGGAGTTGTGATCCCCACAACTGATTAAGCTGACTACAAACACAGAGTTCTCATTTTGGTTGAGGATGAGTGGAGAGCAGGACCAAGAAGTATCTCTTAAGAAATTTCTGGCCGGGAATGGTGGCTCGTGCCTGTAATCCCAGCACTTTGGGAGGCTGGGGTGGGCGAATCACCTGGGGTCAGAAGTTCAACACCAGCCTGGCCAACATGGTGAAACCCCATCTGTACTAAAAATACAAAAATTAGCTGGGCATGGTGGCACACGCCTATAGTCCCAGCTACTTGGGAGACTGAGGCAGGAGAACTGCTTGAACCCGGGAGGCAGAGGTTGCAGTGAGCCAAGATCACACCACTATACCCCAGCCTGGGTGACAGAGTGAGACTCTGTCTCAAAAAAAAAGAAAGAAACTCTGTAAGCATGAAGCCATCTAAAATGTTCAGTGAACCATTCAAGGAGTAGCCACAGAATGGTGTGTGTTTGACATACAGTACCTGTTTTAGACAGGTGAATGGGGTGGGGATGGCAGCAAGAGGGAGAGTGTGTCTGGGTGATCCATGAGCACAATCATCACTGCAAAGGTTACTAATAATGGCAACACATACAGTGCTTATGATGTGAAGCACTATTTTTAGTTCAAGAACAGTGCACAATAGTGCAAGACAGGCACAATTCTTTTCATCCCTGTATTGCTAATTTTCAGAGGAATGAAAACCAAAATGAGATTTGAAACTGAAAATAATTCCTACTCACCAAGCCATCTCCTACCTGAAAAAACATTACACACAGGGTGATATTGACAGAAAACAAATAATAAGTCAACTTCAAGGGTCCGAGAACTATTTTACCAGAGTCAAATTTTAGCAACTCCTTCCACTGTATTTCAAGGAACTACACCTCACTTTGGATCGCCATCATCTGAGCTGGGTGTCTCTGAGTGGCTAGAAGGGCTGGACAATGCCAGGCAGAAATTCAAGACCGGATTCCCAGCCTGGTAGGAGGCCTCTCAAGGAAACACACTGCAGGTCACCTGAATGCCCCTGCCCTTGGAAACTGCCATGGTCACATAACCCATTCCTGCCAATCAAGGGGAGTTCTGAGATGCAGAACAGATGGGGCAAAACGATGGCTGTCAGAGGCGGACATACTTTACAAAACAAATTACATTTGGCAGAGAAAAGGCAGAGAGGGAGGAGACAGCGGTTGGTTTATTTGGGGAGGAAAAGGGTCATGGTGAAAGAAAAATTGCAAAGAGTCAAAGATTCTGGTAAGTGGAAAGCACTAAAAGGATGGGCAAATACTAGAACAAAACAAAACAGGCGTCGATGAGAGAACACAGCAGACAGGGCCATGGGTGGTGAGAAGGGCAGTCTATTTATCTGCCATTATATTCGCCCAACCATGTGTCTCTGGCAGGCCCATCACATAGGGAGCAGTGCAGGGCTGGAGTCCAGGCTGCCACATGGAGCCTGCCGGGAATGTGGCTTGGTGAGCAGAAAACCTATTTTCTGATTTTTTATTTTTCCTTGTTTCCAGTGGGGTTGGAAGGAGGCTATTTTCTGAACCACCACCATGTGACCCTACAGCAGGCAATTTGGCCTCTGAATTTTGAGCCCCTATAAAGTGATGAAGGAAGAGCACACATCTCAGCCACCTGCAGTGGGCAGAAACCCCAGAGGGCTCATGCAGCTGAGGTGGGAGGAAGGGGTGCTGGTGCGGCTGCCTGGGCATTCAAGACACCGAGTGCTTGTGCTTTGGAAAACACTTCCGTGTCCATTTATAGACTAGTGACAGATGCTAGGTTAGCCCAGAAGTAGCCCAGAACACAGCATGGTGGGCCCCTTCCCTCCGGGCCAGCAAATCAGCTTCACTCATTAAGAAGCTGGGGAATCTCCCATTTGCAAGGCCTGGAAACCTCGCGCCTGCCCCTGGCTTGCGCAGTGGGGAGTGAGGTGAGCATCCCCTGTAACATCTGCAGCCCACCAACTTCACACCAGGCACTGGGCTGGCCACTGCATGTGTGCCTGTGCCTCACCCTGAGCTATTTTAGTTCCAATTTCAACAAATAGAGAAACCCAGGACAGGTAACTCCTCCAGTGTCACATCACTGAGTGGCAGAACCTGGCTTCAAATCGAGTCTTTCTGTGCCTTCCCTCAGCCAGCCAGGGAGGAAATAATAGAGTCTTCATTCTTTTGTTAAGCTTCTTCTGATGAACCATGGGCCTGTTTCCAAATTTGAGTCCCTCTGTCCAACAGCACCAGGAAACCACATCTCCTTCTGCCTCCATTAGCACTCTGGAAAGTCAGTCTGCTCCGTGCGTAGAAACAGACTCCACCCCACAATACAGAAAAGCTTCTACAAGAGAGATGTGTAGGCCACTCCCTGCATCCCCAGCTGGCGCAGGGACAGCACACCAACAATGTCACAGCTGGGCAGAAAGGGGATGGGGAGCACACTGCTACCTCCATTTCCTGGTCACCTGCCCAGATGAGGGTCACAAGCTCTGCTCCTCCTGGGTGGACACCCAGCACCCAGATGCCTAGCATGCCACAGACATTCCTCTCGCCTACCTGACTATAGGCTACGTAGGCGCTGCCACAACTACCCAACCACCACAGCACCCACCTCCTAAAGGCTGCTGTGAGCATTCCCTTTGCCTCCTGGACTCTGGAGAACTTCTCATTCTGACATTCTCTCATTTTCAAAATGTTCTCATGCCTCCCACCATAAACCTCAAATTATGGGACAGTCAACACATCCACACGTTCCCCAAAATCAACTTTCTCCCCAAGGGATGTCTGTTCTATGTCCCTCAGACAGCTGAGCTAAGCCTAGGAAAAAAGAAAAAGAAAAAAGAGGCCAGGCACGGTGGCACACGCCTGTAATCCCAGGACTTTGGGAGGCCAAGGCGGGCGGATCACCTGAGGATGGGAGTTGGAGACCAGCCTGACCAACATGCAGAAACCCCATCTCTACTAAAAATACAAAATTAGCTGGGCATGGTGGCGCGTGCCTGTAATCCCAGCTACTCAGGAGGCTGAGGCAGGAGAATCGCTTGAATCCGGGAGGCGGAGGTTGTGAGGAGCCGAGATCGCGCCATTCAACGCCAGGCTAGGCAACAAGAGCGAAACTCCGTCTCAAAAAAAAAAAAAAGAAAGAAAGAAAGAAAGAAAGAAAGAAAAAACAAAGAAAAAAGAGAAGGCCGGGCGTGGTAGCTCACACCTGTAACCCCAGCACTTTGGAGGCGGGCAGATCACGAGGTCAGGAGATGGAGACCATCCTGGCTAACACGGTGAAACCCCATCTCTACTAAAAAAAATACAAAAAAAAATTAGCCAGGCGTGGTGGCGGGCGCCCATAGTCCCAGCTACTCGGGAGGCTGAGGCAGGAGAATGGCATGAACCCAGGAGGCAGAGCCTGCAGTGAGCCGAGATCGCGCCACTGCACTCCAGCCTGGGCGACAGAGCGAGACTCCGTCTCAAAAAAAAAAAAAAAAAAAGGAAGAACCACATCACAAAGAGATAGGCTGGAAAGAGTTACACACTACAGGACACTTCATCTTTTTAGTGTTCATTTTAAGAGGGAAGATACATAATGTGGCTTTTCCCCATTTTTTACCAGGTAATATAGTCATGCCTTAGTATCCTCAGGGGGTTGGTTCCAAGACTCCCAGTGACACCCAAATCCACAGATGTTCAAGTCCCTGATAAAAAATAGCATAATATTTGCATGTAACCTGTGTACATCCTCCTGTATACTTTAAATCACCTCCAGATTACTTATAATAATACAATGTAAGTGGTATATAAATAGTGGTTATAGTGTATAGTTTTTTCGTGGTGTAATTTTTTACTGGTTTTTCTTTTGGATTTTTTTTTTTTTTAAGATGGGTTCTGTCACCCAGGCTGCAGTGCAGTGGTATGATCGTGTCTTACTGCAGCCTTAACCTCCTGGACTCAAGCCATCCTCCCACCTCAGCCTCCCAAGCAGCTGGGACCACAGGCATGCGCCACCACATACAGCTAGTTTTTTATTTTGTAGAGACGGGCCTCCCTACGTTGCCCAAGCTGGTCTCAAACTCTGGGGCTCAAGCAATCCACCCACCTCGACCTCCCAAAGTGCTGGGATTAGAGGTGTGAGCCACTGTGTCCAGCTCCAGCTTCTGGAATATTTTCTACCTGCAGTTGGATGAACCTGCAGATGTGGCGGGGCTGACTGTACATGCACACAGAACAAAAATCAGCAAGCATGAAAGGATATTTGGTTAAAAAGTCCACTGTTGGCTGGGCGCAGTGGCTCACACCCGTAATCCCAGCATTTTGGGAGGCCAAGCCAGGTGGATCACGAGGTCAAGAGATGGAGCCCATCCTGGCCAACGTGGTGAAACCCCATCTCTACTAAAAATACAAAAATTAGCTGGGCGTGGAGGCACCCACCTGTAGTCCCAGCTACTCCGGAGGCTGAGGCAGGAGAATCGCTTGAACCTGGGAGACAGAGGTTGCAGTGAGCCGAGATCGCGCCACTGCACTCCAGTCTGGGAGACAGAGAAAGACTCTGTCTCAAAAAAGAAAAAAAAAAAAAAAAAGAACTGGGATGGGAGATGACATGGTCTTCTAAGCAGGGGGCGGTTGATCAGGATCACTGGCCTTTTCCCTGTCCAGCCCATAGATTTCCAAAAGGACATTCTCTAGTGAACCCATAGGCGGCTGGGAGTGGCCCGGGGTACCTTTCTATCAAGTTCTTTGAATAGTCAGTTGCTGTGGAGAGAGCAGACAGACCAGGTCTTTTGGGACAGCAGCGTGAGCCTAATCAGAGCTGCCAGAGGCCTGTGGGCCGGGGAGTCACACAGGACAAGCGGCAGGCCCAGAAATGGGAAGTACTTGGGCTTCCTGCAACCTGGAGGTTCAAATTCCAGCCAGCTGACTCCGGATTTTACCCTGCTAGATCAGAGATGTCCTCGCCACTGTGCTGAGGTGCCAGTCCAGGAAGACCTGGCCCCAGCAGCCCTGACCTCATGCCACTCAGGGGCAAATCCCCCTTACCCCTAAGAGCTGTTTCCAGATGCAAACTGAAGCAAACTCTCACTACCAGAAGATTCCCTTGAGAATGTGGGCCCCAGAACAGGAATGTGATTGGAACCTGAAACAATAGGGATGGTGGCTGTGTGGCCCCTGCCACACACAAAAGGTAAAGTGGAGAGAATATGCTCAGTCATTAACAAAACAAACTCAAGGATTTTAAAAATTTAACCAAGACCTAAACCTTACTTCAATCTTTTCACAATTGCCATATGTCTGATTTGATTTCAAGGAACTTCTCTGCTACAGGTGACATTGACTTCTAAAAATTAAACCTAGAAGAGGGGGACAGTAGTTAGTATT
Organism: Homo sapiens; assembly: GCF_000001405.40. Taxonomy (NCBI): domain Eukaryota; kingdom Metazoa; phylum Chordata; class Mammalia; order Primates; family Hominidae; genus Homo; species Homo sapiens. Next base: position 107,106,191 of record NC_000006.12, read on the forward strand.
CATGTGGCACAGGCTTCATGTTCTAAGTGTTACATATGTCAACCCACACAGTCCCCACCAGCACTGCTTCTTGTGCAGATAGGGAACGGGGCGGGGGTGGGGTGATTTGTGCTGCCCAAGGGATGCAGCTGAGACCAGGGAGTAGGAAGGACTTCAGGAGACTCCCGGCATGAGAGCTTCATTCCAGCCTTCCAAGGAAGCTGGGACTGAGGAATGGGCCATGACCTCCCAGCTTTCTTTCCCTCTTCCTGCTAAGCTGTGAGCTGGGTGCAGGTGCATGAGCAAGTCAACAAGCCAGATGGGCCAGTCTGTGACCAAGGCAGGAATTAGTGCAGGTGACCCTCCAAAAAATGGAATTCTTTACTAAACTTTGGAGTCAGATGGAACTGCATGAAACCCTGGCTTTTAATCCAGTTTTTTCATTTTTTTTTTCCCCAGAGATGGGGGTCTTGCTCTGTTACCCAGGCAGAGTGCAGCAGTATGATCAGAGCTCACTGTAGCCTTGAACTCCTGGGCTCAGATGATTCTCCCATCTCAGCCTGTGAGTAGCTAGGACTATAGGTGCACGCCACCACACCCAGCTAATTTTTTATTTTTTGTAGAGACAGGGTCTCCAGGTGTTGCCCAAAATGGTCTCAAACTCCGGGCTTCCAGCAACCCTCCGGCCTCAGCCTCCCAAAGTGCTGGGATTTCAGATGCAAGCCACCACACCTGACCCTTAACCCAGCCCAGTTTTCAAAGAGGGCTTTTTTTTTTTTTTTTTTGAGACGGAGTCTCGCTCTGTCGCCCAGACTGGAGTGCAGTGGCACAATTTCGGCTCACTGCAACCTCTGCCTCCCGGGTTCAAGTGATACTCCTGCCCCAGCCTCCCAAGTATCTGGGATTACAGGCATGCACCACCACATCCGGCTAATTTTTGTATTTTTAGTAGAGACAGAGTTTCACCATGTTGGCCCAGCTGGTCTGGAACTCCTGACCTCAGCTGATCCACCCGCCTCGGCCTCCCAAAGTGCTGAGATTACAGGTATGAGCCACTGCACCCAGCCCAAAAAGGTTTTTAACCGAGTTAAAATATTTAGCATCTAACACCAGGCCAGCTGTTTACCTACCCATCCAAGCTGTATTCTGTAATAGGAGCTGGACACATCTACCTCACCTCAAAAAGTTTTTGTGAAAACTACAAAGGAGAAAGTGTCTGACACATAGCACTCAAAGTTACCTATTATAAAGCTTCTTTTTTTTTTTTTAAGGAAAAGATGTTTAAAGTGCATTTTATTTTTTTATTTTTTTGAGACAAAGTCTCATTCTGTCGCCCAGGCTGGAGTGCAGTGGCACAATCTTGGCTCACTGCAACCTTTGCCTCCTGGGTTCAAGCGATTCTCCTGCCTCAGCCTCCCAAGCAGCTGGGATTACAGGTGGGCACCACCATGCCTGATTAATTTCTGTATTTTCAGTAGAGACGGGGTTTTACCATGTTGGCCAGGATGGCCTTGAACTCCTGGCTTCAAAGTTCCACCTGCCTTGGCCTCCCAAAGTTCTGGGATTACAGGTGTGAGCCATCCCGCCCAGCCTAAAGTACATTTTAATAGTGAATTTTTAAGAACTGCAAATTAAATAAAATGGCTTAAAAGATTAAAAAGGTTTAGTAACTTTTCTTTCCAATGAAACATAGAAACTGGAGGGAGGGGGATGAAACCAAATAAAATGCTCTCCCTGAGGACAGGAGGAATGTTCCCATGCCATCCACTCTGGTGCCGCGGGTCTCTGGGTTCACAGGACCGGCTGGGAGCCTCAAGGGTCTCAGGACCCAGCCCCCTTGGCAGTGGCATCCTGCCCAAGGGACTTGCAGGACATGTTCGCAATTTGTTTTTATTTTTAGGCACATCTGCAAATGCAGTTTGAAAAATACCAGTCCTCACAAAACCAGGGCAATTTTCCCCAGAGTTTTTCTAAAGCTGTAATTGTAGCTGCCTTCCTTATTCAGTCAGAGCACAACCTCATCTTCCGCATGCAGCCAAGCACAGCCGCACAACCCTGCCCGCGCGCCTGTGATTTGGCGTCTTAATCTTTGGTCACTTGCGTCTTCTGAGTCTTGAGTAAATGTGCCATCTTCCTCAGCTAAGAAGTTCCACTTACGTTCTCCCCAACCTCGTGGAGGGCTACCTCCTCACATGGCTCACAGGAGACTCTGCGTATTAACCTTGGCATGCAGAAGCTGAGGCTCAAGGTGGAAGGAGGGACCGCACATTCCAGCATCCAGCCATGTGACTGACTGCACAACGGTGACTAATTTTCCTAGGAGGTATAAGCTGAGTTTCCGCTGCACTTCCCATTTTATCAAGTGTTTTATTTTGTGACCACACAAGCTGATTAGGGTTCGGGGCAGTTGGGTGTATACTGCACCCCCAATCCTAAGCAAGCCTCAGTCCTTCGCTCTGCTAGCTCCATGCTCAAACCAAAACAGCCCCTGACATACAAGAAAAGGCCAGTAAATGACTTATTCAATTGAGCAATCAATGCCCTGATACTGATGCAACTGTGTTTCACTAGTCAGAAATAACTGAAAATCAGACAAGAGGAGAGGTGGCCACAGGTAGAAAAAAAATTAAGAGGGTTGATTGATTGATTGATTTGAGATGGAGTCTCGCTCTGTTGCCCAGGATGGAGTGCAGTGGTGCGACCTCGGCTCTCTGCAACTCTGCATCCCGCGTTCAAGCAATTCTCCTGTCTCAGCCTCCCGAGTAGCTGGGACAACAGTCATGTGCCACCACACCTGGCTAATTTTTGTATTTTTCACTAGAGATGGGGTTTGGCCATGTTGGCCAGGCTGGTCTCGAACTCCTGGCCTCAAGAGATCCACCCGCCTCAGCCTCCTAAGGTGCTGGGATTACAGGTATGAGCCACCACATCCAGCCAAGAGGGCTGACTTTAAATACACGTTTCAACTTGGATTAAAAATTGGTGGGGGCGGGGGGCGGTCTGGGCGTGGTGGCTCATGCCTGTAATCCCATCACTTTGGGAGGCCGAGGTGGGAAGATCACCTGAGGTTGAGAGACCAGCCTGGCCAACATGACAAAACCCCGTCTCTACTAAAAATACAAAAATTAGCTGGGTATGGTGGCACGGGCCTGTAATCCCAGCTATTTAGGAGGCTGAGGCAAGAGAATCCTTGAACCTGGGAGATGGAGGGTCCAATGAGCTGAGATAGTGCCGTTGCACTCCAGCCTGGGTGACAGAGCAAGACTCTGTCTCAAAAAAAAAAAAAAAATCGAGGTGGGGCAGGCATAGTGGCTTACACCTGTAATCTCAGCCAAAGACAGGTTGGAACACTTGACTCCAGGAGTTTGAGACCAGCCTGGGCAATACAGTGAATCCCCATCTCTATAAAAAATACAAAAAAATTGCCGGCACGGTCGCTCACGCCTGTAGCCCCAGCACTTTGGGAGGCTGAGGCGGACGGATCACTTGCAGTCAGGAGTTCGAGACCAGCCTGGCAAACATGGAGAAACCGCGTCTCTACTAAAAATACAAAAATTAGCCAGGCGTAGTGGCGGACACCTGAAATCCCAGCTACTCAGGAGGCTGAGGCAGGAGAATTGCTTGAACCTGGGAGGCGGTGGTTGCAGTGAGCCGGGATCATGCCATTGCACTCCAGCCTGGGCAACAAGGGCAAAACTCCGTCTCAAAAAAATCAGCCAGGCATGGTGGCACAGGCCTGTAGTTCCAGCCACCTGGGAGGCTGAAGTGGGAGGATCGTTTGAGCCCAGGAGGTTGAAGCTGCAGTGAGCTGTGATCGTGCCACTGCACTCCATCCTGGGTGACAGAGTGAGACCCTGACTCAAAAAAAAAAAAAAAAAAGGAAGCTGGGCACAGTGGTGTGCACCCATAGTCCCAGCTACTCAAGAGGCTCAGGCGGAAGCATTGCTTGAGCCTAGGAGTTCAAGATCAACCTGGTCAACACAGCCAGACTCTGTCTTACAAAAACTGGAGGGAGAGCATGGTATCAGGTGACCTGCTGAGAAAACTTCAGCTCTAAAACAATAGTTTGTAAAAGTGGTTTTCATACAAAATTCACAGACTAACATGCCAAGCATTCACTGCCACTCTTAAAACAGCCCCTCTCCTGTTTAACACTCTGAGGGCTGATACTGGCATGGAGAGCTCTTAGTTTGACATGTGTGGGGAACTTGTGGCAGCTAATCCCAGAAACCACAAGAGCTCTGGGTTGAAACAATGATGTTGCAAGAAATACTGACGTATCAGAAGCAGAAGAAGAGCATTATCAAATTTGGAGAAGGAAAGAGACTGTCAGAGCAAGGTGATACAAAGCACCAAAAAAATCAGTTTTTAGCACATTTTTTTGTGTGTGACTTTCTTTTTCTTTTTGAGACAGAGTCTTGCTCTGTCACCCAGGCTGGAGTGCAGTGTGGCACGATCTTGGCTCACTGCAGCCTCCTCCTCCCAGGTTCAAGCGATTCTCCCGCTTCAGCCTCCCGAGTAGCTGGGATTACCCACCACCATACCTGGCTAATTTTTGTATTTTTAGTAGATACGAGGTTTCGCGATGTTGGCCAGGCTGGTCTGCAACTCCTGGCTTCAGGTGATCCACCCACCTCGGCCTCCCAAAATGCTGGGACTACAGGTGTGAGCCACTGCACCCAGTCATTTAAGTTTCATTTTAAAAATTTATCCCGGTCAGGCAGTGGCTCACACCTGCAATCCCAGCACTTTGGGAGGCCGACACAAGTAGATCACTTGAGCTCAGGAGTTCGAGACCAGCCTGGCCAACATGGTGAAACCCCGTATCTACTAAAAATATAAAAAATTAGCCAGGTGTGGTGGCGCATACTTGTAGGCCCAGCTACTTGAGAGGCTGAGGTGGGAGGATCGCTTGAGCCCGGGAGTCAGTGGTTGCAATGGGCCTAGACTGTGCCACTGCACTCCAGGTTGGGTGAAAGAGAAAGACCCTGTCTCAAAAATTCCCAGAGTAAAATTGACTCTCTAGGAGTGTATCATTCTATGAAAGATAACACATGTAGGCTAGGCGTGGTGGCTCACGCCTGTAATCTCAGCACTTCGGGAGGCCGAGGTGGGCAGATCACCTAAGGTCAGGAGTTTGAGACCAGCCTGGCCAACATGGTGAAACCCCGTCTCTACTAAAAATACAAAAATTAGCCGGGTATGGTAGTGCATGCCTGTGATCCCAGTTACTCGGGAGGGTGAGGCAGGAGAATCACTTGAACCCAGGAGGCGTAGGATGCACTGAGCCGAGATTGTGCCACTGCATTCTAGCCTGGGTGACAGAGTGAGACTGCATCTCAGAAAAAAAAAAAGAGAGAGATAACACATACACATCCCTATAAACACCCCTAAAAAGATACAGAATAGGTTTCCCATTCCAAAGAGTAATTCTACAATTAATTCCCCAAGCTTACCTTAGCCAATGATGGGAACAATACAATTAGGTTAGCAACCAAAACCTATCACTTAACACCAAAATTAAGCACCAGGCCAGGCGCGATGGCTTACACCTGTAATCCTAACACTTTGGGAGGCTGAGGCCGGTGGATCACTTGAGGTCAGGAGTTCAAGACCAACCTGGCCAATAAGGTGAAACCCCATCTCTACTAAAAATACAAAAATTAGATGGGTGTGGTGCCACGCACCTGTAATCCCAGTTACTTGGGAGGCTGAGGCAGGAGAATCACTTGAACCCAGGAGATGGATGTTGCAGTGGGCCGAGATCGCGCCACTGCACTCCAGCCTGGGCACCAGAGTGAGACTCCGTTTCAAAAAAAAAAAAAAAAAAAAAAAAATTAAGCACCAGGAAAAAAACACTACATCCCAGCCTCCCATATACAAACACCAAATCATTTTTGCTGGTTGGCTAGCGACCTTCATACTCTATGCTTCTACATTATACAATTTGAGGTCTTTAAACTTTTCATCATGGTGTCAATACAATTCATATAAACATGCTGTTTTCCTTCTCATTGTTTCCAGGGACTTTCTAGGCAGCGCTAAAAAGTAGCAGGTGAGACATTAATATAGGATATTACATTTTCACCTAATCAAACCTGTGTCAGGGCTCACTCCAATTTTTCTCTTTGTAATTATTGGACATTCTGCTATGCTTCTGCTCACACAGGGGTGCTTAGGAGCCAAGAAAGAACCCACAGGGAGAGGATGTAAAGAAAATGTGTCAATATGGCACCTGTTAATAGATTGTTGGGATGCTGACTGTCTCATCTGCCAGTTCCTAACCAGCCTATCGTCTTGCTGGGCATGGAGAAGGTAGGCGGAATCACATAAAACTTTCCCATTATATTAGTTCTTCAGCAAGAAGATGGCATCTCTGGTATCAACAACAACAAAAAAAAACGCTGGGCGTGGTGGTACACGTCTGTAATCCCAGCACTTTGGGAGGCCGAAGCTGGCGAATGACCTGAGGTCGGGAGTTCGAGACCAGCCTGACCAACATGCAGAAATCCCCTCTCTACTAAAAATACAAAACTAGCCGGGCATGGTGGCGCGCGCCTATAATCCCAGTTACTTGGGAGGCTGAGGCAGGAGAATCACTTGAACCCAGGAGGCAGAGGTTGCGGTGAGCCAAGATCAGACCATTGCAATCCAGCCTGGGCAACAAGAGCAAAACTCTGTCTCAAGAAAAAAAAAAAAAAAAGAAAGGCTGGGCGCGGTGGCTCACGCCTGTAATCCCAACATTTTGGGAGGCCAAGGTGAGCGGATCATGAGGTCAGGAGATTGAGACCATCCTGGCTAACACGGTGAAAGCCCGTCTCTATTAAAAATACAAAAAATTAGCCGGGAGTGGTGGCACGCGCCTGTAGTCCCAGCTACTCGGGAGGCTGTGGCAGGAAAATCCCTTGAACCTGGGAGGCGGAAGTTGCAGCGAGAAGAGATCACGCCACTGCACTACAGCCTGGTGATAGAGCGAGACTCTGTCTAAAAAAAAAAAGCACGGTGGCTCATGCCTGTGATCCCAACACTTTGGGAGGCCAGGCAGGCAGATCACCTGAGGTCCGGAAACCAGCCTGGGCAACATGGTGAAACTCCGTCTCTACTACAAATACAAACATTAGCAAGGCATGGTGGCACATGGACTGTAATCCCAGCTACTCCGTGAGGCTGAGGCAGGAAAATCGCTTGAACCCGGGAGGCAGACGTTGCAGTGAGCAGAGATCAAGCCACTGCACTCCAGCCCGGGTGACAGAGCGAGACTCCGTCTCAAAAAAAAAAAAAAAACAAAAAAAAAACTCATGTTCCATGACAGGAGGTTGATGTGACAGATTTCAAGGGCCACACAGACACCAGCTAACCCAGCAGCAGCAACTGGCGCTCTGGCTCCATCTTTCCTCTAGAATCCAAGAGGCTCTCTCCATTCATTTAGGAAATACGCACTGAACGCCTACTAAGTTATGAGACACCGGGTTAGAGGCTGGGGATGTGAAACTGTGAGGGAGATAAAAAATCTTGCCCAAGTCCCAGTACCGAGGAAAGCTTGACAGGCTCTTGTATGGTAGTATAAAGCCAATATCTAGGGATGAATGGTTTAAAAAAAAAAGAGAGAAAAACGGACTGCAAGGGTGGAAGTGGGGAGCGGGTAACAAGAGAAAGTCCTCCATCCCAGCCGTTTATATACCTGGCTACCTGAAGGACTCAGTTCCTTACCTCAGTTTCCTGCAACCGTAGCTTTCTGGCACTATGCCACGCTGCCCTGTGGCATGTTTACTATTTGTATTCAACCATTCAAAAGTTACTTTAAGGAGATGAACTGCACATTTCCAACTCTAGTGAGTAACCTTGTTCCTCCCGGCACTCTTGTCGAGTTAGCGTTTACGTGCAGAATTCTTCCAGAAAGACCACCTGAGCAATCAATAAAACTTTTATCTCTGTAAAAACACCTTGTTTAAAATAGCTACATAGGGAGACGTAGGTAAACAAGCACACAAGGGCCTCCAAATCGGTGGTGCACAGCTCACGGATGAGGCAAGGGCAAAGCATGCGTGGGAAATCACGTTTATCATAGAGAAGGAAAGGAGCGCTCACGAGGAGCGGCGAGCGCCCCAGGCTTCAGCTTTGCGGCCGGCCGGCCAGGCCTCGCGCCAGCCCGGGTGCACACCCAAGGCGCCGGGCCCGCCTCCAGCTCCTGGGCAGCGGGAACCGCGAACCGCCGTGGAACGGCCGGGAAGGGAGCGCTGCGCCCCCTGGCGGCGGGGCCCATCCCTCTCCGCTCCCGGCCGCCGCCGCCGCGGGCCGGCCTCGCTCCATTTGCAGCCTCCGGAGGCTTCGTTCCTCCGAGCGGCTGCTCCCCCGGCCTCCCGCTCGCCGCCCGGCATCTCCCTCCAGTCCCCGCCCCCTGCTCCCGCTCCGACACCCCCTTCCACACGCCGAGCAGTGCCCCGCCAAAGCCCCGCCGAGCGCGAGCGCCAAGCCGCCGCGAGTACGGCAGAGCCTTCCGGCCGCCCCGGCCGCTCCATCGCGGCGCCCGGCGGGGGTGCGGGGCCGGCGCGCGGCGCGAGTGGGGCGGGCGGCGGCGGCGGCGCGGACGGTTCCACCGCGCGAACCCCCCGCCCCCGCGCGGCGCGCGTGCTCCCCAGAACGCCATGGAGCCGCCGCGTTCCGAGCGGGCACAAAGGGGCGCGCAGCACAATGGGCGCGGCGAGCCCGTGGGCGCCCGGCGCCCGCTCCGGTCGCTCGGCCCGCGCGGGGGTGGGCGCTACTACCGGCGGGCGCGCTCGGAGCAGCCCCCCTCCGCGTCCCCTCCCCTGCTCCCGCCCCCACCCCGGCATGGATGTTGCAGCCACTCTACCGGCCGCTCGCCCCGGAGCCGCCAACGCTGCCGCCGCCGCGCGGCCGGCTTGATCCGCCCCGCACTTACCTGGGACGCGAGTTCTGTACTTTGCCGGGCGGGCCCGCGCCGAGTTTGGGCGCCACGTGGGGGGGAGGGCGCGGGGCCGGGGAGTGGGGGCCGCGCGCGGAGGGCCTGGCCAGGGCGGCCCGGGGAGGCGCTGGGGGCGGCGGGCGGGCGAGCGCCGTGTATTTTCCCCTCTCTTTGTGTGTGTCCGTGCGCTGCGCTCTCGCGTGACGTGACGGGACTCCGTGTGTCATTTCCGCACAAGGACACAGGAGCCCCCGCTGCAGTGGAACCACAACCCCTCCGCCCCCACCCCCGGCCCGCCCCTCCCCCTCAGCGGGGCACACGCGGGACCGGCGGCGGCGGCGCTCGGGCGTGAACGGCCGCGGCGGGGAGCTCGGGCGCGCACTCCCGGGACCCAGGCGGCCCGGCGCGCTCGGCCAGCGCAGTGGCTCCACGTGGGCCCGCGCTGGCTGCCCGGGGCGGGGGCGGCGGCCGCGCACCCACGGCGCGCCGGGCAGGCGCCGCGAACAATGTCCCCTGTACCCCATGTGTCCTCCCACCGCGAGTTCGTCCTCGGAAACGTGGTTTCTCAGACCCGAGAGTTTGGCCCCAAACGGCTTTTTCTACTTTTTTGCCCCTTGCGGGACGGCGACTGTGCGGAGCTTGTCCCGCCTCGCGCCCACGCCTCTCCCGCATTTTTGGCCTTTGGGCCGCAGCCCAGGCCCCCGGGGCCGGTCTTCCCGCGCCGCCACCGGCACAAAGACCTTGGGGCGCGAGGGCCCGGGTGGCTCCTGCGGCCCCGCGGGGCGGCATGGAGTCCGGCGGGACCCGGGAGAGCGACCCTGGCGCTGGGAAAAGCTGGCTCTGGCCACTCCCCCTGCACGGTGGCCGCCCTCTGTTGTGAGCCTCAGAGCTAAAATCTGCTCTTGCAACCCGAAGTTCTGGGGTGTGAGGCTGCGGAGCGAGAGCTTCGGAAGCGCCCGCGCTCACAGACACACACCCCACAAACACAAACCCACGGGCTGTCTGCGCCGAGCGCCTAAAATAGAAAAACACGAGTCACCAACTCAATAAAGGCTGATTCTGTCTACTCCTAACTCTTGGACTGTAGATTCCCAGTTGATAAATACGAAATCTACCCCTCGGGTATTTTCTCAAGTCTCAGTGGCTGGGTAGGGGGAGGGGGAGGTGCTGGGTGAGAGTCAGGGAAGCCCAATTCAACAGTTTAGCCACGTTTGTATTTTAGGCAAACAATGAGAATGTAAATTTAAGAAAAATCCTTTAATTTGCCGATCAAAGAAAGTATAAAAAGAAAAATGCAAATGATCCCATCTGCTGCTCACAGCTGACTGGCTGCAAGGGAGGACCATGTGGCACGGCCCTGCGCGGTCAGTGAATAGGTAGAATAGATTTTTAAAAGAAGGCATATGTTGGCTCCTTGCTGCCCAGTCGCGGCGAGGGTTTGAATTAACGTATAGTTTGGGTTTACCGTACCCTCCTTCAGACCACTCCAATTGGGAATTTAGTAATTATGCAAGTTCCCCCCCTTCGGGCTTGAAATCAAAAGGCACAGGGTTAAGTTTGAGGAACTACGTGGAACATTCTCGAGCTGTATTTGGATTACTGGTTTAGTGAAGTCAGTACTAATTGCTATGCAAAATTAAGCAAGCAGCCTGAAGAACCAAGCCCTGCATCCAGGGGGTGCTTTTATAGAAGAATCTATACGTGCTCAGTGTCATTGAAAACAGGATGATGAAAAGAATGGGGCCGAGATAGCAGCCCTTCAAATTCAAAAGACTTAGGTCGCCCTATCTACATTTAAAATAGGGCGGAGGGAGGAAGGGAGGAGGACTGCTTGGGGGAGAATGGTTAATTTATACATTCGCAGAAGACTGAGGGGAGGCACTTCGATTTCTGCAGAGAACTTGACTTTTACACTTGCACATTAAATAACACGTACGACACAGTACATCGCTTGACTTAGTTAACAGATACACCAGTTTTATTCTCACCTTCAATTTAATGTGACAGTTATAATTAGAATTTTTAAAGTAGAAGTTGCATTTCATTAGTTCAGTTTTCTAGGATTTCCCAGTAGAAGAGTTAGGAATAGTTAAGTAGCACTTAAGCACATTTTGCATTTAAATCACTTTGCTGTGGTGCTTTAAGAATGTAAAACGACCTTGTTAAATTTTTGGAAAGAGGACTAGATGAAACGTGTGTAGTGAGGGGATATATATTTAACCAATCTTTCACAGTGACAACTCAGGTTTTTAAGGAGAAATTAAATAATAAGACAATAGAGATAGAAATTAACATTTCTCTGTTCATATTGCTTGAAACAAAAGATTTCTGTCAAATACAATAATTGAACTGATATAGCTGACTTTTCAAAACAACTTTCAGGAAACTCAAACGGACCTTGAATATTATTGTAAAAGTATGTATCTTATATTTGCATAAATGGATCTATCTACTTAACAAAGTAAGTGGCTTGTTTCAAATAAGTTATTAATAGAAATAGAAGTCATTGCTATCCAAGAAAGGAAATCACCTTCCTTCAAATGGTTTTCTATGTGGTTTTCTTTTTTATATGGAGAAGGAAAATAACGCATAAAGGTGAAAAATGTATTGGAATAGTTGTATATAATTTTGGAAACTTCAAGACATAATAGTTTTGAAAGTGCAGTAACAGTTCATGGTTCATACGGATGTGTGTGTAAAGACCCGGAAAAATAACAACCTGGTTTTTAGAGGTCTGCTCAATTTGAAATTGCTTAATAAAAAATGCATTTTTCAAGATTTCAAATTAGAGCTGCTGCCATCGATCTAGTCAACTCATTTTCATTTGTACCTGAGTAAAATGTAGCAGGGGGAAAACTGGCTACTTGACCATATAAAACACTGAGACACTAAATGTAAAAACTCAAATGGAAAATTGCGTTATATAAAATGGGATATAAAAGAAGATTGGGATATAAAATGTAAATATATATAATTAAGAGTGGCAGACAGACAGACATTAGGTTTCAGATAACTGTTACTCTAAAGGCTTTTATCATTGCTAAAATATATTTATAGTTGGCAAGACAATATTTAGTAGGACTTTTTTTCAGTAAAGACTTAAAACAACGCAACAGATTTCACTGTTACTTGTGAGACATTTCCACTTTATTTCTTGCCTGCTGGATGTATAATTTCGCCAAGTCTTCAACTTCAAACAGAAGTAGCTGGCAGATCCAGATTCTGTGAATACTCACAACAGAAAAGTAAGAGGGTGAAAAACAGGGGCGTGAGAGGTAGTACTATATTAAATAGGACCTACAGAAAGACATGCCTCAATGGTTAACCCCTGTGTGCTGAAAAAATAAACAACTATCTTTTTTTTTTTTTTTTTTTTGAGACGGAGTCTCGCTCTGTCGCCCAGGCTGGAGTGCAGTGGCGCGATCTCAGCTCACTGCAACCTCCGACTCCCTGGTTCAAGCGATTCTCCTGCCTCAGCCTCCTGAGTAGCTGGAATTACAGGCATGTGCCACCACGCCCAGCTAATTTTTGTATTTTTAGTACAGACCGGGTTTCACCATCTTGGCCAGGATGGTCTCGATCTCCTAACCTTGTGATCCGACCGCCTCAGCCTCCCAAAGTGCTAGAATTATAGACGTGAGCCACCACGCCCGGCCAACAACTATCTTTATTGGAATGTGGAGCAGGTAAGTGATATACCATGACCCAACATGAAAAAAATGAGGTTTCAAATGAAAAGTTACAGACAATTTGTGCTGGACATTTTCCTTATGTGTAGGAGAACTATTTAATAATTTATAGCAGCTTGAGATTGTAAGCACCCAGTACAGCCATCAGGATCTGATTTTTGTTGAATATCTGGTTTGCACAATAGGATTCTGCAAAAAGAAACATGAGGGAGAGTGAAAACTGCTGCAGTCCCACTCTCAATTTCAAGCCCTTGAGAAAACAAATGCCAATCTGAACGGCAACTCATTCTGAGCCCACGCTGCTGGCTAGAGGCACTGTAGCCACTAGGGCCCCAGCACCCAGAGGGGTGCCCAAGGGCCTGTACTTAGGCCTTCCCCAACTGATCACACAGCTGCAGGGGCAGGCAGGAAGCAGGGAGCAAGTGTTGGCTGGCTTCCCAGCCAATCAGAGCTCATTAGAAATGAAAAAGGAGACACATACTGCTCTAGCAATTGACCAATTTTAAAAAAATTACTGTATGCTGTGGAGTGTGGTGGTTGAAGCCTGTAATCCCAATACTTTGGGAGTCCCAGGCAAGAGGACTGCTTGAGCACAGCAGTTTGAGCAGCCTGGTCAACATAATGAGACCCTGTCTCTACAAAAAAAATCAAAAAATGGCTGAGCGCAGTGGCTTATGCCTGTAACCCCAGCACTTTGGGAGGCCGAGGTGGGTGGATCACCTGAGGTCAGGAGTTCAAGACCAGCCTGGCCAACATGGTGAAACCCTGTCTCTACCAAAAGTACAAAAATTAGCCAGGTGGGGTAGTAGTCACCTGTAACCCCAGCTACTTAGGAGGCTGAGGCAGGAGAATCTCTTGAACCCAGGAGGCAGAAGTTGCAGTGAGCCAAGATCACACCACTGCCCTCCAGCCTGGGCGACAAAGCAAGACTCTGTCTCAAAAAAAAAAAAAAAAAATCAAAAAATTAGTCAGGTGTGGTGGCACATGCCTGTAGTCCTAGCTACTCAGGAGGCTGAGAAGGGAGGATTGCTTGAGCCCAGGAGTTTGAGGCTGCAGTGAGCCATGATGGAATCCCGGCACTCCAGCCTGGACGACAGAGAAAGACCCTATCTCTGAGAAAAACAAAACAAAACAAAGACTCTAAATGATAGGATATATGTTAAGATTAGTCTTATTTGCGCTGGGTGTGGTGGCTCACAGCTGTAATCCCAGCACCTTGGGAGGCCGAGGTAGGCAGATCACCTGAGGTCGGGAGTTCGAGATGAGCCTGACCAACAAGGAGAAACCCCATCTATACTAAAAATACAAAATTAGCCAGGCGTGGTGGCGCATGCCTGTAATCCCAGCTACTCGGGAGGCTGAGGCAGGAGAATAGCCTGAACCCGGGAGACGGAGGTTGCGGTGACCTAAGATCGTGCCATTGCACTCCGGCCTGGGCAACAAGAGTGAAACTCCATCTCAAAAAAAAAAAAAAAAAAGGTCTACATAGACAAATATGTTCGTTGCAGGATCATTTGTGATAGCAAAGAAATCGAAGAGAACTTGGAAAATAGCTAAAAATACCTTCCATGACATACTATGTAAGCTTTTTTTTTTTTTTAAATACAGAGTTTCATTCTATCACCCAGTCCAGTGTGCAGTGGTATGATCATGGCTCATTGCAGCCTCAAACTCCAAGGCTCAAGCCATCTTCCCACCTCACCCTCTCAGGTAGCTGAGACTACAAGGCCAAATCACCAGGGCGGACTCATTTTTTTTTCTCTTTTTATAGAGACAGGGTCTTGCTGTGTTGCCCAGGCTGGTCTCAAACTCCTGGGCTCAAGTGATCCTCCTTGCCTTGGCCTCTCACAGTGTTGGGATTACAGGTGTGAGCCATCATGCATGGCCTGTAAACTAGAAAGAGGAAAGGGAGGTGTTCTTTTTTATGGATATGGAAGAATGTTGATGACATATTGTTGAGTAAAAGAAGAAAATGACAGATTTTTTTTTTTTGAGACGCAGTCTCGCTCTGTCGCCAGGCTGGAGTGCAGTGGCGCGATCTTGGCTCACTGCAACCTCCGCCTCCCGGGTTCAAGCGATTCTCCTGCCTCAACCTCCCAAGTAGCTGGGACTACAGGCACACACTACCAAACCCAGCTAATTTTTGTATTTTTAGTAGAGACGGGCTTTTACCATGTTGGCCAGGGTGGTCTCGATCTCTTGACCTCGTGATCTGCCCGCCTCGGCCTCCCAAAGTGCTGGGATTACAGGTCTGAGCCACCGTGCCTGGCCGACAGATTTATATATAATGTAATCTTATTTTTGTCAAGAAGAACATCACGTATGTATCTGGGTTGTGAATGGAAAAGGTCCGGGAGGCCAGGTGTGGTGGCTCAAGCCTGTAATCCCAGTACTTTGGGAGGCCAAGGCAGGGGGATCACTTGAGCTCAGGAGTTCTGGACCAGCCTGAGCAACATAGTGAGACCCTGTGTCAAAAAGAAAAAAAAAAATGTTCTGGGAAATACAGAGGTCATAGAGGTGACCGCGAGGTATATCGGATAGAGAGAAGAGAGGGACTTTTTCACGTTATACATGTGTGTGATGTTTGGTTGTTTTCCCCCATAATGAGTATCTACGTCTTTGTAGCCCTTTCCCCTCACACAGACTAAAAACAGTCATTACCATGGCCTAAAGAGCAGAAGTCACTCTAGAGTAGCTAAGTCATGCTCAGCTGGTGTAAGAGCCTAGACTTAAACACGTCACCAATCCCCCCCTTTCTCTACATAATTTTATGGCTGAAATAAAAGGAAGAGAAGAAATCCTGGTAAAAATGACCCCAAAGTAAATATGGCACTTGGTTACAGAATCCAAAGCCTCCTTTTTTCAAGTTGCTGAAGTGTCAACACGGTATTTTAAGAGGTCACTGTGAATATATGTAAGGATTTCCCTCTAGTCATTACACATGAGGGCCTGAGAAATAATAGGTGTCAACTGCCTGGTTCTACCGCTAAGGAAACTGGGGCAAAAAGAAAGGGTGGCTTGCTCAAGGCTATTGGGCTTTAGAATTATGGTTTTGGGTTCCACTTTCTAAATTATTACTACCAAACATCAAACAGGCAAAAAAAAAAAAAAAAAAAAAAAAAAAAGAAAGAAACCGTCAAGGAGTGAAATCTATAAGGTCTGTGCTTCACAGAATTGTATTCATTTAAATTATCAGGCCCTGCCCCCAACCTCACCCTTTAGTCCTTAGGCAGCTTAAGTCCCTTCCTCAAGAGGCCACATGTGTCCCAAGCCTGGGATGGAGGCCCTGTGCTGCACCCCCATGGCAGCTTGCTCTGTCCATGGAGACTCCTATGAACTGAGTTGGTTCCCCTCCAAATCCATATGTTGAAGTCCTAACCCCCAGTACACTTTGGAATGAGAATATTTGAAGATAAGGCCCTTAGCAGGTAACTGAGGTTATTTGAGGTCAAGGGTGGGGCCTTAATCTGATAGGGCTGGCATCCTTACAAGAAGGGGAAGAGACCAGCACGCTGGCTCATGCCTGTAATCCCAACACTTTGGGCAGCCGAAGCAGCGGGCGGATCACTTGAGGTCAGGAATTTGACACCAGCCTGGACAACATGGCAAAACCCCGTCTCTACTAACAGTACAAAAATTAGCTGGGCACGGTGGCAGGTGCCCGTAATCCCAACTACTTGGGAGGCTGAGGCAGGAGAATCACTTGAACCCGGGAGGTGGAGGTTGCAGTGAGCCGAGATTGCGCCACTGCACTCCAGATTGGGTGACAGAGAGAGAGACTTCGTCTCAAAAAAAGAAAGAAAAAAAAAAAGGCCGGGCGAGGTGGCTCACACCTATAATCCCAGCACTTTGGGAGGCGGAGGCAGGTGGATCACCTGAGGTCAGGAGTTCAAGACCAGCCTGGCCAACATGGTGAAACCCCATCTCTACTAAAAATACAAAAAATTCGCTGGGCGTGGTGGCACATGCCTGTAGTCCCAGCTACTCAGGAGGCTGAGATACAAGAATCGATTGAACCCAGGAGGTGGAGGTTGCAGTGAGCGGAGATCATGCCACTGCACTCCATCCTGGGTGATAGAGTGAGACTGCGTCTCAAAAAAAAAGGAAATGAGACTAGAGACAAGGAGTGCATGTGAGGAAAGGCTGCGTGAGGACACAGAGAGAAAGTAGCCACCTGCAAGCCAAGGAGAGAGGCCTCAGGAGAGACCAAACCTGTCAGCACCTTGGACTTCCAGCCTCCAGAACCATGAGAAAAATTTATATTCCCTAGGAAGCTGACTCAGAAAGAAAAAATTATATTGTCTAAGCCACCCAGTTGTATTTTATAACAGCCCAAGCAGACTACTAGAGACCCTGCTCACAAGCAGCTGTAATTGCCTTTTTCTTCGTCTGTTTCCCTAGCTAGAATGTAAACTCCTGGAGGGCAGGACCGTGTCTGATCACTATACCTCCAAGTGCCTAGCACTGTGCCTGGGACATAGTCGACTCTCAACAAATACTTGCTGAAAGAATACCTGAGTTGTTAGACACCAGTGTTCCATTCCCTTTCCTTTCTGTATAGATAAAAAACTGAAGGGTTAAAGGTTGAGAGCAGAACCATCCCTAGTCTATAATGAATGGTGCCTTCTGGAATTGTCCCTGCATCACACATACCGTTTTAAGGCAGTGATCCAAAGGTAGGCAGCCAATTCATGGCAGGCCCACACTACACTAACTCTGCAGTAATAATAATAGTATCACATAGCCATAAAGTTCTCTTCAGCCGTCCTCTTTCCATAGTTGCCTTGGTCTTCTTGGGCTACCATAATAAAATACCATAGACTGGGTGGGCTGAGCAAGAGAAATTTATTTTCTCACAGTTCTGGAGTCTAAAGTCCAAGATCAGGGTGCCAGCATGGTCTCTTTCTAGTGAGGGCTGTTTTCCTGGTTTGCAAATGGCAGCCTTCTTGCTCTGATCTTCCCCACTCTAGCATCCCTGAGGGCAGGAGCAGGCTACTCTACTATCTCTTGTTTTTTTCTTTTTTTTTTTTTTTTTGAGATGGAATTTCGCTCTTGTTGCCTAGGCTGGAGTGCAATGGCGTGATCTCGGATCACCGCAACCTCCGCCTCCCAGGTTCAAGCAATTCTCCTGCCTCAGCCTCCCCAGTAGCTGGGATTACAGGCATGCACCACCATGCCCGGCTAATTTTGTATTTTTAGTAGAGACGGGGTTTCTCCATGTTGAGGCTGGTCTTGAACTCCTGACCTCAGGTGATCCGCCCGCCTCGGCTTCCCAAAGTGCTGGGATTACAGGCGTGAGCCACTGCGCCCGGCTGTTATCTCTTATGAAGGGCATTAATCCCATCATGAGAGCCCTATCCTTATAATCTCATCGAATCCTAATTACCGCCCAAAGCTGTAACTCCAAATACCATCACACTGGAGAATAGGGGGAACATATGAAGGACACAATCATTTAGTCCATAAAAATAGTGTTTTCAAATTTTGGTTTCCTGTTTGCCCTTGATGACAGGCCTGAGAGAGGTGGAACAGGTCCACCCCATTTTTACACAGATGACAACAATAAATGTCCAGAGAGATTACATGGTTTGTAATTCATTCCTTCATTTAACACATAATTATTGCAAGCTTAAATGCCAGGCACTGGAGGATTCTGCCTTCCCTTTTGTTTATTTTTTTATTTTTAATTTTTTTTTTTGATACGGAATCTCTCTCTGTTGCCCAGGCTGGAGTGCGGTAGCACGATCTTGGCTCACTGCAACCTGGCCTCCCGGGTTCAAGCGATTCTCCTGCCTCAACCTCCTGAGTAGCTGGGACTATAGGCACGTGCCACTGTGCCCGGCTAATTTTTGTATTTTTAGTAGACACAGGGGTTTCACCATGTTGGCCAGACTGGTTTTGAACTCCTGACCTCATGATCTGCCCACCTTGGCCTCCAAAAGTGCTGGGATTACACGTGTGAGACACTGCACCCGGCCTCTGCCTTCCTTTTTTTTTCCCTTAAAGAAAGTGACTACCAGAATGTGACTACAACCTGGGCAACATGGCAAAACACCGTCTCTACAAAAAATACAAGAATTAGCTGGGCGTGGTGGCCTGAGCCTGTAGTCCCAGCTACTGAGGAGGCTGAGGTAAGAGAATCAATTGAGCCTGGGAGGTTGATGCTGCAGTGAGCTGTGATTGTGCCACTGCACTCCAGGCTGGGTGACAGAGCGAGACCCTGTCTCAAAAGAAAACAAGAATGTGACTAATTTAACTTTGCTGCTCCTTGTGGACTTGGCCATTTGCATTCATTTTCCCCTCTCTCCAGCTCTGTTGTCCTGCAGACAGCAGGTGGTGGCAAATGCTGTTGCACTCGTTAGCCGTGCAGTGCAGGAGGTATGAAATCACACAGATGCAGATTTGAATCCTGGCTCCAGCATGTACTAAGTAAGTGACCTTAGGAAACTACAGAAGCTTTTAGTTTCCATTTCCTTATTCACACCACGGGGCAACCCCATCCTACAGGGTAGGTGTATACAAGGCACTTCTGGTTAGTACTGGTACAGTGGCTGTCATAAGGTTAGTTCAGTAAACGGTAGCTCTTATTTTTATTGGTCATACATGAGGCAAGTGAAATGTTGAAATAATTAGCCCAGACACATTAAAACAGTTTTGATTATTTTTTTCTATTCATAGAAGACAAAACAATAAACCAATCCAAAACTATGCTTCTAGTTTAGCAGCAAAAGCACAAAGGTTCACATGAACAGCCTCAATGCTTTCTGGAAGACACCTGTAGAGGACCACTTTACATTCACACCCCACCCAAAAAGTGACACAAATACCGCTCTATAATTCTGAAACATTTCTAAAATGTGATGGTCCTTAAGCCACATTCTCTGCACCCCCTGCCCCGCCCCTTAAGGAAAGGCGCGATGAGTCCCGTCCTTCTCTAGGACAGGTTCTAGTAGCCTCCATCACATGTGCATGTTGGTGGCCCTAGATCCCTGGGCTAAACAACCAGGTCAGTGGACAGCAGAGGCAGTGTGTGCAAGTCTCGGTTCATAGATCTGTGTGTATGAAATAGCTATTTTTATAATTTACTTGCTATTCTGAGTCCTATCCTTTTGGAGTCCTCCCCAACCCCAGGGACTTCCAGGGGCCTCTGCCCTCCGGGCATCTGTCCACTGGGGTTCTTGCAGAGCCATCCATCACTGGCTCACCATGCCCTGCAGGCAGCGGCTCTGCCATGCCCAACCAGGGACAAGGTCATCTCTTTGCAAGGCTGCCTAGAGCAGGGATATGTGATGCAAATGCCTGCAGGGAGCAGGCAAGGAGAGTTCATAAGTGAACCAGGTAGTTTGCCTACTAAATACGTGAGAACGCTCTTCACCTTTACAAAGAAATACGCTAGCTCCATGTTTCTTTCAACATGAGCCATCTTTAGTCTCTCTATTGTTTCCCCATTTATGGGAAAAATCTTGGGTAAAGAGGGACATTCCTCTATTGCCTAGAAAACAGCAGTGCCAGTGTCATGAATGGCAACTAATCTTTGGCCTCAGCATTGGGACACAGCAGGGACTGGTGGACACTGTGACAAGCTAAACCACCCATTTCTTCTCCAATACAGGCAGCCATTTGATGCCATGACGGACTGAACCCAGTATGGTCAAATTTGCCAATTCTTAAAGAGAAGACAAAATCTGATTTTTTTTTTTTTTTGAGGCGGAGTCTCGCTCTCTCTCCCAGTCTGGAGGGCAGTGGTGCGATCTCGGCTCACTGCAAGCTCCGCCTCCCGGGTTCACGCCATTCTCCTGCCTCAGCCTTCCAAGTAGCTGGGACAACAGGAGCCCGCCACCACGCCCGGCTAATTTTTTGTGTTTTTCGTAGAGACGGGGTTTCACCGTGTTAGCCAGGATGGTCTCGATCTCCTGACCTCGTGATCCACCCGCCTCGGCCTCCCAAAGCGCTGGGATTACAGGCGTAAGCCACCGCGCCCGGCCACAAAATCTGAATTTTTATGTGAAATTGCCTAGTTTTAAAATCCTGAATGACTGAAATTCACATGGCCAAATCCCATCTGCAGGTCAGATCCAGCCCAAAGTAACTCGTTTGTGACTTGGGACCTGGCTGCGGCCCTCAGCCACATCTCCAGGAACAGTCCTGCCTGCTAGCTAGGTCTCTGGAAAGCCCACCACCTGCTCAGCCCACCACCCCACCCAGAAGAATTCTGCTTTTGCCTGTGGCTCAAATCCTTTCCCTTGCTGGGGCTTAAGCTTTTAGAAACAAAAGCTTGGGGGAGAAAAATAAGCTTGAGCTTATTTCAGCTTTCTGCCCCATCTCATCTCTTCACTAAGAAAATAAACAGATTGGAAGTATCTGGTCAGAGGCAGGAAAGGGAAAGGGGAAAATACCAGAACAAAAGTATAGATTAATACCTCAGGCCAGGCGTGGTGGCTCACACCTGTAATCCCAGCTACTTGGGAGGCTGAAGCAGGAGAATTGCTTGAAACCGGGAGGCGGAGGTTGGAGTGAGCCAAGATCACGCCATTGCATTCCAGCCTGAGCAACAAGAGCAAAACTCCATCTCAAAAAAAAAAAAAAAAAGATTATCCTGCCCCACATACTTACTGAACATATTTGATCTGAGATTATTTACGAAAATATTGTAGTAAGGAAATCCCAATTCAGCCAAATAATCAAATATTCAATTTTTACAGTAAAATATATGTATGTAACACAGCATCTTCCCTTTTTATATTTTATATTTCTTAATGGTGAGGGTCTCTGTCATCCATACTGGAGTGATTATAGCTCACTTGTAGCCTCAAATTCCTGGGCTCAAGCAATCCTTCTGCCTAAGTCTCCCGAAGTGCTGGGATTACAGGCATGAGCCACCACACCAGGTCGCCACTGTCTTAATAATATATTAGAATGTTCACTTTTACTAGTATAGTACCTTGTTTATTGATTCTGCCAGGGGCAATTTCTGAATTGAATAATAAGGTTTTTGAAAAAAATGTTATACATTTAATACACCAAAAGGAGTTTAGCACCTTGAAGGTTTATCTGCCGAGTTAATAATAAACATATGATACTAGTTATTACTGAGCCATTGCTGATTTGAAGGACTAAAGCAACACAACCCCTATGCTCTGGGAAGATGATAAATTTAGGAGCAGAAAGTTCAGGCTCAAATTACCTTTGTTTCATCATTTTCTTTGGTGGTGGGAGAGAGATGCTGGTCTCAGTGTGATACTGACTTAGGTGGTCAGGAGTGGGGCAAGAATATTAGAAATCCACCAGATGAAAATCCTTCAAATAAACGACCTTATTACCCCCTTGACCTATATAATCAGCATGGAGCAAACAGGAATAATTGCCCTGTGCAACCCGAGTGTGTGAGTTTGAGGGAAGGGGGACAGAGGAATTCAATAACCAATAACCCACATTTACCTACTTCTTCCCTCTGAATATTTTACATTAGAAATGACAGAAGATTTGGGTTCCTTTCCCCTAATAAAATGAAAACCATTTTTTAGAAGAAAGTAATAGAATCAGCAGAAACCAGTGGCATATGTGTGGTGAAACTCATAGCGAGTATTGGGACAGACATGGCACATATGTTTTACTCCTCTAAGACTCAAACATTTGGTATTTCCTGAATTCTCTTTGTGGAGATAACAAAGTTTTCAAATGGCATATATAACAAAATATATTACATCCAAGTTGATAGCCAATGATTTAATAACATTTAATATTAAAACAATTAAGACACATAAAAAGTGCAGCATCTATAGCCTGTAAATTCTTCCGGCATATTATGATCCTAGCTTTCAGTAAGTAAATGTTATACTTATGGAAGCTGCATTTATTAGGACTTGACATTAGATAAGTAAGTAAATTACTTCAGGTATCAAAGAGTTCTCTACTCTAGGCTGGAATAAGTGAATGTGCTTTCCCAATGCCTATGTTCTGAGATAATTTTTGCAGTGATGGAATTCGGCTCATATCAGCAGTAGAGAGAGGTGAGCAAGACCACTTAGTACCTAAATATAGGGCTGAGAATTCATGCAGCTGGCAGGAGAAGATGAGACCTCTTTGGAAGATGGCTTGGGTAGCTTTAATGTGAAAAAAGCTTCCAAAATTAAAAATGTTTAGTCATTGTAGCTACAAAAAAAAAAAAAAAAAAAAACCACAGGGTTGGGTGCAGTGGCTCATGCCTGTAATCCCAGCACTTTGGGAGGCCAAGGCAGGCAGATCACGAGGTCAAGAGATCGAGACCATGCTGGCCAACATGGTGAAACCCTGTCTCTACTGAAAATACAAAAATTAGCCGGGCATGGTGGCGTGCTCCTGTAGTCCCAGCTACTCAGGAGGCTGAGGCAGGAGAATTGTTTGAACCTGGGAGGCAGAAGTTGCAGTGAGCCGAGATCGCATCCCTGAACTCCAGCCTGGTGACAGAGTGAAACTCAGTCTCAAACAAACAAATAAACAAACAAAGAATTGAGCACCTCTGATTGAAAGCCTTGAGTCCTTTGGGGACTAAGAAATGGATAAGCAAGGTCCCTGTCCTCATAGAACTATCATCTAACCGAGGAATCAATCGTGAGCCCCGGAAACTGTGATGTAAAGCAGAAAGGAGAGGCCCAGAGTGCGGGGGAGCAAGGAGCTCAAAGAGATCAGGAAGATTCCATGGAGGAGGGGCTGAGCAGGATTCTGACCCATGAAGGCTGGGCGAAGGGCACTCTGGGCAGGGAAAATTGCGGGCAGCAGCTGAGGCAGGAAACTGCAGGCCATATTTGGAAACCTATAAATAGCCCTTCTGAGTGAAAAACAGAGAGCACTGTAGTTAGAGGGAGAAGTAACAGGTAAGGCCAGAGAGACAGGTGGTGAACAGATTGAGGCCTTCTTCCAGTCTGAGCCACACATCTTCTGAAACCTGGCAATCAGCCTGGTGCTTGACTATTTCATCGAAGACAAATGTGACCACTGGCAGCCACAAACCAAGAAGACCCTGATCCAAGAACTGGAGCTCTGCTGCTGGCCGCAAATGCTGGTCTCTCAGACTGCTTATCTCGGACTCAGTAATACAGTGGTAACTCGGAATTGGGAAGATGCCAGGAAGAGGGATAGGGACAGAAACATAACCAGTAACTGACCATTGCCCTCTACAGTCTTATACCCCCACATGGCTTCCAAGAAGCCCAGTTTTAAGCTGTTCAGGGGCAATGCCTAATATACTAGAGCAGGGTCACATGTTTGTATATGCAAAGAAGGAGAAACTGCCTTAACACAGCAAAGAATTTAACAAGGAATAAAACAAACGAAGAGTTCTGATCCTGCTGGGTAACAAGAGATCATCCACAAGAGGCAACTGTTAATTTAAAATTTCATGGCATTGCCGGGCACGGTGACTCACGCCTGTAATCCCAGCACTTTGGGAGGCCAAGGTGGGCAGATCACGAGGTCAGGAGATCAAGACCATCCTGGCTAACATGGTGAAACCCCGTCTCTACTAAAAACATATAAAAAATTAGCCAGGTGTGGTGGCAGGCGCCTATTAGTCTCAGCTACTCGGGAGGCTGAGGCAGGAGAATGGTGTGAACCTGGGAGGCGGAGCTTGCAGTGAGCCGGGATCATGCCACTGCACTCCAGCCTGGGCGACAGAGAGAGACTCCATCTCAAAAAAAAATAAATAAAATAAAATAAAATTTCATGGCATTGATGCAATAGGGTAAACAGCCTCTGGATGGATTTCTCACCTTTGCATGTTTACCTTTTTTTTTTTTCTGCTTGAATTTCAATTAGTCTTAGCCTAACAATGGCTTTTTTTTTTTTTTTTTTTTTAGACAGAGTCTTGCTCTGTCGCCCAGACTGGAGTGCAGTGGCGTAATCTTGGCTCACTGCAATCTCTGTCTCCTGGGCTTAAGTGTTCCTCCTGCCTCAGCCTCCTGAGTAGCTGGGACTACAGGAGCGTGCCACCATGCCCAGCTAATTTTTGTATTTTTAGTAGAGACGGGGTTTCATCATGTTGGCCAGGCTGGTCTTGAACCCCTGCCCTCAAATGATCCGCCCAACTTGGCCTTTCAAAGTGTTGGCCACTGTGCTCGGCCCAATAATGGCTTCTTATAGCCAACCAAAACAAATGGAGTACACAAAAGCTCTAAAATAAAAAATACAGTGCTACTATATTCTAAGCATTCAAGAGCTCCTTGATAAGCACAATAAAACCCCATGATAATGCCCTCATCAAAAATATGATTTCATTTTATTTATTTATTTTTGAGACCGTGTCTTGCTCTGTCACCCAGGCTGGAGTATGGTGGTGTGATCATGGCTCACTACAGCTTCACCTCCTGGGCTCAAATGATACTCCCACCTCAGCCTCCTGAGTAGCTGGGACTATAGGCACACACCGCCATGCCTGGCTAATTTTTTGATTTTTTGTAGAGACAGTCTCACTATGTTGCCCAGGCTGGTCTCAAACTCCTGGGTTCAAGTGATACCCCTACCTTGGCCTTTCAAAGTGCTGGGATTACACGCATGAGCTACTGTACCCGGCCAAAAATAAAATTTGTTTTTTTTCTTTTGAGATGGAGTCTTGCTCTGTCGCCAGACTGGAGAGCAGTGGTGCAATCTCGGCTCCCTATAACCTCCGCCTCCTGGGTTCAAGTGATTCTCCTGCATCAGCCTCCCCAGTAGCTGGGACTGCAGGTGCCCAGCACCATGCCTAGCTAATTTTTGTTTTTTTAGTAGAGACAGGTTTCACCATTTTGGCCAAGCTGGTCTTGAACTCCTAACCTCAGGTGATCTGCCCCCCTTGGCCTCCCAAAGTGCTGGGATTACAGGCGTGAGCCACCGTGCCCGGCCAAAAATATAATTTTAGATATGATGCAGAATTGACAGCTGGCTCCCATTCCCTGCCTAGCCCCTAAACAGGGCAGGTAGAGGGAGGTCTTAGAGAGGAGGCCAAGGCCATAAAGATAGGGAAAAGGCATGTGAACTTGTTTCAGAGAGAGAAGAGGTGAGGGGTAAATCTCGTCCTAATTATTCTCCCAGCTGAATCTGGCCAACTAACTGGGACATTTCCCAAATCGCTAATGTTATCCTGCAGCTTCTGCACTCAGAATTGTCCCCAGTAGGCCGGGCATGGTGGCTCACACCTATAATCTCAGCAGTTTGGGAGGCCGAGGAGAGCAGATCACAAGGTCAGGAGTTCAAGACCAGCCTGGCCAATATGGTGAAACCCTGTCGCTACTAAAAATACAAAATTACCTGGGCATGGTGGTGTGTGCCTGTAGTCCTAGCTACTCTGGAGGCTGAGACAGAAGAATCGCTTGAACTGGGTAGGCGGAGGTTGCAGTGAGCCGAGATCGCACCACTGCACTCCAGCCTGGTGACAGAACAAGACTCTGATTCAAAAACAACAACAAAGAAAACAGGATGTTTAGCCAGGTGCGGTGGCTCATGCCTGTAATCCCAGCCCTTTGGGAGGCCGAGGTGGGTAGATCACCTGAGTTCGGGAGTTTGAGACTAGCCTGACCAACATGGAGAAACCCTGTCTCTACTAAAAAAACCCCACAAAATTAGCCAAGCTTGGTGGTGCGTGCCTGTAATCCCAGCTACTTGGGAGGCTGAGGCAGAAGAATCGCTTGAACCTGGGAGGTGGAGGTTGCAGTGAGCCGGGATCACGCCATTGCACTCCAGGTTGGGTAACAAGAGTGAAATTCCGTCTCCAAAAAAAAAAAAATTGTCCCCATTAATATTTAACTTGGGGCCGACCACCACCACCAGGTGGCATCAAATCACAACTGAGTCTGGCATGAATTTATTTTTGATTTATTTAAAAATTTTTTGGTAGAGACAGGGTATTGTTATGCTGCCCAGGCTGGTCTTAGACCCCTGGGCTCAAGCGATCCACCCGCCTCAGCCTCCCAAAGTGCTGAGATTACAAGCCTGAACTGCTGTGCCTGACCTGGCATGAATTTAGATAGGGCAGTTAGCTCCCAAATTCCTCACAGCTAGCTAGACTGACCCACAATGGTCATTTTGTTGTTAACCCTGCAAGAAATTGTAACCTTCCATTTCATATGACTGATTTATTTGGATCTCAGTTATAATTACAATTACAATTATAATTACAATAGGATTTACTGTATTAATTTATAACCAATAATTGATGAAAGTACTCTCTTAGTAAACTAAAGGCCAAAGAATATTAAATTAGACATTGTACTAATTATTTTGTGCTAATTATACATATACATATTATATATATAAAATATTTATACACACATATACAGAATGCTCGCTTTGGCAGCACATATACTAAAACTGGAATGATGCAGAGATTAGCATGGCCTCTGCACAAGGATGACACTTTTATTTAACTTTGCAAAAAAAAAAAAATTAAGAAAACCAATAAACACACACACACACACACACACACACACACCCCCCTCATAGCTTGAGTTTATTTATTTTTTGAGACAGGTCTCACTCTGTCACCCAGACTGGAGTGCAGTGGTGCAATCTTGGCTCATTGCAACCTCTGCCTCCCGGGTTCAAGCAATTCTCCTTCCTCAGCCTCCCGAGTAGCTGGGATTACAGACATGCACCACTACTGCCTGGCTATTTTTTTTTTTTCTATTTTTAGTAGAGACGGGGTTTCTACTAAAACCCCGTTTAGTAGAAACGGGGTTTTTTTTAGTAGAGACGGGGTTTCTCCATGTTGGTCAGGCTCATCTCGAACTCCCGAACTCAGGTGATCCACCCACCTCGGCCTCCCAAAGGGCTGGGATTACAGGCATGAGCCACCGCACCCGGCTAAACATCCTGTTTTCTTTTTTGTTGTTGTTTTTGAATCAAAGTCTTGTTCTGTCACCAGGCTGGAGTGCAGTGGTGCCATGTTGGCCAGGCTGGTCTCAAACTCCTGACCCCAAACAATCCACACTGCTCGGCCTCCCAAAGTGTTGGTATTATAGGCGTGAGCCACCGCACTCAGCCCAGTTTATTATATTACTGAAATTTTCAGGCTGGGCATGGTGGCTCACACCTGTAATACCAGCACTTTGGGAGGCTGAAGCTGGAGGAACACCTGAGCTCAGGAGTTCAAGACCTGCCTGGACAATAAAGTGAGACCCCATCTCTACAAAGATTACACAAATTAGCTGGGCATGGGCGTACATACCTGTAGTCCCAGCTACTCAGGTGGCTGAGGTGTGAGGGTTGCTT
Organism: Homo sapiens; assembly: GCF_000001405.40. Taxonomy (NCBI): domain Eukaryota; kingdom Metazoa; phylum Chordata; class Mammalia; order Primates; family Hominidae; genus Homo; species Homo sapiens. Next base: position 107,134,001 of record NC_000006.12, read on the forward strand.
GAGCCCAAGAGGTCAAGGCTGTAGTGAGCTATGATCATGCCATTGCACTTTAGCCTGAGCAACAGAGTGAGACTCTCTCAAAAAAACCCAAAATAGACAAAGAAAAAATGAAGGCTGGCCATGGTGGCTCACACACGTAATCCTAGCACTTTGGGAGGCTGAGGTGAGAAGACTGCTTTAGCCCAGGAATTTGAGACCAGCCTGGGCAACATGGCGAAACCTCTTCTCTACAAAAACTTACAAAAATTTGCTGGGTGTGGTGGTGTGTGCCTGTAGTCCCAGCTACTCGGGAGGCTGAGGTGGGAGGATTGCTTGAGCCTGGGAGGTCGAGGCTGCAGTGAGCCATGATCACACCACTGCACTCCAGCCTGGGAGACAGACTGATACCCTGCCTCAAAAAAAAAAAAAAAAAAAGGAAAAGAAAAGATGGAAAAAGTACTAGAAAAAAGTGAACCAGGCTGGGCGTGGTGGTTCAGGCCTGTAATCCCAGCACTTTGGGAGGGCAAGGCGGGTGGATTACTTGAGGTCAGGAGTTTGAGACCAGCCTGGCCAACATGGTGAAACCCTGTCTCTACCAAAAATACAAAAAAAAAAAAAAAAAATTAGCCGGGCGGGGTGGCACGCGCCTGTAGTCCCAGCTACTCAGGAGGCTGAGGCAGGAGAATTGCTCAAACCAGGGAGACAGAGGTTGTAGTGAGCCGAGATCACACCACTGCACTCCAGCCTGGGTGACAGAGTGAGACTCTGTCTCAAGAAATACAGTGAAGGAGTTAGTAAAATTTACCACTGGTAGCTGGGCACGGTGGCTCACGCCTGTGATCCTAGCTCTTAGGGAGGCAGAGCCAGGAGGATGGCTTGAGCCCAGGAGTTCGAGACCTGCCTGGGCAATACAGTAAGACCCTGTTCTCCACAAAAAGGGGAGAAAAAAAAAAGAAAGAAAAAAATTACCTCTGGTAAAACTAGTTATTGGACCCTTGAAGGTGACTTATTTGTTTTCTGTCAATATCACCCTGTGTGTTATGTTTTTTCAGGTAGGAGATGGCTTGGTGAGTAGGAATTATCTTCAGTTTCAAATAAATCTCATTTTGGCTTTCATTCCTCTGAAAATTAGCAATACAGGGATGAAAAGAATTGTGCCTGTCTTGCACTATTGTGCACTGTTCTTGCACTAAGAATAGTGCTTCATATCATAAGCACTGTATGTGTTGCCATTATTAGTAACCTTTGCAGTGATTATTGTGCTCTTGGATCACCCAGACACACTCTCCCTCTTGCTGCCATCCCCGCCCCATTCACCCGTCTAAAACAGGTACTGTATGTCTTTTTTTGGCGGGGACAGAGTTTCGCTCTGGTTGCCCAGGCTGGAGTGCAATGGTGCAATCTCGGCTTACTGCGACCTCTGCCTCCTGGGTTCAAGCGATTCTCCTACCTCAGTCTCCTGAGGAGCTGGGATTACAGGCGCCCGCCACCACGCCCAGCTCATTTTGTATTTTTAGTAGAAATGGGGTTTCACCGTGTTGGCCAGGCTGGTCTTGAGCTCCTGACCTCAGGTGATCCACCCACCTCAGCCTCCGAAAGTGCTGGGATTACAGGCGTGAGCCACCATGCCCGGCTAAAACAGGTACTATATGTCAAACACACAACATTGTGTGGCCACTCCTTGAATAGTTCACTGAACATTTTAGATGGCTTCATGCTTACAGAGTTTCTTTCTTTTTTTTTGAGAGAGAGTCTCACTCTGTGGCCCAGGCTAGACAGCCCCCCGAGTAGCTGGGACTACAGGTTCACGTCACCAGAGTGAGACTGCATCTCAAATAATAATAATAAAAAAGTGACCCAAAAGAAAGGGGGAAGAGGCTGGGTGCGGTGGCTCACACCTGTAATCCCAGCACATTGGGAGGCTGATGGGCAGATCACATGAGGCCAGGAGTTTGAGACCAGCCTGGCCAATATGGCAAAACCCTGTTTCTACTAAAAATACAAAAATTAGCCAAGTGTGGTGGCGCATGCCTGTAATCCCAGCTACTGGGGTTACTGAGGCATGAGAGTCTCCTGAACCCGGAGGTGGAGGTTGCAGTGAGCTGAGATTGCGCCACTGCACTCCAGCCTGGGCGACATAGCTAGACCCTGTCTCAAGAAAAAAAAAAAAAAAGAATCGAGGAAGAATCTTAGTATTTGACAATGTAGAATATAAGGGAAAAAATATATAATAAGGGAAAAAGAAGGGTGTTACACACTGATGAATGATAGAGCAAGAAGCACCTGAAAAAATTGCAGGAATAGATACATCAGGTTAAAAGATTTTAACACATGCTTTTCAGAAATTGATAAATTGGAATTACAGTTGTAAGCGACCATGCCCAGCTCAATTTTTATTTGTTTTTGTCTTTATTTATTTATTTTTTTTTGAGACAGGGTCCCACTCTGTTGCCCAGGCTGGAGTGCAGTGGCGCAATCTCAGCTCACTGCAACCTCTGCCTCCCAGGGTCAAGCAATCTTTCCACCCCAGCCTCCCAAGTAGCTGGAACTACAGGTAAGTACCACCACTGCTGGGTAATTTTTGCATTCTTTTGTAGAGACGAAGTTTTGCATGTTTCCAGGCTAGTCTTGAATTCCTGGGCTCAAGTGATCTACCTGCCTTGGCCTCCCAAAGTGCTGGGATTACAGGCATGAGCACCTGGCCTGTCTTTTTGATTTAAATTTCTCTTTGAGATAATCTTATTATTGGATCTGTTTAATTCAATCTGAAAGTCTGTTTTTTAATTGAATTTAATTAATTTTTATTTATTATAATTCATTATAAGTACTTATTTCTGCCTTTTTATTCCATATTTTTCATTTACTACAGGTCTTGGTCTGTTTTGTGTTGCTATAACAGAATTAGGCTGGGTAATTTATCAAGAGGTTTATTTGGCTCAGGATTCTGGTGGCCGGAAGGTTCAAGATTGGGTAGCTGCATCTGGTGAAGGTCTCAGGCTGCTTCCACTCATGGTGGAAAGAGGAAGGGGAATGGGAGTGTGCAAAGATCATAAGGCAAGAGAGAAAGCAAGGGAGAAAAACCAAGGAAGCTAGACTCTTAACAACCCACTCTCTGGAAAGCTAACTCATTCCTGCAAGTGTGAGAATGGGTTCCTGGGAGAGCATTAATCCATTCATGAGAAATCCACCCCCATGACCCAAACACCTCCCACTAGGCCCCACCTCCCAACACTGCCACATTGGGAATCAAATTTCTTTCTTTCTTTTTTTTTTTTTTGAGACGGAGTCTCGCTCTTGTTGCCCAGGCTGGAGTGCAATGGCCTGATCTCAGCCCACTGCAACCTTTGCCTTCCAGGTTCAAGCGATTCTCCTGCCTCAGCCTCCCGAGTAGCTGGGATTACAGGCATCCACCACCTCGCCCAGCTAATTTTTTGTATTTTTAGTAGAGACGGGGTTTCACTATGTTGGCCAGGCTGGTCTCGAACTCCTGACCTCAGGCAGTCCACCCGCCTTGGCCTCCCAAAGTGCTGGGATTACAGGCGTGAGCCACTGTGCCCAGCTGGGAATCAAATTTCAACATGAGTTTTGATAGGGACACACCATATCCAAACCATAGCACTACACATTTTTCTTTTCCCCTTTCTTCTTTGCATTGGATTGTTGCTTTTATTAGTTGTTGCTGGCTTAAATGTTAAGCATTCCAGTACGCCTGGAACCTGTCTTACTTCAAAGTTCATGTGTGTCTGCTGCATCACTCCAGGAATTATTATTATCTTTTTTTTTTTTTTTTTGAGATGGAGTCTTGCTCTGTCACCCAAGTTGGAGTGCACTGGCATGATCTCAGCTTACTGAAATCTCCGCCTCCCGGGTTCAAGTGATTCTTCTTCCTCAGTCTCCCAAGTAACTGGGACTACAGACATGTGCCACCATGCCCAGCTAATTTTTTGCATTTTTAGTAGACACAGGGTTTCACCATGTTGCCTAGGCTGGTCTCGAACTCCTGACCTCAAGTGATTCACCTGCCTCGGCCTCCCAAAGTGCTGGGATTACAGGCATGAGCCACCACGCCCGGCCCTCACCAGGAATTATATGTCAATGGAAGTTTAGGAATGTATCATCGACTCCAGTGGATCTAAAACAGGGTGTGTGTGTGAGAATTACCTGAAAATTCTGAAAAACATAGGTCTGGATACAGCCCTTATTCTAATGCAAGCCCTTGATTTTAATATGAGTGGTTCATAGACCATATTGTGCAAATACTGTTCTAATCCAACCTCTTCCCTTTTTTTTTTTTTTTTTTTTTTTGAGGCTGAGTTTCGCTCTTGTTGCCCAGGCTGGAGTGCAATGGTGCGATCTTGGCTCACTGCAACCTCCGCCTCCTGGGTTCAAGCAATTCTCCTGCCTCAGCCTCCCGAGTAGCTGGGATTACAGGCATGCACCACCATGCTTGGCTAATTTTGTATTTTTAGTAGAGACGGGGTTTCTCCATATTGGCCAGGCTGGTCTCCAACTCCTGACCTCAGGTGATTCACCCGCCTCGGCCTCCCAAAGTGCTGGGATTACAGGCGTGAGCTACCGTGCCAGGTCCTGTCCTTTATGTTCAAAGAAGTCTCTAGACCTATTTTATAACCTGTATTCTTCTGATTAGAGTTTGTAAACCAGTGTTCCTTTACTATTACTCTATTTTACTTGCTTGCTTCATTGTTTTTTTTTTTTTTTTTTTTGAGATGGAGTCTCGCTCTGTCGCCCAGGCTGGAGTGCAGTGGCGCGATCTCGGCTCACTGCAAGCTTTGCCTCCCGGGTTCATGCCATTCTTCTGCCTCAGCCTCCCGAGTAGCTGGGACTACAGGCGCCCGCCACAACGCCTGGCTAATTTTTTGTATTTTTTTTAGTAGAGATGGGGTTTCACCATATTAGCCAGGATGGTCTCTATCTCCTGACCTTGTGATCCGCCCGCCTCGGCCTCCCAAAGTGCTGGGATTACAGGCATGATCCACCGCGCCCAGCCTAAGCTTCATTGTTATAAAAACACATTTCCTTTAACAGCATTTATCGAATGGCACCCTCTGTGGTAGGTACAGTGATTGGTGCCTTCAGGCAATTAGCAGCTATTCTTTACTAGTAAGCACGACTATCCAATTCCACAAGAAAGGAAGAAGAAACCTGGAGAATTTGTCTCATCACACCTGATAGATAAGCTAGGATTTGAGGTTTTTTTGTTTTGTTTTGTTTGTTTTTTTTGAGACAGTCTCGCTCTGTTGCCCAGACTAGAGTGCAGTGGCTGGATCTCTGCTCACTGCAACCTCCGTCTCCCAGGCTCAAGTGATTCTCGTGCTTCAGCCTCCTGAGTAGGTGGAACTACAGGCGTACGCCACCACGCCCAGCTAATTTTTGTATTTTTTGTAGAGATGGGGTTTCACCATATTGGCCAGGCTGGCCTCGAACTCCTGGCCTCAAGCGATCCACCTGCCTCGACCTCCCAAAGTGCTGGGATTACAAGCATAAGCCACCACGCCCAGCCAAGAAGCTAGGATTTGAACCCAGATCTGTTTATTCCATTGGTTATCTTCCACTATTTTCAAAGAGAATCTGATCCCAAGAAGCCCACAGTATAGTGGGAAAGACACAAATAATCTCATTCTATGGTTTACCTTTGTATCCAAGGCAGTGCTATGCACATAGTAACACTTAATAAATGTCAATGAAAAGAAGGCATTAACTTATCCTGGTTTCTTACTTCTTTTTCTTTTTTTTTTTTAGATGGAGTCTCACTCTGTCACGCAGGCTGGAGGGCAGTGGCGTGATCTCGGCTTACTACAACCTCCGCCTACAGCCTCCGGAGTAGTTGGGACTACAGGCACGTGCCACCATGCCCAGCTGACTTTTGTTTGTATTTTTAGTAGAGACAGGGTTTCACTGTGTTAGCCAGGATGGTCTCGATCTCCTGACATCATGATCTGCCCGCCTCGGCCTCCCAAAGTGCGGGGATTACAGATGTGAGCCACCGCGCCCGGCCTCTTATTTTTCCGTTGATGGTTTCTAAGTCAGGGGAATCACAATCTGGTAAAATAAAGAAGCAAAGAGGATTGTTAAGGAAACACAAATTTGAGCCGGGCGCGATGGCTCACGCCTGTAATCCCAGCACTTTGGGAGACCAAGGCGGGCGGATCACCTGAGGTCAGGAGTTCGAGAGCAGCCTGACCAACACGGCGAAACCCCGACTCTACTAAAAATATAAAATTAGCTGGGCGTGGTGACGCATGCCTATAATCCCAGCTACTTGGGAGGCTGAGGCAGGAGAATCGCTTGAACCTGGGAGGCGGAGGTTGCGGTGAGCTGAGATTGCACTCCAGCCTGGGCAACAATAGCAAAAACTCCATCTCAAAAACAAACAAACAAACAAACAAACAAACAAACAAAAAAACAAAAAAAGGAAACACAAATTTGGAGACAAAATAGAAAGAGCCTATGTCACACAGTGATTTTCTTCCTCTGCACAGTTACTATAACAGGTCATCAGTCACTTTGCAAAAACGTCCATTATAAATCAGGGCTACTTCCATTTTGTACTATTTATCTTTCTAATGTATTTAATAAAAACCCATTAAGGAATATAAAAATATAATTTTAGTATTATTTTCTCCTTCCTGTAATCAGTTTTATAACGCTGATGTTGAACATAACGGAGCAAGCAACTATATGTAACTGTAGAAATTATTGCTAGGAATTTGCATATGAAATACACACCTTTTACTGCCTTTAGTTGGCTTTGTTAACTAGGTTATAAATAGTACAGTTGACATACCAGAAACGGAAAGCACTTTTTGATGAGCACATGCTATGAATGGAAGAAGTGTTCAAACACAGTGTTTAATTTGGAAAGCTTTCATTAGAACTAGCTAAAGGGGAAAGTGGTTTATTTCCTAATCATAGCCTTGCTTAATAATCCAATCATATAGAAAGACTTATGGAAAAGCTTTCTAAAAACAGATATTTATGCTACAATTTGGGTAAACAAGTGATACATCTAGTCTATAAACATATGTTGATGGTGTTGGTGGTCACTTTTAAGAAAATTGAACTTTGGGAGGTCGAGGCGGGTGGATCACGAGGTCAGCAGACCAAGACCATCCTGGCCAACATAGTGAAACCCGTCTCTACTAAAATTACAAAACTTAACTGGGTGTTGGGGCATGCGCCTGTAGTCCCAGCTACTAGGGAGGCTGTGGCAGGAGAATTGCTTGAACCCAGGAGGTGGAGGCTGCAGTGAGCGGAGATCGCACCATTGCACTCCAGCCTGGGCGACAGAGCGAGACTCTGTCTCAAAAAAAAAAAAAAAAGAAAGAAAAAGAAAAAGAAAATTGAGCAGTTTGGATTAAATATTAAATAATTTCCCTCTGTGTATATGTGGAGAGGCAAAGGAAGTCATAGGACTAAGATATAAAATTGGAAAGTGCAGTTTATATTTATACCACTTTCAAAAGAGAAAGCTCATACTATGTCATTTTGCTGAAATCACATACCAGAATTTGAAATTTTGAAAACTATTTGAAGAACTTTATTGAGCTAGAACAAAAAGATGCCATTCATTTTGACTGCATGAACATAAAAACTATCATTAATAGGGCAGCGTTTTTGCTGATATTTTATATTGCTAGAGGGCAAAAATTCAATAAATGTTACTATGCAGGCTGTTTCAATCATTATAAAGTATAGAAACAAAGGCTGGTGATGACTTTTGTAAATGACAAATATAAAATTTGCAGAAATCGTTATATTTTTATAGGATGCAATAATTGGGTTTTCAAGCTTTTTTTTTTTTTTTTTTTTTTTTTGCTATGGTTGTGAAGCAACTACGACACAGATTTAATGCTGCTACTCATCCAGATGACAGTGAGGTGAGGGGACTAGGGACAATTTTTTCTTCTCACACATTTGTTTTTAGCCATCTATATTTGCCTCAGTGTCTTGATACCATGGCGATAACTTAGCAACAGCTAGATACAAATTAAGGTAATCTGTCATACCAGCCTCTGATCATCAAAAGTTGGGAGGTAGGACACTGGGAAGAAAAATATAGATGTTTAATGGCTTAAGAAAAAAAAAGCTTGATCTCTCTGCTACCTGCTCTTGTCCATTTCTTCATCTCACTTTCATATATATCTGAAAAAAGAGATGACAATCTAAAAAAATTCCCAACCAACCCCAGTGTTAAAATTAATTAGATAAAATGAAATTTAAAGATTTCTTAAATAGGGGAAAAACAATACACGTTATCCTTTCTTGAACAGGAACTAATGATCACAAAGGTACAAAAAAAGTGCAGTGGCACGGTCTTGGCTCACTGAAATCTCTGCCTCCCATGTTCAAGCGATTCTCTTGTGTCAGCCTCCCGAGTAGCTGGGATTACAGCCATGCGCCACCATGCTGGCTAATTTTTGTATTTTCAGTAGAGTTGGGGTTTCACCATGTTGGCCAGGCTGGTCTCGAACTCCTGACCTGAGGGCATCGTCCAGCCTTGCCCTCCCAAAGTGTTGGGATTACAGGTGTGGGCCACCATGCCCAGCCCATAAAAAGTGTTTTGCAAAGACATTTCAAAGAGATTTTTCCATACTAATGGACATTCAATTTCTGTTGATGGTTGTTAGGAGGACAAAGTTACATAAAATATAAATACCTTTGGACTAGCAGACTTGTATGACATAATGGATTCTGCCATTTTAAAAGTCAACATACCATATAATGCCTTTCCCTATCTTTATCATAATTTATGTGCAAATCAGAGAAAGTAAAATAATTTAAAAGGAAGAATATAACATTTGGAAAGTAAATAAAATCTTGATTTTCAGGGCTACTGATTTTATTTCAAATACTTACCTAGAAAATGGTAAAATACAGCCAGGCGAGGTGGCTCACCCTTGTAATCCCAGCACTTTGGGAAGCCGAGGTGGGCGGATCACTTGAGGACAGGAGTTCAAGACCAGCTTGGCCAACATGGTGAAACCTCGTCTCTACCAGTTGAACAGAGATGGCTGCCCAACTTGTGTGCTGGCTCAGACGTGTGAATAGTGGCTCCCTGGAGTGCTGTGTTGAGGATTCTGAGGCTGAATGCAGTGGCCCTTGCCTGTAATCCTAGCACTTTCGGAGGCCAAAGGGGGACGCTTGAGCCCAGGAGTTTGAGACCAGCCTGGGTGCCATAGTGAGATCCCCATCTCAAATAAATAAAAAAATAAAGAGAGGATTCTGAGGGTTGGTAGGAAAAGGGCTGTGAATGATGAGTAAATGTCTGCTAGGACTGGGAGGGAGACTAGCGGGTAAAAGACTTGTTAAGTGAAATAGGGGGGTGATGGATAGGAAGGAGGGTGAGCCCAGAGCACCCGAAAATACTTTAAATTTATTTTGTCTTACATGTGATATTAAAATGAATCCGAATCTTATGTTCAACTCCATAATATATGCTTGGAATGCCACAAAAGTTTTGAAAAATCATTTGTAGTTAAAGTACCTAATTTTAACTTTGTGGAAGAAAAATGTTGCTAGACAATGTGCACGCTCCTTTTGTGGCTTCCACAGCACCTGGCAGGGTGCTGCATATCCTTAGGGTCTCTAGCCCCCATTTAGTGAAGCCCACACCTAGGGAATCATAGAAATAAAAATGTTTAAATCTGTGTATGATAATGTAAGTTCAGAGAAGTAACTTTTTTTTTTTTTTTTTTTTTTTTTTGGAGACAGGGTCTTTCTCTGTCACCCTGGCTGGAGTGCAGTGGTGCAATCTTGGCTCACTGCAGCCTCTGCCTCCCGGCTCAAGTGATTCTCCTGCCTCAGCCTCCCGAGTAGCTGGGACTACAGGCACACGCCACCACACCTGGCTAATTTTTGTATTTTTAGTAGAGATAGGGTTTCATCATGTTGGCCAGGCTGGCCTCGAACTCCTGACCTCAGGTGATCCGCCTGCCTTGGCCTCCCAAAATGCTGGGATTACAGGTGTGAGCCACTGCACCCGGCCCAGAGAAGTAACTGGATTGTCAATGGCAGAGCTGGGATCTGAAGACTGCAACTCCCACCCTTTTTGTTTTGTTTTTAGAGATGGGGTCTCATCATGTTGCCCAGGCAGATCTTGAACTGCCAAGTGATCCTCCCACCTTGGCCCCCTAAAGTGTTGGGATCACAGGCATGAGTCACCATGCCTGGCCACAGCCTAATTTCTTAACAAAGACTGTCTATGTTCTTCCAAAGTCCAGTACCAGGGTTCCTTGAGATTTAAGATTTGGCATTAAATTCATGATCTGAAAAAGGACTTTGTGGCCACAGAGGACAATACAGTAACTATTGAGTTGGCAATTTCAGTATTGTTGTTAAAAATAACAACAACATAGTTTCTGTTTGGGGTGATGAAAAAGTTTTAGAAAAAGATAGTGATGATGGTTGCACAACAGTGTGAATGTAGTTAATGCCACTGAATTGTACACTTAAAATAACAAAAATGAATCATTTATGCTATATATATTTTACCAAATAAAAAAAGTAAAAAAGTAAAAAATGATGGATTGGGAGTCTCTGAGCCTACTCTGGCTTGGGAGGCTGCCTGGAAAAAAAAAAAAAGAAAAAAGATGGATCATGGAAAATTAGATTAATTAAGGTAACAATTTTCCAAAATTTGATCTATATATTGAATACAATCCCTACCAAAATCCCAAAATACCAGCAGGCTCCATTTTTTTTTTTTTTTTTTTTTTGGTAGAAATTGACAAGCGGATCCTAAAATTTTTATGGAACTGCAAAGAACCCAAAGTAGCCAAAACAATTTTGAAAAAATTCCCTAGGGGGAAATCTGAATAAGACTGATAGATTTTATCAATGTCAACATCCTGGTTGGAATATCATATTACAGTTTTGCAAGATGTTACCATTGGGTGAAACTGTAAAGAGTACTATATTATTTCTTTCTTCTTTTTTTTTTTTTTTTTTTTGAGACGAAGTCTTGCTCTGTCACCCAGGTAGGAGTGCCTCAGCCTCAGCCTCCAGAGTAGCTGGGATTACAGGCATGCGCCACCAGGCCCGGCTAATTTTTGTATTTTAGTAGAGACCAGGTTTCACCATGTTGGTCAGGCTGGTCTCAAACTCCTGACCTCAAGTAATCCTCCTGCCTCAGCCTCCCAAAGTGTTGAGATTACAGGCGTGAGCCACTGCACCCGGCCTTTTTTTTTTTTTTGAGACAGGGATTCACTCCGTCGCTCAGGCTGGAGTGCAGTGGTGTGATCTCGGCTCACTGCAACCTCTGCCTCCCGGTTTCAAGTGATTCGTCTGCCTCAGCCTCCTGAGTAGCTGGGATTATAGGCATGTGCCACCATGCCTGGCTAATTTTTGTATTTTTAGTAGAGATGGGGTTTCACCATGTTGGCAGGGCTGGTTTTGAACTCCTGACCTTAAGTGATCCAGCACGCCTGGCCGGACAACAGGCAATTTCTAAAACATTAAACATAAATGTATCATGTGACCCAGCAATCTTACTCCTGGAGATCTACCCAAGAGAAATAAAACATTTGTCTGCACAAAGACTTATACTTGAATGTTCCCATTATTCAGAATAGGTAAAAGAGGCAATCCACATGTGAATCAACTGGCCAATATGTCTTATATCCATACAATGGAATACTATTTAGCAATAAAAAGGGAGGAAATAATGATACATGAGACAACGTGGATAAAACTCAAATACATTATGCTAAGTGATAGAGAACTAGATGCAAAAGACTATGTATTCTATAATTCTATTTATAGATAATGTCTGGAAAAGGCAAATCTATAGAGACAGAGGGTAGATTGGTGGCTGAACAGAATTAAAGGTGGGAGTAGGAGTTGACTACAAATGGACACAAAGGATCTTTTTTTTTTTAATTTTTTGTTTTTTTTTTTAGAGATGGGGTCTCACTATGCTGCCCAAGCTGGTCTTGAACTCCTGAGCCCAAGTGATCCTCTCATCTTGGCTTCCTAAAGTGCTGGAATTACAGGCGTGAGCCACCGTGCCTGGTCTCTTTTGGTTTTGGAACTGGATTGTGGTGATAATTGCACATCTTTGTAAATTTACCAAAACATCATTGAATGGTACAATTAAAATAGGCGAATTTTATGGTGTATAAACTTACTTCAATACAGCTATTTTTTTTTTTTTTTGAGATGGAGTCTTGCTCTGTTGCCCAGGCTGGAGTGCAGTGGTGCAATCTCGGCTCACTGCAAGCTCCACTTCCCGGGTTCACGCCATTCTCCTGCCTCAGCCTCCCGAGTAGCTGGGACTACAGGCGCCCGCCACCACTCCCAGCTAATTTTTTTGTATTTTTTAGTAGAGATGGGGTTTCACCATGTTAGCCAGGATGGTCTCGATCTCCTGACCTCGTGATCTGCCTGCCTCAGCCTCCCAAAGTGCTGGGATTACAGGCGTGAGCCACCGCGCCCGGCCCTAATACAGCTATTTTTTAAAAAGAATGCAATTAAAGCAGTTCTAATCTTCAAAAAAATAGGAAGAAAGGAAAGAAAATCATGGTATAGAACTGCATAAATAACTAGAAATTAGGAAGCTCACAACAAATTGGTCATACTCTATATATGCCAGTGGATTTAAGTTAGGAATATTCTATCTGTAGTGGCCTTAAAACTATAGCCTTTGAGAGCTCTGATGCAAGGTGGGGTGAGCTAAAGGAGGGGTACATTCCACTATCAGTTCTGGCCTCTTACCAGGTGACACCTCTTGTTAAGTCACCTTTGGAAGTCTGTAATTTCCCTAATGGAAAGCCAGGACCCATTCTGAAAGAATAAAACAGTTAATATGTAAGGGATCAGGACTGAAGGTGGGAGAAGAGAAAGAGGTAAATTATTATTATCTTGTTAGAGTGCTTTGTGTTTTTAAAAGACAGTGCAAACAACTTTATTATTAATAAAACATAATTAACAATAATGGAAACTATTAATAACAATAAAATGTGCCCCTCTATTCAAGCCTTTATCATTAAAAAAAAAAAAATGACAATGTTGGGTAGGCCAGGCGGGGTGGCTCCTGCCTGTAATCCCAGCACTTTGGGAGGTGGAGGTGGGAGGATAGCTTGAGGTCAGGATTAGATGAGCCTGGCCAACATGGTGAAACCCTGTCTCTACTAAAAATACAAAAAATTAGGCAGTCATGGTGACTCGCACCTGTAATCCTAGCTACTCAGGAGGCTGAGACAGGAAAATCACTTGAACCTGGGAGGCGGAGGTTGCAGTGAGCCGAGATCCTGGCAGTGCACTCCAGCCTGGGTGACAGAGCAAGACTTCATCTCAAAAATAAAAATAAAAATAAATCACAGCCTGGGTATGGTGGCTCACGCCTGTAATCCCAGCATTTTGAGAGGCTGAGGCAGAAGGATCATTTGAGATCAGGACTTCGAGACCAGCCTGACCAACATGGTGAAACCCTGTTTCTACTAAAACAAAACAAAACAAAACAAAACAAAATTAGCCAGGCATGGTGGTGCGCACCTGTAATCCCAGCTACTTCGGAGGCTGAGACATGAGAATCGCTTGAACCTGGGAGGCGGAGGTTGCAGTGAGCTGAGATTGTGCCTCTGCACTCCAGCCTGGGTGACAAAGTAAGACTGTGTCTCAAAATAATAATAATAATAAATTACAATGTTGGCAGGGCCCAGTGGCTCATGGCTATAATCCCAGTGCTTTGGGAAGCTGAGGCAGGAGGATTGCTTGAAGCCAGGAGTCCAAGACCAGCCTGGGCAACAAAGTGAGACCCTGTCTCTACAAAAAAATAAAAATAAAAAAATTAGCTGGGCAGGGTGGTTTGCGCTTGTATTTCTAGCTACTCTGAAGTTATTCAGTTATATCAAATGAATTAAAAACAAGCCAACTAATCGATCACTGACTGTGCTTTGGTGAAGGTGTGGCAAGCCTTCTGCAGATTGAGAAGAAGTCCTTACAGATTCTAAAGACAATTCCTTGGAGCTTCTATTCGTCATAACAACAGGATTTCAAAGTGTGAAAACAAATGAATAGGCAGGAAAGGATCTTCCTAAAACTAAGAACTCCAGGAAGGAGTCTGAAAACAGTTTTCCGAAAAGCAAGGTTCTCCTTATTAGTGATGAACCTGCTGATTAGCTGGAGTCTTAAAAAAAAAAAAAGTGGCCGGGCACAGTGGCTCACGCCTGTAATCCTAGCACTTTGGGAGGCCGAGGTGGGTGGATCACGAGGTCAGGAGTTCGAGACCAGCCTGGTCAACATGGTGAAACACTGTCTCTACTAAAGATTAAAAAAAATTAGCCAGGCGTGGTAGCACATGCCTGTAATCCCAGCTACTCGGGTGGCTGAGGCAGGGGAATCTCTTGAACCCAGGAGACAGAGGTTGCCGTGAGCCGAGATCGCACCATTGCACTCCAGCCTGGGCAACAAGAGCGAAACTCTGTTTCAGAAAAAAAAAAAAAAAAAGGTAAATTTATATGTACATTTTCCCAAATTAAAAAAAGATATCATAAGAAAACTCAAAAAACAAAAACCACAAGCTCCCAAGCCTGCTTGTTTATTTTATTTATTTATTTTTTTGAGACAGAGTCTCGCTTTGTCACCCAGGCTGGAGTGCAGTGGCACGATCTCACCTCACTGCAACCTCCACCTCTGGGTTCAAGCGATTCTCCTGCCTCAGCCTCCCAAGTAGCTGGGACTACAGGCATGCGCCACCACGCCTGGTAATTGTTGTATTTTTAGTAGAGACGGGGTTTCACCATGTTGGCCAGGTGGATCTCAAACTCCTGACCCCAGGCGATCCGCCCGCCTTGGCCTCCCAAAGTGCTGGGATTACAGGCATGAGCCATCGCGCCCGGCCTAAAACCTGCTTATTTAAAAACACCTTTAGTATAGCCATTTGTCAAATTTTGAAAGGAGATCATTGAGGATTATTCAGGTTACTTTCTGGTTACTGGAGTTCAATGTGACCAGAAAAAAGTCCTATATCTTTTTGGAACATTTTGCATTAATGTATACGTCTTTTAGCCCAAGTTTGTAGGTGTCACCCACATCTTGGGCCATAGAATAATATTGTCATAGGTAAGATAAAGTTACAAACACTGGAGAATGAAACCCTGGACCAGGCAAACAATGTCACTGATCATTTATTTTTAGGTGTGACTGGATAGCCACATTATATAAGCAAGATAACCCAAGAGAATTTGGTGTTATCAAGTAAAATATACAAGGTTGGCCGGGCATGGTGGCTTTGGGAGGCCGAGGCTGGCGGATCATGAGGTCAGGAGATCGAGACCATCCTGGCTAACACGGAGAAACCCCGTCTCTATTAAACAAAATACAAAAAATTAGCCATGCCTCAGCCTCCCTGTAGTCCCAGCTACTTGGGAGGCTGAGGCAGGAGAATGGCGTGAACCCGGAAGGTGGAGCTTGCAGTGAGCCGAGATCGCACCACTGCACTCCAGCCTGGGGTTTCGCCGTGTTAGCCAGGATGGTCTTGATCTCCTGACCTCATGATCGGCTCATCTCGGCCTCCCAAAGTGCTGGGATTGCAGGCGTGAGCCACCGCGCCCGGCTGTTCTTTTTTTTTTTTTTGAGAGGAGTCTCGCTCTTTAGCCCAGGCTGGAGTGCAGTGGTGCGATCTCTGCTCACTGCAACCTCTGCCTCCTGGGTTCCAGCGAGTCTCCTTCCTCAGCCTCCCGAGTAGCCTGCCACGCCACTCTGCCTGGATAATTTTTTAAATTTTTAGTAGAGACCGGGTTTCACCATATTGGCCGGGCTGGTCTTGATCTCCTGACCTCGTGATCCACCTGCCTCGGCCTCCCAAAGTGCTGGGATTACAGGTGTGAGCCACCGCGCCCGGCCTGATATTGTTCTTATGTCAGAGAACAATTTTTCTTAGTTGGAGAATTTAAAAGAAGAGGACTTAGTGGGCCAGGAAACTGCTTTGTCAAACTGTTTCTGGGGAGACAGAATTGAAATGTTTAGAAAAGTATGGCTCTAGGGGTGGGAATAAAAAAGAGTAGTCAGAGAAGAGAAGAAGACTCTGAACTGGCCGGGCACGGTGGCTCACGCCTGTAATGCCAGCCCTTTGGGAGGCCGAGGCAGGCAGATCGCCTGAGGTCAGGAGTTTGAGACCAGCCTGGCCAACGTGGTGAACCCCATCTCTACTAAAAATGCAAAAGTTAGCTGGGCGTGGTGGCAGGTGCCTGTAATCCCAGCTACTTGGGAGGCAGAGGTAGGAGAATTGCTTGAACCCAGGAAACGGAGCTTGCAGTAAGCTGAGATTGTGCCACTGCACTCCAGCCTGGGCGACAGAGCAAGACTCCATCTCAAAAGGGAAAAAAAAGAAGACTCTGAACTGAGGTGGTCACGGGCACCCAGGGGCAGGCTGCAACATGAAATGCTACAGCAAGTTCAGGGCAGAGTGCAGGGCCACTGCTAGAGCTGCTCACAAATTCCAGTGAAGACACCAGCAGTGAATTTTTTTTTTGTTTTTTTGAGATGGAGTTTTGTCCTTGTTGCCTAGGCTATAGTGCAATGGCCTGATCTCGGCTTACTGCAACCTCTGCCTCCCAGGTTCCAGCCATTCTCCTGCCTCAGCCTCCCAAGTAGCTGGGATTACAGGTATAAGCCACCATGCCTGGCTAATTTTGTATTTTCAGTAGAGATGAGGTTTCACCATGTTGGTCAGGTTGGTCTCGAACTCCTGACCTCAGGTGATCCGCCTGCCTCAGTTTCCCAAAGTGCTGGGATGACAGGCGTGAGCCACCATACCCGGCAGCTGTGAACTTTTAAGAATCCATCTCAGTAGAGCAGCGCAGCAAGAGGCCTGATGCATTTGTTCAGCAAGTATTCTTTGAGTACCTAAAGTGTGGTGCTGATCTAGATAATGGGGACCTGCTAGTGAATGACCGATTGTAGGAGGTAAGGAGTTAGTAGACTGTAAGAAGGTTTGCTGGTAAAGCTGGGGGAAGAAATGGAGGTGGAAGGATAAACAGGGTGAAGTAAGAAGTTTTATTTTAGGTACAAGGAGAGCTGAACACACTCACAGCCAGCAGAAGAGACACTGAAGATTCAAGAATAGAGACATGAAGGAGACAGGAGGCAACAGGCTTGAAATCGTTGGAAAAAAATGTTGTTTTTTTCTTTTTAAAAGCCAAAAAAAAAGAAAGAGGCACTACTGGGAGACCCTCAGGTGGGAGGTGCGGTGGGAGGACAAGCCAGTCAATCAGAGGTAATTTTCTCTGCCAGCTTCTGCATCTGTAAATAGGGGGATAACACCTACTCCCAAGAGTGTTTGTGGGGGTTAAAACAAGTGAGTATATTCAAGGCCCCTAGCAGAGTGCCTGGGACATGGAAGCCTGCATTAATGTAGCCTTTAGTATACTTTTTTTTTTTGAGATGAAGTTGCACTCCTGTTGCCCAGGCTAGAGAGCAATGGCACAATCTTGGCTCATCACAACCTCTGCCTCCCGGGTTCAAGAGATTCTCCTGCCTCAGCCTCCAGAGTAGCTGGGATTACAGGCGTGCGCCACCATGCCCAGCTAATTTTGTATTTTTAGTAGAGACGAGGTTTCTCCATGTTGTTCAGGCTGGCCTCAAACTCCCGACCTCAGGTGATGTGCCTGCCTCAGCCTCCCAAAGTGCTGGGATTACAGGCATGAGCCACCGCACCTGGCCAAGTATACTTAACAAAGAAGAAATGAACAGGGAGGAGAGTTCATGGGCCTGGAGTGAGTAGTGAGTGAGGTTTGCAGGAGCCAGCTGACAATTTGGGGGGTGCTAGGCAGAGGAAAGCAGGACAATTGCTAATGAATGAATTCTTCCCTCTAGCAGGTAACTGGGGATGGGGAAAGCTGGAGAGGGGCCAAGGACACATTCTAGAGCCATTAATTCTACTTACTGCCTCCATTAGCCACACCCAGGCAGCAGCAGGCTGAGAGGTGTGATTGAGGAATGTTTCAGTGCCCCAAATTTCTCCTTAGAGATTGTCTGAAACTATAAGAACTTCATATGTGCTAAGAAATAAATATCCCTGAAGAAGGGGCAGGGAGAAAGGCTATTGGTCTTGTATTTTGGAGTGAACTAGCCAACTTGTTATGTTCTGTAAAAGCCTGCCGTGATGCTGAGGAAGTGAGAATTCTGCTAAGTGGGGCCTGAGGAAGGAGGCCAGCCACCCCTGTGGGGGAGGCAGAGCTCTGTCACTCAGCAGGCAGCAGGGGGCTACTGCTCCCAGGGATCCAGGTTCCAGGGAGTCAGGATGGCAAGGTACAGGAGATGGGATAAAGGACACGAGAGCAGCTGGGAAGATGACAGGGAGGTAGGAAAGGTCCCGAAGAAAGCAGCAAGGCAGGTGTTGAGACAGAAAAGTCCAGGGTTACATGTCACATAGGAGAGCTGGAATCCTTTAGGTCATGCAGAGGCAGCTTGGCAGGAAGCTTGCCATTAAGCTCTCTCCATTCCTTCAGGGCCTCTCTTTGGGTTTCACCTTCCCTCCTCCCTGAACCTCACACAGCATCTTTGCTATTTAGACAGTCAAGAATAGTAAACTTTCAGAAAATAAAACAAACCTGGAAAGAATTTCATAATTATCTTGTTTAATCTCTTTTTTTTTTTCACACTTGACTTTCAGGTCAACTTTTGAATCTCATTGTACAGATGAGAAAATTGAGGCTCAGAAGGAAGTGACTTGTGCAAGGTCATACAGCAAACCAGATGCTAACGCAGAATAAGAGGCGCCCTAGGATCCTGCCTGGTGCCCTGCAGTGCCCGACCATCTGCTTAGTAAAACCTACTGCTTGCTGAAGTTCCTGCACATCCAACCAGCACACCTAACGCAAAGTATGACTTCTTTGTGGAAGTTAATGATTAAAACCTAGTCTGATCTAAAGCATCTTATCCATGGTTACTAATTAAGCCAATTTCAGTGACAGAAAGCATTTCAAACAGAACAGTGTTCTCTTAAGCTAAATCTATAGGCCTCAAATTATGGTGGCATAAACTGTACAATTATGATATTTTGAGTACACTTAAAATATTTTATAATACAATACATTAACCTCTGTAGCTTTACATTTTCTCTTCATTGCATGCCACATGTTGGGCCCTGATAAAATGGTTTTATAACTTTTGGGGGAGGGCTTTAACTAAAATAACTTCATGTAGTGTTTGAGCGAACTAGGTAATAAAATCTGTTTGCTGTATTCGCTGTCTCCAGATAGGGCTGTAATTACACCACATGAGGAAGAAAGGTAGCTGAGTTTCAATCTAGATCATTTATGTAAACTCAGCCTTCTTGTCAACGGTGTTCTCAAATTGCATGAGTGCAAACCTCAAAAATCATCTCCTATGAACCACACAGAGACAGTGTCCGATTGCAGGCCTGTGAGATTGCTTATATTCTTTCTGTAATTGGATGTCTGTGGTTCAAGACCAAAATTTGACATTCTGAGGTTAAAAGAACACTCTCACCAATGAATTCCCTAGTACAAAAATTCTGTTTCTGAAACTCGTAAAAATTAAAGTATGCCTTAAACCAAAGTATTACAAATGAATACATTTCACTTGAAAAAAAGCTCCTTTTTCCTTAAAGAAAAAAAAAATTTGGTTCTTTGAAATGTGTTTGAATAAAAAAACTGATCTTCAGGAAAGAAAAACAGACTATTCCTAATATAACCAATTTAACATTTGATAACATTTTAATCTCCTACTTCAAGTATTTGGCAACTTTTCGGCAATTTCTCCAAAAAGACATTATAAAAACCATAAAGCACAAAGTATATTCATACTGCATTATAAATCCAGAGACATGAGGCCAGGTGCAGTGGCTCAAGCCTCTAATCCCAGCACTTTGGGAGGCCGAGGCAGGCGGATCACCTGAGGTCAGGAGTTCGAGACTAGCCTGACCAACATAGTGAAACCCCATCTCTACTAAAAATACAAAATTAGCCAGGCGTGGTGGCAGGTGCCTGTAATTCCAGCTACTCGGGAGGCTGAGGCAGGAGAATCACTTGAACCCAGGAGGCGGAGGTTGCAGTGAGTCAAAACTGCACCATTGCACTCCAGCCTGGGCAACAAGAGCAAAACTACATCTAAAAAAAAAATAATAATAATCCAGAGACATAATTACAAGCCAACAAATAAAACATATTTTTCTCAATCCATTGAACTACTCTCCATTATGACAAATTGGTCACTAGTTTTTGATTAGACAATCCTCCCTGGTTGGTATTGAGAGCATTTCTCTTGACACCTGCAGCTTCCAACTTGCTTTGTCCTCTCTAGCAGGAAAAACCACAGGCCACCGCCCTGGCGCCATCCCTGGCTCGGTCCAATCAATAAGGACTTATTTCCTGTCCATTTGCTGAGGTCACAGGAGCGAATCTCATTAATTATTTCTGCGACTGCAGCCTCAAGTGTGCTTCTGGCGTGACAAGTGAAAACTGCTTGACCTTTTTTTCTTCTAATTTTGTTTGTAGCAGTTCCAAAAAGAAAGCAGAACTCATTTAGCAATGTGATAAAAGGAAGGAAAAATGCATATGTTTTAAAAGTCATTAACGCATCGTGAAAGCGCTCCCAATCAACCTCATTCCCTAGGATTTTCAGCTAACTAACAATAGTGTCTTTTTAATTTGATGTCATGAAAATCTGGTCACAGCAAACACAATGTTTTCTAAAGCAGATCTGGCCTCCGAGGGAGGAAAGCTCTCCAGGGCCTCCAGTGCCTTGTTTCCATGGTAACGACACAGGTCAATAGCTGAAGTCACACCTTTGCCAGCTTTGATTCTTTCTCGCAACTGTTAAGAAACAAATGCATGATAAAAGTCAGTTTTAAAGGTACACAGTAAGCACCACAATTAAATTGGGGAGGGGAGATGGAAAACAAAGAAAGGGAGAAATAGTATAGATTGAGTATTTCTGCTACGTTATTTTCTGGAAAAGAGGACATCATTTCCCAGTGATCTTGAGGCACTCATTCCCTAAGGCTGCTTGGTGTCTGTGCTCCAGAGCAGCACAATAGGTTCCAATCAGCTTAATTACAGCTCCTCCTGACTCCCATCCCTTAATATCTTGAAATGTGCCATGCTGGGGGATGGCAGTAAGAAGGCGGAGGGCATTTACATCTCTGGCATTTTGAATTCAGCAGCCTGATATTCTTCCCTTTTTTTTTTTTTTTTTTAAAGAGATGGAGTCTCGCTCTGTCGCCCAGGATGGAGTGCAGTGGTGCGATCTCGGCTCACTGCAACCTCCGCCTCCTGGGTTTAAGCAATTCTCCTGCCTCAGCCTCCCACATAGCTGGGACTACAGGCATGCGCCACCACACCCATCTAATTTTTGTATTTTTTAGTAGAGACAGCGTTTTGCCATGTTGGCCAGGCTGGTCTCGAACTCCTGACCTCAAGTGATCCACCTGCCTAGGCTGCCCAAAGTGCTGGGATTACAGGTGTGAGCCACCGCACCTGGCCAGCAGCCTGATATTCTTATGTGAGGAAGGCTTCACTAATATCTTAGTTAATAACTTTTTTTTTAACACCATATGTTGACACAATAGTCCATATGAAAATTCAAGAAAGACACATAGTATTAGATCTGAATGTTACTTTTTTTTTTTTTTTTTGAGACGGAGTCTCACTCTGTTGCCAGGCTGGAGTGCAGTGGCACAATCTCTGCTCACAGCAACCTTCGCCTCTCGGGTTCAAGCGATTATCCTGCCTCAGCCTCCTAAGTAGCTGGGACTACAGGTGTGCACCACCACGCCCAGGTAACTTTTGTATTTTTGGTAGAGAAGGGGTTTCGCCATGTTGGCCAGGCTGGTCTGGATCTCTTGACCTCGTGATCCCCCTGCCTTAGCCTCCCAAAAAGCTGGGATTACAGGCATGAGCCACCTTGCCCGGCCTTTTTTTTTTTTTTTTTTTTTTTTTTTTTTGAGACAAAGTTTCGCTCTGTCATCCAGGCTGGAGTGCAGTGGCATGATCTTGTCTCATTGCAACCTCCGCCTCCCGGATTCAAGCAATTCTTCTGCCTCAGCCACCTGAGTAGCTGGGATTACAGGCGCCTGCCACCACACCTGGCTAATTTTGGTATTTTTGGTAGAGATGGGGTTTTGCCATGTTGGCCAGGCTGGTCTCCGTCTCCAGACCTCAGGCAATCCGCCTGCCTCAGCCTTCCAAAATGCTAGGATTACAGGCGTAAGCCACTGTGCCCGGCCTGAATGCTTTTTTTTTTTTTTTTTTCCTGAGATGGAGTCTCGCTCTGTCACCCAGGCTGGGATGCAGCTATCTCAGCTCACTGCAAGCTCTGCCTTCCAGGTTCACACCATTCTCCTGCCTCAGCCTCCCGAGTAGCTGGGACTACAGGTACCCACCACCATGCCCGGCTAATTTTTTGTATTTTTAGTACAGACAGGGTTTCACCGTGTTAGCCAGGATGGTCTCCATCTCCTGACCTTGTGATCCGCCCACCTCGGCCTCCCAAAGTGCTGGGATTACAGGCGTGAGCCACCATGCCTGGCCAGTCTGGCTAATTCTCTAAGTCAGAAACCCAGACGTCTTCATTCCCCACATCCGGTTAGGCACAGGGGCAGTCTCAGGGTTGCTCATTCACAGCTGAACTTTCTGGCTCCCAGAGATTGGGTGTAGCCAGGTGACAAGTTCTGGTCTATGAGTTGTGAATGAGGGATGTCACTTTGTGGCTGCAGCATTTAACTGTCCTGTGAGTCCTTAGAGAGCTTTCCCTCTTGCACAGCTACCAGCCCACACTGGAGATGCTCCTTGGCCTGGATCCCTGAGTGACTGTAATGAGCACCACAGTGCCTCGCCCACCTGTGGCAGCCGAGGTTGTGAAATTATCTGTAGCCATTTTGACTGATAACAATGAATCCCAGTCTTTCTATCTCTTCAGAGCTCTCAAGTTTATCCTCTACTCCTCATTCCCATTGCCACTACATTAGTTCAGGCCATCATCATCTCTCACCTCAGTTAGTTTTTGCAATCACTTCCTAAAGAGTCTTCCCACCACCAGGTCTGCACCCCTGGACTCCATCTACTATGCTGCCAAGGAGATCTTAATAAAATGCAAAGACAATCTTGCTTAAACCCTTCCAATAGCCTTAAGAGAAAAGTCTAAGCTCTTTCATGAGGCATTTAAGTCCCTTGCCAAGCTAGCTCTTGCTTGGCCTCACTTTTCCCCCCTTTTCCTCCTTTATTTATTTATGTATTTTTTGAGACAGAGTCTTGCTCTGTCACCCAGGCTGGAGCGCAGTGGTGTGATCTTGGCTCACTGCAACTTCCAGTTCCCCGGCTCAAGTGATCTTTCCACCTCAGCCACCCGGGTAGCTGGGAAGACAGGCATGCACCACTATCCTTGTTTAATTTTAAAAACTTTTTGTAGAGATGAAGTCTCACTATATTGCCCAAGCTAATCTCAAACTCCTGGGCTCAAGAGATCCTCCTGCCTCAGCCTCCCAAACCTTCTCCCCTTTAATTATAGGGGAACCAACTGCAGTTCTCAGAGGTAACCTGATCTACCATCTCCCCCTGGGGCTGTCTCCCCCACCCCAACAAGCTCCCCAAATTCCACCTGGGTGGAATGCACTGAGCTAGGAAGATGGCCCTAAGGAGCTAGTTGCTCCTCTTCCTCTGGGTACCTGGAGTACTCCCTGTGCACATCTGGAGTAGTGTATTGTTTTAGCGTTTTTGTTTTTTTTTTTAGACAGAGTCTCCCTCTATCACCCAGGCTGGAGTGCAATGGCGCGATCTTGGCTCACTGCAACCTCTGCCTCCCAGGTTCAGGCGATTCTCCTGCCTCAGCCTCCCAAGTAGCTGGGATTACAGGCACCCGCCACCACGCCTGGCTAATTTTTTTGTATTTTTAGTAGAGACGGGGTTTCACCATGTTGTTCAGGCTGGTCTCGAACTCCTGACCTCGTGATCTGCCTGCCTCGGCCTCCCAAAGTGCTGGGATTACAGGCATGAGCCACTGCGCCCGACTTAGTGTTGTATTTTAATTCTCCATTCACTTATCTATGACTTCATGAGACTTCAAGGTCCTTACTGTATAATGCATGAAACATGAATGAATAAAATAAATAAGCTGATTTATTCCTCTAATTATACAGTCAAGAGAACAGAGGTCCAGAGAAACTCAGTGACTCAAGATCACAGATGGAGGCAGGCAGAGTAGAGATCAGAAGCCAGGTTTTCTTTCTTTTTTTTTTTTTTTTCGAGACAGAGTCTTACTCTGTTGCCCAGGCTGGAGTGCAGTGGCGCGATTGTGGCTCACTGCAACCTCCACCTCTCGGGTTCAAGCATTTCTCTGCGTCAGCCTCCCGAGTAGCTGGGATTACAGGCGCCTACCACTACACCTGGCTAATTTTTTTATTTTTAGTGGAGACGGGGTTTCTCCATCTTGGCCAGGCTGGTCTCGAACTCCTGACCTCAGGTGATCTGCCCACCTCAGCCTCCCAAAGTGCTGGGGTTACAGGCGTGAGCCACTGTGCTCCGCCAGAGGCCAGGTTTTCTAATGCCTTGTCCAGTGGCACTTAATACTAAACTCCATCAGATTCTCAGCACTTCACAGATATTTCCACACTGCATATAGCCTTTGGGAACTGTTCTAGCCTAGGTTTCCTTGGTCTCTTGCCAATCATTGAATGCACAAAGGCACTAAAATGGTGCTGGGTATCAGAAGCAGCCAGATTCAAACTCCTATCCTAGCTTTATAATCTTATGGAAACCATTTAACTGTTTTCTTTTTTTTTTCCTTTGAGATGGAGATTCACTCTTGTCGCCTAGATTGGAGTGCAATGGTGCAACCTCGACTCACTGAAACCTCCACCTCCCAGGTTCAAGCAATTCTCCTGTCTCAGCCTCCCAAGTAGCTGGGATTACAGGTGCCCACCGCCACACCCAGTCAATTTTTATATTTTTAGTAGAGACAGGGTTTCACCACATTGGTCAGGCTGGTCTTGAACTCCTGACCTCAGGTGATCTGCCCACCTTAGCCTCCCAAAGTGCTGAGATTACAGGCGTGAGCCACTGCGCCCGGCCTTAACTGTTCTCAGTTCTAAGTGGGGATAATATAAGTCCCTTGTCGGACTGCTGGGGGGACTACATAACACTGCACAGAGTGCCTGATAGTGCCTAAATCACAATAGATGCTCGGATGACTTAGTTTCCCTTCATTAAGCCCATAGCCATTACCAAGAAAGCCATCCCACCCACCAAGATCAAGTCTATTTTGACGTGATATACAATAACCTCAAAGCTAACTGGACTTGGATCAGAGCAGTCTTAAGGGAAGGAAGGAAGGAAGGAGGGAGGGAGGGAGGCGGAAGGGAGGGAGGGAAGGAGGAAGGAAGGAAGGAAGAAGGGAAAGAAGGGAGGGAGGGAGGGAGGAAGGGAGAGAAAGCAAGCAAGCTACCCTATTTTCTTTCTTTTCTTTTTTTTTTTTTTTGAGATGGAGTCTTGCTCTGTTGCCCAGGCTGGAATGCAGTGGCGCGATCTTGGCTCACTGCTACCTCCGCCTCCCGGGTTCAAGCGATTTTCCTGCCTCAGCCTCCCGAGTAGCTGGGACTACAGGCACGTGCCACCATGCCCGGCTAATTTTTTGTATTTTTTTAGTAGAGGTGGGGTTTCACCGTGTTAGCCAGGATGGTCTTGATCTCCTGACCTTGCGATCCACCCACCTCGGCCTCCCAAAGTGCTGGGATTACAGGCGTGAGCCACTGCGCTGGGCCAAGCTCCCCTATTTTCATTATCTCTTCTCCAAATTGATATTAGGCAGACCAACATTCTCCTCCTATTCTAGACTTCTAGGTTAGCACCTTTAGGTATGTAAATGTCTGCATGACTAGATAAGATGTTTAATTTATGAGTATTAATTGAGTATTTACTATATGTAAAGAGTAGAATAAGCCTTCTTTGCTTTGTGGATCAAGAGTTAATTAAGGGATGGCTGGGTGCGGTGGCTCACTCCTGTAATTCCAGCACTTTGGGAGGCCTTGGAGGGCGGATCACTTGAGGTCAGGAGTTCGAGATCAGACTGGCCAATATGGTAAAACTCCATCTCTACTAAAAATACAAAAATTAGCTGGGCATGGTGCCGTGCACCTGTAGTCCCAGCTACTTGGGAGGCTGAGGCAGGAGAATTGCTTGAACTCAGGAAGTGGAGGTTACAGTGGGCCAAAGTCGCGCCATTGCAATCCAGCCTGGGGGCTGCAGTGCGACTCTGTCTCAAAAAACAAACAAAACAAAAACAAAAACAAAAAAACACAAAGAACAAGAGTTAATTAAGGGTAAACTGTGAAAAGCAGCAAAACCAGGGCACAAATGTAGGACTACAGCTATTGAGAGAAATGAGAGATCAACTTTAACTGAAAGAGATTCTAAAAGGCCTTCCTCTGTCACCCAGACTGGAGTGCAGTGGTGGATCATGATGGTTCACTGTAGCCTCTACCTCCTGTGCACAAGCAATCCTCCCATCTCAGCCCCCAAGTACCTGGGACTACAGGGACCTGCCACCACACCCAGCTAATTTAAATTTTTTTTTTTTGTAGAGACACATTCTCACTATATTGCTCAAGATGGTTTTAAACTCCTGGCCTCAAATGATCCTCCTGCCCCTCGCCTCCCAAAGTGCTGGGATTACAGGCGTGTGTCACCTCGGCCAGTTGATGTCTTGTAAATGCTGATAAATAGATATGGGCTTGGGAGTAGCAAGGAAATTGTAGGGAAAGAAAACTGTTTGAGCAAAGGCACAAAGGGGGCCAAAGTGTGCAGAGTGTCCAGGGAATGAAAACAGATCAGTATGAAACAGCTTGCTGTTTCTTGGCTCACTGCAACCTGTGCCTCCCAAGTTCAAGAGATTCTCCTGCCTCAGCCTCCTGAGTGGCTGGGATTACAGGCGTGCCACCATGCCCAGCTAATTTTGTATTTTTAGTAGAGATGGGGTTTCTCCATGTTGGTCAGGCTGGTCTCGAACTCCTGACCTCAGGTGATCTGCCCACCTCGGCCTCCAAAAGTGCTGGGATTACAGGTGTGAGCCACTGCGCATGGCCAATTTTTGTATTTTTTTAATAGAGATGTGTTTTCACAATTTTTGTTAGGTTGATATCAAACTCCTGAGCTCAAGTGATCCACCCACCTCGGCCTCCCAAAGTGCTGGGATTACAGGCGTGAGCCACCACTCCCAGCCTAGGCTAAGAAATTTGTACTTTTTGGCCGGGCGCGGTGGCTCATGCCTGTAATCCCAGAACTTTGGGAAGCTGAGGCGGGCGGATCACGAGGTCGGGAGATCGAGACCATCCTGGCTAACACAGAGAAACCCCGTCTCTACTAAAAATACAAAAAATTAGCCAGGCGTGGTGCCGGGCGCCTGTAGTCCCAGCTACTGTGGAGGCTGAGGCAGGAGAATGGCGTGACCCCGGGAGGTGGAGCTTGCAGTGAGCCGAGATTGTGCCACTGCACTCCAACCTGGGTGACAGAGCGAGACTCCGTCTCAGGAAAAAAAAAAAAAAAAAGAAATTTGTACTTTTAAAAAGTGTTCAATTTGTATTATAAATTATTTTCAAAGTACAGAAAACTTGAACCATGGCCCTAGGCTAAATTTGACCCTGTGTTCTCATAAATAAAGTTTTGTTGGGGAATAACCACATCCATTCATGTGAGCATTATCCATGACTCCTTTTGTGCTATAAAGGCAGAGTTGCAGAGTTGCAGAGTTGCCTGAGAGGCTGTATGGCCACAAAGTGTTAAATATTCACAGTTTGGCCTTTACAGAAAAAGTCTGCTGACTCAAGTACTAGTGCTATGAATGACCATAGATTCTCTACCTAGATTCAACAATCGCAACAATTGTTAGTATTTTGCCATTTTTGTTCTATCTATATGTGTGTCTGTGTGTGTGTTTTCTGATCCATTTGAAAGTAAACCGCCGATAGTGATATGCTAGTAAATTAGTTCTCTTGGGGGACAAAAGCCTGCATTTGCAGATTTTTGTGGTATAAATACTCCCATTATGGCTGATTTCAAACTGCCAAGGGTGGTGGGGTCACACAATTCTTGAAGATTTAATAATAGCCTGTGAGTCGTTAGGACTTGGTTTGGGCACATCATTGGCTGCAGGATGCTTCACCCTTGTTTTGACATGCATCTCTGAAGAACATTGTCCTACATAATCACAATACTATTGTCACAGCTAGGAAAGCTAACTAGAAAAACTAATTAGAGAATTCCCGGCCGGGCGCAGTGGCTCACGCCTGTAATCCCAGCACTTGGGAGGCCATGGGGGATGGATCACTTGAGGCCAGGAGTGAGACCAGCCTGGCCAACATGGTGTAACCCCATCTCTACTAAAAACAAAAATTAGCCCGGTATGGTGGCGTGCACCTGTAATCCCAGCTACTTGGGAGACTGAGGCAGGAGAATTGCTTGAACACGAGAGGTGGAGGTTGCAGTAAGCCAAGATCATGCCACTGCACTTCAGCCTGGGTGACAGAGTGAGTGAGACCATCTCAAAAAAAAAAAAAAAAAAAAAAGGAGAGAGCATTCCCTATTTATTTTTTGTTTGTTCAAGTTTCCAATTTTTAAAAATTTACACTTTTTCTTTTTATTTTGTCAAGAATTCCCTAATTTTTTTTTTTTTTTGAGATGGAGTCTCACTCTGCCACTCAGGCTAGAGTGCAGTGGCGCAATCTCAGCTCTGCACCTCTGCCTCCTGGGTTCAAGCAATTCTCCTGCCTCAGCCTCCCGAGTAGCTGGGATTACAGGCATGTGCCACCACACCCGACTAATTTATGTATTTTTAGTAGAGTTGGGGTTTCACCAGATTGGCCAGGATGGTCTCGAACTCTTGACCTCAACAGATCCATCTGCCTTGGCCTCCCAAAGTGCTGGGATTACAGGCATGAGCCACTGTGCCCAGCCCCGATAATTCTGGCACAGGGCTGAATTATCTAACATTTAGTCCAGGTGTAAATTTCTCCAATTGGTTCCAGAATGGCTTTTATTTAACCATATTTTTAAACTATGATAAATCCAGTTCATAAATCACATTTGTTTGTTATGACACTTTAATCTTTTTTCTGCTATGACATTGTCATTTTGAAAGACCAGCCTGCACTCCAGAATGTTTTACATTCTACATTCCCCTGACTGTTTCATTTAGTTTGTTCCTCTATGAGCTTTATTCAGCCAGGCTAAACTAAATATCTGATGATAGCTAACAGGGTATTTAATACTATGATAAAAGGGTAATTCAGATTAGGGCAAAAGAGCAACCAGGAGGACATCACAGTCCTAGAGGATTTAATTTCTCATACCTGATGACTATTTTACTTTAGTCAATACTCAACTCCAGACTTGGGCTCACAGGGCTTTGCATACCAAGGAGGAACCTGATAGCTTTCATGTGTAAAATGCCCACCAGTAATGACTTATCAGTAATATAATCCTTCATGAAAGGTATTATTCCTCACTGACATCTGTAAACACTCCTGCTAGCTAAACATAAACTACTGACTCCAAGGAAATCCTTTAGTTATGATAAACCATAAATGAAACTCATTTTTACTGCAAACTAGAATGGGCAATAGGTCTATCTTGAAAAGAATGATCTTGTTCTTTTTTTTTTTTTCTTTTTTGAGACGGAGTCTTGCTCTGTCACCCAGGCTGGAGTGCAGTGGCATGGTTTCGGCTCACTGAAGCCTCTGTCTCCCGGGTTCCAGCGATTCTCCTGCCTCAGCCTCCTGGGTAGGTGGGATTACAGGTGCATGCCACCACACGCAGCTAATTTTTGTATTTTTAGTAGAGACAGGGTTTCACCACGTTGGCCAGGCTGGTCTTGAACTCCTGACCTCAGGTGATCCGTCCACCTCGGCCTCCCAAAGTGCTGGGATCACAGGTGTGAGCCATCACGCCCAGCTGATCTTGTTCTTTTTTAAATAAACGTGACAACAGATACATTAAGCTGGGGTTCCTAAACTTGCCTGGCCGTAAGACTCATGTGGGGAACTTTAAAATGCAGATGCCTAGGCCTCTAGCCCTGGAGATAGAGTCTATCAGGACTGAAAAAAAGGGTTCTTAGGTCATTCCAGTGATTAGCCAGATTTGGGAGTACCTACTCATTGGGGCATGTATTTTGAGTCACTGTATTTTAAGACTGTTGTTTTGGGTTTATACTTAAAAAAAATTTTTTTTTTAATTATACTTTAAGTTCTAGGGTACCTGTGCACAACGTGCAGGTTTGTTACATATGTATACATGTGCCATGTTGGTGTGCTGCATCCACTAACTCGTCATTTACATTAGGTATAATTCCTAATGCTATCCCTCCCCACTTCCCCCACCCCACGACAGGCCCTGGTGTGTGATGTTCCCCTTCCTGTGTCCAGGTGTTCTCATTGTTCAATTACCACCTACCAGTGAGAACATGCAGTGTTTGGTTTTTCATCCTTGTGACAGTTTGCTGAGAATGACGGTTTCCGGTTTCATCCATGTCCCTACACAGGACATGAACTCATCATTTTTTATGGCTGCATAGTATTCCATGGTGTATAGGTGCCACATTTTATCAATCCAGTCTATCATTGATGGACATTTGGGTTGGTTCCAAGTCTTTGCTATTGTGAATAGTGCCGCAATAAACATACGTGTGCATGTGTCTTTATAGCAGCATGATTTGTAATCCTTTGGGTATATACCCAGTAATGGGATGGCTGGGTCAAATGGTATTTCTAGTTCTAGATCCTTGAGGAATCGCCACACTGTCTTCCACAATGGTTGAACTAGTTTACAGTTCCATCAACAGTGTCAAAGTGTTCCTATTTCTCCACATCCTCTCCAGCACCTGTTGTTTCCTGACTTCTTAATGATCGCCATTCTAACTGGTGTGAGATGGTATCTCATTGTGGTTTTGATTTGCATTTCTCTGATGGCCAGTGATGATGAGCATTTTTTCATGTGTCTATTGGCTGCATAAATGTCTTCTTTTGAGTTTCCGTCTGTTCATATCCTTCGCCCACTTTTTGATGGGGTTGTTTTTTTCTTGTAAATTTGTTTGAGTTCTTTGTAGATTCTGGATATTAGCCCTTTGTCAGATGAGTAGATTGGAAAAATTTTCTCCCATTCTGTCGGTTGCCCGTTCACTCTGATGGTAGTTTCTTTTGCTGTGCAGAAGCTCTTTAGTTTAATTAGATCCCATTTGTCAATTTTGGCTTTTGTTGCCATTGCTTTTGGTGTTTTAGACATGAAGTCCTTGCCCGTGCCTATGTCCTGAATGGCATTGCCTAGGTTTTCTTCTAGGGTTTTTATGGTTTTAGGTCTAACATTTAAATCTTTAATCCATCTTGAATTAATTTTTGTATAAAGTGTGAGGAAGGGATCCAGTTTCAGCTTTCTACATATGGCTAGCCAGTTTTCCCAGCACCATTTATTAAATAGGGAATCCTTTACCCATTTCTTGGTTTTGTCAGGTTTGTCAAAGATCAGATGGTTGTAGATGTGTGGTATTATTTCTGAGGGCTCTGTTCTGTTCCATTGGTCTGTATCTCTGTTTTGGTACCAGTACCATGCTGTTTTGGTTACTTTAGCCTTGTAGTATAGTTTGAAATCAGGTAGCATGATGCCTCCAGCTTTGTTCTTTTGGCTTAGGATTGTCTTGGCAATGCAGGCTCTTTTTTGGTTCCATATGAACTTTAAAGTAGTTTTTTCCAATTCTGTGAAGAAAGTCATTGGTAGCTTGATGGGGATGGCATTGAATCTATAAATTACCTTGGGCAGTATGGCCATTTTCACGATATTGATTCTTCCTATCCATGAGCATGGAATGTTCTTCCATTTGTTTGTGTCTTCTTTTATTTCGTTGAGCAGTGGTTTGTAGTTTTCCTTGAAGAGGTCCTTCACATCCCTTGTAAGTTGGATTCCTAGGTATTTTATTCTCTTTGAAGCAATTGTGAATGGGAGTTCACTCATGATTTGGCTCTCTGTTTGTCTGTTATTGGTGTATAAGAATGCTTGTGATTTTTGCACTTTGATTTTGTATCCTGAGACTTTGCTGAAGTTGCTTATCAGCTTAAGGAGATTTTGGGCTGAGACGATGGGGTTTTCTAAATATACAATCATGTCATCTGCAAACAGGGACAATTTGACTTCCTCTTTTCCTAATTGAATACCCTTTATTTCTTTCTCCTGCCTGATTGCCCTGGCCAGAACTTCCAACACTATGTTGAATAGGAGTGGTGAGAGAGGGCATCCCTGTCTTGTGCCAGTTTCCAACGGGAATGCTTCCAGTTTTGCCCATTCAGTATGATATTGGCTGTGGGTTTGTCATAAATAGCTCTTATTATTTTGAGATATGTCCCATCAATACCTAATTTATTGAGAGTTTTTTTTTTTTTTTTTTTTTGAGATGGAGTCTCACTCTGTCGCCCAGGCTGGAGTGCAGTGGCGTGATCTCGGCTCACTGCAAACTCCGCCTCCTGGGTTCACGCCATTCTCCTGCCTCAGTCTCCTGAGTAGCTGGGACTACAGGCGCCTGCCACCACGCCTGGCTATTTTTTTGTATTTTTAGTAGAGACGGGGTTTCACCGTGTTATCCAGGATGGTCTCGATCTCCTGACCTCGTGATCCGCCCGCCTCGGCCTCCCAAAGTGCTGGGATTATAGGCGTGAGCCACCATGCCCGGCCTTTATTGAGAGTTTTTAGCATGAAGGCTGTTGAATTTTCTCAAAGGCCTTTTCTGCATCTATTGAGATAATCATGTGGTTTTTGTCTTTGGTTCTGTTTATATGCTGGATTATGTTTATTGATTTGCATATGTTGAACCAGCCTTGCATCCCAGGGAAGAAGCCCACTTGATCATGGTGGATAAGCTTTTTGATGTGCTGCTGGATTTGGTTTGCCAGTATTTTATTGAGGATTTTTGCATCAATGTTCATCAGGGATATTGGTCTAAAATTCTCTTTTTTTGTTGTCTCTCTACCAGGCTTTGGTATCAGGATAATGCTGGCCTCATAAAATGAGTTAGGGAGGATTCCCTCTTTTTCTATTCATTGGAATAGTTTCAGAAGGAATGGTATCAACTCCTCCTTGTACCTCTGGTAGAATTTGGCTGTGAATCCATCTGGTCCTGGACTTTTTTTTGGTTGGTAGGCTATTAATTATCGCCTCAATTTCAGAGCCTGTTATTGGTCTATTCAGTGATTCAACTTCTTCCTGGTTTAGTCTTGGGAGGGTGTATGTGTCCAGGAATTTATGCATTTCTTCTAGATTTTCTAGTTTATTTGCATAGAGGTGTTTATAGTATTCTCTGATGGTAGTTTGTATTTCTGTGGGATCAGTGGTGATATTCCCTTTATCATTTTTTATTGCGTCTATTTGATTCTTCTCTCTTTTCTTCTTTATTAGTCTTGCTAGTGGTCTATCAATTTTGTTGATCTTTTCAAAAAACTAGCTCCTGGATTCATTGATTTTTTGAAGGGTTTTTGTGTCTCTGTCTCCTTCAGTTCTGCTCTGATCTTAGTTATTTCTTGCCTTCTGCTAGCTTTTGAATGTGTTTGCTCTTGCTTCTCTAGTTCTTTTAATTGTGATGTTAGGGTGTCAATTTGAGATCTTTTCTGCTTTCTCTTGTGGGCATTTAGTGCTATAAATTTCCTTCTACACACTGCTTTAAATGTGTCCCAGATATTCTGGTATGTTGTGTCTTTGTTCTCATTGGTTTCAAAGAACATATTTATTTCTGCCTTCATTTCGTTATGTACCCAGTAGTCATTCAGGAGCAGGTTGTTCAGCTTCCATGTAGTTGAGCAGTTTTGGGTGAGTTTCTTAATCCTGAGCTCTAGTTTGATTGCACTGTGGTCTGAGAGACAGTTTGTTATAATTTCTGTTCTTTTATATTTGCTGAGGAGTGCTTTACTTCCAACTATGTGGTCAATTTTGGATTGGTGTGGTGTGGTGCTGAAAAGAATGTATATTCTGTTGATCTGGGGTGGAGAGTTCTGTAGATGTCTATTAGGTCCGCTTGGTGCAGAGCTGAGTTCAATTCCTGGATATCCTTATTGACTTTCTGTCTTGTTGATCTGTCTAATGTTAACAGTGGGGTGGTAAAGTCTCCCATTATTATTGTGTGGGAGTCTAAGTCTCTTTGTAGGTCTCTAAGGACTTGCTTTATGAATCTGGGTGCTCCTGTATTGGGTGCATATATATTTAGGAGAGTTAGCTCTTCTTGTTG
Organism: Homo sapiens; assembly: GCF_000001405.40. Taxonomy (NCBI): domain Eukaryota; kingdom Metazoa; phylum Chordata; class Mammalia; order Primates; family Hominidae; genus Homo; species Homo sapiens. The sequence continues at coordinate 107,168,207 of NC_000006.12, forward strand.
AAATGATCCCTTTACCATTATGTAATGGCCTTCTTTGTCTCTTTTGATCTTTGTTGGTTTAAAGTCTGTTTTATCAGAGACTAGGATTGCAACCCCTGCCTTTTTTGTTTTCCATTTGCTTGGTAGATCTTCCTCCATCCCTTTATTTTGAGTCCATGTGTGTCTCTGCATGTGAGATGGGTTTCCTGAATACAGCACACTGATGGGTCTTGACTCTTTATCCAATTTGCCAGTCTGTGTCTTTTAATTGGAGCATTTAGCCCATTTACATTTAAGGTTAATATTGTTATGTGTGAATTTGATCCTGTCATTATGATGTTAGCTGGTTATTTTGCTCGTTACTGGATGCAGTTTCTTCCTAGCCTCGATGGTCTTTACAATTTGACATGTTTTTGCAGTGGCTGGTACCGGTTGTTCCTTTCCATGTTTAGTGCTTCCTTCAGGAGCTCTTTTAGGGCAGGCCTGGTGGTGACAAAATCTCTCAGCATTTGCTTGTCTGTAAAGGATTTTATTTCTCCTTCACTTATGAAGCTTAGTTTGGCTGGATATGAAATTCTGGGTTGAAAATTCTTTTCTTTAAGAATGTTGAATATTGCCCCCCACTCTCTCCTGGCTTGTAGGGTTTCTGCCGAGAGATCCGCTGTTAGTCTGATGGGCTTCCCTTTGTGGGTAACCCGACCTTTCTCTCTGGCTGCCCTTAACATTTTTTCCTTCATTTCAACTTTGGTGAATCTGACAATTATGCGTCTTGGAGTTGCTCTTCTCGAGGAGTATCTTTGTGGCGTTCTCTGTATTTCCTGAATTTGAATGCTGGCCTGCCTCGCTAGGTTGGGGAAGTTCTCCTGGATAATATCCTGCAGAGTGTTTTCCAACTTGGTTCCATTTTCCCTGTCACTTTCAGGTACACCAATCAGACGTAGATTTGGTCTTTTCACATAGTCCCATATTTCTCGGAGGCTTTGTTTGTTTATTTTTCCTCTTTTTTCTCTAAACTTCTCTTCTCGCTTCATTTCATTCATTTGATCTTCAATCACTTGATACCCTTTCTTCCACTTGATCGAGTCGGCTACTGAAGCTTGTGCATTCGTCACGTAGTTCTTGTGCCATGGTTTTCAGCTCCATCAGGTCATTTAAGGACTTCTCTACACTGGTTATTCTAGTTAGCCATTCGTCTAATCTTTTTTTAAGGTTTTTAGCTTCTTTGTGATGCGTTCAAGCTTCCTCCTTTAGCTCGGAGAAGTCTGATCATCTGAAGCCTTCTTCTCTCAACTCGTCAAAGTCATTCTCCATCCAGCGTTGTTCCATTGCTGACGAGGAGATGCATTCCTTTGGAGGGGGAGAGGCGCTCTGATTTTTAGAATTTTCAGCTTTTCTGCTCTGTTTTTTCCCCATCTTTGTGGTTTTATCTACATTTGGTCTTTGATGATGGTGATGTACAGGTGGGGTTTTGGTGTGGATGTCCTTTCTGTTTGTTAGTTTTCCTTCTAACAGTCAGGACCCTCAGCTGCAGGTCTGTTGGAGTTTGCTGGAGGTCCACTCCAGACCCTGTTTGCCTGGGTATCAGCAGCAGAGGTTGCAGAACAGCGAATATTGGTGAACAGCAAATGTTGCTGCCTGGTTGTTCCTCTGGAAGCCTTGTCTCAGAGGGGTACCCGGCCGTGTGAGGTGTCAGTCTGCCCCTACTGGGGGATGCCTCCCAGTTAGGCTACTTGGGGGTCAGGGACCCACTTGAGGAGGCAGTCTGTCCATTCTCAGATCTCCAACTCTGTGCTGGGAGAACCACTACTCTCTTCAAAGCTGTCAGACAGGGACATTTAAGTCTCCAGAGGTTTCTGCTGCCTTTTGTTTGGCTATGCCCTGCCGCCAGAGGTGGAGTCTACAGAGGCAGGCAGGTCTCCTTGAGCAGCGGTGGGCTTCACCCAGTTGGAGCTTCCCGCTGCTTTGTTTACCTACTCAAGCCTCAGCAATGGTGGGCGCCCCTCCACCAGCCTTGTTGCTGCCTTGCAGTTCAATCTCAGACTGCTGTGCTAGCAATGAGCGAGGTTCCAAGGGCGTGGGATCCTCTGAGCCAGGCACGGGATATAATCTCCTAGTGTGCCGTTTGCTAAGACCACTGGAAAAGTGCAGGATTAGGGTGGGAGTGACCTGATTTTCCAGTTGCCATCTGTCACAGCTTCGCTTGGCTCGGAAAGGGAATTCCCTGACCCCTTGCACTTCCTGGGTGAGGCAATGCCGCACCCTGCTTCAGCTCACGCTCGGTGCACTGCACCCACTGTCTGACAAGCCCCAGTGAGATGAACCCGGTACCTCAGTTGGAAATGCAGAAATCACCCGTCTTCTGCATTGCTCACGCTGGGAGCTGTAGACTGGAGCTGTTCTTATTCGGCCATCTTGGAACCACCCCCCCCCCCCCACTTTTTTTTTTCTGAGACAGCCTCACTCTGACACCCAGGCTGGATGCAGTGGCACAATCTCGGCTCACTGCAACCTCCACCTCCCAGGTTCAAGCAATTCTCTTGCCTCAGCCTCCTGGGTAGCTGGGATTACAGGCATGTGCCATGATGCCTGGCTAATTTTTGCACTTTTAGTAGAGATAAGGTTTCACCATGTTGGCCAGGCTGGTGTCGAACTCCTGACCTCAAGTGATCCTCCCACCTCAGCCTCCCAAAGTGCTGGGATTACAGGCATGAGCCACTGCACCCAGCCAGGTTTATACTATTCTAACCATACTTCAACTGGTTGTCTTTGCAACAATCAAATTAAAACCAACAAGCGTTTATTGGACACCTATATAACCTAGGCATTTGGTATATGCTGGAAATACAGAGAGGAACACAGTTGCTGCCTCCCAGGACCACCTGTTAGAGAGGTAGTCACAGGCCTGTAGAACAGAGAGGGTTAAGTAGAACAGTGAAGGAATGGACCCATGACCTTGGTTCTTTTTTGTTCTTTTTTTAAATACGCCTTTATTTTGGAGACAGGTCTCACTCTGTCACCTAGGCTGAAGTGCAGTAGCAAGATCATAGTTCACTGTAGCCTCAACCTCTTGGGCTTGAGCCATCCTCTCACTTTAGCCTCCTGAGTAGCTGGCACTACAGGCACGTGCCACCATGCCTGGCTAATTTTTGTATTTTTTGTAGAGATGGGTTTTGCCATGTTGCCCAGAGGCTGATCTTAAACTCCTGGGATCAAATGATCCTCCTGCCTCAGCCTCCCAAAGTGCTAGGTAACAGGTGTGAACCATCACAACCGTCCATGATCTTGGTTCTAATAGCCATAGATAAAAGACCACAATTTTTTTCAAGTTCTTTTTTTTTCTTTTTGAGACAGCGTCTCACTCCATCACCTAGGCTGGAGTGCAGTGGTATGATCAAAGCTCACCACAGCCTCAAATTCCAGCCTCAAGCAATCTTCCCACCTTAGCCTTCCGAGTAGCTAGGGCTATAGGCATGCATCACCATGCCTGGCTAATTTATTTATTTTTATTCTGTGGACATGAGCATGGCGGGTGGTCTCATCATGTTGCCCAGGCTGGTCTTGAATTCCTGGCCTTAAGTGATCTTTCCATCTCGGCCTCCCAAGGAGCTGGGATTACAGGCGTGAGGCACTGCACTCAGCCTAAAAAAGGCATTTCCATTCCTGCCTTCATCTACATTTTGAATGGGCAAAGTCCAAGCTGATGCATAGAAAGAACTTTCCAAATCTTCAAGCCCTTATGGCTTGAAGATCGCTGTAGTCATAAACAGCACAATAAATACGAAAGGTGAATTAACAGTCAGTGTTTAATTTCTCTGATATAGCACTTTAGGGCACTAATATAATTAAATCTCTAATTAAGTCAACTAAATAATTGTATAAGTGCAGTATCACCTGAAATAAATTAAGTCCAAATCCCCTGCTAGGGGATCCAATTAAAGATATTAACAAAGAGAGAAGAGGATACAAAGTACTTAAAATTAAGTGCATTATTATTTAACATTTATTAAACACCTTTTGAATGATACATGTTGCTCTTACATAAAAGACCCTCTTGAGAAAATCACTGTATGTCTCTGAAAACTATGTAGTTCAAAAGTTCTAAAAGTTCTTTTAAAATATTAAAGAGAAGGCCCCGGCATGGGTTCTGAGTAGTCTTAGGAGAAGTGGAGGCAGCAGCCACTTCTGCCCAAGGAAACTAGAGAAAGACTTTAAGACTTAGGAGAGGCCAGGAATGGTGGCTCACACCTGTAATCCTAGCACTTTGGGAGGCTGAGGCAGGAGAATCACTTGAACCTGGGAGGCAGAGGTTGCAGTGAGCTGACATTGCGCCATTGCACTTGAGTCAAGGCAACAAGAGTGAAACTCCGTCTCAAAATACATAAATAAATAATAATTTTAAAAAAGAGGACAAAGGAGCATTCTGAAACACAGACCAGTGAATTTATGGAGAATTTATGGCAAAACTTCAAAAAGGGTTGTTAAACAGATGGTTTGTGGGCTCTAGAAAAAAAGGCAATGGTGGTGGCAGCCCCAGGATAAGTGGGTCACAATAAGCAAGTCATAATAAAACACACACACACACATTCTTTTTTTTTTTCTTCTTCTTTTTTTTTTAAAATGTGGCCACTTGGCTGGTAGCTTCAGAAATAGGATAGAGTGGCTGGGCACGGCAGCTCACGCTTGAAATCCCAGCACTTTGGGAGGCCGAGGCAGGCAGATCACGAGGTCAGGAGTTCGAGACCAGCCTGGCCAACATGGTGAAACCCCTTCCCTACTAAAAATACAAAAATTAGCTGGGTGTGGTGGCGTGCACCTGTTGTCCCAGCTACTGGGGAGGCTGAGGCGGGAGAATCGCTTGAACCCAGGAGGCGGAAGTTGCAGTGACCTGAGATTGTGCCACTGCACTCCAACCTGGCAACAGAGCGAGACTCTGTCTCAAAAAAAAAAAAAAAAGATAGAGTAACTTTGGATTTTTGAAGTTTAGTCCTTCATGAATAAGGCAGAGAAACAGGGTACAGGTCACAGTATGGTAAGATAGATTTGAACATGTAAAATAATTATTCCTAGGAAATGTTTAGTAGTGGATTTATATTGAACAGGAAAACAGGCCAGGCGCGGTGGCTCACAGCTGTAATCCCAGCATTTTGGGAGGCCGAGGCGGGCGGATCACCTGAGGTCACGAGATTGAGACCATCCTCGCCAACATGGTGAAACCCTGTCTCTACTAAAAATACAAAAATTAGTTGGGCGTGGTGGTGCACACCTGTAGTCCCAGCTACTCGGGAGGCTGAGGCAGGAGAATTGCTTCAACCTGGGAAGCAGAGGTTGCAGTGAGCCGAGATCGCGCCACTGCACTCCAGCCTGGTGATGGAATGAGACTCTGTCTCAAAAAAAAAAAAAAAAAAAAAAAAACGCTTAGAACAGGAAAGCAGTCTCTAGTGTCATGCTACCAGAACTTAATGCTTGGTTTCTTCTTCTTATCACGTTTCTATGCATTACTTGAATGAAGATGAAGAAGAAATGCATATTAAATTTTAATTTTCAGATGTCACACAGCCAAGAGAGATAGGTAACACATGGATAGTATCAAAATTTTAACGGTATTGACATGTTGAACAAAAGACTGATAGTAGCCAGTAAAATCTAACAGGGATAATTATATAGTTGTATATTTAGGTTTCAAAAATTAATTGTAAAAGTATAAGCTGCAATTTGGCAGTGACTCATGAAAAATGTTGAGAATCTTTAATAACCACAGTCTTGGTATCAGCCAAGGCTGTGATGTAGGTACAAAAAAATGCAAATGCAAACTTTGGCAGCATCAGCAGGTGTACATGTCCAAAACACAGGCAGGAATGGTCTCACAGCACACGGACGGTCAACTAATGTTTAGAAAACTATTTTCAGTCCTGGGGGCCATGAGTCAAGAGGGGCACTGGCATGATAGATTGGGTCCAGTATTAGGATGAAGAAGGATTTGGAAACATGTCACCTAGGGAATGTTTAACCTGGAGGAAGGGAGGATATAAAAGCCATCTTCAAATATCTGAAGTAATTAAATGGAAGAAGGAACAGTCCTGTTCTATGTGCTTCAGGGGACAGAACAAACAGCAACAAGGTAAAGTTTCTCGGAAGAAGATTCCACTTATAAATAAGAAAAGAACCTTCAAATGACTAGAGTTGTCTAACAACAGAATGATTATTTTTGACAAGCTGTGGGTTCCCTATTATTGGAAGCCTTCAGTGACTGGATGACCACATGTAGGAGAAAATATGACTGAAACTCTTCGCCAGTGTGAAAGATAGGACGACGCTGCCTCTAAAGGTCTACCCAAGCCCAAGATTCTAGCTGATAGTGCTTAACTGAAAGGTCTTGACAGCTTCTGAGTGGCAAGACTTGGTACAAAAGGAAAAGCTACAGTTTTCTAATACAATAAACTGTGAAATGCATTGCAAACAACATAAAAGCATTCCTTTTTACTCAGAGTTAGAAATTATTTGCAAGAGTCTATAGGAAAAAAAATTCACCGATCTTAATTAAACATCTTAATCTGACAAAACTAGAAAGAGACAAAGAGAATTTTAAATAGATTTCTCAATCATATGAGATTCACATGCAAAAATACAGTAAGAATAGTAGTGTTTCCCAATATTAGAAAAGCAATAATAATAACAGCAATGACAATAAAGACAATCTCATATATAGTACTTACTGTGTGCCCAGCACTGTTCTAAGATCTCTCTCTTGGCCAGGTGTGGTGGTTCACGCCAGGAATCCCAGCACTTTGGGAGGCCAAGGTGGGTGGATCATGACGTCAGGAGTTCAAGACCAGCCTGGCCAACATGGTGAAACCTGTTTCTACTAAAAATACAAAAATTAGCCAGGCATGCTGGCACACGCCTGTAATCCCAGCTACTCGGGAGGCTGAGGCAGGAGAATTGCTTGAACCTGGGAGGTGGAGGTTGCAGTGAGCTGAGATGGTGCCATTGCACTCCAGCCTGGGCGACAGAGTGAGACTCCATCTCAGGAAAAAAAAAAAAAAAGATCTCTCTCTCTCTCGCTCTATCTGTATCTATACCTATATCTATCTTCTACCCTCACAACAGCCCTACGAGGTAGATGCTACTATTATTTTCATTTTACAAAGGAACAAATTTAGGTAAGAGCAAGTTGTCCAAAGTAACACAGATGATAAGTGCTGGAGTCAAGATGAGTTCTTGTTCTTAACCAATATGCTATAGTCCCTTTCTTTCACTCTTAAACAAACCAGAAAGCATTACAATTTCATTTGAGAACATAACACATACCTATATCGCTAATGTCCTTTGCATGCCTATGTACAAGGACAGATTTTTTAAAAGATACATATCACAGATTAGAAAAAAAATACCTCCAGTCAAATAGCTTATGATAAAGCCATATTTATAGAGATTGCAGAAAATTGAAGCCATTATTTAATTATGTACCTCTACTGCAACACATATATATTTTCCACCAACCTAAAAATGCCATATGGTTGTAGAACAAATGTCAGTAGAAATTGGAGGTAGAAATTTTCCACATTTTCTGCTAAGAAAAAGGTCATGCATATCTCAATTGATTAAGTATATTCTTCTGGTCATACTTTTTTGTTGTTGTTGTTAAACCTAAAGGCACTGAGCAAGACAGGTATTATCTCATCCGCCACTGAGTCACAAAACAAAACTAGTATATTTTTACTTAAATCCTTAACTAACCAAAACTTATTTTTATTAAAATTATCAACCAAAGGCACTCACTGCAGTAGTGGTATTTGTGGTTTCATGCAGTGACAATACCAAATATTGCCCCAGGTTATTTTCACTGCTTTTATTTATTTATTTATTTATTTATTGAGATAGAGTCTCATTCTGTCTCCCAGGCTGGAATGCAATGGCACAATCTCAGCTCACTGCAAACTCCACCTCTCGGGTTCAAGTGATTCTTCTGCCTCAGCCTCCCCAGTAGCTGGGATTATAGGTAAGCGCCACCACACTCAGCTAATTTTTGTATTTTTAGTAGAGACGGGGTTTCACCATGTTGGCCAGGCTGATCTCAAACTCCCGACCTCAGGTGATCTGCCGGCCTCAGTCTTCCAAAGTACTGGGATTACAGGTTGAGCCCCTGCGCCCGGCCAAAACATGTCTATTTTTGAAAAATGAATTCCCAAATCATATTGACTATTTAAAATGTATTCTATTCCCCCTTAACACACACACACACATACACACACACACACACACACACACACACAAATATAAAAGCATGTTTAGTATAGTTTTTCTTGCCCTGTCCTCCACGTTTATCAATTTTACTGTTTTCTAATTTAAAACTGTATGGCTATTATGCTTAGTCTGGATGGTATGCAGCCTCCTGTTGGGAGTGAGACTTCAGAACTTATTTCAAGGCTCAACCTCTCTGCTAAGTACGTTTGTGAGTTCACGCTGTGGCCTGCCATCCACAAAGAGCTGAACACAACGCAACAGCTCATTTCGTACAAATTATCATAACTGAACAGATATAACCATACTACTGTATATGTATAAATACTCCTAAACCATATGGTAGGGATACATTTATATGATATAAAATATATCTACATCATATAAACATGTTTATATGGTTTAGAGGTATTTATATATAGTTTAAATAATTTTACTGGTACACTTAAAATTGACCTAATTGTTGACAGAATGGCAGAGAAGAACTGAGACAAAGTAGTGCTTGCTATGTCAAGGAGTGAAGGTCAATTTGGATGACAGAGTGAGACCCTGTCTCAAAAAAAAACCAAAAAAACCTGCATTTCAGGGTATGAGCAGACATGCCTGCTCTCAAAATGTAATTAAATGAGACAAAATGGACGAAGTAATTCTTTTTTTTTTTTCTATTTTCTTTACATGTATCTGCTGAAACACGTAATGTAATTCTTTTTTTTTTTTTTTTTGGGAGACAGGGTCTCACTCTCACTCAGGCTGGAGTGCAGTGTTGCAATCTTGGCTCACTGCAACCTCTGCCTCTCGGGTTCAAGTGATTCTTGTGCCTCAGCCTCCCGAGTAGCTGAGATTACAGGCATGTGCCACTGTGCCTGGCTAATTTTTGTATTTTTAGTAGAGACGGGGTTTTGCCATGTTGGTCAGGCTGGTCTCAAACTCAAACTCCTGATCCCAGGTGATCCGCCCGCCTTGGCTTCCCAAATTGCTGGGATTACAGGCGTGAGCCACCATGCGCAGCCTGTAATTCTTAATTTATAAACTTGCATCAACATTTGATAGGTTTGGCATTTGAGGTTAGTAATATAGAATTATATTACATTTAGGATTAATTTCACAGGAAAAGCAATCACTGCCTCTTGGTTGTCATGTCTTCCAAAGGAATATTTGGTGATTTATAAATAATCATGGATTTATCCATATTCTGATTCAAAGTTAATTTTTAATTTTAGTATCATATTCCAAAGAGAAACTTAATTCTACACATTGAAATTCAAAAGCAAAACTGGGACTGTAAAGCTTTTTAGCAAACTCTGTAATAGAAATTCAACAAGCAAAACATGTCATAGGCTGTAGACTGCAGCAATGAGCCACTCTTGCCTGTAGCTTTTTTAGGAGTGAATCAATAAATAGTAAGCTCTGTAATCTCATGACAAATACTAAGCTGGTTATTTAATTAAAAAGAATACTGTGGGATGAGAGCATTCACATCATGTAGGAATCAAATAGTCCTGGGGGTATTTGAGGAATATATAAACTATGTTAAGAGTGAGTTTCGGTTTCTGTTATTTTACTTGAATCCCTATCTTACTTATACATTTCTTATATCCTTCTCATGTTCCAATTTTCATGTGCTTTAGTATTTGGATGCTGATACCTAGGGACCACTTGCCCCAAACTACCACTATCATCATCCATGTGATCCTAGATTCCTAGCATCCTAAAATACATCCTGATATAAGATGAGTTTAAAACACATTTATAATTTCACAAGAAAGCACCTCAAACGACAGAGAAATTCTATCTACATTTATTAATGAAATAAATGTAGGCTTCAGCCACGTCTTCTAGGTAGGTTGCATCAGTGTGGGGGCCAATGTATGAGGTGAAGAATGTATATTTACTCTGTGCCATGTAAGTGTAATCATATCTGCAAGATTAACAGCTCTTCCAAATGTAGGAGGTCTCTACGCTATGGTGTTATGGAAGGTGTATTTGTTAACTTAGATTGTGCCTCTTTCAAGAGAATGATGATCAGAGTTTGTTTTAAATGGTTATTATCTATAAAACTTTCTTTTCAAAAGTGAAGCATGCTTATCAGCTTAAAGTCACAATAATTATTACACTGGTTCAGCAAACATAAATCCTAGCACAGTCATTTATTAGACAATCACATTTCTGAGACCAGAATTATGTTAGATTATAGACTAATACACACCGTTTTCTGGATGCTTGCAAGATCAGAGCCTGAATACAACAACAACTTTTTGTAGTATGTCTAAAGCACTTTGAGAAGCAGGATGGTGGTAAAGAATACACACTGCTGCTGGGCGAAGTGGCTCACATCTGTAATCCCAGCACTTTGGGAGGCTGAGGTGGGCGGATCACTTGAGGACAGGAGTTCGAGGCCAGCCTGGCCAACATAGTGAAACCCTGTCTCTTAAAAAAAACAAATAACAAAAGAGAATACACATTGTGAAGTCAGCAGACCTGAGTAGAATCTTGACCCTGTGAGATAATTGTGTGGACACTGTTAGGTTATTTGAGCTCTTCTCTATAAAAAGAGGGGATTCACAGAATTCGATAGAACCATTTGATTAAGGTGTTTAGTGTGTGTCTTAAACAGTGTACGCTGCAAAGCACGCATACAATGGCATGCATCTTAAAGAAAGTACAGCACATAGAAAGGTCTACCCATTTTTCTGACAGCTGCACACAAATCTTAGGAATCAATTAAAGATACAGGTTAGCATAATCTTCTTAGATCCAGGATAGGGAGATCTTCCACAGGGGGCACCATTGCGCTACACACTAATCAATCTTCAGAGGTACAGCTTTGGTTTTATTATGATTTAGTTAAGATCCTTCTTCTTCTTTTTTTTTTTAGATGGAGTTTCACATTGTTGCCCAGGCTGGAGTGCAGTGGTGTGATCTCAGCTCACTGCTGCCTCTGCCTCCCGGGTTCAAGCGATTCTCCTGCCTCTGCCTCCTGAATAGCTGGGATTATAGGTGCCCGCCATTACGCCTAGCTAATTATTGTATTTTTAGTAGAGACGGGGTTTCACCATGTTGGTCAGGCTGGTCTCAAACTCCTGGCCTCGTGATTCGCCCGCCTCGGCCTTCTTACAGGAGTGAGCCACAGCATCCGGCCTTAGCTAAGATCTTTCATCAAGCCAGAATGTCAAGGACTCGGGGGAAAAGGACAGAATCTACTCACCTACAATCTTTAGTAACATTTCACACTTCACTGAGCTATGCTGCAGGTCCCATGATCTCTACTGTTACCTAAGTAATTCTGTTTGAAAACTGAGGGACATAGCCACCTTGTTATTTCAGGAAAGATGGTTAAGTACATTATCAGGGATCAATACTCTGATGTGGTAAGTGGGGAGGCTGAGTAGTGCTTGGAGACACTGCATAGGAAATATAGAGGAATGGCTTCAGATGTACCAACTGAATCAACTACAGCTTTCTGATGGCTCAAACAGCTTCAAATCACAAAAATTCTTAATTCAACACAAAATCCGACAGCAGGATTAGTGTATGACTGTGGAAATATGAATCTAGGTAACGATATCTTCTAACTTACTAAAACTACGTTCAGTATCTATACAGAGGTGCCTCTCTTTTCACTCAAAAACCATAATTTTGGGAAACCCATGCCTCTCCACTATATTTTATGACAAGGAAAGAGATAGTGTTCCCTTCAGATCCACTTTAAAACAGTTTTAATGGACTAAACAGGCTTTTCTATAGGGACAGAGGGCTCTATCTTCGACATAAAGACATACAGGCTCTCCTGGTGCACAGGTGGCTTCTGACACCACAAACTGGGAGCAATAATTGAATCCAGCTATCCCACAGTGCAGAGCATCCACCCGCAGAGCCAGCCTGAAGGGCATTTCTAGTTAGCTTTCCAGATAAGACTCAAAAGATTACCCCAATTGAATCTCTCTGCCTCAACCCAGGGGGTGAGAGGCATTGAGGATGTAATCATTTGATTAAAAATATACTTGGGGGGATATAAGAGGAACAAAGGTGGAATTAAATATTCCTTATGAATTAGAAGAACAGAGGTTAGGCAAAAACGCGCAGTATCTTGGGTCATCATTCATTCATTCATTCGACAGTCAGTCAACAAATATTTATTGGGTACCTATCCTGCACCAGGTGCTGTAGTAGGCTTTCACGGTGCAATGGTGAGCAAACTCAAGACACCATTCCATGCTTACCGTCAAGAACTGGTCTTCATCAACGATCTAAGCCTGACTTAGCTTCCTGATAAATATTAGATATTATGTAGATATGTAATTTTTAGGGGTCAGTAATACAAAATGGTAAATTGAAGAGTGGGAGAGACTGCCCCACTAAATATTGTTATGAGCTAAATAATGTAAACTTTTACATATATCATTTTATTCATTTACTTTTTATTTATTTATGTATTTATATTTGGAGATGATGTCTCACTCTGTCTCCCAGGCTGGAATGCAGGGGCGCAATAACCGCAACCTCCATCTCCCGGATTCAAGCGATTCTCCTGCCTCAGCCTCCTCAGTAGCTGGGATTACAGGCATGCACCACCAAGCCCAGCTAACTTTTGTATTTTTAGTAGAGGTGGGGTTTCACCATGTTGGTCAGGCTGGGCTCGAACTCCTGACCTCAGGTAATCCACCCACCTTGGCCTCCCAAAGTGCTGGAATTATAGGTGTGAGCCACCACACCCAGCCACATATAATATTTTAAACCAAGCATCAATAAACTAGGAATATAGAATCTGAAGAAAAATAAAAGAGATTTATAACTGCCTATATTAAATTAGTATCAGTAGTACTTGGGGCCGGGCGCAGTGGCTCATGCCTGTAATCCCAGCATTTTGGGAGGCTGAGGCGGGTAATCACCTCCCAAAGGAGTTCAAGATCAGCCTAGCCAACATGGTGAAACCCCGTCTCTACTAAAAATACAAAATGTAGCCTGGCATGGCAGTGGGCGCCTGTAATCCCAGCTACTTGGGAGGCTGAGGTAGGAGAATTGCTTGAACCCAGGAGGTGGAGGTTGCAGTAATTTAAGATTGTGCCATTGCACTCCAGCCTTGGTGACAAGAGTGAATCTCTGTCTCAAAAAAAAAAGAAAAGAAAAGAAAAGAAAAAGAAATAAGAAAAAAAAAAGAAAGAAAAAAAGAAAATTATGGATGGTCGGGCACCGTGGCTCACACCTGTAATCCCAGCACTTTGGGAGGCTGAGGCCGGTGGATCACCTGAGGTCAGGAGTTTGAGATCAGCCTGGCCAACATGGTGAAACCCCATCTCTACTAAAAATACAAAAATTAGCCAGGCATGGTGGTGCACACCTGTAATCCAAGCTACTCAGGAGGCTGAGGCAGGAGAATCGCTTGAACCCAGGAGGTGGAGGCTGCAGTGAACCAAGATTGTGCCACTGCACTCCAGCCTGGGTGACAGAGCAAGACTCTGTCTCAAAAAAAAAAAAAAAAAAATTATTTGGGCTAACTGAGAGGGTGGCATGTTATATGATGTCATAAAGATGCTTATCATTAAAATCATTTAATAATTTTATTCATGATCCACAAAGGAATAGAGATTATGATAATTAAATCTGCTGATGCCACTGAGGTGTGTGGGATTGCTAACACCTCAGAGAACAAGAATCTAATTTTAAAATAACATTAAGAAATTAGAGGAACAGATAATCAAAGCAAGATGATAGTCACTGGGGACAAATACAAAATAACATACTGAAAGAGTTAAGGAGAAAAAAGACTAGCTTGATGATAGGAATGAATAATGTCGAGAGGGCAAATGTTTTGCAAAAGACCAAGGCTAATAATAAGGCACAACTCTGGTTTAAGATACTAACTATTGCATGTGTGTATAATTTATTTATTTTATTTATGTATTTATTTATTTATTTGAGACAGAGTCTCACTCTATTGCCTGGGCTGGAGTGCAGTGGCACAATCTCAGCTCACTGCAACCTCTGCCTCCTGGGTTCAGGCGATTCTCTTGCCTCAGCCTCCTGAGTAGCTGGGACTATAGGTACCCGCCACCACACCAGGCTAATTTTTGTATCTGTAGTAGAGACGGGGTTTTGCCATGTTGGCCAGGCTGGTCTCGAACTCCTGACCTCAAGTGGTCTGCCCACCTTGGTTTCCCAAAGTGCTGGGATTACAGGCATAAACCACCACACCCGGCCTATAATTTATTTTTGATATAATGTTTCACATGGTACAAAAGCTTCTATAATTTACTGTAAACAGAAACTGATCAGTGATTATTTTTCCATCATTAATAATTGCAATTTGAAGGAGATATGAAATCAAAGCAGTGGTTGCAAAAACTGACAAACTAATTGTTTTGAAAAACAGATTAAAGAGAATCTACTCACTATTGCTGCAAAGAAAAACAGGTGTCTGAAATGTAGTTGCCAAGAGAAAAATAACTGGTTTAATCTGGTTTTAAGGAAATGAGGAGTGGGGGATTTAAAATTTTTGGACAGGGGCTGGTCATGGTGGCTCACACCTGTAATCCCAGCACCTTGGGAGGCCAAGGTAGGAGGATCACTTGACCCCAGGAGTTTGAGACCAGCCCAGGTAATATAGTGATACCTCTTCTCTACAAAAAAATTAAAAAATTAGCTGGGTGTGGTGACATGCAACTGTAGTCTCTGCTACTTGCAAAGCTGAGGTGGGAGGATCACTTGAGCCCGGGAGGTCAATACTGCAGTGAGCCATAATCATGCCACTGCACTCCAGCCTGGGTGACAAGCAAGACTGTCTAAAAAAAAAAAAAAAAAGTTACATAGTTGCACCCATACCATTATGGTATTTTGATATGGATTTTTTTTTCTTTAAATTCTACTATAAACGTCTTATCTAATTATATTACAAGTCCCTTATGGAACAAGATAGGAGAGGGCAATGCCAATGGCTCCACAATCTCCATAGTTATCACTAAAATAGAAATCCTAAATGCTAAGACATCTTTGGCCAGGTGCGGTGGCTCATGCCTGTAATCTCAGTACTTTGGGAGGTCGAAGCGGATGGATCACCTGAGGTCAGGAGTTCGAGACCAGCCTAGCCAAAATGGTGAAACCCCATCTCTACTAAAAATATAAAAAATAGCCAGGCGTGGTGGCAGGCGCCTGTAATCCCAGCTACTCTGGAGGCTGAGGCAAGTGAATCACTTGAGCTGGGTGCAGTGGCTCACGCCTGTAATCTCAGCACTTTGGGAGGCCAAGGCAGGCAGATCACGAGGTCAGGAGTTGGAGACCAACCTGGCCAACATGGTGAAACCCCGTCTCTAAAAATGCAAAAATTAGCTGGGTGCAGTGGTGCACACCTGTAGTCGCAGCTACTTGGGAGGCTGAGGCAGGAGAATTGCTTGAACCCGGGAAGTGGAGGTTGCAGTGAGCTGAGATCACGCCACTGGATTCCAGCCTGGGCAACAGAGTGAGACTCCATCTCAAAAAAAAAAGAGAGAATCACTTGAACCTGGGAGGTGGAGGTTGCAGTGAGCCAAGATTCCACCACTGCACTCCAGCCTGGGCAACGAGAATTAAACTCTGTCTCAAAACAAAACAAAACAAAACAAAGCAAAGAAAAAATACATCTTTGCGGGGCTAGAGAAAATGAGAGATTTAGTGCATTCAGTGATGTTGTATGGCATATTTTACCAAAAAAGAGCTAATGTAAAGTCCCAGGGTAGGAGATGCAGCATCTGCCCAAGAAAGGGGTACAGGAAAGAGAAAACACAGCAACAACTGTTTTCTAAATGTGCCAATGTGAAAAAGTCTCAGAGCCAGTTTGCTAGGGTCATGGGAAGGAACTAGCAGCAAAAATTGACTACCAAAAATAAATAAATAAACGAATAAAGGAGTCTGGCTTTGTCAGTAAAAAAAGAACAATACTATATACAAAAAATTTCTATATTCAAGGCTCAAAAAAGAAAATTCTGGACTCAATATGCAGAAAAATGGCTGAAGCATCTATGTGTAATAAGAAGAAATGACTAAAAGGGCAAACCTTGGAAAGGAGAATCATGACATGAGAAGAAAGACTTTTTTCTTTTTAAAGGGAAGTAATGATATGTGATCATGCAAATGCAAATGTCTGTGGACATTACTGTTTGCTGGTGGGAAGAGAATTTTAATGTGTGCTCTATGCAAATGCATTTTATAATAAAACAAATGTGCAAGGACTTCTGGGGGTGAAGAGGACAGAGGAGAGCAGCAGCTGCTAAATGCTGATGTCTGAGAGGCATTGGAGGATAGAGCCAGAACGTGACACTCTGGAACCCTGAGCAAATTCTAGCAGGGAGGATGAGTCAAAAACCCTATCCTTATAAAAAATCTCTTACATTTGACAGAGAACTGGATGGCTAATGAATTAATATCTGGAAGATCTTTTTTTTTTTTTACCAAGTGCTTAAGCATGAGCAATTATTTCTCTGTGCTTAGAATGATCCTCATAAGAGGACATTTAAAAAACCAGCAAAAACCTCCCTTTTGTGTGTTGAGTCATGAGACAAATGATATGAAATGCACAATAAAGCCTAGAGAAAGACCAGTGCAGAGACAGTGCACCTGTAGTCGCAGCTACTTGGGAGGTGGAGATGGGAGGATCTCTTGAGCCCAGGAGTTCGAGGCTGTAGCCACTGCACTCTAGACTGGACAACATAGTGAGACCTTATATCTAAAAAAAAAAAAAAAAAAAAGAAGAAGAAGAAGGAGAAGGAGAAGGAGAAGAAGAAGAGAAGAAGAAAGACTAGAGATAAATATAATGCAAGCTATTATAAACTACTTAGTGTCTTTGTATCAAAATGAGCGCGAATGTCAAAGCTCATTTACGGCACAGTCCTAGGCACTGGTGAAAGAATGAACAGAAGGCAGGCTCTACAATGCTGAACAGTCTGGTTTTGACCAACTGATGGTTATTCATATCTATATATCTGAAGCAATTATTAAAAAGAAACTGGGAAAAAGTCTGTGTCTCTGTGACGGAGATATTTAAACAAGCCATTTTGAAAATGTTAAAAAATTAAAATTGTAGAAAGTCGAACCATAGGTGCCATGTTTTGCCTGAAGTGGTAAAAATACCATCTGCCTCAGTCTTTTTAGCAGCATGCTTATTTCAAGTAGCAGTAGGCTAAACTACAGGCATACGCTCAGCTCCAGCTGGGGAAAATACACAGACGTTTGTCGATGTTTTTCTAAGCAAGAGTAGTCAACATATTCGTTTTCTTTTAGATATATATATATTAGTTACCATGGCAAACCAAACGTGAATGTGGTCCGAGAGCCTTCTCCACCAGTCCCAACACATCTCCAAGAATTCCTACAATTCAATAGGTGGCACTCTTCCCTCTAGCACTGAGCTGAAGCGGCTCTGCCTAACCTTGAGGCCAGAAGCCTAAAGAGCTGGAACAGTCTGAGATGTGCACCTAGGGCTGCAGGACAGTCACTGGAATTAAGATCCCCACAGCATTGTGCACTGGAGCAAAAGTGTTAGCTTCCTGGTCACACTTCACTTCTGGTAATTACATTCCATCTAATACAACTTCTGCAGTTTTAACTAGGTAAGATATTCCTTGTTTTTCCATCTTAAAAGCGACTAAGGTAGGATTGCCTTACACAGTTAAACAGCTTCCATCTTTGCCCACTGCCCAGGTGAGTGAGTTTCAGCAATGAGGAGAGTGACTTCCAGTGCTGTGTTAACTACTTTAAGAGACAGGGAGAGATGTAATGAATTAATAGTTGTCAAGTGCTTTGATATCTTAGGATGAAAGGTACTACAGCAGTGTAAAGCATTCATATCCAGGCTCTATCACAACAGGAACTCAATTAAAAAGTAATTCAATTTCTAGCTGAGTGTCTGTGTACAGACCACTATTTTGCTGAATGAGACACACATGTTGAAGGTCCAGTTGAGAATGATTTTAAAATGATCACCTCTTCCACACTCTCCCCTACTACCTCACCATCTGAAACCGACAAAATTGAGTGATGGGCCATAAAGCCACAGAGTGCATGACTGAAATAATTATATAGTTTTTTTTTTACTCTTTATTATTTTAAGTTCTGGGATACATGTGCAGAACGTGCAGGTTTGTTACACAGGTATACATGTGCCATGGTGGTTTGTGCACCTATTGACCCGCTCTCTAAGTTCCCTCCTTTCGCGCCCCCCTACCCCCCAACAGGCCCTGGTGTGTGTTGTTCCCCTCCCTGTGTCCATGTGTTCTCATTGTTCAACTCCCACTTATGAGTGAGAACATGCGGTGTTTGGTTTTCTGTTCCTGTGTTAGTTTGCTGAGAATGATGGCTTCTAGCTTCATCCGTATCCCTGCAAAGGACATGATCTCATGCCTTTTTATGGCTGCACACTTTCTTGATATCTGACTTTTCAGACAAAATTTGGCTTTTGAGTTTACAAATACCTATCACTTGGAAATAAAGAAATTTCCAGCAATAAATGAATTTCACAATAGTCTCCTGAAATGGCTGCTGAGTTTTTCAAATACTATTTTACAAATAACTCCTACCAGGGGAACCCTAAGCCACTAAGTGTGATGCCTATATTAGCCTGAACATCATGACCACAAAAAGCAGAGCACACAAAGCAGGGAGGAGTAGACTTTAGGTCATGAGATGCATTGCCAAGAGTCCATAACATACTGCATAAGGCATAATACTGCAGACATCTCCCCAAGACTTAGTAGAGAAAGATATAATCTTTCTTCTCTATGTTACTTGGATTTAAGTCTGTTTAAGGCTGACAGGTCTGGATTAACTACCTAAATCGAGTTATGTCTTTAAATATCAGAATAGCACTACATATTCAAGGAGGGGTGGGTTTCTATTTACTGGCATGAGAAATACTATTACTGGGCACTTGAAAAGACAACCTTAGGCAACTTTGGGATGGAATGTATTACACAGTCAATATACTCTTAAGGCCCGGTGTGGTGGCTCACGCCTGTAATTCCAACACTTTGGGAGGCCGAGGTGGGCAGATCACCTGAGGTCGGGAGTTTGAGACCAGCCTGACCAACATGGAGAAACCCCATCTCTACTAAAAATACAAAAATTAGCTGGGTGTGGTGGCGCATGCCTATAATCCCAGCTACTCAGGAGGCTGAGGTAGGAGATTGCTTGAACCCAGGAGGCAGAGGTTGCAGTGAGCCGAGATTGTGCCATTGCACTCCAGCCTGGGCAACAAGAGTGAAACTCCATCTCAAAAAAAAAAAAAAACCTCTTAAAATGACTAATTTGAGTCTACGGTCCTCGATCCCAGACCTCTCCTAACCTCCTGTACGTCTCCTAACATAACACGAATGTAATACTCATGCACACATGTTTGTCAAGCACTCCTATGTAAGCCTGTGCTAGGGAGGGTGATGCAACCATGAGCAAGGCCACCGAAGCACCTGCCGTTAGATCTTTTACATGCTAGTGGAAGAAGAAATAAACATGCACTTAAATACAAACTGATAATTTTATGTTATGATAAATGTTAAGGAGAAAAAAACAGAGCAAAGGTGGAGTGGCTACTTTAGATAGGGAAGCTGGAGTCAAGGGAGCTTGTGATGGCAAACCCTGGCAGTCGTGTTCATGATGGTTGTCTTGGCACTAGCATAGTGCCTCCAATATATTAACATCAAATAAAGGCTGGGTGAGGTAGCTCATGCCTGGAATCCCAGCACTCTGGGAGGCTGAGGCGGGCAGATCGCTTTGAGTTCAGGAGTTCGAGACCAGCCTGAGCAATGTGGTAAAACCCCATCTCTACAAAAAATACAAAAATTAGCTGCGCATTGGTGGCTTGCACTTGTAGTTCCAGCTACTTGGGAGGCTGAGGCTGGAGAATCACTTGACCCCAGGAAGCGGAAGTTTCAGTGAGCTAAGGTTGTGCCACTGCACTCCAATTTGGGTGACAGAGTGAGACCCTGTCTCAAAAAAAAAAAAAATTTAAATTTAAAAATAAATAAATGTCGGTTGGGTGAAGGAGTGTGTCTGGACCTCAGGATAAGAATGTCTCCTCCCAGATTTAGAATGGGCCTAGGGAATAGAACAGCACTACTCTAAACTGCTCGTTCTGCACTGAGGAAACTAAGAAAAGACCAAAGAGATTAAGTGAACAATTTGGTTTGGATGTTTTATCCCCTCCAAATCTCATGTTGAAAAGTGGCCTCCATTGTTGGAGGTGGGCCTAGCGGGAGGTGTTTGGGTCAGGGGGTCTGATCCCTCATGAATGGCTTAGTGCCATGCCCTTGGTGACGAGTGAGTTCTCACTCAGTGAGCTCATGCATGATCTGGTTGTTTAAAAGTGTGTGGCACCTCCCCTCTCTTGCTAGGTGACATGCCCAATACCCTTTGCCATGTGCCATGATTCTAAGCTCACCAGAAGCCTAACCAGAAGTAGATGTCAGCACTATGCTTCTCGTATACCTGCAGAACCATAAGCCAATTAAACCTCTTTTCTTTTTCATTTTTTTTGAGACAGGGTCTCACTCTCACTCCCGTTGCCCAGGCTGGTGTACAGTGGCGTGATCACAACTCACTGCAGCCTCAACTTCCTGGGGTCAGGTGATCCTCTACCTCAGGCTCCTGAGTAGCCAGGACTATAGGTGTGCACCACCATACCTAGCTATTTTTTAATATTTTTAGCACGGAGTGCAGTGACACAATCTCAGCTGACTGCAACCTCTGCCTCTCAGGCTCAAGCAATCCTCCCACCTCAGCCTCCTGAGTAGCTGGGAGTATGAGTGTGCACCAACATATCTGGCTAATTTTTGTATTTTTTTTAGAGACAGGATTTTGCCATATTACCCAGGCTGGTCTCGAACTCCTGAGCTCAAGTGCTCCTGCCTTGGCTTCCCAAAGTGTTGGCCACTATACCCAGACATATATTTTTTTTCTTTTTATTTTTTTAGACAGAGTCTTGCTCTGTTGTCCAGGCTGGAATGCAAAGACATGACCTTGGCTCACTGCAACCTGTGCCACTGGGGTTCAAGCAATTCTCCTGCCTCAGCCTCCCGAGTAGCTAGGATTACAGGCACGTGCTACCACACCCGGCTAATTTTTGTGTTTTTAGTAGGGACGGGGTTTCACCATGTTGATCAGGCTGGTCTCAAACTCCTAACCTCAGGTGGTCCACCCCCATGGCCTCCCAAAGTGCTGCGATTACAGGTGTGAGCCACTGTGCCCGGCCCCAGCCAGGTATTTTTTATTGCACGGCAAGAAAAGACTAACACAGTGACTGTTACCAGATTTTGCATTGAGTTGGTGGCAGAGCCATTGCTTGGTCCAGGGGTGCTCTTATTTGTGCACCATATTTTTCTCTTTGCCATTTTCCAGTGGAAATCTCTTCCATTGTCAAGTGCTTCTGTGATAAGAAACCCCAGAGGCATTCTTTGAGTCATAAAAAAAGCATCACCAGTCTGGGTAACAGCGAGACCTCGTTCCTTAAAATTAAATAAATAAAGAAAGAAAGAAACAAATAAAAAAAAATAGCCGGGTGTGGTGACACATATCTGTAGTCCTAGTTACCTGGGAGTCTGAGGCAAGAGGATCATTTGAGCCCAGGAGTGGGAGGCTGCAGTAAGCTATGATTGTGACACTGCACTCCAGCCTGAGTGACAGAGTGAGACCCTATCTCTAAAAAAAAAAAACAAAAATAACCAAAATAAGCATCAATGTTCAATTGTCACTCTTTTCCCTTATCTTTTTATTCATATGTTAGCTTTCTGTCACTACCACAGTAAAAATCCCAGTCTTTATCTTCAAACTAGTTTACTACAACCTTCCTAAGCAATCTTCTTAACCCTGCTGATATCCTCAAACTGTGTCAAACGCTTTCCTTTCCTCTCTGCCTTGAGAACCAATGCCCTATCCCCCGATTTTCTCCTGCAGCAGGTTGCTTCTCCCCAACTTACTGCGTGTGTTTTCTATTTTCTTACTCATGGCCTCTGTTCACTCGCTTACTTGCTCATTCACTCGTCACTTACTAAGTGTCAAGTACTGTGTTGGGTACCAGATATACTAAGAGAAAAAAGAAACTGTCTCTGCCCTCCAAGAGCTCACAGTCTAGGATCAGTCTCATAAATGGATCATTATAATATAACAGAGTAAGAGCAGTGACTGAGAAATGCACAGTGTATTGAGGAACTGAGGAAAGCACCTAATCCAGCCTGGGAAACCACAGAGGATTTGCTATAGGAGACAATCCCAAATTAAGCTTCATAGGATGAGCAGAGGGAGCCAGATAAAGACGGCAGGACATTCTAAGCAGAGGGGACAGCATGAGTGAAGGCGCAGAGAACAGAAGCAGTATGCTTTATGAAACTTGGTGCTGCTGCAGGACCATGGGAGATGAAGCTGGAGGGTCTCTTTAGGGGAGAGATCACACAGCCCCGTATATGCCAACCCAGCAAGCTCCGAATGTGCCGGATAGACAACACAGAGCAATGAAGGGGTTTTTTTTTGAGACGGAGTCTTGCTCTGTCGCCCAGGCTGGAGTGCAGTGGCGTGATCTCGGCTCACTGCAAGCTCCGCCTCCTGGGTTCACACCATTCTCCTGCCTCAGCCTCCCAAGTAGCTGGGACTACAGGCGCCCGCCACCATGCCCAGCTAATTTTTTGTATTTTTAGTCGAGACGGGGTTTCACCGTGTTAGCCAGGATGGTCTCGATCTCCTGACTTCGTGATCCGCCCGCCTCCACCTCCCAAAGTGCTGGGATTACAGGTGTGAGCCACCGTGCCCGGCCTAGAGCAATGAAGGGTTTTAAGCTGGAGAGAGAAACGGTCAGATTGGTGGTTTAGACAGCCACTCTGGCTGGTAAAGATCTGTGGGGACAAAAGAGAGGCAGTGGAGACTGAGCAGTAGGTTTTTCAGTGTTCAGATGAAGAGACTATGAGCACGAGGAATGGAAGAGAGACCAAGAGGAGGAGTTGGAGTCAAGAAAATGTAGGCTATAAAACTGGTATGACTTGGTCATGGAACAAGAGGTGGGGAGTAGAAGTGGTTTCTCACATGGTAAGTTTCTCACATGGTTGACTGGTGGGATGACAGTGCTAATCACAGGAGAGAGGATAAGAAAAAAGGCTCAGAGGTCCAGCACCAGGGACTGCAACCTTCCTAATGCAATATATGGACTTTGGGTGATAACGACGCACCAATGTAGACTCATCAATTTTTTTTTCTTTGAGACAGGGTCTTACTCTGTCACCCGGGCTGGAGTGCAGCAGCATGATCTCAGCTCACTGAAACCTCTGCTCCCAGGCTTAAGCAATCCTCCCATCTCAGCCTCCCAGGTAGCTGCAACTACAAGTGCTCATCACCACACCCAGCTAATTTTTACACTGTTTTGTACAGACAGGGTTTCACCATATTATCCAGGCTGGTCTTGAACTTCTGGGCTCAAGTGGTCCTCCCACCTCAGCCTCTCAAAATGCTGGGATTAGAGGTATGAGCCACTGCACCTGGCCTTAGATTCATCAATTGTAACAATGTGCTTCTCTGGTGTGGGATGCTGATGGTGAGGGAGGCTGCATGTGTTTGGGGTCAGGGGCTATAGGAACTCTACTTTTCACTCACTTTTGCTGTCAACCTAAAACTGCTGTAAAAAATAAAGTCATTAAACAACAGCAACAGAAAGGCCAGAGATGTCAGAAAAGATGTTTAGTTTAGTTTAAGATGCACTGGGCTCTCATGCCTGTGGGAGACCCAAGAGGGTAAGTCCACAGCCTGCGTTTGGGTATATGATGAGGCTCAAGTACACATCTAAGACCGAGTGGCAGATATGGAAGCCCTTGGTTTACAGGTGCTCCTATTATCTAGTTTTTCTTGAAGGAGGCAGATAAAAGGAGAGACGGTCCCAACACTCCTCATGGGAGGGAGAGAAAGGACTTGACAGCCTCTGAGACCCCAAAAGCTGCAGAGTCTGAGACCCCAGGGAAAGGCCCAGGGAAAAAGTCAAAAATCAAAGAAGAGGCAGTGAAGGAAAAAAAATCCTTAACTGGGGAGAAAAGACCTGAGACAGACTCCAAAAAAGCCAGAGACCAAGTTATTTGCTGCTCCTAGTAAATCTGTAAGAAAAGCTTCCCACACCCTACCGCAAATGGCCCCCAAACCCCAAAAACCAAAGTATCCCTGTCAACCTAAATTCAGTGATTCAACCAGAAGGAAACATCAGAGCTACCTGAAGAACTTTTTAGAAACACTCAGGTCCTGACCTGCTTTGCAACCTTCTCCAAGCGGGAGACCCGGACTTACGGATTTTTTAAAACCTCCATAGGTAATTCTGACATATGTTCCTGGGTATAAGAACCAGTGGTTCAAAGTAAATCTATTTTGTAATTGTTAAAAAAAAAAAAGAGAGACTTTATTTTCAGCAAGGAAAGAAGAGTAAAGGTGGGGGCCATGGGTGTGCCCCACTAGGCTGCCAGGAGAGTGCGAGGTTCCAGGTCAGCTCTGGAGAGGCCCTTGAGGGTTTTGGTTGTCCCACGGCAAGCAGAGCCCTTCTGGGTCATGTTTCTCCCTCCCTGTCTTTGGAGTGCAGGTGTGCTCACATCCTGGATATTCCTGATTGTTGCATAAATCAGATGGTTGACATGTTCTTTTAGCCAAGCAGCTGTACACATGCCATACACCTGCTAAATGTTCCATTTGTCCCTGAGGGGAAAACAGAACGTGACCCAAGTGTGTTCCTAGGCCTGTACTGATGCACTGAAATCTGACCTCCCGCAGCAGTTTTTAACCAGGGCTGTGTGTCAGAATTATCTGTGGAGACATTTTCAAACCACTCCAGCCTGCCCCTGTACTGCTCTCTCCATCAGGGGATTCTGATCTTGGTGAAAGAGGGTCTGATGCAGTGGTACCTAGGCACATGTGTTTTCAAAAGTTCCACAGGTGATGTGAGAACTCCTGCCTTTGAGAGCTCAAGTCTATCCTGTAAGGTGCTTTCTACTTATTATCTGATGGCCCTAAAGGTTGTCTTCCATCCACACCCCATAGCATCTTTCAACAATAGCTAGTGATTTTACTGTTTATTTTTCCTCATCACATTTGCTGACACTTGACATTATTTATTTAGTCCTTTATTTTGTTATTGATTTTCCCCACTAGAATTGTAAATATTCTGAAAGGAAAGACTTCATCTAGTTGACCGTTGTATTCTCAATACCTAATACAATGTCTGGAATGAAACAGGTACTCAATAATAAATAGACTTCTTGTTGAATGAACCTTATTCCACATGCTATTGGCCTGTTACTTAACAGGAAATGTCCTTCAGCTCTCAATGTGATCATTCTCTTTTGACCTTTCAAATATAAACGAAAGCCAAACACCAAATTGAAATGTGTAAAATAGTACAGTATGTATAAAATCTGCCTACCTTAGCATAGTCCAATCTTCCTTTTTCTTGAGCCTACAAAAGAAGAGGGGAAAATTAATTTGTTACTTCTCTAAAAGTTTAGTGCTTCTATAATTTTTGCTTCTCAAAGAATAGAACTCAGCTTCTCTGTCCCCCTTTCCCTCTCTCTATTTAATATACATATTGAACTATATATTATAATCCATGTAAATTGCAAGCATATAGAAAAGTTAAACGAACAGATCACTGAGCACGCATAGACACTACCTAGATCTGGCAGGAGTGGATGTCACGACTCTTAATGTCACATGCTTCAGCATGTATCTTATACATATACAGCATCTCATACATCACCCCATGACCACAATCAAAATTAATGAACTCACAATAATGCCATATCATCTAACACAAACCTATATTCAAACTTCTTCAACTGTTCCAAGAATATCTTTTATAGCTTTTTTCCCCAAAACCAGAATTAATCAAGATTCACACATTGCATTCTGGTTTTTGTGCCTCTTTTGTTGCCTTTTATTTATTATTATCATTTCTTCTTTTTTGCCTAGACTAGTCTCTCCCAATTTTTAACAAAATGAAAATAAAAGCCATGCTTCTTTTCATAAAAACCATTGACTTTTTGAGAAGACAAGGATAGCTGTTTTATAAAATCCCTTTTTCTTCTTTCTTCATTGCGTCATTTAACTTGTTTCTGTTTTGCTTGTAAACTGAAAGTTGGGTCTGGAGAAGGCTGCTAAGATTTAGGTTAAACATTTTTGGCAAAAATACTTTATGTGGAAATATTACATACTCCATCAATTCAGGAGGCACAAAATGTCAGGCTGTTTCACTCTTAGTAATGCCGTAAATTCAGCTGGGTGCGGTGGCTCACGCCTGTAATCCCAGCACTTTGGGAGGCCAAGGCAGGCGGATCACCTGAGGTCAGGAGTTCGAGACAGCCTGGCCAAAATGGTGAAACCCCGTCTCTATTAAAAATACAAAAATTAGCCAGGCGTGGTGGCAGGCGCCTGTAATCCCAGCTACTCAGAAGGCTGAGGAGACAAGAAAATCGCTTGAACCCAGGAGGCGGAGACTGCAGTGGGCTGAGATCATGCCACTGCACTCCAGCCTGAGTGACAGAGCAAGACTCCATCTCAAAAAAAAAAAAATCTTAACATAACAACCAGGGTTAGTTTTTGCTGGCAGGTCAGTTTGTGTTTTGCAGACTTCAGAATAAAATTTCTCCTGCCACTTCTGCATAGAACAAGAGTCCTCCAACTTACAAACGGGTTAGGTCTCAAGACCATTTTGTTCCTGAGTCCAAATTTACATTATACAGGTAATTAACATAGGCAGATTACTTCCGTGAGAGAAAAAAAAAGTTTATAATATTGGTCCTAAAGCTGGGCACAGTGGCTCATGCGTGTAATCCCAGCACCTTGGGAGGCCAAGGCAAGAGGATTGTTTGAGCCCGTGAGTTCAAGACCAGTTGTGGCAACATAGTGAGACTCCATCTCTACAAAAAATAAAAAAAATTAGCTGGGTGTGGTGGTATGCACCTGTAGTCCTAGCTACTTGGGAGGCTGAGGTGAGAGGACTGCCTGAGCCTGGGAGGTTGAGGCTGTAGTGAGCCATAGTTGCACCACTACACTCCAACCTGGGTGACAGAGTGAGATCCTGTCTCAAAAAAAAAAAAAAAAAAAATGGTCCTGACCCTTCTTGCTGCTTTAGAATCTTTTAAAAATTTTTCTGAAGATGACTCCATTTTTTTTTTTTTTTTTGAGATGCAGTCTTGCTCTGTCGTCCAGGCTGGAGTGCAGTGGTGTATCTCGGCTCACTGCAAACTCCCCCTCCAAGGTTCAAGGGATTCTCCTGTCTCAGCCTCCTGAGTAGCTGGGATTACAGGCACCCACCACCACGCCCGGCTAATTTTTGTATTTTTAGTAGAGACAAGGTATCGCCATGTTGGCCAGGCTGGTCTTGAACTCCTGACCTCATGTGATCCACCCACCTCAGCCTCCCAAAGTGTTGGGATTACAGGCGTGAGCCACTGCGCCCAGCCCTTGTTTTTCTTATTTTCATAGTAAGAAACTTATAAAACACTGTTCATGCACAGTTGTTGGCACCACCACAAACCACTCTAAAATTGTGATTAAATATTTTCAGTGAAACAAAAGGCCTCTGCAACCAATCTACTATAAAAAGAGTAAGGTCTTCAGTCTGCTTTTTGAAGTTTTTTAGTGTTCTAGGATTTTCAGAGAACTAAGAAGAGTTTGAACTTAGTACTGAGATGCATTGTACCAACAGGAATATGAGTGAGTTCTTAAAGAAATTTCAAAACCAAGCTGTTAGTCTCTATGCTTAGATATTTTATATTTATTCGTTTGTCTGTTTATGGGCATCTTTTCCCAAAATAGTTTTGTCTACACTGAAAATCCCACCATAGTAACTTCTGCAGAAGTGGTAGGGAAGCCCTGAACACATCTGTATTGCTCACTTATGACCTAGCTACTCACTTTGATATTGTCCAAATATGGACTGGCCTTGATCTTACGAATAATCCACAGATGGCCTGTGACCAAAATTTCATCAGCAGCACTTTCCCAACATGCTTAGTCTTTCAGTTCTCAAACTCGCAGCTGACTCTTGAATTCATTTAGGTTAATGGACATCTGACATTGAGGCTGATCCTGTGGTCACAAGTTTTCCACTTTTTCCACTCTCCATCCTTTTCCTTGTCTTTTGCTGACTACTATGAATTGCTCAAGTGCAGCACTTTTCAAATGACACTAGGATATTCTGAAATATATATTTGGTCATAGTCCAGTTTTCTGGCATACAACTCCTAAAATCTTCAGAAACTCACCAAGTGATGCCTTTTTGTATGTTAACGAGCTGACTGATGGCTGGCAACTCCTGACTTCAGGATGGGGACTGGTCATGGCAAAGACCAAGACAGGATTAGAAGGTTAGGGCTTTCAGCCCACCCCCAAATTTCTGGGGAGGGGAGAGGGGCTGAAGGTTAACTTGATCACCAATGGCCAATGGCTTAATCAATCATACCTATGTAATGAAGCTTCCATAAAAACCCAAAAATTTGTTCCATAAAAACACAGAATTTGGAGAACTTCTGGGGAGCTGAACACATGGAGGTTTCTATATGGTGGTACACTGGAGAGGAAATGGAAAACTCCACGCCCCTTCCCACTTGTCTTAACTTATGCATCTTCTCATCTGTGTTCTTTGTAATATTCTTTAAATAAATTGGTAAGTATAAGTGTTTCTGTTCCAAAATTCACATAGCTGTGAAAAAGAAAGTAAGTGTTTCCCTGAGTTCTGGGAGCTGCTCTAGCAAATTAACTGAACCCAAGGAAGTGGTCGTGGGAGCCCCACTTTATAGCAGGTCAATCAGAAGCACAGGTAACCTGGAGCTTGTGACTGGCATCTGAAGGTGGGGGTGGGGTAAGGGGGGGGTGCAGTCTTGAGCCCTCAACCTATAGGATCTGACACTATCTCCAGGTAGATCGTGTCAAAATATGGTACGTGCCTGTTGTCCCAGCTACTTGGGAGGTTGAAGTGAGAAGATAGCTTACGGTCAGGAGTTTGAGGCTGCAGTGAGCTATGATTGTGCCTGTGAATATCACTTCACTCCAGCCTAGGCAACAAAGTGAGACCCCCATCTCAAAAAAAAAAAAAAAAAAAAAAGAAGTGTCAAAATAGAAGTAAGTTAGAGACACTCAGCTGGTGTCAGCTTGCTGAAGTGATTGCTTGCTTGTTGATGGGGAGAAATCCTTGCATGTTGGGTCATAGAAGTGTCCTGTGTTGACTATTTTTGAGAGACTGTATCAAACACTTTTGAGTGTGTTTTCTTCCACTCACAGAAGCACAAACTGGGAGTCCTAGAGAATTGTTCCTGAGGTCAAACAGCTCAACACTGAGCACATCTGTCATTTCCTCACTGTCAATGTTGCCTCTCTTCTAACCATCTCCTCTTCATGCTCTCTCAATATTCTCATCGTTCAGTGCTTATCATGCGGTGCTTAAG
This sequence comes from Homo sapiens, assembly GCF_000001405.40. Classification (NCBI taxonomy): domain Eukaryota; kingdom Metazoa; phylum Chordata; class Mammalia; order Primates; family Hominidae; genus Homo; species Homo sapiens. The sequence goes on from NC_000006.12 coordinate 107,197,843, forward strand.
AGTGTTGAAAGTAGCATTTGTTGAAAGTTAGAAAGTTGAACTTCTGTACTTGAAGACTGAAAGGCAAACCATGGAGAAACTATGACTGACAATGACTTAGGGGTGGAATTTTCCTTTTGGCTGCATTGAGCCACCTCCCACTCTGTCTCAAAAAAATTCAACAGGTAAGAAGAGTGAATATAATATTCTTTACTGATAAGGACATCTAGAATAGCCCTATCACAAATTCCTGTAAAACCATTTTTCCCATCCCATACTTTGTTTATAGACTAATCATCTTGGAAAATTCTAGTACTTTGAATTACCTGTGCTTAATCACAACTTATTTGCAAACCTCAAACTCTCTCACTTTACTTTGTCTTCTTAGCTTGGCCACTACCCTGTCACCCAGTAGGGACACATTGTTGGGGATGACGGCAGAGAAATTCCATGGATATAATCTAGATCTGCTCAACATCAGCTCTATAATGTTTTGAAAGCTGAGAGAGTAGAAGCCTACATAAAATGACAACACCGTTACCACAGCCATTATAATCTGAACATGCAACTATTGATATGTGGCTCACCCGAATATCCTTTTCATTTTGTCACAATAAATGTTCTAGCTCTATGAAATCATTTTACTCTTGATCACTTTAGCTTGTACATAAAAGTATCATTTATTTTAGGAAAAAACTCTGGTAAATATTTAAACTTCTATAGGTATATAATACATATATGTTTCCAGCTGATACATGGGTATAATATCTAAATATGCCAAACATACCTGACAACAGACATTCTGATATGGTGTTTTCTCACAAAAAGCTTTAGAGCTTTTAAAAATATACTGACCAGGCACGGTGGCTCATGCCGGTAATTCCAACACTTTGGGAGACCAAGGCGGGCAGATCACATGAGCACAAGAGTTTGAGATCAGCTTGGGCAACATGGTGAGAAACCTGTCTCTACAAACAATAACAACAACAACAACAACAACAACAACAACAACAACACAGCAAAAATCAGCCAGGCATGGTGGCGCGCACCTGTAATCCCAGCTACTTAGGAGGCTGAGGTGGGCAAATTGATTAAGTCCAGGAGGTCAAGGCTGCAGTGAGCTGTGATTGCACCACTGCATTCCAGCCTGGGTGACAGAATGAGACCCTGTCTCAAAAAATAAATAAATAAAAATATGTCAAGTTAGATACAAATAAATGATTTAGATTCCTACATAAATGATATTTCTCATTAAATACTATCCTTATTCTTTTTGTAAGATAGTTAATTTGGGAGAAGCGATAGTTTCTATTACACCTCTTGGTTGCTCATTCATTTAACAAATACTCATTCAGCACCTACTATGAGTCAGACACTGCTTAGGCACTACAGACACAGGCATGAACAGAACAGATCAAAATGTGTGACCTCTTGGAATTTATATTCTAGGAGGTTACAAAGTATTGTGATTGACTGACTGTTTGATTGGTTGATTAAACAGGGTCTTACTCTGTCTGTCACCCAGGCTGAGTGCAGTGCTGTAATCACAGTTCACGGCAGCCTCAACCTCTCAGGTTCAAGTGATCCTCCTGCCTCAGCCTCCTGAGTAGCTGGGGCTACAGGTATGTACCACCATGCCTGGTTAATTTTTAATTTTTTATAGAGATGGGGTCTCACTATGTTGCTCAGGCTGGTCTCGAACTCCTGGATGCAACTGATCCTCCTGCCTTGGCCTCCCAAACTGCTGGGATTACAGGCATGGGCCACTGCACCTACCTACACAATACTGTTTTAGATATGCTTCGTCTACAATCTCCCAAGCTCCATGAAAGCAAGGAAATTTTCTCTTGCTCACAACTGTATCCCAAGTTGAGATCAGTGTCTGAGTGAATGAATAAATGGATGAAGCTTTTTCTTTATATGTATTGGTTATGTACTACTTATTCAGGGAATGTACAGGAAAAACGAATTTTACTCACTCCTAGTTCTAGGAAAGCTGGATGTTTTTGTTTGTGAGCTAGTATGCAGGTAATGTAGAGCCCTTAGCTGATGCCTTACATGTAATTTTTACCCATATAGAACAATGGCATATTTTCATTTTCTCACCCACCTTCTATTTATAAATACACTAAAGAAGGGAACCTAAGCTTCCATCTGTAGAAAACAAATTCAATGATTTCATGAAAATTAACCAACAAAAGGCTAGGACAGAGAAGAATTAGTGTAATTAAGTGCTTCAACCTTAAAAGCAGTGCGTCTAAAGGAAAAGACCTTAGAATGGAAGTTAACAGATCTCCAGAGAGATTTCAAGACATACACCTCAAAATTTCAGGGATTAAAGGCCTTGTCTACTGATTACAGCAAAAGGCCTAAGATCTTAATTGTGAACACTTCAAGAGGCATTGTGACCTGGGAAGATGGATATGTTGGGAGCCAGAAAATATGGTTTCTAGTCCTTCATTGGTTAATAACTTGAATAATTTTTACATTTTTGTATAGGCCTTCATTTCTTGATCTGTAGAACACCAGACCAGACCAGAAGTTCCCAGATGCTGGGCTCTCACAAATGCTGGGCTGGATGTATTGGAATCACCTGGGTAGCTTGCGAAAAATGCAGATTCTCCATAGCCTACCCCTGTGATTCTGATTTGTTTGAGGATCATTGGTCTGGCCTATGTCTAATGTCTTTTTTAATTTGTGCTTCTATGTGCATCAGGGTTTACTTCAAAGGCTGAAAGAGAACAACTATGTAAACTCCATAAGTCTCGAGGAGAATGGACTGCAACTTTTCCCTTTTTGTTCTGACACCTGCCACTTATCATGTGTATTTCTAGCAGAGCAAGATATTATTATTATTATTATTGAGATGGAGTCTCACTCTGTTCCCCAGGCTGGAGTGGAATAGCGTGATTTCGGCTCACTGCAACCTCCACCTCTCAGGTTCAGGCGATTCTCCTACCTCAGCCTCCCTAGTAGCTGGGATTATAGGTGCCCACCACCATGCCTGGATAATTTTTGTATTTTTAGTATAACGGGGTTTTGTCGTGTTAGCCAGGTAGTCTCAAACTCCTGTCCTCAGGTGATCCGCCCACCTCAGCCTCCCAAAGCGTTGGGATTACAGGCATGAGTCACTGCGGCCAGCCAGAGCAAGATATTATTAAAATAACTTTCTCACAGGGGCCCAAAATAGGCTGATATAAAATAAATGGAATCTATATTTCAACAGCCAGCAGTCCTGAACCTCTTCCTGCCACACTGTTCGTCCCCAGAAGCCGCTGTAAATTCTACCATACACAGCAATTCCCTGAGGGCTTCATTACTAGGGTCTTTAAAAGGGATTCACTCATCTTTTTGCCTCCTGTAGGTGTGCTTCTTGTCAATCCAGGTCAAGAGAAAAGAAAGTAATTTTTTCCAAATCTTTAGCAGTTCACAGAGAATGTGTGGTTTGAACCTTGTTTTATCTTTTAAAAATGTGAAAATAGACAAGATAGTGTGCCTGTGCTCATGACACTGGAGGCCTCCTCGGACAGCTATAGTGAACACTGTAAAACAATATTCCATACAAAAGCAAAAAAAAAAAAAAAAAAAAAAAAGCCAGCACTCTGATTGAGAGGATGCACAAAGGAATTAATTCCAAAGGTTTATATACCAGTCTCTGTAGACTAAAGGCAGACAGATTCCCTGTTGGTAAGTAATGGATGTACAATGTGGTCTTTTACTTTAAGAAACAAACGTTTTTTTATAAGTCAGGTAACAAAGAAGGATTGGATGACATAAATGAACTGTTTCCAATTTCCAACTACTGTTATCTGGAGTTGAAAGCTGGATATGGGGACACCTTTTTCTAAAAGCAGAAAACTAATATTCCACAGCAGGGAGTCCAGAAATTGCTAGAGACTAATCATCTCTACTTATCAGGTTATTCTTCCCAAATGTTACAGGCTATATTTTAGAATAACTGCCATTTTTAAAGATTTCCTTTTTAAATCTTCAAGGAAAACTACCTTCCCCCGCAAACTTTTTAGTTGAAAGAATACAATGAACACTCATTTTCCCTCCACTTAGATTCAACAGTTGCTAACACCTTACCACTTCTGTTTTCCCCCTTTCTCTCCATGACCATTTATTATTTGAGAGTAAGTTTTAGACATAAGGATGCTCACCCCTAGATACTTCAGCATTTGTCCCTAAGAACACTGACATTTACTATAATAGTTAATTACTTATTTGTTTGTCTGACAGGGTCTCCCTCTGTTGCCCAGGCTAGAGTGCAGTGGCACAATCATGGTTCACTGTAGCCTTGACCTCCTGGACTCAAGAGATTCTCTAGCCTCAGCCTCCTGAATAGCTGGGATTACAGGTACACACCACCACACCTGGCTACTTTTAAAAGTTTTTAGTAGAGATGGGATCTTGCTATGTTGCCTAGCTGGTCTTGAACTCCTGGCCTCAAGCAATCCTCCCGCCTTGGCCTCCCAAAGTGCTGGGATTACAGGCATGAGCCACTGCACCCAGCCCTATAATGCTATTTAAAATACAGTTCAGGCTGGCCATCTCTGCAAAAAAAAAACAAACAAAACAAAACAAAACAAAACAAAACAGTGTGTAGTGTATGGGGATAACAGAAAGAAGGGTCACAAATCAGAAATCTACTACATCTGCTAGCCCGGAAGTTAGAGCAGCCCACTGAGTATTGGTTTGGTAGAAGCAGGCCTTGTGTTGCTCGGCTTTCTAGTTACAGAGCTGGAAAGATAGCAGAATATAAAGGAACAGGGCAGGCCTTTTCTCTGCTATCTTGGTCATTCTCTATGAATAAGAGAGCGCAGAAGGCATGTGCAAGGAAGTTAACACCATTCACACCTGGACTGCTTTGCTTGGGTACCTGATTTTACCATCTCTTTCAACTGGGAAAGCTAATCGACTTTTAGAGGCAAGCGTGGATGTCTAAGGAATTAATTTTCTCATATTCTGTTCCTTTGGTTCACTGGAGAAAAAGAAGCAACAGCAGATGTAGAAGGCTATGGTGTCCAATTTTAGAAAGGAGAGAGGCAAGGAGATACTAGATATACTAGAGTAAGGCGAGGAGATACTACTTGTATTATCTACATAACAAATCTCTCTCTGCTCAGAGGTCTTGTTATTTCTTTGTAACCTGTTTTTCTTGCTATGCTGCTCTCTTGGAATCTGGAAGAAACATGAAATTTTAAATTGCACAGTGTGACCAGGAAAAAAAATCGACTCAGGTCTCAGAAAGGCCATGATTAAGGAAATCAGGCTAATAGTAGAATTTAGTTGCTTCCTCCAGCAGCAAGTTCCCAAGGCAACGGCCATCAACCTTGATGGAGTACTTCAAACTCACCATGTCAAGAACCTAAGTTAAACCAGTCTTTCCACTTAACTTTCCTATTTCTATTAATGGCTTAATTTTTTCTGTTATCCTAGTCCAAAATCCTTGTTTTAGCCTCTGAGTGCCACTCCCCAGTCCACACCTGTCAGCCTCTCCCTATCAGATCAGTTTTCTAGTCCCATATATTTTCTCTGAAATGAGTTTTACGCTTAACCTCCTTATCTTCCCATTCTCATTGCCAACACTCTGATTGGGCTTTTCTCTTGTGCTTATCAATGGGTTTCCAAAAACTTCTTAATTGATCTCCTTGCTTTTAGTATCTCTTTGTTCCTTTCATCGTATATAATATAGCCAGATTTACCTCCCTCGCAGCTCAGACCTTGATCATATCAGGCTCAAAAACTTTCAATGTCTGCTTCATGACTTCTTCATCAAGTTGGTTTGCCATAGGCAAACATCCCAAAGTCTTTTAAAAATTTAGGTAAAATTTACATAACATAAAATTAATCATTTTAATCATTTAAAACAGTATAATTCAGTGGCATTTAGTACATTCACAATGTTATGCAATCATCACCACTAACAAGTGCCGAACATTTTTATTACCCCAGAAGGAGACCTGTACCCATTAAACAGTCTCTCCCGCTTCGCCTCTCCCCAACCCTGGGCAACCACCAGTCTTTTTTCTGTCTCTATGATTTGTCTACTCTGGATGTTTCACATAAATGGAATCATATGATATGTGGCCTTTTGCATCTGGCTTCTTTCACTTATTATAATTTTTTTTTTTTTTGAGACAGAGTCTCACTCTGTCCCCACGCTGGAGTGCAGTAGCATGATCGAGGCTCACTGCAACCTCCGCCTCCCGGGTTCAAGTGATTCTCCTGCCTCAGCCTCCCAAGTAGCTGGGACTACGGGTGCCTATTACCACACCCGGCAAATTTCTGTATTTTTAGTAGAGATGGGGTTTCACCATGTTGGCCAGGATGGTCTCGATCTCCTGACCTCGTGATCCGCCCCCCTCGGCTTCCCAAAGTGCTGGGATTACAGGCATAAGCCACCGCGCACTGCTTATAATATAATGTTTTAAAGGCCCATACATGTTGCAGCATGTATCAATACCTCATTCCTTTCCATGGCTGAGTAATATTCCATTGTATGGATATACCACATTTTGCTTCTCCATTTATCAGTTGATAGACACTGGGCTATTTCTACCTTTTGGATATTGTGAATATTGCTGATCTGAACATTCATGTACATATTTTTACATAAACCAGTCTTTTAAATATAGTTATTACTATTTCAGAGCAATTCTTCATCTGTCCCTGATACTACCCTATGTTTTTCACATTCCACCCAAATTAAGACACTTTTTTTTAATTTGACAACATTGCATGCCTGCACCTGTATCACTTTTTCATGGTTTCCTTTGCCTAGGAAGCCCCCATTCTCATCTTTGCTATCCAATCTTCTTTAAGGACTATCTCACATATTATTAATACCGACTTCATAAACCTCTTTCTTGACTTTTCCAACTGAACATCAATTGTCTTTCCTCTATGCTCCCCAAGTGGCATGAATCACAGTATTCCTTATGTTTCTATATTTATGTATTTATCTTATCTCCTCTCTACTGGGCCATAGACAACCTTTAGGCAACTTATTTCTGTATCTCCTGTAGTCAAGCACTTTGTTTCCTTAAGTGCAACAGAAAGCCTTAAGAAATATTTTAATTTAGGAGATATCTAGAGCCATTTCATAGTCTTTGTGGTCATGCATATAGTTCTTTCAAATGCCTACATTGTATACCTTCTATGATAGAGGATGATATTAATATTATTCCTTTTGAAACCACTAAAAATGTCTTAAAGAACTAGAAGAGTATCACATGTGTTATTAATGAGGAATCTGCATGTGCATTTTCTCTTTTGTTTAAGAATAGGCATGTGTTATTTTCACGCACACCAGTCTTGCCTAGCAGTCTTTGTTTTACTTTCTGAATAAGGAGCAATAGTAAGCTATCTAGGGACAAGCGAGTTACAGCTTAGCAATGGTAATTTGTAGTACACTTAAGGTATTTCATGACAGTGTCAGAATGTCACAAGCCCAAGTGACATTTCAGTACTATTAGGAATAGCCAAGAAAATCTAACCATAATTCTTATTTCTTCAGGTGACTTATAGTGGCAGCAGAAAACTAGAAGGATCATTAAAAATAAAGCTTGCTGACCTGCAATAGCCCCTGGACTCCCTGAGAGAGTCAGAGCTCTGTGGTGCTCTGAAGGATTCTACTTTCTTTTATTAGGAATCAAAATGATAACTGAGTAATGACTTCACCTCCCCAGGGTGAATAACCCATTCACTAACAGTATTTTTTCCTGATCATTATTTCTCAGCAGCTACAAATTTAAATTTAAAATTAAGGCAGGGAGAGATCTGTAGAATTTAGTATGGAGAAAATGCTCAGCAAATGTTTTTCAGCTGTTTCCGGTCTTAACTGCCTTTTGTGAAAGAGTGTGGTTGTGTGCGTGTGTGTCAACATGCACATGCATCCATAGGCCTATAGTTGTGATGGAAGAGGGCTACCTAATCCTAAGATTTTTCAGGAGAAAGGAGCTGCTGGAGAAGAGGTGGCACAGCCTGATAAGGAAAATCCCAGGGGTGCTCTTGCTCCTAGCTTCACAATGGTGCTGAACGGGTATCGAGAGTATGTCACCTCCTGGCTTCCTTGTCTAGTCAATAATTCTCAGTCTTTCCAAGCAGGAAATCAAAACAGTAGATGAGACACAAACCTGCCTGGGCAGAGTAAAGAAGTAATTTTAAATGTGGTAATAAGAAATCACAGGTGACTTCCATCATTGACAGCAAGATTTTTCTGTTTCTCAGTGTTAAAACTTGTAAAAGTTTCTTTTTTTGCGGGGGACAGAATCTCAGTCTGTCACCCAGGCTGGAGTGCACTGGTGCGATCTTGGCTCACTGCAACCTCTGCCTCCTGGGCTCAAGTGATTCTCCTGTCTCAGCCTCCCGAGTAGCTGGGATTACAGGCATGCGCCACCACGCCCAGCTAATTTTTGTATTTTTAGTACAGACCGGGTTTCACCATGTTGGACAGGCTGGTCTGGAACTGCTGACCTCAAGTGATCCGCCCACCTCGGCCTCCCAAAGTGCTGGGATTACAGGTGTGAGCCACCATGCCCGGCCTGTTTCTAATAGAGATAAATATTTTTCTTATAATGCATCTCTTGTCTAAGAGAACTAGTTCTTGGATTTATTTTAGAGCTGAAAGGGACTTTGGAAAAGATCTAGTTTAATGCCATCATTTTACAGAAAAGAATAATGGGGATATGAGAGAATGTGATTAAGTTTACTTAGATGCTAGCAGAGTCCAAATTAGAATCTAGACCAGGAGTGTCCAATCTTTTTGCTTCCCTGGACCACACTGGAAGAAGAATTGTCTTGGGCCACACATAAAACACATGAACACTAATGGTAGCTGATGAGCTAAAAAAAAAAAATTGCAAAAAAACCTTCATAATGTTTGAAGAAAGTTTATGAATTTGTGTTGGGCCACTTTCAAAACTGTTCTGGGCTGCATGCAGCTCATAAGGGCTGGACAATCTTGATCTGACCTTCCAAATCCTGGTCCTCTGTGGGCCATTTCTGTTATACCAACTTAACTCTAACAAAACCGGGCTGCCACCAAACAGTCTCAACCTGCAAGACCACACCACACTCACTTTTTGACAAATATTAATTTGGTAATTACTCCAAGTAAGCCACTGTGGCAGGTAGTATGGGTAATTCAAAGATGAATTTGCTATTATTGTTTTTTTTTTTTTTTAGACGGAGTCTTGTTCTATCGCCCAGGCTCGAGTGCAGTGGCGCGATCTCAGCTGACTGCAACCTCCGCTTCCTGGGTTCAAGTGATTCTCCTGCCTTAGCCTCCCGAGTAGCTGGGACTACAGGCGCCCGCCACTGTGCCCGACTAATTTTTTGTATTTTTACTAGAGACGGGGTTTCACCATGTTAGCCAGGATGGTCTCGATTTCCTGACCTCGTGATCCGCCTGCCTCGGCCTCCCAAAGTGCTGGGATTACAGGCATGAGCCACCACACCCGGCCTGAGTTTGCTATTATTGTTAAGGATCTTGCAATCAAATTCAAAACTGAAGGAGAGGGCTTTAGGGGAGGGAAGGAAAGGATCTCAAAGATATCCAGGAGGGTAAATAACATGAAAAAATCAGAAAGAGAACTAATTTCAGGATTAATAAGCAACCTCCTTGAGATTTAGGGTGGAATGTCTCTCCTAGGTGTTATGCAAATTGTGTTCCCTATTTCTGACTAGGAGGCATTCACAGAACAAGATGGTTATCTTATAAAGCTTTACATAAAAATGTACATTACAATTTAGAAGATTAAAATAAACTCAGTAAAGTGTCTTTTTTTTTTTTTTTTTTTGTGAGACAGAGTCTCACTCTGCTGGCCAGGATGGAGTGCAGTTGTGCAATCAGCTCACTGCAACCTCTGCCTCCAGTGTTCAAGTGATTCTAGGGCCTCAGCCTCCTGAGTAGCTGGGATTACAGGCCCGGGCCACCATGCCTGGCTAACTTTTGTATTTTTAATAGAGATGGGGTTTCGCCATGTTGGCCAGGCTGGTCTCAAACTCCTGACCTCAAGTGATCTGCCCACCTCGGCTTCTCAAAGTGCTGGGATTACAGGCATGAGCCACCATGTCCAGCCATTATTTTTATTTTTAAAAATGTGTTAATTTTCTTACCTCTGTTTTTAGTTTTCTCTGTCTATGACTTGTTTTTTTTTTTTTTTTTTTTTTTATGAAACAGAGTTTCACTCTTGTTGCCCAGGCTGGAGTACGGTGGCGCAATCTTGGCTCAATGCAACCTCTGCATCCTGGGTTCAAGGGATTCTCCTGCCTCAGCCTCCCGAGTAGCTGGGATTAGAGACATGAGTCACCAAGCCTGGCTAATTTTTTGTATTTAGTAGAGACGGGGTTTCACCATGTTGGTCAGGCTGGTCTCGAACTCCTGACCTCTGGTGATCCACCTGCCTCGGCCTCCCAAAGTGCTGGGATTACAGGTGTAAGCCACCATGCCTGGCCTTTTTTTTTTTTTTTTTTTTTTTTTTTTTTAAAGACAGTCTCACTGTGTCGCTCAGACTGGAGTGCAGTGGCTCCATCTTGGCTCACTGCAACCTCTACCTCCCAGGTTCAAGTGATTCTTGTGCCTCAGCCACCTGAGAAGCTGAGATTACAGGCGTGCACCACCACACCCAGCTACTTTTTGTATTTTCAGTAGAGACAGGGTTTTACCATGTTGGCCAGGCTGGTCTTGAGTTCCTGACCTCAAGTGATCCACCCCCTTGGCCTCCCAAGTGCTCAGATTACTGGGATTACAGACATGAGCCACCACACCTGGCCTGTGACTTTTTTTTTTTTTTTTGGGGACGGAGTTTAGCTCTTGTCGCTCAGGCTAGAGTGCAATGGCGCAATCTCGCTCACTGCAGCCTCTGCCTTATAGGTGTGCACCACCACGCCCAGCTAATTTTTGTATTTTTAGCAGAGACAGCGTTTCACCATGTTGGCCAGGCTGGTCTCGAACTCCTGACCTCAGGCGATCCACTTGCCTTGGCCTCCCAAAGTGTTGGGATTACAGGTGTGAGCCACTGTGCCCAGCCTGGCCTGTGACTCTTAATAGATACAAGGTTTCCTGAAAGAGTCCTTAGTTTTCTTATTTTTTTTCTTTTTTTAAAAAATCATCTTTTTTGTCCACTTTTCTGGGAGATTTTTTCATTTGTATCTTCCATTCTTCTGATTAAAAAATTCTGCAATCATATTTTTATATTTTATAATTCTAATTTTTATTCTTGAATTGTCCTTTTTAATGGATCATCTATTATTATACCATGGATTTAATATCCTTCCTTGTCAAGTATATTGATTATAGTGCTTTGAAAAACATCTGCCTTTGATTGCATTGTCTCTATTTCCGCTAAGTTCCCTTTTTATCAGTTTGTTTTTGACTTGCTGTTTCGTGGAAGCAGCTTTTCTCAAATGCCCAGTGGTCCTCTTTTCCTATTCTGCTTCAGAGTAAGGCAGCAGATATTCTGGGCACTTAGATCCTCTGAGGCTTGTCAAGTGGTGGGTCTTGCTGTAGGAGGACTGCTCAGGGATATGCCATGTTTACTGAGGAGGCCCCAAATATCCACATCTGCAAGGCTTTTTCTCCTGAGTTTGACAGTTTCTTCAGAAAGAAATCCTCCAGTTTTCTACTTGGTGAATATGAGGAATTTTAAGTTGGCAGCCAGCATTTTGAGAATCAATAAGGGTTGGGAGGAGGGAAATCTTTCAGAACGCAGATACTCACTTAGGCTCTAAGCTTTTTTTTTTTTTTTTTTTTAAATTTCAAAAACTTTAATTTTGTAGAGATGAGGTTTCACTATGTTGTTGGTCTTGAACTCAAGAGCTCAAGTGATCCTCCTGCCTTGGCATCTCAAAGTGCTGGGATTACAGGCATGAGCCACTGCGCCCACCCATGCTCTCTCCTTTAAGGATGGTGGCTACCCCCACCCTCAGCTGTGCCTGGTTTCTCTGTCCAGAGCCTCAGATTAACCCAACCAATTACAGCCACGAAGTTAAATAAATTCCAAGAGGCTTTGGCTAAAAAGGCAAGAAGTTTTGCACTAGAGTTTCTGAATTAAAAGAAAACCAAAAAAGTTCCCTCTCATCTGCCAAAATGAGAAATTCACCCAATTCAAGCCCCTTTACCCCTCCCACTTCGCCATGCTTTTTTCCCCCCCGCTTTGATAATGCCTCAGAACAAGTATTCAGGGTCCAAGTTTGTTTTAAAATAACCCAATGAGCTGACAGACGGAGCTCCTGGAATTCTGCAGCTTGTGCGAGAGTCCACAGATGGGAAATTGCAGTCAGTTATAGGGTGGTGCTATTACCATAGCCCAATTTTTGAAAGCCTTTAGAAAAAAAAAGTCATCTGAGTTAATTAGCATTCACCACAGGCACTAGTTTTGTGTTGCAGTATTCTAAGAACTCAGATAATAGAAAAATTCAGTACTGCAATCTCTAACTTTAACTAATCTTTTACCTCTTAAAAACGAAGATTACAAAGAAAGGATTTTACCTGTTACGTGAATATGCCTAAGGCTCATCTATAGCCATATATCACCAAGAAATATCAATTATGTTCTAAAATCCACTAATTACTACTGGTACCTAAAACAGGAGTAATTTCATTTTACCTCTCCGATCTGTTTAATCCACAAATCTCTTCCAAGAAATTCCTGATGTAAGACTACAGGAGCTGAGTTTAGATTAAAAGTCATGGAGTCACTGGTCTTTTCTTTAATAAAAGGCTGGACATCAGAATTTATCTACAAGAAGCAATTAAATGAGTAAATTAGTGAAATGTATATACACTAGTATGTTTTAGTTATATTCAGAAAGTACCAGTTAATGCAGTGAAATATGAAGCTTAAGGAATGCAGTTTTTAGATATACTTTAATAAACAAAAGAATATTTCAGGCCAGGTGCAGTGGCTTACGCCTGTAATCTCAGCAGTTTGGGAGGCTGGGATGGGTGGATCACCTGAGGTCAGGAGTTTGAGACCAGCCTGGTCAAAATGGCGAAACCCCATCTCTACTAAAAAAACAAAAATTGGGGGGGGTTTGCACACACATTCCAGCTACTAGGGAGGCTGAAGCAGGAGAATCGCTTGAACCTGGGAGACAGAGGTTGCAGTGAGCCGAGATTGCGCCACTGCACTCCCCTCTGGGCGAGAGCAAAACTCCGTCTCAAAAAAAAAAAAAAAAATTTCAGATGATTAACAATAACCTGTAAAATTCTCCAGAATTATTCCCTAATACATTCCTTTTCTAGTGGGTGGTGGTCTTTATTTTACTTTTTAAGTTAAAGGAAAAGATTTAGATAAAGATTTAATAAATAGAATTGCTTAATAAACTAATCTAAGATTAAATAAAATATGCAAAAAGCTCACCTGGAGATATTATATATGTATATATTCCCCCCCTTATGAACTATTTAAGTAACATCTGAATAGTATATATTAAATTAAATTTAAAATTATATATATAGAGAGAGGCAACAACACAGCAGCTAATCTTGGGATATTTTAGATTTCATATGCCCATTCAAAGAATTAGTTATTAAAATTAAAGCTTTCAATTTTATTCACTATATTTCTGAATTTTATTAACTTTTCATAACATGTTTTATATAAAGAGCTATAAGGGGCCAGGCGTGGTGGCTCACACCTGTAATCCCAGCACTTTGGGAGGCCAAGGCGGGCAGATCACGAGGTCAGGAATTCGAGACCATCCTGACCAACATGGTGAAACCTCGTCTCTACTAAAAATACAAAAATTAGCCAGGCGTGGTGGCATGTGCCTGTAATCCCAGCTACTCAGGAGGCTGAGGCAGGAGAATCGCTTGAACCTGGGAGGCAGAGGTTGCGTTGCAGTGAGCTGAGATTGCACCACTGCACTCCAGCCTGGGTGACAGAGCGAGACTCCATCTCAAAAAAAAAAAAAAAAAAGCTATAAGGGAACTGTAACAAAAAAGACAAATATTCTTCCATTATGTGAATATATTCCAGTCTGTAAATATGTTATTTAATAATATGTAAGAGTTCTCTCAAGAACCCTTTCAGGTGGGAAGAAAAGACAAACATCACAAAAATGGTTCAAGTAAACTGTGGCTTTCTGTAAGAATTACACAATACTTAGCAATTATACTATTTACATTACATAACAATCATCCAGGACTGACAGATTTGAACCACACAATAAGCATTTTTGAAATATAAAAGAAGCTTATTAAATGGCAAAAGGTTTCTTGTGTGTCGTTTTAGCTATTTAAGTACTGAAAAAAGATAAAGGGTGTGCAAAGTACCTTATGACTCATGGCCATGTGCTTCCCATACTGAAATGCCATATTCTGAACCTCAGCATCATGCTTTGCTAATTCCATTGCAGCTTGGCAGCTCTTTGCTAGTAAGGCACCATGGGAGAGAAAAGTCTGCTCCTTCCAAGTCGATATTCCAATATCATCTGTGATATAACTTTCCTAAAAATGTAACAAAAGCCAAGATAAAAAAGACTTTAGGAGTAATTTAATTGTTTCTGTTTTTGAAGAATAAAAAAGTTAAGAAACGAACTATTCAAAAACACTCAGGCTATTGGAACAAGACAGAACTAAAAGATGCCTAACCTCAGCTCTACCTAAAAAGAATGTGGTGGGAAAACTGCTTTTTTATGGTAATAGGGGGAAAGTTAAAGAAATGTTAAAGCAAATTTTATTCTAAGCTAGGGAACTTCTATTAAAATATACCCTACAGGATAAGGGAAAAAGTAGAAAGACTTCAAACTAACTCCCTTCTATAGTCAATATCAGTTCTTAAGTGCTGGTATTAAGCACAAGAAGCCTATTGCATTTAATTTATGTGAAAATGTCAAGGGCATATGGAAGGAACTACATTTTCTTAGAAATAATTAAATAGAAAAATAAGGCTGGGCATGGTGGCTCATGCCTATAGTCCAAGCACTTTGGGAGGCCAAGGCAGGAGGATTGCTTGAGGCCAGGAGTTCGAGACCAGCCTGGGCAACATAGCAAGACTCTACAAAAAAAAAAAAAAAAAAATAGCTAGGCAAGGGGGTGTGCCCCTGTAGTCCTGACTACTCAGGAGGCTGAGGCAGGAAGATCACTTGAGCCCAGGAGTTCAAGGTTATAAGTAAGCTATGATTGCACCACTGCACTACAGCCAGGATGACAGAGCAAGACCCTGTCTCTTTCTCTCCCCCTCTTTTTATTTGAGACAGGGTCTTGTTCTGTCACCCAAGCTGGAACGTAGTGGCATGATCATGGCTCACTGCAGCCTTGACCTCCCGGGCTCAAGCGATCCTTCCATCTCAGCCTCCCAAGTAGCTGGGACCACAGGCATGCACCACCACACCAAGTTAATTTTTTGTATTTTTTGTAGATACAGAGTTTCTCCATGTTGGCCAGGCTGGTCTTGAACTCCTGAGCTCAAGTGATCTGCCAGCCTTGACCTCCCAAAGTACTGGGATTACAGGCATAAGCCACCACACCCAGATAATTTTTTTTTTTTTTTTTAATAGAGATGGGGTTTCACCATGTTGGTCAGGCTGGTCTTGAACTCCTGGTCTCAGGTAATCTGCCTGCCTTGGCCTCCCAAAGTGCTGGAATTACAGGCATGAGTCACTGCGCCCAGTTTACCCTCTATCTTAAAAAAAGAAAAAGAAGGGTGGGCATGGTGGCTCATGCCTGTAATCCCAGCACTTTGGGAGGCTGAGGTGGGTGGATCACGAGGTCAGGAGTTCAAGACTAGCCTAGCTAACATGGTGAAACCCTGTCTCTACTAAAAATAGAAAAATTAGCCGGGTGGTGGCAGGTGCCTGTAATCCCAGCTACTTGGGAGGCCGAGGCAGGAGAATCACTTGAACCTGGGTGGGAGAGGTTGCAGTGAGTCGAGATTGCACCCCTGCACTCCAGCCTGGGCGAAAGAGCAAGACTGTCTCAAAACAAAGAAACAAACAAAGCAAAAGAAAGAAAAATCAGAGAAGATGTAATCTATTATAATGGAGAATGAATATTATAGTCTTCATGAAAGTTTATTCTCATAAGAAACAAGGTGTAAAAGAGGATATAATTTATAAATAAATATATACACATCTACCACCTCTAGACCAATGCTGTCCAATGGAAATATAATGTGAACCACATATGTAATGTAAACTTTTCTAGTGGCTATATAAAAAAAAGTGGAAACAGGTAAAATTAATCTTAATGACATATTTTATCTATCCCAATATATCCAAATATCATTTTAAACATATATTGAATATGAAAATTATTAGTGAGCTATTTTACACTTTTTTTTTTTTTGAGATGGAGTCTCTCTGTGTCACCCAGGCTGGAGTGCAGTGGCGCGATCTCGGCTCACTGCAAGCTCTGCCTCCCGGGTTCACTCCATTCTCCTGCCTCAGCCTCTCCGAGTAGCTGGACTACAGGCGCCCGCCACCACGCCCAGCTAATTTTTTGTATTTTTAGTAGAGACGGGGTTTCACCGTGGTCTCGATCTCCTGACCTCGTGATCCGCCCGCCTCGGCCTCCCAAAGTGCTGGGATTACAAGTGTGAGCCACCGCTCCCGGCCTTTACACTTTTTTTATACTAAGTTTTCAAAATCACTGTGCATTTTATACTTACAACACCTCACTAGCCACAATTTAAGTGCTCAGCATTGGACAGTAGGGCTCTGAGGAAAGGAATGCTGAAGCAAACATATAAAACCATGTTCATTTTATGGCATTTATTTGAAACGTCAAACTAACTGGAACCTACCCAGAAGGATTAATTAACTCAATACACTTTTCTTCCTGCTCCTGATCCTATAATCCTTTCTCTTTTCACAATTGCTTGGAGACAAAATAAAAAATATTAAGAAAAAAAAGTGGTCACCAAAAGGTCAGCTGAAATAGAGCCCCCTCCTCTTCTGCCATGTTGAGGGGCATCTTCAGCCCACTGGTCAAATCAAATTATTAGCTTAACTTCATGCAATGTTTTTGAGATGGGGTCTTGCTATATTGCCCAGACTGGTCTCAAACTCCTGAGCTCAAGCAATCCTCCCACCTCAGCTTTCCAAGTAACTGGGATCACAGGTGTGTGCCACCATGCCCAACATCACCTTAATTTTATTAAGTATTTGAACAACAAAAAAAATTCCACTTATGGCAATGGTTGCAAATATGCAACACAGCATTGGATAATGACAGAAAAGCCACACAGGAGAGAAACAATGCATAATGTTAAGACCTTCTTTACAAAACATTAGGTATAAATTATAACATACTTAATTTTATAAATCTGAGAATGTATTTTAAAATGTGACAATATATATTAATAAACCTAAGAAAAACCATATTATCTCTCCATATATACTGCAGAGGTATTTGACAAAATTCAACTCCTATTCTTGATGAGAAAAAATGTCCAGAATAAAATAGGAAGAGCTGGGTGCAGTGGCTCACACCTGTAATCGTAGCAACTCAGGAGGCTGAGGAGGGAGGATCACTTGAACCCAGGAGTTCAAGGCTGCAGTGGGCCATAATCATGCCACTGCTGTCCAGCCTGGATGACGCAGTGAGAACCCTAACTCTAAAAAATAAAAAAATAGCAACTGATGTGTATTTCTTTAATGTGATAGGGGTGTGTGTGTCAGCCCAAAAGTCAGCAAATATTTTATGAGGAAACATGAGCCTTTCTCACTAATGTCAGGAGTAAGACAGAGATGCACACAACACCACTGATATTTACAATGTAATAGAAGAGATAAGAGAAAGGTAGATGTAAACAAATTAGGAAAGATGAGTTTAACTCTTACTGTTTGAAGGCAATATAACTGCATACTGGGAAAATCAAGAGATTCAACTAAAAAACTACTATAAACTAGAAGATAATTCAGTAAGGTAGCAGTGTCTAAAATTAATAATTTATTATTAACATAATAAATTGTATTAACTATAGCTTTCATACATAAAAACTAATCAGTAAGTTTTATAAATAGGATCTTTTCTTTCATTATGAATACAAAAATAAAAGATTAAAAAACTGGGAATAAGGTCGGGAACGGTGGCTCATGCCTGTAATCCCAGCACTTTGGGAGGCAGAGGTGGGCAGATTACTTGAGTTTAGGAGTTAAAGACCAGCCTGAGCAACATGGTGAAATCCCGTCTCTACCAAAAATACACAAATTAGTTGGGTGTGGTGTCTTGTGCCTATAGTCCCAGCTACTTGGGAGGCTGAGGCAGGAGAATGACGTGAGCTTGGGAAGCAGAGGCTGCAGTGAGCTGAGATTTTGCCACTGCACTCCAGCCTGGGCAACAAAGGGAGACCCTGTCCAAAAAAACCCAAAATACAACAAAAAACCCAAAACAAAGAAAAAAACCTAGGAATAAGGCCAGGTGAGGTGGCTCACACCTGTAATCCCAGCAGTTTGGGAGGGTGAGGGGGCGGATCACCTGAGGTCAAGAGTTTGAGACCAGCCTGACCAACATGGTGAAACCCAGTCTCTACTAAAAATACAAAAATTAGCCGGGCATGGTGAAGTACTCCTGTAGTACCAGCTACTTGGGAGGCTGAGGCAGGAGGATCACTCGAACCAGGGAGGCAGAGGTTGCAGTGAGCTGAGATTGCGCCACTGCACTCTAACCTGGACAACAGAGCCAGACTCCATCTCAAAGAAAACCAAAAAAAACAAAAAACAAAAAACAAAACCTGGGAATAAGCTTAGAAACGCGCAAAACTGAATGCGCAAAACTGAATGAAGAAAATGTTAAAATACTATTGCAGGAACAAAGATAACTCGAATGAATATAAAGACATATCATGTTCAAAGATAGTAAGATCCAACCTCATAAGTTACTCCAATAAAACTAACAATACCTTTTCCCTCTGACACTGGGCAAACTGAAGTTCATATGGGAAAAATAAACAAAGAAGAGCAGCCAGGAAAATCTTGAAAAAGAAGAGCAATGAATGTGTGTGTGTTGGGGGAGGGGTGGAGAGGGACAGCAAATTTTGTCTAAGCCTTACCAGATACTATAACATGCTGTAAAATCTCAGAAATTTTAAAAATATGTACTTTTTAGATAGAGAGACAGACTAGGGAGCAAAATAGAAAGTCCAGAAAGCAACCAAACTATATATAGGGATTTGCTATATTTTAGGAAGAAGTTGAACTTTTCAGTAAATGGTGCTGGTACAACTAAAGAGCTATCTGGAAAAAATAAAGTCTGAGCTGCATTTCGTACTATTTACCAGGATAAACTCTAAATGGCAAAAACAGCAAAACCACCACAAAACCACGGGCAATGTTAGGAGACAAAGGACAATGAGGAAAACAATTCATATTTCCTATCACAGACAAACGGCGAATCTCCCTGAGGTAGGCTAACAATGCTCAATGTTTAAGCAAAGATGTCTATATCCTAATCCCTGGAAGCTATGAATGTTACCTTACAAGGCAAAAGGGACTATACAGATGTAATTAAATTCAGGATTTTGAAATGAGGGGATTACTCTGGTTTAACTGGATGGGCTCAATGTAATCATAGTAGTCCTTATAAGAGGGAGGCACAGTCAAAGTCATAAAAGGTAATTTAATGACAGGAGAGAGAAATTTGAAGATGAGAGATGGGGCCATGAGCCAAGGAATAAACATGGAAATTAGAGAAGGCAAGGAAATGGATTTTCCAATAGAACTCCAGGAAGAATACAAGTCTGTCAACATCTTGATTTAGTGACTTCTGACCAATAAAAAAAAAAAACTCTCAGCTTCCCTCTTAGTGATGGTAAGGCTGTGACCAAATAGGCCTCTCAAATATGGCTGGTGGAAGTGGAAACTAGCTGGAAATTCCACAATCTCTATCAAAATTATAAGTGAATTTGCCCTGTGACTCAGGAATCCCATGTCCAGGAATTAATCCTACAGATAAACCTACATACATGCGAAATGAAATATGTACAAAGTGTGAAAGTTGATCACAGAAATTGGGTCAATCTTGTCACACCTGACTAAAACAGAGTTGAGAAGTCACAGGAGGAAAAAGGACTTAGAATATGTAACATTGCTCCAAAACTGTAAGTCTCTACAAGCCTGGCTGCTCAAGCTGCCTGCTATAATCTCAAATCAGTTTTATCTAATAGTTGCTGAAATAACTTGCTGCAACTCTAAGACTAATTTTATCCACCACTATCATTCACTAATCAAAATCTGCCAACTCCCCAGAACCTTACTAGTGCGGATGAACTCTCTCAAAGAGCAATATGTAACATTTCTCCTTTTCATAAAACCTCCAACCTTCTCTCTGTTCTTCAGACATACTAAAGACCATTTGGTCTGTGTGTACACCCTGAATTGCAATTCTTTCCTCTCAAGTAAACTGTTAAATTTAGATATTTGGCTCTCTATACATTTTATTTGACTTTGACAAAGGTTACAGTCTGTTGTTCACCCAACTGCCAGGGTGACCTTTAAAAACACAAACCAGAACTACAATGGCCTCCAGCTGTTCCAAACACTCTAGGCATCACCTCCTAGATGCCTCTTGGCCTCTAGGAGGCCTCTGCACTTGCTGTTCTGCAGATACACTCTCTAGACGTTTGCATGGCTAGATTTCTCATTACTTTTGGGTCTCTACTTAAACTTCAACTCATCTTTAATAGTCTACCAGCCTCCCCCATTATTTCCTATATCCTTACCTTGCGTTAAACCTTTCTTCCTTGATATTACTGGACCACTCATATACTTATTTGTTAAATGAGTTATTGTCTGTCTCCTTTACTAGACTATAAGTTCCATGAAAGCAAGGACTTGGTTTGGCCTCTGCTGCACAATCAGCATCTAATATAGTATCTTAGGTGGGCAATAAATATTTGTTGAATTTTTTGTCTTTCTTTTGGTATCTCTCTCCCTCTTTTGTACCTTCCTCTATCTTTCCTAACTTGGTCAGAATAAAGAATTGAAATAATTCTCCTTTAGGCTGGATGCGGTGGCTCATGCCTATAATCCCAGCACTTTGGGAGGCCAAGGCGGCCGGATCACCTGAGGTCAGGAGTTTGAGACCAGCCTGGCCAACATGGTGAAACTTTGTCTCTACTAAAAATGCAAACATTAGCTGGGCCTGGTGGTGGGTGCCTGTAATCCCAGCTATTCAGGAGGCTGAGGCAGGAGAATCACTTGAACCCAGGAGGCAGAGGTTGCAGTGAGCCGACATCACGCCATTGCACTCCAGCCTGGGTGACAAGAGTGAAACTCTGTCTCAAAAAAAAAAAAAATTAATTAAAAAAAAATTCTCTTTTAATGCCTCTCTACTGCTCATAGAATCAAGATGAACTCTATAGCATAGCATTCAAGGCATTCCCTTTTATAGTACCAAGCAATACTTCTAGTCCCATCTCCTACACAAAATATCCCCTTTGAGGCCTGAATTTAACACACAGGGGAAGTTGCTGTTTCTTGAATAAAATACATATTTTCACACTTGCGTGAATTTATTTTATTTATTTTTGTGATGGAGTCTTGCTCTGTCACCCAGGCTGGAGTGCAGTGGCGCAATCTCGGCTCACTGCAACCTCCGCCTCCCAGGTTCAAGCAATTCTCCTGCCTCAGCCTCCCGAGTAGCTGGGACTACAGGTGCGCACCACTACACCCGGCTAATTTTTGTATTTTTAGTAGAGACGATTTTCGCTATGTTGGCCAGGGTGGTCTCAAACTTCTGACCTCAGGTGATCCACCCGCCTTGGCCTCCCAAAATGCTGGGATTATAGGCATGAGCCACTGTGCTTGGCCTACTTGTGTGAACTTTAAATCTAATCCAGATATCACTTCTTTGAGGAGCGCTCTCAAATACTACCACAAATATTTTCCTCTTTAGACTAACATTATCTTATTTATATTATGACACAGCAGTTAATTCTCTCTGAACTGTATGATTTCTTATATGTTTCCTTGAAGGTTAGACCTGGTACTAGTCACTTTTATATTTTTTAATCACTTAGGCCATATTCAAGTTTCAAGTATTTGCTAAATGAATAGTACCTGTTTATCTGTTGCATTATTAAGTAGATGTGTGCGTGTGTTTTAAATGTTAAAAGCTAATGGGTAGATATGGACATATAATGACATGCTATTCAGCAATAAAAAGGAATTACTGACACATGCTATGCCATGGATGAACTTCGAAAACATTATGCTAAGTGGAAGAAGCCGGACACAAGAGACCACATATTTGTATAATTCCATTGATGTGAAATGTAGATTAGTGATTGCCTGGGGCTGGGGGTGGGAACTGTAAATGGGCATGAGGGACCTTATAGGGGTGTGTGTGAAAATGTTCTAAAAATGATTTGGTAATGACTGTATCACTTGATAAAAGTTACTAAAAATCATTGAATCGTAGGCTTGAAATGGGTGAATTTTATGACATAAAATATACCTCAATAAAGCTGTTAAGAAAGAAAAAAGCTAATGAGCATAATATTTTACATTTATTGGTCTCAAATGTTTAAATTAACATTTTAAAAAATGTATGACTCTCAATTAACTGTGGTTTGCATATCATCCTCATTTATTCATGCAAAAAAAACCCATTTATTAAGGTTCTATTATGGTTCAGGCTTTCTGCAAAGCAATATAGATATGAAGATTAATAAACAGCCTGTCCTCAAGAAGCTCACAGTCCAGGGATAGAATGTATATATATCAATATATAGATATAACTATATAGATACAGATATCTATATATAGAATGTATAGATAATTCTATTTCAGAATAATTGAAAGATCTCTAAAATCAAAGATTCAGTTTTGTTTATTACATATTTCTTACTGTGATTAAGACTTTATTATTCATCATTTCTACATTTTAAATTATTCAAGTAATACACGATCACTGGAAAAAAAATAGAAAATTCAGAAAACCAAGAAACGATTAATTTATAGTCCCCTGAAATCTACTACCATAAGTTAATTGGACCACAAATTAACTGTTCCTAAGTTAATCAGAAATTTTATTCCCTAAACATTATTACCTTTTATGAGTTTGGTTACTAATGAAACAAAATCCCTCATTTCCATCAGCTTGCCGTGTATATACTAAGAGAGCATGCTCTATTATAAAGGAAAAGTTAGTATAAATTGTAAAATGCCAAGAAACTAGTATGATAACCACATCCAAATCAGTACCTTCAGATACCAGATATACAGAATTGTGAAATGAATGCATGTTAGTCAGAGTAAATGAGATTTAGATATACCTATATCAGGACGGGCGCGGTGGCTCACGCCTGTAATCCCAACACTTCGGGAGGCCGAGGCAGGTGGATCACGAGGTCAGGAGATTGAGACCATCCTGGCTAACACGGTGAAACCCCGTCTCTACCAAAAATGCAAAAAATTAGCTGGGAGTAGTGGCGGGCGCCTGTAATCCCAGCTACTTGGGAGGCTGAGGCAGGTGAATGGCGTGAACCTGGGAGGCGGAGCTTGTAGTGAGCCGAGACCGCACCATGGCACTCCAGCCTGGGCGACAGAGTGAGACTCCGTCTCGAAAAAAAAAAAAAAAAAAAAAAAAAAAGATACACCTATATCATCAACTTACATATGTGCAGTTTTTACTAAGGTTTATTATACAGAAAAGGAGGATACATTCAGTGAATATTTACTTTTGACGGGATTTCCTTTTTTTTTCCTGAAAGGTGATAGATGTCAAGATACTTGTTGAATGACTATCAGAGAGAAGTATGTTAATTTTTTTTAAATGTAGGTCTCACTGTCACATGACCTTTTTGCTGAAGTAAGGCTGGTTCAAATAACATGGGAAAAAAACTGAAACTTGCAAGATGATGCTTGCTTGAGATAGTGGTACTGGTGGTTTTGCTCAGCCATATGCTGCTCTCCTACTTTACTGCTCCGAGAGATACTTTGAGTTGCTTTTCTAATGGTGGTGAGACATTTGTACATATCTACTCACATGAGAACAAACTGCACTTGTAACAGTGGCTGCTCAGGATTAAAGGTCTGGTCCATGGTCACAGAACAAAGGTGAACTAATTGGCCCGGAAAGGTGTCAAAGCCCCAGCAAGAACCTGCCAAGCCAAACTGCTACCTTTCACATAATCAGAAAAGAAGAGGTGGAAACAAAGAAGCTAGCTGCCTGTGAAGTTAAAAGTACTTTTTAAAAAAGTATGCAAATGTCGCCTGTTTTCATGCTTAGGATTTCAGATTCATATTCTGGGTCACTATCTTTATAAATACAACCTAAATTTGGGTTGGATGAGACACCAGATCTCTCTAATGACCCATTTCACCATGTTAAATGTTTGCTTTGAATTAGCCTTTTCAATTATTTTGAGAAACTGGACAGCCAAAAATTTACATACCTTATTATTTTTTTTAAAAAAGGTCAAGTATAGAAAAATGTCTATAAATCTCCACATTTGGGAATCAGAAAAAAGCAAGGAAAAGAATGCAATCTAATATCTCCTGGGAGCTAACTATGTGATGACACTTTTATGTTCTTTATTATAACAGCCCTCAGAAATATTAATTATCATTATTCCCATTTAATAGGTAAGGAGGGCCGGGCATGGTAGCTCACACTTGTAATCCCAGCACTTTGGGAGGCCGAGGTGGGTGGATCACTTGATGTCAGGAGCTCGAGACCATCCTGGCCAAAATGGTGAAACCCCATCTCTACTAAAAATACAAAAAATTAGCTGGGCGTGGTGGCAGCACCTGTAATCCCAGCTACTCAGGAGGCTGAGGCAGGAGAATCACTTGAACTTGGGAGGCAGAGGTTGCAGTGAACCAAGATGGTGCCACTGCACTCCAGCCTGGGTGACAGAGCAAGACTGTCTCAAAAAAAAAAAAAAAAAAGGTAAGATTTCAAGAATGTATTTTGACCAAGATTAGACCGTAGTATGTGGCAGAGATGAGTCTCAGAAGTATAGCAATTGGATTCCATTTTCTTAGCACATAACAGAATATATGCAATACTTAATATATCTTACGGTTTAAAAGCAGGTTGTAGACTGGGTGTGGTGGCTCATACCTGTAATCTAAGCACATTGGGAGGCCAACATGTGAGGACAGCTTAAGCCTAAAATGTCAAGACCAGCCTGGGCAACAAAGTGACACCCTGTCTCTACAAAAAAAATTTTTTTTTTTTTTTTAAGATGGAGTATCACCCTGTCACCCAGGCTGGAGTGCAATGGTGCAATCTCGGCTCACTGCAACCTCTGCCTCCTGGGTTCAAGTGATTCTCCTGCCTCAGCCTCCTGAGTAGCTGGGATTACAGGTGTGCGTCACCACACCCAGATAATTTTTTGTATCTTTAGCAGAGGCCAGGATGGTCTCGAACTCCTGACCTCATGATCCGCCCGCCTCAGCCTCCCAAAGTGCTAGGATTATAGGTGTGAACCACTGCGCTCTACAAACATTTTTTTAAAAAATTGGCCAGGCATGGTGGCTCATGCCTATAATCCTGGCACTTTGGGAGGCCGAGGTGGGCAGATCACCTGAGCTCAGGAGTTTGAGACCAGCCTGGGCAACATGGTGAAACTCTGTCTCTACCAAAAATACAAAAAACAAGCCAGTTGTGGTGGCATGTGCCTGTGGTCCCAGCTCCTCGGGAGGCTGAGGTGGGAAGACTGCTTGAGCCTGGGAGGGAGGTGGAGGTTGCAGTGAGCTGAGATCATGCCACCACGCTCCAGGATGGGTGACAGAGTGAGACTCCATCTCAAAAAACAAACAAACAAACAAACAAAAACTAGTTGGGCATGATGGTACATGCTTGTGGTTCCAGCCACACATGGGAGGCTGAGGTGGGGAGATCGCTTGAGTCCAGGAGGTCAAGGCTGCAGTGAGACACGTTCAGGCCACTGCACTCTAGCTTGGGCAGCAGAGTAAAACCCTGTCTCAGGGTTGTAGATTGTATTTAAGAGTGAATGACATCTATGTACCCGCCCCCGACCCCGACCCACCAAGAGCATTTAAACTTGTAAATCAAGCCCTTTAATATTATCCATTGAAGAAATCCCAGAGTCTAGAGCAGGGGTCCCCAACCTCCAGGCCATGGACTGGTACTAATTCTGTGGCCTCTTAGGAACTGGGCTGCACAGCAAGAGGTGAGCGGTGGGTGAGCGAGCATTACTGCCTGAGCTCCACCTCCTGTCAGATCAGCATGGGCATTAGATTCTCAAAGAAGTGTGAACCCCGTTGTGAACTGTGCATGCCAGGGATCTAGGTTGCCTGCTCCATAATGCCTGATGATACGAAGTGGAACAGTTTCATCCCGAAACCATCCCCATGCATTGAGTGCTGTATTCTAGGTGTGCAAGGATGAGGTAAAGTGGGGATTGAGAAGCAACAACAATATGAGCTGCTCAAAAAGCGAAACAAGATCACTCCTTATTGTGGACAGGACAGTTGCTCATCCAGGATCCATTTCTCTCTCCTCTCCCTGCTTACTAATAAAACCGTAATTTTCTTCAGGTATTTACTGCTCCTGCTAATGATTAATTTAGGAAAGGATATATCATCCAATTCTAGCCTAAGAGATATGAGGGAAATCCACCACTGAGCTCCTAGGAAAGACCCACGTAGAAGTGGGAGTTGTTTCCTCTAGATGTTGCCCTGTCTTGACAGGACATACCAAGGGCTACTGTAGCTTAACTGCTACCAGGCTGATGATAAAGACAACAGTAAGGAAGGCAGAGCACGGACAGAGAGGGCTTCAATAGTGCTGAGTTGTCATGTTAAACTATCCCTGATGCCTGACTACCTCTGCATATACAGTTAGAGTAAAATATATATAGAGAGAGTAAAATATACATCTTCACTTATATGCACATCTATTTAATTGGGTTTTCCATTTTTTTGCTGCTGAAAGCATTCCAATGAATTTACTCCCTAAGATAAAAAATGGTTACACTATACGAAATCTAGATATGCCAACATTAACAACTACTAGAACATGTAAGTATTTCCTTAGGATGGTGTATTAGTTATCTATTGCTGCAAAACAAACTAGCATCTTAAAACAACTGACATTTATTATTTCACAGTTTCTGAGGGTCAGGAATCCAGGAATGGCTCAGCTGGCTGGTTCTGGCTCATGGTTTCTCGTGAGGTTGCAGTCATG
This sequence comes from Homo sapiens, assembly GCF_000001405.40. Lineage (NCBI taxonomy): Eukaryota > Metazoa > Chordata > Mammalia > Primates > Hominidae > Homo > Homo sapiens. The sequence continues at coordinate 107,224,937 of NC_000006.12, forward strand.
CTGTTGGCCACGGCTACAGTCATATGAAGGGGCTGAAGAATCTGCTCCAAGCTCAATTAAATGGTTGTCGGCAGTAGGCTTTAGTTCTTGCCACACAGGCCACTCACGTGCCATGGCAGCTGGCTTCCCTAGAGCAAGTGATCCAGGAGAGTAAGAACACACCCAAGAAGGACGAAGGAAGCTTCACTATATATATATTTTTATATATATATATATATATATATATTTTTTTTTTTTTTTTTTTTTTTTTTTTGAGACAGAGTGTCACTCTGTTGCCCAGGCTGGAGTGCAGTGGCATGATCTTGGGCTCACTGCAACCTCCGCCTCCCGGGTTCATGTGATTCTCTTGCCTCAGCCTCCTGAACAGCTGGGATTACAGATGTGTGCCACCATGCCCGGCTAATTTTTGTATCACTGTATTGGTCAGGCTGGTCTTGAACTCCTGACCTTGTGATCTGCCTGCCTTGGCCTCCCAAAGTGCTGAGATTACAAGTGTGAGCCACCATGCCTGGCCTTCTTCACTATCTTTTATAACCTAATCTTGGAAGTAACATGCCATTGCTTCTACTCTATATTATTGGTCACACAGATCAACTCTAGTACAATGTAGGAAGGGTTTGCACAAGGCGTACAAGGAGGTGGGGCTAATTGGGGGTGATCTTGGTGGCTGGCTACCACAGATGAAGTTCGTGATTAGAATTATTGGGGTCAACAGATCTGAATATATAAAAATCTCTTAAAACATTCTTTCAAATTGTTTTCTAGAAAAATTCTTTTGATCTGCATACTAACCAGCCAAGTTTGAGACTATCTTGCCATTAAGTAGAATTATTGTTTCACTTTTCAGATAAAAAGTGACACTTCATTTAAACTTGGGAAGACATTTCACTTATTAGCCATTTGTTCTTCCTCAATTTATTCATTTATTAAAGATTCACTAAGTATAAAAAAAAGATTGACTGAATATCTTCTATGTGCAAGGTAAGTACTCATGCCAATGAGCAAAACCAGAGAGTTCTTGCTCTCATAGTTATTACAGTCTAATGGGGAAGCCAAACAATTGGATAACCGCACAAAGAAATATAATTATAGCCAGGTGCAGTGGCTCACGCCTGTAATCCCAGCACTTTGGGAGGCCGAGGCAGGAGGATCATGAGGTCAGGAGATCGAGACCATCCTGGCTAACACAATGAAACCCTGTCTCTACTAAAAATACAAAAAAATTAGCTGGGCGTGGTAGCAGGCGCCTGTAGTCCCAGCTACTCGGGAGGCTGAGGCAGGAGAATAGCGTGAACCTGGGAGGCAGAGCTTGCAGCAGTGAGCCGAGATTGCGCCACTGCACTCCAGCCTGGGCGACAAAGCGAGACTCCGTCTCAAAAAAAAGAAATATAATTATAAACTGAGATACTTCTGATGCAGGAAAATGAACATACTTCTATGACCACATGGAATAAAAGAACTTGGCTGAGACTGGGGTTTCTGGAGATGGCTTCCCTGAGGACATGACACTTGAGCTGACAAAGGAAACATAAATAAGGGGTAAAGAGTGAAGGAGATGGAAAAGTGTGTTCCAAGCTGCAAGGATGGCCCATACAGAGGAGGATGTCTGTGGATCAGCTATTAGGGCTGATATGCAGACAGTGAGGGTGAGAATGGTAGAAAGTGAGGCTGGAGGGACAGACTGAGGTCAGACTATGTAAGCATCTTTTGGGTCACTTTCAGGATTTTGGAATTTTTTTTTTTTTTTTTTTGAGATGGAGTCTCGTTCTGTCGCCCAGGCTGGAATGCAGTGGCGCAATCTCGGCTCACTGCAACCTCCGCCTCTGGGGTTCAAGCGATTCTCCTGCCTCGGCCTCCTGAGTAGCTGGGATTACAGGTGTGTGCCACCATGCCTAGCTAATTTTTTCTGTATTTTTAGTAGAGAAGTGGTTTCACCATGTTGGTCAGGCTGGTCTTGAGCTCCTGATCTCATGATCCGCCTGCCTCAGTCTTCCAAAGTGCTGGGATTACAGGCTTGAGCCACCGCGCCCGGCCCAGCCAAACCCAGCCTTTTTTTTAATTACTTTTTTTTTTGAGACAGAGTCTCGCTCTGTTGCCCAGGGGCACAATCTTGGCTCATTGCAATCTCCGCCTCCTGGGTTCAAGCGAATCTCCTGCCTCGGCCTCTCAAGTAGCTTGGATTACAAGTGCCCGCCACCACATCTGGCTAATGTTTTAAATATTTTTGGTAGAGACAGGGTTTTACCATGTTGGCCAGGCTGGTCTCGAACTCCTGACCTCAAGTGATCTGCCGGCCCTGGCCTCCCAAAGTGCTGGGATTATAGGTGTAAGCCACTGTGCCCTTTTTTTTTTTTTTTTTTTTTTTTTTTTGAGACAGAGTCTCACTCTGTGGCCCAGGCTGGAGTGCAGTGGCACGATCTTGGCTCACTGCAACCTCCGCCTCCCAGGTTCAAGCGATTCTCGTGCCTCAGCCTCCTGAGTAGCTGGGATTACAGTTGTGTGCCACCACACTTGGCTAATTTTTATACTTTTAGTAAAGGCGGGTTTCACCATGTTGGCCAGGCTGGTCTTGAACTCTTGACCAAGTGATCTGCCTGCCTCAGCCTCCCAAAGTGCTGGGATTACAGGCTTGAGCCACTGCATCGGGCCCAGAGTCTACTTTTAAAGAGAGTGCTCCAAAGAGAAATTCCTTCTCTGCTCCCTCCCAGTTATGCTTCTGGTGAAGGTGGTGGTACGGAAGAGTAAGGCAGGCACCAGGTGAACCTGGTAAGGAGCAGAAGTATTAAGGATGACTTACAAGTTTTTGACTTGAAAATCTGAATGAATGGTGATGTGTTTTATGAAGATAGAGAACAATGGGATGGCTTCGAAGGGAAAGATCATATATGTGGTCTTAGATGTCCTGAGTCTGAGATGCCTGTGAGAACTTCAAGTGGAGGTGTTGAGAAAACAGTTAAATATTTAGCTCCAGAGCCCAGCAGTGACCCAGGATGGAGATAAAAATTGGGACTCACCAGCCTATAGACAGATGGTAATTGAAGGCTTGGGTTTCATTTTCTGAATGGCTTACTCTTGTCCTTTGATCAGAATGGTATTCTGTTAAACACTTTACATGCCTAATAGTGATGTTTTATCTCTCAGGCAAATAAACTGCCTTTTAAGATATTTTGCTGTGATAGTTGTAAGTAACCTAGAGTGCCTCCAAATGGTATACAAATTCAATTTAGACATTTAACAAATAAAAACATTCATCAACTAGATCCACTCTAAATTTGAGGGTCTACTTAATCAAAAGGGCCACTATACATACTAAGCTTTCTTAGTCACCAACAGTTTCTCTGCCTTCTCAATATCTATATCAACCTTCACTTTACCACTTTGCATATTTAATCTAATACTCCTATATTTGATTTCTAACATGTATACTTCACAAAACATTTGCTACTTTTATTTTTTTAATTAAAAAAGTTTGCTAGGCCAGGCGCGGCGGCTCACACCTGTAATCCCAGCACTTTGGGAGGCCGAGGTGGGCAGATCACCTGAGGCCAGGAGTTCGAGACCAGCCTGGCCAACGTGGTGAAACCCCGTCTCTACTAAAAATACAAAAAATTAGCTGGGCGTGGTGGCAAGCGCCTATAATCCCAGCTACTTGGGAGGCTGAGGCAAGAGAATCTCTTGAACCCAGGAGGCAGAGGCTGCAGTGAGCAGAGATCACACCATTGCACTCCAGCCTGGGTGACAGAGGGAGACTCTATCTCAAAATAAATAAATAAATAAATAAATAAACAAACAAACAAACAAACAAACAAACAAAACAAATTCCTCTCAATAGTCTTTAAATCTGAATAAGTTCAGTATTTTTACTTGCATCAAACGATTTATGACTGTGGTTACTTTATAAAAAAGGATGCCAGTAAAATTAAAGGTATTTATTATCACCACTAGCATCTTCAAAGTCTTTATTTGTGAGTGACAGAAGCTTGAACAAATGCCCAGCAAACAATAAAACATGACATGACATGTTTTATTAGCTCATTAATACATGCCTTGGGTACAATGTGAGGGACAGGTTGTGAGTAAATTGACCAATGAAATACACTTCAGAGTATCTTACTGCTTTTACACAGCACTCATTGTTTTACTTTTAAACCTCTTAGAATATACACTTTTTTAAAAAACAGCTTTTACATGTATATATAATTAAGACATTTTTAACTCCAAGGAAAAAAAATACATTTTTTCCTATTTCTGTTTGTTTTTAGTTTTTTGAGACGTTGTCTTCCTCTGTCGCCCAGGCTGGAGTGCAATGGCGTGATCTCGGCTCACTGCAACCTCCACCTCCTGGGTTCAAGCAATTCTCCCGCCTCAGCCTCCAGAGTAGCTGGGGTTACAGGCGTGCACCACCATGCCCGGCTAATTTTTGTGTTTTTAGTAGAGACGGGGTTTCACCATAAGCCAGGCTGGTCTCAAACTCCTGACCTCGTGATTCACCCGCCTTGGCCTCCCAAAGTGCTGGGATTACAGGTGTGAGCAACTGTGCCCGGCCTCACTTTTCCTATTTCTAATCTACTAAATAAAACTTTCAATATAAACCCCCTTCTACTTTGGTAGGGTGAATTAGCTTCTTTGAACTCAAACTCACTGATTCCCTCTTTCTAGTCGACGTCCCCTGCCCACCTTCATCCATTTTTATGGCAACAGTCTCAAAGCCCCGATCTTCCATTGTTATTACTCTGTGCTTCTGTAGGCATACATGTACAATAATGTCTACATATGAACACTGTAGTCCTCTCTGGCTGCTGGAGGATCTACTATCATCAGGAACTCTATGGTAACTATCTGGTCCAGGAAGTTCATGACCAACTGACTGACTACTTCAGTGGAAATACAACAAATGGTAATTGATGTCCTTTATCCTTGGAGGGCAACAGTACCTAAGGCAGAAATTCAGAGAAAATCTACCAAAATCTCACTGGATGTTATATTTGTATTTGGATTCAGAGCTCACATTGGTGGCGGCAAGAAAACTGGCTTTGGCATGATGTACGACTCGCTGGATTATGCAAAGAAATGTGAACCCAGATATGGACTTGAAAGATATAGCCTGTGTGAGAAGAAAAAGACCTGAAGAAACAAAAAAACTGAGCAAGAACAGAATGAAGTCAGTCAGGGAGACTGCAAAGGTCAAAGTTGGTGCTGGCAAAAACAAGGAGTAAAGATTTTGCAATGACTTTGTGGTGATCCTGCAAATTCAGTCACCACAAACGACAAAACTGAAGGAAAAAAAAAAAAAAGCCACTGTAGGTGCTTCATGAACAGCCCTGACATGGCTTTCCTGAAACTCCAAGTACCAAACCTTTGCCCTCTCCAGCCTGGGGAGGATTGACATTCCACTACTAAATGGTTCCTAACCCTGGAGGGTAGGACTTAGGTCCTCAGGCTAGAAGCCTCCAGTTAAACTCTTCAAACCAGCTCCCTAATCTCACGCTTGGCCTAGACCACCAGTTCCCCACAAATCTCTTAATCCATCTGACTCCAGTTTACTATTGATAAAGGTACCCCCAAACTCAGGGGCTTCAAACAACAATCATTTATTATCACTCACTGTCTTTGGATCAGCTGAGATTCAGCTAATCTAGACTGGTAGCTCTGCCTCTCACTGCACATCTCTAGGTTGGCTGGAGAGGCTCTGCTCCAAGGGTCTCTCACTCTTCCTGGACCAGCAGACTAGCCAGGGCATGTTTTTCTCATAGTGATGAGAAAAACATGCCCAAGAGAGCCTCTTACTGGTCAAAGCAAGTGAGCCCAGAGTTAAAGGACAGGTAAGTACCCCCTGCCCATAATGGGAGGACATTACAGTGACATGGCAAAGGGCATGAATGTGTACATAAGTTATCTACTGCTGCGAAAAAAATGACCCCAAATTTAGTGGTTTAAAGCAAGAGTAAAAATTTATTTTCTCACAATTTCTGTAGGTTAAGAATTCAGGAGGCGGGGCACGGTGGCTCATGCCTGTAATCCTAGCACATTGGGAGGCCAAGGCATGAGGATCCCTTGAACCCAGGAGTTTGAGACCAGCCTGGGCAAGATGGTAAGACCCCATCTCTATTTAAATTAAAAAAAATTTTTTTAAAGAATTCAGGAATGGCTAAACTGGGCTGTTTTAGCTTGGGGCCTCTCATGACAGACTAGAAATGCTACTTTCTGCAAAGAGACAGAAATGAACCTGTACAAATACCCTATACTCCTAATTATTATCAATTACTTTTTAAACCATATTTTTGTGCAATGCAATAAGTTTCATGTGAAAATGCTGTTTTGGAGGGGCTTAGCATCAAAATAAAAGACTGTGATATGCAAAGAACAGGTTAAAAGATGGTAGATGTTGACTTAGTTCCACAAAATACACAGTAAGAGAGTAATAAAACAGGAGACATCAGTTGTAAATGACTTAATAAATTGAAAGGTAGGATACCTGCTGAACTCCTGCGCCCTTGCCCTACACTTGTTTCCACTGCCAACAATCTCGTCTGTTGCTTCACACCTGTTTTTATTTCAACGCTCCTCCAGCTGGTCTCTCTGCTTCTAATTTCTTTGGCTTCCAATTTATCCTATTCACAGCTTCTACATAATCTTTATCAAAGATCTTACTGTATAAGACCCTATGGTTATTTGCTACTGCTTACTATTTTAAATCCAAATTCCTCAATACAAATGTTCAAGATCTATCCACTGAGTTATTTCTCCCTTCAAAAATTATCACCTGGCTGGGCGCAGCACTTTGGGAGGCAGAGGTGGATGGATCAGCTGAGGTCAGGAGTTACAGACCAGGCTGACCAACATGGTGAAACCCCATCTCTACTAAAAATACACAAATTAGCTGGGTGTGGTGGTGCGCACCTGTAATCCCAGCTATTCAGGAGGCTGAGGTATGAGCATCGCTTGAACCCGGGAGGTGGAGGTTGCAGTGAGCCGAGATGGTGCCATTGCACTCCAGCCTGGGCAACAAGAGTGAAACTCTGTCTCAAAAAAAAAAAAAAAAAATTATCACCCTTCCCTAGTAAAGCCCCAGCTCCAGCTCCTATTGTACCTTTGTCTCTATCTCAGCTCTCAAGACACGGGTACCTGATTTGTCTAGCACAGTTGCTAGCACGTAATAGGTACTCAACATCTGTTGAGTGAGCAGTCCTAGAGTAATAACTAAAACAGAGTAATAACTAAAACAGAATGATAGATTCCTTTCCTTAGTTAGATTTACTTGAACCTGTGTCCAAAGCACCTTCATGTTTATACTACATATATTTTCATAACACCTGTCTGCCCCTCTGAAATTGAACTACTGCAGCCTCGAACTCCTGGCTCAAGTGATTCTCCTACCTTGGCCTCCCCAGAAACTCTTCTATTCACCCACCATGCTCCATCTGGGTGGGCCTTCTTTCTATTCCTTGGACAGATTAAGGCAATTCCTTCCTCAGGCCTTTGCTGGAGTTGCTTCCTCTTCCTGGAATGTTTTTTCCCCCCAACATAGTTAGCTGCTTTTTGTCATTCAGATCTCAACTTAAATGTTATTTCCTAAAACAGGCCTTCCATGAACATCCAATCTAAAGTAACTCCTTCAATCCTTCACTATCATTTCTCCCTATTTAGTTCTCTCCTATACAGTTATTGCTTCCAGTTATTTCTCTTGTTCATCTATTCATGTGATTTCTTGTTTATAGTTGGCCTCTCCACTGAGATGTGAGCTCCATGGGGGCAAAGATGTCTCATTCACTGAGCACTTGTATTTCCAGTGCCTGCCACACAGCAGATGCTCAAAAGACACATTAAATGAATAAACAAATCTGACTTCCCAGCTAATGCTCAATGACTATTTCCTGATCCCAACAAACTTCAATAGTTTCTTTCTTTCTTTTTTTTTTTTGAGACAGGGTCTTGCTCTGTCACCCAGGCTGGAGTGCAGTGGCGCGATCTCTATTCACTGCAGCATCGACCCCCTGGGCTCAGCCTCCCAAGGAGCCACAGGCATGTACCACCATATCTAGCTAATTAAAAATTTTCTTTGTTCAGACAGAGTCTCAACATGTTGCCCAGACTGGTCTCAAACTCCTGGGCTCAAGCAATCTTCCTGCCTTGGCCTCCTAAAGTGCTGGGATTACAGATGTGAGCCACTGCGCTGGGTCCAATAGTTTCTATTGATTCATTTCTACTGTATCTTCTAAGGACTCAGCTTTAAAATTACATCTTCCAAGAAGCTCCCTCTGAAACATTTTGAATTCTTAATGCTGCACTTTCTCCTACATATATAGTCTGTTCCTTACAATTTTACATGTGGTCTTATGGGAAAATTGCTCTCCTGTGGCTTCATGTGCATGTATTTCCTATGACCTGTAAGCATCATCAGATTCTTGAGGGCTGGCCTGTGTTCTTTATTGCTTTGTTTTGAATGTTCCAGGAGTACTCAATATGCTACTCTTCACACAGCAGAAATTCAATACAAGATTACTAATATACACTTTACCAAAACTGCCTAATATAGCTCTATGGGTACTATAGGATTCATGATAACAAACAATTTAATTAGAATCCAGTGAGAGGCCAGGAGTGGTGGCTCATACCTGTAATCTCAGTGCTTTGGGAGGCTGAGATGGGAGGATCACCTGAGGCCAGGAGTTCCAGACCAGCCCGGGCAACGAAGGGAGACCTTGCCTTTACAAAAATTAAAAAAAATTAGGCAGGCGTGGTGGTGTACAACTGTAGTCCTAGCTTCTTGGGAGACTGAGGTGGGAGGATCCCTTAAGCCCAGGAGTCTGAGGCTGTAGTGAGCTATGATTGCATCACTGCACTCTAGCCTGGGTGACAGAGTGAGACCCTGTCTCTGAATTAATAAATATAAATGTAAAAAAAAAAATAAAGACTCCAATGAGAAACAATTAATCTAGAATTTCCAGAGCCTAGTGTAGTGGCACATGCCTGTAGTCCCAGCTACTTGGGAGGCTGAGGCAAGAGGATTGCTTGAGGCTAGGAGCCCAAGACCAGCCTGGGCAACATAGGGAGATTCTGTCTCTAAAAAACATAAAAATAAAAATAAGTTATCTGTATCATTAGTAATTATATAATGAAAAACTCAGAACATAATATATTTTCTCTTTTGGTGTTACTTGGGAAGAAACTGTGTCAAATTCAAAGTCCAATTACAGTAAAGCCTGGTAGATAATCACTCCAACTTCCTTTCCATATTCTCCAATTCTCCATTCTATTTTTATCTTTTTTTTTTTCTTTTTTTCTTTGAGACGGAGTCTCACTTTGTTGCCCAGGCTGGAGTGCAATGGTGCCATCTCGGCTCACTGCAACCTCTACCTCCTAGGTTCCAGCGATTCTCCTGCCTCAGCCTCCCGGGTAGCTGGGACTATAGGCGCGTGCCACTATGCCCGGCTAATTTTGTATTTTTAGTAGCGACGGCGTTTCACCATGTTGGCCAGGCTGGTCTCAAACTCCTGACCTTAGGTGATCCACCCACCTCTGCCTCCCAAAGTGCTGGGATTACAGGTGTAAGCCACCACGCCTGGCTCTATTTTTATCTTACTAGATTTTTTTTTTTTTGTCTACCTAAAAATATTTGCCTATCAGTCTACAAAGATGAATTCCCAAATCATCTTTCTGGAGCTCTTTACTCTTTCATCTGGAGAGTCTGCCAGCACCTCAACATTAATTCAACCTCAACTAAACTTATCTGCTTCTCTCTAAAACCAGTCTTTGGCTGGCAACTATATAATCATGTTTTCTGGTCAATTAGATGCAAAACATTGGTGTCATTTTTGATTTCTTATTCCCATGGCCAATGTACCCAATAGACACACTAAACATGCACTTAGGGTACCAGCAATGCAATAGCACCATAAAATTTATAGGAGGGAAATGTTTTATTTGTTATTTTTATAAAAGTCATTATAACATAAATTTTTAAAAGTCCTGAAAATCAGCACTTCCAGCCAAGATGGAGCAAAAGAGGTGAGGTTTTCTTTCTTGCTTGAAAGAGCTAAAAACTGAAGAAAATATATGAAACAAAAGTTATAAGCCATTTGAAATCAGGCAACAAAAGACAGTGACACCCAAGAAATGGGAAATAAATGAGATGAGTTTCATAATTGTTCTAGCTTCTGCCTGGAGAGAATGCCAGGATGCAGAGGAAACTACCTTTGAGTTGAAAAGGTGAACCTGGATGTCTAGAGAAGCCGAAGGGGTTAATTAGGGGCTAGGGTTCATAGGGCAGAGTACACAAGAAGAGAGAGCTGCAGAGAGAGCTCTGAAGGTAAACACAGATCCTCCCTAAAGTCTTCGGCTGAGTATTGCCAATGCATAGGTACAAAGAAACTACTAAAGTCCAGGGAAAGAATCACCCAGAAGGAACAGCAGAAACAATCCCTAGAGATCACACAGGGCTGGGAATAATTCCTGTTCCACAAGTCAGAGTAAAAAATTTCAAAATTCATAGGGCATCAGTAAAGAACTCAGAAAGGTCTCGCTTTAATAGTGAAAAAAATTGGCCTTAGACTAAATGCTATTCCAGTCCTGCCTAATAAAGCTTAAAAGTGACACCTGAAAGAATCAAACTGTTTTCAGTAACTTAACTACATTCAAGAAGAAAGTTCAAGAATATTTATAGTGATACAAAACTATCTAGCATCCAACAAAATAAATTTCACAATGTCTGGCACCCAACCAAAAATAACCAAGTTGCAAAAAAATAGGGAAATACAACCCATAATGAGGGAGAAAAAAATCAGTCAATTGAAACCAACCCAGGAAATGACACAGATGATATAATTAGTAGACAGGGATATTAAAACAGTTTTCATAACTATATTCCATATGGCCAAGGAGCTAGAAGAAACACTGAGCATATTAAGTAGAAACACAGAACATGTAAACTGGTCTGCTTGAATGCACACCAACTGAAATGATCCAAAATGAATCACAAATACTAAAAAAGAAGAAGAATCAGTGACTCTGGGACAAGTTAAAGCAGCCTACTATGTAATTGAGGTCCCTATAAAAGAGGATAAAAGGAAAGTCAGAAAAAAAAATTGAAGAAATAATAATCTTTTCCCCGTTTTATGAAAACCAACTCACAGAACCAAGAAGCCCAGTGAATCCCAAGCAAAAGAAACATGAAAAAAAGAACATGAAAGCACATGATAATCTATTTATGACTACAGGAACAAAGATAAAGATGGCAGTAGCTTTCCTGTTGAAAATAATAAAAGCAAGAAGACAATGAAGCAACATCTTTAAAAATATGGAAGGAAAACTAAATTGTCAACCTAGAACTCTATATCCAGTGAACATATATTTCAGACACACAAAAGCTAAAAGAGTTCATTACTGGCTGGACGCAGTGGCTGACACCTGAAATCCCAGCTACTCAGGAGGCTGAGGCAGGAGAATTGTTTGAACCTGGGAGGTGGAGGTTGCCGTGAGCTGAGATTGTGCCATTGGACTCCAGCCTGGGCAACAGGGCGAGACTCTGTCTCAAAAAAAAAAAAAAAGAGTTCATTACTAGCAGACCTGTCTTATAAGCAAGGTTAAAAGAAATCTTTTAGGAAGAAGGAAAATAATACATTCTGGCATTACAGATCTTCTACCATGCGTTATAAACACCTACTTTTGCAATATTACTTTTCACTGTTCCTTTACTTCTATGTGAAGGAAGCCCTGATCTCAAATATGCTTTCTTTCCATTCATCATGCTATTTCCTCTACTTGGAATGCCATACATCTCCATCTATAGACATCTTCCCAATCTTTAATGTCCATCTCAAATGTAACATTCTTTTTGATGCCTTTTCTGATTTCCCCAACTAGATGTGAGTTCTTGTTCACATTACCCTCCTGTTATTTTTCTTAATGGGAAAAAAATCATTTGGCTCTTTTTACTATGTTTTAGATGGCAGCACAGGGCTTTGCAGGTAGAAGACAGTCCTTAACTTCCTAGTGGACTGAATTATCTTTTTTTTTTTTTTGAGACAGGGTCTCGTTCTGTTACCCAGGCTGAAGTATAGTGGCATATACTCACTGCAGCCTCAACCTCCTGGGCTTAAGCAATCCTTCTGCCTTACAGCCTCCCAAGTAGTTGGGACTACAGGCATACCACCATGTCTGGTTAATGTTTTAATTTTTGTAGAGATGGGTTCTTGCCATGTTGCGTAAGCTGGTCTCAAACTCCTTGGCTCAAGTGATTGCCCTGCCTTGGTCTCCCAAATTGCTAGGATTACAGATATCAGCCATCACTCCTGGCCTCTTTTATTTATTTATTTATTTATTTATGAGATGGAGTTTTGCTTTTGTTGTCCAGACTGGAGTGCAATGGCATGATCTTGGCTCAGTGCAACCTCCATCTCCCAGGTACAAGCGATTCTCCTGCCTCAGCCTCCCAAGTAACTGGGATTACAGGCACCCACCCCCACACCCAGCTAATTTTGTATTTTTAGTAGAGACGGGGTTTCACCATGTTGGTCAGGATGGTTTCGAACTCCTGACCTCAGGTGATCCTCCTGCCTTGGCCTCCCAAAGTGCTGGGATTACAGGCATGAGTCACCGTACCTGGCCCTGGCCTCTTATTTTTATACTTTACTTGAAAGCTGCCTGAGAGCGAAAGGAACATAAGCATAAAGAAAAACAAATGGGCCAGGCACAGTGGCTTACACTTGTAATCCCAGCACTTTGGGAGGTCGAGGCGGGCAGGTCACCTGAGGTCAGGAGTTTGAGACCAGCCTGGCCAACATACACTAAAACCCCACCTCTAATAAAAAAAATACAAGGCGCTGTGGTGCATGCCTGTAGTTCCAGCTACTTGGGAAGCTGCGGCAGGTGAATCGCTTGAAGCCGGGAGGTGGAGGTTGCATTGAGCCAAGATCGCACCACTGTACTCCAGCCTGGGCTACAGAGCAAGACTCCGTCTCTGAAAAAAAAAAAAAAAAAAGAAAAGAAAATAAATGGACAGAAGGACAGAAGTTATCTTGCCCCACAAAAACATAATGATATTCATCATTATAATCCACTGACTGATACTGAAAGTATTAATATAATCCGTGCTTGAAAAAAATAGATGGGATCTTTGCAACTTAAGTCACTTGCTAAAACCAGTTCTTTCCCAAGAGAACTGGATTCTCTTTTAAAACCCTCTCACTTTCCTGAGACTGAGGCCAAGCCAATAAGAGCTGAACCTCTGGAGACAGGAAAGAGGTGTCTTGTTCCCCATCTCAACACCAACATGAGTCAGAGACACTGCCTTTGCAGAGGACCTTGATTAAATTCCCCAGGAAGGATCAGGAGTGGGTGGAAAATAAACAATAAAAAATCAGAAAATGAGTGTGTTCGGGATCTCCAAATCACCCCCAGGTTTGATGATTTGTTAGGATGACAGATGTTACTCAGCATATAGTCAAATTCATCGTAATGACTTTTTTACAGTGAAAGGATACAATGCAAAACCACTAAAAAGAGACAGCCCCATAGGGTGAAGTCTGGAAGAAACCAGGTGTAAACTTCTAAGAATCCCCTCTCAGTGGAGTCACGCAGAGTGTGCTTAATTCCTCCAAGAATGAGCTGTGATAACATGTATGAAACATTGTCTACCACGGAGATTTACTGGAGACTGACTTAGTGGTGAGGGTTTTTATTAGGGCTGGTCATGTAGGCATTTTCTGCCTAGCATGTAGCAAAATTCCAGACTCCTATAAGGAAAGCAGGTATTCAGTATAAACCATATTGTCTGTAAACAGTTTAGGCACTGCGAGCCATTCTTATCATTTGGAGGATGGTAGGAACACTCCTAAAATCCAGCTTCTCCGATGCTAGCCAAGGATCAACCTTATAAGCAGGTTTTTCTCAGGACAGTAATCCTTTTCTGCACAGAGGTATACTGAAAATACTCTTCTTGATTTAAGAATCTCACTTTCAGGATTTTTTTTTTTAAGCAAATAGTATGAAATTGAGCAAAGTTATATACAGTAAGATGTTATCACAATATTGTTTAATTTAGTAAAGAAAACTGGAAACAGGCCAGGCACTGTGGCTCACGCCTGTAATCCCAGCACTTGGGAGGCTGAGGTGGGAGGATCACTTGAGGTTAGGGGTTCGAGACCAGCCTGGCCAACATGGTGAAACCCCATCTCTACTAAAAATACAAAAATTAGCCGGGCATGGTGGTACACACCTGTAATCCCAGCTACTTGGGAGGCTGAGGCAGGAGAATCTCTTGAATCCAGGAGGCAAAAGTTGCAGTGAGCTGAGATTGTGCCACTGCACTCCAGCCTGGATGACAGAGAGAGACTCCGTCTCAAAAAAAACCAAAAACCAAACAAAAACAAAATTGGAAACAAAGTAAATGCCCCCAAAATGTGAAATTGTTCAGTAAATTACAGTATAACAATGTGAAGAAATATTAAACAATCATTAAAATTATATTTTTGAAGACTTTTAATGACAAAAATGATTATGCTGGGAAGTAAATCAATATGCAAAGTGTTATATACAGTAACAACTCAAAATTGGGAGAAATACAGAATAAAATCTAGAAAGAAATATACTAAAACATAATCATGATTCATTTCTGGGGAATGGTTTTATAAAATAATTTTTATTTTCCTCTTGACCTTTTTCTGTTTTCAATTATTATTTAATAAACATGTACTCTACCTTTTTTTTTTTTTTTTTTTTTTTTTGAGACAGAGTCTCGCTCTGTTGCCCAGGCTGGAGTGCAGTGGTATGATTTCGGCTCACTGCAACCTCCGCCTTCCAGGTTCAAGCGATTCTCCTGCCTCAGCCTCCCAAGTAGCTGGGATTACAGGTGTGCGCCACTATGCCCAGCTAATTTTTGTATTTTTAGCAGAGACACGGTTTCACCATGTTGGCCAGGCTGGTCTCGAACTCCTAACCTCAAGTGATCTGCCCACCTCAGCCTCCCAAAGTGTTGGGATTACAGGCGTGAGCCACCGTGCCTGGCCTATTTTTCTAATCAGAAAATAAGTTAAAATGATAAGACAATTAGAATTTAGATATACAGGTCTGTGAATCCAAAGTCAATTTTGTAAAAATGTAAAATATTTAGTGAGTACAGTAAGTAACATGAGCGTAATATATAAAACAGCTTAACTGGGGAACTCTTGACCATTTAAAATGCAATTTTCCAGCTGAGCATGGTGGCTTATATCTGTAATCCCAACACTTTGGGAGGCTGAGGAGGGAGGGTAGCTTGAAGCCAGGAGTTCAAGACTAATTTGGGCAGTATGGTGAGACCTTGTCTCTACAAAAGTTTTAAAAAATTAGACAGGTGTGGTGGTAGGCTACTGTGGTCCCAGCTATTCGGAAGGCAAGGACTGCTTGAGCCCAGGAGTTCAAGGTTTCAGTGAGCTAGGATGACACCACTGCCCTCCAGTCTGGATGATAGAGTGAGACCCTACCTTTTTTTTTTTTTTTTTTTTGAAACTGCAGTCTCACTCTGTCCAGGCTGGAGTGCAGTGGCTCAATCTCAGCTCACTGCAAACTCCACCTCCCAGGTTCAAGCGATCCTCCTGCCTCGGCCTCCCGAGTAGCTGGGATTACAGGCGCGCACCACCAAGCCCAGCTTTTTTTGTATTTTTAGTACAGATGGAGTTTCGCCATGTTGGCCAGCCTGGTCTCAAACTCCTGACCTCAGGTGATCAGCCTGCCTCCACCTCCCAAAGTGCTGGGATTACAGGCGTGAGCCACCGCACCTGGCTGAGACCCTACCTGTAAAAAATAAAAATTTAAAAAAAAAAAAGCAATTTTTCTATTTCAAATGCTTCTTTCTTCAATGAGCTAACATTTAAAAAGCAGAGAGGGGAGATATTTTCTTATAAACACTAAAGAAAGCAGAATGGCTAATTTTTATTATAATGAGCAAATGGTTCACAAACTAGCCAATGCAAAAATGAAAATATATTTCAATGGATAGAACAAAGGATGAATTTCCTAAGCTATTTTGTATGTTTATATAGCTGTAATTCAACTTACTTAGTACAGTAAGTATGAGTAAGTAATAGCACTTTGGGAGGCTGAGGAGGATGGGTCGCTTGAGGCCAGGAGTTCAAGACCAGCCTGGCCAACATGGCAAAACCTCGTCTCTACTGAAAATACAAAAATTAGTGAGACGTGGTGGTGTGTGCCTGTAGTCCCAACTACTTGCAAGGCTGAGGCACAGGAATCGTTTGAACCGGGTAGGCAGAGGTTACAGTGAGCTGAGATCGCGCCACTGCACTCTAGCCTGGGCAACAGAGCGAGACTCGGTAAAAAAAAAAAAAAAAAAAAGTATTAGTAATATAAGTCATGTACATTTTCACAGCTTTAAGGAGAATTAGGTAATTGCTCTACAAACCTCTTCTTCTTCTTTTTTTTTTTTTTTTTTTTTGAGACGGAGCCTCGCTCTGTCCCCAGGCTGGAGTGCAGTGGCGAGATATCGGCTCACTGCAAGCTCTGCCTCCCGGGTTCACACCATTCTTCTGCCTCAGCCTCCCGAGTAGCTGGGACTACAGGCGCCCACCACCACGCCCAGCTAATTTTTTGTATTTTTAGTAGAGACAGGGTTTCACCGTGTTAGCCAGGACGGCCTCGATCTCCTGACCTCGTGATCTGCCCGCCTCAACCTCCCGAAGTGCTGGGATTACAGGCGTAAGCCACCGCACCCGGCTGCTCTACAAACTTCTTTTGGAGAAGGTGACTTCTAATGTATCCAGTTCCAATTCCCTTGCATTTTTTGCTATGCATCTACCTTAGTCACATATATGCTATTTAACAGAAAGCTATTTTCCTACTACCCAGGATCTTCACCACTGCATTAAGCTGCCATATAGAAAACAGACTGCTATTGTATCCTCTTACCCCTAGAAAGATGAAATGGTTTGCAGCTTCTTTTAAATCACAAAAAAATTCTTTTGTGTACTAAATTGGCCCAAGGCTACGGAGGTTGTGCAACAGAGATCCACAGAGGAGCCTCTCTTCCCACATGACCTCCACTTGTGGCTGCTTCCCAGTCCTGCCAGAACATGAAAACCTTGAAAGCACTCCATGTGGGGGCAGTGCTCTCTCTGGCATCTGAAGTACTTCTTGCGCTGTTAGAAAAAACAAATTCTGAAGAGCCATTGCAATGGTAAGCACACTCAGGAAAAAAAGCCAGAATTTTTCTGGTTAGGAAGGGAAATGTGGTTAACCTAAATTGGACCTGAGGCACAAATGGAGGCATCAAGAAGCACTCCCACTACTACAGTTCAACTATGCATTTTTGTTTCCATTCTTTTTGAAAAAATTATTATTATTATTATTATTTTGAGACGGAGTCTTGCTCTGTCGCCCAGGCTGGAGTGCAGTGGCGCGATCTTGGCTCACTGCAAGCTCCGCCTCCTGGGTTCACGCCATTCTCCTGCCTCAGCCTCCTGAGTAGCTGGGACCACAGGCGCCCGCCACTGTGCCCGCCTAATTTTTTTATATTTTTAGTAGAGATGAGATGGTCTCGATCTCCCGACCTCGTGATCCGCCTGCCTTGGCCTCCCAAAGTGCTAGGATTACAGGCGTGAGCCACCACGCCTGGCCAAAAATTATTATTTTTTAAGAGACAAGGTCTTGCTGTCACCCAGGCTGGAGTACAGTGGTGTGATCACAGCTTATTGTAACGTCAAACTCCTGGGTTCCAGTGATCCTCCTGCCTCGCCTCAGCATCCTGAGCAGGCATGGGCTACCATGCCCAGTTATTTTATTTTTTGTAAAGATGGGGTCTTCCCATGTTGTCCAGGCTGGTCTTGAACTCCTGGCCCCAAGAGATCCTCCTACCTCGGCCTCCTAAAGTGCTGGGATTATAGGCTTGAGCCACCACACCATTCTGTTTCCATTATTAAAAAAGAATGGCCCTTTAAATGGTTTGGCTATTTTCAGAAATTTAACTGCTTAAAAAAGGGCTATGAGGAGGTGGCAGGGAAAGAGGACAGATGAATGAAGCAGTGCTATAAAGTCTCTTTAATAAAATGTAGCTAATGAAGGTTAGCATTCCTCTGAATCTCTGTATTTAAATAAAGTCAGCAATTGGTGCTTGCTAAGTGGTGGTTCAAGTACAATCAACAGCCCTTCAAAGACTTTGTTGCTTCTTCTTTTCTCTTTTTCAGGAAGAAACACATTAAAAATATTAGAAAAAGCATGGGACTGAGAGTCAAGAAAAACCTGGGTTCATTATGAACTGTGAAACATGTTAATATATTAACAAATAATTTTCAGACACTATGCTTTCCTGCCATTTGTTATGTTTGAATTTCAGGCTTTTCCTCTATAAATGGGAATACCAACAAATGTCACCCTTTTCATAGGTGATTGTGTACAAAGAAAGTATAAGCAAACTGTAAAGGGCTATCTAAGTATTAACTGTCGTAGCTGTCAGGTTTCCCTGACATAAAAAATACTTAAAACATGGTCACACAATTATTAATGAACTGAGCTTATTATAGTGGACAAATGGTAAGAGTAGATAAATTAAGAACCTTAAAACCAACAATAATGCTTTCATGTAAAAATTAACATATTTAATTGTGAAATATAGATATCTTATATGGAACTAAGTTGAACACTCTGGAAATATCCCAAGGGAAAACAGTGTCTCAACAGCCAGAACTGGTCACTATAATTATCATAGAGTGGGATCTCAGGTATGGCAGACAGATGCTATCAAATCAGGTTTCACTAAAGTACAGAAGATATGGGAGCGGGTACGGGGAAGTGCTGGGTAGAGAAAGGCAGGTCCTGGCTGGGGCTCCACTCCTACAGACCTAGGTGAGGACAGGCACTCCTGCTTTTGTGCCTAACTGTTGCATTTTCCAAGACCACTGTGGTCTGCCATGCCCCCATCCTGGGCTGGGCATGGTGGCTCACACCTGTAATCCCAGCACTTTGGGAGGCTGAGGTGGGCAGATCACCTGAGGTCAGGAGGTCAAGACCAGCCTGACCAACATGGAGAAACCCTGTCTCTACTAAAAATACAAAATTAGCCAGGTGTGGTGGTGCATGCCTGTAATCCCAGCTACTTGGGAGGCCGAGGCAGGATAATCGCTTGAACCCAGGAGGCTGAGGTTGTGGTGAGCCGAGATCGTGCCATTGCACTCCAGCCTGGGCAACAAGAGCGAAACTCCATCTCAAAAAAACAAACAAAACAAAACAAAAAAAGAGTCTGGGCTCTTGACTTCAAATCCCTGAGAGCTAACAAGTTGTGTGACCTTGGGAAAATTACTTAACCTTTTCTCAACCCCAGTGTTCACATCTGTAAAATGGGGATAGCAGTAGTACCTATCTCTCAGGATTTCTGTGAGGATTAAATGAAGAAACACAGGCAAATCACTTACTACAGGGTTATTTGCTTAGCTGTTGTCATCTTCATCATACTATCTATACAACGTAACTTTTTACAAGTGGAACTAGACCAGTAGTCACCCATTTTACAATCAGATATTAACCTCCATCCATAGTAGTGAACTTGCATGTCTTTGAAAGGTCCACTGTGGTCATCCATCCTGTGAGGTCTCTGCATACCAATATGCTGCTTAGGTGAGGCCAGATGTGCCTACTAGGAACTGTGGTTACTTGAACCAAACGTTGGCAGATGTCCAAAGTGCAATTCTTCATATTCTAACCAGTCTCTGAACCACCCAGAGTCCCTGGGTTATACTTTTAAATTTTAAATTTCTTATCCAAGTTACTCATGCCCTATGTTTCACTTCTAATAAAATTTATCTTCCTTTTTTCAAATGAAAATGTCAAAAAGCTTAAGATGTGCATATGTGCATACCTTTTCTAATTTGAAGTGAGTGAAATCTTGCTAATACAGAAGCTAAAGAAGTTAGAATAATGAAACACTAAGATAGGAGCCCCTTATAATAGTATCTACCATGTTAAATGATGGTGATGGTCAATGAAGCAATTACTTCACATCTAACATCCTACCGAAATGAAATAACTGCATTTTAAGGAAATGAAACCTAACCTTTCTTGAGATGTCCTGCTAAATGAGTCAAAAAAATCTTAATTCTAGACCTATAAAATTAATCAAAATAATCCAACTGTGCAATCATCCCACTTCTTATAATAAAGAATCTAATAATGCAGTAAATTATGCATCTTGTATATAAAAGATACCCCCATCCCACCTCCCCAACAGTCATCTTCTTAGGCTCAAGGTCCACTCCTCTGTGACACGGAAGGACCCTTCCTCTGGGGAAAGGATGGGCTCAGCTGCCTCAGCACGAGCTGCTCCTCCAGCCTGCCTGCCTGTGACACTGCTACCTGCTAGCCAGAAGCATCCCAGTGTCTACTGAGCTGCTGCAGATTGAACAGACTGTGAATCCAGCCAGAGGATAAGAGGTTGTTTTAATTGGCTAAATCTGCTATGTAGTAAGCGTATGGCCATGAATTTGTAGCCAAAACACTAATCAAAAAAAAAAAAAAAAAAAAAAAAAAAGCCATGTACAATTTAAACACAAAACAAGAATGACATTTTCGTTATTCTAGTTGTACCACGACGGTTTATAACATAACATTTTATGACTCTGAAATCCTTTACCTTTGAAGTAGAATTTTCATGATATACTCCTTGTACCAAGTCCATAAGAGCACTTGCTAAAAGTTCCACAACCTAAAAAGCAAGAAGAAAAATAAAAATAAAAAAATTTAAATATATCTCTATTGTTACCTCAGAATGTTTCAGAAGGCTCAGTGGCAAGGCAGAATTTTTCTGTGCTTGACAGAAAAAATGGGACTATGCACCAAGATCTCAGCAAATGGCATTGCCCACCTGGATATTAAAGCTGTGATCCAAATTTTTTCAGTCATAATTCAAGCCAAAAAAAATCTTATAAGCATAGCATTTAACTAATATACATGAAAATCGAGTAATAGCCATTTTGAACATAAACTTACATTTCAGATAACTAATGAAATCTTAACTCAATTTATTTTCTGCATGTTTATTTCTGTCAGGTGGATACTTTTTCAGTACTCCCATTCTGGGAGCAATTACAATGTTAATTTTCATACTTATTACAGAAAAAAAAGCAAAAGCAAAAGAATGGATAATCTTTCAAATATGTTCATTCTGTTACACTTAAAATGCACTGTGGATATATTTACTGTGGGGTCCCTGGGTCAAATGTACCATAAACACTGAAAATTTTTACAGAACTGTAATACTGAAATCATATTCATCAAACCTGTATTATTTTTCAAGGCTGAGACTTTTTTTTTTTGTTAAATCAAGTGAGATCAAAAGCTTTGAACTTGTTCCAGGATGTAAAACAAGCAGAAAACAGTAAATGGTCTCTTTGGAACTACTGTACAATTTAGAGTAGTTTGCATAAAGCATCTTAATTTGAGAGGATAAAATAGTGGTATTTATGATAATGTTCAATGTAGCCATTTCAAATAAGAATTCCTCAAGGCAACCCCATCCGCTTCTTACAAGTCTTAATATCTTGTATATTTAACTTCCTATGTTATGCAGTCCTGTATCAGATTTCCACTCTTTGCTTCCGAAAATTCAGCTCCATTCTGATTGAATTAAAGGATTTTGTTTCAGCTTTTATCATTCTTGTAATTGAAGACATTATTAAGCCAAAGAATACAGACCCAAACAACAAGATACTTCAATCTCAGGTACCCTGGGTTTAATAAACATTTTCTTAGAGGCAAATGACATTAATTTGTAGAAAGATTTGCTTTAACATTTTAACACATGAGCACTTATCTCCAAATTTATATATTTACGTTTATACTACATAACATACACAGAACTGCTGATATGAAATTTTTGCTGATTAAAGGCATATTTTTTTCCTAGCTCTTTAAGGATGGTTTAATTTGTAAGACATATACAAAGTCTTTTTTATTTTTTTTAAATCACATTGTCCTTCAGGTAACCAAATACTTAAGAAATATTGTAGCAATATGAGCTGCAGAGGAACTGGAAGGACAATGATCCTACAGTGTTACCACATGAGTTGAGTTATTTAAGTGGGGAAGAGAGAAAAATGAATGGATTTTTTTCCCCCTGAAGGTATCAGATAAGCCCTATTCCTAAATCCAGGAGGACTGAGTATCGCCAATAGGTCTATGAAAGACTGTAACTAAACGCACAGCATCAGATTGGATTACAGTTTACACAAGCAACATCCCAAGATCCCCCTGATGGCTGGACACATAATACAGATCAATCACTCACTAAGAAATGTTATGGTTTTGAAACAGTTTGAGCTCTGAGACCAGCATTGGTAACGTGAAGAGGGATTTACAAAGAGAAAGTCTGACGCTAAATGTCAAAATGATGGCATGAACTTTTAACAGTGGATCTGGCTCTGGATAACCAGAGTGTTCCTTTACTTCCCTGAAATTCCAGACCAGGCAGAAGCAACAAGAACATTTTGTTCTCTGACTCTTTTTCTCATTGCGTAAACCTGTCCTTACAAGTTCATAATTTATAAATGACCTGTACTTACAAATGGCTATACTTACTTGAACAGAACACACCTCCACCTCCATAGCCAATGACAACCCATTAAGGAAAAAGCTTTAGATTTCTTTGAGTTAACAAGTCGAGGAAGGAAAGAGATTATAAAAAGCAAGAGTAGCCTAAGAAGTTGAAACTGTTCCAGATAAGGGTGACTTACCCAGTGCACATATCAATCTCTTTACATTGCCTGAAATGTTTATTTTTAAAATTATACCAAAGAAAGATGTGTTTGGTCGGGTGCAGTGGCTCACGCCTGTAATACCAGCAGTTTGGGAGGCAGAGGTGGGTGGATCACCTGAGGTCAGGAGTTCGAGACCAGCCTGGCCAACATGGTGAAACCCTGTCTCTACTAAAAAAAAAAAAAAAAAAAAAAGACAAAAATTAGCTGGGCATGGTGGGGCATGCCTGTAATCCCAATTACTCCGGAGGCTGAGGCAGGAGAATTGCTTGAACCCAGGAGGTGGAGTTTGCAGTGAGCCAAGATCGCAGCGCCACTGCACTCCAGTTTGGGCGACAAGAGCGAAACTCCATCTCAAAAAAAAAAAGAAAGATGTGTTTAAGTATCACCCTTCCTTAAAACTGCAAATATTTCTAGAGAGACCACAAGGCTAGCAGCCACTCACAATTTAGTAAGCTCATTTAATAATCTGACTTTTTTTTGCATATTACCCCAGACATTCACCTGTTTAGATACTGCTATACTTACATTTAAGAAAACACTTGGTTAATAACATATTCCCCCCTCAGATTCTTGAGGAGTGACATGTTCAGGCAACTCAAAGTGCTGGCAGGAATAATGGCAGCCAAAGGAGAATCCAGAGGCCTAAAAGCCAGACCTCTTGGGGCTGAGAGCTGAAGTCCTGTTGCTATAGATAAGTGCAACCTTGAGAAAGATTCCAGGACTTTTGTTTCTCAGGCCCATGGGGCAAGCAAACACTTTCTACTAGGGGAAGAAAAAAAAAAAAAAGAAGGTTCAAAGAGCCTCAATGTGAGTTACCCTTGGAAGCTCAACAGATTAGGGAACTGTTAAAAAAAAAAAAAAAAAAAAAGCAGAATACTAGCAGCCACAGAATCTAGATTCTATTCCAAGGTCTACTAATAATTTGATTGTGAGATTTGGGCAAATCAATTTTTCTGAGCTTTGATTTTCTTCAACTCAATGCAATGAATTGCAATAAAGGGAATTGGAAAAGATGATTCCTTAAGGCCTCTTCCAGCCCTATAATTCTAAGCTTTTACAAATGCAAGTCTTATTATTTATAATTAGGCATGTAAACTTGAAAACTCCTTTTCTGCAAATTTTGATGGAACATCTTTGCTCATGTAATTCATTTTTATCTGTTGTCTTCACATGAACCTTTCCCTCTATCTGAATTCTACTGGCTAATTTCTTTGTGAAACTTTTTGTACCAAATCCCCTTTGGTTTCAATACCTAGAATTATAATAAAACACTTTCCATTTTTCAAAACCATTATGACTGGTAGAGCACCCCATCAACTGGCAAAGTCCTACTTGAGTCAATTAAAGGCAACACTGCTGAGCTCTGATTCTTGAAGGGCTCTAATGCTTGGAAATGATTTATATATACTGGATTCTGAATGACATCAGGCTTAACTGCCAAGTTGCATCAAACAAATAATGGTACTAAGTTGGCCATATCGTGAGTATCTCTAAACAGTAAATACGTAGAGCATTTAGAAGAGAATCTGGAACATAAGTTTCAGTGAGTGTTAACTTATTCTTCTTCCATACTGCCCTATTACCGTGCTATATTCAGTACAAGCCTTGCGTAGATGAACAGCAGAGTATGGAAACCAAGATTATGGTATTTTTAAAATTGTGTGCCTAAATATTTTGGAAGAAAGTGAGTTTTAGTTCAACAACAAAACCCAACCCAGAACACATGCAAAGACCATTTTAACCAAAATCAGGGACCTCTGAAACACTGACTTGCTGCATCCTGAAATATTGTTTTAGATTATACAACAGTCAGCATCAATGTTAAATAGTTTAGCCATCTGGAGAGCAATTAAACAGGACATAACTTTCTGCATTTCTGGTGACTGCGAGAATAGCAGCATTGCTTACCTACACATGCAAATAAAAAAAAAATGCTCTTCTCTTCAGTTTGGGTCATATGTTGAAATACGACTCTACAGCAAAGCCATACACTATCCTTCAATTTCCAGTGAACCTGAAGTGGCAACCACTCCTAATGTAAGTGTCATGAGCTGGCTTCTCCTGCCACCTCCCTTGTTTTGGCTGCTGGGGAGAATGCTGCAGCATAGGACAGTAAATGGACAGTGCATGTCTAGTTGCTATTCTCAAGCAAATTGTTGATCACTCCCATTTCAATAACCACCGTCTCACCCAAGTTAGGAAGAGATAGTATCCAGGTGTATCTGAACCTTAACAAAATTATAGATCTGACATAATTAACCTTTGTGATGAATTTCTTAAATGGTTAATTTACAGGACAAATTTCAGCAATCTCAGGGGAATATATAATTGCTTCATTCTTTATCTTTTGGCAAGGGTAACTACAATTCAATGATTTTTTACACTGAAAAACCAAGATGATGAATACCCTCACAAAGGATATTGTGATGACTATGCCCTGAGCTATAATAAATTCTCATCATAAAAAACAGAAATTGAGAGGAGTAGGGGATGGTAAGACAAAAATACTGACCCCCCCCCGCAAAAAAATCCTCGCATTGCTATCCAAAGATGTCTGTAACATATTCTTAAGGAAAAAAAGCTATTTACAAAATAGAAGTAGTATGAAAGGTATTTTAAAAACAAAAATGAGGTCAATCTATGTGTTTATATACACAAGAGAAAAAGTCTGAAAGGAGAGACAACAAAATAATAATAATGTACAAATGATAGATTCTGGATGATTTTTAATTTAAAAAATTGTTTTCTTCAATCTTTCTGCTTAAATTTATAATTGCTAAGTTTATAACAGCTTACATATATAATGCATTACACTATTTCCCTCTTTTTATTGTATTGCTTTTATAATTAAATAAAACAATAAACCTATTTCCTTGGGGAGGGTGTTGGGGGGGGAAGCATACCTTGTTTATAGTCTCAGAGAGACCTCAAGTTAAGCTATGTTCACAAATTGATTTATGGAATATATCACTCAATAGTTTTTGGACTAGAAAAAATAGGATCAGTAAGTGGCAGTAAGCATTCTGGATAGACAAGTTGTGCCTTTCTCAATAAATGGGATTCAGGAGTACTGTCAGTTAGCACTTGACAGGCTGAATAGACTCAACAGAGTCGTAGATGTTTGACTAGTACAGCAGACCACTCTAATTTGAGCAAAGGAGTGCCTATCCTAAATTAAAATACAAGTAAATTTTTTTTTTTTTGGAGACGGAGTCTCGCTCTGTTACCCAGGCTGAAGTGCAGTGGCACAATCTCAGCTCACTGCAACTTCCATCTCCCGGGTTCAAGTGATTCTCCTGCCTCAGTCTCCCGAGCAGCTGGGACTACAGGTGCCCGCCACCACACCCAGCTAATTTTTGTATTTTTAGTAGAGACAGGATTTCACCATGTTGGCCAGACTGGTCTCGGACCCCTGACCTTGTGATCTGCCTGCCTCGGCCTCCCAAAGTGCTGGGATTACAGGCGTGAGCCACCGCACCCGGCCACAAGGAAATCTTTAGAAAAAATGTAAACTATAAGGTAACATGGCTCAATTAAAGCTCAAGTCAGCATAATATGATTGATGTAATAAGGTAGTATGGTTGCATTTTAATTCACTTGAAAAAGGTTGCTTTATAACTTAATTTGCTTGGTATATAAAAACTGTGAAGGCCATTACAGATTTGTAATCTTCTTGCAAAAATTTGTCCTCAGGTGATTTTAATGATGGATTTACTACAGTGTGGAATGAAAAACATGTCCATCACTCTATTTGGAGGTGAATAACACGGCACCCCTCAGCCTTTACTGCTTTGAGCTGCTAGCAAAGAAAACAGTCATGTGTGTTCATGTGTGTGCATGTACATCTGCAGTGCTGATGGCATTAACTATGCACAACTTTACTGCGCTCTTTCCTCCACCCCCAGGAACAAACAGCAATGCATGAAGTAGTAGCAAAGGTAAAACACTCTTGGGGAAGAATGAATTTTCATATACATCTTGGGAGGAACAAAAGATGGATTTAGTCTCTTTTGAAAGAGCTTTGGAATTTGAAGGGATATTGTCAAAATTTCTTTTTGAGCCACAAAAACTCTTATCAGTGAAAATATCTTACAGAAAAATACTGAGAGGGTGCTGAATAGGCCGATAAAGGTAACCAGAGCAGGTGGTGTCACTCTTTACTTCATAAAAATGAAGCACAAACTATTTGTGAGACGCATATAAAGATGGAAAGATTTATATTGCCAAGATAAGGTATAGAGGGACTAAAGAGTGGCACCCTCCCATAGAGACCAATAATAATGTCTAACATTTGTAAAGCACTTTATCATTTACAATTGGATTTAAGCAAACCATCTAATTCCAGGTAGATTCAGTCCCCAGTGCTCAGCCAGAGCTTCCAGGCTGGCAGCCTCAGTGGAGAAACGACTTCTGAAGAACACAGGGCACAGCAGCAGTGGCCAAATGAGGGGTGAATCTACTCACCCACCACCTGGGCACGAACTACCCAGATGAGCCCTACTCTGCATGCTGATTAAAATAAATGAGGGCTTTGATAAAGCCATCGCTAAAGTCTCTGAAAGGATGGCTCTCTCCACTTCTTCCTATCAAACTAGGACTGGGTTTAATGTAGACAATGATGAAAGGGCTGTTGCAATAAGCACACCAACTCATAGGAGTTCTGGAGGAAGCTTCTAACTCAGTTTTTTGAAGGGAGCCTTTTCAGTACTGCCAAATGTGTAAGGCTTTGCTTATTTGTGGGAGGGATGGCAATCTGTTCTAGTGAGCTGGAAGTTCTTTCTGGCTAAGGGGGTAGCGAAGAGAGAGAAATGGCACTACCAACAGGACAGGTGCAGCAAAAACTAAGCAAATTGATAATCTTAATTTTTAATTTAGAACAGCTGATACATTGGTTCATAAACTAACTACTGGTAACATTTGTCAAAAAGGTTTCAGGAAAATTCAGTGAACTAAACAAAAGTATAAAATTGCAACTGAGGCTAGATGCAGTGGCTTACGCCTGTAATCTCAGCACTTTGAGAGGCCGAGGTGGGAGGATCACTTGAGCCCAGGAGTTCGAGACCAGCCTGGGCAATATAGTGAGATACCCATCTCAACAAAAAATGAATGAAAGTTCTATTTTTAAAATCGCAACTGATACAACTTGAAAGAAATAGGCCACAAATTCAGGAAGATGGCTTAAATATGAAGTTTAATTTTATATTGGCTGGTGGATTCATTTCATGAACAGTTTGATATCCTACTATGTGCCTGGTACTGTACTAATGAAACTAGTCTCGTTAGGCCACAGTTATACATGAGACACTACCAAAAAGATCTAAATCAAAATTCCTTTATTCAATTAATACATATAAAAATGTTTGTGGTTTATTTTATTATTTTTTGAGATAGAGTCTCGCTCTGTCACCCAGGCTGGAGTGCGGTGGCTTGATCTTGGCACATTGCAACCTCCACCTCCCGGGTTTCAGCAATTCTCCTGCCTCAGCCTCCTGAGTAGCTGGGATTACAGGCGTGCGCCACCACGCCTGGCTAATTTTTGTATTTTTTTTAGTAGAGACGGGGTTTCACCACACTGGCCAGGCTGGTCTCGAACTCCTGATCTCATGATCCGCCCGCCTCGGCCTCCCAAGTGCTGGGATTACAGGCGTGAGCCACTGCACCCGGCCATGTTTGTGGTTTAAGTATCACTAAGGGACCATGTCTAAACAAGTCTAATAAATAACTTTTACATTTACTTTTTTTGCAGTGTTTTTAAATTATAGTTGTTCTTTTTAAAGGATACATTGTCTAGATAAATAACTTCATAAAGATAAAGGCCATTTATTGGTTTTTGATCACTCAGAAGGTTAATACGTAAGTTGCAAGACCTTGGGCCAACCATGTCACTTCTTTGCCCCTCAGTTTGCTTATCTAGATAAGAGGTTTCTGTGTTTTATCAACAATAAGTCCTATGATTAGAAATATTTAAATGTGCAGCTATATACATTTTTAATTCACAATTGTGAGATACAGTAAAAAATAGTTTTTTTAGCTACAATAAAAGAGTAATAAAAAAACTGATTTTACTTTTGAATAAAGGTGCATGGTCTTGGACTACTGAAGCAATGCCAAATAGTCATTTATTGATCACTGACTCATTTATTTGTTTAAACAACAATTAGGTTCCTGAAAAAGTAGCAGACAATTTAAAGCGCTTAAGATGAAAATTTTCAGTGAGGTGTGGTAGCTCGTGCCTGTAATCCCAACACTTTGTGAGGCCAAGGTGGGAGGATCACTTGAGGCCAGAAGTTTTGAGACTAGCCTGGGCAAAACACTGAGATCCCATCTCTATGAAGCAATTTTCTTTTCTTTTTCTTTCTTTCTTTCTTTTTTTTTTTTTTTTGAGACAGAGTCTCACTCTGTCTCCCAGACTGGAATGCAGTGGGACGATCTCGGCTCACTGCAACCTCTGCCTCCCGGGTTCAAGTGATTCTCCTGCCTCAGCCTCCTGAGTAGCTGGGATTACAGGCGTCCACCACCATACCTGGCTAATTTTTGTATTTTTAGTAGAGATGGGGTTTCACCATGTTGGTCAGGCTGGTCTTGAACACCTGACCTCGTGATCTGCCCACCTTGGCTTCCCAAAGTGGTGGGATTACAGACGTGAGCCACTGCGCCTGGCCGAAAAATAATTTTTTTTAAAGATAAAAATTTTCATAAGAAATAAAGAAAAAGGAGACGTTTTCCAGCAGATTTTTTAAAAAGTTGGTTGTGTCAAGTATTTTGCATTACTATAAAAACTATAATAAATAGTTGCTGAGAATTGAATACTTGGTCATGAAACAAACAAGCAACGTAAAACTGATTATCATATAGCAGTTAGTTGCTTTATTTTCCACCTTCCCCCAGTATGGGAATTGCTGAATATGAAGTCTGTTGTACTCAGGATATACCATTCTCAGTATGTTCTTTACCTAGCGACACTGCCGCATGTTGTTCTGACAGAATTCTGAGAGAATTATCCTTGCCATTTTAGTGTTGGGCCCATTTTTATTCAATGTGGCTGATGAGCTCCATTTTGCTTTCACTGCTTCTTCATCTGGAGACCCTCTCAGTGATGTAAACTGAAAGACTGTTGTTGGCTAGCACACTGCCTTCTATTAGTGGCTTTCAATACACATTGTGACACAGTATAAATACATGTGCATATATAAAACTACATTTTTTTTTTTTTAGATGGAGTCTCGCTGTGTCACCCAGGCTGGAGTGTAGTGGTGTGATCTCGGCTCACTCCAACTGCCACCTCCCAGGTTCAAGCGATTCTCCTGCCTCAGCCTCCCGAGTAGCTGGGATTACAGGTGCCCATTACCATGCCCAGCTAACTTTTGACTTTTGTATTTTTACTAGAGACGGGGTTTCACCATGTTGGCCAGGCTGGTCTCGAACTCCTGACTTTGTATTCCCAAAGTGCTGGGAATACAGCCGTGAGCTACCACGCCTGGCCAAAATTAAATTAAAAGTTTCATTATGTAATTTTCTATTGCATTCTATTTTTTTTTTTTTTTTGAGATGGAGTCTCTGTTGCCCAGGCTGAAGTGCAGTGGTGTGATCTTGGCTCACCCCAACCTCGACCTCCCGGGTTCAAACAATTCTCCTGCCTCAGCCTCCCAAGTAGCTGGGATTACAGGCGTCTGCTACCACGCCTGGCTAATTTTGCATTTTTAGTAGAGATGGGGTTTTGCCATGTTGTCCAGGCTGGTCTCAAACTCCTAGCCTCAGGTGATCCACTGGCCTCAGCCTCCCAAAGTGCTGGGATTACAGGCGTGAGCTACCACGCCAGGTCCTATGGCTTGAACCCGGGAATCGCTTGAACCCAGGAGGCGGAGGTTGCGGTGAGCCGAGATCGTGCCATTGCACTCCAGCTTGGGCAACAAGAGTGAAACTCCATCTCAAAAAAAAAAAAAAACAAACAAAAAGTATTGATAGTGATTCACTAAATTGATTTCACCACTCCCCAATGAAAAGGATGTGATCTGTGGTTTGAAACATTATTCAATATCATGCTGAAAAATGTTATGTATAGTTCATACCTTGTTAGTCCTTGTAATTACACACAAGGTCTTCCAAATTTTTGATGCAGTTTAAACATTGTTACTCTAAAATATATTTTTAGAGGTATTTATTTCTTTATCACTTTTTACCAAAAACATGTAAATGAAGTGAAGGTAAACAGAGAGGCAAGATAAAACAGAATCATTCTTGGGTACTATGGAGTATATTCTATTAGGGTGCATTTCAATCTTGTAGGCTTGTATCAATAATGCTGATGCTTAGCTTCATTTTTTTTGTTTTTGTTTTCTGAGACAGAGTCTCACTCTGTCGCCCAGGCTGGAGTGCAGTGGTGCCATCTTGGCTCACTGTAACCTCCCCGTCCCAGGTTCAAGCAATTCTCCTGTTTCAGCCTCCCGAGTAGCTGGGGCTACAGGTGCATGCCACCATGCCCGGCTAATTTTCGTATTTTTAGTAGAGACAGGTTTTCACCGTGTTGCCCAGGCTGGTCTCGAACTCCTGACCTCAGGTGATCCACCCACCTCGGCCTCCCAAAGTGCTGGGATTACAGGTGTGAGCCACGGTGCCCTGCCTGATGCTTAGCTTGGATCCTGTTAGATTCCTGAAAACAAATTGGCTTAGATAACATTTGGCCAAAGAGCTAAAAATTTCAGTAATTTCCTAGGAGTCACAGATACATCTTGCAAATTCCAGTGCTGCCATGTCTTTTGGGTAACACAGTTCACTTTCCAGCTCAAGCAGTTCCTCTTCAAATTGGGCCACACTAAAAGGCAGGTGTTTGTAATTCAGAGACATCCCAAGGTTTGTACTCTAAAGGCAGGCACAGAAATAAAATCATGATTCGTGTGCCTTAAAATCCATGCAATTTGACTAAAGCTGTAATTGTATTTCTTCCAAATAACTCTGAAGCTCTTCAAAATCCACAAATCAATGGAATTCTAAAAATAACTGATGCTACTAGTACTGTGTTCTAAAAAATTAAGTAATCTTTTTTTTCCTTCCTTCAAATTATCAGGTAGAAATTTGGGGGCCGGGCACAGTGACTCATGCCTGTAATTCCAGCACTTGGGAGGCTGAGGTAGGAGAAGCCTCTGAGCCCAAGAGTTTGAGACCAGCCTGGGCAACATAGGGAGATCCTGTCCCAGAAATAAATAAATTAATTAATTAACAATAATAGAAGAGGCCAGGCGTGGTGGCTCACACCTGTAATCAGCACTTTGGGAGACCGAGGCAGGTGAATCACTTGAGGACAGGAGTTGGAGACCAGCCTGGTTAACATGGCAAAACCCCATCTCTATTAAAAATACAAAAATTAGCTGGGTGTGGTGGTGGGCGACTGTAGTCCCAGCTACTCAGGAGGCTGAGGCAGGAGAATCTCTAGAACCTTGGAAGTGGAGGTTGGAGTGAGCCAAGATCATGCCACTACACTCCAGCCTGGGTGACAGAGCGAGACTCTGTCTCACAAATAAAATAAAATGAAATAAAATAAATCTGGGATTGGCCACATTGTACCCTTGGATCAAATAATGGATACCCTGGGCCAGGCACAGTGGCTCATGCCTGTAATCCCAACACTTTGGGGGCTGAGGTGGGAGGATGGCTTCAGGTCAGGAGTTTGAGACCAGCCTGGGCACCATAGAGAGACTCTGTGTCTACAAAAACTTCAAAAAATTAACAAGGCATGGTGTCTTGCGCTGTAGTCCCAGCTACTCAGGAGGCTGAGGTGGAGGATTACCTGAGCCTGTGAGTTCGAGGTTACAGTGAGTGACAATAGCCCCACTGCACTCCAGCCTGGGGTACAGAGTGAGACTCTGTCTCATTAAAATAATAATACAAATAAATAATAATAATGGACATACTTGGGTTAGAAATACTCCAATCTATAAAGATATACATACAATTGGCTTTTTTTTTTCTTCCCCTGAGACAGGATCTCTATCACACAGGCTGGAGTGCAGTGGTGCAATCTTGGCTCACTGCAGCCTCCACCTGCCAGGTTTAGCAATTCTTGTGCCTTGACCTCCCAAGTAGCTGGGATTACAGGTATGCCCCACCACACCCAGATAATTTTTGTATTTTTAGTAGATACAGAGTTTTGCTATATTGGTCAGTGGTATTAAACTCCTGGCCTCAAGTGATCTGCCCACCTCGGCCTCCCAAAGTGCTGGGATTAGGGGTGTGAGCCACCACTCCTGTCCCAGTTGGGTTTTAAACTGGTATTTCTCATGCTTCATGCAATGCACACACAAAAATTTTTTTTGAATTAACAATACTGTTTTAGTATGTGACTTACTTGTGTAAATCACAACTGTTTCAATATAAATGTGAATTATCACTTTGCTCAATCAATATTATCAGAAATTTACATTTGTACATTACCTTATAGCCTTTAAAGTACTTGAACAAATTAAGCCATATATAAAATTTTCAACACAAATCCGCCATAAAGATGAGTTTACCAATTTGGGGTACTGCTTTAGATTGCTGAAATATGCACAAAAATCTTTAGCTCTCTGATTTTATATAAGATATTGGCTTCTCTGTTACTTTCCTGACTTTATTAACAATTTCCTTGATTATAATCATTTTGTTTTTCTTCATGTGTCATGCCATTTTCAGGATCTGGTTATAAGATGCAAGTTTAGACTCTTTCCTACAACATCTACAACATTTGGAACCATAGAATATTGGAACCAGCAAGGATCTAAGAGATGGACATGATGCTGCCTTTATTTTTTTAGAAAACTAAAAAAAAAAAAAAAAAGTTGCTTTTGCTTATAAGTTGCTAATTTAAAATGTTTCACCGGGCACAGTGGCTCACGCCTGTAATCCCAGCACTTTGGGAGGCCGAGGCAGGCAGATCACCTGAGGTCAGGAGTTCAAGACCAGCCATAGCCAACATGGCAAAACCCCATCTCTACTAAAAATACAAAAATTAGCTGGATGTGGTGGTGGGTGCCTATAATCCCAGCTACTTGGGAGGCTGAGGCAGGAGAATCACTTGAACCTTGGAGGCGGAGGTTGCAGTGAGCTGAGATTGTGCCACTGCACTCCAGCCTGGGCAACAGTGAGACTCCGTCTCAGAAAAAAAAAAAGTTTCATGAAGCCCCTATCAATGTTTGTATTGAAATATGTATTCCAATATTTAGAAACTAATAACCGTTTAAGATACCATAAATTCCAGGATTGATAACTGCAAAATTGTTGGCAAAAATGTATCATGGTTCTTTGTTGGTCTGTCAGTTTTCTACTTTAGTAAAGCATGAGGATTTTGCAGTCAGATTGCCTGGATTTAGACAGCAACTCTACCATTTATTAGCAGTGTTACCTTGAGGGAAATTACTTATCCTTTCCCTGTACCTCAGGAGACATTAAATGGGTTAATATAGATAAAGCACTTAAAACAGTGCCTACCGTATAGTAAGCCCTCAAAAATATAAATTGTTATTTCTAAAATATTTGATGGTAATTTTAATGATTAAATTTTCTACAACTATAAAGTTTCTAATTTCAGTGATAAAAATGGGGAATTAAGATATCAGATAGACTGAAATAATAGATGGATGAATGAATGATCTGAATTTGGAATTCTGAGAGGTAAAATGAAGAGTTCAATGTTAAATGGCTTATTGGGGGATAAAAAGAAACAAAAGAAAAAATGAGGCCAGGCGTGGTGGCTCACATCAGAAATCCCAGCATTTTGGGAGGCCAAGGTGGGCGGATCACCTGAGGTCAGGAGTTCAAGACCAGCCTGGCCAACATGGTGAAACCCCACTTCTACTAAAAATACAAAAAAAAAGGAAAAAATTAGCCGGGCGTGGTGGCACATGCTTGTAATCCCCGCTACTTGGGAGGCTGAGGCAGAAGAATCTCTTGAACCCAGGAGGCGGAGGTTGCAGTGAGCTGAGATCGCACCACTGCATTCCAGCCTGGGCGACAGAACAAGACTCTGTCTCAAAAAAAAAAAATAGAAAAAAGAAAAAATGAAAGAGAAAAAAAGCCAAGGCTAGGAATTCGGTCCACAGACTTCTACTTTATGGTTCTTTCCACTTCTCTTTGTAGCTTTACATGTCATCTCTAGGAATGTAAAATACATAAGTGCTATGTAGCTCAACACATTATGAAAATATAAGTGATCCCCAAGAGTGTAGCTAAAACTGTTATTAGTAAACAGTTACTCTGATATTCTAAACAGGGAAACTATCCTTTAAAAACCAAAGACTTGATTTGCAATATAGTTTTGGTGTTTCCAGATTTCTGCCTGACTTTACACCCTGAAAATGGTCCCAGAACAATGACAATTAAGCCATAGGAATGACAACAAACAATTTAATGAAATTTCCAGAATGCTTAAAAAGAAACTTGCTTGGCACAGCCATACTTTCCAACAAACCCACTTTAAAGTTTTCACAGTTTACAATATCAGAAATGACCTCAGGGTCAGGCATTTGTCAGTTAATGACCTGTTGGGCTAATGGCCTTCAGCTTTGCCTTAGGCACATAAGTCCTCCAGTAGGTCATTAGCTGCCAGAAAAGGGCTCTTCCCAATCACTATGGCTAAATAAATAAAATTTGCTCCTGGGCTAAGACCCTATAAACCAACTTTGGCTTAGACTAAGTAAATTTTTTGTTGCGTATTTACAACTTTAAGAATTTAAGAAAATGATGGAAATGCTAAAACCAAAATTACATTAACATGACTGAGCTATATGTGGCTATCAATGAGGAAAGTAGTCACATAGACTCTTGGATGAGCTTAAATTTTCTTTTGCTTATGGTATTCAAATTCAGTTGAACCTCACATCATGGTTGGCCATGAGAAATAGAAATATATTGACTATGGCAATATTATATATAATACATTTAGCAACCTTGATCTTTGTAAATCCCATTTCCTACCTTCCAGAAGTAAAATTAATTAAATCAGTCTTCCCCCTTCATTTTTTTTTTTTTTTTTTTTTTTGAGACGGAGTCTGGCTCTGACGCCCAGGCTGGAGTGCAGTGGCGCAATCTCGGCTCACTGCAAGCTCCACCTCCCGTGTTCAAGCCATTCTCCTGCCTCAGCCTCCCGAGTAGCTGGGACTACAGGCGCCCGCCACTATGCCCGGCTAATTTTTGTATTTTTAGTAGAGATGGGGTTTCACCGTGTTAGCCAGGATGGTCTCGATCTCCTGACCTTGTGATCTGCCCACCTCAGACACCCAAAGTGCTGGGATTACAGGCTTGAGCCATCGCGCCTGGCCCCCCCTCCATTTTCATGGACATTTGCTAGATCTCCAAAGCCAGAGCGAGAAAAAAAATCTATTTTCAAGTTTGAGTGATTCAGTACTCTTCTTTTCCCTTTCTAATGGTCTCACCTGAGGAACTTTCTGAGTTAGGAGTTTACTAAGTACTGGGT
Organism: Homo sapiens; assembly: GCF_000001405.40. Lineage (NCBI taxonomy): Eukaryota > Metazoa > Chordata > Mammalia > Primates > Hominidae > Homo > Homo sapiens. The sequence continues at coordinate 107,261,117 of NC_000006.12, forward strand.
GGATAGACAGCTGATTCCTGCCTTCGCATCTGCAGCTGCCTATCTCTTCTCCATCTATCCTTTCTTCACTCCAGCAGGCTTGTATACTGTGTCTCTTTCTGTCCCTTCCCAAATCTCATGTTGAATTGTAAACCCCAATGCAGGAGGTGGGGCTGGTGGGATGTGTTTGGATCATGGGGGCAGATCCCTTATGGCTTGGTGCTGTCTTCACAATAGTGAGTGAGGTCTTGGGAGATCTGGTAGTTTAAAAGTGTGTGGCACCTCCTTCCCGTTGCTCCTGCTTTCACCATGTGACGTCCCTGCTCCCACTTTGCCTTCTGCCATGATTGTAAGCTTCCTAAGGCCTTCCTAGAAGCTGAGCAGGTGCAAGCACCATGCTTCCTGTAAAGCCTGAAGAACCATAAGCCAATTAAACCTCTTTTCTTTACAAAATTACCCAGTCTCAGGTATTTCTTTTCTTTCTTTTTTTTTTTTTTTTTTGAGATGGAGTTTCACTCTTTCCCCTAGGCTGGAATGCAGTGGCGCAATCTCAGTTCACTGCAACCTCCGCTTTTGGGTTCAAGCAATTCTCCTGCCTCCGCCTCCCGAGTAGCTGGGATTATAGGTGCCCGCCACCATGCCCGGCTAATTTTTTGTATTTTTAGTAGAGATGGGGTTTTGGCATGTTGGCCAGGCTGGTCTCGAACTCCTGACCTCAGGTGATCAACCTGCCTGGGCCTCCCAATGTGCTAGAATTACAAGTGTGAGCCACCGTGCCTGGCCCGTCTCAGGTATTTCTTTTCTTTCTTTTCTTTTTTTTTTTTTTTTTTTGAGATGGAGTCTGGCTCTGTTGCCCAGGCTGGAGTGCAGTGGTGCGATCTTGGCTCACTCCAAGCTCCGCCTCCCTGGTTCACGCCATTCTCCCGCCTCAGCCTCCTGAGTAGCTGGGACTACAGGCGCCCGCCACCACGCCCGGCTAATTTTTTTGCATTTTTGTAGAGACGGGGTTTCACTGTGTTAGCCAGGATGGCCTCGATCTCCTGACCTCGTGATCTGCCCGCGCGGCCTCCCAAAGTGCTGGGATTACAGGTGTGAGCCACTGTGCCTGGCCTGCCTCAGGTATTTCTTTATCGCAATGCAAGAACAGCCTAACACACTGTTCACAACTCGGTTAATTTCACCTCACGTAATCTCTAAAGTGTATATACATCCTCTTCAATCTTCATCCTCCAGTTTTCTATTCTTTCTCCTTTTACTTATTATTTCAGAAAAATTGCCACTCACCTTCTTGACTTCTACTTTCTCCTTTCAAGAAGACATAAACCAAGGATCTTCAAGTTGAGAAACATCAGAGGAAAGCAAGATTTCTCTCGTGCTAAGAAAAAGGAAAATTGGGCCAGGCAAGGTGGCTCACACCTGTAATCCCAGCATTTTGGGAGGCTTGAGGCGGGCAGATCACGAGGTCAGGAGATCAAGACCATCCTGGCTAACACGGTGAAACCCCACCTCTATTAAAAATACAAAAAATTAGCTGGGCATGGTGGCACGTGCCTGTAGTCCCAGCTATTTGAGAGGCTGAGGTAGGAGAATCACTTGAACCTGGGAGGCAGAGGTTGCAGTGAGCCAGGATCGTGCCACTGCACTTCAGCCTGGGTGACAGAATGAGACTCTGTCTCAAAAAAAAAAGAAAAAAAAAGGAAACTTGGCTGGGCACAGTGGCTTACGCCTGTCATCTCAACACTTGGGGAGGCCAAGGATCATTTGAGCCCAGGAGTTCAACACTGGCCTGGGCTAGATAGTCCGGCCTGGGCAAGGTAGTGAGACCTTGTCTCTATTACAAAAAATAAAGAAATAAAAATAATTAAAAAAATAAAAAAGGTAATATTAGAAATGAAATATGCATTAAAAAACCAGTGCCTACCCTCATCCTCTTATTAAACCAAATTTCCCTTTATATGTCAACATTTAAAAATAATTTAACAAATATTTCTTGTTCAGTTTGTTTTCCTATTTTATTTATTTGCAGGTATTGTAGAATGCAGATTTTTTTTTTTCTTTTTAAAAAGGGTGTCCTTGGCCAGGCGCGGTGGCTTACGCCTGTAATCTCAGCACTTTGGGAGGCCGAGGTGGGTAAATCACCTGAGGTCTGGAGTTCAAGACCAGTCTTGCCAACATGGCGAAAACCCATCTCTATTAAAAATACAAAAATTAGCCAGGCATGGTGGCAGGCGCCTGTAATCCCAGCTACTCAGGAGGCTGAGGCAGAAGAATCGCTTGAGCCCAGGGGGCAGAGTTTGCAGTGAGCCGAGACTGAGCCACTGCACTCCAGCCTGGGTGACAGAGCAAGACTGAAAAAAAAAAAAAGGGTGTCTTTGAATGCCAGGCATATGGAAGAAACATGTAAGCTGCTCTTGCTCTTTTTCCTTGTTGTTAGGTTTCTGGTTTGATACTCAGAGAAATGTCAATTTCACCTGATGGCATTTAACCTTCCTGTGCCAAAAAGCTACTACATTCCATTGTCTTGTGGCTTCAAAATGGGCAAAGTTCCAGGTTTTAATATTATTTAAAATTCGTCTTATTTCTAGTATAATTTGCACACACTAATCATTTATTACTTTCACTTTAAAGATCAAGGAAGCATGACCAGAAAATGGATACAGTCTCTGTTTAATATGTGACTATATTAGCAAATCAGAAAAAAACTGAAGAAGCTAATTTTGGGATTCTGAAATAATTTTATGATGGCATTTTGACTTTTCTAATTAATTGATATGGAGATAGTCTCTTTTACTGTTATACTATATGACACCCCACTTACCACCTTCTGCATCCCTTTACCCTAGTCATGCAAATCTACACTTGAGTGGGTTACATGTATAAAAAATATTAACCTTGGGTGTCAAACTAAAGAGCCTAAAAGATATTAAATAATTTCCACAAGTAAAATAGTGCAAGCAAAACTATAAACACTATCATAATAATGCCTATTTTAAATGCATAAGACAGGGAAAAACTTAATACATGTTTTTAGGTTTCAATTTAACATGAATTTGGAAGTAAAATTACTATAACAGATAAGACAAACACAAATAGACAATAGCATCTTTATTAAACTATATAGATGGTGTAAAGGGAGATTTATATGCATAAATTGAGCATATTTGTACAAACAAAATACTTCATTTTAAACAACATATTTACGCCTTTAGGAAAACAAAGTTAACATAAGGAAATACATCAGCTATGTAAAGAGTACATCTGTGCCACTGGTTATCCGGAAGTATAAATCACTAATGCTTAATAGAACAACCTCCAGGAGTGACATCATGACAATGCTCTTGGGTGTTTAGACAAGATCCAGGCTGACTCACAGTCTCCCATCTGATATATAGCAATAGGTCCATTAAATGAAAATGACTACAAAGAAAAAAAAATAACGTGATAAATTCCATTCTTTAAATACTAGGCTTATCATTATATATGTAAAGTAAAAGACTTTTCAAAAACAAGATGACAGGTAGTAATCCACACAGTCTTATTTGCACTGTGGCTTAATCCTAAATACAAACCCAGTCTAAATAAATACAAAGACCAGAGGAAGCCTGTTAATGGCCAGCTAGATTTCGAAATTATAGTACTTCTCCACTTCATGATTTCCCTTCCAATTAGTTAGCATGTCTCACTGATAGCTTGCTGCTCAAACACTAAAATTTTAGATTCTGGCATGACCACATCACTACAGCATCCAGTGATGTTCTACATGGACACAATATAGAGCAACTTATCCCAATGGAATCAGGAAATTTATGATTTAAAAAGAGGCATTCTGAGGTCTTTTAGTCCAGGTCTTTGTACAGTGAAGTACTAAAATAAAAACTTGCCCTTATGTTCCATAATTGAAAATGAATGAAAACCCAAGCATTAATTTTTAAATTCCCTCTTGAATTCAAAATCTTGTTAATTTGCATTTATGTGACTACAGCTATAATGGTAAGAAGACAATTACCAGAGGATTAATAAACAATTTCTATACTTGAAGATATTTAAAAATCTAAGTGTTACCTAAGGCAATTACCTTGAAGACCCCTAATATCTTCAGGGAAAAGCCAAAGGGAAAATAATTGACTCTGCTAATTTTACCCTTGGCAATTATAAAACAGCTCTGAATTTCATTTGACTGCAGAACCCTTCATCTAATGGCCTGCCCCATGAGAAGTACAGAGATAAACACATCATATAGAAATTCAGACAAGAATCCAGTAGCACAAGAAAATGAGAAATTGGTAGAATGAATAAGTCATAAAAAATTAAAGTTGTTACAAATATGCCAACTTTAATTACCAATATACATCCTCAAAGAAAAAGCAGGCTGTCACTGTGAAAAAACAGTGACATATTATAAACAGAAATTCTGTATTAAGTTTTGCCTGTTTCCTCTTGCTGTGGTATCTATTTATGTTGCTATTGTTGACAAATTTTCTTTCTTATAAAAGAAAACTAAAACATCATTAAATAGAATCTAACTTTACCAAGACATTAAGCATATGTAGAGATAAGAAAACTTGGCCAGGTGCGGTGGCTCACGCCTGTAATCCTAGCACCTTGGGAGGCTGAGGCAGGTGGATCACCTGAGGTTAGGAGTTCAAGACCAGGCTGCCCAACATGGCAAAAACACATCTACTAAAAATACAAAAATTAGCCAGATGTGGTGGTGGGCACCTGTAATCCCAGCTACTTGAGAGGCTGTGGCAGGAGAATCACTTGAACCCGAGAGGCGGAGGTTGCAGTGAGCCAAGATCGTGCCACTGCACTCCAGCCTGGGCAACAAGAGCAAAACTGTCTCAAACAAACAAACAAACAAACAAAACGCAAAAAACTTACTACACTACTACTTCAAAGAAATATTTATCGCCACCTCCTCCTTCTAAAAAAACCATAGTTACTATTATACTTAATCAACTTAAGCTTCTGGGAGCTCATTTGATAAAATAAGTCCTCTTCTGAGATATAACTTCACTTTCCTTAAATTATTCTGATGAAAATATTGCCAAGTATTTAAATGAAAGAAACTGGCTCTGAATATGGGAGATTTGCTTTATCAGAGGGAATTCCTGACTTTCAAGAACTTTAGTAATTCACAATCTCCTCAGTTTAAAATACTGTTCACCTGATTTGGAAATCATCTATTACGATTAAAAGAGAGCTACTAAAAGCCTTGATTTGGAGAAGATCAATTACAGACCCTGGGCATGGTTCTTAAGGTCTTTCACAAAAAGTGAACCCCTGAGGCATTTTTTTTTTTTTTTCTGAAATTGACCTGGTAGAGCCTTCAATGACCCTTTGAAGAACAAGGTGCAAAAGATTCACGTTTGAGATTAACAGGAGGGCTGCACAGAATAAAGCCTTCAATTCAACATACAACTATCAAATTCAGAAAAAAACATATCATAGCCTAAAAAGGAAAAAATTCCTCACCAGAGAAAGGTTGATAAAATGCAAATTTAAAGGTGTAAACCTGTGCAGAGACCATGAAGTTATGAGGCTCACTGAAGGGGAAGGAAATGCCAGATCATTCTTATTTCAAGAAGCTTCAGGCTGAATAGTTGCTTGGATATGCTAAGTTTTTCTTTTTCTTTTTCTAAATCAAGTAGTGCTACTGAAATCCAGTGCCTAATGGAGCAGATGGTGGAGGTCTTAGACTCTGGAACATTTATAGTGATGCTTCTGAATGCAAAACACCAAGAGTGGATTTCACAGGCTGTGAATCTGATTTGATTTTGATGGGAGTAAAGCTTCCATTTTCACTGTACTTGAACCACATTGAAAAAAAGCATGTGTGACTGACACAAGCTAGTTAAGAAAAAGGAACATGTTAAATATTAGTCCCATAAAGGGAAGCAGTTTAAACAAGTGATTATTTGTTTGTATCATTTAACATGATTATGTTTGTATACAATACCACCGTTTGAACCTTATGTAAGATTTCATCAGAATAGTTCAAAGTTAAAACAAATGATTACAGAAAACAAATAGAAATTTGTCCAAAGGCAACGAGTCTTGGTTTTCTAAGGTGGCAACTATACCGAGGCAAATTACCAAAATGTGGACCTAGGTACTATCAAGGTCCAGAATATCTCCTCCCCTCAGCTTTGTAGGTCTAATCCATGAACGGCCAGCCTGTGAAGCTAGAGCTGGTCATGTGCAGCTCAAGGTGTCCAGACACTATGTCAGATCTGCACTTTCTGAGGCCTCTTTCTTCTCTAAACAAGGGCTAAGTTTTATCACAGACCACTGCAAATATGGTGAAAAGGAGAGATGGATGATACAGTTTGTGAGTCCCAGGGGCAAAGAACCACTCACCTTCTGTTAACATGTGAATTCCAGTGAAGGAGAGAATTTAGTGGGACCCGTCAAAGTATACTATATGCATAAAGGAGAGAGACATTTGAGATGAAATAAAATAGAATTGGAGAGAGACATCAGATTCTCTTTCTTTTTTTTTTTTTTTTTTGAGACAGGGGCTCTATTGCCCAGGCTAGAGAAACAGTGGTGCATTCATAGCTCAATGCAGTCTCCAACTCCTAAGCTCAAGAAATCCTACCACCTCAGCCTGCTGAGTAGCTAGGACTAACAGCATGCACCACCATGCCTGTTTTTTGTTTTTTGTTTTTTTTTTCTGTAGAGACAGGGTCTTGCTATGTTGCCCAGGCTGGTCTCCAACTCCTGGGCTCAAGCTATCCTCCCACCTCCATCTCCCAAAGTACTGGGATGATAGGCATGAGCCACCATGCCTGACCAAGATTCTCTAATAGTCTGCTTAATAGGATCAATTCATTTTTTACTTTAGCTTTTAAAAAAATATGAATATAAATTAGATATTAAAGGTACCATACTACTTTCTCCCTTAAATTCCGCAGGTCTACCTCATGAGTATATGTGCTAGCCAAAAATGCAAACACATGATGAGAAGGTAGGGCAGAATGTTACTTGTCTCCTAGTATCTTTTATCTGTATCTTCCAGATTTTTGGCTGGATCCATGATGACCTACAATAAAAATTACATTTTCTAGCTTCCCTTACAGCTAGGTATGGCTATATAATTAAATTCTGGTCAACAGGATGTAAGCAGAAAAATCTCATATAACTTATGAGAAATGTCTTTAAAGTGTGAATACTATATAATTTATCATGCAAACTGGGACACAAGAGTAAAAAGAAGCGCTGAAACAACTAAAATTTTATACTTTTTGAAATATGTATTTATTTCAAAAACAAACAGCTGATTTTATTATATTGAAATAAATATGTATTTATTTCAAAAACAAACAGCTGATTTTATTATATTGGTGGACTCAACAGGTTCTATTCAAAAACTGTTTTCAAAAATAAAATTTCAAAAGAAATAAAAATAACATACATGTACATACAATAGAACAATAACTTCTTTATACTGATTATCTGAATATTTAAAAATAATGAGAATTATTATTGATGTATATCTACATAGTTTAATCCATTTCTTAGACATATCTGTCTCTAATATTGTGTCACTGGCATTTTTCTGAAGAATGTGTTCATTAAAATACAGTATTTAAAAATAAAACTGCCCGCAATATTCTTCACAGTTGCAGTTTATGGTTAGTTTGAAATTACTGATACTTTCAATTATGGAGAAAATTCTCTTTCTACAGGTTCTAAGTTACCTGATAAGTTCAGAGTAAATTTGCTAAATGGAGGACATAATTCTAATTTTAAAAATGTTGAACAGTATAAATATTTCAGCCCAAATATTTTTAGAGGCACTCTCTTTTTGCTTCCATCAGAGTATCTTACTTTAACAAATAGTATTTTTTTTTTTTTCCATACGGAGTTTCGCTCTTGTTGCCCAGGCTGGAGTGCAGTGGTGCGATCTCGGCTCACTGTGACCTCAGCCTCCTGGGTTCAAGCGATTCTCCTGCCTCAGCCTCCCAAGTAGCTGGGATTACAGGCATGCACCACCATGCCCTGATAATTTCAGGGTTTCATCATGTTGGTCAGGCTGGTCTCGAACTCCCGACCTCAGGTGATCTGCCTGCCTCAACCTCCCAAAGTGCTGGGATTATAAGCGTGAGCCACTGCACCTGGCCTAACAAATATTTTTATAAGACAAAACTTGTCAAATAAGTTGTCTCTATGATTCTTTTCAATGTTTTGCCAAATTTAGATGGTGCAAAATCTAGGCCTTCTCAATCTCATTTCGTGTGTCTGTGTGTGTGTGTGTGTGTGTGTGTGTGTGTGTGTGCAATTTATTCAAAGTAGGAGCACCACCAAGATTCTTCCTGCAAGGTGAGACATTTCAAATCGCAACTACAGAACTGAAAATTTTAATCTTGTATATCGTTTGAGTTGTTACTGTTTATATCATTCCTTCTTTGCTTTTGTCAGGAAAAATTCTAATGGAAGTTTTGTTTTGTTTTCATTAATTGTAATTCCCTAAAAGTCTCATGTAGTGTTCTGTTTATTGAATACTTGATTTAAGATTCTCAAGTGATGTTGAACGAAATGCTGCCAATTATTATTAGTAGTAGTAGTAGTAGTATTTTTTGACACAGAGTTTCACCCTGTCACCCAGGCTGGAGTACAGTGGCGTGATCTGGGCTCACTGAACTGAAACCTCCACCTCCTGGGTTCAAGTGATTCTTGTGCCTCAGACTCCTGAGTAGCTGGAATCACAGGCATGCACCACCACCTCTGGCTAATTTTTGTATTTTCAGTAGAGACGGGGTTTCACTATGTTTGCCAGGCTGGTCTCAGACTCCTGACCTCAAGTGATCCGCCTGCCTTAGCCTCCCAAAGTGCTGGAAATACAGGCGTGAGCCACCGTGCCCAAATGCCACCAAACTTTTGATGACCCATTTAGAATAAAGTTCAATACCACTGTTGGGGGCACAGATTGATTTATAAAGATTTCTAAAATCTGATCAACGACAGACAACAAAGAGAAAAGGCACATACTGCTCTGCTGAAGTGTATTATTATTATTTTTTTTTTGAGACCGAGATTCGCTCTTGTTGCCCAGGCCGGAGTGCAATGGCGTGATCTTGGCTCACTGCAACCTCCACCACCCAGGTTCGAGCGATTCTCGTGCCTCAGCCTCCCAAGTAGCTGGGATTACAGGCATGTGCCACCACACTCGGCTAATGTTCTTTGCATTTTTAGTAGAGACGGGATTTCACCATCTTGGTCAGGCTGGTCTCGAACTCCTGACCTCAGGTGATTCACTCGCCTCAGCCTCCGAAAGTGCTGGGATTACAGGCATGAGCCACCGTGCCTGGCCTGAAGTGTATTTTTCATCTGACATCCACCGTGCCTGGCCTGAAGTGTATTTTTTATCTGACATCAGTTACAACTCCCAAATCATATAGTTCAGTGACTGTGACTATTCAGATATTTGTAAATTTTGATGTAACAATAGCTTCTATTAAAATAGAAGACTTTTGGTGCTTGTTTAGATGTAATGATCAATTGTGTGTGTGCCACAACCAATGTCAACTACTCCACAGGTTGCTTAACGTAGTAAAAACATTGTTTTTACCACAACACTGTGCTTCACCAAAATTTGTACTTCTATTGTTACTATAAACTAATAATTTTATTTTCTATATTGAACTTTTAAACTGAATTTCCAATCTCACTCACAAAGGCTTTATGTTTAATAGAATATACTTCCAAAAACTTTACCTTAATCCCATGAATGAATGGAAAGAAAAAAACCAAACCATTTGTAGAATTAACTTAAATGATTTACTTACTTGAAATACCTGATGACACTGAACTAAAACTGGAATTATTTAACTGCTTTCAAAGTTCTTCTACTGACAATGATGCAAAAGAACTATTGCTTCCCTTTTCCTATATACACATAAACACTTGTAGTTGATAATCAGTGCAATCACTTAGCATAGTCATTTCTCTAAATATAAGTTATGTTGCAGAGTCGTATGCATATATACCTTCTGCAACTGCATAAAGTAGATCCTGACACTTCTTCAGCAGACTTTACTCTTCTTGTTTTCATGTGGTCAATGATAGATACCACTATGGCCTCCACAGTGGTTGGTAAATGTCAACAAACATTTTGTTCAAGTTATTAATATACATTCCTTATTAACTTTCTTAAGAAAAAAAATCAATACTTAAAAAAATGAAACACATACTTCTAGTTTTTTCAGTTTACTGCTGCCAAAAGGATTTATTGCAAAAACAAAGTATTGCCAAGCAATAAAATAGTTATAGATTTACACTGTACAAGCAAGTGTGCTCATTCTACACTCTACTTGCTCCCTAGCAGAGCTGATCAGCCTTGATTTCCCATATATATTTTACAGACACCCAAACCTATAATTTACTGTTTCCCACTGAACTTATCAACTGGTATCTGGCAGCTTTGTGACTCTTGCAGGCCATGCATGGGCTACAGTACAATTGGGTGACACACTACACAGCCAGCTTCTCCCACCACCTGATACAGGAAAGAGTTAGCTGCCCCTAGACATTTGTGTCTGAGTGCACTTTACTGTATTAGCAATTGCCCTGCATTCTGTCCTTGATTGGGAAGTGTTAGTTGTGTCTGAAAGGGCTGGGAAAAGAGGTAAGTTATTTCTGGTATCTTTCAGATTTCCTAACAACTTAAAATGAAGCTGGGCACAGTGGCTCATGCCTGTAATCCCAGCACTTTGGGAGGCCAACACAGGAGGATTTCGTGAGCCCAGGAGTTCAAGACCAGCCTGGGCAACATGGCGAAAGGCAAAAGCCCGTCTCTAAAAAAAAATACAAAAAATTAGCCAGGTATGGCTGTATGCACCTGTGGTCCCAGCTACTTGGGACACTGAGGTAGGAGGATTGCTTCAACCAGGGAGGTTGAGGCTGCAGTGATCACGCCACTGCACTCCAGCCTAGGTTACAGAGTAAGACCCTGTCTCAAAAAAGAAACATTAAAAAAAAAGAAACAAAAAAAAAAAAAAGGACAACTGATAATGAGAACTCTCTCCACTGTGTAAGGGTCTCAGAATACTATTACATTACATTACACAAAAACAAAAACAGAGGCTGGAAGTACTAAGTGGGGATCTACCAAATTCATCCCAGCTTATTCTAATATAATTATTAGTAATAATTCTCTGTTAAAAAATGAAAAATTCAGGATAAATGCTAAATCAGATGGGATCCCAGGATAGCTGGCTTACACTGAGACTCTCCTTTAGCAAACTAGGATGTACACTGATCCAACCTTCAAAGGAAGGAGATCTGCCCTTTTTTTGTCCTTCCTCGTTCTATTGACTGGAGGGAAGCCATAATGGCAAATGCCTCGGGCCATGATGTGGTAAGATAAGGATGGCAAAACAGTAAGACAGAAGGAGCCTGGATCCCTGACTTTGCAGACTCACTATACCAACTTTTGACTGCCTACTCCTAGATGATTTTACATGAGAGAAAAAATACATTCCTATCTTATAGGGCACTGTTATCTTATAATCAAACCTAATCCTAACTGATATAACAAGAAATACCTTTATAACCTTTCCAGAAAGCAGATTGGCAATATGTATCAAGAATACTAAAAATGTGGCCAGGCGTGGTGGCTCATGCCTTAATCCCAGCACTTTGGGAGGTTGAGGTGGGAGGATCGTTTGAGGCCAGGAGTTCAAGACTAGCCTGGGCAACACAGTGAGACTCTGTCTCTATAAAAAATTTAAAAATTAGCCAGCCAGCTACTCAGGAGGCTGAGGTAAGAGATCGCTTGAGCCCAGGAGTTTGAGGCTGCAGTAAGCTATGATTATGCTACTGCACTTTATTTATTTTTTTTATTTTTATTTTTATTTTTGAGATGGAGTATCACTCTGTCGCCCAGGCTGGAGTGCGGTGGCACAATCTCAGCTCACTTCAACCTACCAGGCTGGAGTGCAGTGGCATGATCTTGGCTCACTGCAACCTCTGCCTCCCGGGTTCAAGCGATTCTCCTGCCTCAGCTTCCCAAGTAGCTGGGATTATAGGCACGCGCCACCACGCCCAGTTAATTTTTTATTTTTAGTAGAGACGGGGTTTCACCATGTTGGCTAGACTGGTCTCGAACTCCTGACCTCAGGTGATCCACCTGCCTCGGCCTCCCAAAGTGCTGGGATTACAGGAGTGAGCCACCACACCTGGCCTTTAACCTGGGTGATACAGTGAGACCATGTCTCTATAACAAAAGGAAAAAAAAAACACTAAAAATGTTTAACCCTTTGAACCACTTCTAGGTCTTTATCTTAAAGAAATAATCTGGAATAGGGAAAATTGATATGCAAAGATCTTTACTGAAGATCTACTTATGATAGTAAAAATAAGAAGCAACCTAAATGTCCAACAATGAGGAATCTGATAAACAAGTGGTATTATATCTAAGTGACTGGATATTATAGAAAAAGTTATAACCATGGGAAGATGCTCGCATCATAATATTATGTAAGAAAAAATAGGCAGGATTAAAAAACCTTATACATAGCAAGTTCTCATATATATTACAAAAAATTACATATATAAAGGCATTAATGAACAACAAAAAAAGACTACAAGGAAATACATCAAGATATTAACCAGCAGTGATTATCTCTGGATAGTGGGATTATAGGTAATATTTACTTACATTTTCTTTGTTTTGAAGATTTAACCCTATCCTATAATTAATAATTTCATCCATAATCAGAAAAAAAATTACTCTCAAAACTCTTTCCTAGCATTTACACTTTGCCTGGTACTAACACTGCCATCATTATGTTCATCACAGTTTTACTGTTTACTGAGCATGTACATGAGGGGAGTTGGGGCAGCCGGGCACACAGACCTGCAGCTCCAGCAGCCAACTAATTGCTACCTGAAGCCATTCAGGTACAACAAAACCCTGCCCAATTTTACCTTGGTGTTCTGTAGCAGAGCTAGTCCATTGCAGGCATTTGCTAGAAGAAAGTCTCCACTCAGGATAGCAATTTTATTTCCAAATTGCATGTCTTTCAGTGGACCATCAGATGATTGCAACTCATTTAAATTTACTATCCCACGATGTACAAGGAGAGCAATATGAATTAGCTCCGTGATCTCTGCCAAACTTCTTTGACTAAAACATAAAGGTAAGATTTGTTAGAATATCAAGAACACCATTTTATCACTAATGTCTGATTTCAGTTTTCAACAATAAAATATTCCATAGGTTGCCCCCCACTTTTTTTTTTGGATTATATCTTTCTAATGAATCTTTAAATAGAGGTCTCTCTACTGAGCAGTTTGGGATCTGTAAGATGTTGACACCTTCCTTCTCTGTAATACTCCTCACTCTTCCCCACAAGTCACTAGGATATCCCAGACAGAAGTTGACCAGTGGAGGGCCACCTTCCACAGCTCCATTTAGATACTGTGCTCTTGGTATACTTTCCTCACGCTCATAACTTCAAAATTTCTAAGACTCCTTAGTAGTGTCTAATGGAATTCCAATTTAAGTGAGAATATAATCTGTGCCAGATACTAGTCTAAGGGCATTACATACATTATCTCTCTCTCTTTTTTTTTTTTTTTTTTTTGTTTAGATGGGGTCTCACTCTGTCACCCAGGTTTGAGTGCAGGGGTGCAATCTCAGCCCACTGCAACCTCCACCTCCCAGGCTCAAATAATCTTCCCACTTCAGCCTCCCGAGTAGCTGGGACTACAGGTGTGCGACACCAAGCCTGGCTAACTTTTGTATTTTTGGTAGAGATGGGGTTTTGCCATGTTACCCAGGCTGGTCTTGAACTCCTGAGCTCAGGTGATCTACCTGCCTCGGACACCCAAAGTGCTGGAATAACAGGTGTGAGCCACTGCTCCTAGCTACATTATCTCTTTTAATCATAAATGCAAAGCTATGGGGTTTACAGAGATGAATACAATATGGTTTCTTCCTTCAAGGACTTTTTAACTTTCAGAATAAGAATGAAGAGAGAAACCTATAGTAGCAAATAATATAGAGAAGGCCCCTGAGGAGCTTGTAGTATAGAACTATATTTATTACACGGGAATTTCAGCAGATGTTTGTTCCTTTTTTATACTTTTCTGTAGTTTGTCTATTTTGTACAATGACAAAAGTATTACTTTTATAGTCAGAAAAAATCAACAGGTAATTACTAAAAATTTAAACATTATCACAACTTCATGATAGGTATTATTAACGTCTTTTAATAGGTGAAAAAATTGTGCACACAAGTAAAATGATTTTCCCAAGAGTACACAGTAATGTAGACCTGAAAATCTGTTGGTATCTGCTACAAATGGCCCCATGTGAGTCATGTCTTTTGGTTTCCAAGCTCCTGCATGATCCCCTTCCATGCCTGGCCATGTGACTTGCTTTGGCCAATAGGACATCAACAAACAGTACACAAGGAAAGCCTGATAAGTGCCTATGCAACTGATAAGCTTTTCACAGTCACAGGCGTTGCATGACCCCAAGCAGAAGAACACTCACGTCAATCCACAGAATGGTAAGTTGTTTCAAGTCACTAAACTATATGGGTGATTTGCTATGTAGCAACAGATATCTGATACAGAAATGGTATATCTATAAGTGGAGTGTTTGCTTTGAGTCAGAAAAATGAGGCTAGGAGGCAAAGGCTGAAGGAATGGCAAACTCTTAGTGGAAGCTGGAAAGCTACTCAGCTGCAAGTATAAACTGTATCTTACTGAAAAGGGAAAATAGGCCAGGTGCAGTGGCTCATGCCTGTAATCTCAGAACTTTGGGAGGCCCAGGTGGCAGGACTGCTTGAGGCCAGGAGTTCAACATCAGTTCAGGCAACATAGTGAGACCCTATCTCTACAAAAAATTAAAAAATAAAAATTAGCTTGGTGAGAGGGTGCACGCCTGTAGTCCCAGTTACTTGGGAGGCTGAGGTGGGACATCACCTGAGCTCAGGAGTTCAAAGTTATAGTGAACTGACTGCACTATTGCACTCTAGCCTAGCACAGAGTGAGACCCTATCTCAAAAAAAAGGAAAGAAAAGAAAAGAAAAGAAAAGGAAGCTCAGAAGGTAGAGCCAAGAACAATGGAGAAGAGTGGATTCGAGAACCATTTCCAGGGAATAGAACTGAGCCCTAATCAAGAAACATTCCTTGCTCCAAGATACAGTAGGTGGCCCAGATATATGCCCAGCTGGATTTCAGAATTGCTACAGACTAGTGACTGCTATGTACCTCCCATTTCTCCCTCTTTTTAATGGAAGTGACAACTGTGGTTATCTTCTTTCTGATTCACTGTTGCATGTTGGATAGACGGTGGTGTGTGGTTGGGGGGAGGGTGGATAACTTGTCCTTTTAGTTCCTAGGTCCCTGACTGAAGAGGGGCTGCACCCATGGAGCCACATCCATATCGAGACCTAACAGAAATCATGAGATCAGGGACTCTGAGCTTGATGTCATAAAATGGATGAGACTGGGGTCTTGGGAGGTGGTCTGTTTTGCATATGGAAGGAATGTGAAATATTGGGGCCAGAGGGCAAACTGTGGCAGAGTGTTACACCAAGTTACACTTATCAGTCACACCCTCTGATATCCAAGCCATGTATGATCTCCTTGATTGATGCTGAGTTTGACCATATGACTTGTTTGGTCAATGGGACATCGGCAAATGAGGGACAAACAGGCTTGATAAATGTTTTTGCATTGGGGCTTACACTCTTTGAATGCTAACCTGAGACTACAAGTTAAGAAACCTAATCTAGCCTCTTAGAGAATGAAAGGCAACATGGAGAAAGGTCCAGCTGTCCCAGTCAAGCCCAGCCCCCTGCACATTTACCAGGTAAACACAGACACATAAATAAATACAGGAGAAACCAGCAAAGGAACAGTCCAGCCAAACAACAGAATTATGAGAAATAAGTTGGTTATTGTTTTAAGCCACCAAGGTTTGGAGTAGTTTGTTACACAATAGATAACTAACAGAGACTCCAATCCCCAATCTATTTCTACTAGATTAGGCTGCCTTCCACATGTGCCCATTGAAAGCTTCTATCTTTCCTTTTTTTCTGTAGACCTCATCTGTGTCACAAAAGCTTTAAAAAAGTTTCCTTGAAGAAGCTAAATTTGAGCGGGGCCTGGAAAGGCAAGTAAGATTTCCATAGCTGGAGAAAAAGGACAAAACAAGAGTAGGGCTTGGGAACCCCAGAATAAGAAAGACTACACATCATGACACAGAGAAGGCAAGAGTAGAAAACGTGACCAAAGGTTGAAAAGATCAGTTTGGCTACAGTAAAGGGACTGTGTGGATAAGTGAGAGATAAGAATTTTGGAGCTTGGTTATAGCAGGTGAAATGGTCTATATTTTACACATGCAATATTTTGAGATGAAAGGATGATATATATTTTTTAATAATTTAGGAAGAAGATTCCAAAGGTGATACATAGAAAAATCTTAAAAAGTATGTAGGGAAAGTAGGGATATGGGGTGGGGGAGCTATTACAAAGGTCCAAGGAAGATGCAACAAAAGGGCTTGACCTAGGACACCGCCTTAGACATGGAGAGAAATAAATATAGAATAATCAGGCCAGGCGCGGTGGCTCAGGCCTGTAATCCCTGCACTATGGGAGGCCAAGGCGGGTGGATCACCTGAGGTAAGGAGTTCGAAACCAACCTGGCCAACATGGTGAAACCCCGTCTCTACTAAAAATACAAAAATTAGCCAGGCGTGTTGGCGGGTGCCTGACTAATTTTTGGGAGCTACTTGGGAGGCAGAGGCAAGGAGAATCACTTGAACCCGGAAGGCAGAGGTTGCAGTTAGCTGAGATTGCACCACTGCACTCTAGCCTGGATGACAGAGCAAGACTCTGTCTCAAAAATAAATGAATAAATAAAATAAATAAATAAATAAATAAATATAAAATCATCAAATAATATATGAGACTCCTCTTAAAAAAAACAGAATGGTTTAACATCTATAATAATCACATAAAGATACAATTAAAAGAACAAATTGGCATTATCAAATGCCAAGGAAAATCTCATGTCTAATTGATTTCCTTTGTTAAAAAAATTAAGAGAATATGTAAAGATGACCCAGTAGACATATTGTACTTGATTACAAATTTGGGGAGTAGAGAAAGGAAATGAACCAGTGAGTCAAATAGTATCTAAGAGTAAATTCATGGTTTAGATTAAAATCTCATTATATCCCAAAGAAAATCACTAAGAATGGAGACTTATAAGACAGTTGAAAAGTTAACAGAAGACATTTTTTTAAAGTAGAACATTTAAAATTACCGTTTAAAAAGTGACTAAAAGAAAGGAATAAAATTGTATTTTATTACTATCCTGCGAATGATTTCTAGTTTACAAAACCATTCACTGAAAAAAGTCCGCATTATCACATTTCACAAAAATCACATAATGAGATTATGGGCAAGTATAAAAGTAAAAAGCGTTAAGCATTTGGACAAGTTTTTCATGCAGTTCAGTTTATGAAAGAAAGTAATAACCAGGTAAGCAAAAAGTTGTGGTGTTTTGAATTACTCAAAGGATGAAAATGAGTGATTTTGACATCTATAGTCATAAAACAGCATTCATTAAATAAATAGAAACTTTTAAATGCCACATGACCAGAAACAACAAAAACAATGGTATGCAATAATAAAAGTGAAAGCCCATCATTTTTACAGGGTCTGCCATTTAAAAAAACCTTTCATTTATATTATCTACTTGTGATTCTAATTACAGAGGTCTGCAGAGGTTAAATACTTGATCAAGAACACTGAGTTTATACAAGGCAAAGCTGGAACTCAGAGCCACCTTGTCATAGTAACAAATGACAATTTAAAACATCTAGCTGGGCTCACGCCTGTAATCCCAGCACTTTGGGAGGCTGAGGCAGGTGGACCACTTGAGGTCGGGAGTTCAAGAGCAGCCTGGCCAACATGGTGAAACCCCATCTCTACTAAAAATACAAAAATTGGCTGGACATGGTGGCGCATGTCTGTAATCCCAGCTATTTGGAGACTGAGGCAGGAGAATCGCTTCAACCCGGGAGGCGGAGGTTGCAGTGAGCCGAGATCACACCACTGCACTCCAGCCTGGGCAACAGAGTGAAACTCTGTCTCAAAATAAAAATAAAAATAAAAATAAATGTTTATTTACCTAAGGAATAGTAGATCGTTGGGGAGGGGGAATAAGCCAAAGTTATCAATGTTACCATCACTGATATATGCCACAAATTTGTCCAATTTTTATCCCTAGTTTTGAAGCAACAGGGAAGGGAATGTTGCTAGGAAAAAAGTATATTAAGAACAGGCTTAATTCTTTTTGTTTACAGTAACTGGGGAAGGTCAAGTTGTTTGAATTCACCAGGATGAAATCAATAGTTTTAGCCTAATCAGGAATCTGGATAACAGTTCTACTTCTGCTTATTACATAAGACAATTCATGGGCAAATCCCTTAAATCAGACCCGTGGTCTTCTTGTCCCTGAAAGGAGGGGGACTGGAGCAACACATCCCTTCCAGTCCCCAAATTATAAGATTCAGGGATTTTTTTAAAAAAAGAGTTATCTAAACTGGCAGTTAATAGTTAAAAAGATTTAAAAAAATGATTACTATTATTGGTACCTATTTTTCTATAGGAAATAGGAGTGAAATGACTGGTCGTCTTTAAATCTATCCTGTAATTTCACTCTCTAGTACTGTGCTCTCAGATTCTAAGATTTTATCACCAGATAAGTAACTCTGGATCATATTTTGTAAGAGTACAATTTAGTATATGTCAGAGAAGCATTGACAGTATGAAAAAATTTGAGAAAAATTTCTTCTGGTGATCTTATTCCTATTTTAGCTACCCAAAGCAATCTATTAAACTTTCAATGCACTGGATTTTTAAAAAATTATCTTAAATAAAAGTCTTCATGCCGATTTATGTACATATATTTTAGTACTCTTGAATATTTCTCATGCTAACTCTTTTTTTTGAGATGGAGTCTTGCTCTGTCACCCAGGCTGGAGTGCAGTAACGTGATCTCGGCTCACTGCAACCTCTGCCTCCCAGGTTCAAGCAATTCTCATGCGTCAGCCTCCCGAGTAGCTAGGATTACAGGCATGCGCCATGATGTCCAGCTAAGTTTTTTGTATTTTTAGTAGAGACAGGGTTTCACCATGTTGGCCAGGCTGGTCTTAAACTCCTGACCTCAACTGATCCACCCACCTCGGCCTCCCAAAGTGCTGGGATTACAGGCCTAAGCCACTATGCTGGGCCCTCATGCTAACTCTTGATTAGAAAACAGTCACAAATAAATACAACTTATGTTAAGTAATCAGAGTAAGAAAGTAATTACCATATTGAAAGATTAATAAATGTTTTTACAAGATTTTTCACCAAATCACTTTCTTTCCATTATATGTTAAAAAATTTCATCTGCTTTTGATCTGTCCATTTTCCTCCAAAGCTTCTCAAATTTTTTTAGCATCCTAAGCTTCAGAAATCAGGGTGGCAGACATTGCTATTAATATTTGCCTATCCATTCATTCCTGTGTTTGCGCCACTGCACTCCAGCCTGGGCAACAGAGACCCTGTCTCAACAAACAAACAAACAAACAAACAACCCAAATTGTTACTTATAATAACTTGAAATCTCTTCAAATGTTTTGCATTTAAGTTGATGTTAAAATAGCAGAGTTAATTGTGTTTTGCCACGCAGACAAGGGAGATAAAAGACAACGGAGCCTGCTTTCTCTCTATCTTCTTTCCTTCCCTTTATTCTTTTTGAGAGGTTAAAAATATACAGAAAAGTACATACTCTTGACTACATTTGGAGTGGCAATGGTCCTCACTTAAAAACCTTACCTCCTCATGATCCCCTTCAGCTAGATGTGATCATGTGACACAGTCTGGCCAATGAAATGTAAGCACTAGTCTACCAGGTGGGGTTTCTGAGAAATTTACTGAGTTCCTGATATAAGGGAACAGATTCAGTTGGTGTATACCTTTGATATTTTGGGCTTACCCATGTTCCCTGACTGGAATATGGCCCAGCTGCCTGGAGGCACAGTAGAGACTTAAGGATCCTAAAGAGGGCTCCCAACCCTCTAAACCTCCTAAAGAGGGTTGGGGGCCCTCCTAAAGAGGTTTAACCCTCTTTAAGCCTGGTAGAGCAAAAAGAATTTTGAGCCCCTGCTGACTTGAGGGCTGCATCAGCTCTGATGTGTCCACCTCTAGACTTCTTGTTATCTGAGATAAACACTGCACTCTTTCAAGTCACTGTTTGTTAGAGTCTTGTTGTAAGTCTTGTTAGAGTCTTGTTATATGCAGCCAAATACATTCTGAGAAGTTATAGTCAATAAAAATTGTGACAAAAATAATAGACATCTCATGTTCATAATTCTGCACTCTGGTTTTATTCACCTAACATTATCTCTCAGAGACAGTCCTGTATCATTTAGAAGTAGAGGATCTCCTTTTTCTATTTAACATCGCTACTGAGGTCCACTGTATGAAAGTACCATACAACTTTTGGGGCTAAAGGGTTTGTGATCAATATTATTTTTTGTCTAAAGACTTTTTAATAATCAGACCATGTGTAACTTCTTTAACTTTCCCAGAGTTAGAACTCTTTCTTCTGTGCATGAAAGCCTTTGAATATGGCTCAGTCTTGTATTGACTTGACTGTAATTATTTCTTTAGCTATCTCTCTCCCTGCCACCCCCTTCCCTCACGACACTGTAAATTATACTATCCTACTTCCCTAGGCTGCCTATAAATATCTGTTAAATGAACAACTCTTTACTTAGCAATTTATTTATTTATTTATTTATTTTTTTGAGACAGAGTCTTGCTCCGTCACCCAGGCTGGAGTGCAGTGGTGTGACCTCAGCTCACTGAAACCTCCACCCCCTGGGTTCAAGCAATTTTTCTGCCTCAGCCTCCCTAGTATTTGGGATTACAGGCATGTGCCACAATACCTGGCTAATTTTTGTATTTTTAGTAGAGATGGGGTTTCGCCATGTTGGCCAGGCTGGTCTCGAACCGCTGACCTCAGGTGATCCACCCGCCTTGGCCTCCTAAAGTGCTGGGATTAGAGGTGTGAGCCACTGCACCCAGCCACCATTAATGTATAAAGGCTATAGGGCATCACTATCATTCTTAGTTTCAAAAGGGAAGGAATGACATAAACTAAAAAGTAGGGTTTATAGAATCAGAGTTGGAAGTGACCCCAGAGGTCAGTTAGTCTCTATGTATCCCCATACAGGGATTAGTGGTAACTACTTCACAGGAGCCATGTCAGCTGATGAACAGTTTTTATTTTTAGAAACAGGGTCTCACTCTGTAGCCCAGGCTGGAGTACAGTGGCGTGACCATGGCTCACTGTAACCTCAAATTCCTGGGCTCAAGTGATCCTCCTGTCTCAGCCTCCTGAGTGGCTAGGACTACAGGCACATACCACCATACCTGGCTGCTTTTTTTTTTTAATTATTTTTTGGGGCCGGGCTCCGTGGTTCATGCCTGTAATCCCAGCACTTTGGGAGGCCGAGGCGGGTGGATCACGAAGTCAGGAGATTGAGGCCATCCTGGCTAACAGGGTGAAACCCCGACTCTACTAAAAAAAAATACAAAACATTTACCAGGCAGGGTGGCAGGTGCCTGTAGTCCCAGCTACTCAGGAGGCTGAGGCAGGAGAATGGCGTGAACCTGGGAGGCGGAGCTTGCAGTGAGCTGAGTTCGTGCCATTGCACTTCTGCCTGGGCAACAGAACAAGACTCCGTCTCAAAAAAAAAAAAAAAAAGAAGAATTTTTTTTTTTTGTAGAGACAGGGGTCTCCCTATGTTGCCCAGGCTGGTCTCGAACTTCTAAGCTGAAGCAATCCTTCCATCTCAGCCTCCCAAAGTGCTAGGGAAACAGCTGTGAGCCACCGTACCCAGACTGATAAACAGTTTGGCTGGGTGTGGTGGCTCACACTTGTAATCCCAACACTTTAGGAGGCCAAGGCGGGGAGGATTGCTTCGCCCAGGAGTTCAAGACCAGCCTGGGCAACATAGGGAGACCTCATCTCAATGAAAAATGAAAAGAAAAAAATTAGCCAGGTATGGTGGTGTGTGCCTGTGATTCTAAGCTACTTGGGAGGCTGAGGCAGGAGGGTTGCTTGAGCCCAGGAAGTTGAGGCTACGGTGGGCTGTGTTTGCAACACCGCACTCCAGCCTGGGCGACAGAGTGAGACCCTGTCTCTTAAAAAGAAAAAAGAAAAAAAGAAAAAAACCCACCAGAATCGTTCCTTATAATAACCTGAAATCTCTTCAAATGTTCTGCATTTAAGTTGATGTTAAAATAGGAGAAGAATTGTCTGGGCGCGGTGGCTCACGCCTGTAATTCCAGTACTTTGGGAGGCTGAGGTGGGCAGATCACTGGAGGTTGGGAGTTCGACACCAGCCTGACCAACTTGGAGAAACCCTGTCTCTACTAAAAATACAAAATTAGCTGGGCGTGGTGTTGCACATCTGTGATTCCAGCTACTTGGGAGGCTGAGGCAGAAGAATCACTTGAACCCAGGAGGCAGAGGTTGTGGTGAGCTGAGATCGCGCCATGGCACTCCAGCCTGGGCAACAAGAGTGAAACTCCATCTCAAAAAATAAATAAATAAATAAATAAAAATAGGACGGGTGTGGTGGCTCACGCCTGTAATCCCAGCACTTTGGGAGGCCAAGGCAGGCGAATCACCTGAGGTCAGGAGTTTGAGACCAGCCTGACCAACAGGGAGAAACTCCATCTCTACTAAAAATACAAAAAAATTAGCCAGGCATGGTGGCTCATGCCTCTGATCTCAGTTACTGAGGCAGGAGAATAGCTTCAATCCAGGAGGTGGAGGTTGCCATGAGCCTAGATGGTGCCATTGCACTCCAGCCTGGGCAACAAGAGCAAAACTCTGTTTCAAAAATAATAATAATAAAATAAAAATAAATAAATAAATAAAAATAAAATAGGAGAAGAATTGTGTTTCGCTATACGGACAAGGGAGATAAAAAGACAATGGAGCCTTCTTTCTCTCTCACTAGCTTCCTTACCTCTCTTCTTTTTGAGAGGTTAAAAAAATACAGAAAAGTACAGAGAATAATATTTACATAATCTTCCACTTAGAAATAATAAATATTTACACTTTGTCATTTTTAACAGCTTTTAAATATGCTTTTTTAAAATTTTGGGAATTTTCAAACATATAAAAGTAGAAAATATTGCATCAAGAACATCTGTGGACCCAACATCCAGCTTTAAAATTTGTTAACTGGCTGGGCGCGGTGGCTCACACCTGTAATCCCAGCACTTCGGGAGGCCAACACAGGCGGATCACCTGAAGTCAGGAGTTCGAGACCAGCCTGGCAAACATGGTGAAACCCCGTCTCTACTAAAAATACAAAAATTAGCCTGGCGTGGTGGCAGGCGCCTGTAATCCCAGCTACTCAGGAGGCTGAGGCAGGAGAATCACTTGAACCCGGGAGGAGGAGGTTACAGTGAGCCGAGATGGCGCCATCACACTCCAGCCTGGAGGACAAGAGAAAGACTTCGTCTCCAAAAAAAAAAAAAAAGAGTTGTTAACCATAGTTAACCTTGTTTTAGCTACACCCTTCATTCCTCTTTCAGACTTTGAAGTAAATGCCAGATATGTCACTTCATCTGAATATTCTTCGAAAACACTATTTTAAAAAGTGCCTAATAGTGATTATGGCAACTACTTACTAAATTACTCTGAGACAATTACTGTATGCTGAACACTATGTAAAAATATTTTTGCAAAAATAACTCAATTAACAGGTTAATAAACAAAATAATATACAACTCACAACAGCTCTCTGAGGTAAGCTTTATTATCTCTTCCGTACAGAAGGCAGCTAGGCTGACAGGCTAAGTAACTTGCCCAAGTTCACACAGCTAGTTAACTGCAAAGCTGGATTCAAGCCCAGGACTCTGGTTCTAAAGCCTGGGCTCTTTGCATATCAATAGAAAACTAATAAATATCCCAAACACAACATGTGCAAATTCAGGGTCTTTCTAAAAATATTAAAATGATAGGCAAGAGTCATCCATTTAAAGTCATTTTACTTGAATCCTAAAATTTGTTTTTAAAATTGAAAAACTGATTTTTATGTTCATATGGGAAGAATAAATTTGAAAATTACAAAAAAACAAAACTTTGGAAAAAAAATAAGAGGGCTGCCGTTCTAGATTTTAAATCTTACTATAAAGTTACTGCAGTTTTAAAAAGTATAGTATGGCTGGGCGTGGAGGCTCACATCTGTAATCTCAGAACTTTGGGAGGCTGAGGCAGGAGGATTGCTTCAGCCCAGGAGTTTGCGACAAGCCTGGGGAACATAATAAGACCCCATTTTGAAGAAGAGGAAGAAGAAGAAGAAGGAAAAAAAAGTATGATATCACAAGAATAGACTAATAGATTAGTGAAATGGAATCCAGAGAGAGATTCAAATGCAAATGAATAATTATTTACGATAAAAATAACAATTCAAATCATTAGGGAAAAGATGGATTATTCTTACAAATGATATTGGGGCAATTGGCTATCATTTATGAGAAAAAAATGTTAGATCCCTATCTTACACCATAGATAAAAACATATTTAAATGGATTAACCATCTAACTGTGAAAAGCAACACTATAAATTTAGGAAAACATCCTTATGGACATGGGGTGAGATAGTTTTGCAAAACAGAATAGGAACTCAGGAAGCTACAAAGAAAACAAAGGATAGGGGGCTGGGCGCACTGGCTCATGCCTGTAATCCCAGTACTTTGGGAGGCCAAGGCGAGTGGATCACCTGAGGTCAGGAATTCGAGACTACCCTGACCAACATGGCAAAACCCCGTCCCTACTAAAAATACGAAAATTAGCTGGGCTTGGTGGCGGGTGCCTGTAATCCCAGCTACTCAGGAGGCTGAGGTGGGAAAATTGCTTGAACCCAGGAGGCAGAGGTTGCAGTGAGCCAAGATCTAGGCTGGAGCCTAGTCAAGGAGCAAAACTTCGTCGCAAAATAAAAAAAAAAAAAAGGAAAGAAAAGAAAACAAAGGATAAATTTGAGGAGTTAAAATAAACAAAAAAGTTTAATACTAAAATATACCATAGGCTGGGCGCAGTGGCTAACGCCTGTAATCCCAGCACTTTGGGAGGCTGAGGTGGGTGGATCACTTGAGGTCAGGAGTTTGAGACCAGCCTGGCCAACATGGTGAAACCCCACCTCTACTAAAAAAATACAGAAATTTGCTGATTGTGGTGGCGGGTGCCTGTAATCCCAGCTACTCGGGAGGCTGAGGCTGGAGAATTGCTTGAACCTGAGAGGCAGAGGTTGCAGTGAGCTGAGATTGCACCACTGCACTCCAGCCTGGTTGACAGAGTGAGACTCCATCTCAAAAAAATAATAAAATAATAAAATAAAATATACCATAAAAATAATGAGGCAAATACAGACTTGAAGTACTTGCAATAAATACAATAAACAAAAGATTTATATTTAAAATATATGTGAAGCTTACCCAAATAAGTAAGTTAAAGAAACAATAGCAACATGGGAAAAGGTACAAAGAGGTAATTCCAGAAGAAATACAAGTGGCCAAAAAGTATGTAAAATGATGCTCAACCTCACTAATAATTTAGAAAAGAGTGGCCAGGTGCGGTGGCTCACACCTGTAATCCCAGCACTTTGAGAGGCCAAGGTGGATCATGAGGTCAAAAGATCGAGACCATCCTGGCCAACATGGTGAAACCCCGGTTCTACTAAAAATAGAAAAAATTAGCTGAGCATGGTGGCACGCGCCTGTAGTCCCAGCTACCCGGGAGGCTGAGGCAGGAGGATGGCTTGAACCCGGGAGGTGGAGGTTGCAGTGAGCCGAGATTGTGCCACTGCACTCCAGCCTGGTGACAGAGCAAGACTCCGTCTCAAAAAACAAAACAAAACAAAAAAAAGGAAAGTATTACAATAACAATGAAATAACATTTTTAGTTCATTGACTTTGCAAAAATGAAAAAGATCAAGAAGATACAGTTTTGGTGAAGGTAGAAATTGGGGTCTCACACTGATGCCCCAAGAGCCAAATAAAGCCCACAGACATACAATTTGGCAAATAGCATTTCCAAAACTAAATTGAATTGGAAAGCCTTTGGAGCCAAGCTCTTCAGCTTGCCACAGTCTCCACCACTTCCTTTACCTTTCACATTCGCTTGAACAGCCTGACCCTTGAAGGTAGCCACTCACAGGGAAATTTCCCTGAATATACTACTGTATTGGACCTTAAGTTGGTACAATCACTTAGAAAAGTATGGTATCTAAAAAAATTAAAAATATGCATACCTCTTGACCTATGATACTCTACTGAAACAGCATAATTTTATATACCCACATAAACATTTTTTTAATTAAAAATTTTCATTTTATTTTTTTTGAGATGGAGTCTTACTCTATCACCCAGGCTGGAGTGCAGTGGTGCAATCTCGGCTCACTGCAACCTTTGCTTCCTGGGTTCAAGCAATTCTCCTGCCTCAGCCTCCCAAGTAGCTGGGATTACAGGCATACACCACCACACCTGGCTAATTTTTGTATTTTTAGTAGAGACAGGTTTTCACCATGTTGACCAGACTGGTCTTGAACTCCTGACCTCAGGTGATCCACCGAATCAGCCTCCCAAAGTGCTGGGATCACAGGCGTGAGCCACTGTGCCTGGCCCAAATTTTTATTGTATTTTAAAATTAGAGATGGGTGAGGTGGCGTGTGCCTATAGTCCCAGCTATTAGGGAGCCTGAGGTGGGAGGATAGCTTGAACCCAGGAGTTCAAGGTTGCAGGGAGCTAGCATTGCACTACTGCATTCCAGCCTGAGCGACAGAGTGAGATCCTGTCCTCTAAAGAACAAAAAAACAGTGAAATAAGAATAAAAATTAGAGATGGGGTTTTCCTATGTCAGCAGGCTGGTCTCCAACTCCTGGCCTGAAGCAATCCTCCCACCTCGGTTTCCCAAAGTGCTGGGATTACAGGCATGAGCCACAACATGTCCGTCCAACATGTTTGTTTTTAATAGTGTACATTACATAGTTTGGTAACAACAAATAATTAGAAACAAGCTAAATGTCCATTAATGTAGTACAATACTAAGTAGAAAGTAAAAAGAATGTGGTACGGCCAAATCTACGCCTTCAAAAGTTGGTAAGTGCAAAAAAAATATGAGGGCTGGAATATTTGTCTGTTTTTTCCATTATTCTATCTCCATTGTGTAGTTCAGTGCCTGGTAGGCCCTCAAGTCTTTGTTATATGAATGAATGAATGAGGAGCACAAGTTGATTTTCGGAGAAAAAGGAAAAACAATGAGAAGGAAGAAAAGAGGACAGGCAGGGAGCAGGAAATGCAGATGCTGAGATTATGAACTTTTTAATAGACTTTTTTATTTTTGGACGTTTAAACAGATTTAGATTTGGAGGGAAGTAGGGGATAGTCATTGGACAGTAGCAGACAAGCCCATCTAATACAGACAGGAGCACAGATGAGATTGGACTTGTGACTGAAGAGGGCCTTGAAAAGAGCAAGCAACGAGTTTAGGTTTTTCTAGAGCAGTATGGGGTCATTAAGGAGGGGCTGGACAATATGAAGATGCCGGGACGAAATTGTTTTTTTTTTTTTTTTTTTTTTTTGAGACAGAGTCTTGCTTTGTCGCCCAGGCTGGAGTGCAGTGGTACGATCTCGGCTCACTGCAACCTCCGCCTACCGGATTCAAGCGATTCTCTGCCTCAGCCTCCCGAGTAGCTGGGATTACACGTGTCCGCCACCAAGCCCAGCTAATTTTTTGTATTTTTAGTAGAGACGGGGTTTCACCATGTTAGCCAGGCTGGTCTCGAACTGCTCACCTCACCTCTCAGGTGATCCGCCCACCTCGGCCTCCCAAAGTGCTGGGATTACAGGCGTGAGTCACCGCGCCTGGCCGAAATTGATATTTTAAGAAATGGAGGCCGGGCGTGGTGGCTCACACCTGTAATACCAGCATTTTGGGAGGCCAAGATGGGCGTATCACCTGAGGTCAGCAGTTCGAGACCAGTCTGGCCAACATGGTGAAACCCCATCTCTACTAAAAATACAAAAATTAGAAGGGCATGGTAGCAGGCACCTGCAATCCCAGCTACTCAGGAGGCTGAGGCAGGAGAATTGCTTGAACCCGGGAGGCAGAGGTTGTAGTGAGCCGATATCGTGCCACTGCACTCCAGCCTGGGTAACAGAGCGAGACTCTGTCTCAAAAAAAAAAAAAAGAAAGAAAGAAAAAGAAATGGAGGCCAGGTGCAGTGGCTCATGCCTATCATGCCTATAATCCAAGCACTGTGGGAGGACAAGGTGGGTGGATTGCTCGAGCCCAGGAATCTGAGACCAGCCTGGGCAACACGGCGAAACTATCCCTAGAAAAAATATAAAAATTAGCTGGACGTGGTGGTGTGCCCTTGTCCTAGCTACTCAGGAGGCTTGAGGTGGGAGGATCACTTGAGCCTAGGATGTCGAGGCTGCAGTCAGCCAAGATCATGCCACTGCACTCCAGCCTGGGAGACAGAATGAAACCCTGTCTCAAAAACAAAAAGAAATGGAATATGCCAGTATAATCCAGGATGTGGAGCATGGGGAGAGATGACTATGACTGTCAAGAAGATCAGGCTACCACAGCATAATTTCAGAGAACTCTAGTTGTAAAGAGCCCATGAGGCCAAGTAGTGCAAGCTCATTAGGGAAAGTCACTCAACTTCTCCTGGGCTCAAGCAATCCTCCCGCCTCAGCCTCCTGAGTAGCTGGGACTATAGGTGCACACCACTAAGCCTGGCTAATTTTTTTTTAAAAAATGTTTTTTGTAGAGACAGGGTTTCACTTTGTTGCCCAGTCCAGGCTCAAACTCCTGGCCTTAAGCCTCGGCCCGTGATTACAGGTGTGAGGCACCATGCCTGGTCCTATTTTAGTATTTCCAGTGACAAGGAGCTGATGACTTAATGAGGACACCTATTCTGTTAAAACAGTTTTGTAAGAAGTTTATTTCTTTACACCACGATTTGCCAAACTGTAACTATCACAAAGTTGTTTCTACTTTTCTAATAATTTAGGAGTGAAATGATTAGAATGTGAACTCTAAGGTGACAACAGAGGTACACGGGGAGTGATACAAAATAATCTCATGGAAGAACTGCAGTATTGCTGTGTGACTAAATATGGAGGATAAATGAAAGATACTTTTTAGATGTGAGGCTGGAGTGGTAAAACGGTAGCAGAAACGAGGCAAGCAGGAAAATGAAACCACCAGGTCCGTTGCTCTTCTGCTCAAAACCCTCCAGTGGTCCCTATCTCACTTACTTTGGTAAAAGCCAGTCCCTATAATGGACTCCAAGTCTAATACAATCTGCCACAATTTCTCCACCCCCCGCCTCTCTGACTTCATTCCCTTTGCTTTTCCCCCTCATTCACTCTCTTCTGTGACACTAGCTTCTTTGTTATTCCTTAAACATGCCAAGCCTATTCTTGCCTCAGGGCCTTTGCCCTTTCCTCTATCTGGACTGCACTCGGCTTATGTATCTACAAGGCTTAGCCATTCACCCTCTTGAGGTCTCTGCAAAAGTGCACCTCTCTCTACATAAGGCCTTCCCTGGGCAAGCCATTTACAATAGCAACCCTGTCATCCTCATCAGCATTCTCGATCCCTACTTCCTGCTTTTTTTCCCCTCCATAGCTCTTATTGCCATGTGACATACTAGCTTTTTTCCCCCCACTTGTTTGTGTTTTATCTCTCCCCAAAGTCCCAAAGAACAGGGCAAATAATCAGGGTGGGAGCAGACGGAGAAACAGAGAAAAGCAAAAAAATTTCTAAAACATGCTTCAATAATATCAAGCTCAAACCGTTAAAAAAAAAAAAAGCATGTGAGCGCTAATGAAAAGGAAAAGCATACATACTTTTGTAAACCTGTGCCGGGTAAAAGAATCTTTCGTGATGATAACCTTTAACTAATTATAAGTGCCAAATATTAATTTTTTATAAGTAGACTTAAAGTCCTAAGAGTCATTCAATTTAAGTTGTGATAATTAGATAAACATAAGGATTTTCCTATTTTGTCATTTATTCATGTTGATAACTTAAATTAAAATGGAACTTTGTATTTGGGGTTGGCCATGAGTATATCATTCAAAATTCATCTTATTTCATTCTTAAATTTTGAAATGAGAATTCTGATTTTATTTTATAATTTTTTTTTTTTTTTTTGAGACAGGGTCTCACTCTATCACCCAGGCTGGAGTACAGTAGTGTTATTGTAGTTCAATATGACCTCAAACTCCTGGGCTCAAGGAAGCCTTCCACTTCAACCTCCTCAGTAGCTGGGATTACAGGTGCGCGCCACCATACCCAGCTAATTTTTAGTTAGTTTTTTTTTTTTTTTTAAGTAGAGACGGGGGGGTCTCACTATGTTGCCCAGGCTGGTCTTGAACTCCTAGCCTCAAGTGATCCTCCCACCTTGGCCTTCCAGAGTGCTGGAATTACAGGTATGAGTCACCATGCACAGCCTAGAATTCTGTTTTTAAAAATAGGGTAGGAAAATGAAAAATCTCAACCATGAGAGGCCAAGTGCCAGCTGGGCACGGTGGCTCATGCCTGTAATCCCAACACTTTGGGAGGCCAAGGTGGGAGGACTGTTTGAGCCCAGGAGTTTTGAGACCAGCCTGGGCAACATAGAGAGACCTCATTTCTATTTAAAAAAGAAAAGAAAAAAGAAAAATGCCAAGGCTGTAGGCCGTAATAAAGATGACCTCCAAGTAGTGATCAAGTTACAGGTTCAAGGGTTGGAAAAAATGACCAGGCCTTACTTCCAGCTCTGAGCACACACACTAAGCAATTGCTGAGGGTACTGAGAGCTCTGTGTCTCTTTTAGAAAAGCTCACCCACCATTCTAAGTTATAGTATACAGAAAAGAAGCAGAAAATAAAAAGTCTCTGCAGCTGGTCTCAGTTCAAAGAGATTAGATACTTCAGTCTATGTTAGAATCTTGCATGCCATGAAAACACAAGGTCCAAAAGTGAAGAAAAACAAATATAAAGACAAAAATCTTTTAAGTAGTACTTCAATTAAAAAAAAAAAAAACCTTTAAAACAAAAATTCTCCCATATTCAGTGCTGTAATTTAGAACTACTGGTACTTTTGCAGAAATATAATTTTAAAATAATCACAGCTTAACACAAAGACTTGCATTCATTTCCTCCCCTCTTGATTTATTTCCAAAAAAGAAAACTCAGTATTGATGTGTTCTGTAATTAACTCCCTCCATACCTGCCAGCCAATCTACAAAGAAGTAAGATGCCTTTGGTGGTGGTAGTCATACTTGAAAGAGCAGAGGGATGTTGGGACTCAGCAAGGAGTCACCATATTTATCACTAGAAATTAGCCAACCAAAAAGAAATTTGTATTGCATGGTCTCTTTATGCATGAACATAATAAAGCTCTGCTTAGTGATCAATGAACACACCTATGAGAGTACTTTAATAAAGAATAACCAAGCCAGGTGACTTACTATATTTAAGAACATTTTTCTAAATGCTGTTTTGAATAACTGAGACATACACTTGATACTGTCAACACATAATTATCCTGCAGGTCAACCAGATGCTTATGAGGAGGAGGAGGGGCAGCTAACTAATAATAATCTCTGGTTTCTAGAAACAGTTATGTGGGGCTCTTATCTGCCAGAGGAGCAGAGAGAAAGCCTAGCTAGGCATCCTTATCTAGGTTTCTAAAAGTACTTTGGGGTTTGCATGTCACAAAAGGGGTTAAAAATACTTGAGACTACCAAAAAAGCCTAACAAGACATCTGGGTGCGGCGGCTGTCACTGTCAGGGCAGCCCTTGGAGGGAATACCCGTATCAATTCGGTTTATCAGATGGACAGCTGATCAACATTAAACAGACTTGCTCTGGGCAGACTGAGCTGAGCTTCCTGACATGAATTCCAATGAAAGCCCTCCGTACTCTACCACTGAGCTCTGCCATTTTTCACTGTTGCAGCTCCCTGGACATATGGGAATCCCTAGTGATGAGCACATAAAGCTGCCTCTAACTCAAGTGACGGCTCATTTCCCCTGGCTGAAGGCAGACATTAATATCCTGAGGAGATCAGACCTGCCTCTCTGACCCCCATCTACCGAAGCAAAACGACTGTCCTATTTCTTTCTTTAATAAGCTTTTAATGAAGAAAACCCAGACCCCCTCTCTGACTGCAGCACAGTTTTACATGAAAAGGTTATACAAATACATCACATTCTGTGTCAAAGTTTTCCAAAATATCTGTCCCCCTCCCCACTGGAGAGCAGATTCTATCACTTGCCCTCCCATAGTGCTCATGCTTTCTGCCGCGGTACGGGAGTTCAGTTCTCTGCTCTGATAATTACGAATTGTATCCATGGTCTGGCAGGTGGAGGATTAAAGAACTGATTACAAAGAGCACACTGGAGTTTCCATTTTCATTACAAACCCCTTTCTTCAAGGGTTTGTCATTTAGCTATGAAAACTGCTTCAGGCACAACTGGACTGGGAGAAATGACAGTCCACTGACAACCCAGAGAGTAAACTAGAAAATGCTGCTGAGCAAAATCAGCATATGAGAAAGCTAAAAATATTTGGTGAACTGGAGTGGGCATACATACTTTGATTTTAGAAGGGGTAGAAGAAAAGATGTGTGATAGCAGATGAAGAAGACAAGCAGGCTTTTACCTATGAATACTGGAGACTGGATCAAAATAAGGGGGATCTCAATCATTATTAAAGTTTAGTGACAGGACCAACGCCAACTGCCAGGCATTGAGTTCTGAATTGCTTCACAAGAGGCTGAGGTTTGGGTTTTCTCTCCTTTAGAGAGCAAGCAGGGGTTAGGAAAAATGTGAAGGCTGCATGCTAAATGGGGCACAGTAAGCACTGTAGGAGGGAAATGTCATTCTGCAAAGACCTCTCCAGCTAAATAACAAGAGGCAGTGATGGACCAAAGAGGGAACCTTGGCAGGCTTCACTTAGGCCATCAAATGTGTCTGAGGCTGGGAAATGTGAAGGTAAGGTGGGAATAAAGGGGCAAAGATCTGTTTCCAATGAAAAAGAGTGTCAGGGCATAGTCTATACAGTGAGAAGCTTAAAATTAGATTGCATGCTCTGCTACCTAATCAACCTAGGTATCTAGAGACACAAGAACAAATCCTAAATGTCCCCCCAAATACTTCACCAAGTATTTTCATGTATAAAAGTTGAGAAATTCCTCAGAATTTTTTTTTTAATTAAAAAAAATTTTTTTTAGAGACAGGGTCTTTCTATATTGTCCAGGCTGGTCTTAAACTGCTGGCCTCAAGTGATCCTCCTGCCTCAGCCTCGTGAGTAGCTAGGACTGCAGGCTCATGGCACTCTGTACTAGGCTTCTCCTGCATGTTTAAACCATAGACAATAGGTGCCATTGGCAGGTACTAAGTGTACAGCTTAATGCGTAACTCATAACATACTATGTCCCAGATATTCTGATTTTTAAAATATAGTATCTCATTTAATCTTCACCAAGTATAGTTATTAGCCCTATTTTACAGATAAGAAAATGGAAATTCAGATATATTAACTGATTTGCCCAGGGCCTTATGACTAATAAGCAATGGGGCTAGATTTGGACTAAAATACTTTTGCTGAGGTAAAATATAATTCATCTGCTAACAAACCTCATTGCCTCCCTAAAGAAACAATTTTTTTTTGTATAATGGAATAATTGTGGGTAGCATTTACAGTCTGTCACTAGACACAGGGGTTCTGTTCTTTTTTTCTTTTTTTTGAGATGGAGTCTCGCTTGGTCACCCAGGCTGGAGTGAAGTGGCGTGATCTTGGCTCACTGCAACCTCTGCCCCACTGGGGTTCAAGCGATTCTCCTGCCCCAGCCTCCTGAGTAGCTGGGATTACAGGCGCACGCCACCAAGCCCAGCTAATTTTTTTGTATTTTTAGTAGAGATGGGGTTTTGCCATGTTGGCCAGGCTGGTCTTGAACTCCTGACCTTAGGTGATCCACCTGCCTCAGCCTCCCAAAGTGCTGGGATTACAGGCGTGAGCCACCGCGCCCGGCCAGTTCTGTTCTTAACATCTGTTATACTGTGGACTCCTTTGGCAATCTGGTGAAACCTAAGGATTCTACTAAGAAAAATGGTTTTAAACACATAACATAAATAAGATTATGAAGGATGCCAATTATGTTGAAAATAAAAATGTAATCATTTTTCCATCCAAGTTCATTGATCGCTGAATTCAACCCACATATTCCCTTGTGGGTATCTGTGAAAACCAGGTAAGTACTCTTGTGAGGAAATAGGAGGGGATGTGGGGATGAAGTGTCCCCCGCGTTGGCTAAGTGCTTTATATAGACTGTTTCATGTAATACCTCCAACAACCTGATAAAGAGAGAATCATTAAGATTTTATATGGAGATAACTTAGATTTAGAGAGGTCAAGTTATTTGCCTAATGTCACTCCAAGAGTGACCAGCACAGCCAGTGTGACCTGTGAATCCATGCTCCTTCCATTTTACCAAATTGCCAGGTAAATGTTGGGATGGGAAGAACATGGGGGTGGGGAGAAGGAAAAAGTTTGATTGGCATCACGCTACAGCAATAAATGGTCTTTTATTCCTTGACCTTATGAAAAGCCAGAAGGGAGTGACCCTAGAATAATTTTTTTTAGAGAAAAAAAATGACAACAGGTACATAACAGATTATATATCTTTTTGGTAAATAGTCTGATGTTCAATACCACCACCACCATCATCCTGTGGGAAGATTATGCATCTCCATGCTCTTAAACTCAAGTAAGGGTATGTGAATTGCTTTTGTCAATGAGAAGTGAGTTAAAAATGTCATTTCTAAGCAAAGCTGGGTCGTGGTTCACCTGGTCTCTTTTCTGACATGAGACCAGTAATGTTCCAAATGGAGGGCTGCTCCATCAGCCTTAGTCTAGGAGTAAGGATGATATGGATATGACACCTGAATAACAAGTGGACCTTTATTTTGTGAGTCATTGAGACTTCAGGGCCATTTGCACTGCAGCATAACCTAGCCTACCCTAACACATGGTGAGAATAGTCCTGAGCCTTTCCTTTGTCTAGTATGAAAGATCATGTGTACTACGTGTATGACAGAGCTGGCATTACGTACTAAGGGAGTAAGGCATTTATATGATGCCTTTGAAGCATGAGTATGAAAGATGTCAAAAATGAAATATTTATTTTTCTCACAGCCTTATATCTCTTTATTTTTGTATATAATGATTGAAAACACTGGACTCAATGGGGCATGGTGGCTCACGCCCGTAATCCCAGCACTTTGGGAGGCTGAGGTGGGTGGATCACCTGAGGTCAGGAGTTTGAGACCAGCCTGGCCAATATAGTGAAACCTCGTCTCTACTAAAAATATAAAAAATTAGCTGGGCGTGGTGGCAGGAGCCTGTAATCCCAGCTACTCAGGAGGCTGAGGCAGGAGAATCACTTGAATCCAGGAGGCGGAGGTTGCAGTGAGCCAAGATTGTGCCATTGCACTCCAGCCTGGGCAACAAGAGTAAAACTCCATCTCAAAAAAATAAATAAAATAAAACAAAATAAAAAAATAAAACACTGAACTCAATTCATCCTTTACCCAAAATAGAGTACTGCATACTTAGTAAACATTCCATAAATACTTTTTGCATTGTTATTGAAGAATGCCTGGTTTAAAAAAAGGTTATTCAACACTATGTTTATACCTCATCACAAATTTGAAACTAGAGAAAAATACGAAAATGAAACATTTAATGGTGTTGTAAGAGAAGTGGAAATCCCAAGAAAAATTATTTTCCCCTCAGTGCTTGACTGCCACCATCCACAAAGCACTGCATAGAGAGTAAACAATTACAATGGTCTAGATCTGGGAAGGGAATTAACAGAACATCAGATGGGCACTGCAGCAGGGGCCTCTCACATGGGCATAGACAAAGGAATACACCCCATCCTAACCAGTGGATGACATGGGGGTAGTGACAATTAAAAGACCAGTGTTTCCCAGAAAGGCTTCCCAAATCTCAGTCAGTCTCAGATTTAATGTTTATGCCTCAGTAAATATGAATTGCTTTTTCATAATCCTCTATTAAAAGTGCTCTTAGGGTACATATACAATATCCCTCCTTTCCTAGAAAAAATACTCCCAGAAGTATCTGGAAAACATGTAAACAGTATTTTTGGAGGTGGGAGTGAATTTTTTTTTTTTTTTGAGACGGAGTCTTGCTCCTGCCACCCAGGCTGGAGTGCAGTGGTGCGATCTCGGCTCCCTGCAACCTCCGCCTCCCAAGTTCACACCATTCTCCTGCCTCAGCCTCCCGAGTAGCTGGGGTTACAGGCGTCCGTCACCATGCCCGGCTAATTTTTGTATTTTAGTAGAGACTGGGTTTCACCATGTTGGCCAGGCTGGTCTCGAACTCCTGGCCTCATGATCCACCCGCCTCGGCCTCCCAAAGTGTTGGGATTACAGGCATGAGCCCCTGTGCCTGGCTGGGAATGAATTTAAGGCTCATGAAAGGATGAAGGTGAGATGAAGATTATATTGGAAACAAAATTTTATTTATTTATTTATTTATTTGACAGAGTCTCACTCTGTTGCCCAGGCTGGAGTGCAATGGCGCAATCTCCGCTCACTGCAACCTCCACCTCCCAGGTTCTAGCAACTCTTGTACCTCGGACACCCGAGTAGCTGGGATTATAGGCGTGTGCCACCACTCCCAGCTAATTTTTGTATTTTTAGTAGAGACAGGGTTTCGCCATGTTGGCCAGGCTGGTCTCGAACTCCTGGCCTCAAGTGATCCTCTGCCTTGGCCTCCCAAAGTCCTGAGATTACAGGTGTGAGCCACTGCCCCAGCCAGAAACAAAATTTTAAAAAACAAATCATAAATAAAATCAGTATGATGTGAAAAAGATATGAGAAGGAAAACTGGGATAGTGCATTCAGTTATTATTCCAAAGCACACTACAAATTATATGAATCCCCTATTGAGAAGAAGTAGCAGAAAGTGAGAGAAAGGTAAGGAATGAAAAGAAACACACAAACACATATAGTTGGCCATTGGTATTGGTGGGTTCTACATTCCTGGATTCAACCAACCACTGACAGAAAATACTTGTACTGAACACGAGCAGACTTTTTTCCTGGTCATTATTCCCTAAATAATCTAGTATAACAACTATTTACATAGCATCTACATTTTACTAGGTATTATAAGTAATCTGAAGATGATATGAAGCATACAAGAGGATGCACAGTGGTTATATGCAAATATAACCATTTTATATCAGAGACTATACCATTTTATATCAGGGACTTGAGCATCCAAGGATTTTGGTATCCAAGTGAGATCCTGGGACCAAGATCCATGAATATTGAGGGCAACTGTATATATACCTATATACATAGTGTAGCTTTATATACATACATGTGTGCATAGATATGCATGTGTATGTATGCATATATGTGTGTGTATATATAGGCATATGTGTTTGTACAGATGCATACATACATACATAGTTGGCTAGGTTTTAGTAAAGAGTTTGAAATCCATAAGACCTAAATGTTCTCATCCTAAGAGGTGGCCTGATCTCCCATGGGATCTGAATTGCAGTAAAAAGAAATGAGCACTCTTCCATAGCAAATGAAGTTAACAAGAAACATATACCAAATAGGACCAGGCATGGTGGCTCACATCTGTAATCCTAGCACTTTGGGAGGCTGAGGCAGGCGAATCGCCTGAGCTCAGGAGTTTGAGACCAGCCTGGGCAACATAGCAAAACCCCATTTCTACTAAAAATACAAAAATTAGCTGGTGTGATGGCACAGGCCGGTAGTCCCAGCTATTAATACTTATGGGGCTGAGGTGGGAGGATCGCCTGAGCCTGGGAGGTTGAAGCTGCAGTGAGCTGAGATCGTATCACTACACTCCAGTCTGGGTGACAAAGTGAGACCCTGTCTCAAAAAAAAAAAAAAAAAAAAAAAGAAACAAACATATACCAAATAAAGAATTAAAAGAAAAAAAACCCTCTCAGAACATTTTTTGAGATCCCAAATTCAAATTCCAGTTGTGTCTTTTTTTAAATACACTCACAGATGAGCATTATCTCATTCAAAGCAGAGAGCCACAGTGGTCTTTGTATCCAACCCAGGCATCTCACTATCTTTATTTTGCTAGATTAGCAGGATACTAAAAGTTAAAAAATGTTTTTAAAAATACACTGGTTTCCAAAGGAACCCGAAAATCCAGGAGACAACGCTAGCTATTCCTGTGAACCTCTAGAGGATCTGCACCTGCTCTTCAAGCAACAACCATGAGGAAAGTAACTAGAATTGTAGATCCCCATGGCCCTCCCTTGTCATAATTTTTCTCTTTACTGTTCTCTTACCCCCTTTCACACTCACTGCACCTCCTCCATGCTGCTGTACTACCAGTAGCTCCCCTTACCAAGAGCTTCTATGAAGAATGCGGCTTCCCGAATATATTAATGCCCCATTGTATAGGAGTTTTTCTAAATGAAACCCCACTTTCACCCCCACATCCATATGCCCCGCAACTGCTATAACTCTGCCACTCTTTGCATGCAAGCAAATACTCATTATTGGACAGGGAAAATAATTACTCCCAGTTGTCCTGGGGGCTTGGAGCCACTGTCTGTTGGACCTTACTTCACCCATACCAGTATGTCTGATGGGGGTGGAGTTCAAGATCAGGCAAGAGAAAAACATGTAAAGGAAGTAATCTCCCAATTGACTCAGGTACATAGCACCCCTAGCCCCTACAAAGGACTAGACCTCTCAAAACTACATGAAACCCTCCATACCCATACTCACCTGGTAAGCCTATTTAATACCACCCTCACTGGGCTCCATGAAGTCTCGGCCCAAAACCCTACTAACTGTTGGATGTGCCTCCCCCTGCACTTCAGGCCTACATTTCAATCCCTGTATCTTTAACCTCCTTGTTAAGTTTATCTCTTCCAGAATCGAAGCTGTAAAACTACAAATCGTTCTTCAAATGAAGCCCCAGATGCAGTCCATGACTAAGATCTACTGTGGACCCCTGGACCAGCCTGCTAGTTCATGCTCTGATGTTGATGACATTGAAGGCACCCCTCCTGAGGAAATCTCAACTGCACGACCCCTACTACGCCCCAATTCAGCAGGAAGTAGTTAAGAGGTCGTCGGCCAACCTCTCCAACAGCACTTGGGTTTTCCTGTTGAGAGGGGGACTGAGAGACAGGACAAGCTGGATTTCCTAGGCCAACTAAGAATTCCTAAGCCTAGCTGGGGAAGGAGACCGCACCCACCTCTAAACACGGGGCTTGTAACTCAGCTCACACCCAACCCATCAGGTGGTAAAAAGGGCTCACTAAAATACCAATTAGACTAAAAAGAGGAGGTAAAGAAATAGTCAGATCATCTATTGCCTGAGAGCACAGGGGGAGGGACAATGATCGGGATATAAACCTAGGCATTTGAGCCGGATGGGTAACCCCCTTTGGGTCACTTCCCGTTGTATGGGAGCTCTGTTTTCACTCTATCAAATCTTGCAATTGAAAAACAAAAAACAAAAAACACTGGTTTGCAGCGTATGTATACACACACACACGTGCATAAACACATATTCACACATATGTACACATACATACATGTATGTGTTTTACAGCAATTTGAGGTGGGCATAGGCATATCATTTATTCATTAACCCCCCCAACAGAAAACTACTGACATTTACTATTCACAGCAGGGAGTCCTATAAAGACTCCCTGAGTCTTTTAATCATCTTTTAATCTTCCCGCACCACTTTCCTATGAAAGAGAAATTTGTAGATGGCACACTTGTTTCATTTGAAATAAGCACTCATGGATTTTCATCCGAGTGAACACACATTAAGTCCACATTACAATTAAGTGAAGTGATGAAATTTGAAAGAATGTATGAAGATAGCTTTTTATAGTATATAAATTGTGATTCGCGGACTTTTTCATTACTTTGTGTGTATATATTACTCCTTTCCTTGAAAAGCAGTGGCAGCCTTTTAAACATTTCTATAGTTTTTGTGGACCTAAACAAAAACACACACTAAAGAAGAATTGTGAAATTAAGAATTGCCCGGTGTGTGCAGTGTGATTTTAGAGTAATAAAGTTTGTTTTCTGGTGAATAAACTATGTATTTCCCATTCAAAGTAACTTGCTTGAAAGTTATATTAATATATGGATACCTAAAGTGCTAAAAACACTTTACCATTTTTTGAAATAATTTACAGTTCATTTGCAAAAACAAAACAAGCATTACTTTCAGACACCTACTGTAGCTGTCATTTATATACCTTGGAGAACACATATGTTGGTGGGTATCTTATCACAGACTGTAATATTTTTTCAGTAAAAGTATGTTGACATTTTTATTTTATATTGTTGCTATTTATAATTAGTTTCATTAAAAATTCCAAACACTTGAAAAGGTAAAATGAAAATTTAAAAAAATAGTCCAGGCTGGGTTTGGTGGCTCACACCTGTAAGCCCAGCACTTTTTGAGGCTGAGGCAGGCAGATCACGAGGTCAAGAGTTTGAGACCAGCTTGACCAACATGGTGAAACCTCATCTCTACTAAAATTACAAAAATTAGCCAGGCATGGTCTGGGCTGAAGCACTGAACTCGGGAGGTGGAGGTTGCAGTGAGCCGAGATCACGCCACTGCACTCCAGCCTGGGTGACAGTGAGACTCTATCTCAAAAAAAAAAAAAAAAAAAAAAAAAGTTCAAGTAGGTAATGACTCTATATGGGCTTAAGGTTTATTTTTTAGGTAATAAAAAAGTTCTAAAATTAGATAGTAATGATAGTTGCACGACTCTGTAAATATATTAAAAATTATTGACTTGTATTCTTAAAAATGGGTGATATGTAAATGATTTCTCAATAAAACTGTTCTTTAGAAAAGTTAGCCTTCAATGAGACTATTCACAATTTTTATAGGCAGATCTGAAGTCTGAAAATAATTTATCATGCACGGTAGTAAGAGTATTTTGTAGGATCCGATTGTTTAAAAAGATATTTGGAAATGCCATCTCATTTTAAACTTTCCCTCTTTTTTTTTTTTTGAGACAGAGTCTTACACTGTTACCCAGGCTGGAGTGGTACAGTAGTGTGATCATAGCCTACTGCAGCCTCAAATTCCTGGGCTCAAAGGATCCTCCCACCTCAGCCTCCTGAATAGCTGGGACCACGGGTGCATGCCATCATGCCTGGCTAATTTTTTTTATAGAGATGAGGTCTCACTATGTTGCCGAGGCTGGTTTCAAACTCCTGGTGTCAAACCATCCTCCTGCCTCGGCCTTTCTAAACGCTGAGATTACAGGCATAAGCCACAGTGCCTGAATTAAATCTTTCCTCTATTTAACATTCAGATTGTATGTCTTTCCCTCTCTTGGATAATATTTCCTATAAAGACTTAGGGAGTCTTTAAAAAACATCACAATTATTTAATGGCCTACTTTAAAAAATATCATATAAGTCATATGAGAGTATGCTCTTCCTGTAAAAAAATTAAAATAATATAAAAGTATATCAATATGATAGCCGTCAACTGCATGTAGCTACTAAGCCCTTAAAACATTGTAGCTGGTCTGAATTCAGATGTGCTGTAAAAACTTACTACCAAAAAAAAAAAAAGAATTTAAAATATCTCAATAATAAGTGCTTTACACTGATTACATGTTAAAATGATATTTTAGTTTAAAAATATTACAATCAATTTCATTTGTTTCCTTTTACATTTTTAGTGTGGCTACTAGCAGATTAAAATTATATTTCTGTCTAAGTCCATTTTCTGTTACTAAATTGAGTATCACAGACTGAGTAATTTATAAAGAATAGTTCATGGTTCTGGATGCTGGGAAATCCAAGGTTGAGGGGTTGGCATATGGTGAGGACCTTTGTGCTGTGTCATTCCATCGCAGAAGAGCAAGGGAGTGAGTACTAAAGAGGGAAAGCACAATGGGCTTGGCTCCCTTTACAACATCCCACTCCCTCAATAATGACAATAAAACATTCATGAGAGCTCCATGATTCAATCACCTCTCATCAGCCCATCTCCTAACACTGCTACACTGGGGACCAAGTTTCAGCATGAGTTTTGGAGGGGACAAACGTGTAATCATAGCAATTTCTTTGGACAGAGATACAGTGTCTCCTCTGGGTCCCCACTAGGTTCATCATCCTTCCACTCTACTTCCTTCCCCAGAAGTTATCTCTTTTATAGCTTAGCATATTTTCTTTCAGATTTTTGCTATATGTTTTTAACATATGTTTATAAACATATAGCAAATGCTATGCATTTACAACCATGGAACAAATGCTATGCATTTTTCCATAAAAATGTGTTCATACTATACATATGGTACTACAACTTGCTTTATTCACTTAGTTTGAAGACTTTTCTATGTCACAAAATATGGAACCACCTAATTCTTTTTAATGATGGTTATTTATTTATAGTATGGATGTACCACAATATTCTCCAGACCCCACTAAAAACTATTTAGGTCATGTCCTATTCTCTATTATTGTAAACACTGCTGCACCGAACATCTTCATACATATATCCATGTGCATATGTAGGGTATTTCTGTAGGACATATCTGTACAAGTGAAATTACAGGATCAAAGAGTATGACATTTAAAACTGTGTTAGATAACTCCTAAATGAGTTATTTTACTTTCAAAGCAAAAAGAGAAACCATTTGTTTTTTGACCATCTATAACTTCTCCATAAGTCTCTGAAATAACAAGGACATAAACTTCATGTCCAGGATTCAGAAAAGAAAAACAATTCTAACTTATGCCCTGACATCAGCCCAGACTTAGCCATTGACTATTATGGTGGGCACCTTCTTGAGGGACCCTGATAATGATTCCCTTTTTTCTTGAAATGCTTCCTCTCCCTTCCCCACTGAGATTATACAGTGGGTAGTAGCTGCCATGTCTGTTCTATGTGACCCTCAGTCTCCCCAACCCTGGTTGAGTGACCCAGAGCTGAGCAACAGGCCCAATCAAAGGCCCTTAGCTTCTTTCTCCAGGGAATCTGAAATTCAGGGTTATCTGGGAGTTGCCAGAGGCAATGCTCCAGAGCTACATTTACAAACTTCAGTTATTTACTTATCACTTTTTGTCATTTCTGCATATTCCGCATGTACTCTTATATACGTAACGCTTTTCTTTAGATTTTACCTTTAAGTCCTTTCTTAGGATTTTTATCTATGTATAGAGACACCACATAGCATAGAACTTAAAAGAGCAGATTCTAGAGCCAGGTTGCCTAGATTCACATCCCAGCTATTCCACTTAATAGCTGCGTGAGCTGGATCAATGTGCTCAGCTACTCTCAGTGCCCAGTCGTTTCATCTGTAAAATGGTGGTAACAATAGCACATGTGTCAAAGTGTCATGGGGGTTAAATTACTGTATATCTAGTCCTTAGAACAATAACTTCAATAGTAAGTGCTTACTAAATATTACCTATTACTGATTTTAAACCAACTCATCTTTCCATTTAAATAAATCTTTAGAGAAAAGTTGACATACCAACTATCTGGTAAGTATCGCTCAAAAGTGAGTCACCCACAAAGCAGCAATACCTGAACCTGTGGTGACAGGGAGTCATCCATTATACGACCACAGGCACTCCTGTGGGGAAATCCTGGGCTTGGCACAGACCACAGAGTCCTCTGGACTTCTGGATGCTCCTCTCGGTGGTGGGCAATACTTTCCTGCTCCTCCAGTCCCCTCTTTATCCCCCAGCCCTGACCAGTCATTGAAATCCCTTTCATAAACCTGTGAAAAATCACTGATTTAGACTTTCAGCAGAGCAGAAAGGTCTACTGAATAACTTAAAGTCTCATAGGTTTTAGATATTAGAACTATTATCCAGGTGCCCCAACTCCCAGACAATGCTTCTACAATCAATAAATTTTTTTCATCAGCAAATACTTTTTTTTTCATATTAACACCATACCTTCTTGAAAAGAAAATTGCTAAATATTTCAAGTAATGTCAATGTTTGGATCAAGGACAACTCTAGAGGGGTGGCAAGTGTGGCTTCTGAGTCCCGGTCCCCCTCCAGCACTTGGTCATTTTCCACTTCAGGTATCTATGGCCCTCTTGCTCTTACCATGCCTCCTCACATCAGAACCTTTCTCTGGGAAGAACCGTAAGTCATTTACGCTTTAGGGTGAGTTTAAGTTCATCTAAATGAAAAATTTTGTTATAAGA
Source organism: Homo sapiens (assembly GCF_000001405.40). Lineage (NCBI taxonomy): Eukaryota > Metazoa > Chordata > Mammalia > Primates > Hominidae > Homo > Homo sapiens. The sequence goes on from NC_000006.12 coordinate 107,305,457, forward strand.
AAGCTCTGATTTTGAATCCTGGCTTCATTTTCTATCACATGTAGAATCTTACAAGTTATTTCATCCTCCAAAGCCTTGGTTTCCTCATTTCCAAATGGGATTAACAACAGTTATTTCATAGGACTGTTGTAAGGAGGAAATTCCATTCATTATGCAAGCAACAGGGATTCATGTAATGTCAAGTATCTACTGGGCAGCAGACATGGTCTATTCCTAATTACACCAATTATTTAGAGGTGTGGACAGATAACTAATGTCTTCTTTTTTTTGCTTTTCTGGACAAGTGGGCCTAATTCTCCAGCTTTATTTATTCATTCAAGAAAAGGTTAAGTACCTCTTATGTGGAAGGTACCCCAGAACATTGGGAATACAGAGTAGATTAAAAGTTGGTTCCAGAAACTTACAGTCTAGTGCGGAGGGGCCTTAACATTATATTTAGACCTTCCTAAGCTAGATCCAAATTTAAGACTCTTTTCAGAATAGAAGAATATTGAGGATACCCATCATCTAACCTGGTACCTCATTTTACAGTCGTAGAAATCAATGCCTGGAAATTCTAAGTACTTTGTTCAATGTCATACAGATAGTTACCCAAAGAGGACAAGTACCCCAAGGCCATATGGGTGACAGAAGTACAATCCTTATCTTTGAATCTTTTTTCTAATTCCTGATGCCCGCCCACAGAAACTGACTAAACAACTTAAGCATAAGTTTTCTGTTTGTAAGTGATATGGTTTGGCTGTGTCCCCACCCAAATTCATCTTGAATTCCCATGTGTTGTGGGAGGGACCTGGTGGGAAGTAACTGAATCATGGGGGCAGGTCTTTCCCGTGCTGTTCTCGTGATAGTGAATAAGTCTCATGAGATCTGATGGTTTTGAAAAATGGGAGTCTCTCTGCACAAACTCTCTCTTTGCCTGCTGCCATCAATGTAAGATGTGACTTGCTCCTCCTTGCCTTCTGCCATGATTGTGAGGCTTCCCCAGCCACGTGGAACTGTAAGTCCAATCAAACCTCTTTCCTTTGTAAATTGCCCAGACTTGGGTATGTCTTTATCAGCAGCATGAAAACGGACTAATACAGTAAATTGCTCAAAAAAATTGTTTAATGACAAAATAAAACCAGGTAGTACTGAATAATCAGATCCTTTTATGATGCTGGAATGCATATGTTCCAGAAATTATAATTTATTGGTGGTCCTTCAGATATAGTATGCAGATGTATTATTATACAAGGTTTTTAAAAAATTGAACTAATATCTGACAAGCAATTTTAAAAGTCAATTAACACTGACTATAAGGTACAAAACAAAGGTTATCAGAGATGAATTTTATAATCAAATTACTAAGTCTGCCTTTTTCTGCACAATAAACAGAAACAGTGACATCTGAAAATGCCCCTTTCACCTCAGAAAATGTGTTGTTTGCAAAAGACGTTAAGTTTGCAAATCTTTGTTTCAGGTCTCAAATAGTTATAAGCATAAGGATCTGATTTTCACAGAGACCTCTAAGACCACATTACTTTTGGTTGTACCTTCTTCTCTCCCACACTTATCTTTCTCTTTTCCTGTGTCTGCCCATGACTTCTCATTCTGGCATTCTGGATATATCCACTTTTGGAAAAGGCAGATAATATGGCTTATTGAAGTAGGCACACATTCTGTGAACATGCATTTTTAACAAATAACTAATAAAATGTACTTTAGAAGGATGTCCAAATGTGCACATGGTTCTACAACCTCATATTTTCTGAGCACCTGTGATGTGCTTGGTGATGCCTTTACACCATAAACACAATCACAATCCTTCTCAAGGACCTTAAAGCCTGGCATGGATAAAAATAATAATAATCAGAAACAGAGATATCTGAAAATGTCCCCTGTTCATCTCAGAGAATACATGAACTTTTTCACAAAGGGATAGAACTACGCATTCAAATCAGCGTACTTGATTCAAACTACTTGATTGAAACTACGCATTCAAATCAGAGTACGCATTCAAATCAGGGTACTTGAAGCTCATCTGATATACCTCCAACTCACAGATGGGGCACTTCTACTTTTTAAGCCTTTTTTTTTTTTTTAAACAGGCAGTTGAGAGGGTGGCTGTCTATATTATTGTACTTATTCTGACCAAACTGTGCAATGTCTTTATACTTTTCCAAGTAACCTGACCTTTTCCCATTTCTTGTGGGTATTATATTACCTTTCACGTCTTTATATATTTCCACATTTAATCATCTTGGCATGTTGCTACCATTATTGTCTTCCCTATTCACTGGTCTAGTTAATTCCTGTGTCCACAGTAGGGTTCTTTTTTAAAAAGGAAACCAGCTTCCTTTTACCACTCTGCATTCTTAGACTTTCTTCCAATGAAGTTCAATCACTTAAAGAGTAATATAAGCCAACAGTAATTATTTTACAAATACTGATGACTCCTCTCTTTACAAATGAGTGTATTTGTAAGTAAGCTTTGAAGATAGTAAGGCTATAAGGAATAAGATAAATGTGAAATATCTGAGTAGAAGCCACCAATTTCCCCCTTTAGAGGCCTTCCTGATAGTTGATAATACCAAATGGTTCACAAACCAATTTAGAAGTCAAAGATGAGCACAACGTACTAAGAAAGGAGAAAGAATAATTTAACAGGCACTCAATTCAGATTACATATAAGCGCCATTACAACAAGCTAAAACTTGTTCACCTTAATCTATCTATATATTTCATGACTACATGAAATAGCCTACTCCTGAGTTAATTAATGAAAAAACAAACTTTAAAAAACTAAATATTTTGATTATTTGTAACTTAAAAGAGAACAGGTAAAAATGGAAAGAACTGTTAACCTAGATTATCTGATTATAATTATTATCAACAAAATTATTTATGGAATATCTACTATGTGTTAGACCCTAGAAATATAAAGTATAAAAAGCATTTTTCTTTTATCGACGACTATGTATCAAGGTGTGAGTATGTATTCTTTCTCTTAAGGTAGTTTAAGACATGGTCTGTGTCCTGAGGGCTCATAGTTTAGTTGGAGATACAATACAATGAAATGAAAAGATTTAACAAGAAAATTATATAGTACATAAGTGTAAACTGAATGCCACAATCTATAACTGCTGTAGGGGTACACAGTTATGATCACTGAGGATTTGGGGGGAGGAATGGGAAGACTCCAAAGAAGAGGTGACAGCAAAGTTGTACTTCTCTTAGATGATGAGCACTTTAGATTACTGAATGCAAGGACGTTGCTGCTACACACCCACCCTACTCTCCATGCCATGCATGGCTGCCACCATAATGTGCTGGGGGGCTCCAGTCAGCTTGCTGCTGCTGCTGCTGATCCCAACAGGGCTCACTGCCCCTGCCAGACGATGAACAGAGTCGACAGCTGCCATGGAGTGGTATAAAAATGGCTGCAGCCAGCTGACTGAAACTGGAATATGGGTGGAGCACAGATTTAGCACAAAGGCTTGGGTGTCTCCTCTAGACAGTGCTTGAGGGAAAAAGAAATGAGAACAATACAGAAAAGGAGAAAAGTCCAGGAACATCCTTCATCTTCTAGCCACAGCCCCAAATGATTTGGATAAATTAAGGAGAAAAAAATAAATGAATTGTGAAAAAGTCATTTTCACAGAGACAAAAGAAAGTTTTACTTAAATTAGGCTACCAAAGAAATATGAGTTAACAGTTGGTCTTAGATATCACTGAAGAATATTTACTGCCAGTTAATTATCAGAATGTCAAGTCATTATACTTCCTAATTTCACCTGCACATTTTCATCTGAGCACAATGCCCTGCTGTGGTCTAAAACAGAGGCCTACATATTAATCAGAGTGGCCGTAACAGAGTTAACTCAGTTTGAAGAGAGCAGAGAAGCTAACTTAGACCTCTGTCTTCATTCTCATTCTGAAGAAAAGAATGAAGTCAAGATTTCTAACAAGAGGTGATACAGACAACACTCTGGCAAGCTGTTTCAAAAGATAAAAATGTACCCATTTGGCTTCTCTTTAAGTAATAATTTAGATGGCTCCTAATTGAACTCTCCTTCCATTGCACAGGTCTTGGCCTACCTTAAGCCTTCTCTATGAAAAAGACTGAGCCAGGAGTCCTGAGGGCAAGGAGTGCTGGTGAAGCCCTGGTGCCCACAATGCAGGAACGGAAGGATGCTGGGGTGTGCCACAGGTGGCTTATGGTAGGTGGCTGTCATTGCGAATCCTTGATAACACATGCAATTCCATTTCTCTGTGTTTCTACAAAGTCCTTACATGATTATTCTAATTATATTATTAATGGCATATCTTAAGCTGTTACATGGCACTACCCATAGTTGGATATTTATCATGTTAAATTATGAATTACAAACATTTCTTCATATAATATTTTACTTAAGTCCTAAAGCAAGAAAATCTAGAATAACGTACTATATTTGTCTGCTTGGATTGCCATAACAAAATACCACAGGCTGGGTGGCTTAAACAGACATTTATTTTCTCACAGATCTGGAGGCTAGAAGTCCAAGATAAAAGTGTCAGCAAATTCAGGCTGGGTGTGGTGGTTCACACCTGTAATCCCAGCACTTCAGGAGGCTGAGGCAAGTGGATCATGAGGTCAGGAGATCGAGACCATCCTGGCTAACACGGTGAAACCCCATCTCTACTGAAAATACAAAAAATTAGCTGGGTGTGGTGGCAGGCGCCTGTAGTCTCAGCTACTCGGGAGGCTGAGGCAGGAGAATCACTTGAACCTGGGAGGCGGAGCTTACAGTGAGCAGAGATCACGCTACTGCACTCCAGCATGGGCGACAGAGCAAGACTCCATCCCAAAAAAAAAAAAAAAAAAAAAGAGAAAGAAATGCAATTGTCTTAAGACTCCCTCTCCCTGAGAATCTAAAAAAACAACCAGGAAAGATTCACTGCCAAAAAAGAGAAAAGACTAAAAGTAATCACCATGCCCAGAGAGACTTTTCATCTATTCTTCTGAGGGCAGCTCTGAGAGATTACCTAGGACGCTTTATCTGCATATTAAGACAACCTTAGTTCACTGTGAATTTCTGCCCCTCACTTTCCCATAACTGGTTTGTCCTTCCATCCCATTCAGCGTCCAAAGAGAATCATTTACAAACCACTGTCTTGTCTTTGAGCCCATTCATTCCCCTAAAAATCATTTACTACCGCTTTAAAATTGCCTACAGACCTCCAACTACCTTCCTTTCTATGAAGAGAGTATTTAAGTCTCAACCATCTGGCCCTGAGTCTCATATCTGCAGGACTGTCAGGTCCATGTGCTCATTAATACATTTGTGTGCTAAATTTTCCCTGTTAATCTGTCTATTGTCAGTTTATCTATGCAGGCTTGAACCTTCAGAGGGGAAGGAGAAACTCTCTTAGCTCCTACACATTAAACTCAGTCCATTATAAAATACATTTAAAATTCAAGTATATTTAGCAAAAATAAACTTTTTTTTTTTTTTTTGAAATGAAGTCTCATTCTGTTGCCCAGGTTGGAGTACAGTGTTGTGATCTCAGTTCACTGCAACCTCCGCCTCCTGGGTTCAAGTGATTCTCCTGCCTCAGCCTCCTGAGTAGCTGAGACAACAGGTGCACACCACCACGCCCAGCTAATTTTTGTATTTTTAGTAGAGATAGGGTTTCATCATGTTGGCCAGGATGGTCTTGATCTCCTGACTTTGTGATCCACCTGCCTTGGGCTCCCAAAATGCCACCACAACCAGCTTTTTTTTTTTTTTTTTTGAGACAGGGTCTTGCTCTGTCACTCAGGGTGGAGTGCAGTGGTGCAATCATGGCTCACTGCAGCCTTGATCTCCCAGGCTTAAGTAATCCTTAAGTAATTCTCCCACCTCAGCCTCCCGAGTAGCTGGGACTACAAGTATGTGCCATCACTCCTGGTTAATTTTTTATTTTTTTGTACAGATGGGGGTTTCATTATGTTGCCCAGGCTAGTCTTGAACTCCTGGGCTCAAGTGCTCCTCCTGATTCAGCCTCCTAAAGTGCTGCAATTATAGGCATGAGCCATGACACCCAGCCTTCAATCAGCACATTTTAATATTTTGTTTTTTTCTCCTCTAAAGGACAATTTTGATAGGATGTGGGGTAAAAGATGAAGATACAGTGTAGTCCTTGAAGAGTCTATAATCTGATTATGAGAAAAATAAAAGCAGATAATATCAATAAAGTATGGTAAATGTAGTTATTGAGAATATGAATTTGCAGTAAGAAAGACCTGGTTGAAATCTTAGATCTGCTACTTTATGGCTCTGTAGATCTTGGCTAAATGATTTAACATTTCTAAGCTTGACTGTCCTTACCATATAAAGAGGCTGTGACTATTGACCTTTTAGGATTGTTTTGAGACATAAATGAGATAACATGTGTAAAGTGTTTTCAGCACAATGCCTTAACACATAGTCTGTGCTCAGTACACAGTAATTATTACTACTATCACCACTAATGTTTGTACACACTTATGCAGAGTGTGCTAAGGGAGCCCAGAAAAGAGTACTTAGGTTGGCCTGGGGATTAGGGAATGTTTCCTGGAGAAAAGGAGAGCAGAACTGTATCTTAAGTGAGGTAAGAGTCAGATGAAGAAAGGTAGGAACAATATCCCATGCAGAGGAAATAGCACAGTGCATGCAGCGTATTGCCAGTATTTGGCATTTGCTGGCAGGTCTAGTGCAAGAATAGTTATTCCTCACTTTCTCCCTTCCTTGGTATCCTACAGCACTATTGCATCTCCCTTCACTCCCTTCACTGGTTTGCCATCCATCCTCCCCAGAAATACCCTTGCTACCCCTGATGGCTATGTTGGATTTGTCCTTTAAGGACAATTCAATCCTTTGTAGGTGGACCAGGCCTCTCTAGAACCCTACCAGAACCTATTCTTTCCCTCTGTCTTATGAACATGAGGAGAGATGACCTGCAGAGGTAGTATAGCTAAGCTAAGAGTATGGGCTCTGGAGTTAAACTTCCTGAGTTCAAACCCTGGCCCCACTACTATGTCACTTTGAGCAAATTACTTCACCTCTGTGTGCTTCAGTTTTCCCCATCTGTTAAATGGGGATGGTAACAGCACTTATCTCTTATTATGAGGTTGTTGTGATGATTCAGTGAGCTGACACATGTAAGAAAACTGAAACAGGGCCTGGCTGTTAATAGCTATTAGCTAGCATTACCTAACAAGATTAAAAATCTATGCTTCATGGACAGGACATACTTGAGAAAATAAAGAATGCCTCAGATTAGAAATGTGGCCACCTGTGGAGGGTAGAAGGAAGAAGGGAGGATAAAAGAGGAAAGAGAGGAAAACTAATATTTACTGATTACCTACTAGGGGCCAAAAGTATTGCATTAAGTGCTTCATATATGTTTTTCACCTGATCCTTACAACAGCTGTGGTAAATAGATGGTATTGTCCCCAATTTTATACATGAGTATCCTGGTCCTCAGAGAGTTTACAAAATTTGCCTAGACAAATAGGATCAGAATTGAAAGCTATGGGTAGGCGAGTAGCAGAGTCATGCTCTTCCAACTGCTACTTCTCTTCACCTCCCCGGGGCTCCATTCTCTTAGTTTGAAAACTATATCAGACTTCACATTGCTAAGAAGAAATCTAGGAGCTGCCTAATTTTTTAAATGATTCTCTAGGCCTACTCCAGGAAATATAAACATGTGCTTACATTCTAATTTTATATCCTATGCTGAGAATTTAATAAAAATAATGAATTGTAGCATATAAACTAAGAGTATACTTCCTTGTTCAGAAGTTCAGAATATATTACAATTACACATTGACAATAAAAATATTTTTTAGAACTCCAATTCTATGTTTTCAGAAATTATAAATTGACTAGGCTTAAATTTGTTTTGTTTTACTTTATTTATTTATTTATTGAGACAGAGTCTTGCTCTGTTGTCCAGGCTGGAGTGCAGTGGCATGATCTCGGCTCACTGCAACCTCTGCCTCCTAGATTCAAGCAATTCTCCTGCCTCAGCCTCCTGAGTAGCTGGGACTACAGGCATGAGCCACCACACCCAGCTAACTTTTGTATTTTTAGTAGAGATGGGATTTCACCGTGTCGGCCAGGCTGGTCTCGAACTCCTGACCTCAAGTGATCCACCTGCCTCAGCCTCCCAAAGTGCCAGAGATTACAGGCATGAGCCACCACGCCCGGCCCTACATTTGTTTTATAATATGAAGCAGGGCCCAATTTAATCTTTAATTTACATTTCTTCCAGCCTAAATATTATGTAACATATTTTGTGGGCTTTTAATATCTTTAAAATGGTTCATATTTCCTAGTAATTTGAGTAGGGTATCCTCTTTTGTTTCGTATGAAATAACATAATATTCTTATAACAAAATGAAAATAAAGTTAAAGAAAACCATGAGGTCAGGTGTGGTGGCTCATGTTTGCAATTCTAGCACTTTGGGAGGCTGAGGCTGAAGGATTCCTGGAGGACAGGCGTTCAAGACCAGCCTGGGCAACATAGCAAGATCCTGTTCTGCGCATGAAGGTAGCACTTGTAGTCCCAGCTACTAGGGAGGCTGGGGTAGGAGGATCTAAGAGTCCAAGGTTGCAGTGAACTATGATTGCTCCACTGTTCTCTAGCCTGGGTGACAGAGAGAGATCCTGTCTCTAAAAACAAAAGAAAATAAAATAATACTATAGTATTATGGATGTTATATATGTAGAACGAGCTTTTTCATATTGTCAATTCTTTGCCAATGGAGATGATTCACACACACACACACACATCTTGTCACATGTTGGCCCTTATACTGATAAAACAGCACCAATCCTTCAGGGAAGCTCCAAATACTCTATGACAAGAAGCTGGGGGTGGTGGCAGTAAGGAAGCAGATAATCTTCTATAGAGACATTTTATATACATATATACTTATTTAACCTAAAAATATATTTTTTTCTTTAATTACAGTTTCCCATATAACCATCAGTGGGCTCCAGCGATGCAAGCCATATTTATTAGAGGCAGCATGTCAAATAGGAGTTGACAATTACAGTCTCTATCAATACATATTATGCCAGACGGTAATGAGCCATCCACAAAGGGCTAGCTATCCAAAATAATCATGCTGCTTTCCAGAGAAATGTCAAAGAGGTTATGGTTTATTACACAGTGCTCATTAGATATACAGTGGCAGCATTAGCAATTTTTCCTTCATTTGCGTCTCATTTAAGGATCTGCCCCCACAAGCACAGTCAAATTAGTACGCAAGGTTAAAACCATTATGCCCTGAAAAAATTAAGTTGCATTTTATTTTACAGTAACGGTGGATCAAAGGTCCTTGGAATCTATTATTTACAGAACCATTATCTAACACAGCATATTAACAAAAGGGAAAAGAAAAGCAATGCCCTGCCAGCATGGCTTGGACAGGAACAAAGGCAGACTGTTTGAAATAAGCAAATACCATGTTACTTAATTAAGTAGCCCTATAAAAACTATTTTTAAAATAACACTAAGGTTGTGACATCAACTGACAAAAGTCACAAAATTAAAGTTAATGAAGTACCAACCTGTACTTTAAAATGTCTTGTTTACATTAACTTATTTTTAAACATTTTAATACTGTCATTATATATAATTTTTAAATAAATTTACCAATTACTCTAAATACTTATTTTCTTAAAAGGATAACCCATTTTTAAATTTTTATAGCAAACCCACATTTATCAATATTTAATAAAATAGAATTTGCAGATATAACTATTATAACCAGAAAGATGTGATCAAGAAGGCAGATCTTGGAATAAGTTACAAAGATTTAAATAAATATTGCAAAATAATAGATACTTAATGGATTTTGCCAAATCAGCAGATAACTGGTTAACAGCATCTGAATTACTGGCAGGATAAACATTTGTAGCAAAGAGATCTTTTGAAGAGATTTCTAAAGTCCTGATTGGACTGTTAATAAAATATCAAAATTCATTACAGTTAGAAGGATAATATTCTGAATGTACTTTCCCCACATTTTATTAACAGACCTCAGTTGTAGTGATTATTCAAGGATCCTTTCCTTTCATTTAATGAACACTTATTGAGTGCTGTCATGTCAGACCCTGTGATAAGAGTCTGAGAATTCATTAAAAAGAAAAAAGAAAGAAAGAAAGAAAGCATATCTCTGTACTTGAGAAGCTCATGGCCAGGTCAGTGAAGCATTTGGACAGGAAACCAAATGATTTGAATCTTGGGCAATAATTGCTGTCCCAGAAGAAAATACAGCTTGCCAAGGGAGCCCAGATGAAGAGGACCTAATTGAAATCTTGATGAAGTAAGGTAAGGATTACCCAGGGAAGTAACAGCTAAAGTGAGAATTCTACCCAGTGAGAACTGTAGGGGAGAAATACACTGGGAAGGTGGGCGAACAAGTGAGAGGAGGCTGGGGCGGGATCATTTACCTCAGATTATCACAATATACAGTTTTAGAAATCCTTTAAAAATGCTCTTCCTAATTAGAAGAAAACATCTTGAAGTTGGATTGATGGACTTAATGAAATAAAGTCAGCAAGAAAGTTCTAGAACAGTTTGGATCATGTTAAAAAAATAAAAAGTATGTTATAGAAAAAATTCCTTTGTCAGGTCCACATATGGTCAAATTTCAGAGTGGATGAATGTATTATCCATTTAATGTTAACTGTAAGTCTGATTTAATAACTTGTCATGACCAAATTTTGAATTTCTGTTGGTTATTCTTCTTAATCTTTACCCCCACATGAATGAGGTAAGCATCCTTGTATCTTTCCCCTTAAACTGACAAAAGGATGAGCTATATATACATCACTTTAATTTTTCTGGTATCTTATATGTCTAGTATGTGTGTCTACTCTCAAAACATCTGTAAAATATAATAAACTTTTAGACAGCAGAGGACGGATTGGTTTAATTCTTTTGCTATGGTATCCAGTATAGCTCAGGTGTAATCAGATACTTACAAAAGGTTGCTTTTTTTTTTAAATGTAAATGCCATTATATTCTAGTACAGCTATTATATATGGCTATGGTCTACAATATGGCAGATTCCTGAATGGATTGTTAGGTGGTTTTGAGGCATTTAGAGTAGCATCATGACAGCATGATAGTAATACTCATTTTCCTCTTTTAGTATAACAGATTTCTTTTTTTCGTGAATATTGGGCCTTTTTAAACAGGCCCTATATATCTACTCTGATTTAGCTTTTTAAGTGACTGCCGTTCTCCCTTCCTCAACAGTGTTTTAATTCAGCAGTATTTAACCTACCAACATTTTTCATTTAATGAACAAAAAATGTATAGACTCCAAAGCTTTTTTAAAAAACAAAACATATACTACATCTATAGCTTTGCACATATTGTGCACATAAAACTTTGTATAAATGGTTGCAGTATTATTCCTGGCTTTGAATTTTGCTTTTCTTCTACCAGAAAAAGCTTCTGGTAACCAGACGTCACAAAAGGTACAGATAATCATAAGATGTCAATCATAATACAAAAACAAGTTATATTGTTGAACTGCAGAAAAAGTAAAAGCAACTAGGCCCCATGCTGGTCACTACTGCTCTACGTTCATTTCAATACTACATGTAATTATGAATCTCAAGGAACAAACCAAGAACGAGCCTGCTGAGAGTGGAGACAGAGGAGTATGGCCAACCTCTCCTCCACGGCACCTCGCAGCAGTGTCAGAGCAGCCATTTTGTCAGTGCGTCTCTTTCTTTCCACTGCTCTAAGATCTTCAGTTTATTCATTTGCTCTCACCTCTGCCCTATTCCAGAGGGTTTAAATGGTTTAGGTATTATTAGATGATGTTCAGTAATAACAGAAAAAAAGCACAACCAGATGTGGAGGAAACATGAGACAAAGGTGTGACAAGAGATGAAGTGTGATAAACTGAGAGGGCACAAAATGGGAGGGGGCCAGGGAGAGCCCCAGAGTGATGAGGGAATAGTATGAACTACAGACTTTAATGTAGCTCCCAGAAATAAAGGCTTCTTCTGTATGTGATGAGCCTATTTTATCTCAAAATGTAAAGCTGTCTGAATTTTAGGTTTGATGACCATGTGTTCTGCAAAGACAGCATATAGATTACAACCGTGCCTGACCTCCCAGTTTTAGGAACAAAGTGGAATTCTGTCACTGGACACCATCAGGGCTTTGGGTTACATCTCCAACTCCTTATTCTATGGATAAAAATAAAAGCTCCCAATATAATATTCATAATTTATAACAATAACATGCAGATCACCTTTTACCGTTTGAAAATGGCACCAAATTAGTAATGGTCACCATTTCTACAGCAAAAAATAATGTGAGCACTTTACTGCTTGATGGTACTGTTAGATTAGTGGTCCCCAGTTTGGGGTACGCAGATCTTTAAGGGTTATTTACAGTAGGTAACAAGTTCTTCACAGAGGTGAGTAATTTTCCCTTTCCAAAATGTCGAAGGAAAGCAATGTATTCCCCCTCCCCCCAGATAAAGTAACATCTGTTAACAAAATTTTTAATTTTCTTTAATTTTGTACTCATTAATAAGATGCGACAGTGGTTATCTTGTGGTCATCAGAAGCTCAGATTGGCAGTTACAAGTGTATCTAATAAAATGGAAAATCATATAATGATGATTTTATATATAAAGTGCCTGGTAAAGACGCTTTTTTAAACAGGGGTGGGAGAATAACAAAAGGAATCCTGAGCGGTAAACAGGTGGGGAGGTTATCATAATGAAGTATATACTGGCTAATTTCCCTCCACTTCTCCTTGACCGCCCCGCTTCTTTCACCAAGGCAGTCTAAGAGGAAGTAGCTATCTACTTCAACAACAGCTCTAACAGGAGACCAGAAGAGGTCAGCGGAGAGCAGTGCTAGGCACCCATCCTCCCACCCAGAGGGCTGAGCTCCAGAAGATCCCAGGTCTCTGTTTACTCAAAAAAGAAGCAACTATGAAAACAGAACAAATTGTTTTATTCAATTTTTTACTTTGACACAATCAGAGATGACCTATAAGTCTGTTGTAATGGTTAGCTTAAAAAAAAAAGATCTGAAGTAGAAAATGAAAAAATTTTCCTTATATACCAAAAAGTTCCCTGAAGAAGACAATAAAAATGATAATGCCTTGATAGTGACATAATCTTATTTTCTCTGAGATAGCTAGCAATCCATTATTTCTTAAAAACATGAGTTGCAGGTGCACAAAAATTCCCATTTAAATATACTCAGTTCATCGGCCGGGCACGGTGGCTCACGCCTGTAATTCTCAGCACTTTGGGAGGCCAAGGTGGGTGGATTGCCTGAGCTCAGGAGTTCAAAACCAGCCTAGGCAACATGGTGAAACCCCATCTCTACTAAAAACACAAAAAATTAGCTGGGCCTGGTGGCAGGCGCCTGTAATCCCAGCTACTTGGGAGGCTGAGGCAGGAGAATCACTTGAACCCAGGAGACAGAGGTTGCAGTGAGCCGAGATTGTGCCATTGCACTCCAGCCTGGGTGACAGAGTGAGACTATGTTAAAAAAGAAAATATATATATATACACACACACACACACACATACACACACACACACACTACACACACACTCAGTATCTGATTATTTGTGCTATGGAAAAAAGAATGTGCAATTACTAAGAACTGGTCAAGTACTACAGAGTCCCTGGTTTCTAAATTAATTCTAAAATCGGAAAGTGGAAAAATTAAACATGTTTTTTGAATGTTTTAAATATTTAAATATAAATGTTTCTTCTCTTATACCTTCAGGGAGTGTAAACCAAATAGAAAGTTTCCCCTACTCCCCACATTTAAAGCTGAAGAATTAGAAGGAAAACACACTATATAAACTTTTAAACACCAGCTGTAGTGTTTTTACTTGCCTTCCTCAGAACTTCCTTCATTGAAGGTACAGTACCTAAAAACCAGCTTTTGCTACGTTCCCACGCAAATAGAGGTCATGATCTGGGGTGTTCTGATTGACTATAAACTTGTAGTAGTATACCAGGCACAGAAAGAATGGCAACCACAAAAGACAACGTGGTACCTGACGTTAGGGGCCTTATGAATTTAATAAGGGCATTGATAAAATTAGAAAATGCTAAGGAAAGACCTAAAATGGATGAATATATTCAACAGATAACAGAGAGGTCCAAGTTACCTTGCCTACCCCTCTAATTGTTTTTGAGGAAGATCAACTTTCAGCCAAAGCGCTGCAGACAATATAAAACAAAGTTTGCATAAAGTACCTTTGAAAATAACAAGCTGCCTATAAACCGTTGCAGACGTGTCAGTAACAAAGGTTTTGCAAAGTTAAAGCCCTAAATTGAATTAAACCCTAATAATTTTGTATTATTACATTTTCATTCCCTGACAATTCTGATTTTTCAGCTTACTGTTTTTGTTAAATTTAAATTGGTCTGGTCTATCTATAGAGAGAGATAAAAAAGCAAATCCCTATTTTTTAAAGTTCTGAGTTGAATGGTATAAAATTAAATACAGAAATGCATTTTAAGTGCAAAGTATCCTTCCACTGTTGCCAGAAAACAAGTAACAAAGAGGAGTTAAGTAATTTAACAGCCATATTTTCTCACTCGCCTTCATTGGGAACACAGTCGTTTGCATGGCATAATAAGCTGTAAATTATAAACATTTTTACATAGCCTGCTGCAAAGAAAAGTCTGCCAGCTTTCTACTATATTGGATAGTGTTCAAGTGATTAACTATAGCTTTGGAAAAAAGGGGTGGAAACTTGTTTTGCGTCGCAGTTTGTTGGTTCTCACGTACAGCCTCAAAAAAATCCATTACATCATTATTTGCAACAAATATGTAAGTAATTATAATAGAGTAATAGAAGCTCCATATTATTACAGGATACAAATTACTCATGGACAAGAGAAAATCTTGTAGGTGCATAATCATTCAAGTATTTCCTTGAAATGTTGTCTCTAATGAGTATGAATGTAATGGTTTCCAAAAATAACAAAATTTGCAGCACTGACATTTCAGGACTAATGACAAATGAAATACACTTTACTCTTTGTCTATAGGGAAAGCCCATTAGACAGAATATCTGCTTAGGGCACAAGTCTATTTTAAAAAAAGGTTCTTGTGTCAAAGAAAATATATAAATATCTGTGTTTCACAACATATAAAGAATAAATGTGTGAAAGGAAACATGCAGTAATAGAGATAATGGCCTGCAAACATAAACGTTTTTATTTTTAAATTATATAGAGCCCCACCAAAATCCACATTCAACCCCCTAAGAAAATTTTGTCTCAATAAATCAACAATAATACATGGAGCACTTGAGTGCCCACCATAGTGCTGGGGCTTTGGAGGTCAAAGAAAAAGTTTATAACCTGATGTCTGTCCACTATACTGAGGATGTCAAGATGACTAAGAAAGTATATGTAAGGCACCCTACTTCATAGGTTGTCTACAGTAATGGAAAGAGCATGAATTCTATGGTCAAATGGGATTTGAAACTCAACTCTGTGATTTTCTTACACTATAAACTTGAGCACGTTATTAAATTTCTTTAAGCCTGTTTACCAAGAAAAGCAATTTCTTAACCAATGTTAAATGTTAAATAAATGCACTAATATATATAAAGAATATGGAACAGTAGCAGACTTATAGAAAACTCTATATGTGTTAGCTATAGTAATAATTATATTTCTATATTTATTATAGTTAGCTTTGCACACAGCAGGTGTTCAATAAATGTTTGTTGAATGAATGAATGAATGAGCAAAGGAACAAATCTAGCAGAGGGACAAGATAAATATGCAGATTACTATAAAATAGACGAGAAGTGCCTCAAAGGTACAAAATGTAATAGAGGCCTCAGTGGAGGGAGAGGTGATAGGTTGGAAGATGATTAAGACACAAACCCTGACTTCTAGAAGGTACTGTTTAGTAAGAAAACATACATAAATCAGTATTTACAAAACAGTCATTACAAACAATGTGTTAAGTGTTTTAAGATTTCACAGAACCTTTCTTCTATGTTCTAGCTCTAAATACACCACGGCTTTTCCCGGAGTGTCCAAATCCTATATGTTCATGAGCAGATATGCCTAACTTCTACAAGCCACAAACTGAGGAGCTGAGAGGTGGGACCAGTGCTCAGTGCTCCCCTTATTTCCTCATTTTGGTGAAAACCACTGTTCCTTTGAAACCAGCTCTACTTCTGCCATCACTCCTCTTCTCTGTGCCTCTACATTTATTGAAGTCTCAGTTCTGTTGTTCTGGTTGACTTCAATCATGTGAATTGCCCACCCTACAGTTTTTCAATATACTCAATTCAACCACCTCCACTGTATTCTGTGAAACCCACTTTAAGGCACAACTGAACATAACCAATCAGAACTGTTCCACTTTTGAAATCTCCACTTGGATATCCAACTTTCCATCTAAAACCTACTGTCTTTTCTGCTCTTTCATTGCATTACCACTTCCACCCCTGCAAACTGATTCATCATGATCTCCAGTCCCTTGATCACTACTTTCTCTCTAGTTTTGGGCTCCCTCAACCTCACTTCCTACCTGATGGGGCCTAAACAATCATATTAGATCAACCTACACTCTTGCACATACCCTT
The DNA here is from genome assembly GCF_000001405.40 of Homo sapiens. Lineage (NCBI taxonomy): Eukaryota > Metazoa > Chordata > Mammalia > Primates > Hominidae > Homo > Homo sapiens. The sequence goes on from NC_000006.12 coordinate 107,322,072, forward strand.
TTCTTGATGACAAAGAAAAACATTAATCATGCTTTTATCTTCCTCACATCCACTCTAGGGCTGTTAGGAATTGCCTGTTGCTGTGTTAAGGAATTTGTATCTAATCCTGTAGGGAATGCAATTGAAGAGTTAAGGATGTTTTACTCCACTTAAAAACTTGAGGCCAGGCCAGGTGTGGTGGCTCATGTATGTAATCCCAGCACTTTGGGAGGCCAAGGCAGGTGGATCACTTGAGGCCAGGAGTTTGAGCCCAGCCTGACCAACAGTGAAATCCCGTTTCCACTAAAAATACAAAAAAATAGCCGGGCATGAAGGCGCACACCTGTAATCCCAGTTACTTGAGAGGCTGAGGCATGAGAATCACTTGAGCCTGGGAGGTGGAGGTTGCAGTGAGCTGTGATCGGGCCACTGTACTCCAGCCTGGGTGACAGAGTGAGACTATCTCAAAAGAAAAAGCAAACAAACAAAACAACAACAACAAAAAAACTTGAGGCCGGGTGTGGTGGCTCATGCCTGTAATCCCAGCACTTTGGAGAGCCAGGTGGGTGGCTCACTTGAGCCCAGGAGTCTGAGACAGGCCTGGGCACCATGGCAAAAACACCTCTCTACAAAAAATACAAAAACATTAGCCAGGCATGGTACATGCACCTGTAGTCTCAGCTACTCATTTGAGCCCGGGACATTGAGGCTGCAGTGAGCCATTATCGTTCCACTGCACTCCAGCCTGGGCAACAGAGGGAGACCCTGTCTCAAAAAACAAAAAACAAAAACCTTGAGAAGAGGAGGGAATGAGGGAAATCTTAACAACAGAAAAGGGAGACTTAAGATTCCAGTAACTATAGAGAGGGAGGATGCCAGGATTAGAGATAACCAATCAGAGAATCTGCCCTCTTTGCCTCTATTATCAACACCACCCACTTTCAGGAGTGAGAAGGAAAGTCCAAGAGCACAGTGAGGAAGACATTTCTTAGGCACTAAGCCACCTACAGATGTCAGCTCTCACCTATCATCTTATGTGAGGGGTGTTAAAGACTACCTACCTTTAGTTAAACAAAGGGTTTATCAGTGGACATGGGTGGATTGTGAACCCAATGGTGACTGTGGAAATAGCTCTAGTAGTTAAGTTCCAGCAAAAGAGTTTTAGAAAGGAAATTACATCAATAGCAAGTGTCAGGAAGACTCTAGATGCATACATTGTTTCCTTACCTACTCATTTGAGGTCAAAGACTATTTCTTATTCATAAGAAATATTCAGTGTCTTTCAGTGTCCAGTGCTGTGCCTTGCAGAGACAGGAGGTGGTCAGGGTGACTTATTCTGGACCACAGGATAGTTGAACCTATCTAGATGTGTACCCTGTTAGTTAAGCTCCTGGTTTGAAGCCCATCATTGCCCCTGCTGTACAGATGAGTAATTTCAAAGAGTGATTAAGTAACTTACTTAAGGTCAAATAGCTAATCAATTGCAGAATTGAGACAAGAACCCAGATCTCTGGCCCTTCATCTATGCCTTTATTATGACACACTGTTTACCACTGAGATGCCTTCCGTATGAGTTCAAAGGATCACCATTAAGTCATGAAGCTACTAAGCTGACTCTGCCAATAAAATTAATATTTTAAGTGATTTGCACAACTTCTATCACATGATGAATGCCCAAAATTAAGCACTGTTTAAAATGTAGAATTAGTCACTGGACAGTGCCTTTAACTTTGGCTACTTACCAGTCAACATACAGCCCTTCTTTAAGGAAAGGATTTTAAAATTTTTTACTATTAACAAAAACAATTTATGCAGCTTGTGTTTTGCTGTGATAGATTAGGCAGGCTAATCTATATCATGTTATTTACATGCAATAAACTAACTCAGCTGAGTAGATTAGTAGGTAAGCCCACCTACTTTTTGTGGTTAATTATACTGTTTTGTAAGAAGCTGATCCTATTTTGTGTTTTTCCAAAAGCTCTGGTGAAGTAATGACTTCTGACGTACAGTATGTTAAACATAAAGAGCCTTCCCTTTTCTTTCTCAACATATAATTGCTGCATTTGTGCATGCTGTGCAAGTTGAACATAACAATAAAAACTTAATGAAGAAAATAAGTACTGGTTGTAATGAATTAGTAATATTACTAGATTTGTATCTGGAGTTTACATTTACTGTTGTAAGTAGAATACAATCAATAGGAATATGTAATCAAATTGCACATGCTTTCATCTCTTGAGATTTATCTGAAAAGGAGCTGAGATATCTTTAGGAAATTATTTCCAAAAGCCTACACTAAATTCAATTATTCTGCATAATCATTTAAAATCACTGTCAATAAGCGCTCCTCATTTTTAAGGTTCTTGTAGTACAAAAAGATACGTTTCTTAAATAGGCTTTTATTGCTTTACAAGTATGAAATATAACTTTTTCATTTTTAAATTTAGTTATACAAAATAACATGAATAGGTTATTAAAAAACTGAAATACTACAAATAAAGTCACCTTTAGACCATTCCCTTATATCTGTTTCCAAACCTCTCCAACCCCTTCTTTCTTCAACCACTGTTATTAGCAGGTGAGTAAGGTTCCTTCCAGACTCTTTGTTTGCATTCACATGTTATCTTAAAAACAAAACAAAACCATAACTGATTTTTAAAATGCTACATATTTGAATATTACCTATTTCATGTTTATATAATTGACCCTAAATAAATAACATGATCAACATGTTCTGCCTTAAGCCTCATTTCTTAAGATGTTTTTTGATTTGATCAGTCCCCAAGGGAAATACAGTTTGTTAATTTTGTTTGGCATTTTGAAGTGCTAGACGAATTCTAATGTGTGGAATGAAGGTGAGGATGGATAGATAGTCACAGCCTATTGTTACTATAATTAGAAGTCGTCAGATGCTAATTAGTACCACATTAAAATGATAAATTATGAACTACAATATTTGCAGCTGAGACCAAGTGCAATTCCCTAAATGTAAAGGTTTATAGAAAAAAAAACGGCCTCTTTCACAGCTTTTTATATTCTCCCTTCTCTCCTTAAGATTATTTCACACAGGCCTCCAAATATTCTATCACTTCCTCTAACACCACACTAAGCGTAACCAATTTTCACTTAGAGGAGAAAGTAATGTTAAGATCTGTAATTTGATTTTAAGATGTTTCTAGATTTAACTTATAGTTATGTTTATGATGATTTTTGTGATAAGTTCTTGAAGCCCAACAATTACCTCAGTATGTACAGGTGTTTCTTGACTTACAATGGGGTTATGTCCTGATAAATCCATTTAAAAGTCAGAAAATTTTAAGTTGCATCATGGTAAGCCAGGGACTACCTGCATATCATTAATTTAACCTTAATCAATTGAATACACCGAGTAGAGTGAAGAATTAGCACAAATGCGAAGAAATTGATGGTGTCCATTTGAACAGATGGCAAATTTTAAAAAGCTAATCTAAAGATAGCATTTTACTTCATTCCTGCTTTTTTTAACAAAAATAATTTTTTTTATACTTTATTATTTTTATTTGTAGTTTATGCATTTTCACAGGATATTTGATCTGGTCAAAGAGGCCAAAGGATAAAAGTTCAGGTCAGCCCAGGGACTCCAAAGCCCTCATTCTAATTACAGGATAGGGTTTCTAAGCTAACTACCTGTTCATGTCTTTTGTCCATGTTTGTGTTGTAATTTTCTTCTTCCCGATTTATAAGATTTTCAATTGATTTGTAGGTTACAACTTGGCTTTTGGTCATGTATGTTGTAAACATTTTTGTAATTTGGGCTTTGTCTTTTGACTTCATGGGAATTTTTTCCACTGAAGAGTTATTTTTTGTGCAAATGTGTTAATCTTTTCATTTATAGTGTCAAGTTTTGGAACTTTTTCATAAAGTCCTCCCTGCTCTGAGATAAATACTACCACTACTAGTGACAATTATTCAGCCATGATCAAATAGTCATTGCTATCTATATGCTAGAAACATGCTGAATGCTGAGGTAATACGGATAAAATACAATTATCTGAACTATGTTTTTTCTTTTTTCTTTTTTTTTTTTTTTTGAGACAGAGTCTTGCTCTGTTGCCCAGGCTGGAGTGCAGTGGCACAATCTTGGCTCACTGCAACCTCCGTCTCCCGGGTTGAAGTGATTTTCCTGCCTCAGCCTCCCGAGTAGCTGGGACTTACAGGCAGGTACCACCATGCCTGGCTAATTTTTTTTTCTTGTATTTTAGTAGAGACGGGATTTTGCCATGTTGGCCAGGCTGGTCTCAAACTCCTGACCTCAAGTGATCTGCCCATCTTGGCCTCCCAAAGTATTGGGATTACAGGCGTAAGCCACTGCACCCAGTCCAATCATCTGAACTATGTTTAAAAGCACATAGAGGACACAGTCTTCTCTTATCAGCATTACAAATAAATACAGAAAATGTTCGGTCATGATTTTCTTCTTATTCGCCAACTCACCTGCCACCCAGAAGTCACATAGGTAATAAGATAAAAATAGTTGTTTTGGCTGGGCGCAGTGGCTCCGCCTGTAATCCCAGCACTTTGGGAGGCCAAGGAGGGCAGATCACTTGAGGCTAGGAGTTCAATACCACCCTGGCCAACACGGTGAAACCCTGTCTCTACTAAAAATAGAAAAATTAGCCAGGCGTGGTGGTGCAGACCTGTAATCTCAGCTACCTGGGAGGCTGAGGCAGGAGAATCATCTGAACCTGGGTGGTGGAGGTTGCAGTGAGCCGAGATCATGCCATTGCACTACATTCTGGGTGACAGAGCAGGGCTCTGTCTCAAAAAAAAAAAAAAGTAGTTGTTTTACAGATAGAATTGGTATGCTTTAAAATTGGTCAGTATCCATTATGTATCCTGGCAAATAGACCATCTAAAAAGAAGAAATGCCAACGATGACTTTACTTCTCATTCAATTACTCATTTAATGTTTTTTCATTCTTGCATATTCTACTTGTACCTGAATTGATCTCTATAGCAAACAGATTAGAGACAGAGCAAGGTGGGTAAAAAGAAGGTGGCTACACTTCTATAAATGAATATGTGTGTCCCAGGACACTGCAGATCTTTAATTCAATTCAGTGTTTTTTTCCTCAGATTGGCAGGTGTGTCTCGCAGTTGGATGTGGTCCAGCAGGTCCCTATGCTGCAATTCTGAAGCAGTGGGAACATCATCATTGCACTGGGTCCCCAGCAGCAGCATATTCTCTACCCACTGCTGCTTAGAGGAAATGGAGTTAAGGGTAACACAAACTCAGGAGAGTCTAAAACCTATCAGTAAAACTTCAAGACTTATAGATACCAGAATTGAAGCTGCAGATAACAGAGGTGGGCAAAGAAAGTGTAGTAGAAAAAGGAATTGGTTGAAATATGAAGGAAAAATAAAATAAACTTTTGATGAGACTTAAAAAATTTCCCTGGACAGGGCCAGGCAGGCTGGGGTGCAGTGGCACGAACCTGGCTCACTGCAACCTCCACCTCCCAGGTTCAAGCAATTCTCTGCCTCAGTCTCCTGAATAGCAGGGATTACAGGCGCCCACCATCATGCCCAGCTAATTTTTTTGTATTTTTAGTAGAGACAGGGTTTCACCGCCTTGGCCAGGCTGGTCTTGAACTCCTGACCTTGTGATCCACCTGCCTCGGCCTCCCAAAGTGCTGGGATTACAGGCATGAGCCATGGTGCCCGGTCAACACTTTTCTTTTCCTTCTTTAAATATATTATATTGCTTCACATAATAACTAGCTTAAAAATTAAGATTGTTTCATGAAGAATGCTTTAGAATCTGGTTATAGCTCACATCCTGAACTACAGGTTGCAAAGGACATAATAAACTGCCATCCCTTTAAGTCATCGTCCATGTTAAACTACTCTGTAAGACTTACACTGTAAAACATGTGTTTCAAATGTTTGCGTCAGTCTAAAACACTTATGTTATACAGAAGATCCAGTCATCCAGATAGAGATTTAAATGAATACTATGTCCAAGGCATTGGTGAGTTGTAAAGGTATACAAAGCTAAGTGCCTACTCTGAAGGAGTGGGAAATCTAATAAAGACCATGAAGCAGCATGACTGGGGTCTGGAATGGCAATAATAAACCACATTTGGAAGCATATTCTATGTATGAGGCACTGTTCTAAGGGTTCTCGATGTATTAACTTATTTAATCCACTTAATAGACATGAGGCACAGAGAGGTTATCTAACTTGTCTGGGGTCACACAGCTAGTAAGTGATGAAACAAGGATTTGAACCCAGACAATTTATAACCAATATACATATTTCTTCCTCTACTTGACTACTTAATGTGGGACCTCGGAAAGTTACTTCACCTGAGTCTCAGTTTTCTCATTGGTGAAACTGTTTTCTTTTCTTTTCTTTTTTATTTTAGTAGAGATGGGGTTTCACCACGTTGGCCAGGCTGGTCTCGAACTCCTGACCTCAAATGATCCACCCACCTCAGCCTCCCAAAGTGCTGGGTTTACAGGTGTGAGCCACCGTGCCCAGCCTGAAACTGTTATTTCTGCCTCACAGAGTTCTCATTAGGATTCAAAGTTAGGCATGCTGATACAGAGAAACATTTACCAAACTTTTGCCGCTTTCCACAAGGTGTACTACTACTGACAGGGACCAATGGGTTCTGTAGTCAAATGACTGGGAAACAATATCTCAGAGTCATGATACATAAATCCGTACCTAACTCCTAAGAATTCTCAAATGAAGGAATCTCTCTAACTCTGTTTAACCTGGCATGCCCACACTTATTTGATCCCAGAACCTTTTGTCCCACTGAACACCTAGTTACAACTTAAGCTCTGGAAGAAAAATTGGTAAATGCTAACAAGAAAAAGGCATGAAATCAAAGGACCCAGTGGGTTCAGGTCTGGCTCAGCCAATTTTTAACTGCTTGCTATGGGCAACAGCTCCAACCCCTCTCCATGTCTCTGCTTTCCCTCTCAGCTTTTGCCTAGACGACTTCACTAATTCCCTGGCTGACTCTCTATCTTGGACCTCACCTCTCAGGGTCACCTTCTAAGCGTCAGCTAATTATGTTCCATAGCACAGATACAGTAACATGACCCCTTTTGCTTAAACACCTTTTTGATAATAGCTAAGAATAAGAGCAAACACTTACAGAATGCTTACTATGCCATGCAGTATTCTACTCACTCGTTTAATTCTGAAAACCATTCTGTGAAGTACATACTGAGGTGCGGCTAGCAGGTGGTGCAGTCAGCTTCCAGATTCCAAGTCCACTCTGCTGCCTCTTGAACTCCCCACAATTTATCCAGGATATCGCCCTAATTCCTCAGGCCCTTCACAGTGTGACTTCAACCTTTCCTTTCCACCTCATCTTCATTCCCTGCTTCTCATATATGAGTTTCTAGGGCTGTGAGGCTGGCCTGTAGATGGCTGCCTTCAGTTCACAGGGCATTCTCCCTGTATATGCATATCTATGTCCAAATTTCCCCTTTTTATAAGGATGCCAGTTATATTGAGTTAGGGCCTATTCTAATGACCTCATTTTGACTTGATTAGCTCTGTAAAGATCCTTTCTCCTAATAAGGTCACATTGTGAGGTACTAGGGGTTAGGACTTCAACACATGAATTTTGGGAGGGTAAAATTCAATCCATAATACCTGCATACATAATGAAGCTAGTCTCTTTTCCATAAATTCATACAATCATGTAACAGTTATGTACTGAGTGCCTATTAATTACAATGTTGGTACTGTTCTGGGCCCTGCTAGGTACTTCTATACCCCACGTCTTTGTGAGGTATAGAAGCAGGGTGCAGTGGCGGGCGCCTGTAATCCCAGCTACTTGGGTAGCTCAGGCAGGAGAATTGCTTGAAACTGGGAGGCAGTGGCTTCAGTGAGCCGAGACTGCATCACTTCACTCCAGCCTAGGTGATAGAGCGAGACTCTGTCTCAAAAAAAAAAAAAAAAAGGAAAAAGGTAACATTTGCTGCTGTCAACAGATAAACCCTAAAATTTAAGTGGCTTAACAAATAGATTTTTCTTCTCATACATCTAGTCTGTATGGATGTTCCTGATGGGCAGGTGACTTTCCTTCAAGAGTGATTCAGGGACACAGGCAACTTTCATCTTGAATGGGTCACTTCCCAGATCATCTGCTTAAGGAGTATTACAGATGCAACATTTTTATGGCCAGGAAATAGTAAATATCACTTCTACTCCTACTCTATTGGCTAGATCTCAGTCACATGGCCAGCCACCTGCATGGGAAGCTGAGAAATGTAGTCTAGCCGGGTACTCAAGAAGAAAAGAAAGTGCGTTTGGCATACTTGCTTCAGTCTCTTCTACCAGTTAAGGTGCTGGGAAACTTCAGGAAATGAAAGTAGAGTGCAAATATGTTCAGTCTGTGGTCTGCTTTTAACTACTAGTTAGAAGAGAAGATTGAGTCAGTTCTTGATAAAACAACCGAGAAAGTGGAACCATCAGCCAAAATATTCACGTGAATTTCTGTAAACTTAATAATCATATCATGAGAAAAATCTATAGTTTTTAATATGCATTATATATTGTAATAAACTATCTTTTGTACACAAAATAAAACTATGCTATTACTAATAGAATGGGAAGTTGTAAACATTTTCTTGATTGTAGCTAGGGATAACTGTAAATTTAGTAATACTTGACTGGCTTTGCAACCAATTTTTTAAAAGTCAAGGTTAGTGGAATAAACCTAAAGTTCACAGTCTTGTTGGCAAAAGGCTATGGCGAATGTTTACAGTACATTTTTATAAATGTGGCTTTCTTGCCCGATTTTCAAAATGTAGTTATTACATTTTAGCCTAAATTCTGCCTCTCCTGGCTGTTATATGATTAGTTCACTAGACATCCACAGCACCAATTATATCCTTAGGCCAAACAAAAGAGATCACCTAACTCCCATTTGGTCCTTCAGGTAATTTACTCAGGTCCCGTTATCTGATATCAAAGTCAAGTTTTATGAGAGAAAAAATACCAACAAGGTAAATCCCAGTAGTTTGGAGGTGAATTAAAAAGCTCCCAAATTAGTACTTCCCTCAAATGTTAAATAATTCACTGTAGCATTATAGATACAAGACTCCAGCAAAAGTTACACTTGAACAATTAAGGAAGCAAGAGCTAAACAAATGACTTCAGGGGTAGAGAAACAAATTAATGGTTTCTCATAGCACTATACCAAATTACTTTTTCACATTAACAAGTGTGTAAAACACCCAAACACCCCCAATGACCTACTAGATGAAGTTTGATTATAGAAAATAGCCTGGGTTTACATGCCAGGATTATTCCCTAAATGTAACTGTGGATTCTATACACTTGAGTATAAAGCCCATTTATGTTATTTGGAAAGGTTTCATGTTCACAACGTACCCCTACTCTTTTCCAAAGTTCTTTTAGTCAAATTGCTTGGATTATAATGACCATCTGCCAACATGTTATGTGAAGGACCAAAAGCAATGAAATTGTTTCCTAGAGGCTAGACAAGAATTAGAAACACAAGGTTACATCACAGTGCACCATGTGCATACAGATTAATAGCTCCTGCTGAGTAGAAAGAGTATACACTTTGAGATAAAAATGGGATTTCAATCCCAACTCTATCACTTTCTAGCTAAAATATTTCAGATAAGTCAACCTGAGTATTAGCAATCTCTTCTGTAAAATAGGAATAACTTACTTATGTAACAAATATTTATTGAATATTTACTATGTATCAAGTAGTATTTTGCAAGGATTATTTTAGGATTAGAGATAAAAAAAATAGTAGGTGCTCATTATCTGTATGTGTGGTTATCCAAATATACAAGCAGATGACTAATAAGAAAGGGTCAAAGTCAGCAGACTGAAAATCAATGGAATTCCTAACCGAAAACAGAGATATATGGGATACAAGGCAATGTGAGGTCCATTTGCTTTCCAGGGACTAACAGGTAGTTAGTACTCACTCTAAATTTTTATATATTTTCTCTAGTTATCTCAACTAAACTTAGCCAAGAGTTTTCTACAAAATTTATAAGGTAAACTTTTTTTTTTTTTTTTGAGACAGGGTCTCATTCTGTTGCCCAGGTTGGAATGCAATGGCGCAATCTTAGCTCACTGCAACCTCTGACTCCAAGGCTCAAGCGATCCTTCCACCTCAGCCTCCTGAATAGCTGGGACTACAGGCACATGCCACCATGTCTGGCTAATTTTTTATATTTTTTGTAGCGACTGGGTTTCTCCATGTTGCCCAGGCTGGTCTTGAACTCCTGGACTCACATTATCCATCTGCCTCAGCCTCCCAAAGTGCTGGGATTATGGGCATCAGCCATCACACCTGGCCTGTAAGGTAAACTTTTGAGCTCTAACTCAAGCAGGTTTTGGGAAAGGATGTAGATGTACTAAAGATGTGCCAAAGAGTTTTCCATTTAAAAGTTTTTAAAGATATGCTTACAAGATGACTTTTTTTAACATACTAATTTAATGCTAGTCTGATCTATAACTGAAATACATATATATTTTGAAATAGATTAGAAAGGTAGAATGTAATCAAGAAAAAAAAAACCAACAATGAGGTTTGGAGGGAACATGAGAACTACAGTTAGAGCTTCAACTCTCCCCATTACCAGTTGTGTCACCAGAAAAAGCCTCAAAATTTTTGAATCTGTTTTCTTGAGTAAAATAAGCTTAACAACTCTTACTATGGCATTATTATAAGAACCAAATGGAATAGCTGTCATAAAAATGCTTAGTAACCTAAAAGCACTAAACAAATATGAACCATTTCAGAGTGAATAGGTGATCACAAGACATCCCTTATAGTGAAGGGTATTTGTATGGATGAATGGTAAAAGGTTTACAAAAAATTATATTGGCTGGAGGAATGGGCATTTGTAGTCACAACAGTAATCATTTCGCTTGCTTGCTAATGAGGAAGGATCATTGAATTTCTGGCTGGCAAGCAACAGTAATCCCTAAATATTATGGAACAGAAAACATTTATGGACAAGACCACTAGAAATAAAATTTAAAAAAAATAGATTTATTTTTAAAGTAAATCAACAAGGTCAATTAGCCATAAGTCAAAGTTCCTAGAAATGCTTCTTCTTGTGAGGAAAATTTCTTTATCACCCATATTGTTAGGCTGGTTTTAATTTCATATGCCAAAGTCTACCTGTTGATTGTTACATCTATACAGGCTTTTAATACAGTGCCAAGCATATTGCTAGAATTAAGTAAAATTATTGCTGACATACTGTTACTAAAAATATATCCAGTGATTTTTTTAAACAAAACTGAAAATTTTAAGTTTATTTTATATGCAGCAAAAAATGAGTAATACATACTTACAAATTTGTTTTTTAATCTAAATACATGAGATGTAAAAATTTTTTAATCCAATAACCAGTAAAAAAGTAGACTACAGCTCTTAAAATGACAGTAGCATCAATCTTTATACAATGAGGTATTATTTTATCTTATTTTATTTTGAGATAGAGTCTTGCTCTGTTACCCAGGCTGGAGGGCAGTGACACGATTAGGGCTTACTGCAGGCTTAACCTCCCTGGCCTCAAGCAATCCTCCTGCTTTAGTCTCCTGAGTAACAGGGACTACAGGCACATACCACCACAACTAGCTAATTTTTAAATTTTTTGTAGAGATGAGGGCTCACCATGTTGTCCAGGCTGGTCTCAAACTCTTGGTCTCAAGTGATCCACCAGGCTTGGCCTCCTAAAGTGCTAGAATTACAGGTGTGAGCCACTGTGCCCGGCCAACAAGGTGTCATTTTGAGTAGATTTAAAAATCATAGATCCTGAACTAAGTGGCACAGAGGTCTCTACAGAGACACAACAATACATAATAAGGGGAGGGAGAAGTGATGAACAGAAAATTTTAAATGCCCAAAGTAGAAAGGAAAGTATTTCACACAAATGTGTGAAGAAATTTACCAGAGTTATGTGTAGAGTTGGCCAAGACTATCACTTATTATGAACAATAAAAATCCATTTTTAACCTTATATTTTAATCTATCTTTGAATCAGAGAATGACAAAGAATGGTGATTTCCACTGACCTCTGTCCAGTAAAAGAAAACACGATGTAGAGAGCAATGTCAAAAGACTAAATTCTTCTTACCATGAGTAGATCCCACTGACCATGTCATAGTTCTGACATGAAGTGTTCACGCTGCTGGGCCCAGCTGCTTTAGAGATAAGGAGCACCACCAAGCCCCTCAACTGGAGGCTATTCCAGCTGTCATGTACAAGCCCCCTGCCAACAAGCAAAGAAGGAAGAGGATTAATATACCCTCACGAGATCATCAGATAACTTAGAAAACTGCTACAAAGATGCCCACACTTCTAAAACTGGACAATGAGACTTACTGAAAAGAAACAGGGTCAGGGAGGAAAATTAATGTGAGGATGCCATGAGTTCAGGAAACAACTAGAGAAATCTACGGCTGCGTTGTTGTTGTTGTTGTTGTTGTTGTTGTTTTTGAGACAGGGTTTTGCTCTGTCACCCAGGCTGAGTGCAGTGGCACAATCTCAACTCACTGCAGCCTCAACCTCCCGGTCCTAAGCGATCCTCCCACCTCAGTCTCCCTAGTAGCTGGAACTTTAGGTATGCACCACGATGCTCAGCTAATTAAAAAAAAAAAAAAAAAACGTAGAGTCAGAGTCTTGCTATGTTGCCCAGACTGGTCTTGAACTCCTGGACACAAGCAATCTTTCTGCCTTAGCCTCCCAAAGTGCTGGGATTACAGGCGTGACCCACCATGCCCAGCCCATGGCCAGTTTTAAAAGCGACAATCTCGCTGGTGGCAGTGGCTCAGGTCTGTAATCCCAGTGCTTTGGGGGGCCAAGGTGGTCAGATGAGCCTAGGAGCTTGAGACCATCCCAGACAAGATGGTGAAACCCCGTCCTTACAAAAAATAGAAAAATAAGCTGGGCATGGTGGCATGTGCCTGTAGTCTCAGCTACTCAGGAGGCTGACGACGGAGAATGATTTGAGCCCAGGGTTGGGGGGGTGCTGAGGCTGCAGTGAGCCATGATGGCGCCACTGCACTCCAGATGGGGAGACGGATTGAGACTCTGTTTCCAAAAAAAAAAAAAAAAAAAAAAAGTGACAATCTCACATTTGAGGCTTCCTCATTTGCTCTCTCCTCTTTCTGGGTCTCCCCGCTGTCTATACCCTATCTCACAATCTTAATCATTTGCTCTGGTAACAAGAAGAACCCATAGTTTTAAACCGGTTTGTGACAGTTGAAAGAAACTGACATATAAATCACATTGCTTGGATGAAGTGATACTATTTGGTGATGACGGTGGTAAACAGTAGTAAAAAATGATTTGTTTTCACAGGTAGAGAAGGAGCTCAGAGAATGAAAGGATTAAACCAAATTCAAAAGACGCAGAAATTTGATAAGTAAATGAAAGTGAATGCCATCAGCAAAAATGTTGCTTATTACTTACAAACATTATAATTCTAGGCAACAACAAGGCTTTAACTTAGAATGTGGCATATCTTTTGACATGAGGACTGAATTTTTATAATTTCTGCTATACCTGAGGCTAGAAATACTTCCCAGGAATACATTTTCTTTTTAAAGTATTACAAATGGTTGTCATTCAAGAACTAAATGGCATTGTTTTAAAAAATTAGAAAACTATGGGCAATATATTACAGTAAAGTCATATTGAGAACAATGCTCATGAGCACTAATCAAATAGATTACAGCATATATAAATAATATACAAATATAGCTCTCGAATGCAGTAAGAAAACAAAAATTAGTGTTATAATACTTGACTGAATTATCAAGGCTTCCTTGTTGAGTTTTTGAACAAAGAATCAATTTAAGTTAATTAAGGTAACATAGCCAAAAATAATGAATTAGTCCATTACTTAAGAAAAATCTTGGTTGGGTATGGTGGCTCATGCCCGGGGTGGGGGGGGTGGGGGGTGGGGCATCACCTGAGGTCAGGGGTTCGAGACCAGCCCGGCCAACATGGCGAAACTCCGTCTCTACTAAAAATACAAAAATTACCCAGGCGTGGTGGCAGGTACCTGTAATCTCAGCTACTCAGGGGGCTGAGGCAGGAGAATCGCTTGAATCCAGGAGGTAGAGGTTGCAGTGAATTGAGATCGAGCCACTGCACTCCCAGCTTGGGTGACAGAGCGAGATTCCGTCTCAGAAAAAAAAAAAAAAAAAAAGGAAAATCTTTGCCCCTCCAGTCTCCAAACAGAAATTTTTAAAAGGGGCCCCTTTTACCTTTCATTAGTTTCAAAATAAGACAAATCATTAGGTTCTCTGCAAAGTAACAGCTATAGCTTTCTCTGCTTATATTCTGTCCTTAACCAAGTAGGCAATCTTCATCAAGATAAAAGGGTTTAAACTGATTTTTAAAAAGAAATTCTAATTTCCTAGGAAAAGGAAGTTAAAGTAATACAGTTACATCACAACAGAAACAAATAATCATCAGAAATGTCCCAAACTCTTTACTGTCATGTAACAATCTGCTTAAATCCTATGAACCTGAATTTTACGGCGGTTAAGAGGCATCCTATTACAGAACACAAAAATGTTAAAAGAAGAGCTTTTTAAATTTTTTTTTGCTTTGAATTACAACTTTTAACTTAGGCTACTAGATTCTTATTTATGTATTACCTATAGTGAATCTTTATTCTTCCTTTCTTTTATAATAAAGAGAAGGTCTGAATTGGCTTTCAATTCTAGAAAAGGAAAAGAAAAAGAGGTGTGTGGTGTGTGTGTGTGTGTGTGTGTGTGTGTGTGTGTGTGTGTGTGTGTGTGTGTGTGTTCGGGGCTGGGCCTGGTCAGGGATTAAGGATATGATTCAGCAAGAACTCTAAGAGGTGAACCTTGAGACAAGTCTGACCAAATCACACAGATTTAACAGCCCTGACAACAGTTTTAACAATATCTTCAAACTTCTCAGAAATAGGACCTTTCACATACCACACACACACACACACACACACACACACACACACACAAATAATAATAATAGCAGCAGCAAACACTTATATTGTGGTTTATACATTGCTTTCTATATGTCAGAAACTGTTCTACATGTTTTACTATATATTAACTAAATTAATTCACAATGCTAAGAGGAGGGTACTACAATTATCCTGATTTTACAGATGGGGAATGAGGCACAGAGAGAAATCAAGTAACTTGTCTAAGGTACCATACCTGGTAGGTGGCAGAACCATGACAGAGCCAGGATTTGATCCCAGGCCAACAGGCTCTAGAGTCTACATACACTTTTAAACATTATGCTATGTAGTGATGCTCCATCTGCTTCCTTTGTACAAAACCATTTGCTACATCAAATTAGAACAGTTGGCTTTAGAACCAGACAAGCCTAGGTCTGAAAAAGTCTTCTGTTATTTACTAGCTGTGAGTGTGACTCTAAGGCTATGACCTCTTGTATAAAATGAGGGTAACAATGTCTACTTTTCATAGTCATTGTATGGAAGAGACAACATAGGTCAAAGTACATAACACTGTGGAAGCACATGGTTGGTGATCAAGTAATCAGTAAATTACATTTTCTTTCCTTGTTACTTTTTTGTGATCTTATTTTTTTCTCAACTCTTAACATTTTCTTTCTTCTACTCTCTTTCTCCTTGTAACTCTCAAAAAGTCTTCCCCACTCTACTAGCATATATAATCTCCTATGTTATTTAGTTTTCTACCTCCTCAAATAACAAAAGTTAAGGAATTCTTCCCACCCCCTAATCATTATTATCATTATCTCAATGATAATCATGAAAACACCCCTTTCAGAATGCATTACTGAAAAGGTCAGGAAAAGAAGCTGTAATGAACTGGGTGACAAAAATTAAGAGAGCATTCAGAAAAGCACATCTTCTGGCCATTAATTTTCACATAAGTCAGTGGTTAACAATCTGGAGGATAGACTAACAGCTTGAGTAAATTAAATAACTGTTTCCAAAACACCATTTCTTTAAATTCACTTCGTTAACACTCTTAAAAAAACAGTACTGAAATAAGTGGATAATGCCTACAGCTCAAAATTTAGCTCACAACCAAAAGAGAATATGAAATTTTGCTCCAGAGCAAATAAAAAACAAACAAACAAACAAAAAACATGGGATTCTAAACTTACAGAGACAATATGTTTCATGTAGCACAGGTCATATTTCATCTGGAACACTCTAATTTTTTCTCAGTGCTTCTCTTAAGGGACACTGACAAGCTGTGGCATAACCAGAAAATGGTGAAATCACATACCACCACATCTAGGAAGGCTAGCTTAGAAAATGGTAAGGTTGGTGTTCTCAAACGTATTCAGCCAAGAGTGTACTGAATGCTCACTGCATGCCAGGCTTGGTGCTAAACAGACAGTGGAGAATATGATGAGGAGCACTGTTAAGATGTGGCCTCCCTTCTTGTGTATAGTAGTCTGGATTTAAAAATCACAATAAAATGTGGCAGGAATTGTTTCAGGGGATGAATAAGGGTTGTGGCAGCATGTAGAAGAAGCAACTAACACAATTCAGGGGATGTCAAAGAGACTTCCGTGAGATCTAAAGGATGAGTGAGAGGGAAGTAGCCAGGGGATCTGGGGCAGGGACGAAAAAGTGTTCTGAAGAGAGAAACAGTATGTGTGGAGGTCCGAAGGAAAGAGAGGAGGACACAGTTGTTTCTAGAGCCAGTGTGGCAGGAACACAGTACGTAAAGGAAGAACTGAGAGAAATAAATCTGGAGGGGCACAGGAGAGTTGTCTGTTCTTTTAAAAGGGTTCCCTATGTAGAGGAGATAGATCTAGTAAGTATTAATTTTTTTTTTCTTTTAGAGACAGGGTCTTGCTATATTGACCAGGCTACTTTTGAACTCTTGGCCTCAAGTGATCTTCTGGCCTGGCATCCCTAAGTGCTGGGATTACAGGGGCGAACCACTGAGCCAGGCCGTAAGTATTACTTTAGAGACTGATGCTAATGGACACAAACTATAGCAGGCCAATTCTGGCTCAAAGAAATAAAAAACAGAGCAACCTCTGGTAATGCTGAGCTGCTTGTTACTAGAGATGTTTAAGAAGCTGCACGGACTCTGACATAACACATTAGACAGAAGCCTGGAATATGTGACATCTGAGGTTGTTTTCTTACTCTGTGATTCTATATGGCCTCACTTTACTACATTTAATTATCTAATACTCCACAATATATACAAAAATTGAAAAAGCCTTGTCATTAAAGTGTCATAAATGAAAGCAGTATTTAGTATTTTATAATCTTTATCATTAAAGTTCTACAGAATTGGGTTTTCTTAGCTAATGAACAAAAACATCATTTGTTCATTCATTCATTCAATTAATAAGACTGGACGCCTTCTATACATCAAGCATTGTGCTAGGCATGGATGCAATGGTGAGCAAAACCAGGCATGGAGCTTGCAGAGCTTATGGTCTAATGGAAGAGACTGGTAATAAAAAACGAATCATGAGGACGTGTAAAACTACACTGGTAATAGATGCTACAAGGGAAAAAGAGCAAGAGTGCCATGAGAGCTTGGAATACAGAAAGTAACTTTGCAGGAAAGTCAGTCTTCCTTGAGGAAGTGATGACTGAGTTGATATCCAAAGGAAAAAAAGGGGGAGTGGGAAGGAAACAGGTAAGGGGGGTATATTTGCAGCACAAGGAGGGGCATATGCCAGGCTGAGAGCACTGTATGAAGTGAAACTGGTGGCAGACAGGAACTACACCACCCAGGATGAACAGACCATAAGAGGTTTGCTCTTTATCCAAAGAGCAATTCAAAGGTGCTGTGGTATTTTATTAAGCAGCCAGTGACATAATCAGATATTTCAGAAAACAAAACAAAACAAAATCATTTATCATCAGTGTAGAAAATGACTTGTGTAGACAAGAGAGGAGGAAACCAAGGGAGTATGAGGAACCCAATTAGGAAACTTTTGTAATAGTCAATAAAAAAAAAAAAAAGAGGGTAGCTTGATGGACAAACTAGAGATGTACCAAACCTAAAATAATGTTGATTCAACTCAAAAAGATGTTGCATACTACATAGTCCTGGAAAATTAGCTAATATAGGCATATCACTAATTTTAAATAATATTATTCTAAATATGTTTGTAAGTTGAATTTTAGGTGGGGAGATCTTGGCCTCCTTTAAAGTTCTTCTCTAGATCTATAATAGATAAAGAGTAAACACTAATAACACTAATATTCTAAAAGCTAAACAATTTCATGGGAATAAGGATTGAGTAGGTAAAACTTTGGGCAAGTCAGCTCTGTCTTCTCCATTGTACTTTAGATGGCTGACTGCAGTTCTCACTGCATCATATCCTTCCACAGCTACTAACAAATTTACATTCCTTCATCCAATCCTGTATTAGATCCTCAAACCACCACTGTGGTACTTTTCTATTTATCCTCTTAAATTCCACTTCAACACGTATGAAGGGTATACAAAGAAATACGAGCTGTAAGAAAAGAGCTATAATAGTAGATTCAAAGTATGGTTAAATTGAATAATACAAGGAACAGATAACAAAGAAAAGTTACAAGCAGCTATCAGTGCACAACTAGTTGCTAGAGGTGTCCCTCACAGTAGAGGCAGCATTCAGATTGAGCCTGAAAGATGGTCAAATTTCCCTGAGTAGGGAACAGAAGTAGGAGACGGGACTGGAATGGAGTCATGGGAATAGAAAGAAGGGTATTTTAGGAGAAAGAAATAGATAAGCAGTGACAAGAAGGTGGAAGAACACAGAACCAGTTCAGGAGCTGTGGGGCTACCCATTTGGGCAATGTGTGAAGGTAAAACAAGTCCAGGAAAACAGACAACCTAAAGAGTGAAGGGCCTTGAAAGTCAGGTTTAGAGTCTGGACTTAATTCTGCAGGAAATCTGGAGGCATAAGTGGTTTGTCTGCAAGGGAGAAATGTAATTAGAGCTAAAGACTAAAACTGTTACTCTGAGCCTAATCCTGTTACTCTGGCAGGTGCTATGTTGTGTACGGTGGAAAGGAGAAGGAAGATCAGTTAGGAGGAGCCTCTTCTAGTAGTCCAGATGGGAGATAATGAGGGCCTAAATGAGGGTAGTGGCAATAGGGATGGGGAAGAAAAGCTGAATGATGGCAGTAGCATGGAGGTGGAAAAGGCTAGTGTGGCCAACTGGAGGGATGAAGGAGACATTGGGGAGGGATCAGAAAGCAAAGGAATGTAAGATTCCAACCTGTTTGCTGGAGGTGATAATGCTACCGTTAGTAGAGATTGGAAAGAAGGAGGAGAACTAATGAGGAATGAATGAGTTCAGTTTTGGACATGTTAACTTTGAATGCAAGAAGGACTTCCAGATGGTGATGCCAAGCAGGCAGCTGGAAATGCTGTGCCTATAGAGTTGGGAAGCATCTTCATAGAAGCGATGGCTGAAGCTGTAGGAACTGACAGATGAGCTTTTAGGTGAGAGAGAAAAGAAAAGAAGAGAAGGGAAGGGAATCTTGGAGAATTCCTACACTTAAAGGAATGAGATGAGTAACCAACATGAAGAAATATGTTCTAGCTACAAACAAATAAAAGGCCTCCACAGACATGGATAATGAAGTATGTATACACACGCACAATGGAGGCAGAGAACTACAACAGTACAATGCACAGAAACCAGGGCCAGTAGTTGTAAGCTTCTTCCATGGGCTTTCATGGACTTACTATAAACCTCTAGTTTGGCACTTAACACACTGAGTAATAAAAATGGTAACAATATAACAACAACTATAATATACTATAATGCCAGGCATCTGCTGTTTTACATGCATATGCTCTAATTCTCACAAAAACCATGCAAGGTAACTAGTAATATCCCTTTACAAATGAGGAAAATTAGCATGGAGGCTCAAAAAAGTTCAATAATTACTACTCACAATAGTCAATTAGTAACAGAGGTGCCAAAATTTAAACATAATTGGACTCCAATGCCCGGGCTTGCTTATGCTTTGAGGCCTTGGTATTTAATTATTTGTTCACAGGACTCCCTGGCAAGGTTGTGAGACCCTTGAAGGTACTCAGTCCTCTTTGGATGCCCTGCACCCAGCAGAGCAACTGACACAGAATAGTTCTAAAAAAAAAAAAAAAATTAAAGATGAGAGAATGAATAGCTTCAAGGAGTAGGCCAGCCAACTCTCCATCTTACACATCTCCCCAAAACAGACCTACTACTATTCTCAACTTTCCTCATTTCTCTTCCTGTTATCAATTTGCCACATCCAACCATTCAGCTCTGACTGGTTCCTCTTCCTCTTGAGTTCCTTTTCCTAAATTGTAGTAAGTTCTTTGAAAGTGACAGGCACACACAAGAAAAGCCCCAACACATTCTAAAAAACATGCTGAGATTTGTTATTTTGACGTTGTATTTTAAAAATTACTGTATATAAAATGTATGCCGTATCAAAGGGTCTATTTAAGTTTTAGAGAAAACTCAACATATTAATTATATATTTAATACAAATATTTATGTGTTTTGTTTCTTCATTTAGGAGAACTGACTGAATTGACTGCTGCATCAGTGCTTGGGAAAGAAAGCTGCCCTCACTCTGAAAAGAAGATAAGTGTACTTCCAGACAGAGAGTTGAGGTGGAAAGACAGAATTGGGGCATAAAAGAAAAATTTTGAGATTTATGAATAAGAGTTCAAAATTCTAAATTCTATCAGCAATCCAAATTACAATCTTTTGATAAATTTATAATCAAATATTAAGGAAACAACTTCACCACCACCAAGGGACCATCATCCTTGAGTAAGCTCAAAATACCCCAAAGTAAAACTGAGTGGGAAAGAATCACCTTGAGGGCAAGGAACCCCTTTCAATGTTAAAACCTAGAGATATAGAGTGAGTGGTACGATTTTATTTTTATTTTTTTAATTTATTTCTTTTTTAATGGAGATGGCAATGTTGCCCAGGCTGGTCTCAAACTCCTGGGCTTAAGTGATCCTCTCGCCTTGGCCTTCCAAAGTGCTGGGAAAGTGAGCCACCACACCAGGTCTTACTATTTTATTACCCCACTTTCCATAAATCCAGTTCCAGTAAGTCTATCCAAAAAATGTAAGCACAAAAGATGGATGTCAAATTCTAACATACATGAAGTGGGTTGATTGGTAAGATTCCTATTAATGCTTATGACTGTGACCCCTAGTTAAATTTTTTTTTTCATTTAGATACAGACAACTGAAACAAAAGAATTGACTATAATGTGCACAGTTTCTGCCAAAGAACTACAGGAATACTCTAATCTTTTCTACTCCTTTTTAAAATGCTGACTGCAACCTGCTAAATTGATTTGTGACCCACCAACAAGGTGCAACTGTAGTTTTTTTGAAAAACAGTGTTTTAAGTTACAGTATATGATGTATTAGTTAAAAGAACTGAAAACATAATGTAAAATTAAACAGGAATAGAATCATCACTTTTTAAAAGCAGAAAATCTGTCCACACACTAGCACAAATTTAGTGTTGCAACAAAACATTAACGTTTACTTAATGACATGGGAAAATACTAAAAATGTTAAATAAAAGAATACAAAATTGTATACATCATATGATCTCAATTATGCTTCAAAATATGCATACATATATACATATAAATGAGGCCAAGGACAAAAACTAGAAATAAATATGTCAAAAGGTTAACATTTTAAACCTGGTGTCATTGTATAGGTGTTCAATACACAAAGTATTCTTGCATTTTTCTGTGTGCTTGAAATAGTGTTTAAAAATGAAAAGAAAAACAGGATAAGAAAAAAATACTACCAAACGGTAACAAGTGTTATCCAACAAATTTCTTGATTAAGGGTGACCTATTTCTTAAGTTGCACACAAGAGCACAGATATCTTTTTAAGACTGGAGAAAAAAACACTGTATTTTAAAAACAACAGAATTCTAAGAAGACAAATGACTTAGTATATTATAGTTGTGTTTCTAACTTGAAGAAAAAAAATTAAGTGACATTTAATGAACTCCAGAGCCCTATGGTATAGGGACCCTTTTGGGTCCTACTACTTCACTTTTAATTTCTCTGAGATTTAGACACAGGACCAAAGTTTAAATGGTATCAATGAAATGATGTTAAAAACATAAATATAATTAGCAATTTGATGACAGCAATATTACTCAGTTATAAAAGAAAAAAACACTCCATGAAAATTATTTTTTTAAAGAATTGTAATTTTAGAGAGACTAAAAATAGTCTGCATGTCACAGATTTTTATATAAAATTAGCAGAAGAACTGGAGGTTAATTTCCATGGAAAAAATGACCCAAAATGTATTATTACTGCCATATCTATTCTAAGACTAAACTGTCCCAGACTTGAAACAACTTTAGGGCCTGAGGTGACCAGCCTTTAGAATACAGGAGCTGTGGCAGTCATTGATATGGCTCGAGGGCCACACACACATCCCACCTGCATTAAATCCTCGAGGGACAGCAGGGCCAAGAACTGCCTCACCAAAGCCCTCCCAAAGCTTCAATTAGGTTTGATGAGCATGTGGCAGAAGACAGGTGCCTGGAAGGAAAGGAAGGAAGAGAGAAGAGAAAGTAGAATGGGGGTAGGGTGCAGGGGTTGTTGAGCAGGGACTAAATCAAGCCAGGAACTTTTCAGAAATGGTTACTGACCACTAGTTGTATACTGAAATATAACTGAAATTAAAAAGAAGTATAAAATGTCGTGATCAATCATGTTTGCAGCAAGATGTGGCTAGTCACCCTGGAATTAAATATACCACTGGAAAAACAACAACAAAGATTTCCCCACTGAAATGGTAACTAAAGATTTAAAAATACTAATGGAAAATAGGGCCATTTAAAAAGTAATATTTAGTCACACTGAAAACTCTCAAAATAATCTCATACAATAATTTTTACATCTAAGCCCCTTGGGTTCACATTTTAAAAATCAATTTAGTGTTGAAGCAAGGGGGTAGAAAAATTGAGTGTAGGAATACAGGCATCATTACACTACACAACACACAAGACTCACACCACCACTCAAGCAATGACACTGGCTAAGAGCTAATGTGCTGTGAATTACACCTCCCACTACCACAGCCCGTCTGTGCAGAGAATAAATCAACCGAATGTGAATGAGTATTCCCTTAGTACTCAGTGCTTTCCTCAACTTGCAGTTCCAGTTTCAATAGAATCTGCCATTCAAATGCAAGAGAACTACTCACTTTAATAGTCTATAATTTTTTATGGTTTTACTCATCTAGTATGTAGGCCTGTTTTTACCAAAAAGAATGTTTCAATGTAAGTAATCAATATTTAGTGTATGGAGTATCAGTCCTATTAGCTAATAATGGAATCACATCAATTGTGCAAAAGTTAGAAGATTTGTACTTGAACAAGTGGAAAGAGATAAAGGTAGATGATTGTTCAACTGACAATTACTCATAACATATTATGAAGAGGCTAAAGCCAAATGTAAAAAATACAACAGCAGATGGATGAAGCCAGTAAAAATCAGGAAGTTGGGGGAAATGATGAAATACTTTATAGAGTAACAGATAATACCTCAAGGGCAAATTAGGGGGGAGGGGGAAGAGCAAAGTGAAATACATCATAGATTTTTAGTAGGAAAAATATGTTTAAAAATGAATGGAAAAACATTCAAAATGTAAAACTATATTATTGCAACATGATGGTTCAGAAGTTCAAAAATTTTAGGAAAATCTCGTTTATTTTTCCAGAATCAACATTGAATTCAAGGTAGAGGAGACCAAGACATGAGGAAATCGGAAGTGACAGTGATGGCGGGACACACATTTCATGTATTCATTTTCCACAGAAAAATTTCCACCAGAGAAAAGATTCCATGACTGGCTGCCTAAGTTCAAACCTTAGCTCTCATAATCACAAATGTGCCACCCAATTAACATTAAGACCTTACAGATATTTAAAATGGCCACCAGCAGAGCTAGCAAAGAGGATTACTATAATAGTCGCATCTCTCAAATTATTTATGTCCATAGAAAAATATAATTTGATTTTTAAAAGTTACACTTACATGGCACTTATTGAATAGAATGGCACCTAGTGAATGAAAAGATATGTACTTGGAATAAATTACATACAGGTTATTCTAGCCAATTAAGCCTCAGAGAACAGTATTTGCTCTATCCTAGCAGGAAGAAATCTCTCATTTACCAAATTGCCAGGAAGCTGCAGGGGCAACTGTTTCATTTACCATGGTATCCTCAAGCTTTCTAAGGTGCCATCTCATCTAACCTGACAACTGTCCGTGAGGTGGTGGTTATCCCCATTTTGTTGATCAGGATACTGAGGCTCATAGGAATAATTTATTTTTTCCATATCTATTATTTGATATACTACATATTTATAGCACATCATTTATTTTGATTATTCTTCTTCCTTGATTAGAATATAATAATCATGTTATAGCATATTTACTTGTCTACAGTTATATCTCTGGTGCTTAGAATAGTGCCTGGCACACAGGACATTTAATAAATACTTGTTTAGTGATTAATAACACAACCTGCCTAAAATTATTTAATGTATATCCAATAAGCGAGAGACCTGGGGTCCAATTCAGGTGTCTATCTTTAAGGCCATGTTCCCCCAAACTGGAAAGATAATGATTACAGCAGAATTAAAATATGAAAAGTAAAAAGGAACAATAAATTAGAATTAGAGTTTTAAAAGTGCCTTATAGGTAAAAACTGTGAAACATTTTAAAAAATATTTTTCTCCTGAACATTTCCTTGAATCTTCTCTTGCTTATAGGTCTGGTGTATTGATAGAGTTCGACCAGCAGAGGTGTGCAGGCTCCTGCTTTATAGGCATGTTCAACAAGGCTCCCAGGCAGCACACAACAGAGGGTTGGTGGCCCATGAACCAGGGATCAAGGGAAGCCCTGAGTAGCCCCCATTCCCACGGAGGCTGGGAAAAGTCTGCAGTACAGTGAAAGTGCTGTCCAGGTTAAAACAAAAACAAAACCTCACAGACTGCAGGAGTAGCCAGGGTCTACCCTACAGCCAAGGAGTGTTACATGGAAATGAGGACCTGCATGGGCCCAGCTTGCAGCATATGGCCCTGTGCCCTTCCGGTGGTCTGTGGCAGCTGATCCTTTAAAATAGTCAACTTCCATACAATTCCCTAAAATTATATCTTCTTTTTTTTTTTTTTTTTTTTTTTTGAGACGGAGTCTCGCTCTGTTGCCTAGGCTGGAGTGCAGTGGCGCGGTCTCAGCTCTCCACATCCCGGGTTCAAGCGATTCTCCCGATTCAAGCGATTCAAGCCTCAGCCTCCCGAATAGCTGGGATTACAGGCGCCTGCCATCACGCCTGGCTAACTTTTTGTCTTTTCAGTAGAGATGGGGTTTCACAAAGTTGGCCAGGCTGAACTCCTGACCTCGTGATCTGCTCGCCTCGGCCTCCCAAAGTGCTGAGATTACAGGCGTGAGCCACTGCACCTAGCCTCCTAAAATTATATCTTTTAGGGAAGGAGGAGCTTACGCTTTTCTTCGTTCTTTTCTGAACACCATGGGTTCTTTCCTTGATGTTGGGCAGAATGTGAATTTCTCATGAGAAATAGCTGACTGAATGGCTAATCAAAAGAAATAATTTATATACATTATATGTTTTTATTTCCAGGAACATACTAAAGTAAGACAAGATATCTGTATTTGAAACCTAACAACCTATAGATTTTAACTGGCTTTTTGTTCCCATCTTAATGGCTATATGTTGTCCTAATTAATATTAAAACAATTAATTTTTAAAAGGTAAAAAAGAGTAAAGGACAACACTATAGCTATAAAGGACTAGGAAATGTTGAAAATGTTATGGTCATCACCGGACTTCATCTCAGGATGCCATCCCCCACCCCCCACACAGTTTTCCTTCCTGAAAAGTTGCCAGGCATGAGCTGAAAATGATAGCCTTTATTTCACTAAAAAAGTAATAGGAGATAAGTCATCGATCCCCTCCTACACCCCAAATAAGACAATGGAATTTCTGGATATCTATCGGCCTATCTTTTCGACTGACTTTTTTTGGGGTTAAGGTGATGGGCAACAGGAGTGGCAGAGTAGAGAGTATGCTAATGTTTTTATAGCATATACTATGAGCTATGCACTTTCACATGCACACAACAACTCTGAAGAAGGTACTGTGGTCATCTCCATCTTATAGGTGAGGCTTAGAGACAGGTTAGCGTCTTGGCCAATGTCAAAAGCAAGTGAAAGAATCAGAATTCAAAATCAGGACAACTTGACTCCAAAGCTGCTACCTTAGTTACTAAGTTATTTGTTGAAGTTCTTTGGTTCCCAGGAACCAATAATGTTGAGTCATTGCTATTACTCCAATGTGAAAGGGCTGATGGAACTCAGGAGTGAAACAAACAGGGTAAGTTTTGTTTATTATTGGTACAGGCTAAAAAGCCTTTAAATAATCACTGGAATATTAAACTTAAATCAAACAGCTATGGTTAATAGTTTTAAACCCAAATAAAAAAATTAATATCTACATTTATTTCAATGTGTTGACCTGTAGCACAATGTTCACTTCATGTTTCTAAACTGAAATGTTTCCATCAGTACAAAGGCCATATTATAACAACAGACAAATAATAAATAGTCCAAGCTTCTAAATACTGCTAATGGATACACCAGCGACTCAATGTTGGCCACTTTATCCCAGAAAGGTAAAAGTATCAAACTCAAATGACATAATAGCGAATATCTATTGCAGGCAGTGCTCTTAGCATTTTTTTTTAACTTACTTAAACTTCACACAAGCTTGTACAGTACTACTGTTATCCTAATTTTACAGATGGGGAAACTGAGACACAAGGAAGTAATAAGTGGTAGAGCCATGATTTTAACCCAGGGATTAGGATTCTAGAACCTTCAGCTATTCTCATCCTTCCTTTTTGTAAACAATCTCAAACTTATAGAAAAGTTACAAGTACAAAGAATTCTTCTTTTCCTGAGGCATTTAAGAGTCAGTTCCTATCTTGGTACCTCATAACCATGGGATACTTTAGGGTATATAAATTACAAATAAGGCCGGGTGCAGTGGCTCACGCCTGTAATTCCAGCGCTTTGGGAGGCCAAGGCAGGCGGATCACGAGGTCAGGAGATCGAGACTATCCTGGCTAACACGGTGAAACCCCGTCTCTACTAAAAATACAAAAAAATTAGCTGGGCGTGGTGGCGGGCGCCTGTAGTCCCAGCTACTCGTGAGGCTGAGGCAGGAGAATGGCGTGAACCTGGGAGGCGGAGCTCGTAGTGAGCCGAGATCGCGCCACTGCACTCCAGCCTGGGCGACAGAGCAAGACTCCATCTCAAAAAAAAAAATTACAAATAAGAACATTCCCCTAGGCTGGGCATGGTGGCTCATGCCTGTAATCCCAGCACTTTGGGAGGCCGAGGCGGATGGATCACCTGAGGTCAGGAGTTCGAGATCAGCCTGGCCAACATGATGAAACCCTGTCTCTGCTAAAAACACAAAAATTAGCTGGGCCTGGTGGCAGACACCTGTAATCCCAGCTACTAGGGAGGCTGAGGCAGGAGAAAAGCTTGAACCCGGGAGGAGGAGGTTGTAGTGAGCCGAGATCGTGCCATTGCACTCCAGCCTGGGTGACAAGAGTGAAACTCAGCCTCAAAAACAAACAAACAAACAAACAAACAAAAGAACATTCCCCTAATAACCACAATACAACCATCAAAATCACTAACGGGAATACATTACTACCATCTAATTTTCAGATCCAATTCAAGTTTCACCAATTATTCCAATAATGTCCTTTATAACAAAAGGATCCAGTTCAGAATCATACATTGCATTTAGTTGCCATGCCTCTTCGGCTTCCTTTAATCTGGAACCGTTTCTTAACTATTCCCTGACTTTCATGGCCTTTACAATTTCGAAAATTACAGGCCAGTTATTTTGTAGAAGTTCTCTCAGTGTGGATTTTGATGTTTCTCTGTGATTAGATTGAGGTTTTACATCTCAGGCGGGAAGATCATAGATAGAAACAATGTTGTATTCTTCCCACCTCAATTTCAGTTTGTTCCATGACAGCAGATTTCCACTTTGGCCGTCTGAGTAAGGTGATGTCTACCAGCCTTCTCCACAGCAAAGTTACACTTTCCCCCTTTATAATTAGTAATGTTTTGTGAAGAGGTACTTTGAAACTATATAAATATCTCATTCATCACACACCAGAGCAGGAAAAACGTTGGTGGGTACTTACAATGAGTTGCCTCTCTTGATCCAATATGGCATCATTAGCTCAATAAAAACAAAACAAATCAAAAAATAAATTGAGAAGATAAAAATGTATTTCTGTAGAGACAATGTAAATTTTCTTAAATGAATAAATATAAAGAGAACTTATGAAGTTTAGCTGATAAGCAAATGATTCAACAGTGAAAGTTTCAGGCCAGGTTTAGTGGCTCATTACTATAATCTCAGCACTTTGGGAGGCTGAGGGAGAAGGCCAGGATTTGGAGACTAGCCTGGGCAAAATAGTGAGATCTCATCTCTACAAAAATAAAAATAAATGTGAAAATTAGCTGGGCATGGTGGCACATGCCTGTCATCCCAACTACTAGGGAGGCTGAGATGCGAGGACTGCTTGAGCCCAGGAGTTCCAGGATGCAGTGAGCTATGATCACACCACTGTGCTCCAGCCTGGGTGAACAGAGCAGGACCCTGTCTCAAAAAAAAAAGTAAACAAACAGGGAAAGTTTCAATATTTCAGACAGTCATTATCTTTTCCCTGGGGGAAAAAAAAACAAAACAGTTCCACATTTAGTGAAATAATAAAGGCCACAAATACAGATTTTGCTTTAAATGGTGGCTTTTAAAAAGATGATGCAAAATAAATAAGGTCTTGGATTAAGCAAAGGGGGAGAAACTAGGAATTATACACAAATTAATTTAAATAAAGTCAAAAATTGTTTCCACCACATTAAAAGTAAAAAAAAAAATTGATAAAAGTAATGGGAAAAAAGTAATTACTCTCTTCACATTGCCAATATAGTTCCAAACATTATGAAGTTGAGGACAATGATAAAAGATGAAACCTTTGTCTCTGAGCACATCTGTCCAAAAGGTAATGAATTTCAGATATGAATAACAGATATTTGTATGCCCAAATGTAGAAAATGACTTCTCTTGGTATAAAGTTCTAAGATGGTTTTGTTAACAAATACAGCTGTATTGTTTGTATCATCTTGATATCAAAAGTTCTGCTCTTCCCCAAGAGTAGCCAGACCAATACTAAATTTAAGGATCAGGTGAATATTTAATATTTCAGGATTATTTTGTTTTTATTATTTGTGTATGGGTAGAAACTAGCAAATTATCAACAGATTATTTAAGCCTATCAAGATGCTTGACTATTTAGAATATGGTCCTCATCTTCAAATATTCTTTACTTAAATCAATGCCTTGTGAATGGTTCTAACTTGCATATTACTCAAGAGCTGAAAAGTTCTCTATAATATATAAGCACAATCGCCACTATATACACTGGTTTCCACTCAGTCTGGTTTCAAATACTGTGATATAAATACTGTGCAAGCTACTGCCTACATAAAAAATAGTTAAAATTTCAGTGTAATTATTTTACACAATTATTTAAGTAGATCTGAAAGGTCTAATATTCTCATATTTCCAAAAAAGCTATTATTCTCTATATCTGCATTCTTCCAAAATGTTCTTTTAACTAATCATATAGTGAGATCCAGTAATTTCCTACCAAATAGCATTAACACAGCCACATATTGATATACGTTTCTGAAACAATCTATCAGATGATGGAAAAATATTCTCATATTTTTGTGAAATTTTAGGAAAATGAGCTAATAAGACTTTTTGATAAAGAAACTTCATGAACAGAAACTTAACTTTATTGATTCAGAGACCTGAATTTTACAATATCACAGTTTTAAAATGTTGCTAAGAAATGTATTTAGTATTGAAGTAAACCATCATAAGAAAATTTCCCAAGAATACGTCATGTTTTTCAAAAAGAACAGAAGATTAACCATAACTGTTAAGTTAGTATTGCTATTATGAGTTTATCTTTAAAATATTCTTTAACTTTATAAGGATGGACCATGACTGACTATCTGCTAATGTTTCAATATAACAGAAAAAGGTTCACACAAACTTAACTATGCTAAATATTCCTACACAAGTCAGCAATAGGAAAAACAGAATAAGCTGAGTTTGGCATTTATGGATGAATACATGCAAAGAATATGGACTTCCTCCCATTTTTTATATACTAAACTCAGTAGAAGATTCTAAAATTCTATTAAAAATTCTCTTTTATGAATATGTAATTTTAGTACAACTTAATTACCCCATTTGTTTCATTATGCTGCAAAATAGTTTTCAAACTCCTGGATATAAGAGGGCTTTCACAATACATAGGTTCACCTTTTGATATACCAGTAACTGAACAAAGCTGGAGAGGGTAGTTGGTATTCAAAAACATGGTGGT
Source organism: Homo sapiens (assembly GCF_000001405.40). NCBI lineage: Eukaryota > Metazoa > Chordata > Mammalia > Primates > Hominidae > Homo > Homo sapiens. The sequence goes on from NC_000006.12 coordinate 107,352,605, forward strand.
AGGGGAGACAGCATGTGAACAGCAAGAGGTGATGTACAAACTATTTCTACCAGAAAAAAAATTAAACTGGCTGGTTCATATAGAGAAGTGGTTCTTAACTCGGGTGATTTTACCTTTCTCCTTTCCCACGAGGGGACTTTGGCAATGTCAAAAGAGATATTTTTGGTTGCCACACCTTGGGGGTGGAGGGGTACTAGTGCCATCTAGAAGGCAGAGGCCAGGGTTGCTTTTGAACATCTTATAACATACCTGATAGGCCTCCCCCTCCCTCACAAAGTGCCAAGGTTGAGAAACTCTGATTTAGAGAATCCATGTGTACTTATGAGACTTGCCCCATAGGATTATAATAAAGCCTAAATATAAACATTTAGCTTATAAAACGCTAACTATACTCCTTGTCACAAACTATGTGCTCAATATGCACTAGTTATTACTATTATCAGAATTACTATTGTTATCCATATAGTCAATGCTTTTTGGCTTCAGTGAAAGCTGGAACAGATGCAATCCTATGTCATCTGCCCCACTGTAAATACATCAAGAATAACTTTTAAGACACTGAAAAAAAAAGATTTTTTAAAAGACTATGGCAAAAAGCTTTTTGAATGTCTATACAGACACCAGGTTTGTATAAACAACACATGTGGATGTACACAATCATTTTAGATTAGGAAAAATTTATTCTAGATTAATAAGAATAACAATAAAGCATATATTTTACTTCTTTCTTCCCTAGGCAACACTCCCAGGAATAGCAACTGATTTTATTTACAGTTATTACAACAAAGTATTTTTTAATAGCCATGCTTTAAAAAGTCATAACCATTCTATTTAAAGCTTAAAGCCAATTACTCTCCTTCTGTAATTTTTCTCATATTAGCTAATATGACAGCAATAACTAAGCATGGTAAGCCATTGGAACTACATTACAACTGCCTTTGCTCCCCAGATCTCATGTAATTATATGTTACCTCTTCAGCCTTCTTTTGCTTGTTACATCAATAAAAAGTTTTTCTGAAGAAGCAAAGTCTTTACTTACAAAAAGATAGGTGGCACCCCTCAATATGATAGCATTAACACTTTCTTCCCAGTTCTCGAAAGTGCCAAAGATTCTCAAATTAAGAACTTCTCAATTAAATTCATGAAATCCTGAGGCAAAATATCAGCTTAGATATAAATGAATTTTAACAGAGTAATGCCTTTTAGAAAATCACTGGAAAATTTAAAATGTATTTTTCTATTCTTTTTCTCAGGGAAAAGCTTATGATTTTAAAAGGTTGGAGAATTTAAGCAAACACTCAGTAGTTTTGGAAATGTAGTTTCCATGGCAACCAACATGGTCTTCTTTATATAGCATTATAAACAGATGGTAAAGAGTGGTCATGTTTGTTTCTCTGCCAGTATATCAATAAAACTACTATCGTACTGTATTGAATACACTTGAACTATTTAATGAATTTAATATACTAACCACAAGATGTACTAATTTAGACTGATGTAATGAATTTTTTTTTTCTTTTAAATAAACACATGAAGATCTTGAACAGTGAAGTCACTATACTCCATATACTCAATAGTCTACCTTGGCAAGACTTTGTACAAATGTTTTCTCAGCACTTGCCATGCAGGGCATATAACCACAAATATTAATCTGACAAGGAGAACATAATAGATTGAAATAATAAAAGTGAAACCATGTCTGTAATTATATTCCTTTGCCATCTTTTCTTAAAGAACAAATGAGAAATTATGAAACAGGAAGAGTTTCTTTACAATAAATGATAGGATATAAAGCAAAGGGCAAAATTGCTGTTTAAAAATCAGACTCCATTCCATGTACACAGCGGCAGCTTTCAGAAATACAGGTACTCTGAATTCCACTGTTTTAACTGTGGTAACTTGCTGGGTACTATTTGCTTAAAAACTAAAAGAAGCCAAGAAACTATAAATGTGATTAGTCTGGCAGTGAAGTCTGAAGAGCCAATTCCTGCATGTATTATCAGCACATGTGAAGCAGCGACCCTGTATCTGGAAGAAAGTCAGTCAGTCAGAAGGGGCTGTACAGTAGGCTGGGGCTCCCCAGGGAAAACTGGCAGTCTTTTTCACAGGCTCGTCTTAGAGACCTTGATCTATTTTCCAAGCTAGCTTGAGGATCCTTACCTTAAAAAAAGCTGGGTCAATATTTATGATTTTAAATTATATAAATAGCCATTTTTATTATACCTGCAAAATAATATTTGGTAAATGGTATCTGTCCTACATTCTCCCTTTTATAAAGTCCTGTTTTCATGCACCCATCCCTAAATTTGCTAATTTTTAGCACTTTTTTCTATTTTTTTTTTTGAGACGCAGTTCCACTCTGTCACCAGGCTGGATGGAGTGTGATGGCATGATTTCGGCTCACTGCAACCTCCGCCTCCTGGGTTCAAGCAATTCTCCTGCCTCAGCCTCCCCAGTAGCTGGGACTACAGGCATGCGCCACCACGCCCAGCTAATTTTTGTATTTTTAGTAGAGACAGGGTTTCACCATGGTCTCGATCTCTTGACCTTGTGATCTGCCCACCTCAGCCTCCCAAAGTGCTGGGATTACAGGTGTGAGCCATCACGCCCGGCCCTTTCTATGCTTCTTACATCAAAGTAAGTTAATTAGAAGTGAGATACTTCATTGTGTGTAACAATCCATGATGGAAATACAGAAAATGGGTATGCATATTTTTAAAAGGTGTGAATTTGGGTGATGTACAGTATATATGGTTTAATTGAAAAACAAAAATTTTCAATTGAAACATTTTAAAACTGGCAAAGACTGTACTAGATTTATATTTGACTCAAAAATGGGAAAATGTCTGCTACATTATGTATCTTAGATAAACTACTGTCAATTCTGGCCTACCAGAAATTGCTACCATAATACAATTTTTGAAAATTATTTAAACCTAGAAAATAGTCTTTCTCATAGAGGTGAGAGTCTCCAATCAAGCTCACCACCCCAAAAAAGAATACCTGAGTGATTCCACAACCAGAAGCCCTTTTCAGAGGGTTTTCAGTTTGTCTTCTTCTATAGTACTTGCAGCGTGGAAAACCATCTAGAAACTGATAGCTCTTAGTTTAACTTAACTTTTTTCAGAGGTACCTGTGTAAGAGAGATTCTCAGTCCTGGCTGCAAAACAGAATTACTTGAAGAGCTTTAAATATAACAATAGTCATATCCCAGCATATGCCAATTTAGGCAGGATTTCTGGGAGCGGGGCCACAACACCCTTCACGTGTGATTCTAATGTGCAGCCAGGGTTTAAAGAAAACACCAGAGAGACTGTGACTTGTTTCTCTTTATCCCTGATGAGGAAGAGATCTCAAGTCACCACTTTGATGTCTACAGGACACACAATTCAGTGTTAGATTTCCTCTTCATTATAGAGAGGCACAAGGCTGAAGAAAAAGGCACTATTATACTCCATTATTTGGTATAGTAAATTTTATTGGAAAGGAGTTCAACAAAATACCAGACTGAGGTATGAAAAAACTTTCCCCATGAACTATTCCAAATAATATTTAGCTTTTGGCCAGATTACCATTATTAGAAAGACTTGTGAACAGTGAATTTACTTTCACTCCTTTTGGGAAGCCCTCAGTGTTTGAGCTGGTTATGATGTATTCTCCACATTGAACAAAATAAATGCTTTCTGGGTTTCCAGTGTACTTAGACATTCTGAAGAACGGACTGAAATAATTAGCATTGTAATTCTCACATTATTTCATGGACATCATACTCTCTTTTACAAAAATGACCTTAAAACCTATCACCAACAGTAATGAAAATTCAGGTGTTTGGAGAAGGAGAAGCTCCAGAGGTAAGGAAAACACCTTCCACCTTTTTTCTGTAGCACACATCCAAAAATGTTAAAAACCTGTTAATATACTGTCTCCTAAAAAGAATAAAAATGAATGTCATAGATCATAAATGTTATTTCAAGCCACAAACATTTCTTATTTGACTACATGTCTATCTGGTAGATTGTGGTAATAGTTCTTTATCTATATGGTTTTCTCCTTTCAAATTATTTGCAAGATCAATGACTTATTTGCTTGATATGAAATAGTAAAGAGAAATAAAATAATAAACTCTCCAAACTGTCAGTGATATAAAACATTAAGAGGGTAGAGTTAAATAATCTCAGAAAATAAACCATGACAATACCAGAGTCTTAAAATTGGTTTCCACATTTTTGGTTTGTTTTCTTACATTTCTACAGGCTACTAAAATTTCCGCAAGTCATTTATTCTTTCCTTGAGAAACTTTATTTGGCTATTTGTGTGTCTGGTGCTATTAACTCATCATAATTTTACATCAATCCTCATAACATGATTGAGGTTTAATTCTAAAAAAATTCAGAACACACAAAACAGGAAAAAATATCACTCTAATGCATTTTGGAACAAACAGCCTATTAAAGAGAATAAGTGTGTCTGGCAGAATTCTAGAGATGACAGAAAACGAGGAAACAACATTTCTTAATGTTATTTAAATATGCGCACAGGAGACAGGGAGATGTGCTAGGACACAGCATCACAGGAACTCTAGTCTTCCTGCACATAAAATAGGGCTTCATTAACAATAAAGGAACAGGTGTCTTGGGACCCATTTATACAGGCTATTAACTATTATGAGCTGCTGGTATCCAAATTTATTTTAGTACTAGGCAACTGATTAAAAATAAATACAAATTTAAATTCCATCTATTAGCATGAGAAAGCAATGCCTAGATTTCCAGAGTCTAATTTAATATAAAGGTATTTTTCTATGGTCCTAATCACAGGAGGATACTTAAGTTCATATACAGTATTTTCTAAATCTCAAAATAAAAGCTTTCCTATTAAACTTTATTTGAATGTAAAAAAAAATTGATGAATGACCTTTTATCTTGACCTGACAATACCAAACAAGCTTTATTTACTAAGAACTAAATTTTTATTCAAATGTAAACAAATAATGACACAAACATGCATCCATTTTTTAAAAAGTAGGGGAGGAAATCAAACATACCAACCTCCAGCTCTAAATTCAGTGCATTCCACCACATTTTATACTACTTATTTTGAAAAACTGAGTGGCAACCGTTATTCTCTGGCAATTTTTTACTGTTTCATCTATAAACAATGATAAAGAATTTAAAATTTTGAACTATTTGAGGAATCTTTACATTTTATTAAAAGATATTTAAAATGCTAGAGTTGGAACTGCAGTAGTGATAATCTTGTCCATCACACTTTTTTACAGAACAAGAAAATAAGGCACAATGAGGCTAAGTAATTTAGCCAAGGTAAACATAGCAATATTTTAACCACATAAATTGTCAAAATACTATTACACTATAAAATCAGTATAATACTGGTTGAGCATCCCTAATCTGAAAATTCAAAATCCAAAATGTTTCGCAATCCAAAAATTTTTGAGTGCTAAAATAATGCCATAAGTGGAATATTCTATACCTGACCTCATGTGACAGGTTGCAGTCAAAATGCAGTAAAAAATTTGTTTCATGCATAAAATTATTAAAAATACTATGTGAAATTACCTTCGGACTAGGTGTATAAGGAAACAAATGAATTTCATGTTTAGACTTGGGTCACATTCCCAAGATATCTCATTATATATATGCAAATATTGCAAAACTCAAAAAAATCCAAAATCCAAAACATGTCCGGTGCCAAGCATTTTGGATAAGGGATACTCAACCTGTAGTACGTATCTTCCAAGTATGTTCTGAAAATTAAACAGGGTAACCTATTTTTGATGTTATTTCAAACTGCTATATTCATCTATGTCTAGTTAAAAACAATTTTTGGTTTATTCACTTACATAATGTTCTTATAGTGATATTTTTTCCACTTATTCCAGAAGTGTTAGGTGATTATTCTACACTTCTTGTGCCACATTCTATGGAGAATAAAGATGGTACAACATTTGATCTATATCCATAAGTAGCCAGTAAAAGCCATTGCAGAAATGATGAAAAATTTGAGACTGAGGAGAAAGCCATGGATAGAATCATAATTCTTAAAAATATGGCAACATTTTAAATGAAAATAATAAGGCCAGGGTTTCTCAATCTTGGCACTAATGGCATTTTGAACTGGAACTTTGTTGGGAGGGGCTGCGCATTACAGGCATTATATTTAGTAGCATCCCTAACCTTTACCCACTAGATGCCAATAGCACCCCCAGTTGTAATAGCCAAAAATGTCTCTAGATATTGGCAAATGTCCCCAGGAGGGCAAAACTGCCTTTGGTTGAAAAAAATCACAGGATAAGGCAGACTACTATCTTTTGATTTTCAAACTGTGATACATGCTTAATATCATCTAGAGGCAAAGCAAATCAGGAGCTTTAGCATTCTCGCTCTTTTTTTTTTTTTTTTTTTTTGAGATGAGTTTTGCTCCTGTTGCCCAGGCTGGAGTGCAGTGGCGTGATATCAGCTCACTGCAACCTCAGCCTCCCAGGTTCAAGTGATTCTCCTGCCTCAGTCTCCTGAGTAGCTGGGATTACAGGTGCACGCCATCACGCCCAGCTGATTTTTTGTATTTTTAGTAGAGACAGGGCTTCATCATGTTGGCCAGGCTGGTCTCAAACTCCTGACCTCAGGTGATTCACCTGCCTCAGCCTCACAAAGTGCTGGGATTACGGGCATGAGCCGCCGCACCCAGCCAGTATTCTCTTAAAGATTACTTCAGATCTAGCCAGGAGCAGTGTCTCATGCCTGTAATGCCAGCACTTTGGGAAGCTGAGGCGGGTGGATCACTTGAGGCCAGGAGTTCGAGACCAGCCTTGCCAACATGGTGAAACCCCATCTTTACTAAAAATACAAAAAATTAGCTGGGCATGGAGGCACACACCTGTAATCCCAGCTACTTGGAAGGCTGAGGCATGAGAATTGCTTGGGCCCGGGAAGCGGAGGTTGCAGTGACCTGAGATTGTGCCACTACACTCCAGCCTGGGTGACAGAGCAAAAGAATGTGTTTAAAAAAAAAAAAAAAAGGGAGAGAGAGAGAGAGATAACTTCAGATATAAGGCATCAAGCATTAAAATACCTGAGTATAGAAATAAAATCACATATTCAATATCAAGGTATGGCTTTGGTTTTGATTTTGTGGTTTTCTGCCACTAACTTCTGAAAAGTCCAAAGAAATATGAAAAGTCCTGGAGGCGGGGGGCGGTCCTTGATCCTGAGGAGAGATGGGGATCTTTCATATTAAGGTTTCTCAAATTAGAAATTGCTCTCCCTCTTGCCCAAGAAACCCTTAGTACATCCTTTCCTATTCTTTCAAAATATAACATGTCATTTTGTTGACACATAAATTGCAATCAAGTACAATTCCAGGCTGGTGTCCAGAAGCTAGCCATTCAGTCCATGTTTCACCCATCCAGTGACCTAGGAGCATTAAAACTATATGGTTTTGTTTTGTTCTTGGTATATAAATTTTGTGGGCAAAGAATTGTCATAAAACCACCTCAAATTTCACACTTTCCAAAGATCTCAAGAATTGTGAAGGTTTATTATACTGGAGATTGCTAAAATGTTAGATCAAGGCGCAAATAATTGAGGTGGCAAGCAAATATTAGGTCTACAAAATATATGAAGAGGAAGAGCTGACCTCCTCTGTCTCATGCATCTTCCTGTGTATTCTCTCTTCTCTAGCCTTCACACCTGCTGAAGTATAAACTGAACAACTGCTTGGTAATAGCAGTACCTCATTAAAAATGTGGTGCATAGAGTCTGTGGAAGTACTCTAGAAAAAGGCACTAAGAGAGAAAAGATGGAAAGGAATATTTGAGAATTAGTGACCAAATGTGAGTTGGCTTGGGATCAAATTTAAAAAGAAGTAGGCCCACCAGAGGCATAGTTTATGAGATAGGCTTGCCATTAGAACCTTCTCTGCTTCTAGAAGCCTACAAGCTCTGCATTAAAAACCAACAAAAAACATCTGGATAACTGATGAATTTCGAAATCATAATCACTAAGAGGACAGTGTTGCTCATTTTGGTTTTGCCTTCACTTGAAAAGTTACCAAGTGGTCTCAATTTCTCATACTCAACAAACTTTTGTTTCTTCAACATTGTGAAAGAAGAGAGCGGTCTGTGTTTTCACAAAGGGATGCCTACAGGCTGAAAAGTTCTGTTATTACTGTTTTGTTTTGACTCTATGTATAGTGATATCTCCAACATTAGAAATTTGGACATAATTTGCTAAATCTGAATTTACATACTGGGCAGTATTTCCTTTAACAAAGTCTAATTGGAACAGCATTTTATGGTACATGAAAATTTAATTGCAAATGTTAGAGATACAGAGAAGTCTGATTTATATAGAAGACAGCTTATTTTTAGTTGGAAAAAACTGCAATGCCAAACTATTTTGCATTTAATGCTATAATTTACATATATTATAATATTCATGATATATGATAAATACCCAAATCCTATTTGGAAAACCTTCATTGTGAAAAAAATTAGAATTTTAACAAAATGGTGTCTCATATTTTAAAGACTGTTCTCATTTTTAAAAAGTAAACATACCAATTTGATAAAAGATATTAAATCTATTACTAATAAATTCAGGTTCTTGTGGTATTTCTTGAATTCTAAATATTGAAGGTAAACACCAGATATATGCCAATAAATTTCTAAATTTATAAAATCAGCACCCTGCATTTTAAGTACATACTTCAGACATTTCACACAGGTACAGGGTTAATTTAACAAAGGATTATTTCATTATAACAGGCAACGTGCTGCCACAAACTACAGAGGAAGAGAGCTCTGAAATAATTGATGCTCTCTGACCCATTTCATTTTTCAATTTGTGTTTCAAGGAAAACTTCAGGGTTGACATTTTCTACTTGACCCTACAAATGTCTTTTCTCTCCACTTGGGCAAAAAAATCATCCATATTTTTACACAATTAAACTACGCCCCTACCACCCCTGCCCTAAAAGACTACCAATTAAGGCCATCATTACTCAACATAAAACATAGGATCACACATGTAACACTATCCAAATCACTGGTGCTTTAAAATGTACAGATAGAGACTTCCATTTATCATGATGGAATGAGGTGGTTGACAAATCCTCCCTCAAAATGCAACTATAAAGCTGAACAAAATAGTCAAAAGCAGTAATTTGAGCACTCTGCAATCCAACCACTTCATTAGAACTGCTGAACTTCAGAGAAGAACAATATGAGTTTAAGACATCCTTGCCAGCAGCTGCTCTCACCTCCATCCCCTTGCTTTATCAGCACAGTAGCTGAATCAGTGCAGGGTAGGCTGTGAAAACAAGCAGTTTTGTTTCAAAGCTTTGTCACCCCTGCCAGAGGAGGCTCACTTGATTTTGAAGACTGCACTTGATTTTGAGGACTGTTAGTTAAAAGTACTGATGGCCTGTGGCATCACAAGCCTGAATAAGCAAACCTGACGGGGGCAGGCAGCAGACAAACTAGCCAAATATTTAACAGGGAATTCCAGCAACCACAGGGAGCTTGACCCCACATATTTACGGTTGACCAGGCTGTGTGCATTGCCACAGAGACCAGAGAGGGCCCATATATCCCTGGCTGATGGAGCCTGCAGGCATGTGCAGGTGGGACATGAGAGGTCCCAAAAGGAAATAAAACCCAGAGCAGCCTGAAGTTTGAATGTGCTCCGAAGCTCACACACAGATCCATCAGGAGAGACTGGAAGTCTCACTGTCTTAAGGTGTTTCAGCGTAACTTCTGACCAGTCTTTGGTTGATCACTAAGCTATGCAGACACAAGGACAACAACTAGGAAGCCAGACTTACAAATAAAAGGAAGGGATAAAATAGTGAGAAGAGACGTCACAACTGCACATTGTGAAGGATACAGACTTCAAAGGTTTAGTCCAGGCAAGTAATAAAACTAACAACAACCAAGGTCACCAACAGAAGGGAAAAGTGAGAAACTAGAGTTGCTACAATATATTGTCTAAAATATTCAGTATTCAACAGAAAGTTAGGAGTCATGCAAGAAACCAGAACATATGATCCATACAAAAGCAGTCATTAGAAACTATCTCTAAGTGTCTTTAAGATATTATAAGCAAAGGGTTCAAAACAGCTATTATAAATATGCTCAAAAAACTAAAAACCATATTTAAAGAATTAGTAAATGACTCAGTGAATACAGAGTCTCAGTAAAAAGATAGAAAATATTTTTAAAGAAATCAAATGGAAATTCTGGAGATGAAAAGTTTAATAACTGAAATGAAAATATCACCAGAGAGTGCAATAGAGGATGTGAAATAGCAGAAAAAGAAGCAATAACTTGGAGATAGATCAATAGTAATTATTTAACCTGAATAACATAGGGGAAAAAACTGAAGAAAAATGAACAAAGCTTCAGAGAACTACCAGACAATATCAAGCATACTAATAAAGGTGTCATTAAGAGTATCAGAAGATGAGGAAAAGTGAGAAAGGGGCACAGAAAATACTTGAAAAAATAATGGGCAAAGACTTACCAAATTTGATGAAAACTGTTAATTTACAGAACAAAGCCATTCAACTAACTCAATACAGGACAAATACAGAGATATACACATAGACACATCAGAGACAAACTGTTGAAGGATAAATTGTGTTCGGAATTGGTGGGTTCTTGGTCTCACTGACTTCAAGAATGAAGCCGCAGACCCTCGCGGTGAGTCTTACAGCTCTTAAGGTGGCGCGTCTGGAGTCTGTCCCTTCTGATGTTCAGATGTGTTTGGAATTTCTTCCTTCTGGTGGGTTCGTGGTCTCACTGGCTCAGGAGTGAAGCTGCAGACCTTCGCGGTGAGTGTTACAGCTCTTAAGGCAGCACGTCTGGAGTTGTTCGTTCCATCCCGGTGGGCTCGTGGTCTCGCTGGCTTCAGGAGTGAAGCTGCACATCTTCGCAGTGAGTGTTACAGCTCATAAAAGCAGCGTGGACCCAAAGAGTGAGCAGTAGCAAGAGTTATTGCAAAGAGCGAAAGAACAAAGCTCCCACGGTGTGGAAGGGGACCCGAGCGGGTTGCCAATACTGGCTCGGGCAGCCTGCTTTTATTCTCTTATCTGGCCCCACCCACATCCTGCTGATTGGTAGAGCCGAGTGGCCTGTTTTGTCAGGGCGCTGATTGGTGCGTTTACAATCCCTGAGCTAGATACAAAGGTTCTCCACGTCCACATCAGATTAGTTAAGATACAGAGTTTTGACACACAGGTTCTCCAAGTCCCCACCAGAGCAGCTAGATACACAGTGTCGATTGGTGCACTCACAAACCTTGAGCTAAACACAGGGTGCTGATTGGTGTGTTTACAATCCTTGAGCTAGATACAGAGTGCCGATTGGTGTATTTGCAATCCCTGAGCTAGACATAAAGGTTCTCCACGTCCTCACCAGAGCAGCTAGATACAGAGCGTCGACTGGTGCACTCACAAACCTTGAGCTAAACACAGGGTGCTGAGTGGTGTATTTACAATCCCTGAGCTAGATATAAAGACTCTCCACGTCCCCACCAGACTCAGGAGCCCAGCTGGCTTCACCTAGTGGATCCCGCACTGGGGCTGCAGGTGGAGCTGCCTGCCAGTCCTGCGCCGTGCGCTCGCATTCCTCAGCCCTTGGGTGGTCGATGGGACTGGGCGCCGTGGAGTAGGGAGTGGTGCTGGTCGGGGAGGTTCGGGCCGCACAGGAGCCCATGGAGTGGGTGGGAGGCTCAGGCATGGCGGGCTGCAGGTCCCCAGCCCTGCCCCGCGGGAAGGCAGCTAAGGCCCGGCGAGAAATCGAGCACAGCGCCAGTGGGCCGGCACTGCTGGGGGACTCAGTACACCCTCCGCAGCCACTGGCCCGGGTGCTAAGTCCCCCATTGCCCGGGGCCAGCAGGGCTGGCTGGCTGCTCCGAGTGCGGGGCCCACCAAGCCCACGCCCACCCGGAACTCCAGCTGGCCCGCAAGCGCTGCACGCAGTCCCGGTTCCCGCTGGTGCCTCTCCCTCCACACCTCCCTGCAAGCTGAGGGAGTGGGCTCCAGCCTTGGCCAGCCCAGAAAGGGGCTCCCACAGTGCAGTGGGGGGGCTGAAGGGCTCCTCAAATGCCACCAAAGTGGGAGCCCAGGCAGGGGAGGTGCCGAGAACAAGCGAGGGCTCTGAGGACTGCCAGCATGCTGTCACCTCTCAAAATCCTGAAAGTAGCAAGAGAAAAATGACTTTATCATGTACACAGGAATAACAATACAATTAATGGTTTATTTCTCATCAGAAACCATGGAGACCAGAGAGCAGTGAAATCAATGATACACTTAAAGTCCTGGGGGAGGCGGGGAAGGCTTGGCAGCTAAGCCTTTGTATACCCTGCAAAACTTTCCTTCAAAAATAAAAGTGAAATAAAGATAATGGAAGTGATATTAGACAGTAATCTGAATCTACATGAAGAAACAAAGAGTGTAAAAAATAGTGAATAGGTGGGTAAATGTAAAAAAAATCTGTAAATACATTTTTCTCATTTCTTCTCTTAAATTTTATAAAAGATATGATTACATAAAGCAAAAATTATAATGGACTTATAATATATAGAAATATATTTAACAATAGTAACACAAATGAAAAATAGAGATATATTGGAGCAAAGTTTCTGTATTTTGCTAGAATTAAAATGGGTATTATTCTGAAGCAGACTGTGATAAATTAAGATGCATATTTTAGCCCCCAAAACAACTAGGAAAATAACTCAAAATCATACAGCTAAAAAAAACACAAATTGAAATCATTCCCTAAAATATTTTCATTTAATACAAAGGAAAGGAGTAAAGGAGGAACAGAGAAACAAAAATAACATGAGAAAAAATACAAAATAATTAGCAAAATCAGACTTACATCAAACCATATCAATAATTAGATCAGATATGAATGGACAAAACAACCCACTTAAAAAGCAGGGCTATCCCTGCTTTTAACTGGATTTAAAAAGCAAGACCTAACTACATGCTTTCTCCAAAAGGCACACTTTATAGAAAAAGACGGTAATAGGTTAAAAGTAAAAGGTCAGAAGGTGATATGCCATGCAAACAGTCACCACAATAGAGCTGGAATGGCTATATTAATGTCAGACTAAATAGACACTTAGATAAGAAATATTACTGGAGACAATGAAGGACATTTCATAATCATAAAGGTTTATCATAGTTTTCATAATCATCAGTATATCATAAAGATATAAAAGTTTTAAATGTATATATACCTAACAATAGAGACCCCAAATGAAACAAAAACTGAAAAAACTGAAAGAAGAAACAGGCAATTCAGGAAAAATAGTTGGAGAATTCAATAATACTCTGCTTTCAATAATTAATAGGACAACTACACAGAAACTCAGCAACAATATAGAAGACTTTAACAACACTATCAACCAACTTGATATAACTGACATTTATAGAATACTCCACACAATGAGTGCAGAATATGTATTCTTTTCAAGCACACGTGGAACATTCTCATATGCTGGGCCAGAAAACAAGTCTAATACATTTTAAAAGACTGAAATCATAAAAAGTATGTTCTCTGACCACAACACAAGTTAAAGATCTCAAATAGAAAGAAATAGGGGAAAACCCAAATATTTTGAATTAAACAACATACTTCTAAATAGCCCAGGGGTCAAAGACGAAATCATTTAAAAAATTTTAAAAATATTTCCACCTGAATGAAAATGAAAAGACAACATATCAAAATTTGTAGTGTACAACTACAGGAGTACTTAGAGGAAAAGTTATAGCATATTCTGAGGAAAAGTGTCAAATAAATAATCTAAGCTTCCATGTTAAGAAACTAGATAAAGAGCAAACTAACCCCAAGCAAGCAGAAAAAAAGAAAATAATAAAGTTTACAGTGAATATCAATAAAACAGAAAAAAGAAAAACAATAAAGAAACAAATCAATGAAACCATAAAGTGACTATTTGACCAAGAAAATAAGAAAGAAGACACAAATAAACAAACTCAGGAATGAAAAAAGATCACATTACTGACCCTATAGGAATTAAAAGGACTATGAGGGAATATAATGAACATTACTCTATGCCAACAAACCAGATGACTTAGATAAAATGGACAAATTCCTAGAGAGTCAGACATTTCCGAAACTTAAGAACACACAGAAAATATGAATAGGACTATTTATATTTAATATAAATAAATACATTTATAAGTAAATAAATTGAATTATTAATTAAAGTCCTTTCCACAAGGAAAGGCCCAGGCGCAGATGGTTTTGCTTGCAAATTCTATATTTTAGAAAGAAATACTGATTCTTCACAAACTTAGAAAATATAGAAACTTCCCACCTCATTCTCTGAGGTCAGTACTTACCCTAACACCAAAGCCAGACAAAGACATCATAAGAAATGAAAATGACAGATTAATATCTCTCATGAATGCAGACACAAAAGTGCTCAACAAAATATTGGCAAACTGAATCTAGCAATATAAAAAGAGGCTCATATACCACGACTAAGTGGGATTCATCCCAGGGATGCAAAATCAAGTAATGTCAAAGCACGATGTAGGCTGACTTTTAAGATCAAGTATTTAATATCCATATTAATAAATAAAGGACAAAAAACACATGACCATCTCAACAGATGCAGAAAAGCATTTAATAAAATACAACACCTATTCACAATAAAAACTCTCAATATGTGAGAAACAGAAGGAAACTTCCTCAACCTAATAAAAGATATCAGTGAAAAACCTACCACTAACATAAAATGAAAGACTGAATGAATGCCTCCCACTTAGGACTGGGAACAAGGTAAGGATGTCAGTTCAACTCAATGTTGTACCGAAAGTTTCAGCCAGTGAAATAAAAAAATTTAGGCCGGGCACAGTGGCTCACGCCTGTAATCTCAGCACTTTGGGAGGCTGAGGCAGGTGGATCACTTCAGGTCAGGAGTTCTAGATGAGCCTAGCCAACATGGCAAAACCCCTTCTCTACTAAAAATACAAAAAAATTAGCCAGGTGCGGTGGCGGGCAAGTGTAATCCCAGCTACTCAGGAGGCTGAAGCAGAAGAATCGCTTGAACCCGGGAGGCGGAGGTTGCAGTGAGCTGGAGGTTGCAGTGAGCTGAGATGGTGCCACTGCACTCCAGCCTGGGCAATAGAGTGGAACTCTGTCTCAAAAAAAAAAAAAAAAAAAATTAAAGACATCCAGATAGTAAAAGGAAGGAGAAAAACTGTATTTGAGGGTGATCATCTATGTGGAAAATACTAAGGCATCTATAATAAAAAATACTAGAATTAATACATGAATTTAGCAAGATCTCAGGATATATGATTGATATATTAAAAAACTATTGTATTTCAGGCCAAGCGCGGTGGCTCACGCCCGTAATCCCAGCACTTTGGGAGGTCAAGGAGGGCGGATCATGAGGTCAAGAGATGGAGACCATCTTGGCCAACATGGTGAAACCCTGTCTCTACTAAAAATACAAAAATTAGCTGGGTGTAGTGGTTTGCGCCTATAGTCCCAGCTACTCAGGAGGCTGAGGCAGGAGAATCACTTGAACCCAGGAGGCAGAAGTTGCAGTGAGACAAGATCAGGACACTGCACTCCAGCCTGGTGACAGAGCGAGACTCGTCTCAAAAAAAAAAAAAAAAACTATTGTATTTCTATATATCAGCAACAAATAATCAAAAAATCAATTCACAATAACATCATAAAGAATAAAATGCTCAGGAATAAACTTAAAAGAAGTGTAAAATTCGATGCTGAAAACCGCAAAACTTTACTGAGATAAAGAAGATCTAAATAAACTGAAAGACATTTCATTTTTACAGGTTGGAAGACTCAGTATTGTTAAGATGTCAGTTCTCCACAATTGATATATAAATTCAGCACAATCCCTATCAAAATCCCAGAAGACTTTTAACAGAAATTGATAATGTGGGCCAGTCACGGCAGCTCACACTTGTAATCCCACCACTTTGGGAGGGCAAGGCGGGAGGATTGTTTGAGCTTGGGAGTTCAAGACTAGCCTGGGCAACATAGCAAGACCCCATTCTCTACAAAAAACATACCAGGCATCACAGGCACACACCTGTGGTCCCAGGAGGCTGCAGTGAGATGTGACCATGTCACTGCAACTCCAGCCTGGACAACACTCTCCCTCTCTCAAAAAAAGAAATTGATAAGGTGATTATAAATTTAAGTAAAAATGCAAAGTGCCTAGAATAGGCAACACTACCTTGAAAACAAAGAACAAAATTAGAGGACTTGTACTACTACCTGAACTTACGATAAAGCTACAGTAATTGAAGTAGTGTAGTATTGGTATAATGATAGGCATAGAGATCAATGGAACAGGGTTTTCAGTACAGAAATAAATCCTTACATTTATGGTCAATTAATTTTTGAAAAAAGTGCCAAGACAATTCAATGGGAAAAAGGGTCATATCAACCAATGGTGCTGGGGCAACTGAATATTCATATATTTATTTTTAAAACACAGAACAGGCCGGGCAAAGTGGCTCACGCCTGTAATCCTAGCACTTTGGGAGGCCAAGGTTGGCAGATCACGAGGTCAGGAGTTCGAGACTAGCCTGGCCAACATGGTGAAACTCCACCTCTACTAAAAATACAAAAATTAGCCAGGCATGGTGGCGTGCGCCTGTAATCCCAGCTACTCAGGAGGCTGAGGCAGGGGAATTGCTTGAACCCAGGAGGTGGAATTTGCAGTGAGCTGAGATTGCAACATTGCCCTCCAGCCTGGGCAACAGAGTGAGACTCCATCTCAAAAAATAATAATAAAATAAAAAACTAAAAAAGAAAAAAGAACAATGTAGACTCTTATCTCACATCATATAAAAAATTAACTTAAATCAATCATAGTCCTTAGAGCTGAAATTATAAATCCTCTAGAAAAAACCATAGGAGCATATCTTCATGACCTTTCTCAACCTCACCATTACAGAGAATTCTTTGTTGTAAAGGATTGTCCTATCCACAAAAGGACGTTTAACTGCATCCCTGGCTGGCTCCTACTCACTAGGTGCCAGTACCAATCTCCATACACAGCTGTGAAAATAAAAAATCATCTCAGGCCAGGTGCAGTGGCTCCACCTGTAATACCAGAACTTTGGGAGGCCAAGGCAGAAGAATCACTTGAGCCCAGGAGTTTGAGACCAGCCTGGGCACCATAGTGAGACTCTGTCTCTACAAATAAAAAAATTAGCTGGATGTGGGTGGTGTTATGTCTGTAGTCCCAGTTACTTGGGAGGCTGAGGTGAGAGGATCACTCGAGCCCAGGAGGTCAGGGCTGCAGTTTCTTTTGTATCTCACTCCAGCTTGGATGACAGAGTAAGATGTGTTTCGCAAAGAAAAAAAAAAAACTACAGAAAGAAACCTAAAAGACCTTCGCCATGAGAAACAGTTTTCCCAACTCTGAAAAATGAACAACAGCCTTGAACTTCTGAGTTGTGGAACCCCAAAAGAGATGAAGTGATAAAAGAGCAAAAGAGACCTTTGAGAATATCACCTCACTTCTAGTAGTTAGAGTTCTGGATTATGCTCAAGAGTTTTGGCAGGTTTGCTAACACTTTACCGAATCATCATTCAGGAGTTTTAGCACAAACTACTCGCAAGGTCTCGAGTAATTCAGAGAATATTCACCAGTCATTATTAGGATATGTTTCAGTGAAAGCATCAGCAACTCTTCATTGAATCATTTACGCAAGATTACCTTCAAAAGTGATCCCAATTTGAAGAAAAAAAGAACATGCAACAATCTAAATACACTACCAGATTGTGACTTCTACAAAGAATTTCACCAAACAAAGCTTCTTGATCTGCAGTTTCCATTGTATTCAATAACATCAGCAAAATTAAAGAATCTGCAAAAATAGTGTGGTATGGTTTACAATGCTGAATTTTAAGCCTGCTATTTAAGCATAACGAGTGTATTTCAAAGATAAGGAAGTGCATATTAAAGAATAATGAAATTTTAATTTCTCCCTCTCTAGTTACAATGCAGGATATTCAAGTATCAATTTTATTCTTTTCCCATTTAGCAGACATCAATTCTAGACCTACACATAACAACTCAAGAATAATTTATTTTTATCACCTCTTTTCAAGTGGCAGAAAGTAAGATAGTTCTTGATGATGCTCAGAATATCTGGTTACCTCTGAGCATCCAGTCTCCAGTTCAAAATAAGAACTATCCTCCTTTTTTATCTTTTAAAATACAGATAAAGTGAATGCTTCCAGAAAATGTCAACCGGCCAGGAGCAGTGGCTTACGCCTGTAACCCCAGCACTTTGGGAGGCTGAGGCGGGCAGATCACGAGGTCAGAAGTTTAAGACCAGCCTGACCGACATGGTGAAACCCCGTCTCTACTAAAAATACAAAAATTAGCCGGGCTTGGTGGGCACCTGTAAGCCCAGCTACTCAGGAGGCTGAGGCAGGAGAATCGCTTGAACCCAGGAGGTAGAGGTTGGAGTGAGCCAAGATCACACCACTGCTCTCCAGCCTGGGCGACAAGAGCAAAACTCTGTCTCAAAGTAAAAAAAAAAAAAAGTCAACCACTGGAAGCCAAAGTACCAAAATATGAGCTATTACTGTAAAACATCATTAAGAAAGGTCTGTTTGTAAGTTACCATAGTTATTCAACTCAAAGAAGTGGACAAACTTCTTTTCACCAAAGGATTGGGGTACTCGAAATTCAGGTGTATGGGAAAAGGAAATTGAATATTTTAGATTTTCATTCTAACTCCCATATAAGAAGAAATCTAAGACTAAACTGAATACAGCAAGAGTAAAGGACAGTCTCAAGTGGCAACTTGAGACTATCTGCAGGTTACATTCTCCTGTTTTCATTTATTTCAACTGACATTTTCCCTTACAATCTACTAAACAATGATTGTAGTTCATTTTTCAAAGTAAATGTTAAATGCTTCCTGGCATGTTGAATTAGGTCACTTCAGAGTGAAAATACTCTGGTGGAATATAAAATTGACAACTATAACATTAGTAAGAATTAGTAAGAATGAAGGCAGACAGACAGCTCCAAGACCAAGAAAAACCTAGCTGGGTCTTAAAGCATTGTCGAGTCTAGGACACCTTAGATGCCAGTTCCTTGAATTAATTTACAAATTAACTAAATTAAATAATTTGTCAAAGGCTGTAACAAGAAGGGAAAAGGCCTAATAGCTGTTGAGTTCCTATTCTAATGCTGGCATGTGCTAGGAATATGTATTATCTCATGTAATCTTTATAATCACCCTGAAAGAGGATATTTTTCCCAACTTACAGGTAAAGAATCTGATATTCAGAAGAGTTAAGTAACTTACTTATAGTTGAACCAAGGCAAAATTCAAACCAAGAAACTAGACTCTTGTTTTTTCTTTTATATCTCAGTGTAACCATTTTACACAATAGAGATTTTAGGCTTTTAAAAGATTCAATTAAGGAGAAAGTAATAACCATTTATTATTTCCTGATGTTATGGACTTCTATTCTAGCAGGCAGTCAAGGGGGGTAGTCACCAAACTGTGGGCTGGAAGCAAGGTACCCAGGCAAAGATTTTAGCAGGTACCAGTTTTCTTTATTTTTTTTTCACCCTGGTTTTTGGTTTCTCTCTCACTGTTGTACACCGGTAGTTTAAAAAATCATGCTCAATAAAAATAAGTAAATCACAAGACTCTGAAGTACAGCTATTCTAAGAATTTCTAGGCACATTGCATTTAGGGTAAATTCAGAGGAACTGCATTTAGTCTGGGAAGTAGGAGGAAAAGGGGTTAAAGCATGTTTCATCAGTATCATATAATTCTTTTTTATTTTTTATTTTTTGAGACGGAGTCGCTCTGTCGCCCAAGCTGGAGGGCAGTTGCGCGATCTCGACTCACTGCAAGCTCCGCCTCCCGGGTTCATGCCATTCTCCTGCCTCAGCCTCCCGAGTAGCTGGGACTACAGGCGCCCGCCACCACGCTCGGCTAATTGTTTTGGATTTTTAGTAGAGACAGGGTTTCACCGTATTAGCCAGGATGGTCTCGATCTCCTGACCTTGTGATCTGCCCGCCTCGGCCTCCCAAAGTGCTGGGATTACAGGCGTGAGCCACTGCGCCCGGCCCTAGTATCACATAATTCTTGCCAAATCCTAATCCTTCTATATTAGAGAGTTTAAAAATGTTGATATTAGGTTCTAATCAAATAAGTAAATTTAAAACAGAATGCAAATTACCACTTTCAAAGTCTAGGTCTCAAATTTTCATGTTTCTCAATGTATACAGGTAATTATAGAAGAGTGCCAAAACTAAACCTACACACTTGACTTTTATTTTTGCCTGACAAGTCTAATAATCTTTTTTTTTTTTTTTTTTTAAGACAGAGTTTTGCTCTGTTGCCAGGCTGGAGTGCAGTGGTGTGATCTCGGCTCACCACAACCTCCACCTCCTGGATTCAAGTGATGCTCCTGCCTCAGCCTCCCAAGTAGCTGGGACTACAGGCGTGTGCCACCATGCCCAGCTAATTTTTGTATTTTTAGTAGAGACGGGGTTTCCCCATGTTGGCTCAGATGGTGGTCTCGATCTCTTGACCTCATGATCCGCCCGCCTTGGACTCCCAAAGTGCTGAGATTACAAGCGTGAGCCACTGCACCCGGTGTAATAATCCATTTTTTAAAGTATGTTAATACTGAATAACTTCTTAGTCTACGAGGCAGAGTAAAAATCGGCCTCCAAAAGTTTAAATAAATAGAGCTAACTTAAGAAAATAAGTTTAACTTAATAATTTTACTTCTCATTTTATACTATTATGATTAATATTACCTATAAACAGGAAACAACGTGTTAAATTTATACCTCAGGACTTGTTCTGAATCTAGAGACAGACTGTAGTCTTATCTTGTTCTCCACTGTTGCTTGTATTCTCACACATTCCTCCAGGAATTCTCCAGCTGGGCCTATCTACTTTTTCTACAAAAGTACCATCTATAACTTTTACCTAAAGCTGACAGGAGAAAGAAGTAACCCTTTTTCTTCTCCCTTAAGCCACCTGCTAGCTAATGTCCCTCTACAAGGACCTGATTGGAATTAACTCCCACTTTCTCTCTGCCAGAGCCCATAGTTTAAAGCACAGAAGCTACGGTTCTGGCAATCAGTCAAATCTCCTGCTTTTTCTCACTCTGGATTATAGATGAAGTACAACAGAGGTTCTAGCATGGCCCTCTGCTCCATTTCCAAAACTAGATTACTGCTTAGGACAACAGGGAAACACCTCTTTTCTCTTATGCAAATGAGTAAGATTTTCTCTTCTAAAGAAGGATCCTGTGAACATCTTAAAAATTATCACCAGCTGGGTGTGGTGCTCACGCCTGTAATCTCAGAACTTTGGGAGGCCGAGGCACGGCAGATTACTTGAGGTCAGGAGTTCAAGACCAGCCTGGTCAATATGGTGAAACCCCATGTCTACAAAAATACAAAAATTAACCTGCCGTGGTGGCGCCCGCCTGTAATCCCAGCTGCTCAGGAGGCTGAGGCAGGAGAATCACTTGAACCCAGGAGGTGGAGGTTGCAGTGAGCCGAGATTGCACCACTGCACTCCAGCCTGGGTGACAGAGCAAGACTCCATCACAAAAAAAAAAAAAAAAAAAAAATCACCAATGAAAGCAACTAACAGCAGCTAATACTCTTATGTGGTGTTGCTAAAGTTAATGCTCAGTTAGGTACAAAAACTTACCCCCTCATCCAAACCGATCAACTGAACTGATATAATTTTTGCTTTTTAAAGTTTAGCATGTAGTTATGTAGGTTTTATTTAGTTCAATTCCTAAGGACCTACTATGTGCCAGGCACTGTGCTAGACCTTGGAAGTACAAAGAATAAAGCCCAGCTGTTACCAAATCCATGTGCTTAACACTTAGAGTGGTTAGGCACAGGCAGGAAGAAGAGGGGAGGCTAGGGCATAAAATGCCATGAACAGTGTTTTCAGTGCCATGATAGTGATTTGCACAGCTTTAATAAACAGTCCAAGAAACACTTCCTAGGGAAGACGGTGCTGGACGTAAACCCTTTTCACAGTATCTTTTTCTTTATTTTTGGTTAATGTTCCTTATATTATCTCTTTAATCATTTTAAACAGTCATGTTATAGCCCTTTCATGTTTTTCTGTATCTCAGGTTCCTGAGGTGCTAACCTTCCTGCTTATTTTTACTTATGGTAGGTAAGGTTCTCATATATTTATAATTTCCGATTTTGAGTTCACTACTAGGTATTATTTTCTTTGTGGCAATCTTATTTTTTTTAATTAAAGATCAGTAATAGGAAGATATCTAGAAAATCCCCAAATATTTGAAAATTAAACACAAATTTCCACATAATCCATGGGACAAAGAGGCTGTCAGAGGGAAATCAGAAAATGTTATAAATTGAATGAAAGTAAATAAAAATATAATAATCAAAACATCAAAATTTCAGGAATGCAGAAATTTATAGTATTAAATGCTTATATTAGAAAAGAAAGATTTCAAATCAAAGATTTAATTTTTCATTTTAAGAAACCAGAAAAAGAGCGTAATAAACCCTAAAAAAAGCAGAAGGAAAAATAAAGATCAAAGCAAAAATTGATAAAACAGAAAACAGAAAAACAAAAGAGAAAACCAATGAAACAGAAAATCTTTTGAAAAGATATATAAACCAGATACACCTCTAGCCAAAATGATTATGAAATAAAGAAAGAAGACACAAATTAGAAATATCAGCAATGAAGGGATAGGACTCTGCTGTAGACCCCACATACTTCAAAAAGATAATAAAAGCATATTACAAAGAACTTTATGCCCATGCATTCAATAACTTAGATGGGATGAACAAATTCCTTGAAAAACACTATCTATGAAAGTTCATGTAAGAAGAAGTAAAAAAACTAAAACAGTTCAGCCCAGATGTCTTCACTGGTGAATTCTATCAAATATTTATGGAAGAACTCATACCAGCAGCTCTTTCAGAAAACAGAAGAAAGCACTACCTACCTCATTTTATGAGGCCAGCATTACCTTGATACTAAAACCAGACAATGACAACCCTGAGACTAAAACCAGAAAGAGACATTACAGGAAAATTATTAAACAATATCCTTTATGATATCAGATGCACAAATCCTCAAACATATTAACAAATTATATCCAGCAATATGTAAAAAGAATGATACACCATGACCAAGTACAGTTATACTAAGAACAGAAGGTTGGTTTAACATTTGTATGAAGAAATTTGTATAAAGAAAAATCATACAATCATCTCAACAGATACAGAAAAAGCATTTGACAAAATTCAACATCCATTTATGATAAAAGACAGTACACTAGCCAGTTTTCAGAGCACCATTTATTAAATAGGGAATCCTTTCCCCATTGCTTGTTTTTCTCAGGTCTGTCAAAGATCAGATAGTTGTAGACATCTGGCGTTATTTCTGAGGGCTCTGTTCTGTTCCATTGATTTATATTTCTGTTTTGGTACCAGTACCATGCTGTTTTGGTTACTGTAACCTTGTAGTATAGTTTGAAGTCAGGTAGTGTGATGCCTCCAGCTTTGTTCTTTTGGCTTAGGATTGACTTGGCGATGTGGGCTCTTTTTTGGTTCCATATGAACTTTAAAGTAGTTTTTTCCAATTCTGTGAAGAAAGTCATTGGTAGCTTGATGGGGATGGCATTGAATCTATAAATTACCTTGGGCAGTATGGCCATTTTCACGATATTGATTCTTCCTACCCATGAGCATGGAATGTTCTTCCATTTGTTTGTATCCTCTTTTATTTCATTCAGCAGTGGTTTGTAGTTCTCCTTGAAGAGGTCCTTCACGTCCCTTGTAAGCTGGATTCCTAAGTATTTTATTCTCTTTGAAGCAATTGTGAATGGGGGTTCACTCATGATTTGGCTCTCTGTCTGTTATTGGTGTATAAGAATGCTTGTGATTTTTGTGCATTGATTTTGCATCCTGAGACTTTGCTGAAGTTGCTTATCAGCTTAAGGAGATTTTGGGCTGAGACAATGGGGTTTTCTAGATATACAATCATGTCGTCTGCAAACAGGGACAATTTGACTTCCTCTTTTCCTAATTGAATACCCTTTATTTCCTTCTCCTGCCTAATTGCCCTGGCCAGAACTTCCAACACTATGTTGAATAGGAGTGGTGAGAGAGGGCATCCCTGTCTTCCTATGTAGAAAGCTGAAACTGGATCCCTTCCTTACACCTTATACAAAAATTAATTCAAGATGGATTAAAGACTTAAATGTTAGACCTAAAGCCATAAAAACCCTAGAAGAAAACCTAGGCATTACCATTCAGGACATAGGCATGGGCAAGGACTTCATGTCTAAAACACCAAAAGCAATGGCAACAAAAGCCAAAATTGACAAATGGGATCTAATTAAACTAAAGAGCTTCTGCACAGCAAAAGAAACTACCATCAGAGTGAACAGGCAACCTACAAAATGGGAGAAAATTTTCGCAACCTACTCATCAGACAAAGGGCTAATACCCAGAATCTACAATGAACTCCAACAAATTTACAAGAAAAAAACAAACAACCCCATCAAAAAGTGGGCGAAGGAGATGAACAGACACTTCTCAAAAGAAGACATTTATGCAGCCAAAACACACATGAAAAAATGCTCATCACTGGCCATCAGAGAAATGCAAATCAAAACCACAATAACATACCATCTCACACCAGTTAGAATGGCGATCATTAAAAAGTCAGGAAACAACAGGTGCTGGAGAGGATGTGGAGAAACAGGAACATTTTTACACTGTTGGTGGGACTGTAAACTAGTTCAACCATTGTGGAAGACAGTGTGGCGATTCCTCAGGGATCTAGAACTAGAAATACCATTTGACCCAGCCATTCCATTACTGGGTATATACCCAAAGGACTATAAATCATGCTGCTATAAAGACACACGCACACATATGTTTATTGCGGCACTATTCACAATAGCAAAGACTTGGAACCAACCCAAATGTCCAACAACGATAGACTGGATTAAGAAAATGTGGCACATATACACCATGGAATACTATGCAGCCATAAAAAATGATGAGTTCATGTCCTTTGTAGGGACATGGATGAAATTGGAAATCATCATTCTCAGTAAACTATCGCAAGGACAAAAAACCAAACACCGCATGTTCTCACTCATAGATGGGAACTGAACAATGAGAACACATGGACACAGGAAGGGGAACATCACACTCTGGGGACTGTTGTGGGGTAGGGGTAAGGGGGAGGGATAGCATTAGGAGATATACCTAATGCTAAATGACGAGTTAATGGGTGCAGCACACCAGCATGGCACATGTGTACATATGTAACTAAACTGCACATTGTGTACATGTACCCTAAAACTTAAAGTATAATAATAATAAAAAAATAAAAATAAAAATAAATAAATAAATATATTACAATTAGGCCCTTAAAAAAAACGACAGTACACTGGTAAAAGAAGGAAGCTTCCTCAACCTAACAAAAACCCTATAGCCAATATCATACTTAATTGTGAAAAAAATGAATTTTCCCCCTAACATTTGGAACAAGGTAGAAACATCCACTCACACCACCACTATTCAATATCATACTAGATCTTTCAGCAGGTATAATAAAAGAAAAGAAGACACACGGGCTGAAAATGAAAAAATGAAGCTTTATATTTACAAATGTCATGATTATCTATGTAGAAAATCATAAATAATCTATTAAAACCTGTTAAAACCAATAAATGAGTTTAGCAAGGTTGTATGACATAAGGCTAATGTATTTCTATATGCTAGCAATAGACAATTGGAAACTGAAAATCTAAATGTAATATCACTTAAAATAGCACTGAAGACTGGGCATGGTGGCTCACACCTGTAATCCCAGCACTTTGGGAGGCCAAGGTGGGTGGATCACCTGAGGTCAGGAGTTCAAGACCAGCTGGGCCAATATAATGAAATCCGTTCTTTACTAAAAGTACAAAAATTAGCCAGGCATGGTGGCAGGCACCTGTAATCCCAGCTACTGAAGGGGCTGAGGCAGGAGAATAGCTTGAACCTGGGAGGCAGAGGTTGCAATGAGCCGATATCGCACCACCGCACTCCAGCCTGGGCGACAGAGTATCCGTCTCAACAATAAAAAAATGTGTTGTTCAGAAAGATCCTCTACTGAAATTTGTCTTTTTCCCTCATGATTAGACTGGGGTTATGAGTTTCTGGAAGGAAGAACACAGCACTAATGTGCCACTTTCATCATATCATACCGAAGGTACATAAAATCGCCATGATTTAGCTCTGCTGATGTTGGCTGAGGTAGTGTTTATCAAGTTTCTTCACCGTAAAGTTACTCCCCAACCATCCACACACATACTCTTGGAAGGAAGTCACTATGCTCAACCCATACTAAGGAGTCCCGGGGAAGTTATGCTTCCTGTCCTTGGGATAGGGTATCTATACAAATCATTTGGAATTCTTTGGCATGGAAGATTTGTTTCTTTTCTTCTCTTTATTATTTATTCAATCATTTATATCAGCATGGACTCATGGATATTTATAGTATGCTTTGAGTATTTAAAACTTATAAAATAATATCTGGCTTTATTGCATTTTGATCAGGTCGTATAACATTTCTGTATTATAACACTTATCTGATGTTTACTTTTGTGACCTGACATACAATCAAGTTTTGTAAACATTTCATGTGCACTTGAGAAAAGGATGTATTTTCTATTATCAGAACTTCGAGTTTAATATATGTACAGACCTACCTATTTGGCTATGTTGTTTAGGCCTTCTCAAAAATCTATCCTTGCTGATTTTTGTCTGTCTTATCTTATACTGAGAGTGATGAGTTAAAGTCTCCCATTATTAATTAGCATGCTTATGTCTCTTTGTAGCTCTTGTATTTTTTGCTTTATAAATGTGGTTGCTGTGTTATTTGGTGTTAAATACACATAACTTGTTATCTTTATTTTGAATTGAAGTGTGTTCTTCCTCATGTTTAATGCATCTTTAGTTCTACTTTGGTATCAGAATAATAACTGCTGCTTTATATGTGTTTTTCTATTTTTCTGGTATTCTTTTATTCATGTCTTTGTTTTTAGCTTTTTAATTCATGTTGTTTAGGTATATATTTTCTATACAGCATGAAATTTATTTTACTGCCAAATTGAAAATACTTTTTGTTAATAGGTGAAGTGAGTTAGGGCTATTCATAATTATTGATAATGATTAATATATTTGGTCTCAACATATTATATATTATGTATAATATGTTTTTCTGCTATATTTTCTTTCTCTATTATCAGTTTTTTTTGAATTTTAAAAATTTCTGTTATATTTAGAAATATTTTTTCTTCTGTACTAGTGATTTTGTGTTTTACTGTAAATAGACCTCTAATGTAAGGATTTACGTTTAACTGTCTAGGAGTTGGCCTGTGTTTAAAGTTTGTTGTAGCTGTAGGTGTCAGAGGCTTCAGTTTCCTCTAGTGTCCCTGTTTTTGTCTCCCCTGTTATCTTTGGGTTTCCCTAGAAACTCCTTCTTAAATAGGGTCTGTGTCTTACAGCTCTCTCAGCTGTCATCTACTCTTAATTTACTGGAGCTCTGTTGACGTGGTAGGAAGGTATTGTGGAAGGGAAGCAATCTATACTCCTATAATTAAATCTCAGTATTGTTAGTGTTTGTGATTCCTTGGGTTCTGACCTTCAGAAGAGTTTCTCAGTCTTTTTCCCCCTCCCTTTATGTTAGACAGAAAGGCCATGGTGGGGTAAATTGGTAGTTTCCTTTGAGGGCTGGCCTTTGTTACTGAGAACACTCTGAGAGCACTTCAAAGTGGATCATTTTCCTTTCCCCTTGCCAAATGCATGAGGGGATTTTTCCCAGATCTTCAACTTTGAAAGGTGGTAGTATCCAGCCTGGGAGTAAAACTTTCATGAAAGTGTGGGGGCCTCCTTAGTTTTTAACTCTCAAGTTATCCAGATTCAGTCTCCAGACACTAGTCAATTATCATCCAACTAATCCTGACAGTTCTTGCAGCTTATGTTCCCAGTTAGCTATGATTCTTTGTATTCACCTTTCTCTCTAGTTTTCAGAGCAGCGGTTTCCCCTGAGACCTCAATTATCTGATAAATCTATTAAGAGTTATTGATTTTCAGTTTTTCATTTTTTTCCTTGTTGTAGGAATGGGAGTGACAGCTTCCAAACTTTTTACATGTGACAGGAGAAACTGGAAGTCACAAAAGATACAGATTTACTTTTCTACTATTTCTTTCTTTCCTCAAAAGTAGTTAATAATCCGAATTGAAGAATGGAATGTGCTAGAAGTAAAAGGAAACTATAAAGTTTTATTTTAGTGTGAAGGAAAGCAGAAATCATTAGACTGTGTCATCCCCTCATTTCCATTATCAGTCTACCCTATCTACTTCTAAAATGTAAGCACCCTAATAATGGGAGCCTTGTTTGCCTGGCCAGCTGCATCCCCAGTGCATAAAACACCATACGGCACATAGCACGTATTTAATAAATATTTGTGTTAGATGAATTAACCAGGTAATAAGGTGCTTTTCTCGACTCTAACCTCCATAATAAGGCTGGAAAGGAGCCAAATCCAGCCCATCTTTCTTGTTTTTGCATTCATCATCAATTGAGACAGAAAATAGTTTTAAATCAAAGAGCCTATAAGCATATGTTAAATGCTATTAAATACTCACTAACAATAGAATTTCTTCATGGCAACAGAAAACTGGCTCATCCTCTTGGTCATTTTGGAAATGAGATTTTTTTTAAACCTCATTCATAGCTATGTTCCATTTTCTTAAGATGCTGCTTATGTTTACTTACTGTATCCAAGGAATTGAAGCATTAAATTCATTAGGTGTTGTTTAAACAAGACAGGAAGTATAGTCAAAGGCATAATTTAATATTTTGGAACATTTGGCACAGTCAAAAACCAAGTAGACTCCTGATTAGATATGCTGTGATCCAGTTTCATGAAACTCAACTAGAATGCTTTTACTATGAAATAACTTTTGCAGCTGAACTTTTTGACTTCCATATCAGGATGTCAACATATCCTTTAATATATTTCATCCTACTTATAAATATTTCACTATAATTATAGCATTTTATTAATTTATTTTCCAATATATAAGCTAGTATTTGTAATGTGCAAGTCAATATGTTAAGATAAAAAGAGCTTATTGCAAATTTTTTACAGCTACAGGTGATTTTTTCAGAGGTTTAACACTAGCTGCACAGTTTATACAAATTATTCGCAAAGGAAGATAGCAGAGAACTTACTAGAAGCTAATGTGGAAAAAATTTCAAATATAACTAGTTGAGAAATTTGAACTTTATTCTGAAAGTAATGGGGAGCCTCTGAAGAATTTCAATCAGTAAAACACCCAGATTATGTTTCACAAAGATTATTTAATTCCCTTCACTGCACTATTTTTTAAAACTTATTTACTGTGTTTTCTCCAACTAGAATATAAGGTCGACAAGACTACAGCACATATCTGTGTATTCACTGTTATATCCCCTACACCTTTTATAATGTCAGGTGCGGGAGGTAAACAAAAATGGCTGAAAAGCTAATACTTTTTTCTTTCCTTTTTTTTGGCCGTGAACCACCACCACCACCACCATAATAATTAAAGTCTTGAACCCAAGAATTGTTAGTGAGGGCACAAATTAGAACACTCTGAAAATATTAAAGAGCAAGAATTAAACACTGGTGACCAAAAGGATATGGGCAATGGGGAAAAGTAAAAGCAGGAATCTTTTACAGTATTTCAAAAATTACCATAAAACTACAGCAATAAAGACAGTATAATAATGGCATAAGGGACAGACAAACAGATCAACAGAATAGATTTGAGAGTCCAGAAATAAAAACTTATATTTGGTCAGGTGCAATGGCTCATGCCTGTAATTCTAGCACTTTGGAAGACCAAGAACGGGAGGATCACTTGAGCCCAGGAGTTCAAGACTAGCCTGGACAACATAGTGAGACTCCCTCTCTACAAAAAATAAAAAATTAGCTGGGCATGGCAGCACACACCTGTAGTCCCTACTGCTTGGGAGGCTGCGGTGAGAGGATCATTTGAGCTTAGGATGTCGAGGCTACAGTGAGCCATGATTGTACCACTGTACCCCATCCTGAGTGACACAGCAAGACTCTGTCTCCAAAACAAAAAACAAAAAAACCTTAAATTTATGGTCAGTTGATTTTTGACAAAGACGCAGAGTTCAATCAACAGGGAAAATAATATTTCCAATAAATGGTATGGGGACAACTGGGTAGCCACATGCAAAAAAATAAAGTTGGACCCTTAACTCATACCATATACAAAAATTAACTCAAAACAGGGCTGGGTGCAGTGGCTCACATCTGTAATCCCAACACTTTGGGAGGCCGAGGCAGGCAGATCATTTGAGGCCAGAAGTTCAAGACCAGCCTGGCCAACCTGGTAAAACCCCCATCTCTACTAAAAAAAAATTAGCCAGGCATGGTGGTGTGCGCCTGTAATCCCAGCTACTAAGGAGGCCAAGGCAGGAGAATCATTTGAACCCAGGAGGCGGAGGCTGCAGTGAGCCGAGATCATACCACTGTACTCCAGCCTGGGTGACAGAGTGAGACTCCATCTCAAAAAAAAAAAAAAAAAAAAAAAAAAAATCAATTCAAAATAGATCATAGATCTAAATATAAGAAGGAAAACTGTAAAATGCTATTTTCTACATAAAAGTAAATCTTCATAAGATTAAGATGCTCTTAGACACAGCATGAGAAACAAAATAAAAATTAGATAAAGTGGACTTCATCAAAATTAAAAATTTTGTGTATCAAAGGACACCATCAAGAAGGTGAAAAAAACCACCCACAGAATGGGAGAAAATATTTGCAAACCATGCCTCTGAGAAGGGACTTGTATCTAGATACAAATAAAGAAACTTTCAACTCAACAATAAAAAGAAAAATAACCCAGTTAAAAAATGGGCAAAGATATACAAATGGGCAACAAGGACATGAAAAGATGTTCAATGTCATAAGCCATTAAAGAAATGCAAATCAAAGCCACAATGACACCAATTTACACCCATTAGGATGGCTAAAATGAAAAAGACCAACAATAGCAATTGTTGATGAAGATGTGGAGAAATGGAACCTTCATTCATTAATGGGATTTTAAAATCATACAGCCAGTTTTGAAAAGTTTAAAAAGGTAAAACAAAGTTACTATGTGACTCAGCAATTCTACTCTACATATACACCAAAGAGAAATGAAAACATGTATTCACACAAGAACTTGTAAACTAATGCAACAGAAGCATTTTCATAACAGCCCAAAAGTAGAACCAACCCAAATATCCATTAGCTAATCAACTGTTACACAAAATGTGGTATATATTCATACACTAGAATATTATTTTGTTATAAAAAGAAATGAAGTACAACATAGACGAACCCTGAAGATATTACACAAAGTGAAAGAAGCCAGGCAGAAATGGACAAATATTCCATAATTTCATGTATATGAAACATCCAGAGTAGGCAAATCCATAAAGACAGAACTAGGGGTAGTGGGTAAATAGGTGGTGATAATTAACAGGTACCGAGGTTTTTTTGAGGGGAGTGGTAGAAATGTCCTAAAATTAGATAGTGGTAATGGTTGCACAACTCTGTAAATACACTAAAACCCACTAAACTGGCTGGGCGCGGTGGCTCACGCCTGTAATCCCAGCACTTTGGGAGGCCAAGGTGGTTGGATCACCTGAAGTCAGGAGTTCGAGACCAGCCTGGCCAACATGGTGAAACCCTGTTTCTATTAAAAATACAAAAATTAGCAGGGCATGGTGGCGGGCGCCTGTAATCTCAGCTACTCAGGAGGCTGAGGCAGGAGAATTGCTGGAACCCGGGAGGCAGAGGTTGCAGTGAGTCGAGATCACGCTATTGCATTCCAGTCCAGCCAACAAAAGTGAGACTCTGTCTCAAAACCAAAAAAAAACACAAAAAAACAAAAAAAACCCACTAAACTGTATACTTAAAGAGGGTGAATTTTATGGTATGTAAATTGTATCTAAATAAAGTTGTTATTAATATTAACACACACACACTCACACTCACACAACTTGTAGACTTTTGAATAGATCATTCTCCCCCTGGTGCTTTCCGTCTGACTGATGCAAAATTCTCAATTTCCGCAAATAAAAACACAAAAACTGTCCAAAATTTATATAGGTCTGAAAGTTAATTTAAGGAATTATTAGAATATAAAGTCCTTGAAGGCTACAAAAATATCATAGTTCTACTTCCCTTCTTCATACTATTTTATACACAGTAAGTGCTCAATAAATGTCTGCTCAAATGAATCTTCAAAAAGAGATTAGGGAGCTTAAATGTTCAGAAAGAAGTACTTTTATAGCAAGGCTTTCCAGGTGAATACTGACCTCTGAATTTCATCTCTTTATTTAGTCTTTGGCCAGTTTCTTTAGGAAGAGAGATCTGAGAAATCTTTAGAACATGACCGTAATATAGAAGATACTATAATTAACCTTCCTGCATTTTTAAATTAAAAACATCCTTCTGCCTATAGTCCCAGGTACTCAGAAGGCTGAGGCAGGAGAACTGTTTGAGCCCAGGAGTTTGAATCCAGCCTGTGAAACATAGCAAGATCCCTGTCTCTTAAAAAAAAAAAAAAATCTTCATACAGAAAACCTCTATAGCAGAGTTAATACAAAACACAAAAAACATCCTGTTATCCTCTTGGATCAGGGAATGAGGTACGCTGGTTAATACCAATTGACTACATACAGATTAGTACTTACTAAATGAATGGGAACAAAATCACAACAAGATCACAATCTTTCATGGATAAATCAGAAAACATTTGGATATGTTACACTGCCTTAGGGTCATTGTTATAATCAACTATCATTATTTACTATGTTGGACTGCTTTTGCCCATGTACTCAGTAAGGAAGTTTCAGTTGAAGTAATACTAGGCAGACCAACTTTTACCACAGGACATTAAAACCAAGAGAACTGACAGCTCAACCCTAAAAGCTGAACATCTTTTTTTTTCTCTCTCTTTTTTTTTTTAAATAAAATAGGCAATTCACCTGTCTGGATCTTTCCTCAAATCTGTTTCCAGGTCCTGCAAAGTTTACCTTTAAAAAAGCATGATTGTACATGAGCAAAAATACATGGCCTAAATATGTGTCAGGCTTGCTTACTGGAAGAAGGGATATAATTTCCAGAAAAATACAGTAACATGTCTATAGAAAAATCATATGTAGGATGTAAAGCTCTTACAAATTAACTGTTAAGTAAACAGAATTTCTGCCTTAGAACTTCATTAACTATGTTAAATGAAGGTAAGTTTAGCCTCCCTTTCCTCATCCTCTTTATTCTCTAGTGTGTCCTCTAAAAAGGCATCTTTGAGAAAGGAAGCTACAAATTTTTGTCCTTAAAAGTCAACTCAAACACATTTAAAGAAACTAAGATTGTATTAATTATTTAATAGTTATGTATATTCACTAGGCAAAGAATCTGGCACTGAAAAAAATGATCCACTTTTCTTCTGGGTTCCCATATACAGGAATCAAAATAATTTACAAAGATTTGTACAATGAGGAACAGTGGACTCAAAAATTCAAACTTTGTGATATTAAAAAGTAACTTCATGTTTATTAGATGTAAATAGTTTTACATTGTATATGTCATTTTCTAAAAAAAAAAAAAACAAAAATTGACAATTGGATCCTATATTTAAGTGTTATCTGAACATGTCACAGAACAATGTTCTAAGGCTCACAGCAGGATTAGGCTTACATTTAAATCACTGACATTATTTGGTAATTATTCATCTTGGATAAAATCTAATCTGACCATTCATGTCATAAAACCAGAGTCCACAAAGTTGGAAGGTATCCAAGAACTCACTAGTGCAATCTCCTCATTTCATAAAAGAACAAAGTAGGGCCAATCGAAGTTAAATAATTTGCCCCAAATGCCCAAAGATCTCAGGATTAGGGTACAGCAGACTGCAAGCTATACTACTTTATCAATGAAGCTAACTAAATCCCATTTGACCAGAAATAAATATTTTCCAAAGGCTTAATCAATTTTGTTCTTTCATCAGAGTTTGGAGGAAAATATAAAGATCACCTAGCAATCACTTTTAGTAATATGAGAAACCTTCAAAATATTTCTCTAGTACATAAAACAATGCAAAATTAAAGAAACCACAGAAGTCCAAAGCTAGGGTTGTCCCAGCTATCCTTCTCCAATAGCAACAAGATGCACAAGAATGTTACATCTAAATTTGACTTAAGGAAAGGAAAATCACATACAGAGCAACAGAATAACTTAATCCACAAGCTGCTTCCTTCTCAAATAAGTCTGAAGGGTTTGTCCATTTTTCCACCAACCTGTTGCACTCTGCTTTGGTATTTCTCCACCATTGCGGTCCACACATTCCCAAGGAGGGTCTGACTACTTAGACCTTGACATCTGGAAAGTTCATTGTTCCCCAGCTTCTCCTCACCACCCGTGAAAAAGACCAGAAAGATTGGTTGACTGTTCTTGGAGATGAGATGACAGGCCTGCAGGTGCACCTGTAGCCTCTGACCTGCCAGTAGAATCTTCACTTGCATGACTAAAGCAGCAGCTTAGATTTCCAGAAATATTAGCAGTTTTCATTTAAACTTTCTCTAGAGACCCTGGGCAGATGACATGAATGAACTGCTCAAAAATTTCCTCAGCAAACCTTTAACTCTCATTTTTGCTGATACCATTATTTTTGTAGGAATAAGGGAGAGAAATTACAGAGACAGAAGGAAAGAAAAATTTTAAAGAAAGAAAAGCATTATTTGCTGTGTAAAGGCAGTTACCCAAGGCTAATATGCAGTGTGTCAAAGGTATAACTGAAATATCTTAACCTGTAATCCAAATCCAAAGAATAAACATGAACATTAAAATAATACTGAAGCATAAAGGTCTGAAGGATAACAGATATCCACAGTTATTCTGCAGGAAGACCCATAGACTAAGTTGGCTTTCCAGCCCTACTGACCATCCCTAGAGGCTTCAACTGTGAGCCTGGTAGAAAACTGTATTAGAAGTTGCAATGATTTCATTTTCTCCATCTCTTGAGATGCTAGGAAAGGTCCAAATTACACTCTGAGTGCTGGAGCAAATGTTACAAAAATGTACAAAATTACTTGTGATGTCACTGAAGAAAGTTAGCAGACAACTAGGAGAAGAATGTCATCAAAATAAATAAACTCTCAAAGAGATTGGCATGCATTACATGATTCTCAATCCTATTCAATCAATTACATTATTTTAGTATAATTATCTATTTCCTTAGACTACCATTATTTAAATTAGATGATCTAAAACCATGCTAATGGGGAAAACCCTACCAATCAAAAAACGAAGAAAAGAAAATCCTAGACTCAATTTCCTCACCCCGACAGCCACAATGCATAAGAAGAGAAGAAAGAATATGTCAACAATATGTATACTTAGTAGAGCATAAGTTTATTATCCAGCCCAGGACACTACTGAAAATGAAAAAGGACACTATTAAAAATTATACCAGGCAAAGATGCAGAACAGGAACTCTCATTCATTGCTGATGGAAATGTAAAATGTTAATAGCCACTTCGGAAGACAGTTTGGCAGTTTCTTATAAAATTAGAAATAGACTCAAATACAACCTAAAAATCATGCTCCTACGTATTTATTCAAGTGAACTGAAAACTTACGTTCATGTAAAAATGTGCATGTGAATTTTTTTTTTTTTTTTTTTGAGACGGAGTCTCGCTCTGTCGCCCAGGCTGGAGTGCAGTGGCGCGATCTCGGCTCACTGCAAGCTCCGCCTCCCGGGTTCACGCCATTCTCCTGCCTCAGCCTCCTGGGACTACAGGAGTAGGTGGGACTACAGGCGCCCGCCACCACGGCTGGCTAATTTTTTGTATTTTTAGTAGAGACGGGGTTTCACCGTGTTAGCCAGGATGGTCTCCATCTTCTGACGTCGTGATCCACCCACCTCGGCCTCCCAAAGTGCTGGGATTACAGGCGTGAGCCACCGTGCTCGGCCATATGTGAATTTTTATGGCAGCTTTATTCATAATCAAAGAACTGGAAGCAACCACATGTCATTTAAAAGAAGAATGGGTAAACAAATTGTGGTATATCCATACAATGTAATATTATGCAGTGACAACAAGGAATAACCTACTGATTCACACAATGAGATGGATAAATCTTAAATGCATTTTGCTAAGTGAAAAAAGATCTGACAGATTACATACTGTATGATTCCACTCATACTGTATGATTTTATTCATATAATATTCTGGAAATGGCTAAAGTAAGGAATAGAAAACATCAGTGGTTGCCAGGGGTTGGGAGAGTAGAGAATGGTTTACTACAAAAGGGAATACAAGGGAACTTTTAGGGTGATGGAACTATTTTGTATAGTACTGGGGTAGTGAATATATGACACTGGGTATTTGGCAAAACCCAAAGAACTTTACAACATAAAACATGAACTTTCATGTATAAAAAGTTTAAAAAATCAGCCAACAAGTTGGCATTCCCAGGATGGAATGTAGACTGTGAAAAAGAACCTAACTATTATAAATGTATGACATAATATCTCTGAGAATATGGGGGAAAAAAAGGAGTGGACCTAAATAACTTTGGAAAATAATATTTTGACTGTAAACAGTAAGGCTAGAGGCAAAAGAACTTGTACATGAATACTGTTTCTTACTTGGTAAAGCTGTTTCTCACAGGGGTATGATTTAACATTTCTGAAACTGCTTTACATGTATACTACAGTCGAACAAACAGGTAAATAGATGCTACATCATAGAAGCCAGATTACTCACTGTTGGAAAGTTACAGATAAACTAAGGGGGAAGGCTACAAGGAATACTGTGGTATTGGATTGGAGACAGAATTATCAATATGAATTCATGTTTAACTTAATGTAGATACACAAATAATTATAGAAACATGTGTATACATGAATAAGTATACATACATTTCCTTGCTCTGTCTGTGGAGAGGGCCTAGGAATAGGAATGTCCAGAAGCAATGATCATATCCACAACCCAGATATTGGTTTCTAAATACCACTATTCAATTAAAAACAAAAACAAACAAACAAAAAAAACCATAGCTCCTTGGAGAAATGGCTACTTCTATGATTAGGCTGGGAAAATACAAGATAAACCAGAGTATCTTGTAGTACCAGAAAGTAAGGAAGTGTTCAACAAAAGGATGGGGTTATGTCAAAGGGAAAGAGCTCCCAATGGCCAAAGCTGGAACAATTTGAGCAACAAAATAACATGTTAATGGAGTATAACTCAAAGTATAAATAAATATCCCTGAGTCCGTATTGATACAGATAAATGGGGAGAAAAGAGAGATATTCCTTACAGAAAAATTCCAATTAATTTACACAGATACCCTCCAAGAGCTTAACTTACCCCCTTGAGTGTGGGCTAGATTTAGTGACTCACTTCCAAAGAACAGAGGATGAGGTATGGGGATAACATTACAGTAGAGAAATCTGCCAGACACTACC
Organism: Homo sapiens; assembly: GCF_000001405.40. Lineage (NCBI taxonomy): Eukaryota > Metazoa > Chordata > Mammalia > Primates > Hominidae > Homo > Homo sapiens. The sequence continues at coordinate 107,390,255 of NC_000006.12, forward strand.
TTGGCCAGATGATCAAGATTAACATCAACAGTGATAAGTCATAACGTAAAATGTAGTCCTGAAATTATGTGAAAAGAAGGGCAATTCATCTCTGTATCATTCTGAAAAACCATAACCCCAGTCTACATAAGCAAACCCAAACTAAGGGACACTCCACAAAATAGTTGACCAATACTCCTCAAAACTGTTAAAGTCATGAAAAAGAAAGAAAGACTGACAAAGTGTCACAGAATGGGGAAAATAAGGAGATATTACATCTAAACGTAATGTGGTATACTGCATTGGATCCTGGAACAGAAAAAGGTCATTAGTGGAAAAGCTGGTAAGATCTGAATAAAGTCTGGAGTTTAATTAATAGTAACGTACCACTGTTGATTTCTTAGTTTTGACAAATGTAACATGATTATATCAGATGTTAATAGAGGAAACTAGGTGAGGGTATAGGGTATAAAGGAACTCTCTAAAATGTCTTTGCAACTTTTCCATAAATCTAACATTATTCCAAATAAAAAGTGTATTAAATATGTGCCAAGAAAATAGATATAAGCCAGAATCATCCTGGAAACACTAGGACATTATGCTCATCTGATGTATGACCCAAGTCTACTTTTGCTCTTAACATCCTTTCAGTGTTAACAATCTAGAGAATAATTGAGTTTGTGTGATTTAGTAATAAATGAAAAATCTAACTGGATTCTATCATAGCTATTTTTTTAACCTTTTTTGGAATTTCTAGCTCCATAAAATACAAAATAATGCTTCAAATAAGGTTCCTTGAACTGATGGGGGGAGGGTGGGGAGAGGAAATGCAGAAGATGATTTGTGATTAAAAGACTTTTTAATACTTAGAACCACCTTTTTGCTCACATTTTTATATTTAGGGCCTAAGTATTTTATTCTTGTGGAAGAGATAATAACATGGCTATTGGAAAAGAAACCCCATCTAACTCTTAAGATCAGTGGTGAACCAGGAGGCCCACAACACTGTATCTACAGCTCATGAGAGATAAGAAAGAAACCAAACAGAAGAGTTTTTTAAAAATACCATGTGTAATGATAAGAGGGAATAAAGAAAGGCAGTGAAAACTGACTAACCTCCTTCTTTCCTGGCTAGTAAGAAATAGATTTTATTTTTAAATTAACTCTTTGTATAACTGTCTACTGTAAGTATAAGGACTAATAACATCCTTAGAGAGCTCCTGCTGCCAGAAATAGTTTCTATTCCAAGCAGGGGATGGGGGGATTACAAAGCAGGTACGGAAATCATTTGAAAGCAAAGATTTTTCTTGATGCTTTACCCCATTCAATAGCTGTATGAGGAGGGCCAATGTTTTAGGAAGTTATTGGTACTTCTAGTATACTAAAATGGTATAAACCCATATTATATTTCCTTTGTGGAGGGTGGCAAACTAGAATTACTGCCAAAGTTACTTTGTAGTATGTCTAATGTATCAATACATATTATAACTGAACCTATTACCCTTAGTTTGCCCACAAAATCCATTTCATTCATGTATTAAATAAATATTTACTTTATGTTTCTTATGCGCCAGCACTTTTTGAATGCTTCATAGATTTTGAAAAAAAAGATACATGCTCATTTTTTTTTAAGACTCAAGCAAGTCAAACAAGTACAAAAATAAAAGGGGGGAAAAATCACCCTACAACCTCCTACCCAGAATTTAACCCTTGGTGAAAAACAATCTAGACATCTCTCTTTGCCAGGCACATTAATACATATTTTATAAAAAGGATTTTAGCCATTTTACTAATGGGAAACATTTCTTTATAAAAAAAACAACTATTAAGCTTGATGTTTATAACAATATTAATCCTAGACTCTTCTATTATTAAAAATGACCTGAGAATTCAGGCCAATAAGGCTTCACCTAAAACATACCTAATAGAACCTTTCTCTAATTAAAAGTGGACCCTAGATGAAAATAAACACAGGTATACATGTTTTAACATCGGCCAAGTGTAACTTTGCTTGTATGTAAAGAAGCTAATTGGGCAGCAGCTCTGTCAGTATACTGAAGTAGATTTCAATTGGCTGCCTATTTTGAGTTAACCCATAGAAAATAAAACAGTCAGATACTGCTTGCAGCAGTGAACGGTAATGGCTTTAAAAATTTTTTTAAAACATTCTTTAAAAGAGGGTATACAACAAGTTGCATATTTTTCTTGATCTTTAGTTCCATGTTCATCTTTAAAATTCTCAAAAAAAAGTTTTCAGTCATTTTCTTATTAGATACAATTTTAAAGTAACTTGAGCATGATTCATTAGCTTAAATCTGACAGAGAAAAATGACTACACATAAGGCTTTCACAGCATCTGAACTTTTAATGCATAAACCATGTCAAATAATTTTTCATAAGGAAAGAGCAAACATTACTGTCTTCTAACCGGTAGGTAATTTCCTCCTCTTCCTTTTAGTCTCAGTTCATCAGTATTGATACAGGTGACTTGTTGGGCACCCTGAATTCCATCCTGGCCTCCTTCAACGTTCCCTTCAATTTACTCTAGTGTCAGAAGTACAAGCAAACTTTGGATTGGCCCCAGAACAGTTATACCCAGACTTCAAGCTTGGCACTCCCCTTCTTGAAACTTAGCCTGTTTTGATTCCTCTCTTATTGTCTCATATCCAATACAGTGTCCTTTATACCAAACTGGGGACTGTCCATAACTCTACCTATTCTTCTCAATATCATTTATGATATTGATGGGTCTACTGATTTTTTAAAAAACAGTATTTGGTTTTATTCATTTTTCTCTATATTTTGTCTTTTATTTCACTGATTCTGCTCTATATTACTGCCTTCCTTTACATTAGGTTTAATTTGCTCTTCTTTTCTCGTTTATTCAGGTAGAAGCTTAGATCATTATTGTAAAGCAATTAATTTTCCTCTAGTATTGCTTTACCTGCATCCTACAAATTGACATGTTGTTTTTTCATCTTCATTCACAATATTTTCTAATTTTCCATAAAATTTCGTATTTTACCCATGAGTTATTTAGAAGACTATTGTTTAATTTCTAAATATCTGGGAATTTTCCAGATATCTATTATAGTGAATTCTAATTTAACTCTGTTTTCAGTCAGGGAATACATTCTGTGATTTCAAAACTTTTAAATTATTGAGACTTTAAAAATATCACCCAGCATATGGTTAATCTAAGTGAAGTTCTATGTGCACTTAAAAAAAAGAATGTTTACTCTGTACTTGTTTGGAGGCATGTTCCATAAATGTCAATTAGGTCAAGTTGGTTCATAGTGCTGTTCAGTCTTCTAAATCCCTATGAATTTTATGTATACTTGTTCTATTAATTGTTAAGAGAGGAGTATTAAAATCTCCTACTATAACTATGGATTTGTCTATTTCAGTTGTCAGTTTTTGCTCCATGTACTTCAAAGCTGTTATTATGTACATCTATGCACATTAAGAATACTTATATATTCTTGATGAATTGACTGTTTTATGATTTATATTAGGGTGGTGCAAAAGTAACTGCAGTTTTTACGATTGAAAGTAATGGCAAAAGCCACAATTTCTTTTGCACCAACATAATACATGTTCCTTTTTAACCCTTGTAATATTCTTTGCTCTGAAGTCTGCTTTGAGATTAATACAGCTATTTCAGCTTTCTTGCTATTTGTTTGATACATATTTTTCTATCTCTTTGGTTTTTATATTCAAAGCAAGTTTCTTATAGACAGCCAAGAGTTTCTTGCTTTCATATGCAGCCTGAAAATCTTTGCTTTTTATCTGGAAGATTTAGACCACTTAGAGTTAATTTAATTACTGATGAGACTGGGTTTAAATCTACCATCTTACTATTTGTTTTCTGTTTGTTCTCTCTTTTTTCCTCGTTTCCTGCCTTCTTCTGGATTATTTTTTAGTATTCCATTTTATCTTCTCTATTTGGCTTATTTTTCAAGTGGTTCTTCTAGGATTTGGAGTATATGTATTTTACTTACTGTATTAGTCCATTCCCTGCATTGCTATGAAGAATACCTGGGACTGGGTAATTTATAAGAAAAGTGGTTTAACTGGCTTACGGTTCTGCAGACTGTACAGGAAGCATAACACCAGCATCTGCTTCTGGAGAAGGCTCTGGAAGCTTACAATCATGGCAGAAGGCAAAGCAGGAGCTTGCTCATCACATGGCAAAAGCAGGAGCAGGGGAGGGAGGAGGTGCCACACAATTTTAAAGAACCAGCTCTCATAAGAACTCACTACCATGAGGACAGTACCGAGATCATCGTACTAAACCATTCAAGATAAACCACCCCCCATGATCCAGTCACCTCCTACCAGGTCACATCTCCAACACTGAGGATTACAATTCAACATGGGATTTGGGTGGGGACACAGATCCAAACCATGTCACTTATCAAGGTCTACCTTCAAATTATAGTATAACCTTTTCTGTAAAATGTACTAACCTTTCAACAATATACATTCATTATTCCTCTCCTACCCTTTATCTTGTTTTCATACATTTTACTACCTCATATGTTATATGTCCCACAATATATTGCTGGGTTTTTTTGTTTTAAATAGTTAATTATCCTTAAATTTTTAAATGAGGAACAAGAACTCTGTTATATTTACTCACATATTTAGCATTTCCAAAATGCTTCATTCTTCTGTGTAGCTCAGTTTCCATTAGGTATCGTTTCCCTTCTTTCTGAAGAACAATGTTTAACATTTCTCATACTGGTGATCTGTTTGTGATGACTTCTTTCAGCTTTGATTTGTCAAAAAAGTATTTCACCTCTATTTATGATATTTTCAATGGATATAGTAATCTAGGTTGACAGCTTTGTTTTTCCTCTCAACACTTTAAAGATGTCATTCTCTTATCTTCTGACTTTTATAGTTTCTGATATGTCTTGATAAGCATACCTTTATTCCTCTTTAATAGGCCTATTTTTTAATCTACCTGAATTTAAGATTTTTCTCTTTATCAGTTATTTTCAGCAATTTGATTATGATGTATCCTGGTGCTGGTTTTCTTTATGATTATCCTGTTTGTGGCCTATTGAGCTTCTTAGATCTGGAAGTTTATGCTTTCCATCACATATGAAAATTTTTGAAACATTATTACTTTATTTTTCTGTGCCCACCTTCTGGTGTTCCAATTACTCATTTTTTAAACCACTTGATATTGGCCTAAACATTAATGAAGCTCTATACATTTTTTCATCTTCTGTCTATGCTTCATATTCTGCATAGTAATTTTTAATATAATTGATCTTTTCTTCTGCAGTATCTAACTTGTCTGTAATTTATATAAGTGAAATTCATTAAATATACTTTATATTTCATCTTTATAAGTTCCATTTGGCTCTTTATATTTTCCATTTCTCTACTTATGTTGATTTTTGTTTTAATTACTTGAATATATTGAATATATTTATTGTAGCTATTTCAACATTCTTGTTTGTCTGCTGATTCCATTATTTCTGTTTTCAGGTCTGTTTCTATTAATTGGTTTTAATTTTGATTTTTGAGCTATGTTTCTCTGCCTCTTGACATGTCTAGTAATTTTTTTACTGTATGCCAAGTAGTTGATTTTATGTTGCTGAGTGTTAGATTCTGCTATATTTGTTTAAAGAGGATTGATCTTTGTTCTAACAGACAGTTAAATTACATCTGAACCCATTTGATCTATGTGGAGTTTCATTTATGGTGGCTTAGACTAGTCTTTATTCTAGAACTAATTTATTCCCACTACAAAGGTGTGACCCTTCTAATATCTCCCCCAAAGAACCCACGTATTCTGTGAGTGTTTTTCACTCTAATGGGAACTCAAATGATTTCTGGTCCTGTATGTTCTCTGGGAATTGTTCAGCTCCTCAATAACTTTTTCTAAGAAGTTGTTTTTGCACACTCCATGGAATTTCACCTTACCCATATATAGGACTCAAAGGGACTCCTAAACAGATTATCTAGAACTTTTTTTTTCCATAGCTCCCTCCTGTCTGTTATATCACCTTGCACATCCTAGTTACCAAGACCTGCCCAAACTTTAATCTATGTCTCCCACCATTCAGCAATACCACAGGCGCTGTTTGAATTTCCCTTCCCTGCACCAAGATCTGGAAGTTGCCTCCAGGCAGAAAGCCAAGACAATCATAGAGTTATCTCTTTTGTTTCCTTTCTCTCAGGAATCAACAGTGTTGTTACCTGTTATCCCATATATGAAGACAGTTGTTTCAGGTACATTGCCCAGTTATTCAGTTGTTTATAGAGAAATGGCAATTCTAGATCCTGTTATTTCCTCATGGCTAAAAGCAAAGTCCTTTCTCATATCTGATTGTGTGTCAAATGCTATATATAAAATAACTGTAGAGACTACGGTTGATGTTATTTGCCACAGAGGATTTGCCCTTTCTTTTTTTCCTCTTCTTTTTTCTTTTTTTTTTTTTTTTTTTTTTGAGACAGGGACAGGGTCTTGCTCTGTTACCCAGGCTGGAGTGCAGTGGTGCAATCATAGCTCACTGCAACCTCAAACTCCTGGGCTCAAGGAATCCTCCCACCTCAGCCTCCTGAGTAGCTAAAGATTACAGCACACACCAACAGGCCTGGCTGATTTTTTATTTTTATTTTTATAGAGACAGGGTCTCAAGATGTTACCCAGGCTGGTCCTGAACTCCAAGCTCAAGTGATCCTCCCACCTTAGTCTCCCGAAGTGTTGGGGTTACAGGTGTAAGCCACTGAGCCTATCCTTTGCCCTCTCCTCTGTTACGCAGAAAGGAACTGAGCTAGGATGAGATTGGAATGAAGCTTTAGTTAGATTCTGCTCACTTCTATTTTCAAAAATCTCAAGGGTGAAACTGTCAGTTGTCTGTGTAGGCATCTTCCTCTAGATTAGTAGTTCTCAAAGTATGGTCTGTGGATCCCCAGGGGTCCTGAGATTTTTTTTTTTTTTTGGTGGTCGAGGGGGAAGCATGAAATAAAAACTGTAATATAGTAATACTAAGATATTATTTGCTCTTCTGTGTTGACACTAGCACTAATAGTACAAAAGCATTGGAAGGTAAAACTGTTGGAGACTTAACATGAATCAAGGCAGTGGCACCCAATGTACATTTATAGTTTTCAGTGCCATATACCCACAGTAAGAAAAAAATACCAATTTTACTTAATGTCCTTGATGAACCAGTACAAATGGTGAAATTTATTAACTTTTGACCTGTGAGTACATGTCTTTTTTATAATCTAAATTACAAAATGAGAAGTATATATAAAGCATTTCTGCCATATACCAAAATATAGTCCTTGTCTCAAGGAAAAGAGCTTGTGTGATTCTTTTGAGTTGCAAGCTGAATTAGCTGGTTTTTTGTTTTCCATGAAACACCACTTTTACTTGAAAGAACAATGAATAGACAAATTATGGTCTTTCAACTTGAATGTTTAATAGGTGTTTCCTCTAAAATAAATGCAGTAAGAAAAATAACAGTATTTGTTGCCAAAAATAAAATTTGAGCTTTCAGGCAGAAATTAGAATTGTGGAAAACTTGTATCAGCCACTATAAACTTGACAGCTTTTCAATACCTAATGACTTTTTCTAATGAGATCAGTGGTGATACTAATAAATATGGTATTTTTAAATATCATAAAATAAAACGTCAATGTTTGGAAGAGAAGCATACCTCAGTAAACCAACATTTCCAAATGATCAATGCATGGTACAAAATTATGGACGGGTAAAAAAACCCACTCAAAATACAAAACAGAATAACACATTTTAATGTAATAAAGTTCAAAAAGTACATTGACATGGTTTCAGATTCCACTCTGTAACTAACCTTTAAGAAACTACCACCTGTCAAATTTGGGGATCAGATCAAAAAAGAATATTCACAATTATCTGAAAAAGTGGTTACATTGCTCCTCCTTTTCCCAACTGCTTATCTGTGGGAGGCTCCATTTTCTCAACTTATTTTAACCAAAACAACACATTGCAACAAAGTGGAAGCAGAAGCAGATAAGAAAATTCAGCTGTCTCCTATTAAACCAGACAGTAAAGTGTTACAAAATACAAAACAATCCTACTCCTTAGTAATATCTTTTTGTTTTTAAAAGTGTAATCCTTTTTCCAAAAAATGTTTATTAATGTTCACATGTAATGGGTCTATTATTGTTTTAAAAGTAATAAATATTTAAAATTCTTACTTTTAATTTCTGAATTTCTGATACAGTAAATATCAACAGATATAAGCCACAAAAGCAAAATATCCTTGGGGGTCTTCAACTATTTTTAAGATTGGAATGGGGTCTTGAAATCAAAAAGTTTGAGAACCTAGCAAGTCTCCTAAGCACCATGAGACTATAAGAGATTCAACTTGGCTTTTCTAGACTGGCCCTCAGCCTCCCATACTGCCATAGCATTTAGCAAATACCTAGTGGAGAAAAATAAGTCTGCGAATTTCAGGCTCCCTTAGATTTCCATCTGTCAAACCAGCCCATACAACTATTAAAAGGTCATTTGACTTCTCTTTTCCTGCGTGGGCTCCCCCACCTGGACCAAACCTGATCTAGAAACATGTCCATACTTGGAAACTGTCCTCAGGAGAAACCAATTGGCCATCTCAGTTCACATGAGAAAGGGGCTTCCCTCTCTAGACTTTCAGTGTATCTCCTCTTTTCTTCCACAGCTCCCCTATAGCTTTAAAAATAAGATTTTTAGAATGTATTCATATTCTACACAGGAAATGGTCTGTCACTATCTACCACATATTATCCAAGGGAAGAAATCTTTTAATCCACTAAAAAATAACAAAAGCTAGCACATATACCACCTGCCAAACAATCTTCCCAGCATTGTATGTAATAGTAACTCATTTAATTCTCAAGGCAACATAATAAGGTAGATAATATTACTATCCTCACTAAGTCACACAGCTGGCTAGTTAGCAGTGAAGCCAGGATTCAAGCCCAGGCAGTTGTTTCAGAGTACAGGCCCTTAGCCTCTAACAAGGTACCTACCCTTGGTCTTATCTACCACACATTTTCCCCCAGGAAACAGCCCATTTTCAGAGTTGTGACTATCACCTGAAGTCGCAAAATCTTGATCTCCAAGTCTCACCTGTCCAACTGCTGGCTAAACTTCAACCTGGATGTTCAGCATATTATAAAACCAATGCATCTTCTTCACAGTCCTGAAACCTCTTTCCCAAACTGTCACCAATTCTTTAGCATCCTTCCCACCCTTGGCCAATCTGGGCAATTATGATCCTATCTTCCCCTAAGTTTCAGATACATTTATGTCTATACCAGTAATCCCCAAACACTGATTTCCAACCAAGTTTACAATGGTGCATATAAAAAAGAGAAAAATAGTAATGTGCTATTCATTTTTAAAAACCTGTCTTTTATTCTGAGATAATTCCTACTATTTACTGTTAGAATGTTTTTGTTTTTCCTTTTATGAAAAAATGATAATAGATAATAGTTCATTTTATATTTTTTTCTTAGTGAACTAAAACATTAACAATACTATAATGATTCCCAAAGTTAGCTGCTCTGAAAATTTACTAACCTAGGAAATTTTTATATCAGCAATCTTTTTTTTTCCCTCAAAAATGGCAGATTAGAGGCTTTGTTAGCATACCTCATCCATTTGGAAATAACAAAATAGTGTGTAGAGATTCATACTGTGAACTTTTATACAAGAAGGAACACAGGAGCTTAACACAAAAGTGAAAGAAACTTCAGATACTTTGAAAAATAAGAGCGGGCAGCAGCTTGCACTGCAGGTCAAGCAGAAAACTGATGTGAATTCCCAGTATGTGAGTGGGGGGAGTGTCTCCACAATACACATTCCTACTGGGGAGCCAGGCAATCCAGGTCACAGGGGAGCTTTCTGACCCTATCAAGTGCTGATAGTGTCAGGGAGCAGTGGAGAGACTGTGAGAAGGAGCAGCAGAGGGAAGTGCTCCATGCACACTCCCAGACCTTGGGGTCAATAGAAGGTCATTTCTGGTCCTAATTAATTAGGGGACACATGGATGCCTACCAACCAGAATAGGCAGCAGTCAATGATTTGGAGAATCTCTGGACTGGCATTTGTGATCTAGTCTCAAGCGGGGAGGACACCCCACAGTCAGAACCAAGAGGTGAATGTGGTGTGAGCTCCAGCTGCAGGTGCAGGAGTTAGGCCCCCAATTCCCTCTTTGTGGGACTGGACTGGGAGGAGTGTGGCCTGGGGGCCGCAGTTTTTGTCCTGGGAGTTTGGCAGACTGGGGTGGTTTTGCAACCTGAGGATGAACTGTTTGTGACTTGGCTGGCTGTCTCAGCTTGCTGCAAGAGGTGGTCTGCAAGAGAAAGTCTTGCTAGGTCAAGACCATGGGAGCAATGCAGGTCCCACTACCACGTGCTAAGCTGTGGAGCTCAAGCAGTCCCTTTTTCCCCATACTGGCTCTCTAGCATGGCAGTGGTTGTCCTACTGCTCCCTGGAGTGTTGCTCCAGGGGCTTGAAAACAGCCTTCTGACCCTTATCAGGGCTGGTGTTTGCACCTGCCATTGGAGGGCCTGAGCACAGACTTGCCTGGCCCAGCTCTACCCAGCTCTGCCCTGCCCCAACTGCCTTAGAGACAGACCATAGGTTATGGTAATTGCAGAGGTTGCACAAACTTTGTCTCCTTCCCGAGCACTGTGCAATTGTGTCAGCAGATACTATAATGCGCTGAACTTCAGAACCTGAAGACAAGTCTTTACAACTAATCCATAGCCCAGCCCGTTGCATGGGACATCCAAGTACTTCTCCTGGTTAACAAAGGTCAAGTATAAACACTACTGCAACCATCACAGCAGGCTCTCACCTGTAAGTATCAATTACTGGCCAGGAGGTCAACATGCAAAGCCCATTACAGTATCTGCTGATACAACTGTACAGTACTCAGGAAGGACACAAGCTTTGTGCAACCTTTACTATTACCATTACCCACACAAGCCCGGCTACTCAGGAGACCTTGAGCCTACTCTCCCTACTGGTACATTACTACTACAACTGGCATTTGAGAAAGCTGCTGCATTAAGGCTTTTTATAACCAAGGAAATTATACAGTGTCTATACCAGTGAATGCACCCAAAAGCAAAACTAGACAACCCTACTAAACATCATCATAGACACACCCTCAAAAGAAAAAAAAGTCCTACTCCAACAAAAGTAATTCAAAAATAAAAAGAAGCGACTGTTACCCCAGATGTGAAGGAATCAGCATAACACTGAAAGTATGAAAAAACAAGGTGCTATGAGATCCTCAAAGGAGCACAGTACATCTCTAGCAATGGATCCTAACGAAAAAGAAATCTTTGAAATGCCAGGTAAAAAATTAAAAATACTGATTTTAAAGAAGCTCAACAAGATAAAAGAGAAATCTGAAAACCAATACAAAGAAATCAGAAAATCAACTCAGGATATGAACAAGAAACACAACTTCTAGAAATGAAAAACTTGTTCAAGGAGTTACAAAATACAGTTGAAAGCTTCAACAACAGAATAGACTAAGCAGGTGAAAGAATTTCAAAACTTGCAGACAGGCCTTTTGAACTAACCCAGTCAGACAACAATTAAAAAAAAAAGGAATGAACAGCTGAGCACAGTGGCTCATGCCTGTAATTCAAGCACTTTGGGAGGCCAAGGCAGGCAAATCACGAGGTCAGGAGCTTGAGGCCATCCTGGCCAACATGGTGAAACCCTGTCTCTATTAAAAATACAAAAATTAGGCCGGGCGCAGTGGCTCACACCTGTAATCCTAGCACTTTGGGAGGCAGAGGTGGGCAGACTTCCTGAGGTCAGGAGTTCGAGACCAGTCTGGTCAACATGATGAAACCCCATCTCTACTAAAAATACAAAAAATTAGCCAGCTGTGGTGGTGGGTGCCCATAATCCCAGCTACTCAGGAGGCTGAGGCAGGGGAATTGCTTAAACTCAGGAGGCAGAGGTTGCAGTGAGCCGAGATTGCGCCATTACACTCCAGCCTGGTGACAGAGCAAGACTCAGTCTCAAAAAAAAAACAAACCAACAAACAAACAAAAAAAACAAAAAAGAATGGACAAAGCCTTCAACAAGTATGGGACTATATAAAACAATCAAACGTATAAATCATAGTGTATTAGTCTGTTCTCACAATAAAGATATACCAGAGACTGGGTAATATATATATACACACACACACACACATATATATACGTATATATATGTATACATATATACGTATATATGTATACATATATATACACACACATATATACATACATTTTATATATATATATATATATAAAAATATATATACATGTGTATATATATGAGGTTTAATGGATTCACAGTTCCACATGGCTAGAGAGGCCTCACAATCATGGCAGAAAGCAAAGGCATGTCTTACATGGCAGCAGACAAACAACATGTACAGGGGAATTGCCCTTTATAAAACCATCAGATCTAGATGGTTTTATAAAAAGCAGTTTATAGAACTATAAACTAGAACTAGAACTATAAACTAGAACTAGAACTCACTCACTATCACGAGAATAGCATGAAGGTAACTGTCCCCATGATTCAATTATCTCCCCACCAGGTCCCTCCCACATTTGGGGATTATGGGAACTACAGTTCAAGATGAGATTTGGGTAGAGACATAGCCAAACCATATCATTCCACCCCTGGCTCCTCCCAAATCTCATGTCCTCATATTTAAAAACACAATCATGCCTTTCCAACAGTCCCCCAAAGACTTAGCTCATTACAGCATTAAACCAAAAGTCGAAGTCCAAAGTTTCATCCGAGACAAGGCAAGTCCCTTCCGCCTAGGAGCCTATAAAGTCAAAAGCAAGTTGGTTACTTCCTAGACACAATGGGAGTACAGGCATTGGGTAAATACTCCTGTTCCAAATGGGAGAAGTTGGCCAAAACAAAGGAGCTACAGGCCCCATGCAAGTCCGAAATCCAACAAGGCAGTCATTAAACCTTAAAGTTCCAAAATGACCTCCTTTGACTCCATGTCTCACATCCAGGTCACGCTGATATAAGAGGTAGGCTCCCACCGTCTTGGGCAACTCAGCCCCTGTGGCTTTGCAGAGGACAGCCTCCCTCCCAGCTGCTTTCATGGCTGGCGCTGAGTGTCTGCAGCTTTTCCAGGCACATGGTTCAAGTTGTCAATGGATCTACCATTCTGGTGTCTAGAGGATGGTGACCCTCTTCTCACAGCTCCATTAGGCAGTGCCCCAGTGGGGACTTTGGGTGGTGGCTCTGACCCCACATTTCCCTTCTTCTGCAGCAAATTTCTTCCTGGACATCCAGGTGTTTCCATACATCCTCCAAAATCTAGGCAGAGATTCCCCAACCTCAATTCTTGTTTTCTGCACACCCACAGGACCAACACCACATGGAAGCTGCCAAGACTTGCGGCCTGCACCCTCTGAAGCCACAGCCTGAGCTGTATCTTGGCCCCTTTTAGCCATGGCTGGAGCGGCTGGGATGCAGGGCACCATTTCCACCAAGTCCAGCAGCTGCACACAGCAGGGGAGCCCTGGACCAGGCTCAAGAAACCATTTTTCCCTCCTAGGCCATGGGACTGTGATGGGAGGGGCTCTCCAGAAGGTCTCTGATATGTCCTGGAGCCATTTTCCCCATTGTTTTGGCAATTAGCATTTGGCTTCTCATTACTTATCCAAATTTCTGCTATGGGCTTGAATTTCTCCCCAGAACATGGGATTTTCTTTTCTACAGCATCATCAGGCTGCAATTTTTTCAAACTTTTATGCTCTGCTTCCTCTTGAATGCTTTGCTGCTTAGAAATTTCTTCCACCAGATACCCTAAATCATCTCTCTCAAGTTCAAAGTTCCATACATCTCTAGGGCAGGGCAAAATGACACCAGTCTCTTTGCTAAAGCACAACAAGAGTCACCTTCGGTCCAGTTCCCAACAAGTTCCTCATCTCCATCTGAGACCATCTCAGAGTGGACTTTACTGTCCATAGCACTATCAGCATTTTGGTCAAAGCTATTTGACAAGTCTCTAGGAAGTTCCAAAATTTCCCACAACTTCCTGTCTTCTTCTGGGCCCTCCAAGCTCTTCCAGTCTCTGCCTGTTACCCAGTTCTAAAGTTGTTTCCATATTTTTGGGTATCTTTACAGCAGCCCCTCCTTCTACCCAGTACCAATTCACTGTATTAGTCCGTTCTCCCACTGCTAATAAAGACATATCTGAGACTGGATAATTTATAAAGAAAAATGAGGTTTAACAGACTCACAGTTCCACATGGCTGGGAAGGACTCACAATCACGGCAGAAAGCGAACAAGGAGTAAAGGCACGTCTTACATAGCAGCAGGCAAGACAGCACGTACAGGGGAACTGCCATTTATAAAACCATCAGATCTTGTGAGAACTCACTCACTATCATGAGAACAGCATGGAGGTAACCGCCCCCATGATTCAATTACCTTCCCACTGGGTCCCTCTCATGACATGTGGGGATTATGGGAACTACAGTTCAAGATGAGATTTGGGTAGGGACACAGCCAAACCATATTACATAGATTAATATTCCTGAGGGAGAGGAAAAAGAAAAAAGTCTGGAAAACCTTTTTAAAGAAATAATTCATGAAAACTTCCCTATTCTAACAAGAGATTTAGACATCCAGATATAAGAGGCTCAACAAATTCCAAGCAAATACATTGCAAGAAGGACCTCACTTCAACACAGAGTCATCAGACTGTCTAAAATCAATGTGAAGAAGAAAATCCTAAAATCAGCAAGAGAAAGTATCTAGTCACTTATAAAGAAAACCCCATCAGAGTAACAGCAAACTTCTGAGCAGAAACCTTACAAGGCAGAAGAGATTGGGATTCTAATTTTAAAATGCTTAAAGAAAAAAAAAAACTGTCAACTACAAATTTTGTACCCTGCAGGAATAAATTTCATAAGTGAAGGAGAAATAGTCTTTCCTAGACAAGCAAATGCTGTAGCAATTCATCGCCACTAGACTGGTAGTATAAGAAATGCTCAAAGGAGTCCTAAACATGGAAACGAAAGGTGATACTTGCCATCATAAAAACACGTGTAAGTATAGAACTCAGAGGTCTTATAAAACAATTACAAAAAGGAGGAAGAGAAAGAAATTAAATAGGAACACAACAGAACACAAAACCACAAACAGAAAAAAAAGAGAGAGAAACAAAGGATCTACAAAGCAACTAGATAACAATCAATATCATGACAGGAAAAAAAACTCACATATCAATATTAACCTTGAATGTAAATGCATTAAATGCTCCACTTAAAAGATACAGAGGCCGGGCGCGGTGGCTCACGCCTGTAATCCCAGCACTTTGGGAGGCCGAGGCGGGCGGATCACGAGGTCAGGAGATCGAGACCATCCCGGCTAAAACGGTGAAACCCCGTCTCTACTAAAAATACAAAAAATTAGCCGGGCGTAGCGGCGGGCGCCTGTAGTCCCAGCTACTTGGGAGGCTGAGGCAGGAGAATGGCATGAACCCGGGAGGCGGAGCTTGCAGTGAGCCGAGATCCCGCCACTGCACTCCAGCCTGGGCGACAGAGCGAGACTCCGTCTCAAAAAAAAAAAAAAAAAAAAGATACAGAATGGTGGAATAGATAAAACAACCTGAACCAACTATATGCTGCTGACAAAAATTCACCTTACTAGAAATGGGTACAATGTAAACTTTACAGGTGATGGTTATACCAAAAGCCTAGACTTTAGCACTATGCAATATATCCATGTATCAAAACTGTACTTGTACCTCCTATATTAATACAAAATTTTTAAAATTTAATAAAACAAAATCAGTAAACTACTGATCTATCTCAGCTTTATCAATTTATCAGAATCTGCCTTTGACTTTCCCACCTCTCTTCTATTAATAATATAGTCAGGTATAAGCAATCGGTCAGGTATCCTACCCAAACACACTCAAATGCAAGTAATAAAAGTAACTTTTATGGCTATATCAAAAATTATAAAATGTATTGAAATTGGTTCCAAATGTTATTATTTAACTTTTTTAGATGATCAAAAAAGATACAACTTCTTACTGTTTTAGATCCAGTTAACTAGCCTTCCTTACTCTACAGCTCACTTACCTGAGTGGTAAGGAATTAAGTTAACTGTTTCCAATAGCTTTGTAGGGAAACCTTTTTATAGTCTAAATCATGGTAAGATCATCTTTACCAAGCACTTTCTGACATACAATCTTATTTAATCACAAACTCTAAATGTATTTTCATCAATTTTTGCTTCTACCACCAATCTGATGATAAAAAGTATGTTTTGAATGATAGAATATGGGAGTTAGATGAAACCCAAAATATCATCTACTCCAAACTCTTCCTTTCATAACTGAGACTAGTGATACAGCTTAAAGTCATACAGCTAGTTAGTGAATGACACAGCTGAGACCAGAAAGCTAACTAAGCCCTTCAGCTATCTAGCTGGCTATATCAAGAAGGTCAAATTCACAAGAGAAGAACCATAAGTGAGATAGAACCAGGCTGGAAATCACTATACTCTTAAAGTTAAGCAGGTGAAGTGGGTAGAATAACATTCATAAACAGCTTCACTAATGTTTAAAGGAAGCAGAATTGCTTTGGGTTCACAGATATCAAAAGTCATGCTGACATGCAATCTCCAGGGGAGATTAGAAAGGAAGAACAAGAAGTCAGTGAGGAGAATGAACCAGAATGAATTTGCTCTGCTCTCCTATTTAGCCACTGACTGGGGGTTGGGGAGTGTAGTGCAGTCAAAAGGTTAGGGTTTTGGTCCATCAAGAGATGAACAGATAAACAAAATGTGGTATATCCATAAGATGCAATATTATTCAGCAATACAAAGGAAAGAAATTCTGATATATGCTACAACATGGATGAGCCTTGAAAACATTATGGTAAGTGAAGTAAGCCAGAAATAAAGAACAAACATTGTATGATTCTACTTATATGTGGTATATAGAACAGACAAATTCATGGAGACAAAAATAGAATAGATGTTACCAGGTACAGGGAGAGGAGCAAATGAGGAGTTACTGTTTCTATTTGTGATCATAAAAAAGTTCTGAAAATTAATAGTGGTGATAGTTGCAAAACAATGTGAATGTACTTAATGCCAGTGAACCATACATATAAACATAGTTAACATGGTGAATTTTATGTTATGTATATTTTACCACAACTTTTTAAATGCAAAAAAACAAAACAGAGTTTTGGAGGTATGAGGAATTTGTTTTCTATGCCACTTACCAACTTGTTAGCAATGGGTTATTTCTCCTTAAAAACTCTGCTTAAGAAAAATATAAATTCAAACACTTTACCACAGGTGACATATTTTTATAATTTTAGAAGAATTATAGGAAGCTCCAGAAAACAGTCCTGGAGGTAACACAAATCCTGATTGAGTAGTACTTATTACTAGCAGGTCTCTCTCTTTTTTGAGATGGAGTCTCGCTCTGTTGCCCAGGCTGGAGTGCAGTGCCACGGTCTTGGCTCACTGCAATCTCTGCCTCCTGGGTTCAAGCAATTCTCCTGCCTCAGCCTCCCAAGTAGGTGGGATTACAGGTGCCTGCCACCATGCATGGCTAATTTTTGTACTTTTAGCAGAGATGGGCTATTACCCATGTTGGCCAGGCTGATTTCGAGCTCCTGACCTCGTGATCCGCCTGCCTAGGACTCCCAAAGCGCTGGGATTACAAGTGTGAGCCACCACACCCGGCCAGTCTTTCATTTATTTATTTATTCATTTATTTTTTAATTAATTTTTTGAGACAGAGTCTCACTCTGTCATTCAAGCTGGAGTGCAGTGGCATGATCTTGGCTCACTGCAACTTCTGTCTCCTGGGTTCAAATGATTCTCCTGCCTCAGCCTCTCAAGTAGCTGGGATTACAAATGTGTGTGCCACCATGCCCGGCTAATTTTTGTATTTTTAGTAGAGACAAGGTTTCACCATGTTGGCTAGGCTGGTCTTGAACGCCTGACCCCAAGCTTCCCAAAGTGCTGGGATTACAGGCTTGAGCCACCACACCTGGCCTTACTAGCAGTTGTTATTAAATGATTATTTAACACTCCTATACTTATTTCTACAAGACATCCATTGCTATTCAAAAAAATCTAATTTATCTGGAGAGAAAACAAGGACTCCCTTTGTTGTCCCAAGGACATGCTATAGGGATTGGAGTCCTCTGAGACTGTAACTGAATCAGCTCAGCAGATTACTGCATTTAGCCTCCCTTCCTCTTAACCTGGTAGTGTCCTACCCGTCTATGCCAGGGGTAACAATCTCAAATGCCTAAAGAAGCCAGAGCCAGACAAGGAATATAAATGAATGAAGCAATAGGAACAAATCTGGCAAGCAAAAAATGAAAGCTGTGGCAACCTGGAATGCTTCTGCCACACCTACAGAAGCACTGTCAATTGATGCCATGTGGGAATGCTATTTTTTCATTGTTACCATGCCTTCTGAATTTTCAAAAGAGGCTAGAAATTTAGATTTTTCAACAAACTCTAAAAGCTGAGCAAAATGAATCAGAGAACCCTAAATACTTTACAAGCCGCCAGTCTGTGCTTTTTGCTCCATGAACACTCCAAGCTACGAAGGAAAATGACAGGAAACAATACTTCCTAGTTATTCATATCTCATTTTGGATCTAAGGACTCCAATTCCCTGAGAGCAAGGCAGCAGGTGGCATTCAAGTCACGTAAAATAAATAAGTCAAAGGCATAAACTGAAAAGGCAATTTTCTTAATATCTACTTAACATATAAAAAGTTAAAACCTGACACTTAGAGTATATGTTAAAATAACCTACCAACTTTCAAAATGTCAGGAACTCAGATGAGTCCATGGTAACTGCAGAACACTGGAAGAAAATATTAAGCAGCAAGAATATAATTTTTAAAACTCTCTGAAGCCACCCTAAAAATCACATGATTCACAACAAACCTGTTCCCTATGCCATGACATGAAATGTCTGTTGTATCATCTTGGATCCCATCCTCTTGATTTTTATAACTTTGGTTGATATAACAGATATGGATCTGTAATTCTATATATTAATTTCCCAAATTCCAATCGAAAATCTCTGTTTGAAACTGCCTACCTACTTGATTTTTTTTTTAATTAGGGAAATATTGCTGGAAAAGAGGAGAAAATATTTTGGAAAAAGCTGCTTTCTTACAGTTTGACTTAGATACAGAAGTCAAGAATAGTACAGGAGTGAAGCTATTTTTCTCTTTCCCTTGTCACAAAAAGACTAGCTACTTCTCTCCAAAGGTGATCTATTTCTGGACAAGGAGAGTCAGAATTCTTCCTTAAACTTAACCCAGTTAACGTATTCACCATCAATATAATCTCCTTCTACTACAACCAAAACAATATACAGCAGGATTTAACTAACATTATGTGCTTATGTACTAGGCACTGAGCTAAACTCATGTAATCCTCACTATCCTACGAAATAGGTACTTCTATCTGCAAAGTAGACACGGTTCCTGCCCTCAGAAGGCTATTTTCTAATGGCAGAGGCAGACATTAAACATTCTCAATGAAGAATGTACCACTGCATTTATGATCACAGTGAGAAAGGAGATGAACAAGGTGCTACCAATGTACGTGAAAGGAAAATATGACCTTACCCGGGGAGGCATCTCTGTGGAAATAACATTCTATACAGATCAAAGGATAAGCAAGTTTTAACTAGGCAAAGTCTCCAGGCAGAGAGAAGAGTATGAGAAAAGGTCTTGTGATGGAGTTTGAGTTAGAGACAAAAAAAGCAAATGCGGCCAACACAGGGAGAATAAGGGGAAGCATGCTGAATGAATAGGCCATCCAGGGCTTTGCCATTTACATTAGAAGTCTCCAAGCCATTCACATTAAAAGTCTCCAAGAGCAATAGAAAATGCTGAAGTTAGAAAAAGGGGAAGAGAATTATCAGAATTATGGGCATTTTAATGCATTTTTTAAATTGAAAGAACGTAAAAGAAGAAGGTACTGTCTATTGTCTCACTCCCACCCTGTCAATGTCTATCTGATTTTCTCCACCCCACTGGTAATCAATCTTAGTCTTACATAGTACGCTTATCCTGGTATGAATCCACAGGTGCATGTGCGCGCAGACACACACACACCCATAAAACACTTTCCTCCTTTCTTACACAAAGGATAGCATGTTATATGTACTGTCCTCTACGCTGTTTTTTGTTTGTTTGTTTGTTTGTTTGTTTTTTGAGACAGAGTCTCACTCTGTTACCCAGGCTGGAGTGCAGTGGCACAACCTCAGCCCACTGCAACCTCTGCCTCCCAGGTTCAGGTGATTCTCTGCTTCGGCCTCCCAAATAGCTGGGATTACAGGCACGTGCCACCACGTCCATCTAATGTTTGTATTTTTAGTAAAGATGGGGCTTCACCATGTTGGCCAGGCTGGTCTCAAGCTCCTGACCTCAGGTGATCTGCCCGCCTCAGCCTCCCAAAGTGCTGAGATTACAGGCACTAATTACAGGCACTAATGCCTGGGCATCTACCCTGTTTTTTTTCACTTAGTATATCTATTCTTTCTTTTGTTTCCAATTGCACAGCATTCCACGGTTTGATGTATCTACCATGGGTTATTTTGTTATTACTTTTTTGAGACAGAGTCTTATGCCGCCCAGGCTGGAGTGCAGTGGCATGATCTCAGCTCACTGCAACCTCTGCCCCCTGGGTTTAAGAAATTCTCCTGCCTCAGCCTCCCAACTATCTGAGATTACAGGCACGTGCTACCATGCCTGGCTAATTTTTGTATTTTTTAGTAGAGACAGGGTTTTGCTATGTTGGCCAGGCTGGTCTCAAACTCCTGACCTCAAATGATCCGCCCACCTCGGCCTCCCAAAGTGCTGGGATTACAGGCGTGAGCCACTGCACCCGGCCTACCATGGGTTATTTAATGAGTCTCGTGGATGAGAAGAAAAAGCCTACCCAACTGCTACTGGATTTTGCTGTTACAGACAATCTTGTAAGTGAGGTTGCTGGGTCAAATGGTAAGTGCATTTGTACTTTTGACAGACATGGTTAGATTCTGCACTCCTACCAACAATGTATGACATCATTTATGAAAACTGGACAACCAAATGAGTTACCAAACTTTTGAGTTTTTACCAATGTGACAGGTAGAAAACTGTTTTACTGTAGTTTTAATTTGCATTTCTTTTTTATTTTAGGTAAGGTTGCACATACCTTCACATGTTTAAGAGCCATCTATACAATTGGCCCTCCATGTTTGTGGGTTCTGCATCCATGGATTCAACCAACCACAGATCAAAAATATTCAGAAAAAAAATAGATGGTTGTGTCAGTACTGGGTATATACAGACTTTTTTCTTGTCATTATTCCCTAAACAATATAGTTTTACAACGATTTAAATAGCACTTAAATTGTATTAATTATTATAAGTAATCTGGAGATAATTTCAAGTACACAGGAGGATGTGCAAAGGTTATACACAATACTACTTCATTTTATATAACGGAATTGAGCATCTATGGATGTTAGTATTGGGGGGTGGGGGATTTCTAGAACCAATCCCTCACTGATACTGAGGAATAACTGTACTTCTTCTTCTTCTTTTTTTTTTTTTTTTTTTTTTTGAGACAGAGTTTTGCTCTTGTTGCCCAAGCTGCAGTGCAATGGCATGATCTTGGCTCACTGCAACCTCCGCCTCCCAGGTTCAAGCGATTCTCCTGCCTCAGTCTCCTGAGTAGCTGCGATTACAGGCACACACCACCACGCCCGGCTAATTTTTTTGTATTTTTAGTAGAAACGGGGGTTTCACCATGTTAGCAGGCTGGTCTCGAACTCCTGACCTCAGGTGATCCACCTGCCTCAGCCTTCCAAAGTGCTGGGATTACAGGCGTCAGCCACCGCGCCTGGCAACTGTACTTCTTTTTCTGTCAAACTATCTGTTCATGTCCTTTGCTCTTTTTTTTTTTTTTTTTTTTTTTTGAGACGGAGTCTCACTCTGTCGCCCAGGCTGCAGTGCAGTGGTGTGATCTTGGCTCACTGCAACCTCCACCTCCGGGTTCAAGCGATTCTCCTGCCTCAGCCTCCCAAGTAGCTGGGAGTACAGGCACCCGCCACCATGCCCAGCTAATTTCTTATATTTTTAGTAGAGACGAGGTTTCATCATGTTGGCCAGGCTGGTCTTGAACTTTTGACCTCAGGTGATCCACCTGCCTCGGCCTCCCAAAGTGCTGGGATTACAGGTGTGAAACACTGTGCCCAGCCCTTTGCCCATTTTTCTATAATGTTTTTATGAGCATGTGCTAACTTTCCTTCTCTCCATTTATACAACTGTCGGCAACATAAGCGTCAATTGTTTTAAAAACTGTATTTCTCTTTTGACTTTCCTTATGGTAGTTTTTTATCACAGAGATTTTTAAAGGCAAATTTACCAATCTTTTGACTTCCAGATTTTGAGTCATAATTTTAGAAAGGCTTTATAATTCTAAGGTTATAATTAAATTCTCCTCTGGTTTCATTTTTTTATATTTAAATCTCTGACCCATGTAAAATGTATCTGAGTATACAACATAAAGGATCTAATGTTCTCTTTTTCCAGGTGGCTTCAAAGTTGTACCAATACCATTATTAGAGTCCATCCTTACTCCCACTGATATGAGATACTGCTTTTTACCATATCCTAGGTTGTTATATTTTCTAATCTATTTCTGAATTTTAATTTCTGCCCTATTAGGCTGTCTATCCATGCACCAAATACCTTACTTTAATTGAAGCTTTAGCTTATGTTTTAATATCAGGAAGGTCAAGTCTTCATTTGTCTTTCAAGATGTTTCAGACTTCTTCTCTTTCAAAGTTTTTCAGAATTTAGTTTATTACAGTTTTTGTAGTATTTTTTATTAGGATCACTTCAATTTGTAAATTAAGTAAGAAAGAATTGACACTTTATCATGAGTCTCAATTTCCCAATTAAGAACATGGTATGAGGGCCAGGTGTGGTGGCTCACACCTATAATCCCAGCACTTTTGGGAGACCAAGGTGAGAGGATTGTTGAGGTCAGGAGTTCAGTACCAGCCTGAGCAACATAGCAAGACTCTACAAAAAATAAGAAATTTAGCCAGGCATTGTGGTACATGCCTGTAGTCCCAGCTACCTGGGAGGCTGAGGTGGGAGAATTTCTTAAGCTCGGGAGATCAGGGCTGCAGTGAGCCATGATTATGCCACTGTACTTCACCTGGTGACAGAGCAATGGATGATCTTGGCTCACTGCAACCTCTGTCTCCTGGGTTCAAAGGATTCTCCTGCCTCAGCCTCCCAAGTAGCTGGGATTACAGATGTGTGCCACCATGCCCGGCTAATTTTTGTATTTTTAGTAGAGACAAGGTTTCACCATGTTGGCCAGGCTGATCTTGAACGCCTGACCCCAAGTGATCCACTCACCTCAGCCTCCCAAAGTGCTGGGATTACAGGCGTGATACAGGAATGCATAGAAAAACAAAGAACATGGTACTTTTTTTATGCATTCACGTCTACTTTTGTGTTCTTCAGGAATGTAAAGAGTGGATTGAAAAGAGGATAGGTAGGTGAGGTTAGGCTAGGGAAGACTGTGGCAATTGAAGAATATGTATGGGATAAACTGGAGAGAGAATAGAGTGAAGAGAGCGATTCAACATTTAATCACCTGGATAGGCCTGCCACAGAGGCAGAAAATGAATTCTACAAAGTTAGAAAGAAAACAAAAAGAAAAGTATTTTTTAAGAAAAAAGAAACTGTCAAAAGTACAATTAAGATGAAGACTAAAATAAATACATTAGGTTTAGTGATATGGAAGTCATTAGTGATCATAGTAAGATCTATTTTGGGAGAATTATGTGGCTGGAAGCCAAAGTGGGACTTACATTCCAGTTAGGCCAAATAGGGCTATCTGGCTTTAATTTGTTTCTAAAAGGGTCTTCCTAAAGGTCAAAATGCCACTGATTTCAGAGTATAACTGTACAGTAATTATTCCTAAAATGGAGTTCAAACACACTCTCAGAAGGAGGTTCTTGAATAATTCACACAAAGAATGCACAGATCCAGAAAATACTGCCAATACAAGGAAATATCAGAAACCAGACTAGGAAGTAACAGCTAGAGAGCCAAGGGAGTGGCAAACATGAAGTACATTTTCTCCAAAGCAAACTAGGCTATAACTTCAGAAAAGGATTTGGCTTGGCATTAGCCCCTGCAAGTATACATACATTCTTAAGCACAGCCAGAGAGCCAGATAAAATAGGTGGCTGCCTAAACTGGATGCCAAAATAAGGCTCTAGCTGCTCAGAAATACTTCCTTCTGCATCTTGTCAAGATACCCTTCTCTCCTTCTCTCAATCTGAATTCAAAATCCTAATTGTGGTTTCTCTTTTGAGATAGTCCCAACAGAAGCATATGGGCTTCCCCAGCAGGAAAGTAAAGGTATTCAAGGTATCCCCAGTCCTTGTTAACATTCACAAAAAGGATAACACATAGCATTTAGCCACAAGGAGACAGCAAGAAGGGTTAGGAAACAGAGGCATCAATTAAAGTAGTGACAATACATTGATCTGAGCCAAACTGGGGCTGAACATACTAAAAGGAGAATGTCCCATTGGAAATTCCAGAAACCTGGGACTGTGTGAAGGTAGAGAATCACAGGGAATTGGGGCATGGCACTCAAGGGGCATAATCATAGAATCTCAACTCAATGAGTGAGGCTTAGATGTAATCTAGTTCAGAAAATTAGAAAGGTGATATTATTATATCACAATTTTACCACTCATATTTGAACCTCCACCTCCGGGTTCAAGCTAGGAATCTCCAATGGAAGTAATTAACAGAGCACATCATAGGTTAAAAAAAATTTTTTTTTTTATTTTAGTTCCTTCAGAATTCTTTAGGACAGAAAGAACTCCTAAGCCCACCTAAGCTGGTGTGCATGCCCAAACCAATTTCCAATGTGGAAAAATAGTGAAATAGACCAATATCTTTTTACCTCCCATTTTAACACAATTTGGAACAAAAAAAATTTTTTTTTGTTAATCATAGCACTAAAATGCAGAAGTTCCAGGTCCCTTCTACTACTTACCAGCTACAGATTATAGGCACAGACAGCATTATACCAAAAGTACTAGTAAGGCCTCTTCTAGGTGTAAGATCCTTGTTCATAAAAAACAGATACTCTCACATCAGGATTACTGTCTCCTTTGGTTGCTAAGACACCAAGCAGAATCAGTAGATTCAACTAAAATCACTGAAAAAGAGGTAGAGGAGAAGGAAAAAAGGGTGTCTGAAATAGAGAAGGCAATTAACAACTCATTTATTGTGGCTCCATCTAGAAGGTTGGATATATATTTAAGTTGTTCTACAGTTTTGTATCCCTACACCTACACCTTAGCTCTACTTCAATGTCCACCTAAAGTCATATTCAAAAAGATTTGCATCAACTGGGAAAATGTAATGCTTCCGACTTCCAAATTACTCTGTGGAAGTAGTGCCACAGGTTGTTCCTTCTGCTATCAGTCTTAAGTGGTGGAATTATGAAAAGGTACTGTATCAGAGAACTGCATTCACTTAGTAAAATGTACTCCCAGGTATCGATTCTCTGCAGGAGGTTGTTTCAGAAGAAAGGAACAGGGGTTGGCTAGCTGGTTTCTTAGTTTAATTTACATACCTTCTTTTTAGAACCAGAGGGAAGTAACAGGGGATATTAAAGGATGTGATAGCTATTCCTGAGGGCAATGTTTGTATTTCTTTATAGAATTAGAATTGTGCTAGTTCTTACCAGGGAAGCAGGGAACAAATTATGTATTAGTACATTTTGCCGAAACTTTATTCTATTTACTGTTATTTGGGGAAAATGTATTTTATTCCTATGGTAAAACGACAGAACTCTGTTCCCAGGCATGTGTCTAATCCTTTTTTTCAAGGAAAAAAATTTGTAAGCACAGTATTCCAACTTACAGCAGGCACGATGGGGACCCATGAGCCAGAGAAGATGGGAAACAAACAGGAAAG
Organism: Homo sapiens; assembly: GCF_000001405.40. Lineage (NCBI taxonomy): Eukaryota > Metazoa > Chordata > Mammalia > Primates > Hominidae > Homo > Homo sapiens. The sequence continues at coordinate 107,416,306 of NC_000006.12, forward strand.
AGACTCGGCACAGACATTTGAGGGTAATAAATATGATAGCAATCTAGAAGATGAACAGTTCATGTTGTTTATGATTACAGGCTGATTATTCCTCTAAGTGCAAAGGCTATCCAATAAGTCATATCCGGGTTGATTTGTTAGCAAGGTACTTTCACCAGATAATAAATTAGAATGTAATTAAAGTGTATTCTGCCTGTTTATCATTGACTAAGATAGCTTACTATAATTCTCAATTATTTGCATGAACACATAACATGACAGCATGGTAAGTAAACCTTCTGGCAAAGGGCAACAAACATCTTAGGACTGTGCTAAAATTGCTAGATTTCTTCTCCAGTCCTTTAAAAAAACTGTTTCCAATTTTGATAAAGTATGTAAATAGAACAAATTAATCTGGCACTTGCTTTGGTAGAGTAAGTCACAGAGCTAGATCTAGACTCACAAGTCCCGAAACTTCTTAGCTTGCTAGCAATTTGCTAAAGGCAGAGACTAAACCATTAAAGAAATAAAACAGAACTGGGTATTTACCACAGACCTTTATTAGGTAGAAAAACTTAACTGTAGAGAAAATAGAAGAACTACAAAAAAAAAAAGATGTCAACATGTAAATTTAAAAATTGGATTTCAAAAAGCACTTATCTGGGCGGGTGCAGTGACTCACACCTGTATTCCTAGCACTTTGGGAGGTGGAGGCGGGTGGATTGCTTGAGCCCAGAAGTTTGAGGCCAGCCTGGGCAATACAGCGAGACCCCCGTCTCTATTTAATTTTTATAAAAAATAAAAATTTTTTTAAAGAAGCACTTACAGCATATAAGACAATAATTTCACTATATAATGTCTCCTAAGGATTAATAAGAAACAAGACCACAAGACATATGTAAACAAGACATACAAAGATAAACAAATAAATAGAAACATAATGTTCAAATAAATTACATGTAGCTCAGGGTAACTTTTTTCACCTGATTAGCAAAAATCTTTCTAAAATGATAATGACCAATATTGGCAAAGATATAGTGATACTAGTACTCTCATACATGCTGATAGTGTTACAAATTGGTTAGAACTCCTCAAAAATGCAATCTGGCAGTGAATTTAAACACTAAAAAATGTTTATAATTTTAGCTTAGTACATCCACATCATGGAATCTATCTAATAAACAAAAATATTGGCCAGGTACAGTGACTCACGCCTGTAATCCCAGCACTTGGGGAGGCCGAGGCAGCTGGATCACTTGAGGTGAGGAATTTGAGACCAGTCTAGCCAACATGGTGAAACCCCATCTCTACTAAAAATACAAAAAATTAGCTGGGCACGGTGGCGCAGCCTGTAGTCCCAGCTACTCAGGAGGCTGAAGCAGGAGAATCGCTTGAACCCAGGAGGCAGAGGTTGCAGTTGAGCTGAGATCATGCCATTGCACTCCAGCCTGGGCAAAAGAGTGAGACCCTATCTTCAAAAAAATTAATAATAATACACACACACACACACACACACACACACACACACACATATATACACCTATCACAGCTTGATCAATAATAAGAATCCAAAACAACATAAACATTCAACAGGGTAAAGGTATGTGTAATACAAGACAATAAAATATATAATCACAGATACAACATTATACAGCAATTTAAAATGACAGTTAAGAAGATTAAGTGGAAAAGGATAGAAAATCATATTTACCATGATTATATTTAAATAAAAATATGCATATTAAAAAAGACTAGGAAGGAAAATGTCAAAGTGACAATCATTGTGTTAGGGTAGTATGGCAGGCTGAATAATTGGCCCTCAAAGACATCCCCATCCTCAACCCCAGAACCAGTGCTTGTTACTTTATGTGATAAGAGGAACTCTGCAGGTATGATTAAGTTAAAGATCTCAAGATGGGAGGATTATCCTGGATGGACCCAACATAACCACAGGGGTGCTCAAAAGAGGAAGGCAGGAGGGTCAGATTGAGAGGAGATGTGAGGACAGAGCAAAGAGTGATGAGGTACAAGTCAAAGGATGCAGGCAGCCTCTAGTGGTTGAAAAAGGCAAGGAACAGATCCTCTCTAGAACCTCCAGAAGGAACACAGCTCTGCCTGCAGCCTTATTTTAGCCCCATAAGACCATTTCAGATTTCTGACCTCCAGAACACAAGTTAATAAACTTGTAATACAGTTGTGTTGTTTGGTTGGGTGTGGTGGCTCACGCCTGTAATCCCAGCACTTTGGGAGGCCAAGGCAGGTGGATCATTTGAGGTCAGGAGTTCGAGACCATCCTGGGAAACATGATGATACCCCGCATCTGCCAAAAATACAAAAAAAATTAGCCGGGTGTGGTGGCAGGCACCTGTAGTCCCAGCTACTCGGGAGGCTGAGGCAGGAGAATCGCTTGAACCTGGGAGGAGGTGGCTGCAGTGAGCCGAGATTGCGCCACTGCACTCCAACCTGGGCAACACAGCAAGACTCTGTCTCAAAACAAACAAACAAACAACAAAATAAAAATAAAGGTGTGTTGTTTTTAGCCACTAGCTTCGTGATCATTTGTTACAGCAGCAATAGGAAACTAATATAGATGGTAAGACTGACCTTTCTAAACTTTCTGTAATATTTCATATCAATTCTATTGTTGCATGCTAATTTTAAAAATTAGATAAAATTTAAGTCTAGATGAAAACATATTTTGCTTCAGTGGTTCTCAACTCTAGTTGTATATTAGCATCAAGTAGTTAGCTTAAAAAAAAAAACAAAAAGAGTACAAATGTCATGCCTTCTCCTGTCCCCAGAGATTTTGATTTGATTTTTGTGAGGCTCAAATATCATTTTTTTTAACCCACATACTAATGTGCAGCCAGCGTTGAGAACCACTGCTCTAGTATAGCAACTCATAAATGACGAGTTTCCCTAGGCCAAAGCAGAAATGGATATCAATCTAAAACCACATTTGTCTCAAAAATGCTACAAATGAAAACACTCAGTGATAGTCTATATTAGTTTAAATTTAGCACTGAGAGTTGCATCCCAGTTTAACTGACTTTGTCAAAGGAAGAGAAAAAATAAAACTCTTTATTCTACTTCTTCAATGTTTTTTATTTGTGGCATTTAAGACTTCAGAGATATAGTGCTCCAAGAAAAAGGTCCTTATTAGGATCTACATTCAAATTAGAGCAGTACACAAGAATTGTGTTTCCTTTGCTTACCTACTGACAACTGACCTTATGATAATACTACTAAAATTATGTAAGATATTTAGTCTTTGAATTTTTACAGTATGTTTTAGAAATGGTATAGACTAGCCAAGAGAAATAATCCATCAAATTCTCTGATAATGTGTTCTTTAGAATCACATTTTCCCTCTACTGTATTTTCCAGGTATCAAACTTGTAAACACACAAACACACACACACATACTTCAGTATGTTTGTGAGCAAATGTATAACTTAAAGTTTTCAAATGTGAGATTCTAAGCTATAAACTACTGACAGTCTTATGCATCTTTTGGTTAACTTAGCATCACCTCATATTCTTTCAGCAGCAAAATCCATATATGAAAAGCATCGTTATCAACCAAGTGTGTCCAAAGATTGATCTCCATAGCAACTGTAACTCTGCCACATGTAGTGTATAAGGCATCAGAGTTAACACCACATGCACACAAAGTGTTGGTATTATGTAGTCCAGACTGGTTGCTGTAGAAACCTAAACCGAAGTCCCTGACAACAGTGGATAAAATGAAAACAACAACAGAATGGTCCTTAAGAACTTACCTATCTACTCTTCTGCTTTCAAGCAAAGCCATCCTAAATGCTCTATTGATATTATTTATACTTAAAACTGATAGCACTAAAGGAAAATAATTTTAAATGATGTTATATCTTTAGGAATCACTTCCTATTCCATAAAAAATTCTCCTTCCCACCCTCTGCTCAACTGGATGTTCAGAAGCTCACTCCAATAAAGTACCGTCACCTTCTTCTAGCCTCAGCCAGAACCAGTCCCACACAGACAAGCTGGAGAGGTGCTAGCCTTTTGCTGCGACTACCACAACTATGATAGATACAGACAAGCTTATTCTAAAACAAGTTTGAAAAAGAAGAAAAGTAGGAAGAATCACTCTGCCTTATATTGTCTCACTACATCGCTATCATAATCAAGACAGTATAGTATTGGCAGAAGAAAAGACAAATAGACCAATGGAACAGAGAATCCAGAAGTGGATAAATACAAATACACCAACTGATTTTTCACAAAGGTACAAAAGTAGTTCAATGGAGGGAAAATAGTCTTTTCAACAAATCATGCTGGAACAACTGGACATCCATGGGCAAAAATAAAAAATAAAATAGAAGCTTGACTTAAAACGCACACCGCATACAAAGATCAATGCAAAAAGGATCACGGATTTATGTAAAATGTGAACCACAGAACTATAAAACTTTTAGAAGAGAACATAGGAGAACATCTTTGGGACCTAGGGCTAGGAAAAGAGTTCTCAGACATCACATCAAAAACCCAATCTATAAAAGAAAAAAAAAAAACCAGTAACTGGATGTCATCAAAATTTAAAACTTTTACTCTGCAAAGGACTCCATTAACAAGATAAAAAGATGAGCCACATACTAGAAGAAAATATTTGCAAATTTTATATCCAAAGGACTTCTATCCAGAATATGTAAAGAATTCTCTAAACTCCGCAGTAAGGAAACAAACAGTCTATTTGAAAATAGGCAAAAAGACTTGAGTATTCATCTTACCAATGAGGATGTAAGTATGGCAAATCAGCACATGAAAAAACGTTCGACATCATTAGGCATTAAGGAAATTAAAGCTAAGATGAGATATTACTACACATCTATTAGAATGGCTAAAATAAAAAATACTGACAATACCAAATGCTAACAAAGGATATGGAGAAACTAGATTTCTCATACCTTGCCAGTGGAAATGTAAAATAGTACAGCTACTCTGGAAAACAATTTGGCAATTTCTTATGAAATTGAACATACACTTACCATACAACCCAACAATCACACTCCCAAGCTTTTATCTTAAAGAAACAAAAACATGTTCACATAATCACCTATACATGAATGTTCAGAGCAGCTTTATTTGTAACAGCCCAAACTAGAAACAACCCAAATGTTTATGGTAAATGGATATATAAACTATGGTACATTCATACAATGAGATATTAATTAGCAGTAAAAGGGAACAAACTACTGGCATACACAACTTAGGTGGATCACAAGGACATTACGCTGAGTGAAAACTGTCAATCTCAAAAGGTTACGTACTATATGACTCCATTTCTATAACATTTCAAAAGACAAAAACATAAAAATGAACAGATCAGGCAGTGCTCAAGGTTAGGAAAGGAGGAAAATTCCTGGTGCTGCACTTTGTAGTCTCAAAGTGCAACACCAGGAATTTTCTTCATAGCGATGGAACAGTCCTATATCTTGATGATGGTAGTTACAAAAATCTATATACGTGATAAAATTTCACAGAACACACACACACACACACACACACACACAAACGAATGCATGTAAAAACGAGTGAAAGCCAAATAAGGTTTGTAGTTTAGTTGGCAGTACTGTACCAATGCCAATTTCCTGGTTTAAATAATGTTCTATACTTATGCAAGATGTTACCACGGGGAAAGCTGGATGATGGCTAAAAGGACCTCTCTGTACAATTTTTATAACTTCCTGTAAGTCAGTAATTATTTCAAAATAAAAAGGTTAAAAAAAACTTGTCAGCAAAAACCTATAAAATTTTAAAAGTAAAAAAAAAAAAAAAACTTAAAACATTTGACAAAAAGACCCTTAATATATGAAGAGCTCTTCTATGTCAATAGGAGATAGTGCAAATAAAAATAAGGAAAGAATATAACTAGGCAACTCAACAAAGAAATAAAATTGGCCAACCACATAACAAAAAAGACTCAATCTCATTAGTATTCAAATACTAATATTAGTATTAATATTCAACATACAAGAAGACTTTTATAACATCTCTCAAGTTGGCAAAAATTATCAATATCCAAGGTTAGTAAGAACAAGGAAAAACAGGCACTCCCATATACCATGGACAGAAATTAATGTATGAAAATATTTCCAATAGAAGATATTCATACTCTTAATCCCAAAAAGTCAATATTTAGGAAGGTATCCTAAGGAAATAATCAAACAAGTGTGCAATGACATACATGCAAATTCCATCACAGTACTATCTATAATAGTGAAGAATTCAGGAGAAAAACATTTAAAAAAAAGAGGATAATTAACTGTATTATGGAATATTCATTATAATGAAATATCACGTAGTTGTTAAAATTATGTTTATTAATTTTAAAAGCAATTCTCTATATACTGTTGAGAGAGAAAAGTAACAAAAATATACACATGTGATAAACCTATTTTTATGGCCATGCAGGCTATACACCAAAATATTAACACTAGGTATCTCTGAGTAATTAAGACTAGGGTAACTTTTCGTTATATATTTCTGTATTGTCCGACAGGAGCATGTTTTATACAAAAATAAAATTAATTTTCATTTTTTAAATTAAACAATACATACTAAGCTAATGAGCGTTCTTTTAACTGGAGATTTCATATATTACGATGCTAAAAGCACTACATAATTTTTTTTACTTCCATAGAAAAAATAAAACTACCCTGCCTGATATAGTAACATCTGCTTTTTCTTTATGACTCCTCCAGGTTCCTGAAAAGATATTCATTTTTAGTTTAAAAACAAACAAAAAAAGCCTGACCAGGGTGGCTTTAAAGAAAAAAATCCATGCAACCCAAGGACTATGTATGCTTGCTCATCATGAAGTTGATAATCTCTGCATCTCTGTTATATCTAGTTGTAAATGGCAATGAGTATTGTTTTAGGTATTAGTAAACTGTTAATTTATTAATAACATATTGACAAGTGTACTCTCCATTTGTCATAGAAGAAAGCTGGACAGCAAAAAGGGAAAAGAGAATAAAATGACAAGAATGATAATAATATCTTCCTTAATGTGATCTTGGGAAAAAAAGAATTTCATTTCTGAGGATAAGGAAGGAGGACAGCATATAGGAAATAATTTCCTTTTTACATTGGTAACTTGTATCAATATCAGAATCTCTGAAAGCTTATTTGATAGTCTGTGGTAAGTAAGGTTTTATTGTTCAGTTGGAAAATAAAGTTTCTCCAGCAGAGACACATGGCTTCTTTGTCTGTTATTTCCCTCAGTTAAATACTTGAAATGTCCAAGTTTAATAATAAAATATTGTTGCTTTCATAGTGAATTTCCTGGATTATATCACTCTCCCGAAGCCCTTCCAGCATTTAAAGAAGTTTTTTGTTTTTGTTTTACAGACCTGAATTAAGAGGACTTACAATATGCTGAAATCATCAAGAAGCTTTCTTAGGCTCATTAAGTTAAAATTCTCCCACATGATTAACTGCTGATTTTGACTCAAAAGTAACATAATACTACCACTCCTCTTCCTGATTTCCACACTTGGCATTCCAGGTAAAAGGCAGAGCAGAAACAACTTCTTCCTATTTTCCATCTATACAATTCTACCCATTTCCAGCAGCTTCTTAAAATTTTTCTTCTTCCATAAAGCCTTTGGTTTAGCCAGCCCACAGTGTTCTACCCTGAAGTCCTGTAGCACTTAGCTAAACACTTCATTTAGCAATTACTAACAATTATGATTATTTTTATCTTGCATCTTTTTTTTTTTTTTTTTTTTTTTGGGACAGGGTCTCACTCTGTCACCCAGGCTGGATTGCAGTGGTGCAATCACGGCTCACTGCAGCCTTGACCTCCTGGGCCCAAGTGATCCTCCCATGACAGCATCTCAAGTAACTGGGACCATAGGCGAGCATTACCACATCCGGCTAATTTCTTTAATTTTTTATTTTTATAGAGATAGGATCTCCCTATGTTGCCCAGGCTGGTATCAAACTCCTGGGCTCAAGTGATCCTCCCACCTCAGCCTCCCAAAGTGCTGGTATTCAGGCATAAGCCACCACACTGGACCTTGTATCATTAAACTGCATCATTATTTGCATCTAGTTTCCCCAAGTTCTCTTGCAGGAACCTTTTTTACCTCAACATATCCCTTATTGTGCTTTAATACACAGTAGTGAGTCAATAAACATTTGTTGATCAACTATAACACAAGTAAACCTTTCAGTTCCACTCTTATTTGATACTAATTTTTTTTTCAACACTTAGCTATTATTTCTCCTACCTATCCTTTGTCTTACTTACAAGGACAAAACTACAAAGGAGAGGCTGAAGATACAGGCTGTGTAAGGCATTGCATTCTCTTTGTCTTCCTGCAGCAAAAATTATTTAAAATGTGAAAAGAGAATAAAATGAATTGTATACCTTTGGTATATGTCTTTCAAAGTGAAACGACCATCATTTAACAAGAAATTAGAGACCTCATTGGAGAATATGCTAAGGGAAAATCCAAGGGAATAATACTCATGGATTAATGAACTGATTCCTTCTCAAAGGATATGAACAACTCCATCAGTCTTTGATATGGTTTGGCTGTGTCCCCACCCAAATTTCATCTTGAATTGTAATTCCCACAATTCCCATGTGCCGTGGGAGGAACCCAGTGGGAGGTGATTGAATCATGGGGGTGGGTCTTTCCTGCACAGTTCTTGTGATAGTGAATGAATCTCACGAGATCTGATGGTTTTAAAAACGGGAGTTTCCTTGTACAAGATCTCTTTCTTTGCCTGCCACCATCCATGTACGATGTGCCTTGCTCCTCATTGCCTTCCACCATGATTGTGAGTCCTCCCCAGCCATGTGGAACTGTAAGTCCATTAAACCTCTTTTTCTTCCCAGTCTTGGGTATGTTTTATCAGCAGCATAAAAACAGACATACAGTAAATTGGTACCAGTAGAGTGGAGCATTGCTGAATGTATACCCAAAAATGTGAAAGTAACTTTGGAACTGGGTAACAGGCAGAGGTTGGAAGTTTGGAGGGCTCAGAAGAAGACAGGAAAATGTGAGAAAGTTTGGAACTTCCTAGAGACTTGTTGAATGGCTTTGACAAAAATGCTGACAGTGATATGAACAATAAGATCCAGGCTGAGGTGGTCTCAGATGGAGATGAGGAACTTGTTGGGAACCGGAGCAAAGGTAATTCTTGTTATGTTTTAGCAAAGAGACTAGAGACTTGTGGAACTGTGAACTAGAGAGAGATGATTTAGGGTATCTTGTAGAAGAAATTTATAAGCAGCAAAGCATTCAAGGGATGACTTGGGTGCTGTTAAACGGATTCAGTTTTAAAAGGGAAACTGGGCATAAAAGTTTGGAAAATTTGCAGCCTGACAATGCAATTGAAAAGAAAATCCCATTTTCCTCACACCTGTAATCCCAGCACTTTGGGAGGCCGAGGTGGGTGGATCACGAGGTCAGGAAATCGAGACCATCCTGGCTAACATGGTGAAACCCTGTCTCTACTAAAAATACAAAAAATTAGCTGGGCGTGGTGGCAGGCACCTGTAGTCCCAGCTACTCGGGAGGCTGAGGCAGGAGAATGGCGTGAGCCTGGGAGGTGGAGCTTGCAGTGAGCCGAGATTGCGCCACTGCACTCCAGCCTGGGCGACAGAGCGAGACTTCGTCTCGAAAAAAAAAAAAAAAGAAAATCCCATTTTCTGGGGAGAAATTCAAGCTGCAGAAATTTGCACATGTAACAAGGAGCCAAATGTTAATCACCAAGACAATGGGAAAAATGTCTCCAGGACATGTCAGAGACCTTTGCAGCAGCCCCTCCCATCACAGGCCTGGAGGTTTAGGAGGAAAAAATGATTTTATGGACCAGGCCCAGGGTCCCTCCGCTGTGTAGTCTAGGGACTTGGTCCCCTGCATCCCAGCTGCTCCAGCCATGGCTGAAAGGGGCCAACATAAAGCTTGAGCTGTGGCTTCAGAGGGTGCAAGCCCCAAGTTTTGGCAGCTTCCACACGGTGTTGAGCCTTTGAGTGTATAGAAGTCAAGAACCGGGGTTTGGGAACGTCTGCCTAGATTTCAGAGGATGTATGGAAATGCCTGGATGCCTAGGCAGAAGTTTGCTGCAGGGGCGGAGCCCTCATGGAGAACCTCTGGTAGGGCACTGCAGAAGGGAAATGTAGGGTTGGAGCCTCCACAAAAAGTCCCTACTGGGGCACCGTTTAGTGGAGCTGTGAGAAGAGGGCCACCATTCTCCAGACCCCAGAACGGTAGATCCACTGACAGCTTGTACCGTGTGCCCAGAAAAGCTGCAGCCACTCAACACCAGCCCATGAAAGCAGCCAAGAGGGTGGCTGTACCCTGCAAAGCCACAGGGGCAGAGCTGCCCAAGACCATGGGAGCCCACCCTTTGCATCAGCGTGACCTGAATGCAAGACATGGAGTCAAAGGAGATTATTTTGGAGTTTTACGATATGACTGCCCTGCTTGATTTTGGACTTGCATGAGGCCTGTAGCCCCTTTGTTTTGGCCAATTTCTCCCATTTGAAACAGCTGTACTTACCCAATGCCTGTACCCCCATTGTATCTGGGAAGTAACTTTCTTTTGATTTTACAGGTTCATAGATGGAAGTGACTTAAGATGAGTTACTGGACTGTGGGCTTTTGAGTTAATGCTGAAATGAGTTAAGACTTTGTGGGACTGCTGGAAAGGCATAATTGGTTTTGAAATGTGAGGACATGAGATTTAGGAGGGACCAGGGGCGGAATGATATGGTTTGGCTGTGTCTCCACCCTAATCTCATCTTGAATTCTAGCTCCCATAATTCCCATGTGTTGTGGGAGGAACCCAATGAGAGGTGATTGAATTATGGGGATGGGTCTTTCCTGTGCTGTTCTTGTGACAGTGAATGAGTCTCACGAGATCTGATGTTTTAAAAACGGGAGTTTACCTGCACAATCTCTTTTTGCCTGCTGCCATCCATGTAGGCTATCCACAAACCATTTTTTGTGACTTGCTCCTCCCTGCCTAACGCCATGATCATGAGGCCTCCCCAGTCATGTGGAACTGTAAGTCCATTACATCTTTTTTTCTTCCCAGTCTCGGGTATGTCTTTATCAGCAGCATGAAAATTGACTAATAGAGTCTTGTCCCTGATACTTCCAAAATCTGCACTCATGATTTGAGAGAGCCTTTATGAAATCAAACATATTTTTACCAATCATGAATTCTATCTATCTAAAAGGACATTTAAGTGCCAGCAAAGAGTTTTATAATTAGAAATCCATTCTTTTAAGAATAGCTATATTACCTAAATAATTCCAGATATTTTGTTTTGGTTTTTGGTTAAGGGGTGGGAGCAGGTGGGCAGAAACCAAAATGAGAACTCTCCCTATTGTTTGTCATTCCATCCTAAATGAGCCCTTTCTTATATTTCCAGAGGTTTCTTATATTTTTGGAGGTTCCAGAATTTAAGTTTATGACACTCATTTGTAATGCATATGAGTATTTAGATTGGATTGTTACTTTAAAAAAAATGGTTTGTAGATAGCCTACGTCTACATTATTTCTACAAATCCCAACCATATCAAACTGGAGTTGCTTCCAGCATTTATAATGAATTTACCAACAATATGAGGCCCTATTTAGAGACAGCTGTTTCTGAGAGAGGAACAAATTTTGGATTGACAAATTTCACATTTTTTACAGAGGTTGTGCACCAGCTGATTAGAATTTGTTCTGAAATTCTATCTATATCTATAATGTTTAAAACTAATATATTTTCATAGTGTATATAAGATACAGTCAAAATTTTCTGAACTATTCCAATTACTCACTAGTACACTGCAGAGACTCATAAGGAATTTTATATTGTCCTTCACTCTGTCTTTAAGGTGCAAGTCAATCCCATGGAAGATTTCAAAATAAAAGGATGCAACAGCATCTTGTAGTAATCCATTGCTAACAAGTGGTATAGCTTCAAAAAGCTTCCCCACTTAATTTTAATCAGCACTTGCTACAATTTAAGTGTATTCTTTTGTGCTCTGTTTTTAGAAAAAGTTGATCACTATCTTCAACCATGATGTTCTATGCTTTGAAGAATGATACACAAGATGAATGCCGTGACTAAGGCAAAGGTCAGGACAGGGCAAAACTCTCTGGTTAGGCAAAATTTTATTCCATTCCTTCAATTCTATAAGTACTTATTGAAGGCTTTCTGTATCAAGTATATGCTGGGCAACAGAAACATAAAAGAGAAAATCAGACCAGACGCAGTGGCTCATACCTGTAATCCCAGCACTTTGGGAAGCTGAGGCAGGAAGATCACTTGAAGCCAGGAGATCAAGACCATCCTTGGCAATATAGTGAAACTCCCCCATCTTTACAAAAAGAAATTTTTTTTTAATTATCTGGGTATAGTAGTGTACACCTATAGTCCCAGCTACTCCAGAGGCTGAGGTGGGAGTATTGCTTGAGCTGAGGAGTCTGAGGCTGTTGTGAGCTGTGACTACGCTACAGCACTCCAACCTGGGCAACAGAGCAAGATTCCTGTCATTCATTCATTCATAATTAAATAAATAGAAAATCATCTCTTTCAAAAAGTTCACAGTCATGGGAACACTTATACCTAAATTAGAGGTCCAGGCCAGTTCATCCATGAAGCAGCAACTATAACTGAAGCACGCCAAATTGTGGAATGGAGAACATATGCCCAGTCTAAAGGATGCAGCCACTACCTGACACCAGCACTCCCATGCTCTGGGAGAATGCAAACTCAGTGGTGTCACAGCTTCTGATTTTCTGAGAAGACAGAAACTTTGAGGAATGAACATTTAACCTAGAGAAATCAGGGAATGCTTAGCAAAAGAGCTAACATTTGAATCGAGTCCTATAAAGGTTACGCAGAGTGTACTAGGTGTGAATGCAGATGCCTTATTTCCTGTGGCTACAGCTTAGGGTGGAAAGTGGGGAGTGGCAAGATAAGCAACTAGAGAGGAAAGAAGCCATGCACAAGCTAAACTCTATGCACAGAACACAAGAACTTGTTGAAGAAGTTACTCTATAATACAACATACAAGAGCAGAATTTATCTGTCTGCAGAAAACTCTACCAAACTCCCATACAGTGAGATTTCAAGGTTTGGTAGACATACAAAGAGGCAGGTATCTTGCTTTTAGTCCATAAAGCTAGACTGGACACTACTGTATCTAAACACTCTTTGGCCTCGAACTATTGAGACATCTAAATGCCTGTATGGTTCCAGTAGCAGCAGTGGGTACATAAACACATAGCGGCCATGAAGAAGAATATACTAAACCTAGGGTGGGCGCGGTGGCTCACACCTGTAATCTCTGCACGCTGGGAGGCCAAGGCAGCCAGATCATCTGAGGTCGGGAGTTTGAGACCAGCCTGACCAACATGGAGAAACCCTGTCTCTACTAAAAATACAAAATTAGCTGGGCGTGGTGGTGCATGCCTGTAATCCCAGCTACTTCGGAGGCTGAGGCAGGAGAATCACTTGAAATCGGGAGGCGGAGGTTGCAGTGAGCCAAGATCGCGCCATTGCACTCCAGCCTGGGCAACAAGAGCAAAACTTAGTCTCAAAAAAAAAAAAAAAAAATATATATATATATATATATATATATATATATATATACACCAAACCCAGAAAGAAAGATTTTGGGAGATCTGTCATCCCCAAATGTCTCCCCTTTACTCTTGACAAGGGTAATACCTTATTCATTGCTAAAATTACTTAGCATATACAAGACCTCTTGACATATATTATTCTCACCCACCTAAGACACCTTCAGCTCCCTATTTTCTATTTTGTGGGGGTTTATAACTCACACATCCACTGTAGCCAATTGTATTCATATTTTGCACTCTTTTTTTGTATATTAAACCACTTTAACTTCAAAAGTTCTAAAACCTAGGCCGGGCACAGTGGCTCACGCCTGTAATCCCAACACTTTGGGAGGCCAAGGTGGGTGGACCACTCAAAGCCAGGAGGTCAAGACTAGCCTGGCGAACACGACAACACCCTGTCTCTACTAAAAATACAAAAAGTAGCCAGGCGTGGTGGCGTGCATCTATAATCTCAGCTACTCAGAAGGCTGAGGCACAATAATCACTCGAACCCGGGAGGTAGAGGTTGCAGTGGGCCAAGATTGTGCCACTGCACTCCAGCCTGGGTGACACAGCAAGATTCTATCTCAAAAAAAATAAAAATAAAATTTAAAAAGGACCGGGCATGGTGGCTCACATCTGTAATCCCAGCACTTTGGGTGGCCAAAGCAAGTGGATCACCTGAGGTCAGGAGTTCCAGACCAGCCTGGCCACATGGTGAAACCCCATCTCTACTAAAAATACAAAAATTAGCCAAGCGTGGTAGTGGGTGCCTGTAATCCCAGCTACTCAGGAGGCTGAGGTTGGAGAATTGCTTGAACCTGGGAGGCGGAGGTTGCGGTGAGCCAAGACTGCACCACTGCACTCCAGCCTGGGAGACAAGAGAGAAACTCCGTCTCAGAAAAAAAAAAAGAAAAAAGTTCTAAAATCTAATTCAGGGCCACATGTTAACCAGCACCAGCAATTTCTTCATCTTCCTAATCTTCCTAACCCATTAGTCAATCTTATTTTATTGTAATTCAAAAAAATTAATCGATATTTTGCTCCAGAAAGGATGATTAGTTTTGCCAAGGAAATTTGCTATTCTCCAGGTAGGAAGGAGGAAAGAAAATCACGTTGGGTTCTGTCACCTAAGCCTTTCATTCAGTGAGCCTCACAACAAGATAGGTATTATTATTCCCCTTTTCACCAATGGGAAAACTGAAGTTCTGAGTAGTTAACTTGCTCAAATAGCAGGTAGTAAATGACTGATGTCTGGGCTAAAGCCAGACCTCTTTGGAAGACACAGCTTCTAAAACTAACTTCTTCCCACTATTCCACATAGCTTTAACTGTCACCCTTTTTCTTTTCCTTTTTTCTTGAGACAGGGTCTCACTCTGCTGCCTAGGCTGGAGTGCAGTAGCGCAATCATGGCTCACTACAGCCTCCACTTCCCAGGCTTAAGTTATCCTCCCACCTCAGCCTCCTGAGTTGGGACTACAGGTGCATGCCACCATGCCCGGCTAATTTTTGTATTTTTAGTAGAGACAAGGTCTTGCCACATTGCCCAGGCTGATCTTGAACTCTGGGCTCATGCGAACCTGCTGCTTTGGACCCTCAAAGTGCTGGGATTACAGGCGTGAGCCACTACACCCAGCCACCCGTTATTATTTCTAATAACAATCATAATACTGCACTTCTACCTTATATTTGTACAGTACAGCATACCTTTCAAATCACTTTCATCTATAATATTTTTGTGGGTTCCTAAAACTATTTTTCAAGAAAACTTGGGCAAAGAAAAAAAAAGATGACTAGCCTAAGATCACAGAGAAATGATTACTGAGTACAAATAATAGTTAATAACAGTAGCTATATTTATTGAACAGTTAATCTAAACATTTTACAATCTGTTGTCTCATGTAATCCTCATTACAATCCTGTGAGACAGCAATGACAACAATATGACCTCTTTTACAGATGAGATAACAAGGCTTAAGGAATTCTGTAGTTCACATAGCTAGGAAATGGCAGTCTTGGAATTAAAATTCAGGTACTAGTAGGCTCACAAATCTATTTTCTTATCTACAGCATCATACAGAACTGCTTCCCTAAACTGCAGTGCTCTTTATAGAATATTATGCATTTACTATAATTAAGTTAAACTAAAATTAGTTAGAATTGTGAACTGAAATTGCTATCAGTCTGATTTCCAAACCTACTACTGAATGAAAGTGGTGGAAGAAGCAAACAGGTGGCAGAATAATATCTAGCAGGAATTTAAAAGAAATTTTTCACTGGGTAATCAACACATAGATAATCAAAAACACAATATAATTTGGGGGGAAAGTAAACCATCAACATCTCAGGATTATCCTCTTTGGATCAAGAGACATTACCCTGATCATTTAACAAATGAGCCCACTATTCAAACATACATTCAAAAGCAAAAACATTCTATTTTTCATTTTATTTTTAGTTGACACATAATTTATGGGATATTGATGCATGATATTTCTCAATACATGCATACAATGTGCAATGATCAAGTCAGTGTAATTAGCATAACCATCACCTTAAGCATTTCTTTGGGTAGTGAACATTCAAAATCCTCTCTTTGGCCAGGTACGGTGGCTCATGCCTGTGATCCAAGCACTTTGGGAGGCCAAGGCAGGCGGATCACTTGAGGCCAGGAGTTTGAGACCAGCCTAGCCAACAAAATACAGAAATACAAAAATTAGCCAGGCGTGGTGGTGCACGCCTGTGGCTGAGGCATGACAATCGCTTGAACCCAGGAGGTGGAGGTTGCAGTGAGCCAAGATTGTGTCATTGCACTCCAGCCTGGGCGACTGAGGGAGACACTGTCTCAAAAACAAAAACAAAAACAAACAAAAAAAATCCTCTCTTCTAGCTTTTTGAAAATATTCACTAAATTACTGTTAACCATATTCACCCTACAATGCCACAGACACTAGAACTTATTCTTCCCATCTAGTTGTAACTTTGTATCTGTTAACCAATCTCTCCCTATCCTTCCCTCCCCTCTACCTTTCCCTACCACCCCAATAACCACAATTCTAATTCTTTAAGCTCAACTTTTTCCTTAGCTCCCACATATAAGTGGGACATGTGGTATGTATCTTTCTGTTCTGACTTATTTCACAACATAATGTCCTCCAGGAAAAAAATTTTTTTTTAACTCATCTTATGAAATAGTAAAAATCATCCAGGATGGAAAAGCTCCACCCCAGTTTTTTCCTACGTTGACCGGGTATACTCATATTCGTAAGTATTTTTAAAGTTATGTTAAAATATCCATACTACCCAAAAGCAACCTACAGATTCAATGCAACATTCTTCACAGAAACAGAAAAAAAAAAACCCTAAAATTTATATGGAACCACAAAAGACCCAAATAGCCAAGGCCATCCTGACCAAAAGGACAAAACAGAGGAATCACATTACTGGCTTCAAATTATACTACAGAGTTATTGTAACCAAAACAGCATGGTACTGGCATAAAAACAGACACATTAACCAATGGAACAGAATAGAGAACCCAGAAATAAATTCATACATCTACAGTGAACTCACTGTTCAACAAAGGTGCCAAGAACATGCATTGGGGAAAGGACAGTCTCTTCAATAAGTAGTGCTGGGAAAACTGGATATCCATATGCAAAAGAATGAAACCAGACCTTTATCTCTCACTATACACAAAAATCAAATTAAAATGGATTAAAGACTTAAATCTAAGATTTCAAACTATGAAACTACTAAAAGAAAATATTGGGCATACTCTCCAGGACACTTGCCTGGGCAAAGATTACTTGAATAATGTCCCAAAAAGCACAGGCAACCAAAGCAAAAATGGACAAATGGGATCACATCAAATTAAAAAGCTTTTGCAAAGAAAAGGAAACAGTCAACAAAGTGAAAAGACAACCCACAGAATGGGAGAAAATATTTGCAAACTCTATCCATCTGGCAAAGGATTAATAACAAGAATATACAAGGGGCTCAAACAACTTGAAGGGAAAAATAATCGAATAATTTGATCTTAAAGTGGGCAAAAGAAGACATTCAAACGGCAAACAGGTATATGAAAAGGTGCTCAACATCATTGATCATCAGAGAAATAAATGCAAATCAAAACTACAACGAGATATCATCTCACCCCAGTTAAAATGGCTTTCATCAAAAGATAAGCAATAATGAATGCTAGTGAGGGTATAGTGAAAAGAGGACTCTCATACACGACTAGTGGGCATGTAAATTAGTACAACCATTATGGAAAACAGTACGCAAGTTCCTCAAAAACTGAAAATAGAGATAACTTGTGATCCAGCAATCCCCCTGCTGGGTATATGCCCAAAAGAAAGGAAATCAGTATACTGAAGAGATAGCTATACTCCCATGTTTACTGCAGCACTGTTCACAATAGCCAAGATGTGGAAGCAACCTAAGTGTCCATGAACAGATGAGTGCATAAAGCAAATGTGGTACATATACACAATGGAGTATTTATTCAGTCAGAAAATAAAATGAGATCCTGTCATTTGCAACAACATAAATGGAACTGGAGGACATTAAGTGAAATAAACCAGGCCAGAAAGACAAACTTCACATATTCTTACTCATTTGTGGGAGGTAAAAATTAAAACAATTGAACTTATGGAAACAGAGTAGAATGATAGTTACCAGAGGCTGGGAAGCATAGTGGCAGGTGGGTGGTAGGGATGGTTAATGAGTACAAAAATATCGTTAAAATGAATAAAATCTAGTATTTGATAGCACAACAGTGTGACTACATTTAACAATTATTTACTGTACATTTTAAAATAATTAAAAGAGTATTACTAGAATGTTTGTATCACAAAGAAATAACAAATGCTTGAGGTAACACATACCCCATTTACCCTGATGTGATTACTAGGCATTGTATGCGTGTATCAAAATACCTCCATATATATACGTGTGTGTGTGTATATATATACATATATACCTCCATTTATACTCCATAAATATACACACTTACTATGTACTCATAAAAATTTTTTTTAAAGCTCAACAGTAAAAGACAAACAAAAAATCAGTTTGATTAGGGCTGGGCACAGTGAGTCATGTCTGTAATCTCAGTACTATGAGAGGCCAAGGCAGGAGGATTGGTTGAGCCCAGGAGTTTAAGACCAGCCTGGGCAACACAGCAAGATCTCATCTCTTAAAAAAAAATTAATCTATTAGCCCAGTGTGGTGTTACACATCTGTAGTCCTAGCTACACGGGAGGCTGAGGTGGGAGGATCACTTGAGAACAGGAGTTCAATACTGCAGTGAGCTATGATCATGCCACCATACTGCAGCCTAGGTGGCAGAGCAACATACTGCCTCAAAACACACACACACACACACACACACACACACACACACACACACACACACACGATTAAAATGACCTCCTTTTTGTGTACTCATAAAATTGTACCATGCATACTCCATTGTCATATAGTCACACTTGATTTGAATCATGGTCACTACAGAATAAAAAGTATGTGAGAAAATAAATATTTTAAAATAATCAAAAATGCTTTTAGCAAAAGCTTTATATATACTAGAGTAGTAGTCCTGTGAAACTAAATGACATTCCTTTTAAAAACACAGTGGCCTAAAAGACATAGCCTAAAGTTAGAGAGAGATGTTAAAGAAGGTAGATTTGTGAAGGTATTATTATTCTGAAGATAAATCTCATTTATTTGTAATATCAACATTTTAACAGACAGAAATCTCCTGTCATAAAGCCCCTGTAATTATTAAACACTGTCAAGAGCTCGATCATGCAAATTATCACTGTTTCAAAAATTCAAAACATGACTGCTAAGTTTTTAGAGTATTCATTAGACCTATCTCTAGCATCACAATACTGGAAATAAAATCTTTTTAATTTGCTAAAAAAAATCTTTGAAGCAAATGAAATAATATTCCAAGGAGACTCCAGGAGAATAATTTTTTAAAGCTATTTTAAAACATTTGTTGAAACGAAGTTACAGAACACAAAAATTGCGAAAAAAAAATGAAAGGTTTTCAAGAGCCTTTGGTGAGTCACAGGAAGAAAAGCAAATCCAGCTGCACTCCATAAACTAAAGATTTGTATTTAGAACTTCCAAAAAATATTAAATCAGAAACAACTATCTGATGTGTTAACTATGTGCCCATTTTTAAAACCTACTCTCTAGTATAGCTACTTTTGGGAAAACATTCATTAAACTCTTCGTCAAACCACAAACACAGATGGATTTTTTTGGTAACTAATGGGCCTCTAAGGTGTTTTTAGAAAAGGGAGACAAATCTTGGCCCTAGAGAATAAAGAAGGGACAATTACAGAATACAGGATTGATGAAAAGCAGTTGGCAATACAGTAGTAATGAGCAACATGAGAAGAGAAATTATCTGAATCCAAATTATTATCTAAACAAAAGGAATTATTATAGTACTTAAAAACCTATAACCAATGTATCCTCATTCATTGGGCTCAAAATGAAGAACACAGACCAGTTAGAATTCTTCAGCCTTAAATAATATATGTACCCTTTTTAAAGGTAAAAATTCAGTTACTGAGTACTGCCTTAAATAATTTTTATTAAAATATTATTTAAATATGTACACATGTAAAAGTGATAAACTCTATTTGGTTATACTTCTTATGTAACTAAAAGGAGAGATTTGTTAAAGGATACAAAATTTCAGTTGGGAGGAGTAAGTTCTAGTGTTCTTTATCACTGTAGGATGACTATAGTTAACAATAATGTATTACATAGTTTCAAATAGCTAGGAGGGTAAGAACGTTCCCAACACAAAGAAGTGATGAATGTTTGAAATGACAGACATGCTAATTACCCTGATCTGATCATCATACATTATATGTATCAAAACATCACTATGTACCCCATGAATATGTACAGTTATTATTTGTCAATTAAAAAAATAAAGTACAAATTGAAAACAAAATTTATTCAAATTGGCATTAATTTACTACGACAGATGATGGTACTTGACTGATACTAAATTGCTATTCCCAATATGAAATGGGTGCTGACTGCCTCAGTGTGGGTTTTTTTTTTCTTTCTTTTGAGACACAGTCTTGCTCTGTCACTCAGGCTGGAGGAGTGCAGTGGCATGCTCATAGCTCACTGCACCCTTCAACTCCTGGCCTCGAGCCATTCTCCCACCTCAGCCTCCTGAGCAGTTGAGATTACAGGTGTGTGCCATCGCACTGGTAATTCTTTGAAATAAGGGAAGACTATCATGAAAATGCATTCTCTCACCCCTTTTCTCTATTCAAATTACAGTTGTGAGGCTGGGTGCAGCGGCTCACACCTGTAATCCCAGCACTTTTGGAGGCCAAGGTGGGCAGATCACTTGAGGCCAGGAGTCTAAGACCAGCAGCCTGGCCAACATGGCGAAACCCTGTCTTTACTAAAAATACAAAAATTAACCAGGCAAGGTGGCGCACACCTATAGTCCCAGCTACTCAGGAGGCTGAGGTACAAGAATTGCTTGAGCCTGAGAGGCAGAGGCTATAGTGAGCCAAGATCGCACCACTGCACTCCAGCCTAGGAGACAGAGTGAGACCCTGTCTCCAAAAAAAAAAAAAAAAAAAAAAAAAATTTACAGTCGTGCCTTGTTATACATGGGGGATTGGTTCTAGGACCTCCTCATTTCCACATATACCAAAATCCATGCATACTCAAGACCCAAAATCAGCCCTGTGGGAGCCTGTGTATTATGAAAAATTGGCCTCCCTGCACACGAGCTTCACATTCCCCTATGCCCCACCTCTGGTTGAAAAAAATCTGCGTATAAGTAGATAGATCTGCACAGTTCTAACCCATTTTGTTCAAAGGTCAACTGTATATGAAATTGTTATTCATGTAACATACTGCTCTTATATCTCCTGATTGAGGCCAGAAGATTCTTTCACTCTCGACACAGGAAACAGGTTGGTGAAAAGCACATGACAATCATTACTAATCACTTTACTGGCTCTAGTTTCTAGGGCTAAGGATTTCTGTGAGAAGGACTGCTACTGAAATGGACTCCTTGAACTCAGAAAGCAATGAGAGGCACCCAGGGAAAGGTCGCATCCAGGTGGTAGTAGTTAACTGACAGAAACGAAGTGGGCATGGTGATCCTAACAGGCAGCAAGGTGGATATGGAATATTAGGTCATCTCAAACTTTGTTGTGATAGGCAGAAATCCCTGTCTATATTTAATTAGACTCAATAACTCAAATCAACAGGCAACCCACTTAGATCTGTTTTTATTTTTTATTTTTATTTTTTGAGATGGAGTCTCGCTCTGTCACCCAGGCTGGAGTGCAATGGCATGATCTCAGTTTACCACAACTTCCACCCCCAGGGTTCAAGTGATTCTCCTGCTTCAGCCTCCCAAGTAGCTGGAATTACAAGCATGCACCACCACACCGGCTAATTTTAATTTTTTTCTTTGTATTTTTAGTACAAAGTTTCGCATGTTGGCCAGGCTGGTCTCGAACTCTTGATCTGAAGCAATCTACGCGCCTCGGCCTCCCAAAGTGCTGGGACTACAGGTGTGAGCCACCATGCCCGGCCTGTTTTGATTTAAATAACCAAAAATGAACAAATAACTCCAGGTCTAGTGAACTTGTCTGAGCCACTACAGTAGAGAGTCAGGAACTCTCACCCAAATTCGAGACCCACGGTTCCTTGAATGAAGGGGAGGCCAAATCCCTTTTGGAAGGTTTTATTTCCCCCCATTGGATCTCTGGCCATTTACCCAGGTAATCAAGAGCTGGCAAAAGGGAAATACCAAAACCTCTCCAGGATTATTACATACTGGCTTTGAGCTAACATTAATTCTTAGGAATTAAGAATACCACAGGTTCATCAGTTGGATTGACAATTTATGAGGCTCATGTATAGGAGATGAAGTTCTAATTCAACCTCTTCTCACAACAGTCATCATGACAAAGCCCAAGCACACCTAGTTTTCAGATGTTACCAAATACTGCCCACAATGACTCCCTGGTTCAGAAGGAAGGACTATTATGGTAAGAGGTATGAAGTGGAAGATGATCAAATTCCCTTTCCTTATGAAAATTATTGCATTTCTAAGGGGTGAGTTTTCTAAAATTTATAAAGGAATAGTGAAATGTTATTATGAGACAAAGACATACTGCAAGCAGGCATACTGCCCTCCTCCCTCCACTTTCTTCCTGTACAGAGAATTGAAAAGATGTGTCCACCTAAAATGATGTTGTATTTAATCTGGAAAAGCTGCAATGAATACAGGTATTGAAACAAGGCCATGGCAATTTCAGCAAGCAACTGAAGTAATGATTTCTTTCTGAAAAACAGCTCCTGGCTTGCTACTAGGATCCAGTGAAAACAGAATAGAACATTAAGTGACCATGCAACCTAGCTGTCCATCATGAGTTGTTATTGGATGCATTTAACTCTAAATTCCAGCAAGCCCAAAATGAGCTGTGAAGGCACAATTAAATTGCATATCAGATCACTTACATTCCTTACAACCATATTCCTGCTACATGCCACCTCTCCCTCAAACTACACCTATGGCTTCATGAGAAGTGCCCTATGACCAGCAAGCTTGCAGAGGGGAAAATGCCTCTCCCTGGTTAAAGAAAGACCTGAGCATTATGTTACAGCTGCAAGTGTACCACTGTTGCATAACAACTCCATTCAGGGGTGATCCTGAGAATCAGCTGAGAGGAGAAAGCCTCCTTGTGAGAAGCACTTACAGTGGTACGTATCATTGTTCACTTTACTTGAAAATATGTGGCCTGAGGTCAGTATCTACATGGTAATTTCTGGCATGTCCAATAGACTGGCTGAATAAGCAGGACTGGGGAGGAGCATATTTGGATGACTAGTGACAAGGTAGTTTGGGAAAGGAATATTTAGATACATTTTTGGGAATGGGACCAGCACCTGAGAATATCTGTGCTCCATGTGACTGCTCAGCAAAATTACCACCAAGAAGAGAGTACTAATAAGTATATGGACAAGGTGACTGTTACTGAAAGAGTGAGCCATTTTCCTTGCCTAGTCAATTCAGTACTTGGCTAAATGTTAGTGTTTTGACAGGGACAGTGGCTATACATGTGCTCAACAACAGGGATTTCCTCCCACCAAGGCTGAGCTGGTGGTCTCACTGCTAAGTGTCCCTATATGGTACACTCCTCCAGTTGAGCCATCTACCTCATAAGGGATGGACTCCAGTGACCCTTTTCATCCTAGAGAGGTTAGTAATTTGTCCTTTTCAGAAGAGATATTTATTCTGTATTTGGATGTGATTTACCTGTCATGTTGCTACCAACACTACCATCTGTGGACTTACCTGTGTGCCAGTGTGATATTCCACTTAGTGCCACTGATGAATAAAATCACTTCCCAACAAAAGTGAGGCAACTGGCTGGTAACCAAGGGCTTCTTTGATCTTAACATGTACTCTTTGCATCTTTCAGAAGCAGCAGGCTCACACAATGGTGAAATAGCCTATGACAACATAGACAAGGTTCCAGCTAGGATCTATTGCTATAGAACACAGCTTATGAGCCAAACCAGCACTTTTCCAACTGGGTACTGGACATGGCACTTCTCACAACTCCAGCTAATGACCTCTCAAAATTGTTTCCTTCCTCTAAGACAGGGAGCTACTAAAGGTTTTGTGCCCAGGGAAAGAATGCTTCCACCAGGAGATATAAAAATGGTGCCTTTGAGCTGGAAGCTGAGATTGCTACCTGGCTCATCATGCCAGAAAAAGCAAATGAGAGGCTTAAATAGAGGGATATATCCGCTACAAAGAGAGTATCTGAATACTGTATACAGGAGGAAGAGAATGAGTACAGGTAGAATGTAAGAAATGCTCTGGAGTGCATAATAATAAACTATAATGAAAGACTATTTCATGTCTATCTAAGCTGGGCCACCAATGGCTTAGGATGAAGAAGGTGTAACAACCCATCAGGCAAAGGACCCCACCCAGCTGAAGTTATGGTCATAATCTAAATTCTTTATTTGGTATTAGTGATTGTGACATGAAAATCAAAGTAACATTTTAAGCAGTAAGAAGTGTATTCTTTCTCATGTAAAAAGAAGTCTGGAAATGGGCAATACAAAACTGTGTTGGAAATTCCACAAGGCTATTATGTTCTTTCTTACTCTCCAGCCCACCATCCATAAAATGTGTCACTCAAAAATGGCTTCTAGAGCTCCAGCCACTACATCAGCACTCAAAGCAGCAAGATAAAAGAAGGGAGAATGAAGGGTAGACTCCTCTCTTTGAGGAGGCTTTCTAGA
Source organism: Homo sapiens (assembly GCF_000001405.40). Taxonomy (NCBI): domain Eukaryota; kingdom Metazoa; phylum Chordata; class Mammalia; order Primates; family Hominidae; genus Homo; species Homo sapiens. Next base: position 107,441,245 of record NC_000006.12, read on the forward strand.
AATTCAAATGCTTCTACCAACATTTCTTTTGGCCAGAAATTAGTCACACAGTCACACCCAGCAGTAAGAGAGGCTAAGAAATGTAATCTCTTATACCTGAATAAATTCAGGGTTCTCTCACCAAAGTGGAAGGGGAAGATGAAAATTGAGAAAGGCTGCCGCCAGTCTCTGCCATAGCGTGTCCACGGTTTTTTGGTGTTTCCTCTACCTCATTATTTCCTCTGCACTACATATAAGTGTGATGGTAGTGGATAAATTTACCATTTAGCCCACAGGTTGAAGAATGTAAGAATTAGGTCACAAAATTAGAAGACTGAACACAACTCAGAGGTCCTAGACATGACAATAAGTTATCTTTTTTGTGGAGGTGGTCAGAATGACTAATTTCCTCATTTAAGGTGGGAATTCTTTTAAATTATCTATACAGTAAGAAAGGGGGCAGAAGGCAGTAAATTCAAGGACAGGGTGCCCTGCTCAGAATCCATTCCCCTTTTGGCCTGTAACACATTTCACTTTTCAATTAGGGAAATTCTTTTCCCTTATTCTGTGAGGTCTAAGCAGGCATGAAATACAGTAGCTTACTCCCCAGCTGACCACAGGGGTGGCCAACACTCAAGCAGGCTCAAACCTAGTACACCATTCACCCATGAAGGAAATGATCTATTTGGCAATAAAGACCAAACAGACCCCCTCTCACAGGACTTTGAATCTTGAGCAGCCATCCAAGGATAAAAGGCAGCCTGAGCCAAAACTTCCTGACAGCAGTGCTGTAGTCTAGAGAAACTGTCTGTAAATTCCTGCTACTGACTGCCCTAGAGCGTCCCCAGTTCTCATTCTTCCTAAGGCCTGATTAGCTCCTCCTTGCCTAAGTAATCCAAAATCAATTTCTTGGCTAGGCGCGGTGGCTCACACCTGTAATCCCAACACTTTGGGAGGCCAAAGCAGGCAGGTCACCTGAGATCAGGAGTTCAAGACCAGCCTGACCAACATGGTAAAACCCTATCTCTACTAAAAATACAAAAATTAGCCAGGCATGGTGGCACATGCCTATAATCCCAGCTACTCGGGAGGCTGAGGCAGGAGAATCACTCGAATCCAGGAGGCAGAGGTCGCACTGAGCTGAGATCACACCACTGCACTCCAGCCTGGGCAACAGAGCAAGACTCCATCTCAAAACAAAAACAAAAAAACAAAAAACAAAAAACAAAAGCAATTTCTATGCTTGCAACTAAACAATGCTGAGATAATTCTATACTTCCTCCCTGAGAGATGAGAAACCCCTATGGCTTTAAATCTCACCTGTATTGAGTACTTCCAACTCTAGCCTTAGTGTTTACCTCCTGTAGGAGGACCTAACCCATTCCTAACTTCAGTTTGGACATTTCCACTTGCTGCAAATACTTCACGTTCAACAGGTCTACAAAATTTCCCCCTACACTCTACACCCAACATACTTCTGCTAGTATCTCAACATACTCAATTGCTCAGCTTATTCTTCTTCTGTTCTTTCACTCTCACAATTATCAAGTCTGCAATTACCAACCTCACTTCACAAATGTAGCTTGAATCCAGTCTTTCCACTTCATCTCCATCACTACTGCCTAAGTTTATAACTCACCATCATCATTCCTCTATCCGCAAGAACATCTCAATTTTCAATGTTTAAATCATCTCGTTGAGACCTTTTGCCACTCTATTGTTTATGTCTTCATTTTATTTGGAAACACTTTTATCCTAACATATGTAACAATTTATTGCACTTTGTGTTTTACATGTCTATTTCCCTTATTTGAATATAAATCCTGGGGAGGGGAAGGGAGAGGAGGGATGTGGGTCAGTGTCTGGTGTTGTTTCCCTGACTAACAAGCATAGTACTTGGCCATTAGAGAACACACTTAACTAGCTGCTGAAAGAAGAAATGAATAAACCATAGCAGTCTTCTGCCAGGCTTTCCTGCCTCTAGCTTTTCTTTTCTGCAATTCACAACCACCACAGCCGCCAAAGTCAGCTTTCAAAAAAGCACATCTGCTTAGGTCTGTCTAGTACTTAACCTTTATGATCTCCACTGACCTCAGGATAAAATTAGATCATCTTAACATGACATACAAAACTCAAAATCTGGCCACAACCTTTCCTTTGCTTTTTAAATACATTTTATTTCATTCATAGAAGCTTTATTCACAGTAGCCAAAAACAGAAGCAACCTATATATTCATTTACGCTGAATAAACAAATTGCTCTATATCCATTCAATGGAATATCTTTCAGCAATAAAAAAAATGTATAGTTGGTTCATGTATCTTGTCCAGTTTTCTGTTTGTTTACAGTGGAAGGGCAAGTTTAGCATCAGATACTCTATCATGGCAGAAGCAGATATTTCTAGCCTATTTCTTTTGCCTCATCCCATCCCACCGTGTGGTGCAGTCTACCCCACACTACAATTTTTCCTAGACTTTGCTGAGCAATTTATTATGTCTTAAATTCTTTTCCTGCCTCAGTCATCTCTTTTTCATCCCACATGACCTGACTCATATCCTACTTCATCTCTGGTAGTCTTCCATTTTCTCTAGGGAGAGAGATCTTTTTCTCCCTCTATGTTTCTACAGCATATTGTTCACTACGGCATTTATCTCAAGGTACTGTGTATGTCTCCCCACGAAAATGAATTTCTAATAATAATGATAATCGCTAATATTTGGGTACTTGCTATGCGCCAGGTACTGTTCTAAGCACTTTACCCATATTAAATCATTCAATCTTCATAAAACTCTATGACATAGCTACTATTATTTATTTATTTTTGAGATAAGATCTCACTCTGTCGCCCAGGCTGGAGTGCAGTGGAACAATCACGGCTCACTGCAGTCTCAACTCCCAGGCTCAAGTGATCCTCTCTCTTCAGCCTTCCAAGTAGCTGGGACCACAGGCACACACCACCACACCCAGCTACTTTTTAATTTTTTTTTTATATAGATGGGATCCCACTGTGTTGCCCAGGCAGGTCTTGAACTCCTGAGCTTCAGCAATCCTTTCACCTTAGCCTCCCAAAGTGCTGGGATTACAGGTTTGAGCCACTGCACCTAGCCACCAGGTTCTATTACTATCCTTGATTTACAGATGAAGAAACTAAGGCACAGAGAAGTTAGATAAATTGCCTAAGAGCTCATAGCTTGACAGTGGTAGAGGCAGGATGTGAACCCAAACAGTCTGATTCCAGAGCTCATGATTACTATACTGTCTCTCCTAAATTCCTGGACGGCAGCAACTGGGTCTTATTCTTGTTTGTACATCCATGCCCAGAGCACCTCAAATATTTGTGGAATGAATTAAAATTTATAATTTTCTCCTAGTCATCCATGAAAAAGTTCTTCATAAGTAATGTAGGTTTTCAGTCAGTAATTACAGAACTGAATCTAGAAAGGGTCTTTCATAAACATGGAAGAGACTAAAATTAAATTTCTAATAATAAATTCAAAGAGCTCTGAAGAATTTTACCATGCAGAAAGGACTAATGAGGTTTTTTAGGTAGCCAAATAACAGTAGTGAACTCAGGAACATAAAGTCCCTACAAAGGAATCAACACACCCTAAGAGAAGAGACTAAATGTCATAATTCGTCTCCAATAGCTGCATACTAAATTAATCCTATCCATTTAAATCTGAAATCAAGAGCATAGTTTTTTGAAGGCAAAAGCAAAAGGAGTATTTAAACAAAAATTTAATCCTAAAAGCCAAATCTGTCAAGAGTAATCAATGAAAATAAATAAAGCCTTACTACTCAAAGAATCATCTATGTTTTAGAAACAACAAAAGTCTAACCAATTCTGTATTGGAAAAGTATTGGTCACTGCCTGTGAAACAACTAAAAGTACTTAAATTTTAGTGATTTATACAGAAATTTAAGTAACGAAAATTTATATATAATTTTTTATAAATTACATATTTTATATATATATATATTGCACAAGTGGATAATTACATTTAGTTAGGGAAACAGTAATAAAACCATTGGGTAGAGGTTGTATTGAGAGGAAGGGGACAGTTGATGCATGTTGTTACCTTCAGTTTATTCCATCCTACCAATCTATGTCACATACCTGGGCCATCCAGCTTGGACAAGTCCACTATCCCTCATCCAAAGTCCCTGAAACCAAACCAAATGTCTTTCAGAATCCAAAATTTTTCTGATTTTAGGAAGGTGCATTTTACCCAACACTGCAGCAGGAACTGGGCAACACCCTGTAATCAAAAGCCTTAATATTTCTGCATCAAATGCATAAATATTCATATTAAATGGGATAAATAAAGACTATAAATAGCCTCACATCAATCCAGGTCAGATGTGTAAGTCTAAAAAAATTCTGTTTTCTGAGCTTTTCAGATTTTAAATTGTGGAAAAAGGATTACAGACTTCAACTATTACATTGTATTCAACCTGGTTTATTCTCTGCTTGAGAACTGACGACGGCTTCCTTACCTGCCACATTCAGATACAATATTAATTTCCATGCTAGTCCGGAATTGGCAACATTATTGGAAATAATCTAGTCAAACTCCTTACTTCATTGCTTAGGAAACTAAAGCCCAGAGAGATAAAATGACTTGCCTGGGGATCACACGGTTAAGTACTGACAGAGATGAAACTACAACACACACATCTGTCTCCCAGGTCTTCTTTCTCTTTCTCTCTCTGTCTCTGTCTGTCTGTTTCTCTCTCTCTCGTGCATGCTCTCTCTCTTTCTCTCTGGATTTGAAGTGCTTTTTTTAAGGCTTTTCAAAATAAGAAATAATTGGCCAGGCGCGGTGGCTCATGCCTGTAATCCCAGCACTTTGAGAGGCCGAGGCGGGCAGATCACAAGGTCAAGAGATCGAGACCATCTGGGCCAACATGGTGAAACCCCATCTCTACTAAAAATACAAAAGTTAGCTGGGCGTGGTGGTGCACACCTGTAGTCCCAGCTACTCGGGAGGCTGAGGCAGGAGAATTGCTTGAACCCAGGAGGTGGAGGTTGCAGTGAGTCAAGATTGCACCACTGCACTCCAGCCTGGCAACGAAGCAAGACTCCATCTAAAAAAAAAAGAAAAAAAAGAAATAATTACAGACAAACACAAAGTTGCAGAAACACTACAGAGTCCCAGGTACCCTTCACCCAATGGTGAAATCATGTAATAGCTATAGAACACTAAAACCAAAAAATTGATATTGATAGATTGTTAACTACAGACCTTATTCCATTTTCAGCATCTTTTAACCTGCATTTATTTTGTGTGTAGGTGTATAGAGTTCTTTGCAACTGTATTAGTCTGCACTCACATTGCTATAAGGAAATACCCAAGACTGGGTAATTCATAAAGAAAAGAGGCTTAATTGACTCACAGTTCTACATGGCTGGGGAGGCCTCAGGAAACTTACAATCATGGCCAAAAGCACCTCTTCACAGGCCAGCAGAAGAGAGAATGAGTGCCAGTAGGGGAAATGCCAGATGTTTATAAAACCATCAGATCTCATGAGAACTCACTCACTATCATGAGAACAGCCCCAATGATTAAATTATCTCCCACCAGTTCCCTCCCATGACACATGGGAATTATGGGGATTACAGTTCAAGATGAGATTTAGGTGAGGACATTCTGACCCTGGCCCCTCCCAAATCTCGTGTGCTCACATTTCAAAATGCAGTCATGATGCCCTTCCAAAAGTCCCCCAAAGTCTTAACTCATTCCAGCATTAACCCAAAAGTCCAAGTCCAAAGTTTCATGTGACACAAGGCAAGTCCCTTCTACCTATGAGCCTATAAAATCAAAAGCGGCCGGGCGCAGTGGCTCACGCCTGTAATCCCAGCACTTTGGGAGGCTGAGACAGGCGGATCACGAGGTCAGGAGATCGAGACCATCCTGGCTAACACGGTGAAACCCCATCTCTATTAAAAATACAAAAAAAAATTAGCCAGGCATGGTGGTGGGCGCCTGTAGTCCCAGCTACTCAGGAGGCTGAGGCAGGAGAATGGCGTGAACCCAGGAGGCAGAGCTTGCAGTGAGCCGAGATGGCACCACTGCACTCCAGCCTGGGCGACAGAGTGAGAATCCGTCAAAAAGCAAAACAAAAAAAAATCAAAAGCAAGTGCATTACTACCTAGACACATCTCTCTGGGGCTACAGGCACTGGGTAAATACATCTGTTCCAAATGGGAGAAACTGGCCAAAACAAAGGGGATACAGGCCCCACATCAAGTCCGGAATCCAACAGGGCAGTCATTAAACCTTAAAAGTTCCAAAATGATCTCCTTTGATTCCATGTCTCACATCCATGTCACGCTATTACAAGAGGTGGGCTCCCACAGTCTTGGGAAACTCTGCCCCTGTGGCTTTGCAGGGAACAGCCCCTCTCCTGGCTGCTTTCACAGCTGGCATTGAGTGTCTGAGGCTTTTCCAGACACATGGTGCAAGCTGTACGTGGATCTACCATTCTGGGGTCTGAAGGATGTTTGCTCTCTTCTCACAGTTCCACTAGGCAGTACCCCAGTGGGAACTCTGTGTGGGGGCTCCAACCCTACACTTCCCTTCCGCACTGCCCTAGCAGAGGTTCTCCATGAGGGCTCCACCTCTGCAGCAGACTTCTGCCTGGACATCCAGGAATTTCCATACTTCCTCTGAAATCTAGGCAGAGATTTCCAAACCTCAATTATTGTCTTCTACACATCTCAAGCTCAATACCACATGGAAGCTGCCAAGGCTTGGGGCTTGCACCCTCTGAAGCAACAGCCTGAGCTGTACCTTGGCCCCTTTTAGCCATTGCTGAAGCTGCTGAGATGCAGGGCACCAAGTCCAGAAGCTGCATACAGCAGGGGGGGCTGGACCTGGCCCAGGAAACCATTTTTCTCTCATAGGCCTCTAGGTCTATGATGGGAGGGGCTGCCAAGAAGGTCTCTGACACATCCTGGAGACATTTTCCCCATTGTCTTGGCAATTAGCATTTGGCTCCTCATTACTTATGCAAATTTGTGCAGCCAGCTTGAATTTCTCCTCAGAAAATGAGTTTTTCTTTTCTATTACAATGTCAGGGTTGCAAATTTTCTAAACTTTTATGTTCTGTCACCTCTTGAATGCTCTGCTGCTTAAAAATTTCTTCCACTAGATACCCTAAATCATCTCTCTCAAGTTCAAAGTTCCACAGTTCTCTAGGGCAAGGGCAAAAAGCTGCCAATCTCTTTGCTAAAGCATAGCAAGAGTGACCTTTACTCCAGTTCCCAACAAGTTTCTCATTTCCATCTAAGACCACCTCAGCCTGGATTTCATTGTCCATATCACTATCAGCATTTTGTCAAAGCCATTCAACAAGTCTCTAGGAAGTTCCAAACTTTCCCACATCTTTCCCATGTCTTCTTCTGAGCCCTCCCAACTGTTCCAACCTCTGCCTGTTACCCAGCTGCAAAGTCGCTTCCACATTTTCAGATATCTTTATAGCAGCACCCCACTCTCTACGGTACCAATTAGTCTGTTCTCACATTGCTCTAAGGAGATGCCCCAGACTGGGTAACTTATAAAGAAAAGAGGTTTAATTGACCCAGAGTTTCACATCTTGGCAGAAGGTGCCTCTTCACAGGGCACCAGGAGAGAGAATGAGTGCCAGCAGGGGAAATGTGAGATGCTTATAAAACCATCAGCTCTTGTGAGAAGTTACTCACTATCATGAAAACAGCCTGGAGAAAACTACCCCCATGATTCAATTACCACCCACTGAGTCCCTCCCACGTGGGGATTATGGGGATTACAATTCAAGAGGAGATTTGGGTGGGGACACAGCCAAACTGTATCAGCAACTTTATCCCATGTATAGATTCACACACTCACCACCACAAGACTCCCAACTGTTCTACCACAATATTCCTCTTTGTATTTACACTCCTCCCTATTCCTCACATTGTCCCTGACTCCAGAAAACACTTACTATTCTCCATCTCCACAGTTTTGTCATTTTGAAAATGATATAAATGTTATATAAATGGAATCAGACAATATATAAACTTTTGAGATAGACTTTTTAAAAAATTGGGTAAAATTTACATAAAATTTACCATCTTAACCATTTTAAGTGTACAGCTCAGTAGCATTAAGTGTATTCACAGTGTTGTATAACCAATCTCCAGAACTTTTTATCTTGCAAAACTGAAATCCTATAACTATTAAACAACTCTCCATTTCCCCCTTCTTCCAGTCCCTGGAGACCACCTTTCTGTTTCTACACACCATTTCTCTAAATTTGACTACTCTAGACACTTTATATAAGTGGAATCACACAGTATTTGTCCTTTTGTGACTGGCTTATTTCACTTAGCATAATGTCCTCCATATTTCACTCAGCATAATGTCCTCCAGGTTCATCCATATTATGACACGTGTGCAACCTCAAACACGTGGGCTCAAACGATCCTCCCACTTTGGCCTCTAGAGCAGCTGTCTAGCCAACTTATTTTTAGGAGCCACCATGTCTAGTTAATTTATTTTTTTATAGAGATGGGGTCTCACTGTGTTGCCCAAGCTGGTCTCAAACTCCTGGCCTCAAGTGATCCTCCCACCTCAGCTTCCCAAAGTGTTGGGATTACAGGCATGAGCCACTGTGCCTGGTCCCTCCTTGTTTTTTAAGGCTGAATAATATTCCATGGTAATATATACCACATTTTGTTAATCCTATCAACCATCAATGGACAACTGGGTTGCTTCTACCTCTTGGCTACTGTGAATACTGCTGCTATGAACATGGGTATACAAATATCTCTTTGAGACACTGCTTTCAATTCTTTTGGAAACACACCCAGAAGCAGAATTGTTGGGTCATATGGTAATTCTATTTTTAATTTTTTGATGAATGAGATTGACTTTTTTCACTCAGAATAATTCATCTGAGATTCACCCAAGTTGTTGTATCAGTGGTTCATTTCTTTTTATTGTTGGGTAGCATTTCGTTGTTATGTATGGACCACAGTTTGTTCAACCACTCACTAGGATATGTGGGTTGTTTCCAGTTGGGAAATAATTAAAGACAGAATTAAAACAGTATAACAAACAGTATATATGTAGAGGATAAATTAAAGAAAGGAAAACTATGAATGTAGGGGGAAGAATGTTGAGGAATCAATTCACAATGACCAACTACAAAATTCCAACATGAGAGAGAAAAATGGTGGGAACCATGATACTGAAGAAATAACACACAAAATCATCCCAAAATAAAGGATATAGGATTAAGTTAAGAAGGCCTTCATTCTCCACTCCAAAAACCATCAAGGTGAAATTATGGAACATCATTCTAAAGAAAGGATCTTTCCTCTAGAAAGAACACACAGCCCTATCCAAGCTGTGGAATGAAAATGGCATTAATACAAGAAACTTAACTGCAAAGGAGAAATACATATATGTAGGATTTTCAACCTATAATTCTATAGGTTATGGCAGCCTATTACAAATAAGACTGCCACAAACATTTGTGTATAGGTTTTGGTATGGACATAAGTTTTTATTTCTCTGGAATAAATGCTCAGGAGTCTGATTGCTGGGCTACATGGTAAGTGTATGTTTAAACTGATTGATCAATCAACTGATTGATTGAGACAGGGACTGACTCTGTCACCCACGCTGAAGTGCAATGGCACGATCATGGCTCACTGCAGCCTCCAACTTCCGCGCTCAAGTGATCCTCTTACCTCAACCTCCCAAGTAGCTGGGACCACAGGTGTGCACCACCACACCCAACTAATTTTTTATATATTTTGTAGAGACAGCATTTTGCCACATTGCCCAGGCTGGTCTTGAAATCCTGGACTCAAGTGATCTGCCTGCCTCAGCCTCCCAAAGTGCTGGGATTACAGGCGTGAGCCACTGTGCCCAGTCGTATGTTTAATTTTATAAGAAATTGTTATGCTGTTTTCCAGAGGGGCCGAACCATTTTACATTCCCATCAGCAATGCATGAGAAATCTAGTTTATCTGCATCGTTACTAGAATTACATATTATATTTTTTATTTTAGCCATTCTAATTGGTACATAGTAGTATCCCATTGTTGGTAGAAGAGCTGAGGCAGGACTGGCTTGTCTGTCATAATGTAAAAGAGTCTTGGAAGATGTCCGGGATCCAGGGTCTGAAACCCCTCGTGGCCTTTGGAACACCAAGCTCTGTGCCAAAGGGTGGAAGGCTACACTGCCGCACCACAAATCTAAGCCCAGGGCATAAAACCCCTTGTGGCTTTGATGGAATCCAGGGCTCAGGGCATAAACCCCTCGTAGCCTCTGGAATGTGCACAGACTTGTTGGTTCCTTGCTTCTTTCTTGTAAACATGCCCTCCATTATCTCAAGCAGCAGAGCATATTCTATATGGGTCAAAGGAAGTGCTAAACCGTCACAGCTACACTTAATGCACCACTACCTTTCTACTCTCACCTCCTCATGCCCTCACCTGTTTACCCTCATGTCCTCACCACCTGCTTCTTTGTTTGATCACCAATAAATAGGGCGGGTTCCCAGAGCTCGGGGCCTTTGCAGCCTCCAATCTAGCGCTGGCCCTCTGGACACACCTTATGAACTCTTAACTTGTCTTTTCTCATTCCTTTGACCCCGCCAGACTTTGTAGCCCTCAGGGCCTGGTGTTGGGCCCGATCACCTCAACATCCCATTGTGATTTTAATTTGCATTTCCCAAAAGGCTAATAATGTTGAACATCTTTTCATATGCTTACTTGCTACCTTTATAGGTTTTTCTTTTAGCCCATTTTCTTTTCTTTCTTCTTCTTTTTTGTTTTTTAAGTGACAAAGTCTTGCTCTGTTGCCAAGGCTAGAGTGCAGTGGTACAATCATAGCTCACTGCAGCCTTGAAGTCAAACTCTTGGGTTCAAGGAAGCCTCCTGCCTCTGTTTCCCTAGTAGCTGGGATTACAGGCATGCACCACCGCACAAGCTTTTTCCCCTATTTTCTAATTGTATTGTTTGCTTTCTTGAGTTTAGAGAGTTCTTTTTTTTTTTGCAACAGAGTGTCACTCTGTTGCCCAGGCTGGAGTGCAGTGCCGCGATCTCACTGCAACCTCTGCCTCCCAGATTCAAGTGATTCTCCTGCCTAAGCCTCTGGTGTAGCTTGAACTACAGGCACCCACCACCACACCGGCTAATTTTTGTATTTTTAGTAGAGACAGGGTTTCACCATGTTAGCCAGGCTGGCCTCAAACTCCTAGCCTCAAGTGATCCACCTGCCTCGGCCTCCCAAAGTTCTGGGATTACAGGCATGAGCCACCGCACCCAACCTCTTGAGTTCAGAGATTTCTTTACATAACCTGGATACAAGCCCTTCTTTGAATATGTGATTTGCAAATATTTTCTCCCAGTCTGTGGCTAAACTTTTCACCCTCTTTACAGGGTCTTTCACAGAGCTAAGTTTCAAACTTTTTTTTTTTTCTTGAGACAGAGTCTCACTCTGTCTCCCAGGCTGGCTTGCTGTGGCGCAATCTCGGCTCACTGCAACCTCCGCCTCCCAAGTTCAAGCGATTCTCCTGCCTCAGCCTCCTGAGTAGCTGGGATTACAGGTGCACATCACCACGCCCAGCTAATTTTTGTATTTCTAGTAGAGATGGGGTTTCACCATGTTGGTCAGGCTGGTATCGAACTCCTGACCTTGTGATCTGCCCGCCTCGGCCTCCCAAAATGCTGGGATTACAGGCGTGAGCCACCACGCCTGGCCAGTTTTGAACTTTTATGGAGTCCAATTATTGTTTTCTTTTATGAATTTTTTGGTGTCATGTCTAAGAACTGCTTACCTAGCCCTAGGTCCTGAAGATGTTATCCTATGTTTTCTTTTTTTTTTGAGACTGAGTCTTGCTCTGTCGCCCAAGCTGGAGTGCAGTGGTGCAGTCTCGGCTCACTGCAACCTCCACCTCCTGGGTTTGAGCGATTCTCATCTCAAACTCCTGACCTAAGGTGATCCACCCACCTTAGCCTCCCAAAGTGCTGGGAATTCAGGCATGAGCCACTGCACCCGGCCGTGATATTATCCTATGTTTTCTTCTGAAAGTTTTATAGTTTAACATTTCATGTTTAAATCCATTTTAAGTGGACATTGATTTCACAAATAATCCATTTTACATTGATTTTTAAAAAATACTGTGTGAGGTTTAGGTCAAGGTTCATTTTTTTGCCTATGATGTTCAATTGTTCCAGCCCTATTTTTAGAGAAAGAAAAAAAAAAACTATCCTCCCTCCATTGAATTGTTTTTGCACTTTTGTTAAAAATCAGTTGGGCATATTTGTGTTAATCTATTTCTGGGTTCTCTATTCTGTTCCATTGATCTGTCTGTTCCTCTGCCAATACCGCAGTGTTTTGATTAATGCAGCTATATAGTAAGATTTAACAGTAGGTGGAATGATTCCTCAACCCATGCTTTCTTTTTCCAACATTTTAGTTATCCTAAAATGTTCTAGTTTTTACTATTCTAGCTCTATTCATGCTGCTTATCCTTGCTTTTAAGGTCTTCCCCATACCTAGTAGAGGTATGGTAGCCTGGAGAAGAAAGGGGAAAAAAGAAAGAATCATGAAGGAAAAAAACAAATATTATATAACTACTACCCTAAAACATTACTCATGTAATTTTTATCCATCCATCCTTCAATGGAGTCCCAATTTCTCCATGAAAGGTTCTCTACTATTCCAAGCCATCTCTCTATGTGGTAGCTCATTAACCACAAGTCATTTGTTTCCTTCTGTTAGATATTTGTAAATATCTTTTGTGTCAACTCATCAAGGGACAGGGTCCATGTTTCAGACTTCTTTTTTTTTTTTTTTTTTGAGACAAGGTATCACTCCATTGCCCAGGATGGAGCACAGTGGCACGACCACAGCTTACTGCAGCCTCGACCTCCTGGGCTTAAGGTATCCTCTCAGCTCAGCCTCCCATGTAGCTAAGACTGCAGGCATGCACCAGCAACCCGGATAATTTTTGGTATTTTTTGTAGAGATGGGGTTTCACCATGTTGCCCAGGTTGGTCTCAAACTCCTGAGCTCAAGCAATCTGCCTACCTTGGCCTCCCAAAGTTCTGGGATTGCAGGTGTGAACCACCACACCTGGTCTAGACTTCTTTATATCACTTCATAAGTTTCAATAAACATTTAATTAATTATTTATCTAATTATAGTTTACAACAGAGAGATCCTAGAAAATCTAGATGAACAAGAGTAACAATGAGCTAAATGCTCCTCTATTCCTAGTAACAGAATCATTATCTCACCAAACCTCAAGATTTTTAACCTCATTTCTCATTTAGTGTTAAAGAATATATGTCACATCTAGGCTGTTTTTCCCTTTTCTTGACAAGATGTCTTAGGTAAAGAGATCAGTGAATAGCAAATTATGGTGGTTTCCTTTTTTTTTTTCCTGCTGTTTGCTAACAAAGTCACCATTCACGTAAACTTTAGGGCTATTAGACATGATTCACCCCTAACATACCATGTAGCTTTATTCGAAAAGTAAATGGCTCCAGCCTGGGCAACAGAGCAAGACTCTGCCTCAAAAAAATAAAAATAAAAAAACAAAAAAAATACAGCTGCTTAATCCTTGATTTTAGTTATAATTTACAATAATCATTACCTGCTTAACCTCTGGATCAAATGCCTGCTCCTTTGCTGAAATAACTGTGTACAGTGTATATACAAATATATACAGATACATATCCACACCCCAAAAGTTTCTTCATTGGCTGTCTATGAGTTTAGGCTGTTTAAATAATTTGCAACACATTATTGTAGTAAATAGAATAAAATTATATGCAGATTAGCTCTTTCTTTTCTTACAAAATACAGCAACACATACATGCTAGGACAACTTTGCAAAAACTTACTTATTCTGTGCCTTTCCAGTTCTGTCACTGTACTATAGTACTACAAGGCAGGTTAGGCAACAATTAGGAAAGTTTCAGAACCATTAGTCTCACAAACTTTCATCTAGGATGCCTCTGGTGGCCTCTGAAGAGATCTTCTCCAAACCCTCATCTGATGCTATTGCAACTAAGTAGACGAACTACGGTTCTCAGAATATACACATTAATAAGGCTCTTTTTAGCTTCACCCTTTTCACTTCTGTGCTTTATGATGGACTACAATACTCATAATGCAATACTACAGCCCCTATCATTGACACTATCATTTCCATCAAACACAAAGAAACCTCCTTCTGGATTACCAAAAACTAAGAAATCTGGGCCAGGCGCAGTGGCTCATGCCTGTAATTCCAATACGTTGGGAGGCGGAGGTGGGCAGATCATGAGGGCAGGAGCTAGAGACCATCGTGGCCAACATGGTGAAACCCCTTCTCTACTAAAAATACAAAAATTAGCTGGGCGTGGTGGCACATGCCTGCAATCCCAGTTACTGGGGAGGCTGAGGCAGGAGAATTGCTTGAACCAGGGTGTCAGAGGTTGCAGTGAGCCGAGATCAGGCCACTGGGCACTCCAGCCTGGCGATAGAGCGAGACTCTGTCTCAAAAAAAAAAAAAAAAAAAAAAAAAAAAACTTAAGAAATCTCTTAGTTCTAGTGTTATGAGAACTAGGAGTAACCTGAACTCAGAAGTTGTTTATGAGAGTATAAACTGGTACATTCACTTTAGAAAGCATTCTAAAGATAAACATGTGCACATCCAACAATTACGCTCTTGTTTTTATATCCTCGTGACATGAACACCAAAAGATATGCAAACATATTTATAACAGCATTTTTCATAATATTAACAAATGCAACAACCCAAATGTTAATTACAAGATGACTGTGAGGCCCGGCGTGGTGGCTCACGCCTATAATCCCGGCACTTTGGGAGGCTGAGGTGGGCAGATCACGAGGTCAGGAGTTCAAGACTAGCCTGGCCAATATGGTGAAACCCTGTCCCTACTAAAAATACAAAAATTAGCCAGGCATGGTGGCGGGCGCCTATAATCCCAGGTACTTGGGGGGCTGAGGCAGGAGAATTACTTGAACCCGGGAGGTGGAAGCTGCAGTGAGCCGAGACTGTGCCACTGCACTCCAGCCTGGGCAACAAGAGTGAAACTCTGTCTGAAAATAAATAAACAAACAAAAGATGACTATGGTATATTCACACAACAGAATTTCACACACAGTAAAAACCTAATGAACTACAGTTAAACACACAACATGGATGAATCTCAGAAACCATGAATTTTAAAAAGGAAGTCACATAAGGTCATATGCAATAAACTATCATATTTGTACATTGCAAAGAAACCAGTAAAATGAAACATTATTATTTAGAAAAATAACAATGTAATTTTACTTATTTCATTTTATTTTGAGACAGGGTCTCTTGCCCAGACAGGTGTGCAGTGGCACAATCACGGCTCACAACAGCCTTGACCTCCCAGCTCAAGCAATCGCAATCCTCCCAAGCAGCTGGGACTACAGATGTGCATCCCCACGCCCAACTAATTTATTTTATTTTTTGTAGAGATAGGGTTTTGCTATGTTGCCCAGGCTGGTCTCGAACTCCTGGGCTCAAGCAATCTTTCTACTTTGCCTCCCAAAGTGCTGGGATCACAGACATGAGACACCACACCAGGACCCCTGGTAATTTTGAAAAGGAAAAGTGTTTAAAAACAGTTTAGTGGGAGTCAGGGAGATGGACTGAGGAGTACACATTTAGCTTCAACAGGACTGGTAAAGTTACAATTCTTAAGTTGGGTAATAGTAGGCTTATTCGTTTCATTAAGCTTTAAACATATGTGTATGTGTTTTGAGTGTGTATCATCTAGAATCTCTGGAAAACTAACATTCCAGCTAATCATAAGGTGACATTCCTGATAACTGGGAACGATGCCAAGGAATAAAATCACTTTATTATTACTATTTGATAACTTTTGTAGTAAGAAAATGACAGGTGCCTCGAAAAATTAAAGCAAGGGGTGGGTAAGGGAAGTGAGTGTGGCTAAAAAAGCAACATGAGGAATCCTTATAGTGCTGAATATGTTCTTTATCTTAACTGTATCAACATAAATACCCTGCTTATGATATTACACCATCGTTTCAAAAGATGTTACCATTGGGAGAAACAGGGTTAGGTGTATATTAGATTTGTGTTATTTCTTCCAACTGCATGTAAATCTAAAACTACTTCAAAATAGAAGTTTACTTTTAAAAACAACAATAGAAAAAGGTCCTTTTAGTCCTGGATTTCTCCACCTTGGCACTACTGACATTTTGCAGCACCTAATTATTTCTTGTGGGTCTGTCCTGGGAATTGAAGGGTAGCATCCCTGGCCTCTATCCACTAAATGCCAGTAATGTGCCTCCATTCGTGACAACCAAAAATGTCTCCATACATGCCAAATGTCCTCAGGGGGGGAAAATTGCCCCAGTTGAGAACCAGTGCTCTAGTCATAAAAGCCAAGAAGAGATATGAAAATGTTCCTAATTGAAGAAGATGAAAGAGATATAACAACTAAACGCAATACTTGATCCTGGACTGAATCCTGTCCTGGAGGGTAAAGAATGCTATAAAGAACATTATTAGGCCAATTAACAAAATTGAAATTAAATGGTAGATTAAATAAAAGTATTGTATCAATATTAAATATACCTAAGTTGGTAACTGTAGCGTACTTACGTAGGAGATTACTGCTATGCTTAGGAAATACATACTGAAGTATTTAGGGGAAAAGGATCGTGATGTATGCAATCTACCATCAAATGATTCAGAAAAAAATATATAGAAAGATATATACACGTGAATAGTATATATATCTGTGTGTATATGTATTTAATGTATATATTGACATATATAGACATATCTACGTAGCAGGTGGATCTGATTAAAGAGTATGCAAGTGTGTTCTTTGAACTATATTATTTTTGTAACTTCGCTGTATGTTTAAACTAATTACAATTCAGGTGTGGGGTTTAAGTGGAAGAAAAAAAAAAAACTTTTGGCCGGGCACGGTGGCTCACGCCTGTAATCCCAGCACTTTGGGAGGCCGAGGCGGGTGGATCACGAGGTCAGGAGATTGAGACGATCCTGGCTAACACGGTGAAACCCCGTATCTACTAAAAATACAAAAACAAAATTAGCCGGACGTGGTGGCGGGCACCTGTAGTCCCAGCTACTCCCGCCTGGGCGACAAAGCGAGACTCCGTCTCAAAAAAAAAAAAAAAAAAAACTTTTATAAATCCTAAAGGCAGGTTTCACAGCAGTAGTACAGCATAAGTGATAAACATCCCAAGAAGATAATGACTACTAACGGGATAAATTCCTACTTCAACCCCAAGACATTCGTTGGAAAGAATTATCTACCTTCAGCCTCTCTCTCTCTCCTTGCCTACTTTCTGGAGGTGACCCCCTGAACAGTGCGGGACAGAAAATTAATCTATCCCATTAAAAAAAAAAAAAATTTCTAGGAAGTGACTCAATAAACCTACATCTCCGCTCGATTTCTCCACAAATCACTGAGGCATCTTCATCCTCAACAATTAAGAAGCAAAATCGAGGAAAGCATACAAGTGTTTCAAAGAAAACCACTTATGCACTCAGCTGAGCAAGAACGTTAAGTGGACTAGAGAAGAGACAACACGGAATGTCTAGGAGGAGTGAGTAAAAAGGAAGGACTAAAAAGAGATAAATCAGGAGCCAGTCTGAGAGAGCTAGAATGCGTATGCCCGCCAGAAAAAAAAGTATTCCAATGAGTGCGAGTGTGTCAGCGGGAGAGGGGTAGCTCACCTGGCTGTGGTAAGCAGAGGGTGCTGAGTGCCCACCAGCTTCCGCACCTGCATAGCGATGTTGCTGAGCTCGTCGCTCAGCAGGCAGCGAAGGCTCATGAAGGACGTGGGGTACCCCACGATCTTCTCCGCCTCTGACACTACCTGATTCCAGTGGGCCGGGGACTTGGAGGACCGACCACGCCAAGAGCCCACCGAGGAGATGGTGTCGAGGGACGGGGACCACCACAGGCGACGCGGGGAACCCGAGGCTCCAAGATAACGTGGCAAGTGCAACAGCAGCTGCCGAAAGTTCATGGTTTGAGTCTGGAAGGGTCTGGGACCTGGGGGTATCCAGAAGTGCCGCGGGAAACAAACCAGGGGCAGAGGAGGAACTTACAGTAACTAAAAGGAAGCGGCAATTCTTGACCCTCAGAGTAAGGTGGCTTCCTGGAGCAGTGACCAGAAACGAACTTTAACTGCTGCTTTCTGCAGCCCAGGCTGGGCAAACAACAGTCCCAGCTCAGCACTGCCCCCGGCCACCCGGGGTAGAAACCACAGCCACTGCCTATGTGGAGGACGCCATATTGGAGGCATGGAATGCGGCCTGCCGTAAAGACAGAGGCGGGTTGTTAAGTATACTCTCTACTTTACGGCGTACCCGAGAACGCCCCCGCAGGGGCGGTGCTTTGGAGGTGAACCCGGGTTGGGAGGTTCAGCTCCTCCCACCCCGCCGCTCTGGGCCAGCAAAGGTCGTCAGTGACAGGGATCAGTTGTGGGCGGCGAGTGGTCCCTCTGCACACGGTATCTGGGCCGAGTCTGGATTCATTAGAGTCCCCGGCGCCCAGCACTGAGTGGCATGCATAAGTATTGGTGTCACGAACAACGGTCAGCCCCCGGCTTGCCCGCAAGGAAGGGCGTCGGGCGGAGGCACCAGTTCCTCCCGGAAGCTTTTTGTCGCTATCGCCACCAGCCCCTGGCAGTGGCAGTGGCCGTGGCCGGGCGTGAAGGCGGCCTCTCGGGCTGCATGCCTCCTGGAGCTGGGGCCACGTCTCAGTGGTGGAACGCCTAGTCGGGGCGTGGGGCTGAGCCCTCGTGTCCTCAGGGCCCAACCAGACATAAGGCAGCGTGGTGCGGCGGAAAGGGGTCCCAAGGAAAGTCCTCGGATCCAACTTCGAATTACCGGCCTCCTCGCTGAGCCTTGGGAGAAACAGCGGTGCCTCCTTCCCGCGGGTGCGGAGAGGAAGAATGAAACGTTGCCTACTCCCTGCCTCTTATCTTCCTCTTTATGCCTAGCCTGGAGCTCAACTCCAGGATTGAAGACTATCGCTGACCGGAGTGCTTTTCACGTACTAGTTCATGTATTACTTTATTTAATCCTCAGAACAACCTCATTAAGTAGATAATATTAGTATTCTCCGTGTTTTGTATGAGGAAACTAAGGTGCAGTCGAGTCGCGTAAGTTCCCTAAGACCACACTAGACAGGGATGTGAGCCCAGACAATCTGGTTTCAGAATCCGTATTCTAACCGAAAGATTACACCGTCTAAATAATAGGCTCCCATCCACTCTTTTCTCCTTATTGCTGAGAGGAAACAGTCAATATGATTATCTTTTAAGTAATGCTACCTATTTTTTTTTCAAATGTGCCTAAGATCTTACCTCCTTTCTTATCACCTAAAACAGGTGTTAACCGTTCTTAATAAAGGATATATTATCCATTTTTTACACTCTTAAAAATAGCTTATAAAACTCTCTAAAACTTTCAAAATCCTTCCAAATTCATGGTATTTTATTTTTATTTTTTATTTATTTTTTGAGATGGGTCTTGCTCTGTCACCCAAGCTGGAGTACAGCGGCGCGATTTCAGCTCACTGCAACCTCCGCCTCCCAGTTTCAAGCAATTCTTGTGCCTCAGCCTCCCAAGTGGCTGGGACTACAGGCGCCTGCCACCACGCCCGGCTAACTTTTGTATTTTTAGTAGAGACTGGGTTTCACCATGTTGACCAGGCTGGTCTCAAACTCCTGACCTCGAGTGATCCGCCCACTTCGGCTTCCCAAAGTGCTGGGATTACAGGTGTGAGCTACCAGCTACCATGCCCAGCCTGTCAGTATTTTTTAAATGAGCATCATGCATAATACTGTACCAGCCTCTTGAGCTACAAATAAAGATTGGGACTTAAAGAGTAGTTGTTCACTTTGCAAAACAAGATGATTTTCTCTACAAAAGATTTAGCTTCATACTCTCCCTTTGGCAAGTTTTCCTTGTGATTTAAATTTTTTATTTACAAAAATTCAGTTTAGGTGTAACTTTTCAGGGGCACATTTTATTTAACATGAATTGTGATTATAAGTATCAAACACAGTCTATGCCCTTAAAGTAAGTAAGCTGAAGTTTGAAAATAATTCCTGTGAAAGAGATAAACTCTTGGCAACAAAATTCAGGTCTGTTAGGAGATGAAAATAAATATGGAGAGTGAGATACTTTACCATTCCAGGAGATGAAAATAAATATGGAGAGTGAGATACTTTACCATTCCAAAAAGTTCCAAGGCCAGAGCTTCTGGGTTATCCAAGGTGAAAGAAGTCATGAAAATACAAAGATAGATAGAGACTAATGTGATATATTGTGCACCTGAGGCTGTTTCTTCAGCCTCATGGTACCTTAAGGGTAACTTTTCACGCAATTTCCTCAATAGCAATTCACAGCATGTACTTTAATTTCTCCACAGAAGCCAAGTGCATTATTCTCTGGTCATACTCTATTAACCAAGTTTTTGATTATTCATGGGACTTTGGGTCCCATTTACTTTAAATAATCAGCATTTTCCTTTATACTTACAGTTAAAAGGTTGCATTATACTTAATGATAATCAGTTTTTAGAAGGTTAAAATGGTATTTGTTCTTTAATCTCCCAGATAAATATATAATTCCTTAGAGTCTTTATGATTAAAGAAATTTCTGAATTGCTAGTGACTTTTGGAGAAACAGGGAGGGGGAGTATCTGTGATTCTGCCCTTCCTCTGCCACTGATAATAGTTATATTAAAGATGTCTGTGAATGTGTGCATAAAGAAAGAATACAGCAGGATTTCTCAGCCTTGGCATTTTTGGCGTTTTGGACCAGATAATTCTTTGTTGGGGGAAGGGGGGCAGTCCTGAGTATTGTACGGTGTTGAGTAGCATTCCTGACCTCTACGTACTAGATGTTAAGCAGCACCCCTTTCCAAGTTGTGACAACGAGGTATGTCTCCAAACATTACCAAATGTCTGTCACCCTGGAGTGCAAAATTGCCCACTGGGAAATGGGAGATGCTGAAAGAAAAAAACAGTGTCCATCCATGACATTTACTCCTACAAAGCAGCAAAAAAGAAGTCCTGGGTGTGAGTAGCCCTGCAGGTTAGAGAGTGGTCACTCCACAACCTATGGAAACTTTCAGCCACACTCAGGGACTTCCCCTTGGCATCGGAGTTGTTTTGGAGACAGCACGCTGACAAAAAATGATCACAGTTCCTCCTCTACCTTTTTCAGGATTCTGAAGCTTATACCAGTAGAACTCACTGGGCACTCTGCATTCTACTGACCTTAGAAAGAAGTAAGGTCATATTTGATGTCCTTTTCTTTGGCTGGAAACCCGAGCCAGCCTTGGAAAATACAAGCTCTTAACAAGGATAGTGCTGTGGGCGCTGGCATTTCCATGATTAGGTGAGTGGAAATAGATAGAGATATTGCAGCCACCCTCCTTATGTCACCCTCAATACAATCACCTATTGTTTATCCTGAGAGAGTTCTTCCAAAGGCAGATGAAAGCGTCGTGGTGTATCTTGGGCAAAGATGATAAAAGGAGGCAAAAATCCAAAAGTTTGACCACCTACTTGGTTAGCAGGCTATGGAGATGCCACATAGTGCCATTGAGAATGCAAAATGGTACATGGCAGCTATGGAAGGGAATTTGATAATCCTCAGCAAAATTACATATATATTGCCCTTTGCCCTAGAAACCCAATTCTAGGAAAATATCCCAAATAATGACTTAAGCACAAGGTTATTCATTGCAGTATTATTTGTAATAGCAAAAGATTGGAAACAATCCAGATAACCCCAAATAAGAGATTGGTTGAACAAACTCGAGTAGATCTACACAATGAAACTATGCAACTGTGAAAAAGAACGAGGGCCATTTCTTTACACTGAGGTGAAATGATCTCCGAATATATATTAGTGTAAAAAAAAAAAAAAACCAAAGTGCAGAACAGTATATGTGCTTTTTTTTTGTAAGATAGCTAAACTACAAATGAGTATTTGCATATATTTGGAATAGGAGGAAACAGGTGGAGGAGACAGGCGTGGAAGCTAGACTACTCTGAATAAGCCTTGGCTATATGGTTTTGATTTTAGAATCATGTATATGTTTTACATTTTCAAAATAATTTCAAATCCGAAAGAAAAATGCAATTCCTAAAATTTGAAAACAAATAATCTAACTGTATATTAAGTTGGTGGCATAACCATACCAAGTAAACACTTTAATTACTTTAGAAAATATTGTTTTCACTGTACAATCAGAATATATGCTCAGGATAAATAGAACTACAAAGATATCTTAAGCTTTAGTCAATAGTCTTATTGGTGGTTGAAATACAGATACTATTATAGTACTTTCAAACTATTCATGTATATATAGGTAAAAATTACTAGAGTTTTTAGGAACAGTGATTTTCAGAGTAAGTAGAATCCATGTAATATTAAAGTTGAATTAGAAAGAATATGAACTTATGATTCTTTTCTTTTTAAAAAATGTTTTTCTTATATCCCAGTAAGAATTATTAGGGGAAAAAAAGCATTTTACTTCCTTTGTCCCTTGGAAAGGCCTAGAAGTAATGACAATTTTGTAGTAATAAGCATCTTTAGCATTCACATTCTTTTTTTTTTTTTTTTTTTGAGACACAGTCTCTCTCTGTCACCCAGGCTGGAGTGCAGTGGCGCAATTTCAGCTCACCACAACCTCAGCCTCCTGAGTTCAAATGATTAGCATGCCTTAGCCTCCTGAGCAGCTGGGACTACAGGTGTGTGCCACCACACCCAGCTAATTTATATATATATATTTTATATATATATATATAAAATATATATAATATATATATATTTTACAAATTTAGAATGTTTTATATTTTGAAAACACTTCCAGTTTAATTGTTTTCTTGGTTATCTTATGTATTTTATAATTATGCATTCACCACATACCCTGAGAAGGCTCCATCAGTTGCCTCCAGAAGCACAGAATGACCAGGTGCTGGGTGGAATTTCAAATGCAGACCTTCTTTCTGACTGGTCCTCTCTGTATGTTCTTCTGCCACTCGCAATTCATAGCTGTGTTTTTTTTTTAATTTTTTTTAATTTTATTATTACTATACTTTAAGTTTTAGGGTACATGTGCACAATGTACAGGTTTGTTACATATGTATACATGTGCCATGTTGGTGTGCTGTACCCACTAACTCGTCATTTAGCATTAGGTATATCTCCTAATGCTATCCCTCCCCGCTCCCCCCACCCCACAACAGGCCCCGGAGTGTGATGTTCCCCTTCTTGTGTCCATGTGTTCTCATTTTTCAGTTCCCACCTATGAGTGAGAACATGCGGTGTTTGGTTTTTTGTCCTTGCGATAGCTGAGAATGATGGTTTCCAGCTTCATCCATGTCCCTACAAAGGACATGAACTCATCCTTTTTTATGGCTGCATAGTATTCCATGGTGTATATGTGCCACATTTTCTTAATCCAGTCTATCGTTGTTGGACATTTGGGTTGGTTCCAAGTCTTTGCTATTGTGAATAGTGCCACAATAAACATACGTGTGCATGTGTCTTTATAGCAGCATGATTTATAATCCTTTGGGTATATACCCAGTAATGGGATGGCTGGGTCAAATGGTATTTCTAGTTCTAGATCCCTGAGGAATCGCCACACTGACTTCTACAATGGTTGAACTAGTTTACAGTCCCACCAACAGTGTAAAAGTGTTCCTATTTCTCCACATCCTCTCCAGCACCTGTTGTTTCCTGACTTTTTAATGATCGCCATTCTAACTGGTGTGAGATGGTATCTCATTGTGGTTTTGATTTGCATTTCTCTGATGGCCAGTGATGATGAGCATTTTTTCATGTGTTTTTTTGGCTGCATAAATGTCTTCTTTTGAGAAGTGTCTGTTCATCTCCTTCACCCACTTTTTGATGGGGTTGTTTGTTTTTTTCTTGTAAATTTGTTTGAGTTCATTGTAGATTCTGGATATTAGCCCTTTGTCAGATGAGTAGGTTGTGAAAATTTTCTCCCATTTTGTAGGTTGCCTGTTCACTCTGATGGTAGTTTCTTCTGCTGTGCAGAAGCTCTTTAGTTTAATTAGATCCCATTTGTCAATTTTTTTTATATTTTTAGTAGAGATAGGATTTTGCCATGTTGGCCAGACTGGTCTCGAACTCCTGACCTCAAGTGATCTGCCTGCCTCAGCCTCCCAAAGTGCTGGGATTACAGGCGTGAGCCACCACGCCTGGCCACATTCTACTTTAAAAAACATCATTTCCGTTGAAAAGAAATGAGGCTCTTTGGAGATATGGCAGATTTTTGTCTGGGGCAAGAAATGTGTATGATGAAGCTTGAACATCTTGTGCCAGAAATCAAGGAAGCTATTAAAGTCCAAAGGGACAGGTCAGAGGCACAAAGGGATCAGCATAAAGGAGCTCCCACTGGCTGAAAAGAGGACAATCTTACCCAAAAAAGTAAGAACTACAACTGATTGGAATTCATTGATTACATATAAATCGATGAGTTTATTATTAGCTGTAACTGGGACAATACTCTGAATATTTGCAATGTAATAAAAGAATTGAGCATTTATCCTGTCTTTCCTGTGTGAATTATATTTAGTGATGTCTTAGCCTGGCTTACCCCCTTGAAAGTTGAACCTAAGACAAGGGCTGACTTTTTAGGTAGTTTATTTTGGACAGTGATCTCAGGAAGCAGAAGTGGATGACTAGGGAGAGTGAAACAGAGAGAGTCAGTACAAGGGTGTTCTCTAGTTTGTCATCACTGTGGGCAATGAGGCCTTGAGCCATGTAGAATATACTTCATAATTGTCAGCTTGATGCAAGAAGAGAGCAGTTACTTATTAGCTCCCTTCTTCCATTGGTCCAAGTTTCCTCCTTGGGGCCTGAGCCCCCTCATACTTCTAAGCTGTCATGTGTGAGTGCTAGGCAAATGTCCCTTCTTTATAGTGTCAGAGGAACTCAGGGACAGAAATTGAGATGTATGCAATGCAGATGAGGAGAGATGCTCTCAGGTTACACCTGCAGGAAGCAGGTTGCTGCATCAATGGCTTTAGTAAAAGGTGGGCTGAGAGGATGAGAAACAGGGAACAAACCACTTCTAATGGGGTAATCAGATGTCCCAGATTGATGAAGGAAAGTTCTACTTTATAAAAATAATTACGTCAAATAAAAGAGAAGTAATAGAATTAGGAAATCACCATTTTACAATTCCTCATGAATTAGTTGATTTAGGCAACAATTATCAAAATGGAAGGCTGATAGGGAACCCTGCAATGAAGGTCTCAGGCTAACACCACCTGTAACTATTAATCAATCTCAGTGTCACTATGAGTGGGGAGTCCACCCATATGTGCCTCCTGATATGGTGCTTTATGAAATACATACCACCACCTAAGAAATATTTTAGCCAAAACAGTTGAATCTAAATCTCATCAAGTCTTGAGGACTAACTTCCAATCTTCTAGAAACATAGGAGAGGTAGAAATAAGTAAAATGGCATAACAAGGAAGCCAATGGACAAATCCAGCCTATGGGATAGTCTGCAAGCCAACTGCCTGGGTCTCTTCAACAGGACAAGGGAGGAAGAAGGGAGTAAAGGGACTCCCCTAGGTTGAAAGATTTTAAGAGGCAGAGCAAACCAAGTGTAATGTGTAGACCTTGTTTGGATTCTCATTCTAACTAACTGTTAAATGTAAGTTTTGAGACACTCAAAGAAATTTGAATATAGTTTTCATACACTAGGTATTGCAAAAGACTTATTAATTGTACATGTGAGTCTATAAGAAAATGTTCATATTTTTAAGTGATGGATACTAATGTATATAGGGATAAAATAACACAATGCCAGGAATGTGCTTTAAGACACTTCAGGAAGGGAAAAATAGATGAAAGAAGTATGTTAAAAGAAGTATATTTAAGTTACTAAATTATTAGGTAACTTATTATGCTGCAGTAAATTACTGATACAATTATCTATTAATCTTTTTATAATTTAATACATAAAGTGAACCTGCCACTAACACAAGAACTAGAATATTGATCATAGCTTACTTCTATCTATGTGACCTTTCTCCATCCCTTTCCCCTTACTTACCAAATAAATCTTTATCCCAAATCTTGTATTTGTCATTCCATCACTTTTCAAAAATATAATTTAATAATATATGTATTCTTAAAAATATGTCATTTAACAGTAGTTTGTTAGTTTTAAGTTAAAAATGAAGTTTCATGCCAGATGTAATTTTCTGTGGCCTTTTTAATTTATTCAACATTATTTTGCCAAGATTCACCCAAATCATACATACATAGTGGCAGTTCATTTGTTTTGACTGTTGTATAGTATCCATATCCACTCTTCTGTCAGTGGACATTGGGTTTGCTCTGGGGTGTTTTCTATTACAACAATGCTGCCATGAACAGGTTTACAAATGCCTCCAGGTGCACATGGCAAGGATTTATATCTAGCATTGGAATTGCTTGGTTGTAGAGTAGATGAATGAGCCAAACAGCTTTCCAAAGTGGCTATACCAATTTACACTTCCACCAGCCATTTTTGAGAGATCCTCTCATCACTTGATACTGTCAGATTTCTTAAAATTTCTACACAAATGGGTATAAAACAGAATCTCATTATGGTGTAGATATGCATTTCCCTTATCACTAGGAAGATAGCTGAATGCACTTTCCATATTGTAGATTAGCCCTCAAAGATGGTGTGGGAAGTTAGAACTGTAATTCTTTATTGCAGTTGTTCTCTTTGGTTTAATTTTTAAGTCTTCCCGTCTCAGATCCTCACTCCTCATATTCACAATAGTCCTTTCTTGCCATTTCCTTTAATGTTCTAAGTGTTTGACCTTAGAACAACTGTAGTTAGAGAGGAAATGGACCAAGACCTACTCTCCTTTTTTCTAGTTTCTCTCCCTACAGGGCAGCAGTGTGGAATTGACTTGTGGAATTGACTAGCGGTGCTGCTAGTTAATTTCACACTAGGATTAGCTCAACAGGGGAAGAAGTTGGTCCTTTTCTTTTACAAAGGCTCTTTCTGGGGGACTATTTTCTTTTAGAAACTTAGAATGAAAAGAAAAATCCGCTGAGAGGGTTTTTACTTGAATTGTAGACAGTATTATAAAATAGCCATCTAGGTTCTACACCTCTGTCCTAAATTAACTGTATGATCAGAGGCTAGTTACTTAACACCCTGAGTTTAAAATTACTCATTTGTAAAACAGAAGTCAATAATCTCTTGAGTCCATTTAAGTGCCAAAATGTTTTTATTCCATGAACAAAATTAGCTAGTAAACTGACTTGTTCCTTAAGGTAATTTCATCTTCTCCACTTACTTGCTTCCTACCAACCTGATTGATCTTGGCATTAACACAGGTTAAAACTTGAGGCCCTAGGCTGGTCGTGGTGGCTTCTGCCTGTAATTCCAGCACTTTGGGAGTCCAAGGCAGGAAGATCACTTGAAGCCAGGAGTTCAAGACCAGCCTGGACAAAAGTGAGATCCTGTCTCTACAAAAAAATTAAACACACACACACACACACACACACACACACAAGATTTCAGACAGGGCCCTGTCATGCTTCTTGAATCGTTATGTTTGCCACTGCATCCCCAGAACTCAATACTGTATCTGCCAAAGAATAGGCACCACATAAATATTTGTTCATCAGTTGAATGAATAATGAATGAACAAGCTAGGTCTTTATGCTCCATTCCCATTTCCACTCCACCATCATACTCAAAATCAGAAGTTACTTGAGTTGTACTTTATTTATAATGAGACGATCAGGAAGCACAGAGTAGAGAATGTCTCCAGTACTACAAGTCTAGCTGGCTCTCCATTACTGTTTAAATGTTCCTCATGAATAGCAAAGTAACCACACCCAGCTGATCTCTGGGCTTGAGGACCAGATATCAGTATTTTTCAAATACTCTCCAGGAGGTTCTAATATACAGCCAGGTTGAGAATCACTATTATAGAAAAAAATAAAATACTCTACTCTTTATTTCTGTTACTTTTTGTTGGCTTTCTCTCTCTCTCTTGTTTCTGCATTTCTTTGTTCCTTTCTCCTTTATTTTTAAATAAATATTGGTTAGACTCCATTTTCTAGGGTTCTAGAGAAATTCTGGCAGATCTGAATACAGAAAACTCTCTTTCTGTTGCATAGAAGGCAGATATAGGTAATATCAGGTAACGGAGGGATGAAAACATACAGCATTTATTACATGTATATGGACGATAACTTCAAATTATATAGAGTTGTTAAGGCATCTTGTCAGTAACAGCTGCCCTAGAGTAATAAATATAACCCCTAAATTATATGACAATATTCCCTCTGTCTTAAAATACAATTTCCTCTAAAATTGGAAAGTGTTTCATTCAGGGATGGGTGTTTCCATGGTTAAAAAAAATAAATCAGTTTGGTCAGTTAATTCTAATAAATCATTTTTCAAAAATTTAGTGAAAAAACTCTGTTTTTTCTGTTCAAGGCATTCTGTTCATAAGTTCAATGACCAATTCAGTTAAGTCAATTTGAAGCCCCATGTAGACTCACCCTAATTTCTTTTTAGAAATAGCTATTAACAGTCCCCCCAAATTAAAGTCACATATTCAAAGCCTATTATGATGTGGCCATAGGTAAATGGACCTTTAAAAACTATTTCTTAGGCTGGGTGCAGTGGCTCATGCCTGTAATCCTAGCACTTTGGGAGGCTGAGGCGGGCTGATCACCTGAGGTCAAGAGTTTGAGACCAGCCTGACCAACATGGAGAAACCCCATCTCTACTAAAAATGCAAAATTAACCAGGCGTGGTGGCACATGCCTGTAATCCCAGCTACTCAGGAGGCTGAGGCAGGAGAATCACTTGAACCCGGGAGGCGGAGGTTGCGGTGAGCCGAGATCGCGCCATTGCACTCCAGCCTAGGCAACAAGAGCAAAACACCGTCTCAAAAATAAAAATAATAAAAATAATTAAAAAATAAAAACTATTTCTTTCATATAAAGCAATGTGTCATAAATGAGAGAGAGAGACTCCTTTATTAACCTTGGCAATATGGCAGTATGGAAGAGATATCAACTGGCTAGGCTGCAAAGAATTTGTAAAAGACCTTTTGAGAAAATCAGGTGACTAGGGCAATTTATGTAAGGTTATTGCCCAGAAACTGACACTCACATAAAAGAGATGTCATTGTCAACTACTACAGTGTCAGAGCTGTTTCTCAAAATTATCCTGGTTTAAATCAAGCAGAAGAGCTTACTCTAGTGTTTTCTGTTCTTTGAAATCATGCCATAAATAAACATCTGTAATAAATATGTCTGAACATTATAGGGCTAGTATGACTATGTTGGGAGTAATAGATTTGAAGTGCATGACGAAATAAAAGGAATATGCTGATGTCAAAGGAAGTAAAAGTTGCTTTATTTGTCTAAGAATAAAAGACATTGGGTCCCCAAAGTCTAAACAAAGAACAGCTCTACAAAAGATGCTCTTCCCATGGATAGTGACACAGCTCAGTGACAAGTGATCAGTCATGGGAGCCAGATGCCCTGTGTTTGAGTCCCAGCTTTGCTGTTAACCAACAGTACAATGTTGGGCAAATTATGTAACTTCTCAGTACTGTTGTTTTCTTATTGGGAAGAACAGCAATACCTATGGCAATGGGTAATTTTGAAGAGTAGCCTGAGTTCATAAAGTATGATCAGTGCCTGGCACATAGTAAGTTTATAACATAAACTTATTAATATTATTATTATTCTCCACTTTTCAAGGAAAAGTTCTCCTAACTTCAAATCAATAATAATTTGTGTGTGTGTGTGTATTTTCAGTAGAGATGGGGTTTCACCGTGTTAGCCAGGATGGTCTCGATCTCCTTACCTCGTGATCTGCCCGCCTCGGCCTCCCAAAGTGCTGGGATTACAGGCGTGAGCCACCGCACCCAGCCTAAATCGATAATAATTTTAAAAAGCTATAAAGTGTTTTTACTTCTTATGCTTTTAGGAATATAGCTCTTTTTAATTCTAGAACAAATCATACAATTTTCCCACATAACATAAGCATGTATAGTATATACATATAAAAGACAATTGGCTGGGCGCAGTGGCTCACATCTGTAATTCCCAACACTTTGGGAGGCTGAGGTGGGAGGATCACAAGGTCAGGAGTTTGAGACCAGCCTGGCCAATATGGTGAAACCCCATCTCTACTAAAAATACAAGAATTAGCCAGGCGCAGTGGTGCACACCTGTAGTCCCAGCTACTCCCGAGGCTAAGGCAGGAGAATCGCTTGAACCCGGGAGGCGGAGGTTGCAATGAGCCAAGATTGCACCATTGCACTCCAGCCTGGGCAACAGATCAAGACTCTGGCTCATTAAAAAATAAAAAAAAAAATAAGACAATTGAAATGCTGTGTTGCTCATGAATATTATGATGATGTTGTTTTAAGGAAGTTTGCAGTTGTATGGCTTAAAACTTCTTTTAGAGAGACATCTATTCTCTATTGAAAACATTTTTTGAATTAGACTTCTCTTAGAGTGGCCTCCTTGTAGCATTTTTTTAGTGGATTTTTTTTCTTTTTACTTTTTATTATAGAAGTTTTCAAACTTCACACAAAAGTAGAAAAAATAGGATAATGAGCACCTATGTACTTATTATCCAGTTTTGGTAATTATCAACATTTTTCATTTCCCTTCGCCAAAATGTTGGAATATGTTGAATCAAATCTAAGATATCACAATATTTTATTTGTAAATATTTCAGAATTTATAATAAAGACTTCCTTTTTTAAAAAGTAACATCACGCCTGTAATGCCGGCACTTTGGGAGGCCAAGGTAGGTGGATCACTTGAGGTCAGGAGTTCAAGACCAGCCTGGCCAACATGGCAAAACCCTGCCTCTACTAAAAATACAAATATTAGCTGGTCTGGTGGCAGGCACCTGCAATCCCAGCTACCTGGGAGGCCGAGGCACAAGAATCGCTTGAACCCGAGAGGCGGAGGTTGCAGTGAGCCTAGATTGCGCCACTGCACTGCAGCCTGGGTCACAGAGTAAGACTCTGTCTCAAAAAAAAAAAGTAACAACAATACAATTGCACGTAAAAAATTATCAAAATTCTTAATATTCAAATTGTCTTAAAAATATATTTCTATAGTTGATTTACTTAAATCAAGATCCAAACCTTTTAGTTTATATTTTGGAAGCTATTTCAGCTTTATACTTATTCTAAAGGAAAATGAATGACTACAGCTGCAACTTGAAATTGAAATCATTATAATAAGAGAAAGCTAGAATGAGAAATGGGAGTCTCACAATAGGTTTGGGTTTTATCTGTAATACTGACCTAGGGTTCTATTACATGATGTTTGAGTCTTTTGCTACTGCAATAAGAAGAAAAATAATTTTTCTAAAGTACTGTGGTGTAAGAAGCATAGAGAGTTCGAAAATAGCCTGTCTGTGGGCATTGCAATCCCCTGAAGTTGCGTGATCTGGTCAACATCTCAGTCTTTGAAAGTCTTCTGGTTGTAGCTCCTACTTCTCTATTCCATACTCTCTCTTTTCTTCCTTGTAAGTATTTCCAAAGGACTTGTCTGTGACATTTGTACCTTGGTTCTCCTATTTTACAATCATGCTTCAGTTTTTTTTTTTTCTTTCTCTTCAGGACTCCTTGCATACCTCTTAAGACATGAACCTAATATTTTTATTGGACTTCATTGTTTTTACAGTTGCTTTAATATGACTGCCATTGCAGCCCTCAGGTATTCTTACAAAAAGACACTTAATTAATTACTTTATTGGTTACTAATAATTATCAGACTATATGAGGTTTCCCTTTCAATGTAGGTGGGTAGGAAATAAGTAGCAAAGGTAGTATTTAAATAGAGAAAATGTTAATATGTTTATATTGGGGGGATTCTAAAAATAAATAAACACACATCCTCTGTGAAGTCCTACAACATACCCTCTTACAGCTATGAAAGCTAATGAGAAAATCATCTTTATTGATTAGGATCTCAAAATAGAGCCTTTTATCTTGTCTACTTCTTTTCCTCAGGTTCCATTTATTATCATAAAATCACCACTGCTATTCTTCTCTTTGTAATACCGTCTACAGTCCAGTTTATTAAAGCTGGGTAGAGTGATAGTTAAGATCCTAGCGTCTGAAATCAGCTTGGATTCAAATCCCAGCTTCATTACTTCTTAGCTGTGTTTTTGGGAAAATCATTTAGTCTTTTCTGTGACTTGGTTTCCTCATCTATAAAAATGGGTGTAATATACCTACATACCTACCTTATTATATATTTGATTATAGTTTGGCAAATATTCACTCCTATCTCCCTTGGGGTAGAGTATTTTTTCCTCCCTGCCAATGTTAGTCTTGGTCATGGGATGTGGGTAGAAGTGACAGTGTGCCAGTTCCAAGCATCCTGAACCCAGGCATCATGTGTTTCCGTTTGTACTCTTACACTCCTACCGACACCGTGAGAAGAATACGCTCCACGTAGCTGTTTGTCCTGAATGATAAGAGACATATGGAGCAGACCTGCTCCAACACACACCCTGGAGCCAAATCTACCCTGCTCACAGCTGGAAGCAGAGGTATGCAGCAGAGCTCAGCCTAGCTCACCCAAACAATAGTTGCCCTGCAGACTGATGAAAAAGATAACTGTTGCTGTAAGTTACTGGGTTTTTGGGTGGCTTGTTACAAAGTGTTATTGCAGCAATAGCTAACTAACACATAAAATTATTGGAAGGATCAAATGAGATAATTTATGTAAATAATTTAGCATAGTGCTAGCCATATAGTCATGCTCAATTCAGGTTGCTATTATTATAATATTATTATTATTTTACTTTTCTGGGTACAAAAATCTAAGTTATATACTGTGGTTAATTAATAACACAGTGTTAGATCCTCTACAATGAGCAAGAGTCTGAGTTGGCTTCCACACAGCTCTTGGTATTGACCATAGATGGTACTGAATCTGGCAGATGTGGACAACTCTCTGACTCTCCCTGTGGCTCATGTGGTTCCACCCCTTTTATCCTTCACCCTATTCAATATCTTATCTAGTTTGTGGGGTGTGAAAAATTGTCTCACAAGCATGCATCTGAATATTTTGTCTTACGTTTATTCCAGTGGCTATTAAACTCCATGCTTGCTACCTTTATTCTCTAATTTCCCCAAATAGAAGACTCCTATACAGGCTATGAAGGGTGAAAGAAAGAGGAGGAAGTCCTTTGAGATGTAACTCAAGAAATTATATGAGGTAGTAGGAAGGCGGAGACAGATAAGAAGTAATGAGAAGTCACAACTAACATTTTTCTTAAGTTTAAACTTAGTTTGCTATATATATTTTAGTTTCCATTACAGTTAATACCTGGGGTTACATTGTTACATTCAATGTGTTAAAAAGGAAATGTGTTTATCAAAAAGACTATTACTAAAAATGTGAACTCCACATCATCATGTACGTAATATCAAGTCAACAAACATTTTGGGGGGCACCTGCTATGTATCTTGTAGTGAGACATGATAACATAATACATACTATATTTTACTGATTCTGAGACACACATTTGTTCATATTTTAATGTCTCTGAAATCAAGATGTAGCTGGGACTATGGGCATGCACCACCGTGCCCAGCAGAAGTATAATTTTTCTTGTTTTTGCAAAGTGAGATAGTTATTATGCATTGGGCTCTATTATCCAAAATATTCATTCCTTCACTTCATGCCTATGTTCAATTAGATACCAATTCCTAAGGGTTCTGTCGATAAGATAACTCTCAGATAAAGAATTCCTCCCAACCACTACTGTACTAGACTAAGCAATCATTTATTACCTCTTGGACTATTGTAAACCCCTCTTATGTAATTTATTATCTCTGATCTCCCTTTCTGCCTTTTATCTGTGGTCAGGGTGATTATCCTATCTCACATTTATGATCATATCTCTCCTATATTTAAAAAGACACAGTGAGGCCAGGAATGGTGGCTCACACCTGTAATCCCAGCACTTTGGGATGCTGAGGCAGGTGGATCGCTTGAGGTCGGGAGTTCAAGACCAGTTTTGGCAACATGGCAAAACCCTGTCTCTACAAAAAATACAAAAATTAGCTGGGTAGGGTGGCACATGCCTGTAGTCTCAGCTACTCAGGAGACTGAGGTGGGATGATCACTTGAGCCTGAGAGGTAGAGGTTGCCGTAAGCCATGATTGCACCACTGCACTCCAGCCTGGGCAACAGAGGGAGACCCTGTCTCGAAAAAAAAAAAAGTGGTTTCAAGGACTCCCAGAAAAATGTACGTGCTCTTTTAGCATAATATTCAAGACCATTGACAATCTGGTCTTATCCTACCTTCAAAGTGACCTCATAGCCCCCTTTAATACATTCATCCCAGCATACTGAATTATTCACTCTTCCCTTAACTCTATTTGTACTTTCACATCTTGACACCTTTGTTTATATTATGCTTTCTGCCTAGAATGCTCCTCCCCCTTCCTCCCTTACCTGACAATATCCTACCCATCATCCTTCAAGGCCCAGCTCAGAGGGTCACTGCTTCTGTCCCTCCTTCAGGATTAGTTATCTGCTTTTCTTAATCCCCATCTCACTTTTATTTTTACTTTTTTTTTTTTTTTTTGAGACCGGGTCTCACTCTTGTTGCTCAACCTGGAGTGCAATGGTGCAATCTTGGCTCACTGCAACCTCTACCTCCCAGGCTCAAGCAATCCTCCCACGTCCCCTTCAGGTAGCTGGGACTACAGGCATGTGCATGCACCATACCCAACTAATTTTTGTATTTTTGGTAGAGGCAGGGTTTCACCATGTTACCAAGGCTGGTCTTAAACTTCTGGGCTGAAGTGATCTACCCACCTCAGCCTCCCAAATTGTTGGGATTACAGGCATGAGCCGCTGTGCCTGGCCTCCCACCTGACTTTTAAAACACCTTTATCATTTATGTTTATGTTCACAGTGGCTGCTGTGTATTTAGTGGGCTCCAAATACAATGTTTGTTAAATATTTATAGTGCAGCTACTTGGGAGGCTGAGGTGGGATGCTTTCTTGAGCCCAGGTATTTAATGCTGCAGTGAGCCATGATCATGCCACTGCACTCCAGTGTGGGTGACAGGGCAAGACCCTGTCTCTAAAAAAACAAAGTTTGTTTAATAGAGAAAATTTATTTCCTCCACTTTACCCATTTTTATGCAATATAGATGAAGACAGCAAAAGGCAAATTCACAACAGAAGTTTGGTTAATGAAATGTACATGGAACATATACCCTAGGATATAAACACATTTAGCACAGTCCACTCTCATTGTACTTTACAACCACACATTGTGGCATTAATAAATCTGACGTATTACAAAATCTTCACAATCTAAGTATTTTAGGGTATATGTCCCACCTCCTAGAAGCCACCAATAAATACCGTGCTGCCCCACTAGCTGCCCAAGATGCTCTTTTTTCATCTCAGGTGGGAGAGTCCACTGCCTGGTGTCAGGACGTTGCTCCATATGCCTATAGGTTGGGAGAGCAAGATTCAAAATCTTTGTCTTCCACAGTGGAAGGCAAGGTTATATATCCCAACAAGACCACACTCAGTGAGGAATTCCTCCAAAGGTAAAAGCCCAAAGGAGTGTTACAGTGTTTTCTCAGACTACTCACTGTAGCCACTTTATAGCAATTCATTCTATTAGGAAAGTGAATGGAGGTCTATAAAATAATTTTGAAAGGGCAGGCAAAGATCAAATTGTGCAAACATTAAGTACTCCAAATCAAAACATGACTGACCTGAAAATTCATCCTATGGATGTACTGGCAATCTTTAAATGCAAACTTTGAAAGGCAAATTTGGTAACCCACATACTAAATGTCAATTAATTAGAATGTTTAGGCCACATGTAGTGGCTCAGGCCTGTAATCCCAGCACTTTGGGAGGCCAAGGCAGGCAGATTGCGTGAGTCCAGGAGTTCAAGATCAGCCTGGGTGACATGGCAAAACCCTGTTTCTATAAAAAATACAAAAATTAGCTGGGCGTGGTGGGGCATATCTGTGGTCCCAGCTACTCAGGAAGCTGAGGTAGGGGAATCACTTGAGCCTAGGAGGTTGAGGCTGCAGTGAGCCAAGATCGCACCACTGTACTCCACCCTGGATGACAAAGTGAGGCCCTGTCTCAAAAACAAACAAAGGAATATTTAGGGAATTGAATCTTCTTGTTAAATTTCTAACTAGCTGTGATTAAGCTGTTAAAAAGATCCACAAACATTTATATTTCAGATCTCGCCACTAAAAGTTTTGCTGTCACCCACGCTGGAGTGCAGTGGCATGATCATGGCTCATTGCTGCATTAAATGCCTAGGCTCAAGAAAGTACCCCACCTCAGCCTCCCAAGTAGCTGCACTATAAATATTTAACAAACATTTTATTTGGAACCCACTAAATACAAGCACATTAGCAGGCACTGTAAACATAAACATAAATGACAAAGATGTTTTAAAAGTCAGGTGGGAGGCCAGGCACAGCGGCTCATGCGTGTAATCTCAACAATTTGGGAGGCTGAGGTGGGTAGATCACTTCAGCCCAGAAGTTTGAGACCAGCCTTGGCAACATGGTGAAACACTGCCTCTACCAAAAATAACAAAAATTAGTTGGGTATGGTGCATGCACATGCCTGTAGCCCCAGCTACCTGAGGGGGAGGTGGGAGGATTGCTTGAGCCTGGGAGGTAGAAGTTGCAGTGAGCCAAGATTGCACCATTGCACTCCAGGTTGAGCAACAAGAGTGAGACCCGGTCTCAAAAAAAAAAAAAAAAAGTAAAAATAAAAGTGAGATGGGGATTAAGAAAAGCAGATAACTAATCCTGAAGGAGGGACAGAAGCAGTGACCCCCTGAGCTGGGCCTTGAAGGATGATGGGTAGGATATTGTCAGGTAAGGGAGGAAGGGGGAGGAGCATTCTAGGCAGAAAGCATAATATAAACAAAGGTGTCAAGATGTGAAAGTACAAACAGTTAAGGGAAGAGTGAATAATTCAGTATGCTGGGATGAATGTATTAAAGAGGGCTATGAGGTCACTTCAAAAGTAGAATAAGACCAGATTGTCAATGGTCTTGAATATTATGCTAAAAGAGCATGTACTTTTTTCTGAGAGTCCTTGAAACCTCTCTTCTTTTTTTCTTTTCTCTTTTCTTTTCTTTTGTTTTCGCTGCAAAAGCAGAGATGCCCATACCTTAGAGTTTTCCTGTGGTCTGACCTGCTGAACCCCTGGCTCCTGCCTGTTTCCCAAGCTTCCCCAAGCCTCCCTCAGCCTCCTAGGACCTATGAGCTCTGCTTCTCCACGTCCCCTTCCCCCTTCTTCCAGTGTTATTTTTTTTTAGACAGTTAGAGTTTATTATTGTTATTTGCAAGCAAGAACCCTGACTGATACTATCAGTACTGCAAGGGAGCAGAGAGTTCTGGACCTGGAGTCAGATTGCTGGGCCACTTAGTAAATGTGTATCTTCCAGCAAATGCTTGATCTCTTTAACCCTCCATTTTCTCATCTGTAAAATGGGAGTAAAACCAATAATTATGTCATAGGGTTCTTGTGAGGATTGAATAAAATAATCTCTATGAAGTATTTAGCACAAGCCCTGGTACATAAAGAAGCATTCGATAAATAGTAGGTTTTGTTATTACTAAAATTCTTTGTAATGTCCATGTGTTCACTCCACAAAACTCTGTTGCTCACTACATGAAAAACGCACCCCCATGCATACTGTGTTCAGTGTGGCGCTTAATTTTTTCCCAAGGGGTTTGGTTTGTTTTGCTTTATTTTCCAGTTTAGGACTTCAGTGCCTTTCCACACTGTATATCCTGAGATTTTCTTCTGGGCACAGCTTCTGGTCACTCTATCTGTATTTTCTTTCTTCATTTTTGTTGTACCAGCTCTGCTCCACCTCCAGGCCACCAAAAGGTGATCAGCTGCAGGTGGAGAGGACAAAATTGGTTGAAGCACGTCCTTTTTCTGCATCTGGTATACAGGGTTAGCAGCTTTAATGAAAATTTAAAAAACGAAACAAAACAAATGCACAGTCTATATCCTAAGACTTATTATGGAATCCTTAATTTATCTACTTAGCTTTTGATGGATTTTTTTTTTCTTCCACTGAAATGTATAATGTCCTCTCATAGTTAAACTGCAGAATCTTTTCCACTCAACTTCCTCGTTCTGGGATATAATAAATAGACAACGTATGGCCCAACAGCACACTGGAGACAAATTTTCTGTGATAGAAAAATGTTTTTTACTACACATAATGTTTCTCAAAGGAAGTAGGTCAAAACATAGATATCAATCCTCTATAACCATTTACTGAATACCATATTTGGTTTGAGAATATTAAAATGTAGTATGTTACTTTTCAAAGGTTGAGCATATTGCTATGGCTATTTTAATTTCCATAGCAGCTAGATGTAAATTAGAATAAAGAAGAAATTAAAATTATTTACCATCTCTGCATGCTTTATTTTCCAAAAAAAAAAAATGTGATAAAAAGGCTCAGCAGAGAGGAGCAGCAGAGTAGTATAGGTAAAAGCATCTCTCGCCTTTGTGGGAGTTGGCAGGTTGGGGCTTCTGGCCCGGATGGGCTGCCTCCTAGTATAACCCTGTGCTCAGCCTCACTTCCCTGAGGTGTGAAATAGAGACAATAACACCCTCAGTGTTGGTTGTGAGAAATCAATAACATAATATGTGCAAAATACTTGGCTCACAGAAGGAATTCAATACCCAATAATTGATGTTATAGCTCAACAAAGGATTGTGAGAGATTTAATAATTTTAATGATATTTGATTATCTAAAGGAAATATGATTTTATCTAAAAGGAATATTATTTTAAGTCTACACTAGTATCTATATAAATCAAAGAGAAGAATTCTGATTTCATCAGTGGATATTATCAAGGAAGGCAGTGGCAACGCAAGATAACTCAAGACACTGTTAAGTTTTATAGTTACTATAATTTTGAATAATTACTGAAAAATGTTCTCTGTTTCAGTTGGTCCTGGTATAATATTTCTTTGGGGCCACAACTCCAAAGAAACTATTTTTGTTTGGATACTATTTATATATTAAATAATTAGGCAGATGATGCCTCAAATCTACCTGAGTCAGAAAACTCCATTTTAAAAAATTAGTAAACACAAGATTGAGTCATAGGGTAAATATATGTATGAACTATAAGTATCAACGTAAAAGCCTCCGGTATTTACTAAACATAAGCTTCTTTATTTCTGTATACCTGAATTGAATCTCTGTTTCATAAGTCTACTATGCTAAGAGGCAGAAATGAAATCTCCATATAATCTCAGTTGATTTGGAATTCTCTTGCCCACCTCCTACACCTCCTAGTGCCTTTCTCATCAGGCTGGCATCTACATGGGGGGTATGGGGTGGGGGGCATCTACTCCACAGCCTCAGTCATCTCTCCAGCTGGCATCCTCTGAGATAGAAGTCCTCGTGGAGTCTCTGATCAAACATTTTGGGTGCAGGGCTACTCTGCTTCTGCAGTCTCTCAAAGCCACAGCTCTTTTACTCTCTGCTGCACATGAAACATACACGTTATGGTAGGTAGAGCATACTTATGGTCACCCCAGGACCTTCTGCCCAGGCTCCTCCATATACTATGCCTACCCTACGGTGCCTGCCTGTACCATGTTGGATTGGCCTATTCTGTAAGGCTCACTGCTGTTCCAGGCTCCATCTCAGAAGGGAGACAGAGTCACCTCTTCTCTCTACCCTCTGCCTTCAGATTTCCTCAAACCCATTCCCGTTTCTCCCCCCAACCCTGGGCACTGGGACCTGGTCGGAAATCTAATGTCTAAGCTCTTTTGCTCATTTGCTCCTTCCTTCTCCCAACCCCATAGAATCATGTTCTCTTTCTGGACTGGGAAAATTCCCTTTGGCATATCATTCCTTTTCCTAAACCTACGTTTATGGCCAACTTTATAATCTGAATCCTTCAGGTCACCAAGTGTTGACACAAAATCTCGGCTTTTCAGGCTGCTCTGTCTATGGAATAGCCATTCTTTTATTCCTGTACTTTCTTAATAAGCTTGCTTTCACTTTGAAAAAAAAAATCTAGGCTTTTCAAACTTGAAGAAAAATGTTTTCTTTCAAACCATTGTTTCTGTCTTGAATTTCACATTTCCATTTTAAAACCCAAAATCAGGCCAGGCACAGTGGCTCACGCCTGTAATCCCGGCACTTTGGGAGGCTGAGGCGGGCGGATCACGAGGTCAGGAGATGGAGACCATCCTGGTTAACACGGTGAAACCCCATCTCTACTAAAAATACAAAAAAAATTAGCCAGGTGTAGTGGCAGGTGCCTGTGGTCCCAGCTACTAGGGAGGCTAAGGCAGGAGAATGGCGTGAACCTGGGAAGTGGAGCTTGCAGTGAGCGGAGATCGCGCCACTGCACTCCAGCCTGGGTGACAGAGCGAGACTCCGTCTCAAAAACAAAACAAACAAAAAAATCCAAAATCATGGCCAACTTATGCTTTTCTGTGAATTTCTTTTTCTTTTCTTTCTTTCTTTCTTTCTTTCTTTTTCTGAGACAGGGTCTCACTCTCTCACCCAGGCTGGAGTGCGGTGGCCCGATCATGGCACACTGCAGCCTCGACCTCCTGGGCTCAAGTGATCCTCCTACCTCAGCCTCCCAAGTAGCTGGGACCACAGGTGCATGCCACCATGCCCCACTAATTTTTTGTTTGTTCATTTGTTTTTTGTAGAGACAGGGTCTCACTATGTTGCCTGGATTGGCCTTGAACTCCCTGGGCTCAAGCAATCCACCTCCCTCAGCTTCCCAAAGTGCTGGGATAACAGGTATGCAACTGGGGCTGTGAATTTCTTCTGTAACATCCTCACCCTGAAGCAATGGATGCCAAATCTAATTTGAATAAATGAGTGTGTGAGATAGAAAAGAATTAGTGGATACAAACAAAACAAAAACACTTCTTAATATATCAAAATATCTCACCACAAGTGGAAGTTGTCTTACGCTTTAGTTTCTCCTTAGTTGCCTGACCTAAATTATTTTTTAGTTAATGACTTGAGAGACTTACTATACAAATGGACAGACCATGCATGACAAGAGAACTCTGATCTACAACTGCTGCAGCAACAAGGCAGAGAAGCCGAACCACCATCTCTGGCTTCAATCAGAATGGTTAGGACTTGGTCAATGCCTGCCAGCTTCTTAATTTCTTACTGCCACCTCCATACCCTCTCCCTCTTCCCCCACCACCCTTCCAACTCAGGACCAACCATCGAACTCCAAATATCTCCAAATATGCTCCCCAAACCAATCACATAAGATGCCCTGCTTCTAGTTGCCTGGCCTTTTGGATAGCCTTCCTCAGCTTCTCCAGGCCAACAACATCCAATCAGAGCACACCTGAAGCCTTTCTTGTTTTTACACTGTGAAACTTTCCCACTCCCACACCTGCCTTTGAATCTCTGCCAAATGCAAGTGATGGTGGCTGTCTCCCTTACTTTAAATAAATAGCCTTTGTTCATGAGAACACATGGACACAGGAAGGGGAACATCACACTCTGGGGACTGTTGTGGGGTGGGGGGAGGGGGGAGGGATAGCTTTAGGAGATATACCTAATGCTAAATGACGAGTTAATGGGTGCAGCACACCAGCATGGCACATGTATACATATGTAACTAACCTGCACATTGTGCACATGTACCCTAAAACGTAAGTATAATAATAATAAAATTTTTTTAAAAAGCAAAAAAAAAATAGCCTTTGTTCTCATTTGGGTGGTCTTCATTTGTTTCCACAAACTTAATACACATAAAGCTGTTATATTCTAGATATGCACACTGATAGTTGAGCTTCATGCTTTTTTGTTTTTTGTTTTTTAGCATAGATATTTGGATTAAATACATACTGGGCTTTGATTTCTGCTTTAATGGATAAAAATTAAAAATTATAACTTGAAATGATTTTTTCCTTAAATTTATACGTATTGGTATACTTCCCTCAATGGGTACAATTGGAATGTTCTTAGACGTGTATATTGAAATCTCATTTTTATAGATTAAAATTATTACCTTTTGGCAAATTACTATTGAAAGAGACCCTATTAGATATTAATTTCAAAATGAAGAATATTGATTATGCAGGCAATTAGTTCTCATGTGTCAAGTTTCCTTAAATTGGTACACATCTGTATCAGTTTATACATATAAACCTAAGTAAAAGTAAAATAATAATGATCCTCAGAAAAGTAAATAATATACACTTGTTTATAGAAATTTGTGCTGTTTTATTTTTAGTTACTTTAGGAGACATTATGTGGCCACAACACAACAGCCCAAAATATAAATTACTGTTCTCATTTCACAAATAAAGAAATGAAGAGTAAGGCAAAATGCTCGAGACTTCACTAGTGTAGAGTGAAGCCCCTCATTCTCTTGCCAAAAACCCGGAGTTGGCTTGAAGCTACTGACAGGGAGTTTTGTTTGTTTGTTTGTTTTGTTTTCAGACACAGTCTTCCTCTGTTGCCCAGGCTTGAGTGCAGTGGTGCGGTCTCGGTCACTGCAACCTCCGTCTCTTGGGTTCAAGTGATTCTCCTGCCTCAGTCCCCTGAGTAGCTGGGACTACAGGCATGCACCACCATGCCCAGCTAATTTTTATATTATTTTAGTAGAGGTGGGGGTTTCAACATGTTGGCCAGGCTGGTCTTGAACTCCTGAATTCAAGTGATCTGCCCAACTCAGCCTCCCAAAGTGCTGGGATTACAGGTGTGAGCCACCACACTTGGCCTCAGGGAGCTTCTTTTACCCCTGTGACTGAAGGAGAGCCCCCATCCTTTTGGGAGGGTTGTGATCTTCACTTTGCATGGCAAAGGGGGCCAAGATGTTCTTGCAACAGCAAGGAGGGGAGGGGACCCCACTTAGATGTGTGCCCAGCTGGGTTGACAGAGCTAATGATGGCCAGATGACCCACACATACAAATAGTGCAAAGGAGGGTGTCTTTCCACTGTGCATTTGTCCACAGTGCACTTAAAATAAAATCCTGAGCCTTTACCATAACCTGCAGGCTTCATATAATCCGGCCTCTGCATTCCTCTTTTACTCCTTGTCCTGCCACTCTTCTTCTCATTCTCTACATTCCAGATACCTTTCAACTTCTCAAACATGCTGAGCATATCCA
This sequence comes from Homo sapiens, assembly GCF_000001405.40. Taxonomy (NCBI): domain Eukaryota; kingdom Metazoa; phylum Chordata; class Mammalia; order Primates; family Hominidae; genus Homo; species Homo sapiens. The sequence continues at coordinate 107,484,507 of NC_000006.12, forward strand.
TTCTTCAGCTCCTTTAAAATTCTGACCAAAACACTTTTCTCTAGGATTCTAAAATCTCTGAATGGATAGTTCCTTCTCATCTTCCCTGTTTCAGGTCAGATTTCTCCTCAGAGAAGTCTTTCATGATCATTTTAGCTAAAGCAGACACTGCCAATACACCCACCTTGTATCACATTGTCCTTTTATGTTACCTGTCTGGATTTAAAATTATCTTGTTACTTGTTTGCTTGTTTGTTGTCCCCTTTCCAGACTGTAAGCTTCAAGAAATTTGGGGACTTGTCTGTCATATTTGCTGCTGGATCCCAAGCACCCAGAACAGAGGGACCTCAGTATATATTTGTTGAATAAATGAATGAATAAATCATGAACCTCAATTGAGAATATGATGTCAGATATGTACTCACTCTCCAGAAAAAAAAGTGGACTGAAAAAAATGCATTTTAGGAAGTTTCAGAGCCTTGGAAGCTCATCTATAGACACCTGCTTAAAATCTGGCATTATTGTTGTGCTCTTTCATATTATTTTTGAAATTGATTCTAGAATTCTGTTCTTTGCAATTAAACATTCACATGAACTTCAAAAGTATGTTTTAGATACAATATAACAAATCACAGACCAAGCACTGCTCACTGGTTTTGAATAAAACAGACTCCCAATATTTATATTAATTTATATTTATATTTAATTTATATTAATGGGTCCTAATTACATGACCATATTTTAATGAACTGAAGATGCCTTTGTGGTACAAACATGATGTGCTTACCCATATCCAGTTCTCCTCTCTTTTGTGAGACGTGGAAGGATTAAACTTCCTAGCTTCCCTCGCAGTTGGGCAGAGCCATGTGACTAATTCTAGCCAATGGATTAGAGGAAAAAGTGACATGTCACTACAAGATTGTAGCATTTAATTGCTGGTGGGAGATCCTCCAGGGCTCTATTTTCCCCTAGAGTAGTGACTGTGGAAGCACAGTTGATACGGATGGGCAGTACCAAGCCATCGCATGGAGGATAGTTGCTGTGGAGAGTCACACAGATCTTCACCTGACTTTGTTTGAGCAACCTTTAAGTTCCTGAGGTTTTCTGATGATTTGTTATTGCAATACAACCCAATGGAGCCTAACACACCACTGCTTGGAAAAAGTACTGCCAGGCACTGTGGCTCACGCCCGTAATCCCAGCACTTTGGGATGCCGAGGCAGGCAGATCACGAGGTCGGGATCGACACCATCCTGGCTTAACAGGGTGAAACCCTGTCTCTACCAAAAATACAAAAAAGTACCCGGGTGTGGTGGCACGTGCCTGTAGTCCCAGCTACTCGGGGGGCTGAGGCAGGAGAATTGCTTGAACCCGGGAGGTGGAGATTGCAGTGAGCCACGATCGCGCCACTGCACTCCAGCCTGGATGACAGAGCAAGACCCTGTCTCAAAAAAAAAAAAAAAAAAAAAAGAAAAAAAAATGTACTGATATTTTATATACCATTGAGAAATAAAGATGCCATTTATAATTGTAAGAGTTCAGTGTAAGATGCATTACAATCTTACAGATGTTAAAATGGGAAAAATGTGGGCCTTAGATTCGATAAAATACAGATTGTTAAAGAAATTCAGAAAAGCAGATTCACATAGTGTCAAGAGCTCCAAACCTAGAGTAGGACAGAAAGTTATGGATTCAAATCCCAATACTTAATAGCTTTTCTCTCTCTCTCTCTGAGATGGAGTCTTGCTCTGTCGCCCAGGCTGGAGTACAATGGTGCAGTCTAGGCTCACTGCAACCTCCGCCTCCCGGGGTTCAAGTGATTATCCTGCCTCAGCCTCCCGAGTAGCTGGCACTACAGGTGCATGCCACCACACCCAGCTAATTTTTGTATTTTTAGTAGAGACGGGGTTTCACCATGTTGGCCAGGCTGGTTTCAAACCCCTGACCTCAAATGGTCTGTCTGCCTCAGCCTCCCAAAGTGCTGGGATTACAGGCCTGAGCCACCGCACCTGGCCAATAGCCTTTATCTTAATAGCTTATATAAGCCTTAGTTTCCTCATCTGTGAAATGGGGGTATAATAGTAGAAACAGCCTCATAGAGTTTTGTGATTATTAAATGAAGATAATTACTACAATGTGTTCAGCATAGTAATTATTTCACATATTTTAATCCCCATATTTGGTTAAATCACAGAGCTTTTCAAGATAAACATTAATTTCAAACAATAATACAGGAAAACTTTTTAACTTTGTTATTATATCATACTAATCAATCAGCTAGTGTTTATTAATTCCTCACCAGGCATGAGGACTCGGTCTCTGAGTTAAGTGTTCTTGGAGACAACAAAGAAACAAATGGGGAGGTTGGAGGCCTGAGGCAGACCACCCTGGGGTCTTCCCATCCTCTGTGTTTTCTAGGTGAATCAGGGTAGAATGATCATCAAGACTAGCCTTGAAGGGTAAAAGAAGTCACAAAATTGTACCTGAGGAATGTATGAAAGATCAGTCCTGTACCCATCTTGATGACTAGCAGGGGTAGTAGAGGGAAAATTGAGGATTAATTGCATGTCTGGAGCCTTGGGTGATATGTGTGGGTATAGAGAGAGAAAGCAAGCACGCAGGAGAGTGCTAGTGGTTGGGGAGCAAAAGGATACGTCATTGGAGCAGGAGTGGGGCTCCTCTGAAATGCGTATAATGTGTTGTTCCTACCTGTGTAGTTATACTCTTATGGATTATGAAGTTATTCAGGGAACATTATTTAACTCATGGTATATCTAAATTCATAAAGCATCATCTGTTGTTATAATTGTTTTCGTCTACAGTAGATATGAAGAAACCTAGGGTCATTAAAAGGTGTAACAATCATCATTACTTCTGAAGTTCATTCTAGACTAAAAGTTTTCCTCAGATATACTTTATGAGCCTTCTTTCTGTCACCAAAGATGTGCATTGTGGATTTCAATACAATGTTCTCACCTCAGTTTTCTGAAGGACATATGTTTGTGAAGGAACAGGTGGCTGTTTAATATCATTATTTTTATTAAATGCCTGAACCATCACAGAATAAGTAATTTTCTTTAAAGAAGTATAGCTGCCTCTAAATATAACTCTGGGCTACAGTTCACCTTTTCTGTTTATTTTATTCTTAACTTGTGAAACTGTATCTTAGGACTTGGGGTATATAACTTGCTATTTGATATCAGCTGCTCAACAGTGAATCAGTTGTAATGCTTCTGGCACCAAAGGAAACAGAGGGGACTTAAATATGTTTACAGAAGACAAAAAGCTGCTTTTTGCGTACAGTTTACAACATATGTTTCCACAGTTTTAGAATATTAAAAAGCCCCCCAAAAAGTTTTCTCACTATTTCCCTCATTAAAGACTAACAGGATCAAACAGAGAAAACAACTCTCCAACCCACATATTATTTATCAGATGTTTTGGATGAAATTCAATTTAAAAAACCAAAAGTCTCTCTCTTCCTCTCCCTCTCCCAGCAACAGCATTAGGGAGATACTCCCCACCGCAAAATACACCCACTCACCCACTGGCGAATGTTGCACTATCATTCCAGGAGTGGGGGGAGGTTGCTGCGACAGCTTTAGGCTCCTCTCCGCGTTATTGGGTCGTCGTAGGTGCGCTGTGGGCTGCTGCGGGCTCTGAGACCCGGCCACAGGACTCGCGGCTCACGACCTGAGTGTACCTAGATAGGTTCTCAGAGGCTACTGGGAAAATCGCAAATACAGGACGCCTGTACTGCAAAGCTCCCCTAAAACCTCATCAGTCTTCCTCTCTTGACTCTTGGGCGTCCCAGGAATTTTAACTTTTCCTCGGCGTAAGTGTTTCTCGCGCGGACCCCTTGCAGGCGCAAAGCCTGGCTCGCTCTGGCCTCCTGGCTTGCCCAGGATCTAGGCAGCCACGGGGAGCAGGGTGCAGCTTCCCCTCGCCTCCCCGGGACGGGGAAGAGAAGAAATCAGGAGGGAGGAGGTACTCAGCCCTCCTGGGTGCACTCCCAGATGTTTTTAAGTTGGCGTTTATTAAAAACAAAATGATGCTAAAATGCAAAATAGGCAACGTGGAGGTACTCAGCTCTCCTGCGTACACGCCCATGTATCTCTAATGTGACATTTAAGAAACAAAACAATGCTAAAATGCAAATTAGGCGATGTAATACCCAGAATGAGCCTCGTTTGACAGGCCAAACTGAGATTTAATGGAAAGCTTACTCATATCCCCACACGGAATTCATTCTTTTAGGAACTTAAAAAAATTGTGTAATTTTAAGTTCCACCACTGTCATAACGAACACTCCACAGTAACATGCAGTGGAACAATGGACACCCCCATATCGCATTGTGTCAGGTAATTATGAAGTGTCGAGGCGCGGGAAGGAGAAGCCGGGAACGTCAATGTGTCCTCTGCAACGTGTGGGAGCGCTCAGAGCCGCGCGTATCACAGAAACATCATCCAGTCGTCACCCCCAATGCCTCAACCCAGGGACAGGGACAGACTCAATCAGACCTCGGCCCCAGGCGTGGCAGGAGAGGGCCAAAGAGGGGACTTGTGAGCGCAGAGGGAGCGAGCACCGCTCCATGGAGGGCAGGCGCTAGCTGGGAAGTCGGGAGGAGAAAGTGCAACCAGGCGGGGAGGGGAGGATCCCACCGGGGCGTGGCGAGGGCGTTCGGGGTCCGGGTGAGCGGGACCCTACGCGGGACCGTGCGCTCCCAGAAGCTCCCACTCAGCCCAACCTTTTGGGCGAAACCCAGGACACCCAGATAAGGGTGCAGGCGGGGTCACGCGTAAAGCTGTTACTTTGAAGCAGGGCATAAGTGAGAGAGAGATAAAGAGAGAAGGAACAAGGGGAAAAAGAAATGAAGGGGCTGAAGGCCGAGATGTCCTACTTCTAAGTAGTTCTTTGAGAGGCAAAAGCTTCATTGCCATTGCAGTCCGAGGCAGCGCCGCGTGGAGGACCGGCCGGGCGGGGCGCGGGGACCTCTCCAAGGGGTCTCCAGCCTCCGCGCACTCTGCGGTGGCCCCCGGAGGGGGAAACTATTCTGGCAGCTCAGTGGGGGGAAGCTCGTCCGGGCTGTGGTTTCCTTTCCCCGAGACCCCAGCGTTGCACCCCCGAGGCGGCAGGCTCAGTCAACCCTCCCCGGGGGACGGCGGCCCTCTAGCCAGGCGACCTCAGGTCTCGCGACCTCCCGCCGCCCAACCTTCTCCTTTCACCCCCATTCATTTTTCCTCAGCGGCTCCTAGGACGGGCTCAAAAACCAACTCCACACGCAACCCAGCCCACCTCGCGGAGCTGAGAAGCAGGGCTGGGTTCCGAGCGGGCGCCGGCGCCCCTGGCGTGTGGCGGGGAGGTGGCGGCCGCGGGGGGCGCCGCGAGCCGCCCGTGCCCGCCGCGGATGAACAGGCGGCTGCGAGCAGCCCCCGGAGCCGCGCAGCATCCGCGTATCCAGTGACGGTGGAAGCCACGCCCGCTCGAGAGCCGGGGGGCTGTCCTCGCCCCCCCCACCTTTCCCCTCCCTCCGACCCCCTCCCGGCCGCGCTCCCTCCCCTCCTCCCGCGCCGGCCCCCGGCCCGCCCCCGGCTCGGCTCGCGGGAGGCGCTGGGCGCCGGGGCTGGCGCGCTCTCCCGGGCTCACACACAGCCGCGCACGCACGCCCGGGGCCGCTCTCCGCGCCGGCCCTTGCTCCCCGCGCCCATGCGGACGGACCGAGCGACGGAAGATGGCTGACGACTCCACGGGGCCCCGAGGATGCGGCCCGGCGGCGGCGGCGGCGGGAGCGGCAGCGGCAGCGAGGGCGGCAGGGGCAGCGGCAGCAGCGGCGGCGTTGGCTGCGGCGGCGGCGGCGGCGGCAGCAGGAGCCGGAGCGACGGCGGCGGCATCCCCGAGACTCTCCGCACTATCCTTACCCGTGACAGCCACTGACGTCCTCCGCCGCTAGAAGAGACCCCGCTTCTCGGCGCCTGCCCTCCCCCTCGCGGCTCGGTCCGGCCCCGCCAGCACCGCTACCTCCGCCAGCCTCGCCACCATCAGCACCACCTCCACCGCCGCCGCCGCCGCCACCACCACCGCCGGCGGCGGCAGCAGCCATTTCATCTCCACAGAAACCAGACACAAAAACATGGCAGAAATGGAGAAAGAAGGGAGACCTCCCGAAAATAAACGGAGCAGGAAGCCGGCTCACCCAGTGAAAAGGGAGATCAATGAGGAGATGAAGGTATTTTTTGATCTCGGGGGCCAGGGAGACTGAGCTCTTTCTTGCGCCCGCTCCCCGTGGGCCGTGGTATGGATCTGGGGGGTACCGGGGCGCGCTTGTCAGTTTCTGTAGGATGCCCAGAACGGCTCCGCTCCTCCTCCAGGTGTAAAGCAGAGGCCAACTCGAGGGCTGCATCCCCGAAATTGTTGCCAACCTCAGATTTGATGAGGGGGGACCACATACTATTTAACCTTACGAATCCCAGGTTGGCACGGACGCGTTTCAGGGCGAGGGCACCGGGGACTCGAGCGGCGTTGGGCAGGGGAAGAGGCTTTCCCAGTGGACGGTGCAGTTTCTCCCCCCTTTTTGAGAATCATCCTCAGGGTCCCTCCAAAGTTAGGAGCCTCCTGGCCGGGGCACCCCGGAGAGAGCTCTATTCCACCCCTCTCCCCCAGCTCACCCTCCTGCTCCTCAATCCCGCTTCCCCCCAACCAACCAGCTGCGACGGCGTGAAGAGCCCGTCAGTGCCCGGCGAGCTGCGGCCCGAGAGGCGCGGGTCTGGGCACGGTCCTGACCGCTCTCCTCGCCCGCCCCCGCCCGCACCTCACCACTGGCAGCCTCCGCCTCCCGCTCGCCTCTGCCTGCCTCACTTCCCAGCCAAGCAGACCCCGGCCAGCCCCGCTGGAGGACAGCTGTCTGAGGGGCGGCCTTTGCAGGGCGCCTGTCCATTGTTCGCTAAGGCCGGCCCGGAGTCCTCTCGGCGAGGCTGGGCTCCCCGCCAGGCCAGCGGTGCACCAGAGGTGGAGAGCGCAGCAGCCTGGCGCTCCAGCTGTTCGCGTTAGAGCAATTGCACAAGAGCACCGCTCAGCTCTGGACCCCCTCGTTGCCCCCCACCTCCTTATTTTCCATGAAGTTGCGGCTTTTGCCTGGGCGAGGGTTTTATTCTGTGTTGATTTCACGAGTCTCTATTGATATAAAACAATTTATTTATTTTTCTGCGAGCCATCAAAAAGTAGCAGGTTTGCATTTTGCGGTCTTCTTGGTGTTCCCCATCTTCTGCATGAAATCCTTAATACTACCAGGTGGCTTAATACTACTACTTGGCCAGTTTTGGTTCAGTTTGTATTTAAAAAACAAACTGGATGAAAATGGTGTGCAAGTAAGTCAAATTTATTGCGCTTTGACGCTTTCTTCATTAGAACAAGCATTTTCTATCATAGCTCACGCTTAGCAGGGGACGCATGGATATATATCATATATGTATGCGTACCTAGGTGCATATGCTTAGCTTTACTTCTCAGAAATGTCAGAAGCAACCTAAATATCAGAATTAGGGGTTTTATTACTGGATAAGGAACTTAGTACCTGGAAGCATGAGGTGCAGCATGAGTCCAACGGAGAGTTAAGGGAGATTTGCCTTGGAAATCAATGCTGTTTCTTATGGTGGAAACCACTGTTGATTCCAATGATGGACAGTTTTATTTTATTTTTTTTAAGACCGGTAGAAGTTGTTGTTTTTTGATGGGAACAAAATTCAAACAGTCCATAATAACCATTCTTCCTCACTTACCCTTACCTCCTGTCCTGCATTTCCAGTTTACTTTTGCATTTCATTTTAGGTTGGGGGTGGGGAAGGGGGAGAGAGGTGAAAGCCACTAGGAAATCACAAGGAGCTCTGGCCCTTTAAAACGCTGCCTAATGTGATCTATATGGATGGCAGCTTTTAAGTTTCATAGGTTCTAGAATTACAAATTAGCTAATTTTAATCAAAACATGTGAAATGTTATCCCGGCTGGATATAAAGGCTGACTGTGCTCGATGCTTGGGGCTCGCGTTGTTGATTTTGGCTGCAGGCGCAGTCCGTGGTTTGGGAGATAGTTGTCCTTCTGCAGTATAACAGATGTTTGTCTGAACTGGTGAGGAAGAAACAAAAACAACATTGTGTGAAGGGGAAAAATTACACAATTTTTAGCCGATGCTGCAGGACTAAGTATGGAATTAACCTTGGTGCACAGAATTTCCTCTTTTTAAAATATTATTTTCCTTCCAAATCACCACCCACTATTTGAAGTTTTAATCCTCACCCTTTCAATCCAGAGTAGCATTAAATAAGAAGTTTTACACGGCAAATAACTCAATTGTCTGTAGGATCAGTGTTTTCTCTCTTCTTTGGACCAAAGTAAAATACCCCTAACCAAAAATTTTAGTCATGTTCAAGTATACCATGCCTGAGAGTCTAGTGGAATTGTTTAGTAGGCATTCTTCTAATATAACAGCACCAAAAGTCCTCACTTAAAAAGTGGTTTCTCAAAGTCAAAAGGTGGAAGGATTATTTTGAGCTCCTTAATATCTTTCTGTTTTTAATATTAATAATCACATCAGCAAAACCCCTCCCCAAACATCATGATACTATTACTCCTCCAGCTCCCTGAACCTAAGTGTAGAGTAACATAACAAGTTGGTTGCCCTGTATATAAATGTGTGCAACAAAATGTCACCGAGAACACAATGTGGCCTTGTGCAGCTTCATATCGGTGCCGCTGGAGCTGCCTGGCTGTGTTTGCCTTCATCTGAACGGCTTTCATCTGGACCAGTGTAAACTAAGCCCTGGTAAGTAATCACTGCCCGGCAGAAAGAAAGGAATGTATACAGCTAGCGTGGCCTAAGCTGTAAAAACGGAAACCTGAGCCCCCACCTCGGATCACATATCAAGGCTTGAAGGTAGGGGAAATGAAAGGGGGAAAGAAGAGAGAGCAAATGGAAAAGTCAGCCTGGGAAGTGGAGGATCAGGAGGAGGCCCCCCTTAGGGAGATTTGGCTCAGGGATTAGGGAATTTTATCGTGGTGTACAGTGACCTACTCAGGTTTCAACACTGGTTGGATTGAGTTGCTTCTCTGTGAGCTGAAAGAAAAAGGACTGGTGTGTATGTGATTTTTTTTCCCCCTTCGGGTAATAGAAAGGACATTGGTACAAGTGTCTATTTTAAGTACAGCAAATGCAGGGCACTGAGAATGAGCAACAAACTTGCCTCATCACGGAGACTTCCTTCAAGATTTCCTAATTGAGATAGTCACATATTTATTTTAAAATGGCTGGAGAAGACAAACTGGCTGAGGTTTAGCTGACACCAGTAATGGCATTGAAGAGTGTCTTCATGTGGCTGAGAGCTAATGCTAGTTGCTGTTTCACTAGATCAGATATTGAGTTACATTTTCGTTATCACTGGTTTAATGTACATGGCAGTTGTAACAAATTTAAATTTGATACAATATAATTTTGTGTATGAAAAGTACATGACTTGGCATAGCTTGCTTGTAGTGTACTCCCTGAAAATATCTTCATGTAGAAATGTTTGTCTCACTATGACCTTTACAGTGTTTCTTTATCTTTCCTTTTCTTCTTCCCTTATCCTGGTTTTTCCTGATTAGAAAGACTGGTTGTACCAATGTACTTACAATTAGTCTGCCTTATTTAATTAGTGGCTAGTAGAATTTTAAAAAATCAGACAGCGATGCAGAGTATATGTTTCTAAAGTGAATGTTGTGATTGTGTCTAATGTAATATGTCTCAGGTATACTGTTAGCTCACATATATCATAATAAATGAATGTCACAAGGGAATTCTGACATATGGGAAGGTTAATTAGTTTTAAGAGTTCATCCAGAACATAGTAGATATAATATAAAAACTAACTTCTACTAGTGGATGTGTAAGCGTAAATATATGTGTAAGGTAAATATTGTTGCCCTTAAGGATATATATTTTGTGCACATAGATCTTTTGTGATCAGTAGCTACCAAACAACAATACAACTCAAAATATCCAAACTGTGAGTAGAGATTATGAGTTCAATTTTTGTCTTTTAAAATTCTTTGACAAAACCAGCATGATTAGATCAAGCATTCTGTGCTGGAAACTTTCCTAAACAAACCATAATTAATGCACTTACAATGTTTAACTTCTTTATCAATTGCTAAACTACAGGAGAATCTGTGTTAAATGTCAGAGATGCTTCTTTGCTGAAGAAGTTTTCTGTCTATAAATATTCTCAGTAAGTAATTTGTACCTAAAATTACGCTTCAGTCCTGATGCCTACAATTTGGGTCAGGCACATCTGTTAGAGTTTAGTAGTAAACTTACCACAAGATTTTCTAGTTTGTTTTCTGATGGTCTCAATTTGGCATTAAAAATAACCTGTGTCAATTGCACAGACAATAAAGCAAGTTGCAGAGCCGAGCTGGTGAGATAAATAGCTTGATTTTAAGAGAGAGAGAGAGAAATCAGAGCATGGACTGGAAAAGTCAGCAAGTTTAAGTTTGAAATTGGCTCATTATTAAAACAGGTATATTTTAAGTTTTGCTGTTGAAACTCTATCCTGGTGTCAGAAGCATAATTCTCAGGAACTTAGAAAGTGGACTTAGGACCCCAGATCCCACTGTGGCATTCACAAATTATGTTAGACTCCCCCTCTCTAAGCAGTGGCCTCAGGTGTGCCACGTGGCAGGGATGGGGACTAATGTTAGTGGGCACATAGCCCTGGCCTCTTGGGAGCAGGTATAAGATGTTCCTGAGCCTTCAGCCTTGCTCTCACTTGTCCTGCCAAAGGCTCCAAGCTAAACCCATAAAAGACTGTCCTGTGAGAGCTTGGATGGTTATGTATTATGGTCTGTTCAAACCAGGAGTTTTCTGGGAAGAGTCTCTTTCTCCATCCACGAACTGGTGTGATGTACGGTAGAGCGTCATTCTCTAAACTTACTTATACAACTCGCAGATTCCAGAGACGAGGAAATGGAAAGGAACCACTCCACTTCCTCTCGAATCTGAAATAAACATTTGAACTAGAAGAAAATGAGTCTGACAGACTCATTCCCTTCTGCGTTTCCTGCCTCTGTGCTTGCCAAGCACTGCTCTGAGAAGCCAAGCCCTACTCTCCTTGTGTGAAAGACAGACTTATAGAAACCAAGAGGTAACAGAATTTTTAAAGGAAAGTAAAAAACAGGGCCTTAAAAAAGGGCAAATATTAGTGAGCACAGTGGCTCTCTAAAAGGGAGAGTTCTAGGAAAAGGTAGTCTCTTGTTAGGGTAACCAAACTTTTTATATCTTATATAAAATTCCCTTTTATTTACTGACTCTTTATACTTAACAAAATTATTACAAGTAGTAGAAGGTATACCATCAAAATCCCTAAAGTCTAAAACTTCCTCTTGTGGAATGGGAATTCAGCCACACTTGTACTCTCAAGCTAATAAGATTATTGAATATGTTCCTGAAGGAGAGGGGATATTACAGGTTAGAAGAGGAAAAAAAAAACACGGAAGACTTTGTTTTTGATAGTGCCAATTGAAACATGTAAACAGACATGAAAGCATGTGGTAAGTGAGATTTGCTGAATGTATATTTTAGGATCTGTAGACCGATGGGTGTTAATATCTCTTATATAACCAAAGGCCTGTGGAACTCTGTGCTGCATTAAGGCCAGTGACTTTGGCACAGACAGGAAAACAATGTAACAAGTCTTGGTGATTTTTTAAGGCAGTTCTGCAGCTGTGAAAAGACACAGCTGCACACAGCTGTACACCTGCCATGCCTGCCACAATGTTAGCCTGAGGGCTGGTATTCACAATTTCACAGCATTTGTTTGACCTTTTTAGGACATTTGATGTCCTGGCAGCAGATTAAAATGTGGGGACATGATTGTTTGCTCTGTATCACGACGAGACAGTAAAACACCATACATTTTATATGCAGAACCACATGATTTTGGTTTCATATGCCAATTATATAGCCATCCAATTTAGGATATATCAATAAGAGAGTAAGACTTTCTTTTCCAGCCTGTTCCAAGTCAGAGTTGAGTATTAGTGTTAATGATATGTCCTCTGCGTTAAAATCATTGTGTTGTGGCTAAGAGCAATTCTGCAAAATGGAGCATAGGAACCATCTTCAAAGAATTTCAGGCTCGAAAGCTGTAGTTCAGGTAAAAACAGCAGGGTTCAGTATATAAAGTCTGCACTGAGTGGGAATCTGGCCACCCTTACTATTTCATTCACATTGATGACCCTCCAGTGGGTCATCTGTGGGGGTGGCTCATCTTAACTATACCATTGGATCCAGTGGGATCATGAAAGAGGAAGTACTTTGTAATCTGCAAAGGGCTCTTCAAATATTTCTTTTGCACTATTTAAATTTTATGTCATGACCTTTTTCTTGGCAGAACCATAAAATAAAACTGATCCACTGGGTCTGTGTTAAGAAAGACAGCTCAGACTCAGCCCTGGGCCAGGCCTGAGAGTAGAGCTAGAAACTGACTTCTAACCAGATTCAATTCCTGCTTCACTCTGGAACTTGAACAAGGCTTCTGCCTGTCTTCTGCAGATTACCTTTCTTTATCTCTATTAATGAGTCCAATGATGCCTGATAGATATCTACTCCAGAAGTAAGTCAGAGCATATGGAGATGGAAAGGGAGATAAAATATTTTTCAGAAATAACCATCAGTCTACTATTCATAACCTTAACTAGTAGAGATAGTAGCATTTTTCCCCCATGCTTTATAAATTGTTTGGAATTGGGAGTTTCTTTTTCCTTTGAAAGCATTTCTCATGTGCTCCACTTTCTTGGATAATGGGTGTCAGAATGTTTTGAAGTTAAGTAATGTAACCAACAAATCCTTTTTATTGTCATTAGGACTGTGACTATAGCTGATGTAATTGTCTATGACTGAGACTATGTGTTAATTTTTAATTAAAACTAGTTTTTTATTTTTATGAAAATAATACATGGACATGACAAAAAGAGTAGGCAATAAAAATAAGCAAAAAGAAAAACAAAGCCTGTAATTTTCCCACCCAGACGCAATTACTGTCAACATTTTGATATATGTCTTTTCATGCCCTTTCTCTATATATGATATATAGTTTTTATAAAAAAAAGTCTCATACTATACTAACCTTCCTTTTAAAACTTAATGTACTGTTAATAGCTTTTCATGGCAATAAAAATGTATCTACAGTATATATTTTAGTGGCAAAATAGTATTCCATTATATGCCCAAACTATAATTTATTTAACTAGGATTCCTATTGTTTGGCATTTAGTTTGTTTCTAAGAAAACAATGCTGAAACATGCATATTTCCATAGCTGTTTTCCTAGAATAGTTTCAACAGTCCCTAGAAGTAAAATTGCTAAGTCAAAGGGTATGTACAATTTTAAGGCTTTTAATGCATAGAGTCAAATTACTTTTTCTAACAGTTGTAGCAATTTAAATTCCCAATAGCATGAGGGTGCTTACTAATACTACATGTTATAATTTTTAAGCTTTTACATATTTATTTTTAAAATTAGGTTTTCCTGAATTTTATTTGATCATTTCTCTGTAACTGCGTTTAAATAAATATTTGTGACTGGATTAAGTGCTAAGCATTGTGTTAGGTGAGGCATAAAATGAAATTAAAGGTTCCTACCCTCAAGTAACTTACATTGTTTTTGGAATAGATGACATATTTTACTAGAACTGGGACTTGCAGTGAAAATGGGAATTATGTTTATGGGGAGGGGAAGGGCATGACTTGCCCCTCATTGGGTGAGTGATTGGGGGCTCTTTGAATACTTCCTGCTGTCTTGGGTAGAATACAAATTTGAAAACACATTGGCATTCAGTTTTGCAAGGCCTGGTATGAAAAAATCAGTATCTGTGTTTTAAAATCTACTTGTTGTTTTCAAAATAAATAAAATCACCAGTTCTTTTTGAAGATTTTGAAGTACTTGTGTTTCAGAGGTATTTTGCGAATTTGTAATTACTGCTATTTTCAGTGTTATGAAGTCAACTCTTTATTATTTACCTGGTAAAATGTTCAATCAAAAATCACGTAGTGTCATTCACAGCTCCTCAGAAAGAAAAAAAAAATCATGTAGGTTGAACTTTGACATTTGTACAGTACTTCCAGTTGAATAAGGAAGGTGTTTGATGAATATCCTGGCAGTGTAAGATGCAACAAAAATTATTTTGCTGGTATAGGAAGAACTCAGGAGGAGTAAAGACATAGTAAAATTTAGTTTCCACCTATCTTTCTGTGACCTTTTTTTGTTTTTGTTTTAATTCTCAGAAGAGATCATGCTTTCAGACTAAATGTTAGGATTGCCTTTTTTTCTTATGAACACTAGAGGTGAGAGAGGAGAATTGGAGAGGGAAGGAAAGAGGCAGGGAAATTATGTAGTAGAAGTACAAAGCAATTAGAGTCAGATGTAGTATCAAAACATTGTGAAATGAGGAGATTCCATTTTAATTGTGAATTTTGAGCACCCCTGTTAAGGAAACTAGAGGTCAATGATCAAATCCAAAGCAAGCAAAGTCTTAACGTAAGTAGATATGCCCTGTTTAGAAATCTCTTTATATATGATATTGACATTCTCTTGCATGATATCTTTGCAGCTCTTTGATTGGTCCGGGAGGTAGCTTCTTTGCAATTGCGGATACATTGGGAAGTACAGAATTTATAATAGAAAGAGACCTGGCTTAAGAATTAGAAGATATGTATTTTAGTTTTGACTTTACTAGATCTCTCATGCCTGTCTTTTACCTTCTTGATGTTCTAATTTTCTGTCGTGAAAAGAGGATGTCATATAGGTTCACCAAAAGTTTATTGTGGAAATCAAGTACCTAACACATAGGGTTATTGAAAGGATCAGGAGAATTAAAAGATATAGAAACACTGTAAAGTGCTATAAGACTATTAGACATTATTATAATTACAGTGACCTATTTTCCAAACCCAAATTGGACCACATGGTTTGAGAGATGATTTTTGTGTCACTTCCAAGGGCAAGAAGCAGTCTGCAAAATGTAGTTCAGATGCCAAAATATTGAAATCTCTGGCACATTTTGATGATTTATGGGAGCAATGATAAAATATTTGAAATAATGACTCAGTAAAATTCATGAGGTATGATCACTGTAATTATGAAATTTCTTTGCAAAAGGTATTTTATTTCTTATATAAGTAGAAGTTCTTTGATTTTACAGAATCCTAAAACTGGGAGGCACTCTTAAGAGACTCTGCTTCATTTCCTGCCCTAGGTCTTCAGGAGAAATGCTGGGTAAAGATTTTGAGGGAGGCAGATATCATAACCTGCCTTCGTTCAGTGGCTTGTTTTATTACTGAACATCCTTATCTCGAAAATCTGTCTGCATTTTAACTACTATTACCTTTACTGTTTTTCACATATATATGTATGAAACACATGTATATATATATGAAACAGGAAATGAATAACTTTTTAAATAGGAAATTCCTTTTTAAGGGATAATAGTACAAAAACAATGCTGAAAAGTAACTGTTGGAATTCTCTGCTAGAAAGACTTGAAAATCTTTATAGGCCATAAACATTAAATTCATGTCTCTTAGAATATATTATGTTTCTTCAGGCATAGTAGCTCACACCTGTAATTCCAGCACTTTGGGAGGCCGAAGCAGGTGGATCACTTAAGGTCAGGAGTTTGAGACCAGCCTTGCCAACATGGTGAGCCCCGTCTCTACAATATAGAAAAATTAGCCGGGCATGGTGGCTTGCGCCTGTACTCCCACCTACTTGGGAGGCTGAGGCACTTGAGCCCCGGAGGTGGAGGTTGCAGTGAACCAAGATCATGCCATTGCACTCCAGCTTGGCCCACAGAGTGAGACCCTGTCTAAAAAAAAAAAAAAAAGGAAAAGGAAAAAGAATATGTTTCTTGGATGATAACGTTAAAAATTTATTTTATTTACTTTGGTTTAGCACCATAATGAACTCCTGTGACATCTAGCATCAAACTTCACCTTGAAATTTAAATTTAAAAAAAATTTTTTTTTTTTGAGAAGGAATCTCTCTCTGTCGCCCAGGCTGGAGTGCAGTGGCGCGATCTCGGCTCACTGCAAGCTCCGCCTCCCGGGTTCACGCCATTCTCCTGCCTCAGCCTCCCAAGTAGCTGGGACTACAGGCGCCCGCCACTACGCCCGGCTAATTTTTTGTATTTTTATTAGAGACGGATGGGGTTTCACCATGTTAGCCAGGATGGTCTCGATCTCCTGACCTTGTGATCTGCCCACCTTGGCCTCCCAAAGTGCTGGGATTACAGGTCTGAGCCACCACACCCAGCCTTAAATTTTTAAATTTTTGATTCCTTGGAGTCCTTTGGCTTCTTCATACAATAGTGTATACAACAGAAGTAATAGTCATTTCTTGTAGCTGTACTACAAAAAATTTTGGTGTTCGTTTTCTCTCTTTCATCTTGCCCCTTTCATGAAAGCTTTGAGATTTATGGCTTGAAGTTTTATAAATCTTTGTTTTCTGCTTTTGTAGCAATATATCAAAACATTAAGGTGTTTATTTTTATTTTCCATGACAAAAAAGGGAATGTTTTAGAGTTTATTTACCCTGACATTTATAGTAACTTGAAAATCATGGAATAGATCAAGTTCATATTGATTGTTCCATGAAGCCTCTGACTTTTCAGCACAAACCGTAAACTAAACTGATGTAGTTTTGATGCCCAAATAATGTGAATTTGGTGTTAATATTCCAACTGAGGTTTCAGTTTTTACCCAAATGTCTAAAACTTCTGGATCCCATTCCTGGAACTGGTTCTGAAAGGCTGAATGGATTTGCAGCTGGACTAAAACAAATCTATATCCTTGGCTAGGGGGTTGCTCCATGATTATGCATTCGTAGCCTTTGTGTGACTTCAGAGGCTAGACAGAAACAGGAGAAAGTGGCACCCATAGATGACCGGTCTATAAAACTGGATATAGTCACTAGGATATATGTAAAAGATATTCTGTCTTGGCACAGTTTTCTTAGAGATTGGGGCAGATGGCACACAGACCAATAGGATGGCTTGCATTTGGCTTTTAATGCTGTTGGGAATTGTTTTTTTTGATGAAAAGTATAAGCCTCATCCTTGGAGATTTCTGCTGTGAGACCACTGATAGAGGACCTCTATTTGTGTGCCTAGGGATTGTCATTCTCAAGTCAGGCTCTCATCTCAGTGAAAGAAATTAGGTGTTGGGGAGACTGATGCCTCATTAAAGGGATCTCTTTTGATTGAGTGGGGCAGTGTTCAACCCAGTCCTCCTCAGTGATATTCCTAAAGTTGCTGAGCTTATTATTCATATTGATCATATCTTTGTGCATTCATGAAAAGAATATCTATTTAATGTGGACACGACCAGCCATCAGAGAGAATAAATGCCTCACTAAAGCTTGATGTGACTGACTGTTGGCCTTGCGGATGGTAACACTGAATCAATCTGGCTAGTTTTTTCTTAATTGTTAATGCACTGTACCATCACTGATTGACCCAGTTGGAGTTCAGAGCTTACGTGGGTACTAAAGCAAAAAATCTAGCATCCTGTGGGTAGTTTGAAATGCCAGGTTTGTTTTTGTGGAGTCAGTAGTGTAATGTCTTTTATTTTTTATGCTACCCCTGCTGAAATTTAAAGTCGTGAAATTCAAGAAAACACGGAACTCACACGTTGAGATTGTGCACACTCTGGCTTAGCCTTGGTGCTTTGTTTCAGGTATATAAATTATATATTGTAGTGTAATTCAGAAATGACAGCTTCTAAGAAGGATAATAAAAGATTCTTTGAGCCACAAAGAAGGTTAGAATATATAGTTTTTCTGGCTCAGCTTAGGAAGCTCGTGGTTCCCTGCGAGACAGGAATGTTTAAGGCACACATAAGCATTAAAATCATTAACACACAGAGTCTTACATCTTGTTTCCAGATATAGCAATTGATAAGGTAAAAATATATAGTCACTTTAATATGATATTAAATCTGTCCAATTATACTTATTATTTTTGAAGTATGATATCCATAACAACAGCAACAGTGATATTATCTTACATTTATGTATTGATTTATAGTTCATAAAATGTTTTCATACATTATCCCAAATGGGCTGGCTAGTAACTTTAAAGTTATTTGGTACTTTTATGTTACTTGTCAGAAGACAATCTTAGTGACCTTAGATTTTATGGAAAAAGAACCTGTCACTAATGAAATTTATAAAAAAAACTTATGTGTTGATTTTTTAAAAAAAAATTTTTTTGAGATGGAGGCTTGCCCTGTTGCCCAGGCTGGAGTGCAGTGGTGTGATCTCAGCTCACTGCAACCTCTGCCTCCCAGGTTCAAGTGATTCTCCTGCCTCAGCCTCCCGAGTAGTTGGGATTAAAAGTGTGTGCCACCAGGGCCAGCTGATTTTTGTATATTTGGTAGACAAGGGGTTTCACCATGTTGCCCAGGCTGGTCTTGAACTCTTGACCTCAAGTAATCTGTCTGCCTCAGCCTTCCAAAGTGCGGGATTACAGGCGTGAGCCACCGTGCCTGGCCTGATTTTTGAAAAAACTCTTGCAGAAGGAAAAAAATAAAAAAGGAAGACCCTTGTAACCTATTGTAACCTAGCTTTCTGTATGGTACTGTTAACAATTCTGAAATTTTTCTTTGTTGAAATTTGGCGTTATCCGCGATAAGAGTTATCTTAAGAAAACAACACCTAAATCAGAAAGCAATTTTAATTGAAATTGATCTGAACCACAAAAGGTTGTTTTCATTTTCAAAATCTTTTCTTAGCTGTTTTTGTGATTCACCTTTCAATATTTTTGTATTGATGTTGGATATAGATTTTATAGACTAATGTGCTAAAATATGACTTCCTGTTCATAGGCAACACTAACAAATATAGTTAGTCTTTTTTGTCTTATTATCTTTAAATTACAAATATCTGAAGCCCTGTCATAATTGAATGCATCATCCTAAGATTTAAAAACATTATGGTTTTGAACATGATTTGAAAAATGAACACCACACTAGGGGAAGTGAGGCAGGGCTGCAAATAAATGAGGTAGGACAAGCAGAATTCAATTTATGCATTCTTTTCAAGTAGTTATTGATTATAGAAATAAGTAGTAGCCTATGCTTCTCTTTCAGAACTTTGCAGAAAACACCATGAATGAACTCCTTGGCTGGTATGGCTATGATAAGGTTGAATTAAAAGATGGTGAGGATATTGAATTCAGGAGCTACCCTACAGATGGGGAGAGCCGGCAGCACATTTCTGTTCTCAAAGGTAATGACATTTAATGTCCTTTTGTTCATGCAAAGAAGGATTAACTATCTCAACCTGCCAGAATTGAGTTGCTTTGGGACTCAATTGAGTTGCTTTGTTGATTATGCCAATGGTTGATTTAAACATACATCCCCAATAGTGCTTTCCCATAAGCAGAATTCTGCAGAATATAAAAGAACAACATAAAACAAAAATAGACACAGCTTAATCTCCTCCCAGCAATGGGAGAACTAGACAAGGACTAGCGACCTAAGTGCCATGGTCCTGCATACAGATTTAAAGAAAGGGACAATGTTTGCTAACTAGAGTTTCCTGATCACTTTGATAGATCATCATCTGTTGGGGACTGGGGTTTCTGTTAAGTGAAATGTTAGGTTTAGATCTTCAGACTGCTAGAGAGATTCACTGTTAGTTTGGTAATCCTCCTTCCTTTTTTTCAGTGGGAAATCTAAACGGAATTACTATTTTTGTTTTGCTTGACATTTTCATTCTTTCCCTGCCCCCACGCACTTGAATAGGGTAAAAAGAGGAGTAAGAGAGTGGTAGATGATTAGAGCCTATATTACTCTTTAAGAATTTTTTAATCAAAGCCCAGCTAAAGAGTGAAAATTACAGAGCCTTGGCAGAGCTGAATTAACACTGATTCTACCAGTGGGTAACAGTGCCAGATATCTCATGGGGGAAGTCTGTATGAATACTGAATTTATGAACCTAAATTAGGAATGAGAGCTTGCTTGTCAAAGAAAAGAGAAGTATGTGAAGAAGCAGCCCATTCAGGAAACTTTAATAAAATGTGGGTAAAACAAATTATACATCATCACTGGCAATTTGATCAATATTTGCGTTGCATTCAAAATCTATTGGCATAAACTACCTGTTCAAACGTTTTATTTCCAGTCTTTAAGATAGAGCTTTCCCTTCTTATATGCCAAGCAAGGAAATGTAATTGAGCTGCCCTGCAGGCAAGTGGAATTGAATGTACATGACAAATTTTATGTTAAGCTTACTATGAAATTGTACACATCATGCTACAGAGATAGTATCATCAATTTCACTGTAAATGAAAAATGCAAGTCATGAGTTTGTATTCTATAAACTAATAGCTCATATAATACTTGGCCTAGGTAATAATCTTTGCTTCTGGGGAACATACAGCATGCCAGGATATGCTACTAGAACGAAAAAGTTGTTTTCCATGGTTGAGGTTTTTGTTCATTTGTTTTTTTAAGTGATTCACATGCAAGGATACGATGCACAAAGCTCATATCGTTGTAAGTTTTTAAAATTTTTATTTTTGTTATTTTTTAATGGGTATTATCGATACCTTGTGAAGCATCAGTTTTCTTCCCTGTTTCTTTCTCATTGGTTCATGTGATTATATTATGATACAAGTTTATAATACAGTGGGACCTAGTTACAATGCTGGAGGGCACGTTTTAGGCTTTCCCCTGGTAGCCAGAGAGCTATGCTTGCTGTATATCATGTTGTACATGGAAAAAAAGGTTAATTGCCTCTCAATTTTCTTTTCTTTCTTTTTTTTTTTCTGAGACAGAGTCTTGCTCTGTCACCTAAGCTGGAGTGCAGTGGCGCGATCTCAGTTCACTGCAACCTCCGCCTCCTGGGTTCAAGCGATTCTCGTGCCTCAACCTCCCAAGTAGCTGGGATTACAGGCGTGCGCCACATGTCTGGCTGATTTTTGTATTTTTGGTAGAGACGGGGGTCTCACCATGTTGGCCAGGCTGGTTTCAAACTCCTGGCCTCAAGTGATTTGCCCGCCTTGGCTACCTGAAGTGCTGGGATTACAGGTCTGAGCCACTGCGCCTAGTCACCTCTCAGTTTTGTTTTGTTTTGTTTTGTGTTGTTTTTGTTTTTTGAGATGGAGTCTTGCTCTGTCACCCAGGCTGGAGTGCAGTAGCATGATCTCAGCTCACTGCAACCTCGGCCTCGCAGATTCAAGTGATTCTCTTGTCTCAGCCTCCCGAGTAGCTGGGACTACAGGCACACATCACCATGCCCGGCTAAGTTTTGTATTTTTAGTAGAGACGGGCTTTCACCATGTTGGCCAGGCTGGTTTTGAACTCCTGACCTCAGGCAATCCACCCTCCTTGGCCTCCCAAAGTACTGGGATTACAGGCGTGAGCCACCTTGCCCAGCCACCACCTCTCAATTTTCTATGGAATTTTACAGTGCTAAAATTTATCACCATGATTCAACTGGAATATTAGCTATCATAGTGGAGCAAATTATAAAGGAGCCCATTGGAAATTTATGGTAACCACACTAAAAAGTTCCTGGATGAACTGTGGAGTTCTAGTACATTGTTTAAAGATTTGCAAGAAAAAATATGTTGGGTTCATGGCCATTTTACTTGAGAAAATAAGGAAAAATTTAAGTCTACTGCATTACATTCCTTGGTCACATTGAATATGATTTTTTTCTTTTACAGAAAATTCTTTGCCAAAACCAAAATTACCCGAGGACAGTGTTATTTCACCATACAATATAAGCACAGGCTATTCAGGGCTTGCCACTGGAAATGGACTCAGTGACTCACCTGCAGGGTCAAAGGATCATGGCAGTGTGCCCATTATTGTACCTTTAATTCCACCACCTTTCATAAAGCCACCAGCAGGTAAGTCACTACTGGTGTTTTCAGTGATAACAATTCATAGAAAGTTGTTTTAACCATCTTAGGAATAATTATTAAATGCTCAAGTTAACTTTGGTAGAGGCTGTTTTAGGGACCTTATAGGTAAGAAATGTTAATACAGGCATCACTTAGAGTATTACTGTTACATTAGGAAAATTTCCCTACCTACTACTACTTAGGCTATAAACTTTCAACTGACAGTAAACCTTTTCTACCACTGACTACAAAACAAAGTTATTTTCCTTCTCTGAAATCACCTGTTTAAATGAGAAAAAAAAGATAAAATGGTTTTTAAAAATAAAATATAGACAATGACTGTTTAGCAAGAAAAAAAAGTAACCATGGTTGGCTTGTAATCCCTGCACTTTGGGAGGCTGAGGCGGGCGGATCACCTGAGGTCAGGAGTTTGAGACCAGCCTGGCCAACATGATGAAACCCCATGTCTACTAAAAATACAAAAAATTAGTTAGGTGTGGTGGCGGGCTAGTAATTAGCTAGTAATCCCACCTACTCGGGAGGCCGAGGCAGAAGGATCACTTGAACCTGGGAGGCAGAGGTTGCAGTGAGCCGAGATCACGCCACTGCACTCCAACCTGGGCAACAAGAGCAAAACTCCGTCTCAAAAAAAAAAAAAAGTAACCATGGTTGAAAACTGGGTGGTGCATAAGGAGGGCCACATCTCCTCTGGGGTCTTCTGAGGAGAGGGATAGTTTTGTAAAAGGACATGAGGCAGGCTTGGTCTTCAACACGCTTTCCTCTAAATCCATTAGAGAAACCACCTAGATTAAGCTTATCCAACCCGTGGCCCAACCCAAATTTGTAAACTTTCTTAAAACATCATGAGATTTTTTTTGAGATTTAAATTTTTTTGTTTTTTGAGACAGAGTTTCGCTCTTCTCACCCAGGCTGGAGAGCAGTGGTGCTATCTTGGCTCACTGCAACCTCTGCCTCCCGAGTTCAAGTGATTCTCCTTCCTCAGCCTCTTGAGTAGCTGGGATTACAGCTGCTCACCACCACGCCTGGCTAATTTTTGTATTTTTAGTAGAGACAGGGTTTCACCATGTTGCCCAGGCTGGTCTCGAACTCCTGACCTCAGGTGATCCACCCACCTCGGCCTCTCAAAGTGCTGGGATTACAGGTGTGAGCCACCATTCCGGGCCCTAAAACAGTTTTTTTAGCTCGTCAGCTATCGTTAATGTTAATGTATTTTATGTGTGGCCCAAGACAAGACAATTCTTCTTCCAATGTGGCCCAGGGAAGCCCAAAGGTTGGACACCCCTGAAAATTACATATCTTCTCCAACAGAGTGTTTTCTAATTCCTGGAAAGCTCTCTTTGAGAGCTTTTTTCTTTTCTTTTCTTTTTTTAATGGAGATCTTTCACTTGTATGAAAATGTAATTCATTCTTATATTTCCAGAAAATTAGATGGCAGTGTATTAGATCTAGATGGCAACGGGCTGAGCATTATGTGATATTGCAAGCTGGGCTATATATTTCACACAGAGAAAGAAGTTAAATAATATTGTATCTGGCTCCCTGTAAAATGTTGGAATCATCCTAGAATGTTTAATTGTAACGCTGGTTATTTTTCTGTATGTTGAATTGAACAATGATAAATACTGAGTTTCAACAGCAGTACTTATTATAACATACTAAAGCTAATGTTTGTGTTTTTATTAGGGAAGATAGGTATTTGGTTATGCTTCCATAAACAGTGAAGAAATTTGTAGATACAAGTTCCTGGGCTTATGTTATAGATATACTTACACTGTATTCTAAGTGTTACTCTCGTTTTTCTTCATGGTTCCCGCTACATTCTTTTGCTTGGCCTGCTGCATTTTAGCAGTAAAAATGTCCTTTCAGCCTGGCACACCTGTAATCCCAGCACTTTGGGAGGCCAAGGCGGGTGGATCACCTGAGGTCAGGAGTTCAAGACTAGCCAGGCCAACATGGAGAAACCCCGTCTCTACTAAAACTGCAAAAATTAGCCAGGCGTGTTGGCAGGCACCTGTAATCCCAGCTACTCGGGAGGCTGAGGCAGGAGAATCGCTTGAGCCTGGGAGGCGGAGGCTGCAGTGAGCTGAGATCATGCTACTGCACTCCAGCCTGGGTGACAGAGTGAGACTCCGTCTCAAAAAAAGAAAAAAAAAAGTCCTTTCATATTGAGGTCTTAGATATGTCATTAAAATCCATTTACCTGTCAAAATCACTTGTAATTGTGTTTGTCTACTAATTACTAATGTAATTGGTGTATCATATAAAGTTTGCCTTATTGTGCCCCTGTTCTCCTTTGGTTGATTGTTTTGTGATACGGAGGGGTCCACATTTATTTCCCAAGGACCAAAGACATATTTTACGTAGGCCAAGTGGGAAAAAAAGGGTAACTAATTTTGTAAATGTAGAGTTTACGTTTGAATATATGCCCAGTGGCTTAGGGGAGGGGAGATGATGATGAAGGTATCAGTAAGGTAGTATGAGTAAGTGACAAGTACATGGGGTTCAGATTCAGACAGATTGGGTTCAAATCTAGGCTTTGTCATGTACCACCCTGTGAACATGGACAAGTTACATAAGCTCTCTTCACTTCAGTTTTCTCATCTGTAAAATGGGGATCCCAGCCCTACCTCATGTGGTTGTTGTGGAGATGAGATAAGAAAATGTATGTAAGGCCGGGCGCAGTGGCTCATGCCTGTAATCCCAGCACTTTGGGAGGCTGAGGCGGGCGGATCACCTGAGGTCGGGAGTTTGAGACCAGCCTGACCAACATGGAGAAACCCCATCTCTACTAAAAATACAAAATTAGCTGGGCATGGTGGCACATGCCTGTAATCCCAGCTTCTAGGGAGGCTGAGGCAGGAGAATCGCTTGAACCTGGGAGGTGGAGGTTGCGGTGAGCCAAGATGGCGCCATTGCACTCCAGCCTGGGCAACAAGAGTGAAACTCCTGTCTCAAAAAAAAAAAAAAACAAAACAAAAAAGAAAATGTGTGTAAAGCCCTTAGCATAGTGCCTGCCTCACAAAACCAGACCTTTTTTCTTTTTTTTTGCCCTAGAGTTATCATGCACATAAATTGTGCATAAAAAGGTGTGCATCCAAATGCAAATTGGTCTCTAAGATTTATTTGAGCAAAGCAAACAGCTTTAGAAATTAGCATAGCTGAGGCTAACATAAGTTTGGCATGCCAAAAAACCTGCCCTGGAGTTTCCTGCTGAGCCAGCCACGTGGAATTCAAGCACACAGCTCCTATTTAACTCTAATTCCACATCAGATCAGGAAATAAATATGCGAAGGGACAGAGGCCAAAAATTGAGCCTTGAAAGTCTTAGATGTAGGAACTCTGAGGAATTAGAAGCCAGAGTAACTGAACACCAGTGGTTTTATTGGTTTTGTGCTGTCTTCCATGGAATTCCAGGGCGCTCATCTGTTGAAAATAAAATGTAGGGAAGGACATGTTTAATTTTCTATCTCCGCTCCCAACTTTGACTCTGTCCTACTCAAGGGTTCTATATGACAAGACAAAGATACAAAAAGATTCTCTACTTTTAAGGAGCTTATTCTCTTAGTTACCAAGCAGGAACTTACAGGGAAGTTGAATTTTGATTTAGTCATACTATCTAGGGCAGGGGTCTGCAAACCTTTTCTGTAAAGGGCCAGATAGTATTTTAGACTTTTTAGACCATACTGTCTCTATCACAACTACAGAGCTCTTCTGTTGTAGCAGAAAGACAGCCATAGATAATACATAAACAAATAGGTGTGGCTGTGTTCCAATAAAGTTTTATTTACAAAAAAAACAGTGGGCAGGGTGTGGCCCACGGACATAATTTGCTGCTTGTGCTAAGGTAAGATTAGCCACAGTCTCATGATAACAGGAAGGTGACTAGAGTTTCAAAGAGTCAGGCTATGGACTTTGCCGAGGTGCAGTATGTATTTCAAGGAAGGAAGAACAGCAAGGGCAGGAAAATAGTGAGTTTTCAGGGTATTTGGTGAGCTTGACACAATATTTGTTGAATAAATGAATGAATGACTGATATTCAAATCTTATTGCACATATATAAGCATTTCACTGAGAAAATGCTAGTGTTTTGTCTGGATTAGTCCCAACCTGTTTGACCTTGACTGCAGCTTCCTTGATAGTGAAACGAGGATTCCATCACTCTTAATTATCCATGGCTAAAGTCAACAAATTATCAAAAACTTCCATCTAGTGAATCATTTTAACTCTTCCATTGCTAAAACTTTTACCAGAGTTGTGATTCAAGGTAATTGGGTTGAGATATGCTACTGTCAATTTTCTAGCTGTATGTAGGTTAATGCTGCATTCCTGTGGGGAAACAAATAAAGGGTACAGTGGCTAGGAGCAAAAGGCCCCTTGATAATCAGCCCTTGAATAATTTAGAGTTGACTGTATCATGCAAGTGCACCTCTCAAGATAGGGAAGATGAGGATCATGTGTATGCTTTGGATTCCTGTGTTAGTGTTCAAATTATTCCTATCCCATTGTAAACTGGCTATGTGAAAATGCTAATAATAATAATACCTTTCATTAAAATTTTTAGAGTTTATGAAATTTATTCACATTGATTATTTTATTTAATATGGTCTTCATATAACTCTGGGAAATAGCATATTAGATATTAAATTTAAAGAGCTGAAGTTCAAATAGGTTAAATGGCTTTTTCAAGGTCACATGGCTTCTAAGTACTTGAGCCAAGACTAGTACTAAGGTCTTCTGACTCCTAATCCAAAATTCTTTTTAATGTAAATTGCCTTTTAGCATATTCCTACAAAATTTCCCTAGATTGTATCAGAATAATAATGCCTGTTAATATACTACTTCCAGATACCCCAATGACAGGACATACACTCTCTTCCTGCTAAAAGTTACTTTTTCAAGTCCACATTTTTGGGGACACTCAATGAGTTCTTCCCTAACCCTGAGAATCTGTGGTTCTAAAAGCGTGGATGGCCCAGTAGGGGTAAAATCCTAGCTTTGTTTTACAGTTCTTGCCGTCATGAGGCGAGTTGCTTCTCTTTGAGGGTACCAGAGGGCTCCATCCAGTCAGGCACTGTTTCCCAAGCATGTGTTTCATGTGCTGGGGCAGGCTCACCACTGGATCCCATCCATGTCTTGGCAGCCAGTGGGCCCAGTGGAATACTCGTGATTGGGAACACGGTGATACTGCATTGACTTGGATTTCCACTCTCCTTTCTCACAGCTGCATACAGAATTGTGGGTGTAGCTTACTTCTGGGCCTGGAGAACTGCTCTTCTGGCCCTGCCCTCCCTTTTCTCTGGAGAAGGGGAGCTCCCGTGTCTTGGTGGTTACCACAGCATTGACCCTGCTCTGGCCACACATGTGTGCATTCATCTTCCAACTCTGTGCTGCCTTTCCCCCCACAGAGACAGCCTCTGGCCCTTGGTATGGTTTGTGACAGCACAGGCATTACTATGGTAACAGACGTGTTATAAATACAGGATAATAGCTTTGCTTTTGCTTTCCCCCTCCCCCGCCCCCATGCAGTGAAGGGAATCACCATGATCCTTAAATAATAATCACAGACTTTTTTGCAGACTCTAGGAAATGAACAGAATAAGGCTTTGCCATATAGGCAAGCCATGAAGAAAACTTATAAGAATATTAGAAAATAATAAAAGTATTGACCAACACTTTCTTTTTGTGCAAACATGTCTTTATTCTTTCAGTTTGAACAAATGTAAAAACCTCCTTCTTTGCTAATTTAAAAAATCACATCATGAACATAATCTGAAGTGGCAAAAAATATGTCAGCAAGAATTTTGAAAGATAGGTTAATTAAACGGTAACTTTGCTGTAATTCATCTCATGTTAGAGATTTTAGCATGGGTTCAACCCTTTGAGACTTCATTCGAAGATGATCATGCCTTTAAAGGGCTTGGGCATGGATTGTAAGAACTGTGCTGTAGTGAGTCTTCATTAAGATATTTGGCCTTCTCTGGTTTTAATTGAGCTTTAAATTTGGTTCCCTCCAAGTTTGATGATTGAGGTAAAGCACTCAGAAGGGATTTTGAATACATATCTTTGACAAAGGCCTTATAATGGTCTTCACTGCTTTACAAGTGTAATAGCCCTTGGCTGCATTGACTGGCCATCAATTTTCTGCAGAGGTAGGGCAGGTTTGGGTCTCCCCACCTTGTCAACTTCTGGTCAAAGTAGCCAGGGTAGACCCTGGCCCAGTTGAGACTCAGACCAGGACTTTTTCCCCTCTAGTTTTGGGTTTGCTCCATGACAACATTTTGCTCCCAAAATTTTTTTTTTAAATTAATAAAACTATTAGTGTGATTGTTTTTGTTCACAAGGAGAAGTGAAATGAAGCAACTTTTTCTAGTGAGAGCTTTCCTGCTGCAGAAAACCGTGTGTACCTAGAAAACCACATTTTAGATCTGAGTCTTTTGACAGGTTTTCCCAGAGGCTTACAACTTGCCTATTCCAAGTCCAGAATCCCTGTAAATCTCTGAATACTTTAAAATGAAATGAAATGTGAAAAAAAGAGGGAATATACTTCTCTTTATGCATTTATGTGGCAGTCTTGAATAAAGTGTCTTTTACCTCAAATGATAAGTGCCCTTATTCTCATTTCTTACCATGTTTGCACATGTGAAGTAAAAGGAAGAGCCTGTCCATACGGCACAGACAGGTTTGTGTGGAGCAACATAAGATCGATCCCCTAAAACCAGCTTGATTTCCTGTGTGCAGAAATGTCTTATCTTTCTTTGAAAACAATGACCATTTCCTGTCCTCCAGGATGGTTTGCTTTTCAGTTAGTTTTCCAAATTTGAGTTCCATTATAGTCAGGGAAATATGATATATATTTTCAGGCAAATCTTGAAATTCCTAAGGGGTTATAAGAACTGGACTCTAAGGAACCATTAGCTTAACGGAGAATATGGAAACAGTCACGTGATCTGCTAACCTCTATGTATATAGCTGAGTAACCCACAGTTAATAAGCATGTTACTTTTTGGCTCTTATAATTCTGACATGGAGTTGTACTTGCAGGGAAATGGGAATGAGAATGTGGTTTGCATTATGGTCATTATTTATTTTATCTGTTATTCAATATTCTTGGGGCTTGCATATGATGATGTGTTCCAAATAGCCATTGAGAAAACAGGATTTAATCAAAATTGCTTTGGACTTTATTTATTTGTCCAACTTTTAAAATATGATTATTAAATAAAATTACCTAGAGTTAATGGGATTTGGATGACTTACTATTTATGTACCAGATGCAATTCTCAAAAAAAAAAAAAAAAGAAAGAAAAAGAGGTTCACTGAACCCTCAGTTTTCCCAATCACTTAGGATAAGGACAGGAGGAATTAACGATGAATGGCAGAAATGTGAGTACTTAATAATGTAATGATATAATCTCATCATAGCTAATAGTTTTTGAGCATGTATTATGCTAGTAGATTTATATCATTTAATTTTCACAACTCTTTGTGGATGCTATTATTAACCTTGTTTTACAGATGAGAAAACTGAGGCCCAGAAAAGTTGAGCAACTTGCCTGAGGTTACACAGATACTGAGTGGCAGAGCTGATATTTG
Source organism: Homo sapiens (assembly GCF_000001405.40). Taxonomy (NCBI): domain Eukaryota; kingdom Metazoa; phylum Chordata; class Mammalia; order Primates; family Hominidae; genus Homo; species Homo sapiens. The sequence continues at coordinate 107,514,036 of NC_000006.12, forward strand.
AACCTATACATTATGTCTCCTTAGCCTATATCCTTAACCACTGGATTATCCAAAACACTATGGCAGTATTTCAGTCAGTTAAGTATTTACTGAATGTTCCTTACATTGTGCTAGACAATACAGATGTATGTCATCATCCTTGACTACCAAGAACTTAATAGTACTGTTGGCATATGATCAAAACATCATTCTAGTTTTACCTTGGAATGTATGATATAATTTTAGTTGCATATGGAAGGTGCATGGTAGGACTACAAGGGCAATTAAAGTGGAGTAGCAAAAAGTCTATAGGCAGATAATCAAGAACTGTTATATTTATACAGTTGAGGGGAAATGGCACCTGAAACTTAATATAGGCTAGAAGATAGCAATTGAAAACTCAAATTCAAAGTGATAAAAAAAGATCCAAAATGAAACCTGAAAATGTTAGATACTATGATATGGGTCCTGCTTTATTGTTCTCTTTACAATTAAGGGTTCTTAAAAATGTGTAAGGCACATTTTAGTGTGTTCTATCATTTTTAATGCCAGATGAAATGTATAATTTGAATGGTAGCATGAGGTGGTGAAGACTGCCAGAGCAAGAACCAGGAGACCTGGGTTGCTAATGCCAGCTCTGCCATTTATTGGCCATGTAATCTTGAATAAGGTAGTTTCTCTAAGCCTTAGTTTCCTTGTCTGCAAAATGATGTGGTTAGCTTACATGATCTGTTATTTCCCTATATTTATAAAATCCTTATTTTGTGACTTGTATGGTTAGTTGCTCTCCTGATTTTATGATTTGAGAGGGTATGTTTTAATGTGCTTTAACAGGTACTTGTTAATTGAACAGATATAAAGCAAACTGCATATATGTATAGTTATAACAGCCAGAAGTCTGATGAAAGATTTATACTGCTTGGGACAAGTTTTAATGATTGTTAATTTTTACTTTGAACAAATAGTGAATGAAATAATAGATTTGACATTTTTTAAGATAACAAGTGCTAGGAAATATGAAATGTGAGTAAATAAAAAGGTTCATATGTTATTAGAACTAATCATTTTGATGTTATGCATAGTGATTACTAGAATAATTCCCAGAGTTTCTTTGACAGAGACGTCACATTAGTTTAACTTACCAAAACAGACAGAAGAAATAGAAAACTTGAGTAGTCCTATTAAGGAAATAAAATAATTGAATCTTTTCTACAAAGAATATTCCAGACCTAGATGGCTTCAATGGTAAATTCTGTGAAACATTTAAGAAAAACAAAAAACAAACAAAGAAAAGAAGTTGGAGAAGCTTTTTCAGAGAATAGAGAAGAAATAAATACGTAGACTTATTTTATGATCTCAGCATAACATTGATCACATTACATGCCAAGGGCATTATAAGTAAGGGAAACAATAATTTAGTGTAATTTTATTACATTAAAATTGAAAACTTCTGTCTGGGTGTGGTGGCTCACACCTGTAATCCTAGCACTTTGGGAGGCCGAGGTGGAGGGATCACTTGAGCTCAGGAGTTTGAGACCGGCCTGGGCAACATGGCAAAACCCTGTCTCTACTAAAAATACTAAAATAAGCTGGGCATGGTGGCACATGCCTGTAGTCCCAGATACTTGGGAGGCTGAGGCACAAGAATTGCTTGAACCTGGGAGGTGGAGGTTGTAGTGAGCCAAGATTACACCAGTGCACTCCAGCCTGTGTGACAGCGAGACTCTGTCTCAAAAAACAAAAAAAGAAGGAAAACTTCTGTTCATCATGAACATTCATGCAAAAATACTGAGCAAAATTATAGCAAACCAAAGCCAATGATATATGCAAAATGGTAATACATCATGACTAATTTAGATTTTTTTCTAGGAATGCAAGGTTGGTTTAAATTTTAAAAATCAGTCAATATGATTAACAAAATAAAGTAAAACCTCTGTTAAAGTAAAACCATTAACAGAATAAAGTAATAGCTGCAGCAACAATTTTGATAAAATTTAGCACTATAAATGATTAAAAAAAACTTTTGGCAAAGGAGGAATAGAATAGAACTTCCTTAATCTGTCCAAAGGTTATCAACAGAACACTCCACAGCCAATATTACGTAATAGTGAAGTATTGAAAACTTTCCTCTTGATATCAAGAATGAGATTAAGATGATCATTATGGGCCAGGCACAATGGCTCATGCTTGTAATAGTAGTACTTTGGGAGTCCAAGGCAGGCAGATCACTTGACGACAGGAGTTCGAGACCAGCCCAGCCTTCACGGCAAAACCTAGTCTGTACTAAAAATACAAAAATTAGTAGGGTGTGGTGATGCGCTCCTATAATCCCAACTACTCGGGAGGTTGAGGTGGGAGAATTGTTGGAACCCAGGAGGCAGAAGTTGCAGTGAATGGAGGTTGTGATGAGCTGGGATTGCACCATTGTACTCCAGCCTGAGCAGCAGAGCAAGACTCTGTCTCAAAAAAAAAAAAAGAAAAGAAAAGAAAGATCAGTATCACCCACTTCTGTACCGGAAATTAACAGACAATTATTTAATAAGGAAATAAAAAGGAGTAAGAAACTCAAGATTTGTAAGACAGAAATGCTATTTTATATAGACCTCCCTACAGTCAATCTACAGGTTAACTATTATAATTTACGACTCAATTTATCAAAGTCTCTAAACACAGTCAATATCTGCAAATCAATGATATCTCTGTATTCCAGCCATAAAAATTTCAAAAGTGAATCTTAAAAATATAATTTAAAGTAGTATCAGACCCATCAAATACCCAGGAAAATAATCTCACAAAATATGTGTAAGATGGTTACACAGAGAATCATAAACATTGCTGAGAGAAATTAAAGAAGACCTAAATCAATAGAGGGACATACCATGTTTATAGATTAGAGACTAAATATTGTAAAGAGGAAGATTCCTCCTAAATTGATCTATATATTTAAATCTAATTCTGATAAAAATCCTGCATAAAATTTTGTGGAAATTAAAAAGTTGTTTTTTAAAATGTATATGGAGATGCAAAGGAGCAAGAATAGTTCAAACAATCTTGAAGAAAAAAATAAAATTGGGAGACTTATACTCTCAGATATCAAGATTTATTGTAAGGACAGAATAATTATGATAGTAGGCAAGGATGCAAGGATGTAGGTATAAACAATTATAACAGAGTCCAGAAACAAATCTAAATTGATACTTGACTCATGATAAATATATTAGTCAGCTCAGGCTGACATAAAATACCATAGACTGGGTAGCTTAAACAACCAAAATTTATTTTCTCACAGTTCTGAAGACTGGAAATCAAGATCAGAGTGCCAGCAGGGTCAATGTCTGGTGAAGTCTCTCTCCTTGGAGTGTAGATCACTGCCTTTTTACTATGTCCTCATGTGGTGAAGGGAGAGAGAGAGAGAGCAGGCTCTCTGCTGTCTCTTCTCATAAGGGCACTAATCCCACTGGACAAAGGCCCCATCCTCATGATCTCATTTAACACTAATTATCTTCCAAAGGCCTCATCTCCAATTGCCATAATATTGGGGGTTAGAGCTTCAACATATGAATTTGGGGGACACACAAACATTCAGTCTATAACAACAAAGATGACACGGTAGAGCAGTGGAGAAAGGATGGTCTTTTCAATAAATATGTTTATGGAAAAAATGTATGTTGATTCTCTACTTCACATCATTCATAACAAATTGTAGATGGATTGTTGATCTAAATGTGATAGGTAAAACAATAGAGCTTCTAGAGAATGCCTAGGGGAATTTATGATCTTGAATACACCAATATTTCTTAAACTACATACATAAAGTACTAACCATAATGGAAAAAGTTAATTACATATAATACAATTAAGAATGTTTGCTGATTTTAAAAAATCTTTCAGGTTGCTTGGTGGATACAATATGTGTTGTTCCAGTGATGGATACACTGAAGGCCTTGAATTCGCCATAGTGCAATATATCAATATAGTTAAATTATACTCATATCCCATGAATTTATACAAATAAAAAAAGAAAAAATCTTTCCAAAGAATGAAAAAGCAAATCACTGAGTACCAGATGAAGTTTGTAATGCATTTCCCTGTAAAAGACTTATATTGACAATGTATAAAGAATCTCTGTAAATAAAAATAAAACAGCTCAATAGAAAAATAGGCAAAAAATGTAAACAGGCCCTTCATCAAAGAAAATATCCAAGTTATCAGTAAACATGAAAAGTTTTTCAATCTCATTACTCATTAGGGACATCAGATTTAAAATCATAGTGAGAGACCGGTAAACACACATGAGAATGGCTAAAATGAAGAAGATTGACAATACCAAGTTTGAGGAGGATATGGAGCAACTGGGACTCTCATGCATAGCTGGTGAGAGTGTAAATACATGTAACCACTATTGAAAGCTGATTGGCAATATCTATTAATGCTGAACATACACATATGCAATAATTTATACAATTAAGTGTTCTTGAAAATGTATAATGCAATAATTCTATCTTAGGTATGTGCTCAACACAAATGTGTATATATGTGAGCCAAAGGCACATAAAATAATCTTCATAGCAGCATTTATTCATAATAGCTAAAAACTGGGAACAACCCAAATGTTCACCAGCAATCATTAACATACACTTGGGATTCCTTAGATGGGCTTAGGTGGGTAAGTGTAGGTCATGAAGTTGACTGTGGAACTGTGTGTATATCATATGTGCACAATTTAGGAAAGGCTGTTTTTTTTTTTTTTTCTCAAAAAGATCCTTGTCTCAAAAAATGCTAAGAATTCCTGCCTGCATACGAGACCTAGATTTCCATAGTTTTTAAGAAAATTTTAAACTCCTCCTAATTTAAGCAACTAAGCCCTAGAATGTAATTTGACCTTTTTAATCCTATATTTAGTCTGTTCATAGCTTTCTCAAATCAAGTAGAATATTTAAGAATCTCATCATTCCTTATTATTAAGGAATTATTACCAAGTGAAATGCAAATGTATCATAGTGAAGCCTAAAAATTAAGTTATAGGCATAAGGCATAGATATACCCCTCTGTGGTCTACTTGAGAGCTGCATTTGATATGGTGTAAAGTGGAGAGAAATTAGGAGACACTGGGTGAGTGACAAAAGTAGAATATACAATATCTCTACCTCCCAGTGGTTCTTATCAGGGTGTGACTTGGCCCCCAGGGGACATTTGGTAATATCGGGAGACATTTTTGATTGTCACAGCTAGGAGAAGGGGTACTAATGGCATCTAGTGGGTAGAGGCCAGGTATGGTGCTAAATGTCCTACAATGCACAGGACAGCCCAAACCAATTATCCAGCTGAAAATATTAACAATGCTGTGCTTTAGAAACCAGGCTCCACAGTGATGACAGGTCTGTGTATGGGACACCTCTTGTGCTCCTCTTCAAGTCCTCTTGGCCCCACGTGTTAATCCCATGATTGCTGTAACACTTTGACCAGCTTGGGCGTGTGCATTCTGAAAGTTACTTGCCTCGCACCTGTGGCATACGTCTCTCGCTTCCTGCTCTGGGACTTCTCTGACATAGCAGCATGGGCATCCTATGTGGATCCTTTTGGCATTCACTGAAACATTTGCAAACCAGCAGTGTAGGGGATTAAAGCATACTATAGCAACAGGACAGGAGAGTTGAATTTTTCCTTCTTTTGTCCCCTGGGTAGATAGTTATGAAATGTTTTAATACACTCCAAAGAATTACCTCTGCAATTGAACACCAGTCTCCCTTAGCAGTAGCCAACTAAATAGCACATCCTTCTGTTGGCTCTTTCTGCTCCCTAGGTTCATTTCTCTTGTCCCTCACTCCTACTTTCTGGGATCACATGCCCATTAAAGCACCTACATGCAAGTCTTTGACTCAGATTCTGTTTTCTGGGAAACTCAGGATGAAGTGCCATGTGTACAGAAGTCCACAGTGAAAAACCAGAAATTAATGGAAGGGAATATAAAAAAGTTAGAATTTTATGAACATTTGTCTTTTTTCCCTTCAAAGTCCAGCATGAATATACAATGAAAGAGTAAAAAGGGCACCAGATTCTCAGTGGCACAATAACGGAGCACTCAGAAAGGGCCATTTCTAAAATTGTCCTGTCAGCCAAAGAATTTTCTAATCCTCCTATGGTAGGGGTAAGGAAAAACAGTGGTGGCTACACAGAAGGAGGAGAAACAAAGAAACTAAGTCAGGGGTTCGAGTAAAAGAGGAAAGTAAAAAGAATATCCTTTGCCTCAGCTCCTTTAAATGGATTGTGTTATTGTGAGAGCTTCAGAATGCTAGAATTTTACTTAGAGGAAACCTAGAATATCATCTAATTAAATTTTCTCTTTTACAGCAGAGGAAATGAGGTCTGGAGAGGTTAAATGATCTTCTCAAGGTCACTCAGTTGCCTTAATGGCAGAACCAGGACCAGAACTCACTTCTGAAAGGGATGGGGACACAATCTGATCATGGATTCTAGATCACATACTTCTGTGATTCCGGAGGCAGCCCAGAACTTCTCTTGACATTTTCTAAACTCTTTTTGGAGTTATGACGTAGCTAGGATAATACTTTCAGGATACCTTGTCCCAGGTCAACAAGGAGCTAAGATGCTAACAGGAAATAAGAGGAAATGTCAGCTGTGCCTTTCCTTTCTTGTTAGAGGGTGGCCGTGTTTCTGGCATTTCTTGTTATTCTAGGGACAGTCGCAGTGCTGACTTCTTAAAGTTCCTGTTAAATGGAGAAGACTTAGTTGATTAACTTGACCAAGGAGAGTGGTCATAATGATCCCAGTATGTTCTGGGGCTTTTCACTAGTGTTTCCCTCTAAGGCAACTTTGTTCTCAAAGGCAGTGCCCTTGGCCAAGAGGATTTGAAGAGGAGCACAAGAGGTGTCCCATACACAGACCTGTCATCACTGTGGAGCCTGGTTTCTAAAGCACAGCATTGTTAATATTTTCAGCTGGATAATTGGTTTGGGCTGTCCTGTGCATTGTAGGACATTTAGCACCATACCTGGCCTCTACCCACTAGATGCCATTAGTACCCCTTCTCCTAGCTGTGACAATCAAAAATGTCTCCCGATATTACCAAATGTCCCCTGGGGGCCAAGTCACACCCTGATAAGAACCACTGGGAGGTAGAGATATTGTATATTCTACTTTTGTCACTCACCCAGTGTCTCCTAATTTCTCTCCACTTTACACCATATCAAATGCAGCTCTCAAGTAGACCACAGAGGGGTATATCTATGCCTTATGCCTATAACTTAATTTTTAGGCTTCACTATGATACATTTGCATTTCACTTGGTAATAATTCCTTAATAATAAGGAATGATGAGATTTTTAAATATTCTACTTAATTTGAGAAAGCTATGAACAGACTAAATATAGGATTAAAAAGGTCAAATTACATTCTAGGGCTTAGTTGCTTAAATTAGGAGGAGTTTAAAATTTTCTTAGAAACTATGGAAATCCAGGTCTCATATGCAGGCAGGAATTCTTAGTATACACAATTTCACAGTCAACTTCAGGACCTACACTTAACCACCTAAGCCCATCTAAGGAATCCCAAGTGTATGTTAATGATTGCTGGTGAACATTTGGGTTGTTCCCGATTTTTAGCTATTATGAATAAATGCTGCCATGAAGATTATTTTATGTGCCTTTGGCTCACACATATACACATTTGTGTTGAGCACATACCTAAGATAGAATTATTGCCTTGGCTCCCTCCATTCCCCCACTGGGTATCCAACACCCAAGGTGCACCTAGTAAGGATGCTTTTCTTCTCCTTGTGCTGAGGTCCCAGGTCAGACATTTTATTCTAGTGAGCAAAACAGATATGCTCCTGTCTTAACCTGGCTCATAGTCTGGTGGAAGAGACAGACATTAAAACACACACACACACACACACACACACACACACACACACACACACACACACAAACTCAATCAAGTCTGAGAATTACCAAGTCCAGAGTGCTGTCGGATCTGACCAGGTTTGGGGTCAGGGAAGGTCTCCCTAGGATGAGGTTTAAGATAAGATACAAAGGACTGAATTCATCAGTAGGACTAAACTGGCAAAGGATTTTAGGGTTGTGAGGGAGGAAGCAGCACATTTAAAGGCTGAGTGGAGGGAGGGCCTCAAGGAAGTGAAAGAAGCCAGAATCCAGAAAGCAGACAGGTGTGAGGCTGGCCTGGTCTTAGGAGCCATGGAGACCATGCCAGGAGTGCCACTTTCTTCTTGAGGGCAGTGGATGCCACTGAAGAGTTTTGAGCAGGTGAGAGCAGTGGTCATATTGGTGTTTCAGAAGAATTTTCTAGATGCAGAATGGAGAGAAGGAACTACATGACAGTGAGTTAGAAGGCTACTTGTAGTTTGGGCAAGAGGTATTGGTGGCTTCACTGGGATTGAGGGTAACAAACTCCATGAAGATAAGGCACCTAGAACAGTGCCTCACATATAAGTAGACTTGATAAATATTCATCGAATGAATGAATGATTGGGTGTAGTATAAAAACTTTTTTTTTTTTTTTTTTTTTTGTGGCAAGGTCTCATTTTGTTGCCTAGGCTGGAGTCGAGTGGTGCCATCACAGCTTACCGCAGCCTTGACCTCCCTGAGCTCAGGTGATCCTCCCACCTCTGCCTCCTCAGTATCTGGGACTACAGGCAGGCACGATCATGCCCAGCTAATTTTTGTATTTTTTTGTAGAGATGGTGTTTCACCATGTTGCCCAGGCTGGTCTCAAACTCCTGGGCTCAAGCAGTCCACATGCTTTGGCCCCAGAAAGTGCTGGGATTACAAGCATGAGCCACCACACCCAGCTGTGTAAAAATATTTAGGAGGACCTGGTGATTAATCAGAATGTGGGAGGTGGGAGGTGAGAGGTGAGAGGGAGAGAAGAGGCAGGAAAGATGCTGGGTTTCTGCCATCAGGTAACTGGGTAGATGATAGGGCCAGGAACTGAGGTGGGAAACGCAGTGAAGGGGACTGGAAATGGAGAGGGTTGTGTATGCAGCTTTGGACTTGACTTACTAAGATGTCTGGGAGGCAGTTGGACATAGTAGCTCATGAAAGATAATTGTGTTGATTTGGGCATCGTCGTATTATGGATGATAACTGGAGTCATAAGAATACGTAGTGCAGCTCAAGAGGAATGTCTAGAGAGAAGAGTGCTCTGAAGGATTTCTTGTTAGTGTTGCCCTCTACTTTTCCCATAGCAGGACTATTTTGGCATGCTGTGTCTCATTACATTCCAGAGTAGGGATTGGCATAGGGCCCCTTCAGAGAGTCTCTCAACCAATCTTTGCTCTAAGAAATCTAAATAAATATTTAAAGGTGAGAAGAGTGAAGAGTGAAGTAAATTATTTTGTTGAAATGTTCTAGTAGGTTCATCTTGCTTCTTTTAACACATTTAATTGAATGCAGTTCTGCATACCCTTCAACCTACTGAACTTGACTTTCTGGGTGTGACTACAGTTCAGGGTATTGAGGGAAGAAAAGGAGCTGAGGAGGAGAACAAGCAGTGCTCTCTCTGAGTGCTTGGGCCCTCCCAGGTGTCCCTTTGACACCCAGTCTCTAGCCTGTCAATTTGCCTCCCCTAGGAGGTGGCCCCACGTGGCCTGCTGCTTGGCAGGACTGGCTGGAGCAGCGAGGAGGGACTTGGCTTGCTCTTCTGTCATGATGGGCTGCTTGTGCTCCCCTCCAGTGGAGATGCTTACACCTGCCTACTACAGTCACCAAGAACATCTGGCTCCTATGATCCTTCATGGTGATGGAGCCCTGGGAGCAGGCCAGGCTTGTCCTTGGCCATTTTCTCCTGCACATTGGCCTTTTACACTAGGGGCAGCCATGGGAAGCTCCTTGAGGCCTTGTTAGTGTCCATGCGTGTCTTGTTAGTCAGTGCATTTGCAGCCCATCATACAGTGCCTGGCACGAAGTTGAGTAAAGAAATGAATCCTCTGTCTACCTCTGGGGAGATTGTCAACCACTGTGGGACCCATTAAGTGTAAATATTGGGACAGTCAGATCTCAGAAGGGGAAATGAGCCCTTTCATTAAAGAGCAGATGATGGAAATGCTTTTCTTGTTCTGAGGTCCTGTATAAAGCAGCTTGACCTTTTAGTCTTTATATGCTGCCACTTTTGTATCTCTTTGAAGATGGTGCCCCTCTAGGCAGGGCAAGGCCTCAGAATTGGTTTTCTATGAGTGGTAGGCTTGCTGGAGCACACTTTTTGATCTGACTCCCTTGTCGCTTATCACGTTCATTTGTGGACTAGATGCTGAGTAGACTTCAGCTATCTAGGAGAGAGAAGTCTAGCAGACAGCAAATCCATGATTGCAGCATCATTGTCCCAGGACATCTTAGATTGCTCAGAGGTTCAGATTGAGGGCCCAGGGATGGGGATACGATTTTAATTGAGCATCTTGTCTATGGCAGCCAGCCAGTGAACATGAGCTATTTGGTCTGTATTACTCTCTCTTTGCCTTATTGTTGATTTCTCCCATTTTCTCTGTAGGGCTCTATAGGAAAAGGATTGCCTTCTCTGTATTTGATGCAAGTAACAGACACCATGGGACTTTGTGGACCATGGGTGTCTTTAGTCAATCTGAACATGCATACTGAGGACTAGTAGGTGTTGGTCAATGTGCCCAGCACTGGCCACATGGCTGCAGACCTTGTCTTTCTGCCCAGTGCAGGCAAAGGAGGCTCCTGGCAATTGAGGATATAATTGTGGGCAAAAGAGAAGAAACCTTCCTGATAATTAATGACCCACATGGAAATGCGCATGCCTCAGTGCTGATGTAGGGCAGTGGAGCAGCACGTTCCAGGAGGCTTCCTCAGAAGTCCAGTCTTGGGAATTCTCTGTGAAAAGACATGTCCGCTGTTAAATCTGTGAAATATGGCACACTCTCTCTCCTTTTCAAAGATTCTTAATTGTACATTGGTGGAAACAAAATGTCCTGCTGTAAAAAGCCTGTTGTTTAACTTTGTTTAGCCTGCTATTTTCCATTCATATTTAATCATGGAAGTCTTTTTTAAAAATCACATCCATGTAAGTACCCTATGGGCTTAGTGTTCTGTGGAACGTGCTTTTGGAAGTGTTGCATACAAGACTGTGGATTTTCCTTAGTCTGAAGCTCTACCTTTTTCCTTTCCTATTCCAGTTTCTTAGGGTGATTACATAGGAAAGACAGACTCCACAGTGAACACTGAGAAGCAGAGGCGAGGTTGTCAAAGAAACTTACAAGAAGAAACTCCTTCACTGGCAAGTCAGTGAAATTATGGGGAAATACTCACATTAATGTCAGGGAGCTGGAGGCACATGTACTTAGTAGTGTCATGTTAAAGAATCCAAGCTCAGCATGGTATTCAAGACAGAATTACAATTTTGTGACTTTATGAGTCTCTCCTTTTGCTGTCCTTCTTCATTGGAGTACGGGAGAATAAATGAGGAAGGGACATTGACTGTAAAGCAACTTCATTTTGTTTGAATTTGACTCTGGAGTCACCTTCCCCAAGAATGCTGTGGACTTTTCCCTGTCTGCTTTGACTAGAAACACGGGAAGATGAATACTATGAAATTTCAGTGATTTCTGGATTCGCAACATTTCTACCTTTTGATAATTGATTTCATCTCATTCTTAAATCTGTCCTCTTCATTTCCACTGTCACCCTGTAGGTTCAGGACTTCATCCCTTTTCCTCTGCAGCCATTTATTCATCTGTCCATTTATTCCTTCATGTAGCATGAGCACTGTTCTGTGCAAGGCACTGAACACACAAGAGAGAATGAGACATGGACCCTGCTCTCACTTTGCTTACTGAGGCTTCTAGATGTGGAACTGGATTTCTAGTCTCTCCAAATTCTGATCCGTCCTGTTACTCCTGTTGGAGTGACATTTCTTAACACATCTTTGATCCTGTCATGTTCTTTTTTTTTTCCCCGAGACGGAGTTTCGCTCTTGTTGCCCGGGCTGGAGTGCAATGGCACCATCTTGGCTCACTGCAACCTCCACTTCCCAGGTTCAAGCGATTCTCCTGCCTCAGCCTCCCAAGTAGCTGGGATTACAGGCAGCCGCCACCATGCCTGGCTAATTTTTTTTTTGTATTTTTAGTAAAGACAGTGTTTTACCATGTTGGCCAGTCCGGTCTTGAACTCCTGACCTCAAGTGATCCACCCACTTTGGCCTCCCAAAGTGCTGGGATTAAGGTGTGAGCCACAGTGCCCAGTCTGTCATGTTTTATTGAGAAACATTTGGGAGCTTCTTATTACCTGTGGAATAGAGACGAGCTGATTCCCTCCCCCTATGCCAAAATGACATCCATGAGACTCCTTGTTCAGGCCCTATCAGCTCCTGTCTAATCTACTTTTCCCTTCACACAAGCTTGGTCAACTGGATGACTGCAGGATTCTTGCCCATTTCAAGCCTGTCTTCCACTCTCTGGCTCCTGCAGTTCCACTGTCCTTTCTCTCCTCTTTAACTTCCCCGCCTTCCAAATCCTTCAAGACCCAACTCAAATGCCGTGCTCTCTGGAATGGCTCTCACAACTGTCTGAACCTCTCTCTTACTGCATTCTGCCTGTCATAAAATGAGCCACACACCTCAGGTCCTATCCAGCTCACATGTAAACATGTAGTTCTTTCTGGAGTCACATTCTTTATATCTGTATCTATGTCTATGTCTGTCTTCATAATATGAATGTAAATAATTTAAAATTGGGTAGAATGTTCCGTTAGAAAATTGAAAATTAATTTTAAAGTCTGTCATTTTTCTGTAATTTTGTATAATATAGGGTCATTCCTTTTACTTATTGGAACCAATTTTTAATTTATGTATAGAATATTTAGATTTTATTTTGGGGTTAAGTACTACTCTGTTTAGAGAGGAGTGGACTATTTAAATTCTTGAAATAACTTCAAATCTATTTATACAAAAGAAAATTAGGGATAATTTTAGGTACTACAAAGACTCATGTAGTATTATGGACCTTTGTCATTTAATTGCATTATCCTTTTAATGAGAGCTAAGTTCAATAAAATTTTATTTTTTCAGACACCACTCTTTGGGAATTCTTGATAGTTCAGTTACCAAAGTGGCAGACATTTTCAGTTGTTGCTCTGATACTTTTTAAATGAGCAAACTTCTCAGGCACTTAGGAAGATCCACCCATGTGTGGATAGTTAATGTAATAATTACAAAGAATTCCCATCTATTAATTACAGAATATCTGGCAGTGCAGTGATATATTTGGCAACATCTTGTCAACTATTAATTCAAGTTAAGTACTTTTTTAAAAGAATAGCTGTAAGTGAGGCTTTTATTAATTCTAATGGCTTTACTCTTAAATAATCTAAGTTAGTGAAATTTAACCAGTTACTGAGTTGTTCTTTGTATTCAAGGATAGTGGTTTTACAGATGTCATCCACAGGAGGGGATGTGATTGGAGAGACTGGTGCCTGGTCACTGGGCCTCTCCAGATTGCATACAGCTGACACCTACCCTTTTCTTGTGGTTCTAATTGCCACTCGTTCTAAGGAAGGCTCATTTACATATAGAATGTGCATATTTAATCGTATTTGATCCTCACCGAAGCCATAGTTAGGGTGGGCATGACCAGTCCTTGATCGACTTACTCTTGTCACACACAACTAGAAGGGGCAATATTAGTACTTTCACCAAGGTCCTCTGTCTCCATCTCTGTGCTTCACCACACTGTCTTTCAAATAGTAGCAACTTAGATTTGCAAAGCAATGTACATCTACTACCTCATTTGCTTATAAAAAGTCACCCCCTTGAGATTGTCCTAAGTGGATCTGCCTGTTGCTTTTCTTTTCTGGCAATCCTTAGTTATATGCCATTGTCTGCTGTGTTTCATATTCATACTTAAAAGGCACTCTGAACATTTGACATGTCCTACAGTGTCATCACCCTGTCCACACTGCCTTCCTTTGGCTGCCCTCAGGTTGCCCTAGCTCTTTCCAAGGCTAGAGATTAGCTAAGTAATATGTCCCAACTCTCCCATCTTTGCCTCTCTACCTTTCTCATTGGAACCCTATCCTCAGCCCTTCTTCCCATTCCTTGTAAAAACATATTCTTCAGAAAGAATCATTCATTTCAAAGCATAAATCATTACTTACAAGTATATATTGAGCCTCCTTGCTTTCAGGGAATTGGTGTTTTAATGGTTCATAAGAAACATTTAGCCAAAGAAATGACCTTCTAGTGGTAGAATTTAATCTTAGTGAGCAGCTGAAGGATAATTTTTTGAAGCTAGGATATTCTTATTGGCACCCTTGAAATTACAGAGGTAGGGGGGTCTCCCATTTCAACCACATGGAAAGCCAGTCTTATCCATGTTCTGCTGTGAGCCCTGCTCCTTAGAAAAGAGAAGGCTGACAAGAGTATTGCTTGCCTGTGGGTAGAATAACTGCTTGAGATCCACATATTATTGGGCCTGTCTTATCATTTAATGTTTAAGTAGCACTTGCTGGTGCGAGTTATACAGAATGTTTGCAGCAAATCCATGTCTCATAGTCATAAAGAAGTAAAGGCTTGCACCGTGGGCCTTTAACTTGTTTTTTGAAAATCAATCAACAAATATTGATTAACACTTCAGCTGTCTCCTCAAAGACATTTTGACCTTTTTGATTTCATTTTCTTTGTCTATTGTTGTGTCACTGAGCAATGTGCTGTGTAAGTTGCAAAATGTGTGACAGCTTTTAGTCCTTTTTGTGGAGAGAGGTCTGTGAGGATGGTTTATAATCTTACTGCTTAGAAAAGCTGTGGTCTCTAAGGTGTAGTGGTCAAGAGCTTGGGCTCTGGAATCAGATGGCCTGGTCCTCAGTAAGGCTCTGATATGTACTTATTGTGTGATTAGGAGCAAATTACTTAACATATAAACTCACTTTCCCCATTTGCACAATGGAGATTAATGTTAGTAACTGCCTGGTTGGTGGTGGTTGTGAAAAAGATTAAATAACATTGAAATGAGCCGTGCATTGTGCGGGCACCTGCGAAGTACTGCTATCATTATGTTCTTTGTGGTTTAGTGGTCCCAGTTTTCTCTGGGTCTCCTTGTATGTTCACTCCTAGAACACAGGGAATTGTACAGAAACTCCTGGTGGACTCTGTAGAAACTTTAAGTTAGATTGCTTTAAAGTGTTTGGAATTGAATTATTTCAAAAAGGAATTTCTTTTTTGCAGAAGTTATAAAGAAAGCAAACTTCAGTTTCTTGCCTGCTTTCCAGGCCTTGACTTTATTCTGTTTTTAAATATAGCTGCTGCAACAAGTAGATTGACACAGTGCAGCCCGGCCATGGGCCATTTCATGTCATTTCATGGCATGGGGAACACACAGGAGTCTCCTCAGACTGCCTTGTAACTTGTCTCAAATATAATCCAGGTCTTTCATTGATTATCTGGATGTGTGCATTCTAGGAACTGTTGGAGGAGATAGATGTCCCAGCAAATACTTTCGGAATTTCCCCTCAGTCTTGGACTCCCATGAAAGTTACAAAGGGGTGGTAAATCTACAGTTTAATTGCCTGGAGTCCATTAATGCCCTACTGATTTTCTTTGGGCACTGGTCAGGTAAGTTAGTATACATGTTTATAGCCAATTTAAATGCCCCAAGAAGATCACTGACCAATGGCCATCCTTATTTTTAAAAGTCACCAGATAAGGCAATTTCTCAAACAACTTCAGCAGGGCATTCCAGAAATGCTTGATCTCATACTTCTCTGCACTATAATAAATACAATTTTGATTTCATCTTGGAGTAATCTGAACTTCTGGGATGTAAAGTAGAAAAATGTTCTATAGCTCTTGGAACATTAGATTGGAAAGAAAATGCCTTAAACATTCTGCTTAATTAAATTCGGTACAAATTTTTCATGATTAATTGAAATATGCTTATTTTGACTGATACATATTTATATGATATTATCATATGAAAATTATGTTATACAAACCGTTCTCTTTGGGAATGTGATTTAATGCTGTAAACATTTTACATTTGTTGTATTGTTTATTATAAAAATGCACAGGCTGATGGCTGTAAGGTAATGTCATGTAAAAATCTGTTATGTGAATCTTCTCTGAGGTAATCTCAAGTCTCTAATGGCACAGACCGTTAGCCAAAATGTAAGACAGGTAATTAGGTTTTCCCTAGCTTGAAGAAATATTTTTTTAAGTAGAAAAAAAAATTTAAAGCAGATCAAGTTAGAAAAGTTAAAGTGCTGAAACCTTCTATTTTGCCATTGTAAAGCATGCATTTCATTTCCATGTTTATTGTAAAGCATGCATTTCATTTCCGTGTTTCAGGTAGAAAGAGATGCAGGGTTGAAGTGGACTGATCCTTTTGACTTTAACCACTTAAGAAGTGTTCACTTTTCTAGGGGTGCAGTCATAAGATGGGGACACCATCTCATGTCTGATGACAGAATTTTGAACTATAGTTTGGCTGACAATATTAATTTAGATAATCACAGTTCTTTATTAGTTTCTAAAATCTGTTACTAATATAAAAGACTTTTATAAATCTAGAATGCCTGAAATACCGGAAAATGTTTTTTAAATTTTTTGAATAACCCAATTATCAGACTGTTCTTTGGATCATTAGCTGCTGATAACAGTTTAATACTAGAAAAGGAGAAATCTGATGGGCTTTTCCCAAAGCATATACCTTTATGAAATGGAGTTGTATGAAAAACTGCGGGGAGCGTTGACTTATTTAACAAGGCAGATGCTAACCATCATTCTAGAAGTTTTTCCAGCAGCCAGATATAAAAGTGCACAATGTATTTGGTCTCATGTCATATTGTTGCTTTGTAGTAAGAATGATTTATAAGAAATAATCTGTTTTAAAATTCTACCTTTTTGTTCGTTTATTTGTTAGGTCCTTTGTAAGAAAGTATTCTTGCCTCCCTTTAAAAAATGACAAGTGGGTCTGTCTGGTGATGATGGATTGAAGCTTGAGAAAGACCCCGGAGCTGCCCTTTGGCCTCAAGCATCATTCCTTCAGGCCAGGTCCAAGCTGCAAGCTAAGCGCCTGGCCTTGTGAATAGCTTTGCACTCTATTCTTTCTCATCTCAGTGTTGGTCCATTATAGCTGAAGATCTAGGACTTAAACAGTTTTATGCTTTGTTTCCCAAATCAGATTATTTAAAGGAAGAAATAATGAGGGGGACCTAATGCATGTTCTAAAATGGCTCCTTGGGAAGTGGGGTCTCCTCATTAAACTGTGAGGCCAGGTGATTTCCCGCATAAATTTTTTTCCTTACAGATTTCACCAGAATCAAGCTTACTGCCAGTGGATAATTTATGAGAATTCTGCTGTATCTTCTTTTTCAGGAATTTAAGATTTTAAAGTATCTTATCAATTGGGAAAAATAGAAACTATTAGTTGCTATCTAGTTTAGTAAAGATAGGTGAATATTTTAAAATATATGCTATTTCTAATCTAAGAAAACTGCTCCATACACCAAGGTAAATTATAAAGCTTTGCTAATTTTTCATACCATGTAAAATGTTCATATGTAGAGAGATGCCATATTAGAGATCATGTAAAATATAAATAAAAGCTTGCTTTTATTTATTTATTTTTAAATTTTTTTTGTTAAGGATATTCCTGAAATATCAAAAAGCTTGCTTTGAATAGAACAAATTATTAAATACAGTAATTGTTTGACATTTGATTTCATATTATACCATTTAAAGAAAGTTATCAAAAATGTTGGACTGACATCAAAGGTCATTTTTTATACTATCTCACTTGATAACAATAGATCACAATATGTAATTTGTGAAATACTAAAAGGTCATTAAAATGGCAATATTTATTCCATTGAGGTAAATAAAATGCTGCATATAGTTCTGAGTGGTGATACTCAGGGGGAAAAAAGCCATATCTCTGCACTACAAATTAGTTTGCTTCTAATTTTGCAGGCTGATGACCACACTGCCTCAAACCAAATCTTTTCCCTGGAAATGAAATGATTGCATGACAAACTCTATGAACCCTGAATATGTCAACAACTCGTGGACCAGGCCTTGCTTAGCAATTAGTCTTTGGGGGATTTTATCCAGAAATCAGACAACACTATACGAGTGCTTGTTGGGGATTTTATGATTACCATTCATGTCTGGAGCATGAATGTGGGTTAATAAAAAAAAAATTCCATAAAGGAAGAAGAGATGTGGCAATCAGTCTCTCTCTCTCTCACACACACACACACACACACACACACACACCACACACACACACACACAGTCACTATCAATTGGGAGGACAGAGAAAACTCAAGATGTAGCAAAAGCCGTTAAGAGGCAACAAGGAAATATTACTTAGGTGTCTACTTAAAGTTTCCTTTTATTCACCCCCACCCACCCCTCAGAGGCCAGTTTTTCCCAGACCTGAATATCACCATCATAATGTTTGTCATAACTTCTGACCACCTGCACTATGACTTACTGAATATATTTTACTAATTGACTCACTTTAAAATCCTTTGTTTTAAGCAGTAGTATTTGTGATATCATGGGCTCATTATGCTAGTTAAATTTGTTTTCTTCTCATACAAAGGAAAAGAAATACAATTTAAATAATGGAAATATTTGCAAACCACCTAAATTCATTCTGAGCAACCCCATGACATGACATGAGGGGCTGGGAGGACCACCAATCTGGCTGAGAATGATCTGGCATTCCCATTACCATCCCTCCATCCAGGGCCCAGGAACCACATCACATGGAGGAGAATTTCAATCAGGCCTGCATCTCCCTTAGGACACCAGTGCCGGAAGGCTGCATTGTCAGAGTCTGTTCAGCGAGCCAGGCTTGTCCCTTTCCGTTGCCAGAATCTGGCCACGCACATCTTTCCTTTTTGACTAAACGTGTTGCTTGGGAATTATTACATTGCAAGAATAAACAATAGCACATATCATTTAACAGTAATAGGGAACAGGCCATGGTTGAGCCTGGCGTCTGGTCAAGGTTCACATGAGGGTGTTCCATTTGTAAGTTAGCACCCTACAAATTGTCCCACCCAGTGCAGATCCTGCAGGCTTTCACAGGACCTTTGAAGAAATGGGTTATTTTACAAGCTTCGTTAGTGCTGGGGCTGGTTTAACTAGGCAGATGAAGCTTTTTTTTTTTTTTTTTTAAACCAGGCTAAGAAGCCCTAGGAGCCCTTGTGGCTCTGCAGTCATGCTCTGGTTTTTAAGTAAATGTCTTTTGGAAACTTAGGAGCCAAAAAAAAAAAAAAAAAAAAAAAAAGAGAGAGAGAAAGAGAGAGAGAGAGAGAAAGAAAAAGCACTTCTTCTCCAAGGTCCAGAAACTAAAATCAGGCCCAGGTAGCTCTGTCAGGTTCAGGGTGTGTCTAAATTTGAAGGGATGTTTGCTTCTGATATGAACATTTTTCTTATACTTTTATTATAGAAGATGATGTGTCAAATGTACAAATAATGTGTGCCTGGTGCCAGAAAGTGGGAATCAAGCGCTATTCCCTGAGTATGGGAAGTGAGGTGAAAAGCTTCTGCAGCGAGAAGTGCTTTGCGGCCTGCCGACGAGCCTACTTCAAGAGAAATAAGGTAAGAGCACCGGAGAGAGAGGCGGCCCCCCACAGGCCTCACCAGCCCACACGCGCATGTGCCTCATAGCTTCTAGCGGAAAACACTGCGCACCTTTTACTTTTATATTTTTATTCTCTCTGTTTTGTTGATTCCCCTTTTGTGTCATGCTTAACCTTTTGGAATAAGGAATCCCCTTCTAATGTGTTTCTCTTGGCTTAGTGTTTGTGTTCTGAGAGGGTGAATGAATCTGATGAGGACACTGTGATCACAGCTGGTATCCTCATGGCCAGTGTCTTTCCAGCAGTAGAGTGCAGACTGCACTCTGAGTACATGAAAGATAAGTGGTAGATATTTCTTTAAAAAGCCAAGTAATTAGCCACAAAAGCATGGCCAGAAAGTTTTAGCCCACTTAGTTTAATTCTTGTACCCAGTGGAAATACTGCTATTGCTCTTTTCAAAATCTGGCCCACGAGTTCTTGTCAAGAAAAATGTCAAGTCTCTCTTGACATCTTATGTTAAAGCTGATTGATATTGAGAAAAGATGAAATCATGAATACGTGAAACAACATTGCTCACACAGCCAAGCATTTGTGAGGAGCGTGGTGGGTAAACACAGGAACAGCCATCGTTAGAATTTTTTTTGGTTTTGTTTTGAAGACATCCCAGGTCTGAAAATGTCCTTTTTGAATAGTGTTAGCCACCATGGATGGGAAATGGAATGCATGATGTTTTTACAATCACACGCACATGCACACAACTATTTTCTGAATCCTTAAAGAACTGCTGTAGCCTTTGCCACCAACTACTGCGGTAACTTGCTAGTCCTCAATTATTTTCCATTGATATGTAAAGCTTCCTTAATTCATAAAATCTTTACTAAAATTGTCCACATTTTGTTGTTTCCATTTCTATAATACAAGATCCAAATCTGTTCTTCTTGAAGCAAACAATTATTATTTTTCCAAAAGTGTGATATTTGCAATCCTGAAATGCTAATTATGGGCTCACTGCATTGCAGGCACTGTTGCAGCAAATTATCTCCTGAAAATTTGGGTCACATTCATTCTGCCAAAAAACATAATGCCAAAAGAATTAGGCTGCAGAATTCAGCAGGGTGGAATTTTAGTAGCAGTCTCTAAGAGTTAGGCTCATAATCTTCACTGAAACAGAGAGGCAAGTAAGGAAATTGTTTGGAATTCTTTTGGGACTGTCAGCAGTCAAGTTCACTTTCCCCTGGGAGGAGCCAGTGAATCTGGGGAGGAGGGTGGGAAGAATGATGCACGGGAGACACGTTTTGTTTTAATATAGGGGGATTAAAATGATCTCTGAGACCCCGGGGCTCCCGTTTTGAATGCCGAGCACTGGAGTAACAAACCCAGGAGTGGGCCCAGTGCTTTCTTCTTCAAAGCCCTACTTACCACAACAAAATACTTTGCATTCCAATCCAGAAGATGGCTATAGAACAGGGCTTTTTGTCTTTCTATAATTCTGAAGGGTTATGGGTCTGAATCTTGATGGGCTGCCTGTAGGGACTAAAATCAAGCAAGATGGATTTGTCACAATCCTGGTGATACATGTTATATTTTGCAAACTGTATTTTATAGTGAGCCTTTGAAGAAAGACACCTGATTCCATTTGGAAAAACACTCCAGAATACCATATCTATATCTATATTGTTTACATCATTATAAAGTTTAAGGTCAAACTGAATTTAAACTTTCATAGGGTACATTTTTGAAAAATGGATAACTGGGAGCGAGGATAGGAATTAGCATTTGAAATACTTACAGCAGGTAAAGTCAGCAGTGGGAGGAGGACCATCACATTTCACTTTCTACCAGGCGTTATTGGGATATGTCTTTGAACATCTTGCTAAACCTGGAAGTTGCAGCAGTTTGGTGTTTAGCCAGTGACTTTGCCAGCTGATCCCAGTTGTCTGTTAGTGTACAAACAATTCCTCCCTTCTCTGCAGTCTTCATCCTTCCTTATATATCCCAAAGCTCTGATGTGCTATGCCTTCTTGTGTGTGTGTGTGTGTGTGTGTGTTTTTTTTTTTTCCAAATAGAGAAATAAACTAGTCTATCATTTGTTGGCTTCTTTTTTTTTAATTTTAAAGAGTGTTATCTCTGTTACAATATTATATTGTCTTACAATAAACATGTACAGCTGCTGCATTTCTGTTAACTGATAGGATTTTGTGGTCATTTCATTTAGGGCTTGGGTTTCCTAATGGATTGTATTAGATACCAGTCTCCATCCTGCCATTTCTAAGAACTGCTTGTAATAAGCCCCTGGGTGTTCCGTACTGAAGACAATAGCAAATAGCTACTTCTCCTCTTGTATCATTTAACAAAGTCCTTAGTCCTTGTTAATTAAATTGTGGACTTTCTTAATCTTAGAAAAAGGGCAAAATTCTTCCCATTCCTACATAACAGATTTTTTTTCTGGCTAAATTCTACCTTTTTTAAGTTTTGAGAAGTGGATAGAAAACAGAGTGAATAATGTGTGTGTGTGCAGAACAGAATTTTGCCTTAGGTATAGTGTAGACTTAAAAAAACATAAAATTAACTGTGCTGTAAATTATGCTTTATGACAGCCCGCTTCTTGCTGGATAGCATGGTGGGATCTAAAAATGGTCTCTAAGTTGAACCCAAATTGCATGCATAACTTTACAAAGAAAAATCCTAGTAGAAAAGGTAGCTAATTAGGAGCAGTATTCAGCTGACCTCTGTTTTGTGTCTGAGCAACACCTGCATTTGTGAATGTAAATTGGACAGCTGTGCTTGTGGTCTCTGTGCATTTCTCTTCACACACGCTTGGGTGTAGAGTCAGGAATTGATTTGCTGCTGAAAACAAGGACAAAAATAACCCAACTCTCAAAATGATGGCCCACTGAAAATGGGCTCTTGAAATTTCTTTTGCCTCTCAATCCTTCATTTCTTTTTGGGTTTCTGTGTTTGTTTAATGGGGCGGGTTGAAAGTGTCACATACATCTCTCACAGACTGTCACTATGCAATAAGGTGGGATGGATTGAAGCCAGGTTAACCTATATAGTATATAGGTTATATTTTTAACTGAATTTAAATTTTTATTTGAAGAGTTGTCTGGATTGCTACGAATATTAGGCTTTCTTCAAAATACTTCTACTCAACACTGCCAGGAGAGGACCATGAATCACAGCTGTATTCACTTAAGGACTCTAACTACTAGTTTACACATTTCAGAATGTTGGCTCTAGGAAGTGGATAGTGTTAATTCATAATATATTTTGTAGGGTCCTTATCCCCGAAGGCTTATTTGCTGGCTTAAAAGTTTTTGAAACAGCGGGTAAGAAAAATACTTATGTAGTCTGTGGGCATTGTATGGACAATGGGATGTCAATCTCATTATTTCATGTATTGGAGACTTTTCAGGGAACTAATAGCTCACTCTTTTCCCAGCCCATTTTTGGACTTGAGAGCATTTCTGTCCTTGTAATTCATCTAGGAATTGGAAAGTTGCAGAGACTCCTTAGTGATTTTGCACTCTTGTGAAAACATTTAGTCCAACTTGCTAACACCAGTTTTACTTTGCATAGTAATGCACACGTAAAAATACTCTTTCCTAAGGGAGTAATGTCTTGTAACCATTATCCCTCTAAAAAGGAGTAACAAACAAGACCACAAATGTTAGTCACTTCCAAATGGCCTGTGTTTGATCTCTTTCCTTTTACATGGGAAATATCTTATTGTCCAAACTAATATCCAAAAATCAAGAAGGAAATTAAAAGTCAAGACAAATGGCTACTGCAGGCAATGTAAAGGATGATTATTTACTTTTCTTGTTCGGATCTCAAGTTTTTAGTGTTCTTTATGGATTCGGAATGTTGATAATTTACAAGTAAACACAAATTCCTAAGAGCACCAAAGTTTTGCTTCCTTGTTCTAGTTTTTTAATAATTTGAAAGGCCGGGCGCCATGGCTCATGCCTGTAATCCCAGCACTTTGGGAGGTGGAGGTAGGAGGATTGCTTGAGCCCAGGAGTTGAAGACCAACCTGAGCAATAGCGCGAGACCCTGTCTCTACAAAACATACAAAAATTAGCTGGCTGTGATGGTGCTCACCTGTAGTCCCAGTTACTCAGGAGGCTGAGGTGGGAGGATTGCTTAGCCCAGGAGGCTGGGGCTGCAGTGAGCCATGACTGTGCCATTGTACTCCTTCCTGGGCAACAGAGCAAGACCCTATCTCAAAAAAAAAAAAAAAAAAGATCGAAATACTTCTTCAATATCATGATATTGTGGTTCCCCAGCAGATCACAGTGGGAAGAAACCAATGTGGCTCAGAGATGAGGATAAGGATGCATTAAAAAGAAAAAGATGATATAGACAGAAACAACATTTGCAAATGATGCCATTAAGATTTCCTAACAATCATTATAATAATAACATAAATAATTCAAGGAGGAGAATATTCTGTTATTGGCATTTCTTTTACTTTCAGACTATATTCTTGGTTATACAGCGATCTCTTCTTAGAAGACATTTCTTTTGGAAGAACCCATCTCTAATTAGCATGTATCATCATGTTATTTGGAGTTATATTTTATTTAGACATAGTCTATTTGTCTTTTTATTAAAGTTGAATATATCCTGGGAAAGATTTCTCAGTTTCAGACTTAATTATAGAACCAAGTAGTACAGAAGAAATGTGTAACAATTGCCCTGTTAATCTAGTGATTAACCTGTCTACTCTTTTTCCTTTAAATACCTGCAAGATTTAATTTGCAAAATGGCTATCATTCATGAAGGCTTGGAGAAGGACATTAAGAAATTACTTGCAATTAATGTCCCCTGACCACCTGAAGCTCAGGCCACATACTTGCTTTTGCCAGTTGCTGGCAAATATCTTTGGCCCACCAGTAAATGCACCTGGGGAGCCCCAGGGTTCTTCCTGTGGATTCCCCTTGGTTTTAACAGCCACCAGTGAGCCTCCTGAATCTGTCCAGCTGCACCCTGGCCTGCAGGATGATTGCTTGGTTTTGCAGTGTTCCTTAGTACTGTACTATAAGCCTATTCACTGCCTCATGTGTATAGTGGCTTCTCCTCCCAGGGTTTTAGTCTGCAGGCCAGTGGCTGAGCTCCCTTTTGGTCATAGCAAACGGGTGTTCTCAGAAAGCTCTGGGGAAAAGAACAACAAACCCAAGTGTTTCTTATTGTCTTGTATTTTGAAATACAGAATGGAATATTGATGAGCTGCTGCAAATGAGAGGCTGGAAAAAGCAATCACAGAGGAGGGGTAAACGTCAGTCCTTGGAAACACATTTGGGAGTAGGGTTAGAGCAGGAAGGTTCTGGCTAGTGAAGTAAAGTGTAGGTCCGTTTAAAGTGACACACAGGCTCTTGAGGAGAGCTAGAAAGTGTTCCAAGGCAGAGGTTCTGCAGACAGGGTGGGACATAGTACTCTAGAAAGCCATCAGAAGCTTGGGGAGAGGTATGTGACCTCATGTTCACCAAAACACTTGAAAACCACTTGAGAAACTCTGGTCTAAGGGATACCTGGAACACAGCATGGGGCAAGTAGGTTTGTACTGAAAGGAACAGCAACCACTTCTAGTTTTTAATGAGCCACATGTTGTGAGACTGTGAAGGAAACAGCAATAATTCTAACCCATTAGCCAGAATGGACATCAGTTTCTGAATAACATTAGATATTTTAAATTAAATGTGAAGAGTTGATGAAAACTCGAAATAGCTTCAAGCCCCAGTCTGTGTTCAACATTTTTCAGTGAGCGGAAGGAAGAGAGGGAGTTTTTCATAAATCAGAATCCGGTCACCTGGGGATCAATACACAGTGCTATTGACATATATGCTGGAATGTTAATTTTCAGACATAGTACATCTCTGGCCATCCTTCTGGTGAAGGCTAATGCTGTTCACTTAAATCAAGTTTTTTCTCATCGGAACTGCCGGTAATTATCCAATCCATCTAAAAGGCACGCTCCCTTTTAACATTAACCACAGTGTCAGATTGCATCAGCCACATTGTGTTCTGGTGACTGCTTCTGCAGAGTGATGAATGTGCGTGTTTGGAGTTCATAGTCCGACTGTCTGTTTGGGCAGTGGGCAGTTCAGTGAAACAAATGATCAGGAAGGGATCTATTTATTTGGGACGAACATTCTCCTTATTGATCCAGTCACTTACATTTCCAACTCTCTCACCTTGCCACTAACAGTGTTCAGCTTTATCTGAAGAATGAGCGTTTAAAGAATTATCTTACAGGTCATTTTGATGTGATTCTCTGATCATAAGCTGCATTCAGCACAAAGTTACTCTTTGTGCCTGACTTAAAAAGGAAGGTGTTGTGAGACTTTATTAATAAAAAACAGAGGAGGGAGAAGGTTCTGAGAGTGCTTGGTGAACTGTCCTGAGAAACCAAGAGATAATGATTATTCTTTTTCCTGGAATAGTAGTTATACTCTGTTGATTCAGTGCTTTGTTAAAAATGTTAAGTATCTGAATAAGTGCAGGCATAAAAGGGCAGGTGGCTTGCCTTGAGATATTTTAAGGTAGTAGATTAAGTCCTGAATTTTTCTTGTACACCTTTGCAATGTCTGGTCACAATGCCTAGTATAGTCGAGAGG
Organism: Homo sapiens; assembly: GCF_000001405.40. NCBI lineage: Eukaryota > Metazoa > Chordata > Mammalia > Primates > Hominidae > Homo > Homo sapiens. Next base: position 107,540,212 of record NC_000006.12, read on the forward strand.
CCCCATGGGGGATCCAAGCTATAGGCATGCCTGTGATTATCTTAATTTCTCCTCCATTTCAATACCTCTGGATAGCTTATGTACACATAAACAGAAGTGTGAACTGGCCAAGCCATATGTAATTCTTTGTTCCTCGGGCTCTTTGCTCTTTGTTTATATTATCACAGATTAGAATGGAATAAAGAAAATCTTGCTACAGATGGTCACTTCATTTCTGTCCCAGCAGTTGAGACTGAGAATGGGAAATTCCCTATGTTACAATCCACTCTTAGGGTGGCTGTGCACACAGTGGAATCTAATGTCTACTGACAGACTGCCTTTGGAGGTTACAAACATCAGTCTATTGCATTCTCTGTAAACACAGGCTGTGGGCCAGAGCTGGGCTCTGCTACAAGCTCTGTGAGGCAGATCAATGGTTTAATGAATCCATAAAGATGCTTGAACTCTGCTGCAATTTACTGAGCACTCTAGTTAAATGAAACTCCTGTAGTCTTTAACAAAGATAGTGATAATCGATGGCTGGGGATGGAAGTCCATGTCCAGCAGTCACAACCTCCCAGAAGTTGTGTTGTCTCATTGCTAACAGAGGTTTAGTCACATTCAGTTTCTGAGGCTCACTGTGTCTATGTTGATATTTGCTCAATGTTTGAGAGCTGAATTTGGCCCAGAAATGACATAATCTTAGTAATGTTGCTTCTGTGAGGACTATTTTTAAACTATGGAATATTATTTAAAATAAATTTCTTTAAAGTGACAAGATTAAGCTCAAGAATTATATTTGTTCTAACAGGTAGTGTCTTTGTAAGTCATCCCCATGATGAAAAGTAAATAGCGGAATAAAATCCATTCCTGATTAAGTCCTCAAAATGTCAAATTGCATAGTGTTGGAGAGCCCTGATTAATTTTTCCATGGTAAAATATTCCTCATTAGTTTGCTGTGGTTGAGGGTTAACCACTCCTATTATAAATTCAGACATTAATGTATTTTCTGCTTAATTCATCTTCGAATAGAGGAAAATATAGTTAGTAGATATGAATTTTGTACTTCCAAATGTGCTTTGGAAACATTATACTGATTTATGAGAGAGCTTTGGAGGCATGTAGGATAATTCCTTCATAAATATGTTGAAATGTATTTAAAGGTATTTAACCACCTTTGATCGTAGAAAAACAAGTGCCTTGACTTTGAAATGATTATTTTTCCATCGAAATAGTAGAAGTTATGACGTAATTCAAAGATTTTGCATCTGATTTTTGTCACAGAAACTTAAACTTTCTTAATGTTTAACTTTCTTGATTAGCTAATTAGCATTAATTAATCCCACTCCCACTCCAATAACTATATTTTGGAGGCTCAATGGGTAATAGGAATTTTGAGATATTATGACTGCAAATTTTCACTGGCCTTTTGCCAGACATTCCATGGTAAAGCAGTGATTTTTATGTGGATCTCATAAATGATATGTTATCTTATAATCTGTTTTGATAGAATGATTTCATATCATTTAAAATATGGTGAGCATTTTTATGACTGCACATCTAAATCTTTGTTATAAGGAGAATCTTTGAAGGATGTGACACTTTCTGTGATAAACTGTAGGATTGTATGTTTCATAAGTGGAGCAATATAAATTGATAACAAAGAAAAAGGGGAATTTGCCCGACAGGAGATAAGTACCTCCCTACAGCTTTTTGTTTTTAGCCACACTTAAAAAAAAAACTTGTTATTTAATCATCCATTCATTCTTTAAAAAATAAAATAAAAAGATATATTGAGCCTGTATACGGCACTAAGCATGTTTTAGTCTTGGTGGGTAGACTTTTGAACAAGAGAAAAAGTCCCTGTCTTAAAGGGACTTACACTCTAGCGGGGGAGATAGATGATATATACAGGCTTAAACATATCTTTGTAATATGATTTCAGGTAGGAAAAAGTGCTATAATAAAAAGCAGAGTGAGGGAGAGGGCTAGTGAAGGGCTGCTGTTTCATATCTGAGGATCACAGGAGTTATTTTTGAGGAGGTGACGTGTGCTGGGGACAGAAGGAAGTGACGGAGCTAGTTGTGTGTGAGGAGCTGGCAGCAGAGTGTCCTGTGGAGAAGGGGGAGTAAGTGAGAAACAGAGGTCCTCAGGCAGGAACAGTCTTGGCATTTTTGAACAGCAGCAAGAAGTACAGATGTCTGGAGCGGAATGATCAAGGTGGTGAGAAGCCAAATGACGTAGGCTGGAGAGGCAGTAGTTTGGAGTTCATTCTAAGTGTGATGGCAGCTATTGGAAGCTGTTGAGCAGGATGGGTGATATGATCTGATTTTTGTTGTTGATTGGGCCTCTGTGACGGAAGTAACACATTCAGGATCCCGTATGCAAGGGGGATTTGAAGAGTAAGAAAGGCAACAGCATTCACATCAAAGTTGGGTGTGTCTGGCAATAGAAAACTAAAAATATCTTATTCACTGAATTATTCATTAGTAGTTATGAAACATTTCCCAGTAGCAAAAGTGTATTGAACCAATTTAGTTTTTTGTGTGTGTGGTTTTGTTTTTTTGTGTGTTTTGTTTTTTTTTTGGGCAAGGTGTGGGAGGAAAGGCACCAGGGAGGGATGCTGTTGGGTAAGTGTTCTGACACAGCGATTTTCTTTCTGTAGGGCAGGTGGGGCTTGTCCCCAACCCGGTAGAGAGGTTAGGGCCTCAGAAGGCAAGCTCCATACAGAATCTAACTCTTGCTCTGAGAGACCTACAGCATCCACGGGCCTTCTCAAGCTCTAGCCTTAGAGGTAGCATTATGGTAAAGAGATGGTAATCTTGAAGGGACCATCTTTGGGTAAAGGGATTATTTTGATGTCAGCTTTATTCTGAGAGTAGGTATAGTCTGGTGATTACTTGTAGGGTGTGTCAGGATTTTTAATACAAGTAACAGAAGACCTCAACAATAAAAGATATCATTTGGAGTTATAAAGTCCCAAGCTAGTATGTACTTTGGGGCAGGTTGATTCAGCAGCACAGTGGTCTTATCACAGTCCCGTTTCTTTCCATCTCTGTATTCTTCCATGTAGAGTGTTGGCCACATTTCATGGCAAGCTCCCCAGTGGTCATGGGACAGCTGCTAGCAGCAATCAGGGCTACACACTTTCTTGTTGACATCCTCTGGAATGAGTCTCTGGCCTAGCATTCCAAAAAAAGAGTCTTGAAATTCATACTCATTGTCTATGCTTACATTACATGCTCATACCTGAATTGGGAGGGTGGGCTATGACGAGAGAGAGCAATGGAATGTCTAGCATGAGCCAATCAGGGCTTCCCTCTGAAATTCAGGTTGAGCTCATTTTCCTCTGAAGCCCATGGGCAGCATGGGGAGGGGTAGCTACCAGAATGAAAGTCAGGGAACTGTTAGGGAGGGGACCAGAGTGATGGCTGATGGGAGATGCAAGCAAATGCCCTCTAGAGAGAAAGAGAGATGATCTCCTGAGGTTAATTCATGAGGCTGAATTCTTTACACGATGGATGTGTCATGCCTGTCTACCCTTGACATGTGGGAGAAATAATCCAAAGTGGATTGAAAGATAAAAATGTGGTTAGCCGTCATCATAGGGTCCTTAGATGAACCACCTCTTCTACCCAGCACCAGCTGTTTTGAGAAACCTGATTATTAGAACATTGGCTCTAGTATCAGGACTGATGTGATCACTATTTCCACTCTTTTCAGACTTTAGAACATGAGATTGCACAGAACTAAAACAAAGGGATTGTGGTTAGCTGTTATTCCCATTTATAAATAGGAACAGTGGTGCCATTACAGCAGCAGATAGCTCAGAATATAGTTTCCTCAGTGTAAGTGGCCTAGGAGAGGCTGGCCAAGGACTGTATTGGATGTGGGGAGCTAGATGCTTTGGAGTAGAAGTCTGATGGGATGAGGCTGCTGTTACCCATCAAGAGTTAACTCGTCCACACATTGAAGCTACTATCTTTGTGGCTGAAAACTGTGTCTGCTAAACAGAAGGAAAAGAGAAGTGTTCAGAAGAATTGTGACACAGTCTGAGGCTAAATGCTTCAAGTTCAGGTGGCCAAAGGAGTAGAAGTCTTGAAGACTGCAGCTTTCACCATTATTAATTAATCTATTTATTTATGCATTCAACAAATATTTGTTGAACAGTAACTATGGGAGTTGCCGTGGCCAACAAAACCTGGTCCTTGCTCTCATGAAGCTTATAGTCCATTGAGGGACAGATGTTTATTTAAATAATAACGCAAATGTGAAGTCGTCACTGTGGCAAGTGCCATGATAGTATTGGGCACAGTCCCATGAGAACCTTTATCAGGGTGAGTTGACTTGTCAGAAGATCTTGAAGCTTCCCTGAGTAAGTGGGGCTAGCACTCAAATCTGAAGGATAAAGAGGTGTTAAGTAAGGAAAGAGAGAAGGAAGAGCTTATTGGGCTGAGGACACCACAGTGTGATTTCTAATTTTGGCATTGATATGCGCTTTCTTTGCTAATTTCATGTTCTTTATGAAGGAATGGCGCTTTACCCACAAACAAGAGAACAATTGAACAAACAAATATTCCCTGGAATGATAACCCCATTTATCCATTTGTTTGCAAATTCATTCATTCATTCATTCATTCATTCTACCAATCCTTGGGGATTAGTTGCTTGCCTGCTGGCCTCTGCCTGCTCTGACTTTTCGATCAGCTTCATGGACTATAGAGTTAGCACATTAATACTAAATCATTTCGGAGAGTATGCAGCTTGTAACTCTTGAAGGTAGAAGCATTTTATAAATACATCATAATACTGTAATAATCACAATGATAACTGTAAGAGCTTAAGTGTTCTTAACTATCAAATGTACTAGAAAAGCAACAATGACAGCAGAGAAAAGATTGGGCAAAAATGCACTGATTTGAGAGAGGAGAATAGTGTAATTACTGTCTGATGAATGTGGTTGAAAGATAAATGAGATAAGTCACTTTTTGCGGGGAAGAGCCACAGAAAGGGCAGATACTCACCCTCATCCCCACTAGGTGTGGTGAAGAGATATAGTTTTGTTATATATAGAGAGAACTATATAGTTACGTTAACGTTAATACAAGGGCAGACAGAAACTTTGGGTAATGATGAATTCCAGGACAGAGAACTGCTGATTGACACTCAGGTCCCTAGGCAAGACAATCGTGATAAAACGGAAAGAGAACAGCATGTTTGCTGGCACGGCAACAGAGGGTGATTCTTGTGGTGCAATGGTGTGGCGGGAAGGAAGGGATTCTCCTCCCTTTCTTTGTATTCTTTGTTTCAGCCTCGCATGTAATTTTAGTACCTAAAGTCATGATGACAACTCTATAGAAATGTAGTGACAAATAAATAGGCAGGTAAGTAATTCAGATTTTATCTTCCTGGGTCTTACCTGGGTGATGTGGACATGGATATTGCTAATGAGAGGTATCTGAATCTCTCTTCAGATGCCAGATGGGAGAGATGACCCTTATAAGGCTAGCTACACCTTTACCTGCCTCAGGTGACTGTGAACCAGGGACTGCAGTTCAGCTGGAGTCAGCAGCCTCCTCTCCAGATCTAGTAGCTCCTGAAAGCCACACATAATGACAGTCATTTCCAAAAGAGGCTGATTTTAAAACTGTGCTGAAAATGGCTAACAGCAGGCTGAAGGTTAAAGTAAAAAACTTAAAAACCATAAAATCTGCCTGGAGGCTATTTAAGCAAACTGTTTTAGAGGCACAGATGGTTCATATACCTCTGAGCCAAAAACAAAAAGGAAAAAGGGGACAGTAAAGCTGGCGTGATTAAGCAGACAAGTATGAAAGTTTTATTAGTACTAAAAAGGCATCCTTTAGAAAGTAAAAAATCCGTCTCAGGAAATTTGGAAGACGTATTAAAGACCAATGGGAAATGGAGAGGGCACACAGATGACATTTCGGAAAGCAACCAAAAATAGTGAAGACTGTACGCATGGACATTGGATATCAGAAGCTGTGCTCCAAGGACCTTAGGAAGCAGTGTAAGAGAAAGATGCCGTATATGGGCAATTGGGAGTAGCTTCCCTGTCCTGTATCAATCTGTGATGTAGAGCAGGTTTTATAAGGATTTTTTGCAACTTAAACAGTGGTTTGAATCTTTAAGGAAAATCAGTTGAAGCAAATTTGAGAAGCTTAAGTGCTGTAAATCAGAGGGTCCAAAACATATGAAGGAAATAAAGTATGATGTTGCTGATAGCATTAAAAATAGCACGTATACTTGAGAGTGGAGAAGTCACTGGGGTGCAAGGGCATCCAGCCTCTCTCAAGGGTCTGCTTTGCTGCATCCTGGATGCAGTCCTCCAGGTATCTTCCCATGAGCATGCTGGCGCCTGCACTCATGTGCACACAGAAAGCCTCTGGATTTGAAATGGGTGAGTGTCCATTATCATAATTTTGAGAAAAGCCAGACTCTAAGGAATGACAGAACAGTACAAAGTTTGCAGGGTCACTATTTGAGGAGGCTCCTTTGAGAAAAACAAAACAAACAAACAAAAAACAGTATTTATGTCTTGAGTTAGCATTTGATACAAACCTAAATAAAAATGACCAAATATAGCCTTGCAAAAAAGTAAGGTAAGTTGTTTGGATTTTCAAAAATCCAAGTAATTCATTTAGAGTTTGGCTGACTCCTCCTGAAGAGACCCTTGAGGAACATAAACAACTGAAGACAAGGAATAAAGCCCAGCCTTGGATTAAGAACCTGGGGAAGGAGTGGATGATATTCCTCAGGGTAGAGAAATTAATAGTGTACCATCCCAGGGGTTTATATTAGGAGTAGTGTCACTTGGTAATACTGATGGCTTATTTGGCAGTAGATGACAGGAAGGAGGTAGCATTCACTACTTTCTCTTAGTTGCTTTCATTTGAAAAACCACAGAGAATTACCCTCCGCCCAAAAAGAAACCCTTACAAATATATACATATAATGAGGTAACCTGACATCAGATGCAATTCCATTCACTCAGCCATCAGCGAGCACAAGGGAACAAAACGTTTTAATCCTCACGTCCCTGATATGGGCTGACTCTCAGCATCCCCAGAGAGGAGAACTTGGTCCCATCTGTAGGGGGCTCATTGTGTTACCTGCCTAGAGTAAAAAAATTAACGTTTAAATGTTTGACTGCATTAAAGACAATTTTTAAAAGCAGACAAAAGTACGTCAAACAATATGCTGATAATCAAGCTATGTCCCTTCTCACAGGAAATGTGTAGTTCATTCTTCTTGAACCTGATTTTTATAAAAGGCTAACGCTGAACTTTAAAAGAGTTGACACAGAGGATTAAATGTGTTTTTATTATACTGCAGGCTATACAAATATGGGATACAAAAGCCTGAAAAGGTATATTGTTGAGGACAAAAGAACTAATAATAAAACTAAAGAATTGGTAAATGTAAATGTAATCAAAATGTACTCAGCCTCTTAACACTCAGGGGTAACCTTTGCAGTTGGCCACAATGGGGAAAGACTAGGTCAGACTCCATGGCAGATGGTTTAATACATAGTACATACATTAATCCACGGAGGCAGCCCTGGAAATGCAAGCAGGTTGTTAATGATCATGGATAGTAGTTGTGAGCTGTTCCTGGTCTTGCAGTTAAGTGTTCAGATGTCATGCTTCGGGGTCCAAGTTGATGGGTTTCTGGGTTGGGAAAACATTTTCCCCCTTCTATTGCACTGCACAGCTGATAAGGCATGCTTCAGGGAAGGAGTGATTTAGACTACTGCAGGTGAATGGAAGGGAGAGAAGGTAGACTTACAACCCAGTCCCATGATTTAGTTTGATGACTTTTTACTTCTAGTTAAAGTGGTACCATTGAGAGTTCATTGAGTATGAGGGATTTGTGAATCAAATGTAAAGGAGCAGACACCACTGCTGTAAATCTAATAGAACTTCAAATCTGACATCAAGTCAATACTGCTTACCAACAACAACAAAAGGAATCCCCAATCTCATGGCCTACTGGCACCAGAGAAAACCATGTACCAATAATATAATTTTCTTTTTCTGTTTTCTTTTTGTTTTTTTTTTTTTGAGACAGAGTCTTGCTCTGTTGCCCACGCTGGAGTGCAGTGGCGTGATCTTGGCTCACTGCAAGTTCCACCTCCTGGGTTCCTGCCTCAGCCTCCCGAGCAGCTGGGACTACAGGCGCCCGCCACCATGCCTGGCTAATTTTTTGTATTTTTAGTAGAGACAGGGTTTCATTGTGTTAGCCAGGATGGTCTCCATCTCCTGACCTCGTGATGCGCCCGCCTTGGCCTCCCAAAGTGCTGGGATTACAGGCGTGAGCCACCGCGCCCAGCCAACCTATAATATAATTTTCAACGTTCTTTATCATGAATTGTTTAATAAGTAGAAAAGAATATTGACCTCCCAAATTTCAGCACAATCAAAGTTGACTTAAATAGTGAATTAAGGGCTGGGTGCAGAGGCTCACATCTGTAACACCAGCACTTTGGGAGGCTGAGGTGGGAGGATCACTTGAGGCCAGGAGTTCGTGACCAGCCTGGACAACATAGCAAGACTCTGTTTCTACAAAATATAAAAAAAATCACCCAGGTGTGATGGTGAACACCTGTAGTCTCAGCTGCTAGGGAGGCTGAGGTAGGAGAATTGTTTGAGCCAGGAGTTTGAGGTTGCAGTGAGCTGTGATTGTGCTACTGCACTCCAGCCTGGGTGACAGAGCAAGACCTTATTTCTAAAAAATAAATAAATAAATAAATAAATTGAATTAAAAACAGATAAACCGGCCGGGCGCAGTGGCTCAAGCCTGTAATCCCAGCACTTTGGGGGGCCGAGGCGGGCAGATCATGAGTTCAGGAGATCGAGACCATCTGGCTAACATGGTTAAACCCTGTCTCTACTAAAAATACAAAAAAATTAGCTGGGCATGATGGCAGGTGCCTGTAGTCCCAGCTACTCGGGAAGCTGAGGCAGGAGAATGGCATGAACCCGGGAGGCGGAGCTTGCAGGGAGCCAAGATCGCACCACAGCACTCCAATCTGGGCAACAGAGCGAGACTTCATCTCAAAAACAAACAAACAAACAACAACAACAAAAAAAAACAGATAAATCCAGAGAATTAATTATAAAGAGGCATACTCCCAAGCCCTATACTGGGGTGGAGCTCATGGAAGTTATTTGTATTATTGAAGCACAAATTGATTATAGAAGCTTAAATCAAAATAACCAGAATTAAATAGAAACTCAGGAAAAAAAAAACCCTAGATGCCTTATGGGGTTTCATTTAGGGTGTCATTTTGCATTAAATGCGATGAAAGAAGAAAGTTAAAGTGCCCCAGAGTAAATGGAGTTAGAACTTTATATTTCCTTTCCCCCAGAAGTACAGCTCCCCTCCTCATTCAAGCCCTTTTGCTCATTTTTTTTTTACATTTCTAATGTAGTCATTTAGTACTTAGTAAGTATCAGTTAATTTTTAATTTTTTATGATCATATAATTCAGCTCTGGATAAGGAGATGTTTGATGTTCCATGGCCTAGATATTTGGCTAAATATTTGATCAGGGGCAAGTAAAGGTGATATAGACCTCAATTTCTTTCTCCCTATGTGTGTAGGGAGATGGGGTGATGTACTGGAGAAAACCTATGTCAAAACAACCGTGATAGTTAACCCCTATCACCTGCACTCTCCAGGGATGTCCAGGGGCCTGGTAAGGTATGGTCATGTTACTCTAACCCAGCTGTGCATGGGAGGAGACATGGAGAGATGGGCCTTACTCATTCCTGGGAAGCCTGGCACCCATGGGGTCCCTCCTCTCCACACCTGGAAGGCCAGTGGGGACAGGAAGGAAGTTGGCAGCTTCCATTTTGGTCTTGAGTCCTAAAGCTGAAATAATCCTTTCTGTCACTCAGCCCCCTTGCAGGGCAGCTGCTAACAGGAACAGTTGACCCACACTCGGCTTGGACCAGGATACTGGAATAGTGTGGGTAGTGAAAGGCCAGAGAGAAGCATAAGAATGCATATTTGGGTACAGACTGGTGTCTGTAAAACAAGCACATGAATCTGCAACTCAGTGAGGTCCTCAGAGGATGGAACTTGTCTCAGGGCTGGGTGCCGTGGAAATTAGACATCTGAGACGTGGTTTCTGCTCAGAAGAGTGTCTGTTTGAGCGTGTGAATTGTCCTGTGCTTGTGTGGAAGTTGACTTCACGCCACACATTTATCCACTTACGCATTTATTCAACAAGCAATATTGAGCATCCGCAGTATGAAGGGCATTGTTCTGTGGCTGGGGATACAAAGATAAATAAAGAGAGGTCCTTGCCTCTGAGGCTCTCACAGTTGAATGGGGAGAGCAACCAGTAAACAAATGACATGATGTGAGGCATGCTGGAACTGATGCGGGTAAGAAGAACCCGGGCACCACAGGGTGACTTACCCAGCCCAGAGGCCAGGCTCTATGCATGAGTGAGCACATGCTAATTTAGAGACCAAAATATAGATTCAGGAAATGGGATGGATAGAAAAAAGGACGGTGAGGCTCAAAAAAGATGTGAGTCAGGAATGAGAGCGCCACATGTCACACATTAAAAAACCAATGCATAACCCTTACTGTCATTCCCATGTTGTGCTTTAACATTTTAAAATATCACGGACTTTGTAGGAATGCTTGAAACAATACTACATAACTTAAAAAATGGATTTTTGACATCATTTTGCCCTTGGGATGTTTTATGAAGAAGTCTTCAGGAGATAAAGGAGGCAAAGAAGCAGAGAATCTAACAGACAGGGCTCAGGGCTCATGGATAAAGTAATGCAGAGACTGACAGGCACGTGAAGAGTTTAATATGTGTCTGCACATTTCCTGAACTGTGCAACCTTAAAGTGGTGGTAGAAAACTTCTCCAACATCCTCCTCCTACGGCCGAGAAAACTGTGGCCCTGAGAAGTTAAGTGACTTGCAGGGGCCACACATCTAGTGGCGGGGGGTGGTTACCACAACAGATATATCAGCTCTGATGAAGTTTCTAAACTCAGTAACAAGAGGAGGCTGTAATTGCAGTTGCCTGAAGAGCAATAGAAACTGGTCTCCTTTATGATTAGAATATCAGTGTTTAGTAAGTGTACATAATAACTTTGTAAAATGGCTTAGTATGCTATTTTTCAAGCTTTTATTTATTATGAACCAGTAGTAAAAAATTTGTTTTATAATTTAGTACGCACACACACACAAACTCATAACCAGTTTCACAGAATCTAAGTCACTTTGATGATGGCGTTTTCTTGATTTTGCCAGAAGGTATCAATGAAGATTTTCATACAATTATGTCACAGCTACAACCTGGCTAAAAACAAGGGCAAAATGAATCATGATTTCAGAAGTGTTAAAATGTGAAAAATATCTGGGTTTTAGAATACGCAAAACAGGGCATATGTATTTAAAACTGAAATAAAAATTTCATGAAATAATACCATACTTATTTTCCTGTGTGATCCACTCTGATATTTTCTGTTTTATTTCATTTAAAAAATTGTTGATTGGGGCTGGGCGCAGTGGCTCATGCCTGTAATCCCAGCACTTTGGGAGGCTGAAGCAGGTGGATCACTTGGGGTCAGGAGTTCGATACCAGCCTCAACAACATGGTGAAACCTCATCTCTACTAAATATACAAAAATTAGCTGGGCATGGTGGTGCACACCTGTAATCCCAGCTACTTGGGAGGCTGAGGCAGGAGAATCGCTTGAACCCAGGAGGTGGAGGTTTCAGTGAGCTGAGATCGCACCACTGCACTCCAGCCTGGGCATCAGAGCAAGACTCCATCTCAACAACAACAACAAAAAAATTGTTGATTGGGACTTACTGATGAGCTGAGAAGCTTGAAAATAGTAGGTAAATAGGTATATTGGTATGAAATGTCATTATCATGGTAGGTTGGGGGCCTTCAATTTCTCACCGTTGGATGGATTCTCTTTGACCTTAACTCTGCAATTTCACCAAGTTAAACCGAGCTATGATCAGTTATGCTCAACTTTCATTGTGGGCTCTCTTAGCAGAGTTATATTTATCACAAAATGGCCAGTGGCTCCTCCATTTATAATTTAAGTATGCATTTGTCTTGATGGAGAACTGCAGGTGATGTGTGTATTGATCAGATAGTAAAAGGGAATGCTCAAATTTTAAGCTGTGCTATATGAAGCTGTTGTATCAGGTGAAAATGAAGCAAAGGAAGTCAGAGGTGAGTTGTTGGGGAGGACCAAGGGTGGGAAAGCCAGGGGAGTGGAGGAAGACCAGACAATGAGGAGGGGCAGCCTCCCAAGAAGCTTCTCACTGTCATTCTGAGCCTGGACCAAAGGGGAGGAGGAGTTGAATGGAGGGATAGACACTCACCATGTTCAGCCTGGTCTTCTCCATTCCAGTCAAATGAGATGAATTCCAGGCCTGTTCCACATAGCTGTGTTGTTAACCATGGCACGAGGCACATCCTTCACAAGGATTGGCCAACATCAGGGGAGTTGATGGGAGAACATCTTGGCTACCAAGTAGAAAGAGTGGCTGACTCTATTTTAAAGTCAGCCACTGATCAGGGGTGGTGGTGTGTACCTGTAGTTCTAGTTACTTAGGAGGCTGAGCAGGGAGGATCACTTGAACCCAGGAGTTAGAAACTGCAGTGAGCTATGATCACACCACTGTACTCCAGCCTGGGAGACAGTGTGAGACCCTGTCTCCATGAATAAATAAATAAATAGTAGACTGATGAAGACATAATAGCTAAGGCTTCCCCATTTAAATAGTTTGGTACTTAAAGCCAGATTAGAGATGGGGTGGGTGTGGAGTGGAGAATAAACCTGAGAACTTATTCATGTAACCAAACACCACCTGTTCCCCAAAAACCTATTGAAATAAATAAATAAATAATAAAAAAGAAAAAGGAAACTATCTGAGCTGGGAGTTTAACTGTTTGAATCATGGCCTTCTTTGATAATCTGAAGAAAGCTTCAGATTGGAGTCTGTCTCCAGGGAATACACATGCACAGAGAATTTCACACATAATTTCATGGGGTTCATGGACTTTCTGAAATCCACTCACGGGCTTATTATTATTTTATTTATTTATTTATTTATTTATTTATTTATTTATTTATTTATTTTGAGACAGAGTCTCACTGTGTCGCCCAGGCCTGAGTGCAGTGGCACGATCTCGGCTCACTGCAACCTCTGCCTCCTGGGCTCAAGTGATTCTCCTGCCTCAGCGTCCCAAGTAGCTGGGACTACAGGTGCACGCCACTACACCTGGCTAATTTTTTTTTTTTTTGAGATGGAGTCTCCCTCTGTCGCCCAGGCTGGAGTGCAGTGGTCTCGGCTTACTGCAACCTCCGCCTCCCCAGTTCAAGCGATTCTCTGCCTCAGCCTCCCAAGTAGCTGGGATTATAGGCGCCCGCCACCATGCCTGGCTAATTTTTTTGTATTTTTAGTAGAGACAGGGTTTCACCATCTTGGCCAGGCTGGTCTTGAACTCCTGACCTCGTGATCCACCCGCCTTGGCCTCCCAAAGTGCTGGGATTACAGGTGTGAGCCACTGTGCCTGGCCAATTTTTTGTACTTTTAGTAGAGACGAGGTTTTGCTGTGTTGGCCAGACTGGTCTTGAACTCCTGGTCTCAGGTCATCTGCCTGCCTCAGGTGTGGGCTTTTTGAATTCTGGTTTAGAGTTCTATATAATGTAACATGCATTAGACATGAGAGAATTCAGCTCCCATCTTCTCTTCTACAAACAAGGTTTCTTCCCTTAAGCCAGAGATAGAAGATGGAAGGTTTTCTGACATGTGCAGCCTAGAATGGAGGTTGGGACAGGTGGAGGTGAGCTGTAAATCCACCAGCATGAGGGACAGCGTGGCCAGACTGGGGTTTGACTTGTACTGCCTGGTATGCCTCCCAGCAGATTTTTTGAGTAACCCTCCAGTAATAAACTTTACAGTATTAGGGAAAAGGGCATTTGGCCTGAGAGCTAGAGATGATGCTCCTTCCAGGATGTAGGCCTTGAGAAACAAGTGACAGAGTTTTTCTGCAGTTTGTCCAGTACTTAGAGCAATCCCAGACCTCTCAAAATGGATGGCTTTAAAGTCACAAAACTGGTGATGTTAAGGAGAGCTTCTTCCATTTGCATTACAGAGACTTGATGGATGTGGGGAAGCTCTAGTCGTGGTAAGATGTTGGATTAAATAATCTTGCTGCCTGGATGCCCTGTCAGATGCAGCGTAATACTTAACAGAACTCCTTACTCCCTGCCACCTCTGAAAGGAATTTAAACTGTCAGCCCATTAAGTGTTCATCTCTAATGTGAAATTTCTAGATGAAGGCAATTTAGCTTAATTTGCCAAGACATCTCTTCATGTCTGGGAGGGCTGCTGGGGGAAGTAGAGCTGGAATCCATTGGAGCCACCAATCTGCAGAAGTCTAGAACACAAAGGACACAGAGTGGGTTTGGTGGGTCATTGTGGCATTTGTCAAGGAAAAGCAACATTGCCCTCTAAATGACTCCCACTTCTGTTCTGGAAAAAACGCATCATCATTCATGCCACCATCCCAATAGACATAGGAAGCAATTTCTCTTCAGGTTTTGAGATGGTGCAAGCATTGACTTTTCTTTCTACAGAGGGCTGGGATGGGGGGTGGGAGGTGGTGGAGAAACTGTTATTCTGTGAGCCTGGCTGGGTCTGCAGATGGAAGGCCTTGTTCAAGTACAGCAGCATCCTTGTGCTGCAGTTAGTGGTTTTACATTTTTTAAAATCCCCTTCTGAGGGAAATCTGTGATTACATTTTTTTCTCTGCACAGGTGCTAGAATGCATTGCGCAAACACAAACATCCCACTTCATGAGAAAATTTGGAAGTCATTTTCCTTCCATCTGTCTGAAGTAGACTGTGCTCTAAAACTGGCCATCCACCCACCCGTTCTCCCACGCACCTTCTCAGTGACAGGAGGAGATGGCATTGTAAGAGAATGAAAAAAAAAAAAAAAGATAAACCCTGCAAGGCATTTAAAAGGATGGCTTATTAGTATCAGTTGGACAGCTATGAATAACACATGATAGCTTCTGGGGTGGCATATTATTCATAGAAGAGTCGCCTTAATTCTCCTTCTCTCCTCTTTCCCATTCCACTGTCCCTTTATTGCAGATACTCTTCTCCATCAAATTCTCAAATCCTTGCCAAATCTGAGTATTTTTTGATCACAGATCATTTTCACATGTCCACAGTGAGTTCTCGCCCACATAGGTAGGTAAGCAATGTTCCTTCAGAAAAGGGAGGCAGTGCCTGTTTCCAGAGGACGGTGCAGCTGTAAGCGCCTTGCACTCCAACAATCAGAGGCCCAGCAGGGCACCTTCCAAGCGCAGCTGCACAGCTCTCCAAGGCACTGCGCCCTACGTGCAGATTCCAAGCTACATTTAACACAATTGCCCATCAGCACTTAGGAAGCAGTTACCACAGAAACCCAGCAGAGACCAATTAGTCACATGATTAAATTAATTAAAATAACCCAGGGCATCTGCCATCTTGCCTGTTTCTGCCACAGATAGCGCATGACCCAGACAGAACTGCAATTGGTTAGCAATACTGTTGTGTCTCCTAATCCTAGAATTGTCTTCTTACCAAGAAAGCGGGTTCTCCTGATTTGCTTTTGTCTCCTCAAGAACTCTCTTGGGTTGTTTTGGAAGATATTCCTCCCCTATAAACTAGGCAGGATCAAATTTACAAAACATCAGACTTAATAAACAATGGGATTTGATATGTTAGGGGTAAGAGGATTTGGAAACATTTTCCAGTTGCACAGTTGAAGACTTTTAGAGATTTTTAAAAATGAGGACATTAACAATACATGCCAGAGGGTGCTCTGTAATATGCATTTACACTTGACCTGAGAATTCTGTGGCAAGTTGCAGAAACCAGATCATGGCTCTCCTTGTTAATGTAATAGGGATGTTATAAAGGGCACAGGCAGCCTGTGTTAGAAGATGGTTCCAGTCAAGGGTGGTGTCTAATGATCCCATTCAGTGGTTTGTCATGTGTAAAAAGCAGAAATGCACACTCTGAAGCAAACCCAGTAAATCAGTGCTTTGTCCTTGATATGCTGAATGACCTAATAATGGCCTCTCTGAAAACTCCATGTAGTCAAAGGTTTTCTGTTATACCAGTGCTATACTTCTGTGCACACACACAAATCAGCTTACCTGAAATCTCATAATGCTCACAGCAGCATGATTTCCATCACCTCAGACACTTTCTAGAGACCCATCTGATCCATCACACCTGAAACCAAATCACTAAATACTATTTGGAGGTATCCAACGAGGTAATAGTGTGGTTTTCCAATGTTCTTTCTTTGTGAATTGGCTTGACAAAATGGCATGAATTAATTATATAGTTTGACTGCATTAATGCGTGCCTAACAAAGCAAGTGGCATAACCTAGTCTATAAGCCTTGACTCTGTGACAGGAGGATCATGGTTATACATGAATAAGAGGTAGAACGGAAACCATCAGCTTGGGCAGGTCTTTCAGCCGCTGTAGACATTGGGCCAGTCTAAACCTTACTTTTGCCTGGGTGAAACAGAGTCTAGTCAAACCTCGGAGCAGATGTGTCCATCTGGCAGTTCCCAACATCAGGTGACTGATGAAAGAGAACCATGTGGTAATTGGGTCCAAACTAAAACTGTGATCTAACATATTATATAATGAGCCTCAAAGGAAATTAATTGATAGTATGTCATTAATAGCAGTAATAACAAGAATATACATTTATATCACATTTTATAATTTATAAGGCATCCACATACCTCCAGACTTCAACTTAATCTCTCCTTTCTGATCTTTACCAGTTCTTATATTTGGTAAACATATATATGTGTACTTGGTACACTTATTTTGTTGCTGTCGCAAGTGACCATTTTGTGAATAAAATAAACATAATATGACTGCAAAAAAGAACTAAAACTGAGGTATAGAAAATATATTTCACATTTTAGAGATTTTTTTCCTTTGAAATCAAGATAAAAATGGAAACATATAAAACTTCCTTTGTATAAGTAATTAGTGAATACCTCTGATAGAAGTGATTTGAAAAGCAAAGATACATTTTAAATATATCATAAGGATAAATATGAGTGCTTCTGTGAACTGTAGGCTTGCTTTGTACAAGCAGAAATTTGTTTTTGCTGTCTGTATATCAAATTGTTCCGAAACTATTAAAAATTATGGAAGATATAGCCATTTGGAAAGTGTTAACGGCTACTCTTTCAAGAATGGCAAAATGAATCAAAAATCAAAGTATATCTGATGGCCTTTAGCTGTATATCAGACTCGGTCAATATAAACCAAGTGTTTGGAAAGTTACTATAGAGTGTTTCAACAGATGGACAGAGTGCCAGGTAGTGGATTTGAAACAGATATTTCACTTTATTTGGTCCCATTTTGTGTAGATGATACTTGGTTATTCATGAATTGAGCTCTCACACCAACACAAGGGATTTCCTGTCACCATCATTATTCTAAAATCTGGCTGCTAAGAAAAACTTTGAGGCTGAGTGGCTGAGATTGGTTATGGAGTAGGTTACTGGTTATGCATGTTCTTTTGTGATTTTTTAGGTTTATCCTTTGTCTGTGTCATTCAGCTTTTCCCATTCTACCAAGGAGGATGAGCAGAAGATGACTCTGCATAATTTATGGATAATTTCTCCTGTTTTTCTGCCTGTATTCTCCCATGTTATATTGCCATTCATTGTATCTAGAGTGTAAAATTTAAACATTTTAGACTTAGAATGTTGATCCACAAGATTAATCCTGACATGCTTCTGAGACTGATGTGAAAAAAATTACAAAGTTAAATTTCTACAAAATTTATGATTATAAGATGTAGGCTGTATTGATTTTTAGTCTTTTCATTTGATCTTCCTTGCAAACTTGGTTCTGAGTACTTACTGATACACTTAGATTGTCCAAGAAATCAACTTCAGATGAGAGAACATAAAATACTTTGGAAATGAGTTTGTGTTTCTACTATTTTCATAAAGATCTAGTTCTTTTTTTTCCCCCCCCGAGACAGAGTCTTGCTCTGTCACCCAGGCTGGAGTGCAGTGGCGCGATCTCGGCTCACTGCAACTTCCGTCTCCTGGGTTCAAGCAGTTCTTCTGCCTCAGCCTCCTGAGTAGCTGGGATTACAGGTGCCTGCCACCACACCCGGCTAATTTTTTTATTTTTAGTAGAGACGGGGGTTTCACCATGTTGGCCAGGCTGGTCTCGAACTCCTGACCTCGTGATCCGCCCGCCTCGGCCTCCCAAAGTGCTGGGATTACAGGTGTGAGCCACCGCGCCCGGCCTAAAGATCTAGTTCTTGAATAGCAAAGGGGCAGGGCGATTTATGTAACTCCTCTGTCATAAATCCTCTCTAGAATGAGGCAGGGAGGGTACAGGTAAATTAATAAAATATAATAAATATATTTTATATATGAAATATAAAAAAATTAAAACTGCAGAATACCATGGGTAGCATTTTAGTTCCGGTATGTTAATTCATAAGATACTAGAGAGATCAGAAAAAATTTAAGTTATTCTAGTGATATTAAAAAGTGAGACCTTTTTATTTAACAACTAGCTATTTAGATTAGCAGTTGCCATCTTCTCTAAATTCTTATAACTGCTTTCCTTTTTCATAGCGTATAATACTACTAGATATTGTATATTTTTTGTAGATGTTAATTTGTCTGTTGCCTGTTTTTCATTATAATAAAAACCCCATGAAGACAGTGATTTTGTCTGTCTTGTTTACCACTACATCTCCAGTGTTTGAAACTTCATCTGCCATATGAAAATTTCTTGATAAGTATTTGCTGAATGAATAGATAAACTATTTCTGAACCAAATGATGAATAAACTAGGACTGGATTTTTGAAATGAAGAACATTGAAAGGAATGTTAATTTGTTAACCAAATAAGATTAAATGTTAAAAAAAAAAGCTAGCTTATAAACGAGTAGATTTCCTCATCTGTACTGTCAAGTGTTGGGTGCATTTTCTTTTCTTGTTTTGTTTACTTCCCACGCTACACCGACGTAAAGGGTGCATTTTTTGAACCTGGGAACCCATACAGAAGATGTGGAGGCTGTACAAGTAAAGGCTACACTAGTTGACCAGCATATTTTTCTCCCTTCAATATACACATCCTTTAGTACAAAGTATGTAAATGGATCAGAGATGAAAAAAATAAGATGAAATTTATTTAAACTAAGAAAACAATAGAAACAGGCATGAAATAAGAAAAAGAGGAGATATTGAGAATTACCACGTTCGCCTAGTCCTGTCAAGAATAAATGGATCCACAGTCAGAGGATCCTTAATCTCCTGATCATCCATCCACATGGCTTTATCAGGGAATCATGGGTTACACAAAACGTTTGCAGATTAACTAATCAGTCTTCCTAAATTTGTCATGGTTGGAGTAATTATCTTGTTCTCAGTCACAGTGGTAATTGTCATATGAAACCTCTTATTTTGTGTTGTGTGAGAGAATATGGATTTGTATGAAATTTGGGTGACATATAGATCTGATTAGTTTCTTTAATACACATGTAGTTTGTACCTTGTGGCAAACATAGACTCTTATAATCTAAAGTAGGAATCTCAGTTGTCAGTCCCTGAGTGACTTGCAATAGAAATGTCAGTTTCTTCTCTTAAAAGGAACTGTGTTCAATGCACTGCATAGAACTGAGTTATGACTTTATTCAGGGGGCAGCAGTGGGGGAGAGGGTGGCCTGATGTCCTGGTTGTCTATCAGAGGGAGCCCAGAAAAAGACAGAAAATAACTAATTCAAAATGACCCTTTCACAGTTAAAATAATGGTACGTGCCTTAGAATAACCATTCTTTTCTCTCCTCTAGTTTGTCTGGTGGTTTCTACTTAGCAGCTTCCTGCCTTCACCCTACCAATCTGTTTTTAAAAAACAGGATTTCAGGAGCCTTACTTATCCTTCCCCAGCCCAAGAGGTGTTCAGATATGTTCATGCAGCTCTCTCCTGGGTCTCCTGTGTAGATCCTGGTAGTAAAGATAGGAGTAGCCCTGGAAGGATTTGAGAATTTTCACAGGGGTCTGTTACAGGACTGTGTGAAGCCAGGGTGAGAAGTCAACCAAGTGTGAATCTTGAAGTCCACCTGCTCCCTTTCCAGGGTCTCACCTTTGTCCACCCAATGACGGATTCCTTCCTCTCTGGATTCTCTCCTTCAAGTACCTGACTGTCCAGGCCCACCCTCCCTTTCCCCAAAACCTGACCTCTGGAGCCTTCCTGACCCCTAACAGGTAGCATCCTCTTCATACACCTATGGATACTCACGGTTTCTCCCATTTTTAAAGTTTTCACTATATTAGATACTGGGCTAAGCATTTTATATTGTTTAAGCCTCATAATGCCCTGATGACAAAGATGTTAGTGTCCCCATTTTACAGGGGAGGCAACTGAGACTCAGAGAACTTAACCTACTCAATCAGACAGCCCAGGAGTGACCGGGCTGGGAATGGACTCAAGTCTTTTTCCCCACCAGACTGTGGAGGTGGGTATACATGGCCATGTTCACGGCCTCTGTTGGGTTCTGCTTCTCATCTTGTCTCCTATTGACGCAACTGAAATCTCTGGAAAAGCCCAACCACCTTTTCAGGCTTTTTTACTTGAGAGACTCAGAAATGTGTGCTTCCAGCTGGGAAGCAGCAGTGAGACCATTGTCAATAATATACTCGCTTTCAGTTTCATAAACACTTCTGATGCATGCCCTTTCTTCTGCAAAGGTCTGTCTCTGGGGGTACCTGACCCATCAGGGAGAGATGCCAATTAAATCCACATGGAATCTGAACATACTCAAATCAGGACTGTGCCAAACCTATCAGTGTAATGATTCTGGGTGTCATCAAAGTCTTGGGAGTATCTGAGATGGTAGATGGATGTTAAGGTGAATGTTTCTTAATGTCTTGAGACATTTCAGCTAAACTTGTACTGGAAAACATTACAGAAGGAGAAGCAAGGCATACGTAGTTCATGGGGTTTCTTTAAATTAAAAAAAAAATCCAAGCTAAATATTTCATCATTCTCTGGAGAAAAATTAGACTTAGGAGAGGGGAGTTTTACAGCCAGATGTGTGGACAATTTCTCCAACCATAGCCCTTTAATGGGAATTATTTTCCATAGCCTTTCATTTCCTTAGATATTCTGTGCTTGCATAGATGGTTCCAAAAACCCCTGCCCCGACTGAGGAGGCTTTCTCCATGAAGTTGAGGCAACAAGTCTGTCTGGGCTTGGCTGGGCCGGGCTGGGCTGGGCCATTTCTCTGGGAGGAGGTGCTTTCTCTTTTGTAGTTCTGTGCTTGTGCGCAGCTGCCTGGTGGGAGCTCTGATATAATAAAGGAGCTTGGCTGGTCAGATTCCTTGTCAGGTGAAGAAGCCTTTTGTTTCTGTTTAGTTTTCTGAAACAAGACAAATTATGATATTTTCTGTTAATTTCTTTCCTTAATGAGTTTCATTAAAATCAAAGCTTCCGGAAGACTGAGCCTTGACAGCTGTCTAAGGGCTGTTTCATTTACTGGGGGCTGCTTAGATGGAGTAATTATTACAGCTTGATAGTTTAAAAAGGAGTAAGAACGACAGAAAGAAATAGATCCCTTGAATGGTGTGTCACACATTTTTATTTCTTTCTGTGTCTGAGATTCTGTGGTGTTCAAAAGAGATGACAAAAATCATGTATTCTTTGAACTAAAATATTACTACATCATCACACACTTGCTTCTTAGTGGCTCCCTGGTTCTTTTTTTTTTTTTTTTTTGAGACAGGGTCTCACTTTGTCGCCCAGGCTGGAGTGCAGTGGTGCAATCTTGGCTCACTGCAACCTCCGCTTCCCGGGTTCAAGTGATTCTCGTGCCTCAGCATCCTGAGTAGCTGGAATTACAGGTGCATGCCTCAGTTTTGTATTTTTAGTAGAGATGGGGTTTTACCATGTTGGCCAGGCTGGTCTTAAACTCCTAATCTCAAGTGATCTGCCCTCCTGGGCTTCCCAAAGTGCTGGGATTACAGGTGTGAGCCACTGCGCCTGGCCTCCCTGGTTCTTAAATAGTGAAGTTTACTTAATGATGGTATATTAAAAGGAAGCCTTTTGGAGGTTAAAAAAAGTTTGTCTTTAGACCGTGACAAGCCATTTGGTGCATGCTGCCATGAGGTCTTGATGAGACTATGGGCGGCAGCATATTTCATGTTATGTTGACCAAGTAGTATAGTTAGCATAATCACTTGTCTTCCTCAGATAATTTTTGTATGCCAATTGGCATAATAAAAGAGACTTTAAATTCATGACCAGAATTCCATGTTTCATAATAAAATCAGAAGTGTTTTTGTTCTGGGGCAAACAGTTATTTCCTTGTCGCCTTCTGCAAAGTAGAGGTGACAAAGTATGACTGAGACATGTTGAGATGCTGAGATCCCTTGAGGAAGGGACTGAACATTGTGAGATGGGTAACCTGAGGGACAAATCTAAAAAAAGTCTCAAAAAGGAAACTAAAATAACATCAAAATGATGAAAAAATTGATAAAGTGAAATATACTGCTGTACATGAAATGGCATGATGTCTCAGAATTTTCAGTAAGAAAAAAAGAAGGGATAGATGAAGTAGGTAAGGTAAAAATCTCAATAGTCGTTGAAGCTGTGAATAGAGAAATTGGAAATTCACTGTTATCTCTATTTTTGCATATATTTTACATATTCATAATACAAATTTTGAGAGTAATAAAATGGTAATAGAAACATGGCAGGAGGATTGCTTGAGCCCAGGAGTTTGAGACCAGCCTGGGCAAGAAACTGAGACCCTGTCTCTACAAAAAAATTTAAAAATTAGCTGGGCATGGTGGTGAATGCCTGTAGTCCCAGCTACTTGGAATACTTAGGTGGGAAGATTGCTTGAGCCCAGGAGGTCAAGGATGTGGTGTGCCATTATTACACCAGTGCACTCCAGCCTGGGCAACAGAGTGAGACCCCATCGCAAACAAAGAAGAAAAATAAGAATAATCGATTGTAGGAGTTTGATGGGTCAAAATAATTTCACAAGAAAAACTTTATGTTATTTGAGAAAAACATTTGTACCATTGGGAAATTTATATCATTTGATTAATACATTTTTATGATTAGGAAATTTACATACTTGAGAAAAATGAGTTGCAACTCTGTAATTATTCTGAGAATTCTGATTTTCTCAGCAGATAAATTTATCAATTTAAGAGCAATATTAAAACTCTGTATTTTAGGAAAGGATTTCTAGGAGTGGAACTAAAATTTCACAAAGGAAGCATCATTAGTAAAAATAAGTTTAGTGGCTCATGTGAGGTAAAAGAAAGATTATAAATAGTGAGAAATGGACCACAGAAAAGAATAAGCATTTTCATTGTTCCTTTTTTATTTCTATTGAAAAAAAAAAAACTTACAATAGACAAAATGGCGTCTTTCAGTGATTCTCCAGTATGTCCGGAAAAGCAGAGGACACCCTTTCCACATGGCTTTGGCTTGAGGGGATGCAGCCTCATAGCCACATTTCCCATGAATGTAGCGCTTCAAGAAAGTACAGGGAGGCCCTCACAGCTTGAGACAGAGAGTGGACCAGCACCAGCTACTGGGAGGAGCCAGCTGGCCGTGGCAGCCCTTGATAGCATCCGGTAGGGTTGCGGAGCCTCTCTGGAACACTTCCAAAGGCAGGAACTAGTATCCATTTTTGTACAGCTCTACTTAGTGATGGAGACGGGTGGGTAGTCTAAGTTTCCTTCAAATCCTGAGATTCTATGATTATATAAGACAAAGAGAAATGGAAACATTTGGATGCAAAATAGGTATGTCTGTGTGAATGTGACAATGCACACCCAAATGTGCGCGCGTTTCCCTATAAAGGAAGACGTATCCATATTGTGAGCTGTAGGCTGGCTGCCCACCAAGTAGCAGACTGAATGTAATCTGGCCCTTCTATTTCTTAAAGCTTTTAATACTAAGGAGCCTGGTCTCTCTCAAGAACTCCTCATTAAAGTATAAAACACTCTCCTGTAGTTTCAATGCTAGGAAGGTGCTCTCCTTCCATAAAGTCTATCACTATCTTATGGAAATCTCTCCCCCAGGAGGTCACTGAGCCCAGAGCTGCAGCTGTGTTTTAATAAGGGCTGGATAATTTTATGACCAATAACATTTGTCGTTACACATGCTACAAGAAGGTTAATCAAATCTCAGCCTTCAGGGCATAATCTGCATTCCCACAGGAATTTTCTTCCAGAATTCTGTGTTTGGCTGGGGAGGCTTACTTCCCTCCTCGTATGTTAGTTGTTGACCATAGCTCTGTGATTCTGGATTTGTGCTTGTTTCCCTTACTGTCACTAGAATATTTCAGTAATAAAACTGTCTGGGGGCACAAACCTGAGTGGCGTGGCTCAGAGTTTCCCAGCTCTCAGAGCTCTATGCTTTCAGGCCGATACTTTATTTTTCAACTTGAAACTTCTGTGAGACTGGAGTATTCAATCTATCTGTTTCATTTGCCTCGGGGAGCCAAAATTTAAGGCAACTTGCAGACCTGAGATACCAAATATTTTTCCAGCGTTTCTCTGTTGCTTAGGAAACCCATAAACTGGTTCAAACATCTCACTTGGGGAAATATTGAAGTGACATTTAACTCAGAAACAGACTGCCTTTGGTTTGCTAAAGAAAACAGCATCACTGCCTGAAAGGGCAGCAGATCAAAATAAAGAGGGCAAGAGGGAAACAAGAGATGGCTATTGAGAGCTGAAGCTGGGATGGTTGTAACACAAATTGTGAGATTGTTGATGTTTTTCCTTTGGTTTGGAGTGTATGGCTACATCAGTCTATAGTATTTCAACTCATGCAGTGATGAAGGAGTAAAGTCTCCTTGTCATTTGAAGGGTCAAGAGATGGCCAAGAAATCATCTGCTCAGGACTCAGTGATATTTAATGAAGCAAAAGAGGTGACATGGACAATCAGAAATAAGACCTAGTTGTCCATGGGTTCCAGAGTCTCTGCTGAGTCCCATTGAGTTCTTCTGTCTCCATCTGCCGTAGAATCTGTCTGCACAAGGCTGCCCCTGCAGGTTCAGTCAGACCAAGGTCAGATTGCCTCAGAGACTGTCTCATGGTAGAGTTCTACGTTGCTCCACCTCTTCGTGGAATCCAGTACAAGGCAGGTGCAAAGGATTGGACCCAGATTGCATGATAGGTGGATGGAGTGGGTGTGTGGCGGCTGGGGAGGGACGGGGGTGGGCGGAGAGAGAAAGAGAGAGACGTAAAGCTGACCCACTTCCCATATGGTCATCTGAGTAGGAAGTGACTTGGACCTCTGGAATGAGATAGGTGTGGGATGAATGGGTAGAGCCCCCAGAGAGGAGGAAGAGTGCTAGGGAGTAACAAGACTCTATTAAATTGTAGAATATGCACCTAATCTCTAGGCAATAGTGCAGAGTCAGAAGGACTGAAAAATCAAAATGAACCTAAAAGTCATCTGAGTATCCAGATTAATTGACCAGTTTCAGCACCTTCCAAATCTAACCAGGAACACTATGGGAAATACAAAAGGAAATTGGAATGGGAAGGCATCCTGGCTCGTCCCGCACCTCCTGTGCAGGGAAAGCAGTTGAAGCCATGTTCTCCAGTTGCTTCAAGCATAATGTTGTACTTTTCCCCAGTGGGTTTCAGCTCAGTTTGTGTCAGCTTATGTGTACAAACAAATTTTTAAAATTTGTCCCTTGCTAAGGGAGCTGACATCTGCCACTCTCAGAAATTAGAAATGACAGACACCCACCGAAGGGTGAAAGGCTATGAACTAATTGGCTGATTTTTTATCAAAAATAAAATCTACTCTGACTTCACTATTAACTGAACAGATAGCATTGTCTAATCCGTACATTTAGTGGTGATTTCAGGTGATGAAGGAAAATGGACAACTTAGTTCTGTTTAAACCAAAACCCTTCTCACTCATGTGTTTCCCTTTCTTAGATTTAATGCAGTGCCCAGTCCACCTGGCTCAGCAGGTGATGGTGAGTCGTGGATGAGATACTTGATTGTTTTCAAAATCCTTATGTTTGTTCACTTGAGACTCTTTTAATCTGTAGGAGCCCATTCCCCTCTCCCCAAGGGGGAGAAAGAAAATAAGCACCAAGACTTTAGAAAGGGAAGGGAGTAGAGTGAAGTTGAAGACAGAAGATGTTACTGTGTATTTTAGCCAGGCTCTTCAGGAAAGGGGGCTGGAATTGGAAGCAGAAAGCAGTGAGAACCAAGGCAGCTTTGGGCTTGGCTTCTCTCCACCTCTCCTTCTCTCACGGTGTCTCTGATTTTCTCTGGCTGTCTGCTCCATGTTTTTCTCGCCATCGACCAGACCAGATTTCTTTGCATCCCTATAGCTCATGGTCTTCATCACTTCAACATGTACAAATCCATCATGGCCTCTGCAGTGCCTCTCAACATTGTGTCCTCTCAGTTCAGCTCCCATTCTCACCTGCTGCAGTCTCTTGGTGTATTCTAGCTTACGTTCCTGAGGGAGGAAATCGGACTGAAGCTGTACATCTTCTTGCAACAGGGTGTGTCATGGGTTGCTGGACACCTTCTCTAGTAGCTGCCCTTGGGTCATGTGCCCAACCTTGGTCCAGTCAACTCAGACCAGATCATGTGGTACAAAAACATGGCTACACAGTTCCTGAGGAGGGGGTGTGTCAGGCAGATACCTGCAATGATCTCTCTGCACAACATTTATTACAGACATTTAGTGTAACATTGAAGTCCATTACACAGCATTTATTGAGCACATATATCAAGCACTATGCTGGACATCAAGGGTGATCAAAAGTGCTGAGTCTTTCCTGTTTTAGAAGGACTCACTTTTTTCCTGCATTTCTTATTTATATAGTAAAGAAGGAAGGAAAAAATGACCATGACTAGAAGTAGAAAAGAAATAGCAGGAAGCACATTGGGAAGACGGACACATTTTCTTCCTCTTCAGTCCTGCTCCTTGAGTGTGGAATTGAAAGATGGACATATCTTTAAAAATTATTAAAAATCCTTATTGAAATCTTACCTATGGTACTCAGCTAAAATCCCATGTCCTTCTGACCACTCTAGCCTATGAGGATGGCTCTATTTCACTGCCTTGGCTAGCAGGGCACATATTTAAACCAGCATCTGCCACTTATTTACTCTATTTTCCATTAATGTGTATATACCTAATCTTAACCAGGCAGAAAATTCCTTGAGAGAAGTCACCAGAGCTCATGTGTGTCTTTCCCATAATTTCCATAGTTGGTATTCTGTGAGATAAAATGAATTCAGAATACTGGAAGAAGTTCCTCTAGAAAGAGACTTGGCTCCTGATTGAATATACTTTGTATTAAAATGAAATCCACTTCCAGAATTTTGTGTGTAAAACATGTAGGAATTTTGATGATACAAAATAAAATAATAGTACTTGAAATGCCCCCAGAATACAGACTTTGAGGAAGTCATTTCTTGATCCAATAAGGACATGGTGTAGAAAGCAGCTGCTTATACCTGGGTGAGCCATAATGCTAAGGTGTGTCTTTGCCCTGGGAGACCTGGAACAAAGGGAGTTTCCAAGGAGAGCTAGAAAAGGGACTCTGAGAGTAGCCCAGAGAATCTTCCCAGCTCCACCTTTTCTGGCTCCAGAGTGGGTGTGTGGAAGAAGGGGCAGTATTTAAACTCAGCTGGCTGGTTCCCTTGTAACCTTGTTAAAAGGTACGTTTTAAGAACCTGGGACTTTATCCAAGTATGTAATATGTCTTTCCCTTAGGTTTTTATATAC
This sequence comes from Homo sapiens, assembly GCF_000001405.40. Classification (NCBI taxonomy): domain Eukaryota; kingdom Metazoa; phylum Chordata; class Mammalia; order Primates; family Hominidae; genus Homo; species Homo sapiens. Next base: position 107,568,069 of record NC_000006.12, read on the forward strand.
TGCTTAGAAATCTCCATTAAGAATTTCAGCTGTACCAGTAACAATGATCACACACTATTGTTAATAGATAGGGTTAAATGGCGAGAGTCATTTCCAATTATTGACTCCATTGTATTTTCATATATTTCAACTCATTAAGAAAAAAAAGAGCCACCACAAAAACAAAACAAAGAAAAATAAACCTGGACAATGCTAGTGCTCAACAGTGGGAAACACGGTCAAGTTGCCTGTGGAGTCCTTACAAAACACAATTTTAAAAATATGTATTTTATTGTTTCTAGAAATTTGACAAACTAAAACCATATTGAAGATGAACAACGGACTCAAATGAGCCAAAGCATGCCTCAGGCAACTCTAAGCTTCCCACCAGTTTGGGGCTAACTCCCATCACTCCAAACTTTTGTGAGAGTATATGATTCTGAATAGCATGGAAACTAGATCACAGGTTCTACACACAGAATAAATTAGGTTGGGAGCAACACACACATCAGCATTATTAAGCCTGCTGCTCCTCTGCTACCTCTGATGTTGCCCAGACGAAAGGGTTAGGAGGGGAGAGATGTGTTGAATGAGAAGGAGCTGCCAGTCAATAGGGACACTAGTGGGTATTGTGGTGGATACCTTCTGCCCTTTTCCTCAGGTACTCTAACCCTGTATCTTATGAATAATCCTATATTGTAATTCTTATTCTGTGCCTTCGGTCAGATCACCTGGCTACCTCTTGGTTTCTTCATTTTTGAAACAAGAAGATGTTATCACTCTCAGCAGGCTGAAACAGACTGAGAGAAACCTTCATGCATTGACCCTGATAAAACCGGCTTTATTAACACAATCTTTACACTCCCACACTTTTTTATTAACGTATATAAGGCTAATAAAAAAGAAAGAAAGATCCGTGATTGGAAGTGAGAAAGAATTTTTATACCACTCTTCTTACCTGGAAAACAGTTGTTTTAAAAGAGTTATTTTAAAAATCTATTTGGGGGGCAGGTAAAGGAAGAGTGGGAAAAGAAGAAAGGTCAGAACAATCCACCACTTTACCCCTTTAATATCCCAAATATACAGGGAGTTCTGAATCCTGAGCAGTATCAGATTTTGCTTTTGGAAACACTTAGGAAGTGAAAATGATGCCAGTGACTCTCTAAGGGCAGTGGCATCCCACTGCAGAACAGTAGGCTGCAGGCTTCAGGATAAGACAAAAATAACAATTTCATCACTATCCCCTACCAAGGCAAATCTGAGAAATTTTGCTGAAATTGTTTTTCCATGTAAATTTCAAACGTTCTGAAAAATAAAGCACCAGTGGATACAGGCAGAGGTTTCCCAGAGGGCATAGTGCATGTGGAAGGGAAGCCCATTCATTGGACCTGAAACCACAGGATAAAGGGGGGTGAAATAAAGGCTGGCTGAGAGTCCCCACCTTCCAGAGCTGCCTTTGTTGCAATGAGTGTGAAGCACACGCCTCAACTTTTCGTTACTTTGGCTTTTTTTGGCTAGTGTTGCATCTTATAAGTCACAGTCTAGCTTCTCCTGTCCGTATTTTTACTGCACAGAAGGTTTCCCAATTTGCAAGCGTTTGCAGCACGGCTGGGCCCGGAGATAAAACAGAATGTGTATGTAGTACAGTATGCATTCAACTGATGCACAAGACTCTTTCCACCATATGTGCAAAGTAGTGTGCTTTTCACTCGAGGTGCCCCTGCCAAAATTGCCAGGAGCACATGAATAAGTGGAGGAGAAATGCCCTGTGCGTAATGCAGCTCCAGGCCTCGCCCCACCTGGGAAGGAAACCCATGTGTTCTGCAGCCGCCTGCATTCTCACCCCCCTTTGCAGCCCATCTCTCACATTGTTTTATGCTTACCTTTACACAGCTCGAACCTCATCCTTCTCCCTCAACTGGGGCCCATGATGCTAGCCATTGTGAAGGGCAGGTGTAGGGTCTCAGTTGCCCTTCCAGGAAGAGAGAAGTAAGGGTAGTTAGCACTTATGCTAATGAGAATAACGGGACTGGTTAAATACTCATCAGTTACAGAGGAATACCACTGGGTGAGAGCAAGTTGGTGTTTTTTCCTTCCCCTTACACATTTATTGTCCTTCGTCTCCTGCAAAGTGTAGCTTACCAAGCATTTTTATTGGAAAGTAATATTGGTCTGGTCTTTGTGGGTAAATCTTCCGGTGGAACATCTTTCATGATGAGATTTATTTCATGATAAGTTTTTAAAAAGAGTGAAGGCTATAAAAGAATTGTACTTTTCACTCACCTCTTTGAATCTATCTTAATCTCCTTGTATCTTTTAGCCTAAATCAATCAATCTAGGGAATTTTTACCTTGATATTCACTGCCTAAAAATTGAATCACCACCTTCCTTGGCTTTACTGAAAACTTGATGTTTATTTGAAAGCATACAGTATTTTTGATTCAAAAGTTGTCAGTAGGACACACAACTCAGAATCTTTTGTTGAGTTTTAACTATTGGTGTTACATGGTGGTTACAGCCACGCTCTCATTCTACCAAGTGTGGGTAACAAGTACGAGCCCCGCTTTATGGATGGGAAACCAAGCCATGGGGCAGCCACTTCCTTTCACCTGTCCTTTCATTCTTTCAGCCACCAGTCTGGGAGGTAGGGCTTTTCCACCCACGGGCCCTGCAACAGGGTATGCCTGGCAGAGAGGAGAGATTGATCCACATTTGGTGAAGATCCACATTAAGTGTAATAGCA